>NC_000014.9:97111713-98361713 GCF_000001405.40 Homo sapiens | reverse complement strand
CAAACTGAAAAGCCTCAAAAAGTCAATGACTCCATCATTGAAGGTATAAAGTTTAAATAAAAATAAATTTATTTTAATGAAAATAAAAACTTGTGTCATTGATACATTATTGTTATTTTCTTTTTTGCCTACTAGTCTTATATTTGTATATAGGAAAGCTTCCACTGTATTATTCTTCTTATTGTTTAGAATTATTTTTATTACAGATTTCCTTATCCTCCATTATTTCTTATCCTTTCTTATATCACTCCATTTATCTTCTTGTTAGTGTATATCCATTAAGATTAAAAAAAAAAATTGGCCGGGCACGGTGGCTCACGCCTGTTATCTCAGCACTTTGGGAGGCCGAGACGGGTGGATCACGAGGTCAGGAGTTCACGACCAGCCTGGCCAAGATGGTGAAACCCCATCTCTACTAAAAATACAAAAATTAGCTGGGCGTGGTGGCAGGCACCTGTAATCCCAGCTACTTGGGAGGTTGAGGCAGAGAATTGCTTGAACTTGGAAGGCAGAGGATGCAGTGAGCCAAGATCGCGCCACTGAACTCCAGTCTGGGTGACAGACCGAGGCTCAAAAGAAAAAAAAAAAAGTGAGATTCTGCAGGTGGTAAATTCTCTAAGACCCTGCACATCAGACAAATGTCTGTACATCACCGTCCTTCTTCCCCTATTACATGGCTAGTGTGAAGTTTTGAGTTCAAAGGTATTTTCCTTTAGTATTTTGTAAACAACATTCTCATAACTTCTAGCATCCTGTGCTGTAAATGGAAAACCTGATGTCTGTTCAATTATCATTACTTATTATATGATTTATCTTTTCTCACTTGAAGCTTTTCAAACTTCATTTTTGTTTGATGTGTTGATTTTTTAAATTTTCGGAAACCTCATCCACGTTCATTCAAAATATTGCTCTCCACCATTGTCTTTACTCTCTGTTTTCTCTATCTAGAATTTCTTCCAGGTGACATGTAGAGTTTCTAGATCTATGCCACATACCTCTTAAATTTTCTTTCCTATTTTCTATTTCTTCACTTATTTATGCTGCATTCTGGATGTTTCCTAAGCTTTGTCTCCCAGTAACTGTTTCACAGTTCCTGTGCTTCCAAGCTGCTATTCAACTCAGCTATGGAGGGCATTTCCCCACTAATTATCTTTTCTTTCTCAAGAATGCTAACTGGTTCTTCTCTGCAAATGCATGCTCTTGTTTCTTGACATCATCTTCTTATTTTATGGTGCTCTCTCTTCCTTTTCCCTCTTTAAGAATATGTTTGTTAAGTAAGTTTGTCTGACGTGACTTTCATCATCTGCAGGTGCCTTCTTAGTTATGAAATCATAATGCACTCTCATCTTGGAAATACATAAGGACTGGTGTTTACTGAATACCTATTCTGTGCGATTCAATGTAGGGCAGCCATTTGTGCTAGTGTCAGTACTAGTACAGTACTAAAGGGTTTCTCTGGACATGGAACTTTCAGTGCTAAGACCAAGAAAGTCCTAGTCAAATCAGAATGAGTGCATCACCCTAGTTCAATGTCCTGGGACCTTTACGGTGGATAAAACATGCAAGAAGTCTCCTGCTCTGTGGACCCTGTATTCCATTGAAGAGAGAAACATAATAAACAAGTAAATACAATGAATTACGAAGGTAATGCCAAGAAGTGAAATTTGATAAGAAGAAAATAAAGCAAGGTGATTTAACAGAGGGTGACTGTTTAGGGTGGTTGATCCAGAAGGTCCTTACTTAGGCAGATGATGTTCTTTTCTGTTTCTGAGACCTTTGTAATAAGAAAGAGTCAAGTACAGGGACATCTGGAAACTAAGCTTTTTAATCAGGGTGAATAGTAATTACAAAAATTCTACAAAGGCATAGGTGTGCCATATTAAAAAAGATAGGGAGAGAGAAAGAAAGAAATCTAGGGCTGGGCACAATGGCTCATGTCTATAATCCCAGTACTTTGGGAGGCCAAGGAAGGTGGATCACTTGAGGCCAGGAGTTCAAGACCAGCCTGACCAACATGCTGAAACCCCGTCTCTATGAAAAATAAAAATGATCCAGGCATGTTGATACATGCCTGAAATCCCAGCCACCAGGGAAGGTGAGGCAAGACAATCACTTGAAGCTGAGAGGTGGAGGTTTCAGTGAACCAATGCTGGGCCACTGCACTCCAGCCTGGGAGACAGAGCTAGACTCTGTCAGGAGAGAAAGAAAGAAAGAAAGAAAGAAAGAAAGAAAGAAAGAAAGAAAGAAAGAAAGAAAGAAAGAAAGAAAGACAGACAGACAGGAAGGAAGGAAGGAAGGAAGGAAGGAAGGAAGGAAGGAAGAAAGAAAGAAAGAAAGAGAGAGAGAGAGAAAGAAAGGAAAGAAAGGAAAGAAAGAAAAGAAAGACAGAAAGGAAGAAAGAAAGAGAGGAAAAGAAGGAAAGGAAGGAAGGAAGGGAGGAAGGGAGGGAGAGAGGGAGGGAGGGAAGGAAGGAAGAAGGAAAAAAGAGAGAAAGAGAGAAAGAGAAAGAAAGAGAAAGAAATAAAAAGAAGAAAGAAAAGAAAAGAAATCTAATGTGGATACAGCATCATCATGAGCAAGAAGGTACATTTAGAAAGAAAGGCAAAGGCCAGGTCTGTTAGGGCCATGTGGTGCATGGCAAGGAATGTGGATACCACTCTTACCACAATAGCAAGCTTTTAAAGGGTTTAAATAGGACAGTGATACACTGTGATTTATGTCTTCAAAAAATATCTTTCTGGATGGTGTATGGAGAAAGGATGGCAATGGAGTCTAGTAAGACTAGCTAGGAACTGATTGCAGTAGGGCCCAGCAGGAAGCAACTGAGGTCTGGACTAAATTGATAACAGTAGAAATGGAGAAAGGGTGGTGGACCTGAAATATAATTTGAAGGTAGGGTTGGCAACATGTGCTGATGGATTAGAGAGCTAGAAAATGAAAAGAAGAAAACATGACTACTAGATTTTAGGCTTCAGTAAGTGAATGGATACTATTGACCAGGAAGGGAAGATTGAGTTGGGGTGGGAAGCTCCGAGTCCTGCTTTGGCAAGTTAGGTTTGAGATGTCTTTGAGACATCACACTGTGTCAGATCAGCAGTGTGTATGCACATTAGGTGTTTGATGGTGTGGGAAGCCCAGAAATGTAACTTTGGAGATTATTAACAAATAGTTGGCATTTAAAGTCAGGTGTCTGGATGGGATTACAAAATGTAATCCCACTGTAAAAAAAAAAAAAAAGCACACTGTAGATGTAGGAACTGAGGAACTGGTTTTGGGGCATTCCAACATTTTAATATGTGCCAGAGGACCAGGGCTGAGCATAGCCCTCCACTCATATATTCTAAGGGGAGGCACCACCAACCCTAGACCAAGAGGGTGACCCCATGTGTGTTTCCTGTCCTTCAACAGTGGCATTTGCCATAGACCCCTTACTTCAGCCTCCCACAAACGATATGATTTGAAGACTGAGATTTTGGGGGTGGGAGTGGGCAATGAGCTCTTGGCAATGACAAACAGCTCTGCCTTGGGAGTCCTCCCAAGACAATCTTCATAAACATTCTTCACCATCAAGAAGCACCTGTCCATCTTCAGATTATCTCAGGAAGCACAAATAGGAACATGCCAGCCATAGGTAGCAGCTTCAGTCCAGCCCTCTTTCTACCCTGGGTCCAGATGCCCTGCCCCTTCCCTCCCTCTCCCATCCTGCCAAGCTCTTCTCATCCTGAGTCCAGGCTTCATGTCTCTACTCCCTACTCATGACAATGACCCTTACTTTCTCTCTCTCTTTGAAAAGATAGTTTCATACCTGGACTGCAGAAATGTCTCTTTCTTATTTCAGACCTTATTTGTTTACATATTTAATTATTTTTATTGTATCTTTTCTGTAATATGTTTTGGGACATGAAAGTGAGATTTCAATATATGCTCAACCTACCATCTTAGAAATGGCATTTCATCTATGGTATTTATCATTAAAATGAGTTGGGATTTGATATTAATTATAATTACCTAAAACATGTATTCTAATGGGGAACTTAGAACTGACTTTAGTATAAACACTCAGACCCCACAAAAATTTAAATTTGGTTAGTGAAAGTCCTGAATTTTTTAGCATTCACAATGATTCATCTGCCAAAGGAAGCGCACAGTCTCCATTCCTTGGTGCACTGGTCTCTTTTTCCAAGGGTGAGTGTCATTAAGTCTTGGTTAAAGTCAAAGATACTGATGATGCCACATTATCCAGGAGTTTAGTCTATGGGAAAGTGTATAAATAACCCTGAATGGAGTCAAATGCCTTATTTTCTTTTCATCCGCTGCTCTATTATAGAGAAAACTTCATATACTCATGGTGGCGAGATCTGGGACTTACTATTAAGTTTAGGTAAAAGGAGACAAGAAAACCACTTAGATGGATTTCATTCAGGCATGTTTAGCCTGGTGAAAAGTCAAGCCTGCTTGGTCCCAAATTCTCTCATCAGAGATGACATCCACATTTGGAGCAAAGTTGTATGCCATAATGAACCATCTCTCTGTCTTTGCACTTCTTCTGTGTGTGCATTCCTGTTGAGAATCTCACATTTGTTCAAGAAATCCTATGTTCTCAACACCTGTATATTCTTTCCCATTAGCTTGCAGAGAAATGAAATTCTCAAACTGTCCACAAATGGATTTAATGCACTTTTAGACTCCAGAAAGATTTTGATAGAAGAGAATAACATTGAGCATATAGAAGTGCATATTTGCTTCAAAATTTTAAGAATTTATAATAACCTAATTTCATTGCCTCACTCATGTCATGCATTGCAAAGCACTTCTGAATTACAAGAAAAGAGTAGTGTTTTGTTTTCTTTAGCAAAATTATTTTAGGAGTGGAAAAACATTTCACATGAAATTTAACCATGGGGATACATCAAAATCCTGCATGAAGATAATTGTTTTCAGACGTTAAATACATGTACACAACCTCACTAACGTAAGCCACAAATATAAAAGATACTAATTACTTAGTAAATGTGGAGATAATTTCCAATGGAAAAAAATAAGTTTTTTAAAGCTACGTGAAAGTGAACTCTAAAAGTAAGAGACCAATGTAGAGAAGAAAATGAAAAGATAAAATCTACAATTTCAGTTTCTTTTTTAATGCAAGTAAAAGTTTGGATGCTGCAGGGAATTTCCAAAACATTTTATACTATTGAAAAATAAGTTTGTCATCTTAGGTCCTGTCACATAGCTATTTGTGTACGGCTTCTAAAGCCTTGACATCAGAACTAACTGAAAGAGTATCTGAAAAGGAAGGAAAAATGGAAGGAAAGAAGGAAGGAAGGGAGGGAGGAAGGAAAAATAGAAGAAAGGAAGGAAAGAAAAATGGAAGAAAGGAAGGAAGGGAAAGTGGAAGGAGGGAAGGAAGGAAGGAAAGGAAGGCAGGCAGGCAGGAAAGAAAAAAGGAAGAAAGGAAGAAAGAAAAGCTGGGCTTTAAAGCATCAAATAAGTGAAGGAGAAATAAAATCAGTCCATTGGTCATTGCAGAGAAGACTGACTAAATTCTGTCCTAATAAGTTACTTTACTATTTGAGAAGGTCACAGAAGGGACTTCACTTTATGTTATACGTATTTTTTCCTAATCTAGTATTCTTAGCCTTGTCATCTTAATTTCTGTTGCAAACTGTGCTCTCAAATCATCACCCATGTACCATTTTGCCCTGTGATAGGCAGAAGAGTGGCTCCTAAATTTGTCCTTGTCCTAATTTCTGCAGCTTGTAAATATGTTATCATACTAGCAAAGGGACTTTGCAGATGTGATTAACTGAAGGATCTGGAGATGGGAAGATGATCCCAGATTATCCAGTGGGCCTAATGTCATCACAAGAGTCTTTATGAAAAGATGACGTGGGGTGATGTCAGAAGAAGAGGTCAGAGGTCAGAGTGATGCAATTGCCAAGAGGAGACCGTGAGCCAAGGAGTGTGGGCAGCCTCTGGAGGTTGGAGAGGTCAAGGAAACGGATTATTCCCTGAACCTTCAGAAGAAATGAAGTCCTGTGGCACATTGATATTAGGATTCTTGACATTCAGAATTGTAAGAAAATACGCTTGTGTTGTTTGTTAGCCCCTAAGTTTGTGGTATCACTTACCATAGCATGGTATCACTTACCATAGCAATAGGACACTAATACATCAACCTTCCATGTGGGACTAGAAGATAGTTGTCCCTGGGTTTACCTTGGAACCAAAATCCTCAGGTGCTTAAGCCTCTGATATGAAAAGGTGTAGTATTTGCATATAACCTACACACATTCTTTCATATGATGTACTTTAAATTACCTCTAGATTACTTATAATACTTAATATAATATAAATGGTATGTAAATCATTTACAATGCTTAGGGAAAAATGACAAGAAAAAAAGGCCTGTACCTGCTCAGTACAGGTGTCATTTTTTGGATAATTTTGATCTGCAAGTGGTTGAATCCATGGATGTGGTATCCACAGGTAGTAAAGGGGGCCGACTCCATGTGCTGTCTCCGGCTTCCCTTCCAGGCTTCTCTCTCCAACTTCTCAGAAATTGTCCATGAAGTTTTTGAGGTCCTGAGACTCAGAAGGAGTCCCTCTTTTGTAATGTAAGTTTCCTTGTAGGTGGACTAGAGCCTTTACCTTTTCTGTAAAGCCAATCCCTTTTAATAAGGTGAAATGGCTTGAATCAAGCCAGCCTAATGGCCCTCCGAGAGCAGAAGGCCTCCTCCAGTTTCCGTCTCCCGTTTAATTCCCCTGGGGCAGACATGGAGGCCTTTACACAGCTGACTGCTCTATGCCCTCCTTGGCTCCCCCATGGCCTCCCGTCTGCCTCCTCATGAGTGGCTTACAAGCATGAACTCCTCGGCAGCTTCACCTGCTGCCTGTCTGCCTTCAGCATCGCTTATTTCCCCCAGTCCATGTTCCAAGGATAGGAAAGTTCCCCAGGCCCCCAGACACCCCACAGAAGCTCTTCCTCATGTTCTTGATGGGGCCAATGCCCTCCACCTGGACACGCTTCCGCTTCCTCCTCTCTCTCCCTAACTCCTTCTCATCCTGAACTTTTCCTAGGAGGCCTTCCTTGGTATTCCTGTTCCCTCAGCTAGGTTCAGTGTTGTCTCCTCCTTGCACTTTGCTCCTTAGAGTCCCTCCCAACATTCCCCATTCACAGAGCTTATCCCATTTTGCAAAACCGCTGATCGAACTGCCTATTCTTTCTAATGGTCTGCCCTTTCCTAGGACGATGCTTCTCAAAGTGGAGTCCCCCGACTTGTAGCAGCAGGATCAATAGGGTATTTCTTAGGAATGTTAATTGTGGGTTTATACCCCAAGCCCACTGAAGGAGAAACTCAGGAGTGGGGCTGGCAGAGTCTGTCTCAACTGGCCCTCCAGGGGGTTATGATGGATGCTAAGTCTGAGAACCACTATTCTAGGTAATGCATACCATTTTTGTCTTATTCATCTGAGAATATCCTAGCATGTATTTAGTGTTTAATACATCCTTATGGAATTAATACAGCCATTTTTTACTGGAGGGTAGGCTGGTACAAAATTGAGTTGCAGTAACTATCAGAATTTTGCATGTGCTGTCCCATTAATCCCCACGCAAGTTTTAAGCAGGGAATATTGTTCAGTGTTACATATGGAAAAACTAAGTCTCAGACAGACCCTTATACGTATTTGCTTATATATAAATATGGTTGCTTATATATAAATATAATTTGCATATATAAAAAACACATATATATAAGCAAATTATATTTATATATATATTTGCTCTTTTACAAGTATGTGGCATCAAACCCAGATCTGGCTGATTCCATAGCTGCTGTCCATCTCTGTACCAGGCTACTTCAGATACTTGATGGGTTGCAACTTTGCAAGTCTGGATCTATATGAGAATCACCCAGGAAGCAATAACAAAAATCCAAGGCACTGGCATCAGTGTTTTTTAAAAACATATTCTACCTTGCATTCGGGATTGGAAACTACCGCTGCCTTACCCTAGCCTAGCCCAGGAAGCTAGGGGAGGATAAAGTATTTCTCCAGGATGTTGGCAGGTCATGTCTACAATGGATCTTATCACCTCCAGGCTTCCTTTCCTTACTTGTGGCTTCTTGCTATTCCACCTTAGCCTGGAATTACGTTCCATTTCCTTGGTGTCTGTAATTCATCTTGTCCCTTGATTGACAGCCCATTTGGGGCATCCTTTTCTGACAACACTTAGGAATTCCTTCTGGCAAGGCTGTGATTTTTCTCTTTACAGAATGCACCCTGATAGCAGGTAAGGGGTTCCCCCTCCATCCTCATATCCCAGTCCCTGTCTTCATCTCCTGATTACCCTACTGCTAGCGGAGAGGAAGCTGATAGTTGTAAACTCTAAATTTCTTGCTAATATTTTATACTATTCTCCTAATCAGCACAGTTATTATGAGTACGTACTAAGAAGTCACAGACAGGAGGACATCATCAGGTTGTAAACATAAACCTCGTGCTCATATGTGACAGAGCCTAGGCTCTGATGCAAGTGTGTTGGTCAAAGTTGAATACTCACATTCCGTTAATGCCGCTTACAAATTACTTTTCTAATTAAGTGCTTGCTTATTAAAGATGCAATCTGTCACTGCATGGGTGATGCCCGACCACATTCCTGTCTCTTCTTTGCTTCATCCAGATGTTGTTTACTAAAATGTGTTTCCTCAAAATTCTACTTTGCCATTCCATCCCTGAAGTCCTCCAGCCATGAGTAACACAGCCAGCTGATGGCTATTCAATAAATAACTGTGTCAGAGGAATCTTGGGGGGGTGGGATGGGGGAAGAGGGGATTGAGTTAGTATGGCTGATTTATTTTTCCAGGTTGAATGAGCCAATTGCTATTAATCCGTAGCCCTAGGAGGATTTCTCTTGACATCAATGGATCTACCTGTTCTCCAGTAAAAGACAAATGAGAATGTGCTGGTATTTGAGGTAGGGAGTTCTCCCTCTCTGGGCAAAAAAGCAAGGATATACAGAAACGGTTACCAGAAATGTTCAGGTCGTGAAAATGATGGTCAATGAGTATAACTCTTATCTGGAAGGGACACACAGAGTTCATTCATGCAGTCTCATTGTGTCCAAGAAGTTTAAAAATCAAAAGTAATTCAAAAGATTTCTATTCTCTCCTTGATGTTCTTGTGCCTGATTAAAAGTGATCCGAGTATAGTTCAGAGAACATTTACCAACATCGTCTTCATCTCCTTTTCCCCATCTTCCTTCCTGCCTTTCATACAATGCCACTCTTCTTAAACACATCTTCATGTGATAAACTAAATAAAACACCTTCTCATCTGTTTCCTGTCCATGTGACTCTTTTTCTACCTTCTATTCTCTCCCAAATCTCTCAGCCCTTAAAATGTAGACCCACTTATCTTTTTTTCTCTCCGGAAAAAAGATGTCCCTTAACATCTTTCTTTTTGGAAGGAGAAAATTTGGGGGCTACTGATTGGATTATTTGAGTGTAATCAGAAAGGGATGATATCTGTGAGTATTCTTTTACTAATAACATGTTTCCTATATAATAATAATAAGACATATTACTTATGTAACATTTGCTGTATTCATTATAGCAAACATTGTATTGCTTTTCTTAAATCTTCTCAGCAAATCTGACTAGATCTCAGCATGCCCCCTTTCTTAGTGTGTTTGGGACACTGTAACAAAGTACTGGAAACTGTGTGGCTTATAAATAACAGGAATTTATTTTTCACAGTTCTTGGGGCTGAAAACTCCAAGGTCAAGGCACCAGTAGATTTGGTGTATGCTGGCGGCCTGCTTCTTGGTTCAGAGATTGTGACTTCTCACTGTGTCTTCACATGGCCAAAGGGACATGGGAGCTCTCTGGGGCCTCTTTTATGTGGGCACTAATACTATTGATGAGGGCTTCTCCCTTATCACTGAATCACCTCCTGAAGACCACCTCCTACCACCATCACAATGGGGATGCTTCTCTAGTCTTTGGATGGAGCACCGCCTGTCCAAAACATTGTTAATGAAAAAGAGCTCTGCCAGGTGTGGTGGCAGGCACCTGTAGTCCCAACTACTTGGGAGGCTGAGGCAGGAAGATTGCTTGAATCCAGGAGTTCTGAGCTGTAGTGTGCTATGCTTATTAAGCATCCACACTAAGTTCAGCATCAATATAGTGACCTCCCGAGAACAGGGAACCACCAGGTTACCTAAGGAGGGCTGAACTGGCCCAGGTCAGAAGTGGAGAAGGTGAAACTTCCATGCTGATCAGTAGTGGGATCATGCCTGTGATTAGCCACTGCACTCCAGCCTGGGCAAGATAGTGAAACCTCATCTCTAAATAAATAATAAAAATAAAAATAAACTCTGCGAACAGAGCTAGGCTCAGTTCCTCAATTAGAAAACAATGACATTGAAAGAGGTTTCAGAGATGTTTTTCCCCACAAGGAATAGTTGTTTTCTGCTTTGCAAATATTTATTTATTTATTTATTTATTTATTTATTTATTTATTTTTGAGATAGTGTCTCATTCTGTTGCCCAGGCTTGAGTTCAGTGACAGTGACATCATCTTGGCTCACTGCAACCTCTGCCTCCCGGGTTCCAGTGATTTTCCTGCCTCAGCCTCGTGAGTAGCTGGGACTACAGGCACCTGCCACCATGCCTGGCTAATTTTTTTTTGTATTTTTAGTAGAGATGGGGTTTCACTGTGTTAGCCAGGATGGTCTCGATTTCCTGACCTTGTGATCTGCCCGCCTTGGCCTCCCAAAGTGCTGGGATTACAGGCGTGAGCCACCGTGCCTGGCTACCGAATGCTTTTTAAATGCCAGACAGTATCCTCACTGAAGAGCTGAGATTTGACACCAGTGAGAACCTGGCACAGCAGGAAGATGCTGGGATTGGAAGGCAGACAGCTCAGGGTTTATCTCTCCTTTCTATTGCTGTGTGACTTTTACTTTTAGTGTATCCTTTTACCACCCTGAGGGACTCTCTCTACCTTTGTAAACACCAAGCACTCACGTGTCTTATAGAAATGCCTTGAGTCGTTACTGAGTCAGGAAATTCACAAAGGATTTAGCACAGGGCCAAAGCAGCTCACTTTGCGTTACTCTATTTCTCTAACCTTTTGTTCCTCTGAATACTTGGGGCTGCATCTGCTCTGTGTGAAGCAAGAAGACTGCCTTTCTGATGGCAGGTCACATTTGGTTTCTATAATGGTCAAGCTGGTAGGGAAATATAGCCCCATGAAAACTTGAGTCACAAAAGCAGAGTCATACATCATGATCCTGAGCTGGTGCAGCAACAGCAAAACAGGGACCCATGAGGAATCCAGCCATCCATGGTGCTTCTCAGGTTTCTTAAGTTTCTTTTCTCTTGCTTCAATAATCTGTACTTCTGGAGCGGGGAAATGACTTATCCAAGGCCAGGAAGCAAGTTGTAACAGAGTCAGGCCAAAGATTCAGCCTGTCAAATGCTTTATTTTCAACTCTGGTTAGCCTCACTCCTCAAAGTGAACTCATCTTCTGATTGCTGATATTTTTGACATCAGTATATGAGAGGGAAGCATTTCCAGAGGATGCAGAGGGACTCTGATGGAGACACAAAACACAGGTGTGGACTGGGTGTTGTGGCTCACTCCTGTAACTCCAGCACTTTGGGAAGCAGAGGCAGGCAGATCACTTGAGGCCAGGAGTTTGAGACCAGCCTAGCAAACATGGCAAAACCCTGTCTCTACTTAAAAAAAAAATAAAAAAATTAGCTGGGTGTGGTGGCACACGCCTGTAATCCCAGCTATTCGGGATGCTGAGGCATGAGAATCATTTGAACTCAGGAGTCAGAGGTTGCAGTGAGCCGAGATTGTGCCATTGCACACCCTCCTGGGGGATAGAGCAAGACTCTGTCTCAAAACAAACAAACAAACCCAAAACTACAGGTGTAGAGGACCTGCCACTTCAGCAAACCTAGTCACACTAGATCCAGAAAAGCCAGAGCAGCCTCATGAGAACAGCTGGATCATGTGCCCACCTCTGGCTCCATCCTGAATGTCTCCAGAATTCCGAGGTTTCTCAGCTGCTGGCAAGGCCCAAGCAAATGTGCAGAGCAAAGTGAAAGAGAGTGACCATATGTTCTTAAAGCTTTTCAGGTGGCTTCGGACAGAGGTAGAAAGAGGGGACTATGAAGAGAGTTTCTTTGGCTTATCGTAGTTTCAAGTCCATGTCCAAATACATCTTCACAGTAAAATTCAAGGTCTAGGCAAAAAAACAGAACCCACTCTAGGCATCTCAAAAGGATGGGATTTAGAATGGAAATTAGTAACACACATGAGGGAGGGTGGAGGAAGTCGTTTCAAACAAGAAGCAGGCACAACAGGGTCTGCCAGGGAGCCAGGATCATCAAGAGAGGATCATCTGCTGGACAGGGAGTCAGCATGAGACACCGCCATTGCTGAAGCTGCTCAGGGAAGGGGAGGGGGAAGTGTGTTCTCCCCTCTCCCTTCTTCTCACCCTCTAGCTCCAATAGTGCCTCCCAATAGAAGATCTGGCCAGGAACCTGAGAGCAAGTGTGTCAGGGAAACCCGGAGCATGACAGGGCTAGGCAGGGATGATCTGAATCACACTGGCAGGGACCACTTGTGACCTCAGGGAGTTTGTCCGTGAATCTAAGCATTGTATGTGCTTGATAGGAATCCAGACATTAGAAAGAGTGTAACCCCTCTTCTGTACATTCTTCCCAGACCGAGAGGAGAGGAATGGAGGTAGGTAGGGAGCTTGTGGATATTAGCTACTCCCTTCCTGGACATTTAATTAAATAGATGGACTAAACTATTTCCAGAAGGTATTTTTATTTTTATTTAAGTAAAGAGAATGTGGATAAAAGCAAGATCCACTTTCTGCAAGGTTACCCAGTGGCAGCCATTGTGGTAATCATGCTTGACTGATTTTTCACTCATCAGCTCAACAATGCCAGGAAGTCGGTCTTATTACCTCTATGTCGCTAATGAACAAATGAAATGAAGCTCCACATGTGCCCAGGTCACACAGCTCCTCCACAGGAGATTCTGCAAGGGCTGGACCCCACTTCTGGGTTGAAAGCCCGCATTTTCTCAAATAGCCTATGCCCACTAAAACACTGCCTCACTAAAATACACAAGAGGCAAAGAGCTGTGGTGTGTTGGTTGTTTAGTGTGCACTCATGTATTCTCTGCTTTAGCATTATAAGAACTAAAAAAGGAAAGAAAATTAAAAAAAAAAAAAAAGAAGGCAAAGAAAACAATAGCAACAATACCAAACCGGCCTGTGGATTTTGATTCAGGATAAAAGCTCACTTCAGCCAAAGGGACAAATGCAAGTCGCCCCACATTCTAACATGGTTTCAAGAACCCAGAAGCAACAGCAGTTCCCGTTTCTGATTCTATTGTTGCAGAATGTCGTGTGCTTTCAGCTCCGGTGCTTCCCTTCCTGTCGCCTCCTGTGAGTTGTGTTTACTTCCTTCTCTTCCTTGGGAACCTAGGTCCCCTCCTAGAACATCTTCTCTCAACTGTTTGCCTGTTGTAGAGAACAAAGGAGGCACAGTGTCACTGATGAATGCATGGCAATGTCAAAGTCATAATTACTGAAACCAAATGGAAACAAAAAATTACAATTCATGTGAGGCACCCAACTCACTCAGGATTTCTTCTTAGAGTATGTGAATAGCTTCCACCATAACCCAGCAGGAGCAAAAGTTTCTTTCCAAATTATCCTCAGGCAGAGATCGTCTGTGAGGAGCAGAGGGAAGGGCAGCCATGGGACCAAAGCTCACGGCCTCGTCTCTGCCTCTGACCTTGCCTGGAGCGGGCTGGGGAGGGGGCTCACTCGTCTTTTGTTCTTATTTCATTTTCAAAATACATTCCCGTGGCAGCCAGGACTCTTGAAAGAGTATGACTGAGTGGCTTTTTGAGAGGCAGGCGGTGGCAGATGGGTAAGTGTGAAAATGTGATCTATCTGGATCTCACACTAGGCAACATGCACAAAACACCACTGGAATCGTAGCTTTCAAGGGGATAACTCTCAATTTATGGCCAAAGAACTGTGACTAGCATTTGGCTTTGGGAACTGAATGGACAAGATGCCCAAGAGATTGGGGGTTAAACCTTCTTTGCAGGATATCCCTGTCCTCAACACTACCTCATTCATATTATCTTGGAAAACACATGGAGCTGATAAATTCATTTCTATTCATTCTAAAATCATATGCACACAATCGTATTTGCATTAAAAAAGTTGGGGGTGGGAGATGGAGTTGTTTTTTTTTCCCCCAGCTGGTATCTGTAATTGATATCTGGTTCAGCTATCCTGGTACAATCAAAACCAGTTAAACAAACAAACAAACAAACAAAAGCCATGCCAAGTTGATTTGAAGATACAGAATGGATTTGAAATAAGTTACTGCAGTACTTGCTTCCACAAACATTAAAAATTACAGACTATGTGCCAGGCAATATTCTGACCCTAAACAAAATAAGTAGAAGGAGGCATGTTTGCTTTTCAAAGGAGTCTGAGCTACCAGACAAAGAGAAGGCTGGAAGATGGCCCTGGAGTTTCCTCAGTGCCCCAAGCTGCCTACAGGCTCTGGAACCCTTGGAGCCTATTAAAAGACCTTGGGTCTTTGTTCTCCCCCAGCATTGACCAGAGTCCCTGGCTCTAGGGAAGCTAAACTCACAGGACTAGACTGGAAGAAACCAACCTCATTCAGAGAAGGTGATGTTTATGCTAGATCTTGAAGGATAGATGGACATTTCCCAAGTATAAGAAGATAAAAGCACTTCAAGGTGGGAAACACTATTGCAAAAGTCAGGAGGTGTGAACCAAGGACATGAGCTTCAATATGGGAAGGTGGGGCTATTGAGGGCAGGAAAATAAGGTATTTTTCCTTATTTGTGGGGGCCAGGCTATCCTCATCATCTTCCATGGTCAATATGCTTTATCACTGCAACTGAATCAGATTATTAAAATATCCTAAATGTGAGGGATTGAAGTCTACAATTTGAGTCTTTTTACCAGACCCCACACAAATATGAAAACTGCATAGAGCATGCTTCAGACCTTTAGGCTTTCTGTATTACATAGTTTTAAAAGTAAAGCAACCATTTACAAAAATTTCTGTATTTTCTTATCCTGGTGTCTTTATATTTTAAAAACAAATCTCATACTCCAGAATTTTGCCTTAAGACACAAGATGTCCCAAGATTTCTATGTGGCAAAACTACTTCCAATATTTTAAACAAAATTTCCCTTAAGACATTTTAATACCCCAATAAACATTTACTCAATTTAAAATTCAGTTTGGCAAGGATTTTTTTTTTAATTTAACTAAGTTAAAACTCAGATTTTCTCTTGATATGGTTTGGCTGTGTCTCCACCCAAATCTCATCTTCAATTTTAACTCCTGCAATTCCCCTGTGTCATGGGAGGAACCCGGTGGGAGGTAATTGAATTATGGGGGCGAGCCTTTCCTGCGCTGCTCTCATGATAGTGAATCTCTAATGAGATTGGATGGTTTTAAAAATGGGAATTTCCCTGTACCAATTTTTTGCCTGTTGCCATCCATGTAAGACATGACTTCCTACTCCTTGCCTTCTGCTGTGATTTTGAGGCCTCCCCGGTCACGTGGAACTGTAAGTCCACTGAACCTCTTTCTTTTGTAAATTTTCCAGTTTCGGGTATGTCTTTACCAGAAGCATGAAAATGGACTAATACATCCCTCATTCTTACAACAAGACCATTGATGAGTATCCCTCTTCCTATTAGATAACTGAGTAAATGATGGATCAAAAATCTGCCCCCATTCATGGCTGTGAGCAGTGAGGAGAACTGACCAGAGGTCTATCTTTCTCCTTTGTCCTAATGCCATTCCAGGGTTTGAACATCAAAAGGAAAATTAAATAACCTGTCTCAAGAATAAATAAGCAAAAAGTCTGCTAGCCTTTTCAAGGTGATGTCAAGAAGGTTTAATGTGGGACATTTCCTCACCTGCATACCTGGCCTCTGAAACCAAGAAGAGAAAGAGATAAAATTATCATCAAAGCTCCCCCTACCCCTCCATCTGCTTTACAACCATGAGCCAGGAATCTGGTGAGGCTTCAAAAACTAACAGGAGCTCTGCAATGTGATTTGTGGGCACGGAGGCATCATTGATCCCCATCAAGGCTGCTGTCATTATTTCTTAAGGGTTAACTCACATCAGAATGCTGGAGAGCAGATGACCACAGAAATCGAACTCCCACAGCCTAGGCTGATGCTGAGTTCCTGAAGAATGAGTCATCCAGGAAAAATTAATCATGAAAATGGCTAATTTATAACTGGGTACATCCAAGAAGAGGGTGCATGCATGTGGAAAGATTGGACAATGGTCATTTTTTTCATTAACAATAGAACCCAACTGAGTGAGTAAACTGGAACAGAAATGAGCTGTTTGGAAGGATCACAGAAGTCGCCATCCTGGACGCCAGAGCACAGGCTGGGGAGCTGCCTTCCCTTGTCCGTGGCCCCAGACATCCTCTGGCACCTCTCTGACCTGCTTTTCCTCCAGCCGTCAGCTGACTGAGTCCCTGGGTGCCTCTCTTTCTTCTTTATTATCTCCCTTCTCTTTTCTCTTGGTTTTTCTCTTTTTTTTCCTTTCTCTCTTTTTCTTTCTTTTGCCTTGCCTTGCCTTGCCTTACCTTCCTGCCTGCTTTCCTTCCTTCCATCCTTCCTTCCTTCCTCTTCTTCTTTTTTTTGGAGGGGGGTCTCACTCTATCACCCAGGCTAGATTGCAGTGGTATGATCTTGGCTTACCGTAACCTCTGTCTCCCAGGCTCAAGTGATCCTCCCACCTCAGCCTCCCAAGTAGCTGAGACCACAGGCACACACCACCATGACTGGCTAACTTGTTGCATTTTTGGTAGAGACAGGATTTCGTCATGTTGTCTAGGCTGGTCTCCTGAGCTCAGGTGATCTGCCGGCCTTGGCCTCCCAAAGTGCTGGAATTACAGGCCTGAGCCACCATGCCTGGCCGGTCTTTCTTTTTTCTTCCTGTTTTTCTGCCTTTCTCTCTTGCTCTCTCCTTTTCCCTCCCCTCCCCTCCCCTTTTGCTTGGCATTCTTTCTCTGCCTTTCCAACTTCTTTTATTTCTCCCTCACTCCCCTATTTGTCTCTCTCTTTACTATTTCTCAGATGTTCCCTCTTCCTTTTTCCTGCAACCTCCTTTTCCACCCTTTTTCCTTCCTGTTGGCACCCAAGACTTCCCTCTGTTGGCTCCGGAGATGTAAAACCAAGGCTTGGGACATGAAAAGTGGAAGGACCTTTAGCACAGAGCTTCTCAAGCTTTAATAGGTACATGAGTTACCCAGGGATGTTGTGAAAATGCAGATTCTGCTGCAGCAGGTCTGGCTGGGACCTGGGATTCTGCAGTTTTCACACTCCCAGCTGAGGCTGATGCTGTGGCTTCTGGGAGCCGCACGCTTTGAGTTCCAAGGCTTTCCAGGACCTCTGTTTCAAGTGCTCCACTCAGCAGAGCAAAAAAGCTGACCCTAAGAAGGCAGAGGCTTCCTCTGAACTCACACTTCAGACACACTGGGAGCTGGTGGCCGGATGGGAGCTTGACCCCCTGCAGGGCCTGTGTCCTTTACCTGAGTGGGTGGGATAGCAAGTACTTCCTTCCCTCTTTGAAGCTGGCTACACCTTGATATACTTTGGTTTTTGTTGTTGTTGTTGTTGGTTTTGTTTTTGTGACAGGGTCTTGCCCTGCCCCACAGGCTGGAGTGCAGTGGTGCAATCACTGCTCACCGGAGCCTCAACCTCCCACACTCAAGCAATCCTCACACCTTAGCCCCTGAGGTTCTGCAGCTGGGACTACAGGTGTGTGCCACCTCACCTGGCTAATATTTTATTTTTTATAGAGATGGGGGTCTTGCTATGTTGCCCAGGCTAGTCTCAAACTCGTGGGCTCGAGCAATTGTCCCTCCTTGTTCTCTCAAAGTGCTGGGATTACAGGCTTGAGCCACCAGCTCGACCATGCTTTAGTTTTTATATTTATCACTTAGGGTGGAGAAAACCCTATTTTCCAATTTGAGGCAAAGTTTAAAATTAAAACCCTGGACCCCGACAGTCCTGTTCTGGGTTTCAAATTTTAGCTCTGTCACATAACATCTCTTTGAAATTGGACAGGTCATCTAACCCCTTTGGGCCTCAGTCTTCACATTTAAAAAATGATTGGTAATTATCTCTCAGGGAGGTTGTGAGAATCAATCTGCAACTGATGTGTGCTAAGTAGTGCTCTCGAAGCCAGCACTCCACAAAGTCATGCTCATCTAGGTCCTCTGCATCTCAAAGCCCTAGGCTCTGGATGGGCAGTTCTCATTTTTAACATGGGCACCTGTCTTGCATGTGGAAAGGCACACTGAGGAATGAGTTTCTCACCCCTTCCATTTCTGTGGGCAGCATGTGTCCCAGTGTGCATTCAGCCTTCCAGGAGCCATCAACAGAAGAGGAGCCTGTGGCCTAGAAAGCAGAAGCAACTTTCCCAAATGCATCCCAGGAATTTGCAGGGAGTTGGACTAAAACTTAAGCCCTGAATGTGCATTCAGGCATCTTCAGGCTGTGGCCTACTGACCTTCAACTCCAATAGATTTCCAACCATATTTTCTTTCTTTTTTTTGAGACGGAATCTCTCACTTTCGCCCAGGCCCGAGTGCAGTGGCACGATCTTGGCTCACTGCAAGCTCCGCCTCCTGGGTTCACGCCGTTCTCCTGCCTCAGCCTCCCCAGTAGCTGGGACTACAGGCACCCGCCACCACACCCAGCTAATTTTTTGTATTTTTAGTAGAGATGGGGTTTCACCGTGTTAGCCAGGATGGTCTCGATCTCCTGACCTCGTGATCTGCCCGTCTCGGCCTCTCAAAGTGCTGGGATTACAGGCGTGAGCCACCGCGCCCGGCCAACCATATTTTCTTATGATCTCCTTTTCTCAGGACTGAAATAAAGTTTGCAAACTTTCACTGCAAAGAGTAATTCACCTCCTGAGCTACATACCTCTAATCCAGCTAAAAAGATCTATGAGGTTAGAAGTCCAGAGGTCATTTCGCATGGGAATAGAAAATGCTTGGTATTTTGATACTTTTTACGTAAATGGAAATTACCAATCCTTGAGCAGGATCCTGTTGGCCTTTGCTATAAATTTTGCTGCTATTACAAATAGCTTCCAAATGCACTATTTTGCCTTCCTTTTCTCCCCCACCCTTGCATATTTATCTTCATTTCCAGAATGCACCTTGCTGCTTATAGTCAGACTTATATACTATAGGATCATTGCCCGTTTTTAGGGTCTCAAGGGAAAGGGGTGGTGGATGGTTTATTTGCATTCAACACTGTAAATCATGGGGATTTTGAGTTTGCAGGCTTCTGATTCCACTCAACACAGCAGAGCCACTCCGTGCACCATTTCTCGATTGCCCAGGAAGATTTTTCCTGAACAGCCTGAAAACCCAAGTGAGGCTGAAAGATGCTGAGAGTGTCAACTTGAAGATTAGGTGAGAGTAGAGCTTTATTCTGCAGGATGTGATTGCCGGCTGCATTGTCTGCTGAATCTGTGACATAGAAAACTCATTTTCCCTTTGAACCCTCCCTGTCCTCAAATGAAAAATGGGGATGGCAATCCCTGCTTCCTGCAGCACTTGCAAGGGGTGTTTGACTCTGTGCCTCCCACGGGCCTAGCTCAGTGCCTGGCGGAGAGAGATGCTTAGCTGATGCATATGTGATTCCTCCCAGCCCCATGGCCCTGGTCGCCACTCAGGTCATTTCTCTCACCCCACGGCCTCTCTGATCTCACATCAGTGTGGCAGATTTTCTGAGTTTGGTGAGACCAGGTTGGACATAGGACCCTCTCTATAGTCGCACCAACAAAGCTCATGCCCCAAATCATTTCAGAGGGTTTTTTGCTTTGTTGTTTCATTTTCATGACACCCAGGATAAATCTGAATATGTTTACATTCTGATTTTAGAAAGCAGGAAAGGTAAGATGTTCACTAAAATTTAATTACAGGCCATGGAGTATGATTAAAACAGATGGTTGTAGAAAATATGTTCTATGTGTGGGTTTTTTCTTTTCTCTTTTTTAAAGAAAAATCAACAATATGATTTTGTTGGCCTCCTTTTCGTGGGTCTCTTCTTTCTATTTGGGTTTCTTTTTTTTCTTCTTCTCCTTTCTTAATTCACTTTCTGCCTTTCTTATTTTCTAAAAGGCTCTGGATTGCTGCCAGTTATTATTATAAGCTGAATGCATTGGCTTTGAGCCAAGATGCTGATAGTTAAGCAAGAAGCCAAAATGGATGATTTCTCTCCTTTTCCCCTCACATGCTGCCCACATTGTCGCTTATGGTGTGGGGTCGGGGTGGAGCAGTAGGCAAGTACTCCTGCTGCCCAGACTTTGCAAGTGTGTTCTGATGACTAGGAGAGCAGGATCATGTTAAGAACAGAAAAGGCAAGATGATATTAAAGGTTAGCATGAAGGATTTTTAGGGCCCTTTTCTAGTTATTAGTTATTTTGATAATCCAGTTGATTATCTTAATCCAGGTCTTACAGAGGTGTAAGGGCTTATGCTGGCCTGTGACATTGGCCTGCAGATTGTTACTGCGTGTCTTTGTCAAGTTTCCCTACAGAGATAGAACCAATATGATGGATGGATGGATGGATGGATGGATGGATGGATGGATGGATGGATGAATGGATGGGTGGGTGGATGGATGGGTTGATTGATGGATGAATGGACAGGCAGATAGATGATAGATAGATAGATAGATTGATTGATAGATCAATAGGTAAGTAGACAGGTGGAAAGAAATGCAGGTGTCAGATGGATAGATAGATAGATAGACAGATAGATAGATAGGCAGGCAGGTGGCAGATAGGTAGATCCATAGATAGATCAACAGATAAGTAGATAGATGGATAGAAAGGCAGGTGACTGATAGATAGGCAGGTGGAAGATAGATTGATAGATAGATCAATAGATAGGCAGGCAGAGAGATCGATAGATTGATCAATAAATAAATAGGCAGGTGGAAGATAGATAGATAGATAAGAGGGGATTTATTAGAGGAATTGGCTCATGTAATTATGGAGGCTGAAAATTCCCAATACAGGCCTTCTGCAAGCTAGAGAAATAGAGAAGCCAGTAGTGTGGTTCAGTTCAAGTCTGAAGGCCCCAGAGCCAGGGAAGCTGATGATGTAACTCTCAGTGGGAGGCCAAAGGTCAGAGAAACTAAGAGGTCAATGATACAGAGGGGTCTATTATACTAAGGAACCAATGATACAATGATATAGGTCCCAGAGTCCAAAGGCCAGAAAACTTGGGGTTTTATTGTCCAAGAGAAGAAGGGTGTCTCAGCTCCAGGAGAGAAAGAGAATTCACTTTTCCTCTGCTTTTTTGTTTTATTCTGGTCCCCAGCTGATTGGATGGTGCCCGCCCACTTTGAGGGAAGATCTTCTTCACTCAGCCCACTGATTCGAATGCCAATCTCTTCTAGAAACACCCTCGCAGTCATACCCCAACATAATGCTTTATTGGCTATCTGAGTATTTCTTCATCTAGTCAACATGACGCCTACAATTAACCATCACAGTGTGGAAGTGCACAGTTATTTCAACATGCCACTTGAAAAAGAACCAATTTCAGGAAAAGGGAGACTAAAATTTCAAAAAGTGAAAAATAAATAAGGTCAAATCTTTACATTCATTGAAATGTTTCTGACCTCACGTCTGAAGAAAGAGTCCTTCAAAATGAAAACTTTGAGAGGGGGTGTATGAGTTTCATGCTGCTGCACCAGCAAATCACTATACACTTGGAGGCATGGAACAACGCCAATTTATGATCTTATAGTTCTGGGGTCTGAAGTCGTGAAATCCAGGTGTCAGTGCTGTGTTCCTCCTGGAGACTCTGGGAGAAATATGCTCCCTGTCTTTTCCAGCTTTGGGAAGTCACCATGCACCTTGACTTCTGGCTGCTCCCAGCAATGGGATTACTGTGATCTGCTTCTACCTTCAAGTCACCTTCCCACCCTTGGCTTCCATCATCATGTCTCTTACTTTTCTCTCACCTTTCTGCCTCCCTCTTATAGGAGCCATTGTCATTATACTGAGCCCACTTGGCTAATCCTGAATCATCTTCCCATCTCAATGTATTTAATCATATCAGCAAAATCTCTTTTGCTATGTAAGGTAATGTATCCACAGATTCTGAGAATTAGGACAGAGATGACCTTGAGGAGGGGCCGTTTTTCCCCCCATGTCAGGGTTTGCTGATTCTCACTTGCTGGCCCAATGGTGAGACATGTGAGACCCAGAAACATGAGATTCAAGATAGCCACGGTTCTGGAAAAATCCCATTATCTCTCCTAATTTAGCTGAAGAATGTGACTATGTATAAGTAGACACCTATCTACTTATCTATTGATCTATCATCTATCTATCTATCTATCTATCTATCTATCTATCTATCTATCTATCTGCCTGTCCATCCATCCATCCATCCATCCATCCATCCATCCATCCATCCATTCTTTTAGCTGAAGAATGTGACTATGTATATATGGGGTTTTGTTCTCCAACCCTATGGCTTATCATTGAGGTCTAAGACTTAGCTCTGCCAATGAAAAACTCAAGGCCCAGCAAGCCAGGACTTGCGGAGCACTAACATTACCTGTCCTTTTCTAGGTGCAGCCAGCTGCATAAGTTGTTGGATGCATCTTGTCTTAACCTCCCCGGTTTCCCCCAAACCTCACTCCTCTATACTCACTTTGTCCCCATTTCCCTCCCCAATCTTAGAGCTCCCTTCCGCAGTGCACTGGGGAATAAGTAGACACAGTCCCATGCAAATATTTAAAATGAATTTGCAAAAAATAAGAAGTCTAGGAACTGTTTCCAAACCACACCTGGGTGTCTTGAGATTTTTCTCTTATCCATAGTATAAACACTGGGTTAGAAGAAAAGAACAGTTAAAAGAGGGAGTCTTCAAATTCAACTTCCCACATTCTTTCTCCCCTCCTTATTTAAGCTGTTGTGTGAACAATTTCAAAAGAGATGGAGTCTTTAAACCCAGTTGTTTTTAGCAGATGGTTTCATAAAATTTCAAAATGCAATGGTATGAAAATCATGCAAAGAAATCCATAACATCATCTATAGAGGACATGCATATCTCAAACCTGTTCAAAACACATACAGAAGCTCAACCATTCTGGATTTTTTTTTTCTTTTCTGAGATGGAGTCTCACTCTGTTGCCCAGGCTGGAGTGCAATGGTACAATCTTGGCTTGCTGCAGCCTCTGCCTCCCAGGTTCAAGTGATTCTCCTGCCTCAGCCTACCGAGTAGCTGGGATTACAGGCATGTGCCACCACACCTAGCTAATTTTGTATTTTTAGTAGAGATGGGATTTCGCCATGTTGATCAGGCTGGTCTCGAACTCCCGACCTCAGGTGATCCGCCTGCCTCGGCCTCCCAAAGTGCTGGGATTACAGGCATGAGCCACTGAGCTTGGCCCATCCTGGATTTTTAAGCAACACTTTTTCTAAAGTGAGCAAACCAATATATTAGCAATTCAAAAAAGATAACCAAATGAGAGTTAAAAAAAAAAAGAAACATTAAGCATGGTGGAAGACAGGAGAGAGTTATTTAGATCTTGGCTGCTAAGGACTAGAGTACACACAGAAGAGTGTTGGTTTCATATATAAACTCGACATTATGCCATCTCAATAACCTTTGCTCGATGCAGATATTAAAACTTCATGGTTTGAACATGTTTTTGTACAACTGAATAAATAAAAGAATATTATTTATAATACTCTCCAGAGGAAAGGCTTAATATCTCTTCATTATTGGGGATGTAGGGATATGTGACTCCAGTTATTTTTTCAGGTCTTTAAATGAACAAGATTGTTGGTCTTTTTGAGATTCATGAATGTAAGAATACGAGGCTCCGTAACATTCTGTGAGAAACATAGGTAACTCAAGAAAGGAGAACAATATTTTTTCTGAAGATTTGCTTTTGTGGTAAGGGAAATTTGGGATCATTTTGTGGCATCCTCCTATTTGCCATTTTTGTTCACTGTTACTGCCTTCAAAGTGAGTGAAAGAGCATACAAGGCTCTCTTTAAAGACAACAAAGGTGAGGGGAAATGAATGGCTTTGCCCAGTACTGCAGCCAACCTTGGGAGGCAAGAACTACAAAGGCTGGGCAGTGGAGGCTCACTTCAGGAAGAGAAGAACAATAAGAAAGTGATGCTGGCCTGGGGCTGATAATTGGCACTTAGTAACAAGGTACTCAACAAGTACCTTAAGCATTTTATGTGCTCATCCTATGACATCAAACGCTTCTTGGACTGTGCTTTCCTTGTATACTAGCATATCCCTCATGAACTACAAGTGCTTTGTGGGCTGCGAATATTGTTCCTCTCTTGTTCCTTCCAATATGGCAGATGCAAGTTAGGTCCCAGAGAGCTGAAGAATAAATGAAAGACAAGAATTTCTTTCCCATTAGATTTCATAGTGTCTCACCTAAAATAAGCGACAGATATTGATAGACATCCCTTTTCTGCACAAAGTTTACTTCCATGTATAGTTTCAAGGGTACATTACTAAGTCTGCAAGTTGATGAAATATGGCTTGTTAGGAATACTAAATGACATGTAGGACATTTTCGATATGATGCACCAAACTGATCATTTGGACTTTAATTAAACTCACAATTCCCCAACTCTTAAAGAGAGAAATTTCAGCTATGATTAAAACTTCATAATTTGTCAATTGCTCATGATTGATGTAAATACATTCAATTTAAGTGATTATAAAAAGCATATACTTTATCCTCAAGATGTATAATCTATACCTCACTCAGATACTTTCAATCCTTAAATGGTGATATATTTTCCAACTTATTTTTGTTTACAAGAAGTCTCAGAAGAATACATATCAGGCTTCTGCTGGGTTTGAATCTGCCCTACTCACACTCAGAGAGCTGTTTGTCCTCATGCACACATATAATCTCTTTTATGAACTCCTGATTTTAAAATTTATTAACTGAAGTAAGGGGTCCTTTCTGCTCTTCTTAATAACTTTTTCTGCAGCTTCCTCTGATGTCATTTTTTTTTATCTAATAAAAGTTTATGTTTCATCAACCTTTTTTCTTTACCTAAAAGCCTCCTTCTATTCACAATGGAAGAAGATTGGCAAGGAATCCTGTACTTGGGAGTAAAGTAAAATACAACTTGGCGTCTTCCTTTCTGTGACCTCTGAGGGTCATTCCTTCCTCCCTCTGAGCTTGGCTTTTCCCTTTGCCTAAAGAGGGAGATCAGATTACTTTATGCCCAGGATCAGATTCTACCATGCACCCATGATCTTTTTTTTTTTTTTGAGACGGAGTCTCGCTCTGTCGCCCAGGCTGAAGTCCAGTGGTGTGATCTCGGCTCACTACAAGCTCTGCCTCCTGGGTTCACGCCATTCTCCTGCCTCAGCCTCCCGAGTAGCTGGGACTACAGGCGCCCCGCCACTGCCCCTGGCTAATTTTTTTTGTATTTTTAGTAGAGACGGGGTTTCACCGTGGTCTCGATCTCCTGACCTCGTGATCCGCCCGCCTCGGCCTCCCAAAGTGCTGGGATTACAGGCGTGAGCCTCTGCGCCCGGCTAAGATCTTACCACCTGGGAGAGCTCTGTAAAAAGAGCTTGCATATTTCACAAGTTTCCTATCCAAACTTTTCAACAATGCAATCTTTGGGGTCACATTTTTGGGAAAAAAACAAACCATCTTTTCTCAATATCAGGAACGTATCTCAGAGGCATTCCAAGGTCCTTCTTTGCCATCCTGTTGGATGGCATTTGTTGGGAGAGAAGGCAGAACATTCAATGGAGCAATTCAGAATATCTCAATTTGCTTGCTTCCTCTGGACAACTCTGAACAAATTATGAGGCCTTTGAGCTTCAGTTTTTCTCTTCTCAAACTGGAGAAATAAATACTGATCTTCTTGACCTGGGGAGATCTAAAAAGGATGATGTAAATAAAAAGAGTTTGCCACACACAGGTGCGTAGCAGTAGCTGTCTCTAATCTGTATCTGTACAATCCATCCACTATGAGGCCACCAGCAGGGTTGTTAGAACACAAATTTGATTATGCCATTCCTGGCTCCCCACCACCTACAGGATGTACTGCTAACTTCTTTATCAGCTCAAGCCTCGTCTCCCACCATCTCCCCTCACCCAATGAGAAGCCTATTTTCCACCCACGGAGCCATCTGTAGTCTTGTCTGTCATCCTTTTGTGGACTTCAGAAACTTTTGTAGACTTTTTTCTCTGTCTGGAATATCCTTTCCCACTTTTTCCATCTGGTTAAATTCTTGTTTCTTAAGTAGCATAGTTTGTAAAAAGATCTACCCCACCTTCTCCTTATTTACACAACAACAGCAAAATATTTCAAATACAATTGAAGTCTCCCGGTCCCCTTCATTGATACCATTTCTTTCACTCCTCAGAAGTAAACTCTCAACTCAACTTGGCAATAATCAGTCCCATGAGTGGTTTTTATAAATGCCTAAATATGCATGTTGCCATAAAACATATTGCGCTGTTGATAGTGTTTTAAAATGTGTATTATATATGTACATGTGTGTGTTATAGTACCCTGGGCATTTTAATCTTTTTGCTAAAATTTCGACATGCAAAAGGTCTGAAAACCAACCAAATTTTTTTTTCCATAATGTATTTGGCAACAAAGTTTAACCTAACCTGAACTCATTAGGTGGCAAAACATGCCCTGAATTCATGTGAGGCTATCCTTGGCCATGATTTATTCTACTTAGGTGAATCTCTATTTTTTTTTCAGAGGAAATATTAGTATGTTTGGTTTTATACTGCTGGCCCAGCTTCTGAGGGGGTGTTACCAAAATATAAATATATGCCTCTCTGAAGTATTTTTAAAACGTTGAATTCTGAAACACATCTGGCCACCAAAGGTTTTGGAAAAGGAATTTGGACTGAGCGGTTTTTGAAATCAACCCATGTTGACTCAAAAAGCTCTAGTGCATTTATTTTAACAGCTTTAACAGCTTGATAATATTACATTGTGTGATACAGCTCAATTTACCTATTCAGTCCCTGGTTGATGGACATTTAGGGTATTTCCAATTTTTAACAATTTTAAACAGTGCTGCAGTATGATTCTGGTACATGAATACTGCTGCAATGAATAGGAATTTCCTAAAAGTAGAAGTGCTGATGCGTGCGGTATATGCTTTTCTCATTTTATTAGCTATTGCCAAATTGCTCTCCAAAATGGGCGTACCCACATAGATATGAACTGCTAGGGTGTAACAGATTCCTTTGCTCCACATTTTGGCAAACACTTGGGATCAGCGGTCTAGGAAATGGTCAACATTTGTATGTTCTTTATGCGTGTTCTAAATGCACATTTCATCTCCAATTTGGGAGATACAGGATTCTATATATCTTATTTCAAACTCAGGAATTATGTGGTTCAAATATTCTAGATCTTTCTTATTTTGTTCCTGAGATATCAGTTACTGAGAGAAGTATATTAATATCTCCCACTATAATAGTAGATTCTTTAGCTAGTTTTTTTTTATTTTGTCATTTCTTTGATATGATTTGAAGATACATAATTGGGTATACAGAAGTTCTAAACCATAATAACTCCTTTATGTATTTTAGTTCTCTGTAATAATTTGAGGCTTCAATTTTTTCCCCTGATATTAAAATAGCTACACCAGTTTTTTTTTTAAGGCTAGTTTCTGCCTGGCATATATTTTCTCCATCCTTTACTTCCAAATTTAATGCGTAATTATGTTTCTCTCTTCCTCTCCTTCGGACACTTGTAAGTGGCAAGCTAAGAACATTTACATTTATTATGACTACTGACATATTTAGGTTGATTTATAATTTCTTATTTTATGTGTTCTACTGGTTCATGTTTTTTTCATTTCTCCTTTCTTCCTTTCTATTGGATTGATAGAGTATTTTTATTTCTTCCCCCCACCGATGAGATATAACATAATCATTCTATTATCAAACTTTGATGGTTGTCTTTAAAATGTTACCTTTCATATTTGATTTAACATAATCAAAAAGGAAGTAATAACTCTTTTTTTCTGGAACAAGAAAAGACCCTTACTTCGAGCATTATTGTTCAAAATGTTGGTACCACATTGTTTCTGGATGTGTGTATGTGTTTCTTTCTTTCTGACATAAAACTTTCAGTTATTTTTTTCGGGAAGTTTCTGTTCCTGGTAAGTTTTTATTCATCTTATAATGCCCTTATTACACCTTTACCCTTGAATGACACTTGTAGAATTCTTGGTGGAATTCTTATTTTCTCCATCAATTTTGGGGATATGACGACCTCCTCTTCTAGCCTGAAGACTCAATAAATGCTGGTTGTTGTGTGGATTACACAAGTCATATAATGTCTGTTCTCAAATTCACCAACACTTTTCATCTGACTTGAATTTGCTATTTAAACCTTTGATTAATTTTTCAGTTATGTTTTTCCCTTTCTATTTTACATTTAGTTCTTTGTCACATTTTTCTGTATTTTTTTCTTAGAGTATATAATTATTTTAGTTTTTGAATCTTTAGTTTTTATCACTTAAATACTTAATTTTTGGTGTTTAGAAGATAAATATGTATTTTTTTTACTTAACCTCTTTGATCTTTTATCTGTCCCATGACAAAGTTGTCACTCCCAATGATACCAAAAATAATCAGTTATTTGTTTGATGTCATATTACGCATACATAACACTCTCAGAATAACATGGCTGACACTATCACTAATGACATAATCACCAGAAGTTTAAAATTTTACTTATAGCCATATTTAACTTTTTACTTCCTTTAAAGTTGTTATTTGTATTATAACTATATATGTGAAACAGCATCCAGGCAATGCTATAATTTTTGTTTTCCACATTCATTTATATTTTAAAAAATTAAATGGATAAAAACATTGTATTAGATATACCCAAATGGTTACCATTTCTGTTGTTCCTTCTTCATTTTTACAGCTCCAAGTTTCGCTTGTAGATCATGTTTCTTCACTCTGAACAACTTTTAAGAATTGTTTAAAAGCATATCTGCAGGTTACTAATTCCCTTAGTTTATCTTTATATGGGAATGCTTCTATTTTGCTTTTATTCCTGATGAGTATTTTTGTTACACATAAAATTTTACATGGATAGTTCTTTTAGCAATTGAAAAATGTTCTTCTATTTTCCTCTGGTTTCCATAATTTCTGATGAAAAATCCATAGTCATTTAAATTATTTTTTCTGTATATACAATTATTGGTTTCCTTTGGATACTCTGAAGATTTTTAAAAAGTTATCCTCAGTTTTCATCAGTTTTAATGTCATATTTCTGGAAGTGTTTTTTTAAAGTTTATCATGTTTGTGTTTTACTGAACTTTCTGAATCTGTAAATGCGTGTTTCATAAAATTTGGGAAGATTTTGCCAACTGTTTCTCCAAACATTTTTTCATATTTATTTTCTCTCGAAATTCTAATGGCATGGATTTAGACCTTTGAAAACTTTCCCAGGGGTCCCTGAGTCTCTGCTCATTTTTAAGATCATTTTTCTCTATGTTCAGTTTGTATAATTTATATTCATCTATATTCAAGTACTTTACTCTTTTCTATTTCATCTAAATTCTGCTTCAGAGTCCAATGAATTCTTTTAATTTCAATGTTAAATAGTTTCTATTTATCTAATGAGAATGTTTATCTTTACATTCATTTCCAGAGTGTTCACCTTGACTCCATGGATAATTATTACAATAGCTATTTTAAAAGCTGCCTCTGGTAATTCCACCATATGGTTTTGGTTCATCTTGGGATTGGCACCAAATGATTTTCTTAGCCCTTAGCATTGGTTAGCTTCCCCTGTTTTGCGTGTATTTAGGTTTGTGCAAAAGTAATTGGGGTTTTTGCCATTACTTTTGATGGCTAAAGCCACAATTATATATGTATGTATGTGTGTGTGTTTTTACATACCAAGTAATTTTGAAATGTATCCTGGACATTTTGCATATTATTTTGTGAGACTCTGGATCCTGCTAAAATCTTCTAGAAAATGTCGATTTTTGTTTTGTTCTAATAGGCAATCAATCCAGTTAGGCTGAGAGTGCAAGTTCCACCTTACTGCCTGTGATTGGTGTTTCTAACAACAGTTCAGTTTTCAAAGCCTTTGCTGTGCTGTTTGAATCTGCCTGCATATGTATATACCACTGAGGGGTTAGACTGGGATTTAGGCTATGGTTTATTTTACAGTCCAGTTCCTAAAGCCTTTGCTGTGCTTTGCTGGCTCTGCTCCACCCAGGCACAACCCAGAGGGAAGTCTTAGACTTATGCAAGTTCATGCACAGAAAGTGGGGAAGAGCCTTCTTCAACCTCTCCTCTCTAGATTTTCCTTGACAATAGTTCCCAAAGGCCACTTTTCTAGTCTCTCTGAATGAAAAGATAAGGTTCTTTCTGGATTTTATCCCCGCCTAGACGGTTGGGGAATTCCATGAGACTGGAACTACATTTAGGGCAAAGTGGTGGGAAAGAAGAAATGGAGAAAAAAATCAGGGACTCTCTTTTTCTCAGTCTTCTTAACAGAGAGGAGCATCTTTTCTTAGGGCTTCAGGTGCCTGTGATGCCTCAGAAGTCTCGGAATAGTTCTGCTACCAGGGCTATCCTCACAACATGGCTGGGGAAAAAAGAGAAAACAAAAATTTTAAGGGGAGGGGAAATTTTTCCTCACTCTCTGACATGTGGAGTTTTACCTTCCCTTTCCTTTAGCCTTCCCTTTCCTTTGGCCAGAATAGAGTTTTTCTTTCTATGCCTGCTATACATTTTTTTTTTTTTTTAGATGAAGTCTTGCTCTGTTGCCCAGGTTGGAGTGCAGTGGTGTGATCTTGGCGCACTGCAACCTCCCATGATTCTTGTGCCTCAACCTCTCGAGTAGCTGGGATTATAGGCATACACCACCATACTCGGTATATATATATATATATATATATATATATATATATATATATAAAATTTTTTAAATATATATAAAAATATATATAAATAATATATATAAATTTTATATTTATATATATTATATATATATAAATATATATATAATTTTTTTTTTTTTTTTTTTTTTTTTACTATAGATAGGGTTTCGCCATGTTGGCCAGGCTGGTCTCAAACTCCTAACATCAGGTGATCTGCCTGCCTCCACCTCCCAAGGTGATGGGATGACAGGATTGAGCCACCGCACCTGGCCTCACTATACTTTTAGCAATTTGATCTATCCTTGAACCAAAGCTGACAGACAAAAAAGGAAGCAAAGCAAAATAAAACAATGTAAATACCATTCCTGAAGTGGAAAATGATTCAGGGTGTTACTTCAGTTTCCTATGTCCCTCTTAGTTAGTTTTCAGAATCCTCAGGTAGTTTCCTTCTGTATTCTGCTTAATGATTTTAGCCATAATCAGACTGTAGTTGACTTACACCATTTTATCAATATTGGAATTATTTTTAAATTTACATTTTATGTTTAGGAATTGCTTTGAAAAGTTTGATTTAATTTTGCTTTTAAGTATATAACTATCTATATGGTCCTCAAGTATTTATATACCTCCCAGGTAAAAACTAAAAAACAAGGTTGTTAGGAGCTGTAACATGTCCCACCCCAAAATCATATGTTGAATTCCTAAACGCCAGTACTTCAGAATGTGACTGTATTTGGAAACAAGGTCTTTCAAGCCTATTAAATTAAAACAATAAAGAAAAATAAGGCCACTAAAGTGGATCCTAATCCAATCTGATTTGTGTCCTTACAGGAATAATACACTTGCGCACACAGAGAGACACTAAGGGTGTGCACGCACAGAGAAAAGACCATGCGAAGAGGCAACAAGAGGGCAGCCACCTGCAAGCCAAGAAGGAAAGACTTAGGAGAAACCAGGCCTGCTGATGTCTTGTTCTTGGGCTTCTGGCTTCTAGAACTGTGCAAGAACTAGATTCCTGTTGTTTAAAACCCCCTAGTTGTGGTACTTCATCACAGCCGCCCTGGTAGACTAAACTTGTATTTGTCTGTTCTCATGCTGCTAATAAAAACATACCTGAGACTGGGTGATTTGTAAAGGAAAGAAGTTTAATGGACACAAAGTTCCACATGGCTGCGGAGACCTCACAATCATGGTGGAAGGCAAAGGAGGAGCAAAGGCACATCTTACATGGTGGCAGGCAAGACACCTTGTGCAGGGGAACTCCCATTTATAAAACCATCAGATCTAATGAGACGTATTCACTACCACGAGAACAGTATGGGGGAAACCTTTCCAATGATTCAATTATCTCCACCTGGCCCCACCCTTGACACATGGGGATTATTATCATTCAAGTTGAGATTTGGGTGGGGACACAGCCAAACTATACCAAAATCCTATTCTCTTTTTGTCCTGCCAATTTTTTCAGTATTTACAATTTGCCTTCCTATATACCATAATCTCCTACAATATTTCTGTCTTCTTCACATGCAACAACTCCTTAAGTTGGTATTTCTGTGTCTACTTCTATGAATTAAGAAACTATTACAGCTGGTGAGCAGGAGAGCTGGTGCTATAGACCGAGCATTTGTCTCCCCAAAATTCACATATTTGAAATCCTAATCCCCAAGGTAATGGTATTAGGAGGTAGGGGCCTTTGGCAGGTGATTAGGTCATGAGGGCAGAGCCCTGGTGAATGGGATTAGTGCCCTTACAAAAAGAGACCACAGAGAATCCCCTGGGCCCTTCTACCATGTGAGGACATGGAGAGAAGGAGCCATCACTGAACCAAGAATTGAGCCCTCATCAGACTGAATCGGCCGGCTCCTTGATCTTGGTCTTCTCAGTTTCCAGAACTGTGAGAAATAAATTTCTGTTGTTTATAAGTCGCCCAGTCTACGGTATTCTATTACAGCAGACGGAACAGACTAAGCCAGCTGTCCTCCAACACATGGTTACACAGCCCAAATGCTTCTTGATGCATTGCACTGCTAAGTTAAGCTGGAGTGCAAATATGGAGAAGAACGTAAATGCACAGGCATGAGATTCTGTAACTTGTCATTAAACCACAGCTCCAAAGCTGAAGAGTAATGTCATTGTAATTCACCAATCTTTTTTTTTTTTTATTATTAAACTACCATTCATGCAGCCAGGGCGGTGCAGATCCCTTCCTGAAAAATTTTGACAACCTCCAAGTACCATTCAGAAACATGAAGGGCTCTCAGTGGGACCTTGTTATTCTGAGCATTAACACAAAGCCATTTCACACAATACAATACAACTTGATTTTGTATGGCACCCCATTCCAGTAGGGACCCCAGTGGAAATTCATGCATCCTGTTTTTAATCCTCCTGGAGTGATTTAATTTCAAACATACAACTACTTTTGCTTAATGCAACCTGCATTTGAAGAAAGGTTCCTTCTTGACAACTTGAGTGAGAGGATGACAAGGTCTTTATTCTGACTGTGACTCAATAGACCACATTTTGCCTCTGATGAGGGTATATGAATACCACCTAGGGAGGGTGGTATGAATGGTACTTGGAGTTTGTCAAAATTTTTCATTTCCCCTCCTGTATGAAGTACTTATGGACTAAAATTATAGTATTGAATAACAACAAAAACTATCAAAATGACTTAATATTTTTTTCGTTTCCTTGAAAATAAAAATTCTGTTTACTCACCTATTATAGAAAGACAGCTTGGTCAAGTGGAGCCAACAGCAAGTTGTAATTCTTGGTTTTTGCCCCAGGAAAAACTTTGCCAAGTTGTGTGACCTTAGGCAAGTATTTTCCCCTCCCTGGTATTCTGTTTCCCTACTCAGGAGAAGCAAGGAGTCCACTTTAGATGTATATACTCTCTGTCCTGTTTATTAACACAGATTCCTGCTAAGCTCCTTTTTCTTAGGCTTGGTCATTCACTGATCCACATCCTAAGGGATTTGGGTAGTACTCAGGGAGAAGCTCCTGTTTGAACAGTCCTTTATGAGTTAAACATAACTTGAGGAGTGGGGTGAGGAGGGAGCAGGCTGTGCAAACATATGGATTAACACACAGCGTTGAAACTGATACCAGAAATCAAGAAGAGGGCTTCTTTACCCTGATAGCCTGGCTTCATTTCTAGCTGACCAACAAAGACTCACTAAATAATGGTGAGGCAGCCTCTTAGCAGGTAGGTGTTCCTGTTAATTTAGAACATGAATCAGATAGCTAGGAAGTAGCAGAGATAGCATTTGACCTTAGCTGGCTTGGTTCTAGCATAAGCTTAGCCACAATGCTGATATTCCTTGCAAGCTAAAGTAGAGTCTTTCTGCCTTCTGTTTTCTGAGCTGCCCCAGCGCAACAGACTCTATGTTATAGGACACGAGAAGCAGCGCAGATCTCCTCCTGAGTAATACACCCCAATGCAGTCATGGCAATGGCCCTCAGAGTTGGGTGAATTGTGTACAGTTTGGTCTACCTAATTCAGAGAACAGGAACAACTGCTTTTCTGTATCATATGGGAGATCTAGGACTTCTGTCTGGTGGTATACTTGGGCTTCTACTTCCCTACATCCCTGATTCTCTGCATGTCAGAATTCTATTCCTGTGGAGTGGGACTCAAGGTGACATATCTGAGGACCCTGTTTCCCTAAGTGGGGTTGCTTGTCAGTTGCCTTAATTCACAGATAAGAGGCAAATGATGACTCCAGGTCATTAGGAGCCATTGCCCTGTGTCCCCCTTACCCAGTTCCCAGTGGTGCTGAGCCTGGCCTAGATTCTGACCCCTTGGATTAAGCAACCACTTATGGCCCTATGGGTATACAGGTTGGTGCTTGCTTTCACAGGTTCTGATATTTAGCTTATTTATTTATTTATTTATTTTTTAGTTGGGGTCCTACTCTGTCACCAGGCTGGAAAGCAGTGGCAAGATCTCAGCTAACTGCAACCTCCACCTCCTGGGTTCAAGGGATTCTCCTGCCTCAGCCTCCTGAGTAGCTGGGGCTACAGGCATGCGCCACCACACCCGGCTAATTTTTGTATTTTTAGTAGAGATGGGTTTTCACCATGTTGGCCAGGATGGTCTCGATCTCTTGACCTCATGATCCACCTGCCTTGGCCTCCCAAAGTGCATATTTAGCACTTTCTATGACCTTTGGTGCAATCTCCATTCTGGCTCATTTAGCTCCTGGCTGTGTGGAGCCTAATACCAACATTCTAAGCCAGGCTGAGCTTCTCAGAAGCCAACCCTGGCCACCGACCCACTTTGCTCAGCCTTTGATTCTGGACATAGAGTTTCCTTAGAAAATAGCTCTGTTCTACCTTCCTACTGGACTTCCAAGAATTGGCCCTAAGTCTTTCATGGAGAAAACTAAGAACATTGAGCTAATAAGCTCCTCTTTGAAACTTGTGTGGGTTTTCCCCAATATCAATAACCAATTCTCCAATTATTTAACAACTGGGCACTCAGAAATTCAATTCAATCTCAGCACCAACTACCTGGAATTGGCACAGCCCCCACAGGTGAAGGGCTCAATCCCATAAGGATGCCCCAATTTCAGATGCCAGTGCAAGTGGGATCCCCAGATGATTCACATTTCTGCTCAACCAAGTACAAATTCAAGGGTTCCCAAGACTCCTCCTCTTCAGGTTTGATAATTCACTAGAATGACTCACAGAACTCAGAACACCACTTTAATGATTAACACAGATTCCTGCTAAGCTCCTATTTAGGCTCGGTCTTTGAGTGCTTAAGAGAATTCATTGATCCACAGCCTAAGTGATTTGGGAAATACTCAAGGAGAAGCTCCTGTTGGTACAGTCTTTATTATGAAGGATACAAGGCAGAAAGAGCCAGATGGAAGAGAAGCACAGGACAAGGTATCGTGGAGGTGAGTGTGTGCACAGACCTTCCGTGTTTTCACCTGCTGCCCACTCTCCCCGCACAGTGATGTGGTCACTGATCGGAGGCTCCTGGAACCTTCTCCTTTAGGGGGTTTTAGGAAGATCACAATACATAGACATGATTGATTCAATCATTGGCCATTCGTGATTAAACTCCATCTCCAGCTTCTCTCCTTGGGAGGGCAGAAGATGGAGCTAAAAGTTCTTACTCTCTAATTGTGCCTTGGTCTTTTGGCCACCTACCCCTAACCTGAAGCTATCTAAGGCTTTGTCCACTGTCAGGAGTCATCTCATTAGCTGACAAAAGACACTGTTTTCACTCAGGAGATTGCAAGTGTTTTAAAAGCTCAGGATCAGGAACTAGGGACAAATATCACTTTTTTTTTTTTTTTTTTTTCTGAGACAGAGTCTCGTTCTGTCACTCAGGCTGGAGTGCAGTGTGATAGTGTGATCTCGGCTCACTGAAACCTCCACTTTCCGGGTTCAAGCAATTCTCTGCCTCAGCCTCCTGAGTAGCTGGGATTACAGGCGTGTGTCACCATTCCCGGCTAATTTTTGTATTTTTTTTTTAGTAGAGATGTGGTTTCGCCATGTCGGCCAAGCTGGTCTCAAACACCTCACCTCATGATCCACCCACCTCGGCCTCCCAAAGTGTTGGGATTACAGGCATGAGCCACCGTGCCTGGCCCAAAGGCCACATTTTAAAAATTATTATTGTATACCATAGGAACCTAATAAAAATTTGAACTCATAGTGGATTCAACCTAGCCAAGATTCCAAAGAAAGATCTATGTCATTGGGCAGAGGGGAAACGCTTCTTCAATTTTCAGGATCCTGGGGCTGCAAGAGCTGACAAGGAGCTCAGCTGAAAGCCAAGCATGGGACAAAGGATCCACGACTTTAGGATTTTTATTTTCAACTTTACAATAGTGTGAAAGTGATACTCATTCAGTAAGAACCCTACCTAGAGCGCCTATACAATCATTCTGCTTTTTACTTTCAGTACAGTATTCAATAAATTGCATGAGCTATTCAACACTGTTTTACAAAAATAGGCCTTGTGCTAGATGATTTTGCCCAACTGCAGGCTAAGCGTTCTGATCATGTTTAAGTTAGGCTAGGCTATGCTATGATGTTTAGTACATTTAGGGGTATGTCTCTATAAGTTGAAGATAGAGATGCTGCACTTCCCATCACCAGGATGTCCTGAGCACACCCTGTATATTGAATGATAATCAAAGCTGTGAGATGATATCTGGATCAAGGCCACACACCCATGTTTTGGTGCAAGAGGCGTGTCCTGCTCATGCTGACCCTTCAGGAGCCCTAGGAGACTCCACCCCAGCAGCAGAGTGAGATGTCTCTGAAGGAAAGGGTGGGATGAGAGGAGAAAAGCAGTAGGAAAGTATGAGGAGCTGCAGGAGAAAGTCCTCACTCCACCAAGGGGGTCTAGTGGGAAGAAATGGGGCAAGTGACTCCACTCTGTGGAACTTGGAAGCCCAAGACAAGAATTTCCATTCCCAGGCTGTCCACATAGCTTGTCACCACTCCCCCTACCCACCATGTGCCCAGATGAAAAATCGCCATCCTTTAGAGCCACAACAGAGGAAAGGGCTCAGCACTGCTTTCACCATTGCCCCTTGTCTCCCGCTCTCCATTTATTTTAACCACACTGACTGTTCTCACATTACTGTAACCACAGTTGGCCTCTGGAATCTTCCTCCAACCAACCAAGCACATTCCTGACTCAGGACATTTGGCCCAGAGATTCCCTTTGCCTGGAACACTCTGCCTTCCAATATTCATGTCCTTTGCTTCCCCACTGCACAGAGATCTTGATGAGTCCACAGTGGGGTTCCCTGCCAGCCTTGTGCCAAGTAATCCCTCTGGACACACAGAATATCACCTTTACTCTCTTATCCTGGAATGCATTTCTCTGCTTACAACTTGATTTATATATATTTCTCCCCATCCCCATCATTTCACAGTAACTACTACATGGAAAGATCTTTAATTATTTTACTCATGACCTACTTTTGGAGCCGTACCTAGTACTGGGGAAGTGCTTAATGATTGATGAATGACAGTTGATTGAATGAATATAGATAGATATTGTGCCCTATCCTATGTGACCCAGGAACTCAGGACAAAGATGGACTCAAGAGGGAATAGTGGCTTGTTCCTTCCAGACAATCTTTGGGTGACTGGTGACCTAAGAGTTTGGCCTACCTGCAATCATGCAATCATGTACCCATCAACTTTTTAGGTTTGGATTAGAATTGGAGAGGCTGGCATAGAGGCAACTAGTGCTTGTCAAATTTTTGGGTTTGGATTAGAATTAGAGAGGCTGAGATAGAGGTAACTGGTACAGGGAAGGCTTGCAGAAAGATAATTGTTAGGTCCCATAGAGTCTTGGTGTACAAGTTCCTTCTGCTGAGGCATAGAGAGAATGCTTAGTCTCTGGGGAAGCACTGGATCATGAGGCCCAGCTATATTGTGATTCCTCTTTTTCCCACTATTTTTGAAACCTTCTAGAACCTGGACAAGTGGCTGAGAATGTAAGTTTTCTTTTTTGTACATGTGTATTCTTACACCAGACCCTCTTTGCCTTCAGAGACTCGAGAGATTCTCTTGTTTCTTGGAAACTGATAAATTTTAAGAGCGTCATCATGGTTTCTCTGAGTTTTCAGGCCTGGTAACATCAAGATGTGTTTGGGTTGCAGAGAGAAGAGGAAAGAATCAATAAAAAAGTAAAGCAAAACAGAGGAAAGAAAATTAAATGACTTCTTTTGAGGACTTAGCAAACACTATTAATTGTGTGGCTGTTATTTATCATATCTGATTTTCATATTTCTATGTTTAGGATATTTTTAAATAGAAGAAGCAAAAAAAAATACCCTGCAAACTCTCTTAAAGAATAAAGAAATTTGTCTCACATAACAGGAAGTCCAAGTTAACAGTGTCTATACAGCAGGATAAGCAATAAAGCTCCACTTCTTTCCAATTCTTTTGCCTCCTTTTGGTGACAGCTTCATCCTCAGGGTGGCTATCTCTGTACTTGTATGATGGATTCTAGAAGCTCCCAGGCAGCATGTTTCCAGAGGGCCAGAGTGAGAAGGCTTCTCCCCCATTCACAGCCAACCTACACGTAGCCTCAAGCTCTGACAGGTGCAAGCCTGGGTTTCTGAACCCCTCACCCTTCAGAGAGAAGGGATGACCATTATTGACTTGGACCATTCAAAGTCTCATTCTTAGATCTGAGGATGTTGTCCACTCACCTGACTCCTAAGAGCTGAATGGGGGAGAGTTGGCCTCGTGAAAATGGAAGACAGATTCTTCTAGGAAGAAGCAAGTGAGGAATGGATGTCTCATTACCATGTCACAGATAAGAAAACTGATACTCAGTGGGATAAGATATTCTGCTTACATGATACAAATTGGCCACACAACTAAGTAGCATGTACCAAGTCTATTCCTTGGTACATGTAAATACCAAGCCTGTATTTAAAGCCTGTAAATAAAGCCTATATTTATAGCATAAGAGATAAAGGAAGGAGGTGGTAGAAGCAAGAGAGGAAATGGAAGGAAAAGGGAAAAAAAAAAAAAAACAGAAAAGAAAGGAAAATAAGAAGTAAGGACGTCACGAGCTTCTTCCCCAGCCAGCCTAACACATGTGGGCCAAGTTAAGAACCGACTGTCACCATGTGGTTTTCCAGTTCATTACTTCCTGGCATCAGCAAGGTCTCATTTGTGAGAAGAAACAATGTCTTTAAAAGACTCACAAGGATTCTTGGACATCAACAGTCTTCCCCAAACATAATTTTATTAAATCTGAAGAAAAGTGAATCTGCTTCTTCCAGAGACCATCTTTGCTTCCAGATATATTAATTTACTAATGAACACAGAACAAGTGTCCTATGGTTGGCTGAACCCCAGATATTAGAGGAAGAAAATAGCTGAAGCCATTCAACAAAAAGTTAAATGTAATAGAATTTCCATATCTGACTTTTAAAGAAGCTTCCAGATTTATGATTTTATTCTGAAGTTGGACCACTTAGTGCTAGAGAATAGTAATATTTTAAAAGAGAGGAAAGTTTTCCTCTTCTCTATGGGACAAGCTTGCCTATTCCTTTATGCTGTGATGTCATTATTAGCTGAGTATCATAGGCTAGGATTCAGTATAGGCCAGGATTGGGAGTGAGGGAACCTTCTGGACTATATAGTGCCAGGCCTTAGGGGAAGTGTTTCAAAGGATGTGAATACATGGGAATTCCCACATAAGCCTAATCAGGGCGGTGAATAGGACTGGCAAGGGTCTGAATAGCATGTCTTACTCAAAGCTCAAAGTCAAGCCTTAAGGTGATTTGGCTGTTTTGGGAAGAGTTGCCACCTGTGATTAGGATTGCAGGGGCCTGTGTTCTCCAGATAGAGATCTGAAAGGAGCCAGGAAGATGTCTGGAACCCCAGATAATCAGGACAAGATTCTGAAAAGTCCCATGGAAAAACTCTGCTCCCATCAGGATGCCTATATCCAAAGCCAGTCACCACCCAGAGGGAATATTTCAGACCTAATGCCTTAACTCCCACTATTATCAGTGCATTCCGTGATTGACAACCATATCTCCTACCAAACTCACCCAAACTTGAGTCTCAATACTGTTTCATAGGCTTAATCATAGTCTTCAGTTCCTTCTGTTATAAGACTGATATCACAAACCTAACCCATGGGATGGTTAGAGCAGAGCAGTTTGAGTGTTCTTGTCCCCTCCAAAACTCATGTTGAAACTTAATTCCCAAAGCAACAGTGCTGGAATATAGAACTTAGTGGGAAGTCTGTAGGTCAGAAGGGTTTTGTCCTAATGATGGATTCGTATGGCTATAAAAAGACTTCTGGTAATTTGCTCTCTTCTGCTCTTCTGCCATAGGAGGAACAGCATTTCTTCCCTCTGGAGGATGTACCATTCAGAGAACCACCTCAAATGTGGAAACCAGGCCCTTGTCAGACACCAGACCTGAACACACCTTGACCCTGGATTTCCTAGGCTCTAGAACTGTGAGAACGAAATTTCTGTTTTTTATAAATTACCTAACCTCAGGACCTCTGTCATCGCAGCATAAATGACCTAAGACAAGTAGACTAACAGAATGAATACAAGCAAGATATAAAATATTAGAGGGTTGCATGGCACATGGAAAATGATAACACTGAATAACTACACAACTAATAATGAATGTAATTTGTAATAACTACAAAACCTGTATAAATAAAGGTACCTAAGAATTTTCCTAGCCGAGATTATCAGTTTACCCTAGGCTCCCAAAGCTGCCTAGCATGGTGAAATGGAATCATAAGGGTAAGGCTGAGCCTGTTTTCTACAAAGTTCTATCTGATGATTTGCCAAGGTTAGTAGGATCACTGCATCACAGTTGTCGGATACCAACATTGGATAATCAGTAAGCAGCCCTGCTCAGAAGACACAGTGGGCTAGGCAATTGCAGAAGCTCCCTTCCTTAGTAATCCATGTGAGTTGTCCTGAGATTGTCTTGAAGATCTCTGGTGTTTAAATTGCTCTCCTTGTGTAAGTCTGTTGCCTAGAGAGTTGGACTGAATCAAAGTAAAAAGTGGAATTAGAACATAGAGTCATGACCATTTGCAGTGAAGGTCATCTCTTCCCAAGATCATTGCCATCTGTTTTTTCTTTTTATTTTTACTTAAATTAATGAAATATTTTCTCCTAGGAAGGAAAGTCCCATCTAAAACTCATTTTAATTACCTCACACTTATACTCACAATTCCAGCATTGGTGTGTATGACAGACATTAAGGGACACCAAGAAGTTTGGTGGAAGCCAGTATTTGAGGTCTAAGGAACTGAGTAGTGTTAGAGTTGGCCACCAGTAGGGAGGTGCAATTTAGAGTTAACGTCCCACCAGATTAGAGGAATTTCATAAAACATTTGATTTCTCATTGAAAACACAGAAATTCTATGTCATAAGAGCAAGAACTAAGTGAAAAACCAAAGTAAACTGGTCCTAGAAAGGTATAAATCCAAGCTACTACAGGGTCAGGTGATCTAGTAATTTCATTGCCTGTCAGAAAAAAACAAACAAAAACCTCAATATTATTTTGAGGATGATAACAAAATTCAGAGTATCCATATAAATCCATGGTATCTAGTATACAATAAAAATTCTCTAAACACACCAAAAAGTAGAAAAATGTGGCTTGTAATCAAGAGAAAATATAGTCAAAAGAAGCAGACTGGCAGCTGACTCAGGTGTTAGAATTTGTAAAACATAACTTCAATAAATAAAGCTATTATAACTTTGGAAAATAAATTACTGAAAAAAGTGAACCAGCAAACATTGAGCACTCTCAGGAGACAGATAAAAGCTACAAAAGAGAACCTGATGAAAATTTTACAACTGAGAAAAAAATACAATATATAAAGTGAATAGTACAGTAATATGCTTAAAAGATTGAATACAGCAGGAGACAGGATCAGTAACTAGATCAATACAAATTATTTAATGCAAAACCCAGAGAAGAAATAAAATTTAAAATAAATTACTCAGAACCATGGTGACATATTGCACAGTTTGAAGCAGTCTAATATGCATATAATTAAACTTTTAGAAGGACAGAAAAGAGAAGATGGGGTGAAAAAATAAATGAAAACACAATGGCCAGAAATGTTCAAATTTGGAGAAAAATGTTCAAATTTGGAGACAAATATTCATGTACAGGTTCAAGAACCCCAGGAAATCACAAGGAGATAAAATTATATAGCCATCATAGTCAAACTAATGCAAACAATAAATAAAGGAAAAAATCATTAAAGTATTCAGAGTAAAATACATGCTATATATAGAGGAATAAATAAAATAATTATAATGGATTTTTTTTATTAAATATGAGGGTTAGGAGTCAATGAAATAACATCTTTTAAATGCTGAAAAAAATCTTTCAATTCATAATATATATGTTACATACATGTGTTTAAATATTTTTTCACATTCAGATGTATACCCATACAAACATGCATACGTGAGGGAGATGAGAGAGTAGAATTGGAGATGTATTAAAGTTACCATATTTTATTGTAATTAGGTCTATGTGTACCTAAAATAGACTGAAATAAGTTAATATATATGCATACATATATATGTATTATATTTATATATATATCCTTATGGCACCTCAGTTAAAACAATTCTAAAGTATATAGTTAAATGTAAATGGAATTAAAATGGTACAATAAAAATATTTCTTTAATACAAAAAAGTAAAAGAGAAGCAAAAATACACACAAAACACATAGAAAACAAATAGGAAAATGGCAGACATAAGTCCAATCCTACTAAAAATTACATTAAATGTAAATGGACTAACATTCAAGTCAAAATGCAGAGATCATCGTACTGGATAAAATACAAGATGACAATGCCCAATTATGTACTACTTACTCAACAATATAGTGTAATAATTACTGCTTTATACAATTACATGTTTATTAAAGAATTAAGAATAAAGGAATAGGCCGGGCACTGTGGCTCATGCCTGTAATCCCAGCATTTTGTGACACTGAGGCAGGCAGATCACCTGAAGTCAGGAGTTCGAGACCAGTCTGGTCAACATGGTGAAACCCCATCTCTACTAAAAGTACAAAAATTAGCCGAGTGTGGTGGTGCACACCTGTAATCCCAGCTATTCAGGAGGCTGAGGCAGGAGAATCGTTTGAACCTAGGGGGTGGAGGTTGCAGTGAGCTGAGATCACAGGATTGCACTCCAGCCCTGGTGACAAGAGTCAGACTCCATCTCAAAAAATAATAATAAAGGAATATATATGTATATGTACACACATATAAGAATATATGCATACACATATCATATTTTATATTGACTAATACGTTTATAATTCCTGATATTTTTCTTTTTTTCTTGTTAACATCTAATATCATCTCCTTTCATCCTGAAAAACTTTCTCGAGTGTTTCTTACAATGCAGGTTTGCTAGCAATAAATTCTCAGTCTATATTAAAAAAAAAAAAAAAAAAAAAAAAAAAAAAAATCTTTCAATTCATAATTTTATCAGCAAAACTATCCTTCAAAAGTAAAGATATAATTAAAATTTTTATATTTTTAAAAATGTGAGAAAATTTATCACCAGAAATCTCACCTAAGAAAAAGTGCTCAAGGAAGCTCTTCAGAAAGCAGAAAAATAATATCAGGTGAAAATTCAGATTTAAATAAAGGATGAGTGCCAGAAGCAGTAGTATATATACATAAAGTCAGATATATATATGACTTTTTTCAATTTTTAATAATTTTCAATAAATAATCAAATGGCTGATGCCATATATATATATAGTGATATCTATAACACAAGTAGAATAGAATAAAATGTATGATAACAACAGCATAAATTGTGTGAAAAGGAATTGAAAGAATGCCACTGTAAGAGGCTTACTTTATATTTGAATTGATATAATATTTAAAAATAGAATGGGATAAGTTAATTACAATAATTAAAATAATGAAACAGTAAAATAAAGAGGTAGATCCAAAAGCTTTAACTTAAGAAAACATGGAATCATAACAAATGCTTAGTTAATTCAAAAGAAAGCAAAGGGCAGATAAAGAGAAAGAGCACTTGGGACAAATAGAAAACAAATACCAAGACAGAATATTTAAATCTAACCATATTGATAATTACATTACTTATAAATGGTCTAAATATGCCAAATATAAGGCAGACATTCTCATAATGAATAAAAAAAGCTAGAACCAACTATATGTTATTTACAAAAATAACCTTTCAAATATAAAAACAACAACAGATTTAAAATAAAAAGAGGAAAATAAATGAAAATAAAAGAGGAAAACAACTGAAAATAAAAAGTTAAATAAAAATATGTGAGATGCAGCTAACATAGTGCTTAGAGGAAAATTTATACAGTCAAATTTCTATATTAAAAAAAGAGCGTTGCAAAATCAGTGGTCTAAACTTCTGTAAAAAATTAGAATGAGAAGAGAAACTAAACACAAAGTAAGAAGTGACATTTAATAACGAAGGGGGAAATCACCTCAATAGAAATAGAAAACAATAGTAAAATTCAATGTAACTAAAAGCTGGTGCTTTAAAAAAATCTGTAACCAGACTAATAGAGAGAGAGGAAGATAGAGAGAGAGAGAGAATAGATTACCAATATTAGAAATAAAAGGCGATATATTCTTAAAAAATCTGCAGTCCTACAGATATCCAGAGGACAGTACAGTAAGAAAATGTAATAAATAACTTTATTACAACAAATATGACAACTTAGAAGAAACAGACAAAGATTTTGAAAGACACAAACTACTAAAGCATTCCTTACAAAAGAAGGAATAGGAAATATATGTATCCCTGCATATATTACATAAATCGAATTAAGATTTTCAAAATTTTATACACAGAAAATTCTACGTCCATATTTCTTCATTGGTAAATTTTACCAATAATCAAATAATAATTAATAACAACTCTATACATACTTTCTCAACACATACTGTCTCAGAAAATAGGAGAAGAAAATATTTCCAAATTTATTTTATCAGATCAAAAATCACACAAAGACATTACCGATAAAATGTCAATAACTTTTATAAACATAGATCCACAAATAATATCACTTTGACATTTTTCTGGGTTTGTTTTTGTAAATCAATCAAATGCAGCAATATATTAATAATATAATGTAATATGAGCAAGGATTTATTTTAAGAATGCACTGTTGGTTTAACATTTGAAAATCAATTAGTAAAATATCCCACGTTAACAGTCAAAAAATGAAGTTTTATTTGATCATCTTAATATATGCATAAAAAAATCTAATTAAAAAGAAACTCATGATTTTTTGAAAATTGTAATCTATCAACAAACTAGAAGTATAAGGAAACTTCCTCAATCTGACAAAAGTCATCGGGAAAAATCCTACAGACAATTCTTAATTAATGAGAAATTATTGTTCACTTTGCCACAAAGATTGGCAACACAGCAAGATGCCCATTTTCAGTACTTCTTTTCACATTATACTGTTGATCTTTGCAAGTGCTAGGCCAGAAAATTTAAAAAGTGGTGTTAAGATTGGCACAAAAGAAATGAAATTGTCTTTATCCAGGGATGATTTGATTATTCACATAAATAATCTTAGAAACTCTTAAACCAATAAGTAAGTTTAGCAAGGTTGCAGAATACAAGACTGGAATACAAAATTAAAAAAAAAAAGAATAAAGAATTTCTATGTACCAGAATTCTTATGTACAGTGCATTCTTAATAGAAATAATAGACAATGATACTTAAAAGTCACTATTTATAATACTGTTAAAAGTTGCAAAATACTTAATATATATTTTCCAATGATGTACAAGACCTGTCTTCTTAAAATTAGCAAACATTGCTAAAAGATGTTTTTATAGATATAAATAAATGGAGATATTTACTATGTTCCTGAATGGGAAAATCCATGTATGTGGCAATTCCCTTCAGGATTAGATCTTAGATAGAATAAAATGTCAATCAGAATTCTAGAAGGATTTATTTAAAAAATTGACAAGCAGGCCAGGCACGGTGGCTCATGCCTATAATCCCAGCAGTTTGGGAGGCCAAGGCGGGTGGATCTCCTGAGGTCAGGAGTTCGAGACCAGCCTGACCAACATGGAGAAATCTGTCTCTACTAAAAAAAAATAAAAATAAAAATAAATAAATAAATAGCCAGGCGTGGTGGTGCATGCCTGTAATCTCAGCTACTCGAGATACTGAGGCAGGAGAATCACTTGAACCCAGGAGGTGGAGGTTGCAGTGAGCCGAGATCGTGCCATTGCACTCCAGCCTGGGCAACAAGAGTGAAACTCAGTCTTAAAACAAAATTGACCATCTGATTCTAAAATTTATAATGAAATGTAAAAGATCTTTAAAGAAAAACACAAAATTGGAAAACTTACACTATTTGTTTTAAAGTGTTCCTAAACAATAATATCATAAATAGTGTAGTATTGGAGTGAGAATAGAAAAACTTATTAATAGAATGGAATGGAAAATTCAGGAACAGACTCACAAACATATGATCTATTAATTTTTGGCAAAGTCGCCATGCAATATCATGGGAAAAGGAAAGTCTTTTCAATAAATAGTCTTTTCAACGATTGACCCTGGAACAACTATTATACACACACACACACACACACACACACACAAACACACACACATAATTTAACTTTACCTTATATCACACAAAAAATGTTTTGAGATAAACTGCAGAACTAAATGTAAGGTAAAACTCCAAAGATTCTAGAAGAAAACAAAAGAACAACTTTGTGACCCTATTTCTTAGGAAACAAAAAGCACTAAATGAAAGACAATAAAATCAACAAATTTGACCTCATCAAATTCTTTCCAAGACATCAATAGACACCAGTAAGAAAATAAAAAGGCAAGCCACAGACTAAGGGGGAAAAAGCATTTTCAATACATATATCTGACAAAAAAAGTATTCAGAATATATATAAAGAACTTCCACATATCAAAATAAGATTGCAGCCTAATAAAAATAGGCAAGAGACAAACATATATCTTACAAGAAAAGATAAATGAAAGAACAAAAAGGAAATTAAAATGTGTTTAAAAATATTAGTCATCAGGAAGCATGCATTAAAAACTAGAATGACAGGCCAGGCACCGTAGCTCAGGCCTGTAATCCCAGCACTTTGGGAGGCTGAGGTGGGCAGTTCACCTGTGGTTGGGAGTTCAAGACCAGCCTGACCACCATGGAGAAACGTCATCTCTACTAAAAATACAAAATTAGCCGGGTGTGGTGGTGGGCACCTGTAATCCCAGCTACTTGGGAGGCTGAGGCAGGAGAATTGCTTGAACCTAGGAGGTGGAGGTTGCAGTGAGCCAAGATTACTCCATTGCACTCCAGCCTGGCCAATAGAACAAGACTCCATTTCAAAAGCAAACAAACAAAAAAACTAGAATAACAAAAATTTCAAATACTAACAATTTCAAATACTGCTGAGGATGTGTAACAACTGGGCCTCATACATCTTGGGGGGTAATGTAAAATGGTACAACCATTTGGGGAAACTGTTCCATTTCACTGAAAATTAAACATTCAGCCATACTATGAATGTCCCCACTCTTTCTAGGGATTTATAGGAGAGAAATGACAACATATCTCCACAAAATGATGCGTACCAGAATTTTCAAAGCAGTTTTATTGATCACAGCCAAAAACAAAAAGTGATCCAGAAGTTTACTGTCAGGAAAACACATAAACAGATTTTGATATACTCTCAGAATACTATACGACAATGAAAAGTAACAAACTAATAAATACCCACATGGATGAATATCAGAAACATTAATGTTCAGTGAAAGACGTGGCACTGTTCACAATAGCAAAGACTTGGAACCAACCCAAATGCCCATCAATGACAGACTGGATAAAGAAAATGTGGCACATATACACCATAGAATACTATGCAGGAATAGAAAAGTATGAGTTCATGTTCTTTGTGGGGACATGGATGAAGCTGGAAACCATCATTCTCAGCAAACTAACACAAGAACAGAAAACCAAACACTGCATGTTCTCACTCATAAGTGGGAGTTGAACAATGGGAACATAAGTGGGAGTTGAACAGGGAGGGGAACATTACACACCAGGACCTGTGGGTGGGTGGGGGTTAGGGGAGAGATAGCATTAGGAGAAATACCTAATGTAGACGACAGGTTGATGGGTGCAACAAACCACTATGGGACGTGTATACCTATGTAACAAACCTGCATGTTCTGCACATGTATCCCAGAACTTAAAGTATATATATATATATATATATATATATATATATATATATATATAAAAGAATAAGCCAGATACAAAAGAGTGAACGTTGTATCGTTTCCTTCCTGTAAGTTAAATAGATTCAACTAAACTACCGGCATGGAAATAAAAGCAGTGTTTACCTGTGCGTGTAGTGCAGGATTGACTACAGGTGATCATAAGGTAATGCTCTGTGGTGATAAAAATATTATGGATCTTTCCTGGTGTATCAGTTACGTTTTGCTGTGGAACAAACCACCACAAGAATAAGAGACATCCGTGTAATTCAACCACTTGTGCAGGGCTCGGTTGGGTGGTTCTTTGGTCCCCTGTGAGCCGCCTTCAGCCAGGAACATGGCTAAGGTTGCAGTGGCCAAGAAGGCTCCACACACCGGTCTGCCATTTTTGTTGGCCATTGGCAATGGCACTCCTGTATGTGGGCTCTCTCCTCCTGTTGTTTGTCCTGTTTTTTTTACAGGATTCGGGTACAGAAGCAGGCTTCTTAAGGGCTAGGTCTGAAACTAGCAAAGTCTTAATTCTGCCACATAGATTGGGAAGTAGACTTCATCTCTTGATGGGAGGAGCAGCAGTCACATATGGGAAAGGAGGGTCTATTGGCAGTTCTTTGGAGATCATTTAGCACAGTTGAGCCTTGGTTACATGGTTGCCCATATGTGTCAAAACTCATTCAATTATGCTCTTAAGATCTGCATGTGTCACTGTGTAAATTAAAGCAAATGTGCAATGGAGTTGGCTGTGACTATTTAGAGCTCCCATCTTAACTCTTTTTAGCTGAGCAGTTGAAATAAAAGGGAGGAAAAAGGTTCTAATAAATAACTCTGATAAAGTTCACTAATTTTCTGAAAATGTATTTGGTTAAGTTTTCTTTCCAGATTTAATTAAACAGATAAAAGACAAACTGAAAACCAGAGGGAAAATTAAAATCGCTCGTTAAGTTTTTTGTAAAACTCTCTTCTTAAAGAATTGCAATGTATAATGAAGGTACTTGAACAAACTTGTCAAAGTTTGGTGTAATGTATTTTTTTTTGTTTGTTGGTTTGTTTGTTTGCTTATTTGTTTGTTTTTTACCTTACGCCGGAGAGAGGAGGGTCTTCTGTGGTTTGTACCTCTTTTCTCCCTGGTTCCCTTCTTTTCCAGGTATATGGAAAAAACAGCGAAGTCCAGGGTGGGGAGTCAGAGGCTTTGGGGACAGGCTCTTTGGACTGGACTCTACCACTCGCCAGTTGTGTAAACTTGGGTAACTAGATTAACATCCCTGTTACTCATTTTTTCCACTTTTAAAATAAGAATAACATCCCTAAACCGCTAGGGTTGTTGTAAGAAATAAGAGATTATTGTGGCCAGACACGGTGGCTCACGCCTATAATCCCAGCACTTTGGGAGGCCAAGGTGGGCGGATGATGAGGTCAGGAGTTCGACACCAGTCTTGCCAGCATGGTGAAAATGTATCTCTACTAAAAATACAAAATTATCTGGGTGTGGTGGTGCATGCCTGTAGTGCCAGCTATTCTGGAGGCTGAGGCAGGAGAATCACTTAAACCTGGGAGGCGGAGGTTGAGGTGAGTTGAGATCGTGCCATTGCACTCCAGCCTGGGCAACAAGAGTGAAACTCCATCTCAAAAAAAAAAAAATTATTCTAACATGCTTAGCACCGTGTGGGGCATGATAAAAGGTAAAATACTAAAATGTAACAGAAATTCCATAACTCAGTAGCTATAGTCCTCTATGAAAATGAACTCTTGGCAGCCCCTTCCCCCACTCAGGACCTATCATGTCTCTCTCTTTTTTTCTCTCTCTCTCCCTTTGACCTTCTCTGTCTCTTTGGGGCTCAGATAGTTGTAACTAAAATCTAAATATCTAGATACTAGTGATCATAGGATTATGGGTAGAAATGCAAATCTGCCTAAGAAAAAAACCTCATAATTATTAGACTTTTCTCTAGGAGAATGGATTGTCCAGTAGAGAGTGGCTTTCTTGTCACGAGAGGTATTAGATAGGAGATGGTTCAATAACTTTCAGGTTTTCCTCCCTAATGCTGCAAAAAGGAAGTGTGCTGGAATCCTAGTTCTGACAGGAACTATCCATGTATCTCTAGCTAGGTCAGCCTTAGTTGAGCCTTAGTTTCCTCATCTATAAAACGGAGATATTAATAATCACATTAAAGAGCTGCTGTCAGGAACAGTGGTGATAGGTATCAAGTGCCTGGCCCACAGTGAATGCTCTACGAAGTTTCCATCGCTAACCTTACTGTTACAAAACCCTGTTATAAGTTACCGTCGCTACACTTACTGTGACAAAAAAAACTCATTATATATCAAGCCCTATGCTGGAATTTACAGTCCACTGGGAATACCCACATAGCAAGATATAATTACAATACAGAGTGAAAAAAAGTTATATGAAATATGAAAACAATTCTACAAGTACAACAAGAGAAAGCTAACTGTCTAGGTAATTATTAAGTAAAACTGAAGATTAAAAACAAACAAAGCTCAATTGCATTAGATTATTAAATTTGAAAGATGATAGTGGTGTTTGGAAAGCATTCTGAGATGTTTATGCTTGGTATGATTGGGGAAATACAGACGTGAGGTATTAAGCCTAGTGCAGGTTATAATAAAAAGAGAATAGGCTTTGAAGTGAAACAGAATATAGTTCGAGTATTAAATGCAACTTTATCTGTGTGACCTTGGATAGTTACTGTACACGCTCTGTGCCTCAGTTACCAAATCTGTTAGATGGGACTAATACAGGCCCTTCACTGGTTGTGGAGGTTATGTGGGATAAAACATACAAGATCATATAGCAGTACCTGACACAGCTGGGTAAATGCTTGGTTTCTCCAAGTGCAATGTGACATGGTCTGTTTAGCAGTTACAGTGCTGTTAGCTCCAATAATAGAAATATCCATCTAAGAGGGGCTTGAAAATCAGAATATTCTCATTATCTCACAGAATGAGAAGCCCAAAGCTAAGTAAATAGAGTTGATTGACTGGGTTGCTCCGTGAGGTCAGCAAGAGCCCAGCTGTTTTCCATGTTTCTGCTCTGCAGTCCTCAGCTGACTGGCTTCATCTTTCATCTGTCCCTCAAGATGGCTATTACAGCTCCAGATACCATGGCCTAATAATACAAAGACATCCAGGAAGAAGGCAGTTTCCTCCTATGTATCTTCTATTTTGTTTCCTACAATGTAGTGGCTTCCAAATATGTTGGTCTCAGGACCCTGTTTCACTCAAACATTATTGAGGAGCCCAAAGAGCATTATTTATATGGATTATATGTAGTGACATTTACAGTAATAGAAATTAAAACTGATAATTTTCAAATACTAATTTTTAAAAATTAACAATCCCATTTTATGCTACTAAAAGTAACATTTTAAGAAAAACACATTTTCTAAGCCAAAAAATTATCATTTTCTTTTAATTTAAAAATATAGTGAGAAGTGGCATTGTGTTTCATTTTTGCAAATCTTTTTAATGTCTAGCTCAGTAGAACACAGCTAGATTCCAATCTCATCTTCTGCATGCAGGCTGTTGGGATATACTGTTTTGGTTGAAGTATATGATGAAAATCTGGCCTTACACAGATATGGAGGCAGGAAAAGAAGGAGTATTTTAGTGCCCTTTTAAGATAATTCTAGACATTTTTCCTTTCTACTGCACTAAACTCAACAAGTAGTAGTTTCTTACACATTGGTTGCCATGCAGAATCTGAAACTATATTGATGAAAATTTTGTCTCATTTTACACTAACTTTCTTGCACTTTGAATAGATATATTCCCCATGCACAACCTTATAACATCATGCATTGATTAGTTGAAAAATATTGCTCAGTTGAGTTATTGTGGAACTTTCAAATGTCAACACATTTCATTATACAATATCTAAAAGCAAATCGCCCACTATCTCATCAAGTCTATAATTATTGGAAAGCAGTCAGGCTCATGGTAAAAGGTAATGTTTTCAAAAAGTTGTATTTTTTACTAAAATTTCAAATTTTGTCACTAGCAACAAATACTGTCAATTGTGCAGTGGGAGATTCACTGTGCTCATTTTCACAAAAGTGTCTGCCACATCATTGCATTTAATTACTGTAGTTCATCAATTTCTCATTCAATTGAAAATGGTGCCTCTGTGGAAAGAGAGGTGAGTTCACCTTGTAACTCATACAATCACACATGTGCCTTCCCAAGCATAGAGCATGCAGAAGCACTGGACATGTAGTTCTTATTTTGTAGCACATAATAATACAAAGAAATAGAATACAATTCATATTTTTACTGCTTCATCAAGGACATGCTTCAACAAAACTGGCTCCCTCCTCCTTTTTTTTTTTTTTTTTTTTTTTTTTTTTTTTTTTTTTTGAGATGGAGTCTCGCTCTGTTGCCCAGGCTGGAGTGAAGTGGCCTGATCTCGGCTCACTGCAAGCTCCGCCTCCCAGGTTCATGCCATTCTCCTGCCTCAGCCTCCCGAGTAGCTGGGACTACAGGCACCCGCCACCACACCCGGCTAATTTTTTGTATTTTTAGTAGAGATGGGATTTTACCATGTTAGCCAGGATGGTCTCGATCTCCTGACCTCATGATCCGCCCGCCTCGGCCTCCGAAAGTGCTGGGATTACAGGCGTGAGCCACCGAGCCTGGCCTCCCTCCTCCTTTTTTTTACCTCCTTCTTTTTTTGGCTGCAAGTGTGTGGCAGTGAAAACAGTAGCCTCTAGGACAGCATGGTGCCACTAACTTACCACCTTACTTCATGTGAAAGAGCCACATGAAGCTTTCTTTTCACCCTGCATCCTTGCAAATGCTCACACAGTGACAAAGAGAAATAACATATCAGTATCATTATGAAAATAATTTTACTATCCTCGAATCCAGGAAGAGAGTGACACTTTGAGATCTGCTGCTTATTTTAATAGGTAAGAAAAATCAGCTCTGGCTAAGCAAACTTCTTAACAGAGGAAATAAAATTTTATAGTAAAGGGTTGATTGAATAAATCTCATTAAAACATATTCTCCCTGGATTAAAATATATATATATATATACACACTATTTTTTAGCATAGAAATTTAGACCTACAAAAAATGAGAAAATGTAGATGATAATTTTTCCACCTGGAAATAAATCCTGTTAATATTTTAGTGAACATTTTCTTTTCTTTCCGTGCATTTATATTATTTTGCAATCTGCCTTTTTTTTAACTTAACAATGTCTCATGAACATTTTTTCATATCCTTAAATATTTATGGACGACATCACTCTAAATTATTCAGTTCCCCTTCTGACAGGACATCACATTCTGCCTGCAATGCAGTGCTGCCTGATTTCTTGGTGAGATAGTGTTGAGAACCGATGTTGTGGAGCTTTAGGAATTCTTCCTTGTGATGATCGTGTTTACTGATGAAGATGCCACCCTGAGACCTGTAGCCTTTGACAGCTGCTGGTTACTCACAGACATTCCACATACAAGCTCCCTCTTCCCATCTTTTCCCTCCATGCGTTGTACATTTTTCTTTTCTTACAATTTTTTTTCTTTTTCTTTTCTTTTTTTTTTTTTTTTTTTTTTTTGAGGTGGAGTTTCACTCTTGTCACCAGGCTGGAGTGCAATGGCACCATCTCAGCTCACCACAACCTCCGCCTCCTGGGTTCAAGTGATTCTCCTGCCTCAGCCTCCCGAACACCTGGGTTAGCAGGCATCCACCACCACACCCAGCCAATTCTGTTTGTATATTTAGTAGAGATGTGGTTTTGCTGTGTTGGCCAGGCTGGTCTCGAACTCCTGACCTGGTGATCCACCCGCCTTGGCCTCCCAAAGTGTTGGGATTACAGGCATGAGCCACCAGGCCTTGCCTTTTCTTACAATTTCTATAGCCACTCCTAGATTCTCTTACACCCGCCTGGCTGGGCAAAGCATCCTCCTGATCTTTCTTCCACCAGCTTCTCCCATCTGATATTCATCCTTTTCATATTGGCACAAATCATCCTCTTTGAATGTTTCCTCCTCCTCATCCTTTAAATCTTTAATTTGCTGTGACTCCCTTTAACTCCTATGGCAAACCTGAGTACCTCATCCTGCATGCAAGTGGGTTCTGCAGTTGTCCACAGCCTTCATTCTTGCTTGCCTCTTCCTGGACTCCTGATTCCACTCCAGCCAGGCTGCTGACTGAAACATAACACACAGTGGTAGATCGTGTTTTTCGAAAGTGGCCACAACAACATTTCCAGTTCTACATGTTCTTCCAGAACCTTCATATTTCCCCACCGAGAACAAGCTTTGATCTTCTCTCCTCTTGAAAGTGAGTGGACTTTAGTGACTGCCTTGATGAAGAGAATGTGGCAGGAATGCCACTGTATGGTTTCTGAGGCTGATTTGGAAAAGGACTCACAGCTTCCCCCATCTCTCTCTCGGGGATACACCTGTGAAGCCCTGTACCAATATCTGAGAAGGCTGACTGCCCTGCAGTTACCAGGCTGGAGAAGCCACATAGAGGTAGAGGGAGAATGAAATGCTCACAGAGTCCCAGCTAGTGCAGCCTCCAGCTGGTTAAGTCTTTCCAGTCCCGACCTGTAAGTATGCAAACGCTTAAGGATTCCAGTCCTAGGTCTGAAGCTTCCCCACTGACAGTGAGTGGAGCCATTTCCGCTGAGTCCTGCACTAACTGCCGATTCGCGAGAAACATAAATGCCTTGGCTGCTTAAACCATTCGGTTTGGGTATGGATTTCAATGTAACAAAGGAAGACAAGAACACACATCTTGACATTTGCCATTATTATACAACAGATAAGCTTTTTTTTTTTTTTTTTTTTTTTTTTTTTTTTTTTTTTTTTTTTTTTTAGAGGGAGTCTCGCTCTGTTGCTCAGGCTGGAGTGCAGTGGTGCGATCTCGGCTCACTGCAACCTCCACCTCCCGGGTTCAAGTGATTCTGCTGCCTCAGCCTTCTGAGTAGCTGGGACTACAGGCGCATGCCACCATGCCTGGCTAATTTTTGTATTTTTAGTAGAGATGGGGTTTCACCATATTGGCGAGGCTGGTCTCGAACTCATGACCTTGTGATCCACCTGCCTCGGCCTCCAAAAGTGCTGGGATTACAGGTGTGAGCCACCACCCCCAGCTCCTTCTTTTTAGTAATCAAGAGTCAACCAAGCTTTAATACTCTGGCTGTGCTCTGCGTTCCTTAAGCAGTTATATACCCAGTTTATTTTCTGGTCCTTCTCTTTTTATTTTTTTAAAAGTTATTATTTAATATTTGACTCATACAAAATAATATATTTAATATATGCATGCAAAGAAGCATAATAATATAATGAACACTCATGAAGCAAATCATTACCAGTGCCATAATGTATATGTCACTCTTGCCCTGTTCTCACACTGCTAATAAAGACATACCTGAGACTGGGTAATTTATAAAGGAAAGAGGTTAATGGACTCACAGTCCCACATGGCTGGGGAGGCCCCACAATCATGGTGGAAGGTGAAGGAGGAGCAAAGGCACATCTTACATGGTGGCAGGCAAGAGTGTGTGCAGGAGAACTGCCCTTGTATAAAACCATCAGATCTTGTGAAACTTATTCACTATCACGAGAATAGTATGGGAAAAATCTGCCCCCATGATTCAATTACCTCCCACCAGCTCCCTCCTATGACATGTGGGAATTATGGGAGCTACAATTCAAGATGAGATTTGGGTGGGGACACGGCCAAACCATATCAACACTCCTCTCAGAGAATTTCTGGCTTGTTCTCATTTTTAATATTTCATAAGTATGTGTATTCCTAAACAATGTATTGGGTTTTTAAATACTATTATTTTGCGTTTGAGAAAATGGCATCATTCTCTCTGTAAGAGTCTATACCTACCACTGATCAATCCACCTTATACTTTAAAATATACCCATGTTGACTTGTGGCAGTGATTCATTTTTACTTGTGTGTAATAATCTGGTGGGTGGATTATACCTCAATGTCATTTATGTTTTCTCCAGTTTATGGGTACATGAATTGTGTCCAGTTTTTTTTTCGACAATAAACAGGGCTTATGTAAACATTCTTGTGCATGTGTCCTGGAGCACAAACATCTGAGAACAGAATGTGTCATATTTGAAAATAGAAACGTTCAGCTTTACAAGAAAACGTAAAACTGCTTTCCAAAGGGAAGGTACCAACTTTGACTTCCAACAACAAGATAAAATAGAGTCACCAACACTTGGCATTGTTAGGTATCTTAGTTTTTACATATCTAGTGGTTGCAAATGGTCTTAGTATATATTTAACTCATTACTAATTATATATGTATATTTGTATACTAATTATATATGTGCATATATTTGTGTTTTCTTTCTGTGAATGGAACTGTTCAAGGCTTTTGCCTATAATTCTGCTAAATTTTGTGTTTTTCTTATTAATTTGGATTAAGTGCATACATATCAATATTTTGGCTATGAGCCTTTTGTTTGCTATGTGTATTGCAACTCTTATTCCAGTTTATGAATGGTCTTTTCATAATCTCTATGGTGTGGTGACTTGGGGTGAACAGAAGTTTTGATTTTAACACAGTCACATGTTTTATGCAAATATGTCTTTCTCAGGGGAGACTGAGGGAATGCCTATGTAAGAAAATCCTTCCCTGTTTAGATATTATAAAAACTTCTAAGATGTCTAGTTATCAAACTTTTTTATGTTTTCTCTTACATTTTGATCTTTAATGCATTTAAGTAATTTTTACTTTAGTAATCAAGCCTCAGCCAAGCTTTAATACTCAGGCCACACTCTGCATTCCTTAGGCAGTTATATACCCAGTTTATTGTCTGTTCCTTCTCTTTCGATTCTTTTAAAAAGTTATTTAATATTTGACTCATACAAAATAATATATTTAATATATGCATGTGAAGAAGCATAATAATAAAATGAACATTCATGAAGCAAATCATTACCAGGGCCATAATGTATATGCCACTATTGTCTTGTTTGCAACTGATCCCACAAAAATACAGAATATCCTGAGGCTATTATGAACACCTCTATGTACACAAATTAGAAAATCTAAAGGAAATGGATAAATTCGTGGAAACAAAATCTCCCAAGATTGATCCAGGAAGAAAGTGAAAACTTGAACAGACCAATAACAAATTCTGAAGTTGACTCAGTAATAAAAAGAAAAACAAAAAATACTATCAACCAAAAAAGACCCTGGACCAGATACGGATTCACAGCTGAATTCTGCCAGATTTACAAAGAAGAACTGATACTAATCCTACTAAAACTATTCAAAAAATTCGGGGAAGAGCGGCTCCTTCCTAACTCATTCTGCAAAGCCAGTATCAGCCTGAACCAAAATCTGACAGAGATAAAATGAGTAAAAATAACTTCAGGTCAATATCCCTGATGAACATAGACAAAAATTATTAACCAAATACTAGCAAACAGAATCAAGCAGCACAACAAAAAGTTAGCATGTCACAATCAAGTAGACTGCATTCCTGCGATGCAAGGCTGGCTAAACATATACAAATCAATAAATGTGATTTACCACATAAAAATAATTAAAAACAAAAACCACATGACCATCTCAATAGATGCAGGAAAAGCTTTCAATCAATCCAACATCCCTTCATGATAAAAATCCTCAACAGACTAGGCATCGAAGGAACACACCTCAAAATAATAAAAGCCATTTATGACAAACCCACAGCCAACATTATACTGAATAGGCAAAAACTGGGTCATACATCTTTTATTATCCAATTTGACAGTGTTTTTCTTTTACCTATCCTATTTAAATTAGTTACATTAAATATAATTATTGTTTTTTAAGAGACAAGTCTACCATTTTATTATTTATTATTTGTTACCTCTTTTATTCTCTTATTTTCTTTGCCTATTTTATTTTGGATTATTTAAATAATTTGTATCCATCTATTGAGGTTTTAACTATACCTCTTTTGTAGTTTTTTAATGGTTTTTATTTAAAGAACATTCTTTAGCATTTTTTAAGACAGTCAGCTGGTGACAAATTCTCTCTTAGTTTTCTTTCATCTGAGGATGTTTTTATTTCACCTTTATTCCTGAAAAATATTTTCACTGGCTATAGAGATCTGGGTTGACAGCTCTTTTTTTTCTTTTCAGCACTTTAAAAATGTTGTCCACTTCCTTCTGGCCTTCAGTGTTTTAGATGAGAAATCTCCAATTATTTATATAATTGTTTTCCCTAAAGAAACATGTCATCTTTCTCTGGTTGCTTTCAGAAATTTTTCTTTGTTTTAAGTTTTCAGCAGATTTATTATGATGTGTCTGAGAATAAATTTATTTGAATTGGGCCTATATGGAATTCATTTACAAAAGCATTGATGCAAAAGCCTGTGAGTGCTGAAGGAAATGAGCAGCTCCTTCTAACCTCAATACAGATCTGACCTCCATAAAAATAAGAGGGAGAAAGAGGGGGATTGGTTAGAAATGCTCTTTGTACTGTTCTAAGTTCCAAGAAATGTTTGTTCTTGAGCCAAGGTCATCAACCGCTAGAGTTCTATATCTTTCAGCCATGGGCCTGAATTAGTACTTTCACCATGCTTGGTTACTGGCTGGGAGCAGCTCTTGAGAATTACAGCTTTGGCACAAATATGGTAGTGGATCCAGAGGAACAGAAGCTGAGATTGTTGACTATTTATGCTCCTTGCAGCGGGAGATCTGAATGGTACAGCTTCCCGGCTGCCATATTGGATTTACTTTGTAAAATATCATGCTGACAGCTGCATGGAGAGTAGCATACAGAAACCACGGAAGGAGCCGGGACAGTAGTTAAACTACAGCAACTACTAATGAAAGAGTACTAACGAGTGATAGTGTCAAAATTGGCAGAAGAGCTCAGATTTGAAGTATATTTTTAACATAGGGCCAACAGAATTTTCTGAAGGCATAGCTTTTGCATATGGGATAAAAGTCAAGAACAACCCAGATTTTCAGCTGGAACAACTCAGAAACAGTCATATAGTGATAAGCTTCAGGTTATTTCAGAATTAGAGGAAGAAATAAGGAAGACAGAAATGGAAGATATTGAATATGGAATTCAGCAATGTTTATAAACAGTTAAGATTTAGAGGGTGAGAGGAAGAAAGGATCCCTAAAGAATACATACCGTTTTTAAAAAATGATAGAGGAAAATTAAAGGTTAACATAAATGTGAAAGAATGAGACCCAGGGGAGTGAGGAGACTGGCAATTAACTGGTAGACCTTTATCATAGACAAAGCTGATGTTTTTCATTGTCTGGGTCAACACAGCAACCTTATATGTGTGTGTGACATGACACTTAATTGGCAGCCAAAATGAAATCTAACTTTGGAGTCTTTCATGAAAATGAATCCTTAGCAGCTCAGATTTTTCAGAATTAAAAGAGTCCTGAGAGATTCTCACTCCAGCCTCTCAGTATATGGGTGGAGAAATTGAGGCCAGGTAGGGGTGAAACATAATCCAAAATCACAAAGCCCTTAAATCTCAAGAAGAGCAATAAGCCCAGCTCTGATGGCTGGTCTCATATTTTCCTCTCACTTCTAAATCCAGGCGAGGCCTCCTATCTCCATCCAATGTATACCATGTTAAGCACTCTGTTCATGAGAGTACTTCTGGGAAAACAGTCAATCTATTATGACCAGGGTTTCTAAAATTCTACATATAAACAGTAGTTCATCAAAATGAGTACAATCCTAAAGGATTTGCAAGGTAACAGAGGAGAAACCGGCTTTTCTCGGATATTCAAGTCCCACTGCCTCCTTGCCAACTTCCTGCCCCAGCCCTGAATAATGTGAGCATCGGAATCTCTCCCAACTTATTTTCATGTTCAAGTCCTCCTAGATTTCGTGTCTGGCTCATGTACCAACGCTTCAGAAAGATTTCCTAATTTTTATCAACAGAAGCAATCTGTTTCTTTCTATAGACATAAAATTGTGTTTGTGTTTCTCTTAGAAGTCATCAACTTCTGTCTTGTGTTAGAATTGCTTTGTATAATCTTTATGTCCTCTCTATTCATCAGCTTTGCTTTTGTCACAAGCAGCCCCACAGTCTCAACAATGTATATTAACATTTATGTCTCATTCATGTTATATGTAGGCTGCTGGTTGGCTCTGCTTTAGTTTGTAGCTCTGTGGGGTGGAGCTGAATCTAATGTCTTCTCATTCTGAGAGACAGGCTGATGGAGCAGCATCTCTCTGGGACATACCAGTGTCATGGAGGAAGGCAGAAGTGTGGTGGAAGAAACTTTCCATGTCTTTTAAAGCATTTGCTCGGACAGTATATACTTTTTGTCTCCCATATCCCACTGGCCAAGTCCAAAGTCAATGAGGTATGAACTTTATGGCTTCCACCAGAAGGAGAAGCAAGTCACATAGAAATGAGTGAAGATGTATGACGAATTTTGCAGAAAAATTATACGATCAATCACATCTTACCTACCTAGTATTGAGCTCTTGAAAAACAGAGCCTGAAAACAATCCCTTTCTGACTTTCTTAAGATCTAGCACTGTGGCTAATGGACAGTGAGTACTCAGTCACTGTTTGAGTAATGAACAAACATTCTTCAAAAACTACAAGGCAGCCTATTGTCATATGAAAAATCTTCAAGCGATCTAGATTTTTTATTCCCTATGTATTTCTATTTCTAGCCAGTTATCACTTTACAATGAAGCAAAATTGTCCTGATCCAAAAATTTATCCAAAGTATTATATTACTTTTACAAAAATGTAGAACACAATGATAATAACTAAAATGTGTATGACATTTTCTAATCTATTTAGTGTGCTTTCTCACAGTAAATCAAGTCCAGAAAGCTGTGTTTTAGGCCCTTTATCTCTTTGAGTGTTGGTTTCTTCTATGAAATGCATGGTTTGTCTAGGTGGTCTTCAGGTCTTCTCTGCCAATTTCCTGGCTCTTAGGCTGGAGCATTTCAGCAACTTTGATGCTGCCATAGGACTTGTAAACAGTCAGCTTCTTTGGGAAACCACAGGCACAGGTAATTTTAACAACAGTGGCCACAGCCTGGCTGTTTAATCTCAGTCAAGCCTCTTCCCTTCCTGTGCCTCAGTTTCCCCATGTGTAAATTGAGAATGTTGGGCAAAATAATCTCATAACTGCATTCCATTAGAAATAATTTGCATTCCTAATAAAATTTTTGTTGCAGCTAATCATTTTGAAAAGCCAAAGTGTGGAATTCACTCTGATTGGCTCTATCAAGTTGGCCAAAGTGTTTTATTTTAGTGGCATGACCCAGAAAAAAAGAATAAGTTTGATTGCTCTGCCTCAGTTAGCTGAGTGTTGGAGTCAAATAGCCATTGGAATTCTTTTCTTTGTTTTCAAGCTTTTTGTGAATTGATGGTTCCATTTTTGTCCTGAGAAGATAGTTTTGTCTACGACGTGAGCTGGCTGCTCTAGAGACTTCCCGGCTGGGAATTTGGGTGGATTGTTCTTTTCTTCTGCTCCAGTTTGTGAAAAATACTCCAATTCAAGCAGAGTCCTCCATGTCTCTGAGGTTGCATTTTCTCATCCTCACTCTATTGCCAATAGCAATGGTAATTATTTCTAATTCTGATCTCTGAGGGCAAATTCTTCCTCTTGGTACTGACTGCCAAATCCTCCCATTCCAAGAGCAAGTGAACAAATGACCTGATGAAGACTTCAAAGGAGAAAAGCCAAACGCCAGACAATTACATCTGCAGCATGCGCTAGAGCCTGGGCCCTGTCTGTGTCACATTAGGTCTGTGCACCTGAGGCACCTCTTCCTGGGTAGCTGGTGCTGCAGAATATTCTCTCTGTTGACCTACATACTCCCATGCCCATGCTCCTTAGCATAGCCAAAGCATAAGACTGACCCACTTACTTCAGAACAGTTTTCATTATCTAATAGTAGGTCTCAGGACTGTCTCAAGAGCTTTATCACATACTCCTGGCCCCTGTCCCAGAGATTGCAACATAATAGGTTACCCTGATAAATATTTAAGGAATTTCCAATGTAACTTAACACACATCTTTTCATAAGGAAGGTGAAATGTTATGCATTATATTAATCTAAGTTGACACCCATAACCTCATCTGTGAGGCTGCGGACAACTTCCAGCAGGCCTCACCCCAGATCTGGGTTCAGCCATCTTCTGTGGCACATCCACGTCAGTGAGCCTGGCTCCAAGGCACCAGCCCATCGGCTCTCTACACCCTGCTACTCTCTGCAACACTTCCTGCGCTCTCTGCAACACATGCTTCTAGAAAGACAGCTGCGGTTTCTATTAATTAATTCTTTCAAAACATATGGACCTACCCTTGAGTAGAAATTCTTGTGTTTTCTCCGAGGAGCTTCCAAGAAGATACAGGACTTCAACTAAACAAACAGGTAGTGGGAGGAGGAGGAAATTAAAAGGAGGAACAACATTGATGGAGGAGAGAGCTAGTGGAGATGGAGAATGATGCAGAGACCAGGAGGATGTGGTATTGCAGATGTATAGAGCTGATGCTACCTCTACCAGGGAGCTCTCCTTGATTCTCAACTGGAAGTCACCCTTTCCTCAGCTAAATCCTGACAACTCTTTATCTGCCTTCTCCTATGGCGTTCAAAACGCTCTGTTTCATCATATCTGTGCTCATGGAATGTTTCTACCAATTTTTACTGTACCCTTAAAAAAAAAGAAGCACCATGTTAGTAATGTGGTTAAAAATGTGCATAGATTTGGAATCATAAAGTCCAGGTTTTAGGTTCAGGATCTGCTTCTTAGTACTTTTGGGACTTTAAGAAACTCTCAATAAACTCTTTAAGTTTTGGTTTTCTTATCTATAAATTGAGAATAACAACAACATTAAATTCAATGATTGTTAAAACAGCATATCGAGACAATGTATGTAAATGCCTCACTCCAGCATCTGCCACATGTAAGCACTAGGAGTTTAGCTGTTACTATTTTAAGAAGAAGTGGTATTGGTTTTCTGCCTTCACTCCGGAAATCGAAATATTTAAAAACGATTTCAGAACTAATCTGTCTAGAGTTATTTCTCAGACATATCACAGGCCTTTATGTGCTGGGTGCCCCTCCTAGGCAGCTGTCTTCCATGCGGTGACTCAGGGACCCACACAGTTTCCTTCTCGTGACTATGCCATCCCCTTTTTCAGAAGCTACCCACAATTTCTGATTTGTGAAGAGAAGAATGCACTGGACAACGGAGACAGGCAGGAAGGGAGCTTCCACGCACATCCTATTGACTAGGACTCAAGCACATGAGTCCACCTAAGAACAGAGGCAGGGCTGGTTCAGGAAATGCCGGTGTGTGCCACTAGCCCTGGAACATCATCCTTTAGGACAATCCACCCATTATTATTTTTCTATGATAACACTGATGTCTTAGCAGATTAAACAATTTGGCCCAGGGCATGGAGTGAGTAGATGAGGTGTGTAGCTTCGCTTACAAACACGGAGCCAATGCTGTAGCCTTGGCTCAATGTGATCACTATGAGGTGAGCATGCATAAACTGCTTTCCATAAGCTGGGCATGCTTTAACTCCTTCATGTCCAGGGTATTCACTGAATCCTCACAACAATCTCTGAGGCAGGTGTTGGTGTCATCTTCATTTTACAGATGAGGAAACTGAGGCTCAGGTAGGTTAAATAATTTTCCCAAGGTCACACAGCTCAATGAAGCAGGGCAGAGATTTGAACTTGCAAAGCCCTTACCCCCCACCACAGCACCATGCTGCCTGAGGGTGGCCAGAGCTCGCCCCCCACCACGGCACCACGCTGCCTGAGAATGGCTGGAGCTCGCTTCCCACCACAGCACCACGCTGCCTGAGAATGGCTGGAGCTCGCTTCCCACCACAGCACCATGCTGCCTGAGAATGGCTGGAGCTCGCTTCCCACCACAGCACCATGCTGCCTGAGAGTGGCTGGAGCTCACTTCCTTTATTGGAGTCTCCTGGCATGGGACAGTTGTCAGGGAATCCCTAGGGGGTGCAACCCTCCTGGCCTTAGAATCAGATAAAGGCTCCTGAGGAGCCCATGTGCAGGCACCAGGCTCCAGCAGGAGCTGAGGGTTGGGGAGTGGGTCTGGCTGGTGAAGGGGAGGTCACATGGGCAAGAGCCTGACTTCAGGTCTCCTGGAAGTACAGCTGCCAGTGATAGACTGTGTGTTCCCCCAGGGCTAAAGGTTGGGGGAAGAGGGTAAGTGATATTCACATGGTTCCTTCTGAAAAACTAAACCTAGAATCTGGGAGAATTGGGCAGATTAGAGTCTCAAGCTCTGTCTTTCTCTTAACTGCTGTGGGATTAAAAAATAGCAATATTGGTTAGGCTGATTTATATGAGAACAAAAACATCTCTCCCCAAATGCCTCCCTAGATTGGGGCTCTTACCCCAGGGTGTCTATGAGTGGGCTTCAGAGGTCTTTGAGAGCCTTTTTAAAAGTCTCTGACTTTGTGAGACTTGGGGTAGTTGCATTAATAACTTTTATCAGATTCTTTCAGGATCAGCAACCAAAAATGGATAGATGAATGAATGAATGGAAATTTTCAAAACCACTGCCTCTGTATGTCCTTCAAACTACTGAATAAGTGCTAGCAGCTGCCATGTCAATCACTGATTAGCAGGCTGATCCCAGTTGACAATCGGGTGGGGAAGAATCAATCACTGATTAGCAGGTTGATCCCAGTGGATAATCGGTCAGGGAAGTAACGTGGGCTCTGTATCGGGCCTTTCCTGCATTGCTATAAAGAAATACCCGAGACTGGGTAATTTATAAAGACAAGAGGTTCAGTTGGCTCACAGTTCTACAGGCTGTACGGGAAGCATGGCACCGACATCTGCTCTGTTGCTAGGGAAGCCTCAGGAAGCTTTCACTCATGGCAGAAGGTGAAGGGGGAGCAGGCACCTCACAAGGCAAGAACGGATGCAAGAGAGAGAGGGGAGACACCACGCACTTTTAAACATCCAGATCTCATGAGACTGGCTCACTATCTCAAGGACAGCACCAAACCATGCAGGATCCTCCCCCAGGACCTAAACACCTCCTACCAGGCCCCACCTCCAACACTGGGGACTTAGAAGGGACATATAGTCAAACTATATCAGGCTTATACATTGATTTCTCAAATGAGTATTTACAAAGCAACAATTTTGTGCAGCTAGGGATGAGGGTGCTGGGGATGAAGGAGTAAAGAGGACAGTGAAGTTCCCCTCGCGAAGCCTGTATTCTCGTTGTGGAGACAATAAATACACTTACAGCCAAATTCATAAAATAATGTCAGGTAGTCACAGTGACTAATTAGGTGACATTAAAGAAATCAAGTGATAGCCTCTGAACCTTCAATTCTTCATCCGTGAAATGGGGATGCTCATGCCTTCCCTGCCAGTTGCAAGACTGTCATAGGAAGCAGAAGAAAGCAAAAATAAGGGGGAACCCCGCAGGTGAAAGGGCTCCCATTCACCAGGCACCTGTGAGCCACCGGTGCAATTGGCGCCCTTCAGGGGATAACATGTACCTTTCCCAGCAGCAGCAGCTGGGTAGGAGTAGCCTTATTCTGTAGATGAGAAACTGGCTCAGAGAGTCTGAGCGATATGTCCAGGGTCACACAGCTGGTGAATGATGGAACCCATGGTTAGGTCAATGTCTATAAGGTTTCCAGTATGTGCCTTTTTCCACTAGGCTTCCGCTTACTGCTTTGAGGATGGAGGTAGAAGAGTGTTCCATGAGGGAGCAAGAAGGTAAGCATGGCAGGGGCAAGTTCAAGTGTTTGCTCACCCCTTGTCTGTCTTGAGCACTAGAACAAGGTAATGTTAATGGCTCAGTCCTTATTTCCACGTTGTAAAGTGAGGGTGCCGATACAGGTTCATCAGGGGCTAGGGGTCCCAGATTTTGAATTGTAATGTGGTCAGCAGCTTCCAATATGGCTTCCAAAGACATCCACCTCCTGGGGTTCATGTCCTTCTGAAATCCCCTGGTCTTGGGTGTGGGCTAGATCGACTCACTCCCAACTAATGAAAGACTATGGGGAAGGTGATGGGATTTCACTCACACAATTAGGTTACGAAGACCGGGACTTCTGTCTTGCTGCTATTTAGCTCTCTGGTCCTTCTTACCTGCTTACTCTGATGGAGAGAGTCACCTGGGAAGGAGCTGAGGGCAGCCTCTGGCCAAGAGCCAGTGAGTAACTAAGGGTGTCAGTCCAACAGCCAGTGAGGAGCTGAATCCAGCCAGCAACCATGTGAGCGATCTCAGAAGAGTATGCTGTCCCAATCAAACACTGCGATAACTATGCCTCTGCTTGTACCTGTACTGCAAGCCTGAGAAAGACCCTGGGCTGCTACTCTGATCTCAGCCTCTTAAGAGACTCTGAGGCAGAGGATCCAGTTAAGCCAAGTTCAGATTCTTGACCCGTGGAAAATGTGAAATAACAAATGCTTTTTGCTTTACATTGCTAAGTTTTGGTATACTTGGTTAAGCAGCAATCAATAACAAATAGGCAATAAGTGCTCATATAGTATACTGTGTGCTACCTCCAGCGGGGTCTGGGAGAGCGCCCTGTAAACTCATTAACATTTCTGTACTCAAAACTATGCTTAGTGCCATTCCGTAGGATAAATGAAGATTATAAATGACATCACATTTGTTCAGTTAAGATTTTGCCACCACATACGTTTGTGCCAAATTTATGAACAAACATCTGGCTTTCAGAGGATTCTGAATTTCAGGATTTCAGATAAACAGTTGTGGATTTCTTGCACATCCCCCAAGGATGTTGCTATGATTCAGTGACAACGTATTGAGATAACACACTTCACAAGCTGCAAAGACCCTTTGGTAGCTGGAGCCTGCTGTGGCTGATGGTGAGCTATCAGCCCTGAGTAGACATGAGCTCCTCCGGATCAGACTCAGACCCTCCACCAGGCAGAAGAAACCAGGAATGCAGAGACCCACACAGGCTCAACTGGTCCCATTGCACTCCTTGCCAAGCTGCTGCTGAAAGAAACTTTTATTCAGTAAACATTTGCTCAGCACCTGCCATGGAGCATTGTTTCGACCTAAAAGAAGGCATGAATGATTCACCAAAACCAGGATCCAGGCCAGGGCTTGTGTGAGTTGCTCCCTGTTCCAGGACCTGATTTCCAAGAACAAAATTCAATTCTGCCAGAATGTCATCAGAAACCAAATTAGGAACTTACAAGACCACATGGTGTGCAGGAAGGTGGGGGCCACACGACAGGGTTCTTTGTTTCCGTACGGAGCATGTCCACACCAGCTAACCTGCCCAGCCTCCTGGTAGTGAAGTCGCTGAAGGAGAGGTCCAAGCCAGCCCTTATCAAATCCAAGGCTGAGTCTAAAGGGGGTTGTGAGGTTTTCACTATGTTTGGGCATCATACTTCTCAAAAAGGCTGCCACCACACACTGACCATGTCTACGTTAACTGTGAGATCAAGTATTACAAGGTGATCTTTACTGACTTTCAGAAACCTTCCCACCTCATCAAGGATTTTATTTAAGGTACATGCATTTTAATGATTTTAGTATTTGGGAGATGAAAAGGAGACCATTCCTGGTATTTTTTTTTTTTAATTCCAAGCTTCAGGCTGAATTTTTGGTTTTTGTTCGTGATTTTTTTTTTCAACAAAAACTAGATCTTGTTGCTATCTTCAGTGTACCAGTGACTCTCAAATAGCCTTGGAGTTCTTTTTCCCACCCTTATAAATTGACATAAGAAAAAGCTCCACATTTTCCTGAAGTCACCCTCAGAATTCACACACTCGCCAAAAGCTGACTTCGTTTTTCAACCCAGAGTGGAGTTTAAGAGCTCCAAGGGTTGGTTTTGGCAGTGGCTTAATTGTAATACTGAAACGTCGCTGCAGGCAATTTTCTTTGATTTAATTAGATGAACTGTGTTTTTTTTTTCTTTTTGCAAAAAGGCTTTATTATGTAGAAATGAAATATGTATAAATTTAATTTTTAATCTTGTCACTACAGTGTAGGAAGGAGCAAGCCGATTCTTTTAATTTTCCCTCTTTGTTTAAGAAAAAAATTAAATTAATTCAAGTATTTATGAGTAATTGATTTTACTTTTTGCACTGTAGTCAGAAGTGAAAGAGTTAAGACTGCCCAATTTATCCCCAATCTAAGACTCCAATATGACTATCTCAATATGTAAAAGCTAACACTTTTACATATGGGTATATGGGTATAGAGAGTCCCCTATATACCCATTTCTGAGAATACAGCAGGTTTGGCCACGGTATTGACACCATAGTTTAGTGAGGTATAGAATAATCCAAAACTATGCTTTAGAAGGGAAACTAGGTGGCAGAGGAGAAGGAATGACCTGGTTGCTTAGTCCTTGCAGGAATATTCAGAACTTACTACCTGTCCTGGGTGAGTGGATTTAACCCTAAACTCCAATTGTTGTACTTCTAATCATTGAGTCATTCTTGCCCATTCCTCTGAGCTCAGCCTGGCATCAACTCAGGGTTAGTGGTGGGAAACTGCTTTGTTTCTGGAACTTAGAAGGGCTAACACTGTGCTTCGTCAACTGTGGTGTGCCCGATGATCTGAAAAATGGTGGAAGAATTGTGGGACATCCAGCAGGTCTGGGGTGGGGGCAGGAAGTGGCACCTGGTCAGGTGTTTTCCTACAGGGGACTAGACAATCAGGCCCACAGGAGGGGTGTGTACTCGTTGTTGTTTTTTGTTTTGTTTTGTTTTGTTTTTTCAGACGGACTGTTGCTCTGTCGCCAGGCTGGAGTGCAGTGGTGCGATCTCGGCTCACTGCAACTTCCACCTGCCAGGTTCCAGTGACTCCACTGCCTCAGCCTCCTGAGTAGCTGGGACTACAGGCACCCGCCACAATTCCCCGCTAATTTTCTGTATGTTAGTAGAGATGGGGTTTCACCATGTTGGCTAGGATGGTCTCGATCTCCTGACCTCATGATCCACCCGCCTCGGCCTCCCAAAGTGCTGGGATTACAGGCGTGAGCCACCGCGTCTGGCCCTGTACTCTTTTCTCTCTGGGCAGAGCCTGCAAAGGTGGCCCTGCAGTTTTCAGCAGATCCTTCTGCCAAATATTCCTTTCCATCCATGTCTTCCTGACTCTGTTTTGCTGGGTATATAATTATTTTGTGTGCATATTAAAATACATAAACATGTATTTATATTATATATATAAATTATTTTATATTCTGACATAATTTTATATTATAACATATAATATAAAATAAATATTAAAACAGACTTATACAATGATATTGCATATACAGTCTATTATATACATGTATGAGATGCAGAGTAAGAATGCAGAAAAAAACACATTGGTGCTATTTTTGTATGTAAGTTTCTGTTTTTTTGGTAAGATAGTTTTAAGCTTTAGAAAAAAACAATTATCCACTTAGGTCAGGGTTTCTCAACCTTGGCAATCTGGACACTTGGGGGTGGATAACATTTTGGTCACTAAGGGCCATCATGTGCAATGTGGAATGTTTAGCAGCATCTTTGGCCTTTACTTACTAAATGCTGGCGGTGCTTTCCTCCCAAGGTTTGACAACAAAAAAAGTCTCTAGATATTGTCCAATGTCACCTGAGGGGCAAAGTTGCCTCTGCATGAGAACTACTGAGTTACACCAAGTCCTAAGATGCTGACCAGGCCCACCAGAGCCCAGCCATCCTGGGGACACACCGGCTCAGCCTGAAGCCCTCTGTGTTAGGACTTATGTTCCCATATGCTGGACTAGGAAAGGGAGGCGCTAAGAAACCTCTTCTCTCGAAGAAAATAAGATTGCTAGTAAATGGCAAAAATGGACTTCAAAGCAAGGTAATATTTCTGGTAAGTTCAAAACCAGACTTCAACCAGGCACAGTGGCTCACTCTTGTAATCTCAGCACTTTGGGAGGCCAAGGTGGGGGGACTGCTTGAGCCCGGGAGTTCAGGACCAGCCTGGGCAACATAATGAGACACTCATCTATACAAAAAGTTTAAAAAATTAGCTCGATGCTGTGGTGCATGCCTGTAGTGCTAGCTACTCAAGCAAGGTGGGGAGGCATTGGTGCGGGTGGGGGACTGAGTTGAGATCACTTGATCCTGGGAGGTTGAGTGAGCCATGAGTCACTAAGCCTGCAGTGAGCCATGATGGAGTCACTGCACTCTAGCATGGGCAACAGAGTGAGATTCTGTCTCAAAAAAACAAAACAAAACAAATACACACAGACACGCACACAAAAACAAAAAAACAAAAGCTGAACTTCAAAAATTAGTATCTTTCCACAACAACAAGTATATACAAATAACAGATGTTTCCTGTGGGTCCAAAATCCTTGAATGCCAAACTCAGAAGGCTTGCAATTCATTGAGTGAGACACGACATATCAGAAATGAGTTTCAGAGGATGAAGCTGGGAGTAGCAGTCAGGGCAGCAGAGAGGTGTTAGGAAGAGTGCTAAGCCATTTGGGCCGCTCAATCATTTATGGTTTCTCATGGTAAATATCAGTGGCCTTTGACAATTCCAGGCAGGTGGGAGCTCCATCTCCTCCTGTGAGTGCTGGTTGTCAGGAGCTAGAGAGAAGGCACCTCCCAGACTACACAGAAAAAGGGGTCATCAGCAGGAAGGTGCAGTGGACCCAGTTTCTGAGAGGTCAGCTGTTTAGCACTGGTGAGGCATGCTGTGTTCCAGGGGCAGCATCCACCAGATCCAGGCTGACTGGGTGGCGGGTTGCTCTGCAACGTGGGGAATCAGAATCAAACGCACTGCTAGACTAATCCAAGACCTCCACCTTGACGGTGCACCAGTGTGAGCTGTAGCTTTTGCCGGGTCCAGAAACCATGCCGGTGCCTACCCACTGCTGCCTGGACAGTCTTTCAAGCCCCAGCCATGTTTTGAACACCTTCCCTTTGAACAATGGAGACTGATCTGTAACTTCCTAATGCAGCTTGGCAAACACTGCAGTGAACATTTAAATAAAGGACTGCGCATGCCGGCTCACGCCTATAGTCCCAGCACTTGGGAGGCCAAGGCAGAACAATCACTTGGGGCCAGGAGTTCGAGACCAGCCTGGACAACACAATGAGACCCTATCTCTACAAAAACCACAAAAAATAGGCCAAGGCAGGTGGATCACGAGGTCAGGAGATCGAGACCATCCTGGCTGACATGGCGAAACCCTGTCTCTACCAAAAAAAATACAAAAAATTAGCCAGGTGTGGTGGCAGGCGTCTGTAGTCCCAGCTACTCGGGAGGCTGAGGCAGGAGAATGGCGTGAACCCGGGAGGCGGAGCTTGACATGAGCTGAGATGGCGCCACTGCACTCCAGCCTGGGCAACAGGGTGAGACTCCATCTCAAAAAAAAAAAAAAAAAAATAGCTGGGCATAGTGTCATGCACCTGTCGTCCCGGCTACTTGGGAGGCTGAGGAGGAAGGATTTCTTGAGCCCAGGAGTTAGAGGCTGCAGTGAGCTATGACTGCACCACCGCACTCCAGTCTAGGCAACAGAGAAAGACTCTGTCTCAAATATATAAATAAATACATAATAAAGAAAAAATTAATGCTATTTGAAGCTCTCACTTTCCCTGGGAGCTAGACTAGAGTGAGCTTACTAGCAAATGCATCTCACTCTTTATACTGGGTTATTTTCAGTAAAAGGCAGACAATTTGATTTCGTGGTTGAGATGAAGAGAAGAGATGAGGAGGACTTAACGAAGCCTGTTTCCAGAAACTGGGGCATTTTAAACTCCTTTCCATATGAGGCAAAGGGGGCCCAGAAATATCCGATGACCTGTCTGGTGTCACATGGCTCATGAAGAGGCAGGGTAGGCGCTGGTTCCCAGGCCCCTAAGCAGCCAGCCTTATCCCACTGTTTACTTCCAACTGCCCTGAATTTCCTTGGAGTCGGCAAGATGGCTGGAACACTCCCAGGCATGTGGATCACTATGGATCACACCCTCCCTGCCCCCTCCCCACCTCCGCATGAAGCTTCTCTTTTCCTGGCCCCTCTAAAGGCCTCCCCCATGCAAACATCCACATGAAATTACTACACTTATAATCTGTCCCTACATGTAACACTTATCTTTTTAAGACATGGTCTGGTGGTTACACACATGATATTTCCCGCTTGATGCATTTTCATTTCCCACCCTCTGGAAAAATGCTATTACGGGAGTTTGCTGTATTTGGCTAAATACTGGGTTTATTAAAACGCATCATGTTTCTCTGACAATCTGATCGGCTGTGGGGACTGAATGGGCATATTTAACCAAATTGAAAGCACACATTATTGACCTAATAGATGAGAAGGGGGATTCTCACACATTGAAGGAGAGATTGATTGGCACTAGGGTAGAAAACCCCTCATAATTTTCCTGAAGCCACACAGTCACTATGTTTCTTGCCTCCCCCATTTGGATTTGAGTGCTTGGCCTAAGCAAATTTTAGTTAGGATTTCTTTAAGTTTCTCCACTTGTAATTAAATTAAGCTGTGGCTTGGTTTTGCCTAGAGTCCCAGGTGCCAACCCAAAGCATCTTTAAATGACACATTTTACGAGCATACGTGGGGTTTACAGTTAAACATGTCCATTGATGGGAATCTGGTTGAAGAGTTTTCTCTCATCCTGAAACTCAAGACACCAAATCCAAAGGTGGAATGAGGAGCTGTGTGATCCATGGTTGTGTTTCCTGCTTTCTGAGATGCTCAGGGGGAACCGACCATAATTAGTTTGTATTTGTCACCAGGGATGTTGCCACTCAGAAGGAAAACAGTGAAAGAGGGAAGTCACCCCAGTCAAAGCCCCCCTAATACTCACAGGGAATTTGAAACTGTGGGGTGGCACTGAAGACCCAAGAGGAGCCGCCGTGGAGAGTGGAGGCCCACAGGGAAGAGGATGGGAGCTGGTCCTGTGTCTGCTGCTGGTTTACTGTGGGGCCTTTGCAGGTCAACTCACTGAAGATTCCTCAACTCACAGAATGGCTTTGGACTGACCATCCAGGCCAGTTGGGCCAACGGGTGTTAACGCATACGTAAGAGCACAGATTGTGACTCACAGGCTTGACCCTGGGTCTTCCAACCAGGCTTCAGCTTTGAGCAGATCATGTAACTTTAAGCCCAGGTTTTTGTGTCTTTAAGACAGAAATTAAAATTCTTACCTCAGTAGGTTGGTATAAGAAATAAAAGATGTTTAAACTCGAATCTTAACCCCAAGATGATGGTCTTTTGTGCAGAGTTCAGGAAGATTATTGGAAGATAGTTCTGCAGTGTGAATGAGTCTGAATGAAATTACCCCCACCTCTGGGATTCCACTGCCCAGTGGCCTCCAGTGACTTTCCATTATCCAAAATTCAGGTCCACAGATTTTAGTGGGAATGAGAATCATGGGAGCTCAAAGAATGTGACTTCCTCCTGCTCTCAGGCAGGGATTAATTTGAAGATTGGCTAAGGTCAGCTATCTGGATTTTAAGATGACTCTTTGAGGTGCAAATGATCTGCAGACTATCTCTATGAGACATGCTTCTAGAATAAAATGCATGGTTTCTAAAGCCTCCTGTAACCTGGTCTCATGGTACCCCTCACCTTTACATCCCGCCCACCTTACACACACTGAATATCTGTTTCCACACTCACTCAGCTTTGCTTTCATCCTCACACATGCTCATGTCTTCTGTACTCATTGCTCTTACACATACCTGAAAATTACTCCACCTCAAACCTGCCTGGACTATGCCCTCATCATCTAATAGTTTTATGGGGTACAATTTTGTCTGCAGGTTTCTTTCTCACTACTATGGTTTGAATGAGTTCCCCAACATTTGTGTATTGGAAATAATCCCCAATGCAATGATATTGAGAGATGAGACCTTTTCTTAAAACAAACAAACAAACAACAAACAAAAAACACTTTTATTAAGTTCAGCGTACATGTGCAGGTTTGTTACATAGGTAAATGTGTGTATGGGGGTTTGTTGTGCAGACTATTTCCTCACCCAGGTATGATGCCTAGTACTCATCAGTTATTTTCCCTGATCCTCTCCCTCCCTACACCCTCCATCTTCCAATACTGGTGAGATTATGAAGAATAAAGGAAGCTTATACACTGTTGGTGGGAGTATAAATTAGTTTAACCACTGTGGAAGACAGTGTGGCAATTTCTCAAAGACCTAAAGACTGAAATATTAATATTATTCCACCCAGCAATCCCATACTGGTTGTATACAGAAAGGAATATAAATTGTTCTATTATAAAGACACGTGTGTGCATGTTCATTGCAGCCCTATCCATGAAAGCAAAGACATGGAATCAACTTATATGCCCATCAGTGATAGAGTGGATAAAAAAATGTGGTGCATATATACCTTGGAATACTATGCAGCCATAAATAAGAACAAGATATGTCATTTGCAATGGCATGAATAGAGCTGGAGGACATTATCTTTAGCAAACTAACACAGGAACAGAAAACCAAATACTGCATGTTCTCACTTACAAGTGGGAGCTAAATGGTAAGAACACATGGACACATAGAGGGGAACAACACACATTGGGGCCTATCAGAGGTGAGACCTTTAAGAGATGATTAAGTTGTAAGGGCTTTGCCCTCATAAATGGATTCATACTGTTATCCGGGAAGTGTGTTCTTTATAAAATGAGCCTATCCCCTTTTCTGTTCTCTCTTGCATGTCCTCTCTTGCCCTTTGGCCTTCTTCCATGCAAGAAGGCCCTCACAGGTTGCCAGCACTTTAGTCTTGGACTTCCCAGCCTCCAGAACTGCGAGTAACAAATTTCTGTTCTTTGTAAATTACCCAGCCTCAGGTATTCTTTTATAGCAGCACAAAACGGACTAAGATACTCACCGAAGACATTTTTCTGTTTGCCATTCCTCAGCATTAACATCACCTGTAGGAGTAGAAAGTTTTTTGGTCGTGTTTTAATTTTTTTAAATAACCTGAAGTCAGTACTTGCTAGAGTCAACTGAAATGGCCCTGTTTACATGGGACCCGAGGGCCTTTTTCGATGGTGGCAGCTTTTGAGGGCTAGCCTGGAAACCTACTATCACTTACAATATGGTTCTGCTGGGTAATGCATTCTGAGTTCCAACTCATTATGCAAAATAAGGCAGAAACATGCCCTCCCTTTTCCTCTGACCCCAGTAGTGGGGATCCTATCTTCTCTCCTCACTGCTTCCGCATTGCTTGTGGCAGGGAGAAATGGCACGTTGGTCCTAACAATTGCTCTGTCCTGCAATTGCTATGCAAGACACAACAACTGGGGAGTGGGAGAGAGCAAGAAGGTGACCATGGGAAGATTGGATCTCCATGGCCCACTTGTACATCTACTCCTGAGTTGGAAGATGAACATGTTTGTATTAATAGCTCCCCAAGTTTTCTAAATGGGTGAAGAAAAAGCAAAAGTAGTCCAGGTAGCGTGGCCAATAAATGGAGAAGGTTACCTGAGTATCTGACATAGGTGAGTCACTGGGCTAGGAGCTTTCTATAGGGTATTATATTTAAGCCTCAAAATACCCTAGGAGGTAGGCACTTTTACCCTTATTTTATAGAAGAATGGTTGGGGACTCTGTGAGATAAAGGAACGTGCTTCAATGTCATCAAGCTCTGAGTGGCGTTTGGCTTTGAATCTTTGCCATACCCTCCTCCAAGTCTACACTCATTACACTAACTTAGGAAGTAGATGCTCAAGAACTTGTTCAGTAAAGAATCATAGACTCCAATAATGAAATAAGATGCTGCCTTTAATAATAAGGTATAGAAATTATTTATAAAAAAGAATGATAATGATTTTTGTTTTTTGTTTCATTTTGTTTTGGAAAGGGGATGATGTTTTTGATTCAGTAAAAAAAACAGGTTATAAAACAGTCTGTTCTATATAAAACGCATGCATGCATTTTAAAGTATGTGAATCAAAACCGAGTAAGGATTATATTGTTAATGTGATTTTATATTATTTTTCAATGAATATGTATCATTTATGTAAAAAAACAATAAATTATAAAACAAAATACCACCAAGAAGAAGAACAAAATAATATTCATTTGGTAAAAAATTAAGTCATCACCAACAAAGCAAGCACCTCCCCCTCCAATACTTATGCTACTGATGGAGGTACCAGAACTACCACCACAATCACTATTACCAGCAAAACTAGCGTCAGTTCACTCATCACAATCAATATCAAACCACCACTGCAAATACCACGACTGCAATTACCACCACCACTACCATCACCACCACCACCAGCATCAGCAGCAGTCTCACAAACACCAGCCCACAAACACGAGGACCACCCCACCATCAACAATGAAGTTACTCATTGTCTTACTGTTCAACAGACACTGGACTTGTAAATGTCAGCAGAGACATATAAAACATAACTTCTGCCCTTAAGGGGTGCTGATGAGCTTGAAGAGGATGGATAACTTGTGTTAAAAGATAAGCCCTTTCATCTTGGTGTCCCTAAAAGTTAGGATGGTTCTTGGCATTAGTAAGTGCACAGTAAATGTTTGATGAAGAAAACAAATGAATACACCAGCATGTGTTAACCATAAGTGTTGCTGAATTTCAAACTATTACTTCAGAACCACAGGCTGTGCAGATAGATGGAGCTAATTTGTGATGATATGGAGACGCCATTTTATTTTCATTAAAGTCCTCATCTGGTGCCTTTGTAGCTTGCATTAAATGTCATTTTTCATGCTGTGGTCGTAGAAGGGCCCCTGGACCCTGGTCCCATTAAACAGGCTCTGTCTCCCACATGTCCATTTGATATCATGAGAGGCAGTTAAAGCTAGATGGGCCCTTCAAATTTGCTCCACACCTCTAGGGAAACTGAGGCTGAGAAAGCAGATATGATTCATGGATGGCCACATGGCCTCATTCTTCCCTCTGTAGCACACTGTCTTCCTGTCTGTTCTTTTGTTTGTTTCTCCTGTGCTTAAAGAAGGAACAAAAGGGTCAGAATTTCCATAAGAAAATAACACAAAAGCTAATCATTGCTTATTTCTATGTGAGATGCAAGGCTAGAAATCCTCCACACATGGTCTCATTTTTCCTCTCAGCAACTCAGAGACGTGGGCCATGTTTTGTCCACTGCACAGATGAAGAAAGTGAGACACAGGGTCGGTGAAGGGTCTATCAAGGTCACACAGCTGCTATGGAGTTAAACCCAGGTCTCGCTGGCTCCCAAACCCATTCCCTTTCCACTTCACTGCCTTTGGTAGTCATTCAGTTATGTTTTGAAAAGACAGTTTTTACACTGTTTGTGGGACTGTAAACTAGTTCAACCATTGTGGAAGACAGTGTGGCAATTCTTCAGGGATCTACAACTAGAAATACCATTTGACCCAGCCATCCCATTACTGGGTATATACCCAAAGGATTATAAATCATGCTGCTATAAAGACACATACATGTTCACGTATGTTTATTGCGGCACTATTCACAATAGCAAAGACTTGGAACTAACCCAAATGTCCAACAATGATAGACTGGATTAAGAAAATGTGGCACAAATACACCATGGAATACTATGCAGCCATAAAAAATGATGAGTTCATGTCCTTGTAGGGACATGGATGAAGCTGGAAACCATCATTCTCAGCAAACTATCACAAGGACAAAAAACCAAACACCGCAGTTTCTCACTCATAGGTGGGAATTGAACAATCAGAACACATGGACACAGGAAGGGGAACATTACACACCGGGGCCTGTTTTGGGGTGGGGGGAGGGGGGAGGGATAGCATTAGGAGATATACCTAATGTAAATGACGAGTTAATGGGTGCAGCACACCAACATGGCACATGTATATATATGTAACAAACCTGCATGTTGTGCACATGTACCCTAGAACTTAAAGTATAATTAAAAAGAAAGACAGTTGTGATAGCAATTTATTATGTAAATGTATCAATGGTTTCTATTAGCCACAGAAGAGCCTCCAAACTCTTCAAGATGGCAGTCCAAGGCCCTTGATAGTTGGGCCCCAGCAAGTTCGCCCAACTCCCTTGTCTCCACTCTACCCATAAACATTATCGACTTTCCGGTCCTCAAGGCAGTGCTCTCTGATATTGTTTGGCTGTGTCCCCACCCAAATCTCATCTTGAATTGTAGCTCCCATAATTCCCATGTGTCTTGGGATGGACCAGATGGGAGGTAATTGAATCATGCGGGTGGATCTTTCTCATGCTATTCTCATGACAGTGAATAAGTCTCACGAGATCTGATGGTTTCATAAAGGGAAGTTCCCCTACACACGCTCTTTCTTGCCTGCCACCATGTAAGACATCCCTTTGCTCTTCCTTCTTCTTTCACCATAATTGTGAGGCCTCCCCAGCCATGTGCAACTGTGAGTCCATTTAACCTCTTTCCTTTATAAATTATGTTTTTATTAGCAGCATGAGAACAGACTAATACACTCTCTAATACCCAATACCTTGGGCTTACACGAGCACTGCTCCCCTTTCCTGAAACTCTCCTCCCTTCCTTCTCACCCAGAAGCATCCCTGTGATGTCTCTGATCCTACTGTAAATTCCATCTTTTCTCTGCTATCAAATCTGCAAGCAAAGCTCTGTCTCTGAGCCCCATGTCCTCCCAGTGTCATGCATATGCAGTAGCCCCTCATCCATGTTATCCAACCCCAGTGGATGCCGGAAACCTCGGAAAATTCTGAACGCCATATAGCCTATGTTTTTCCCTACACATATGTATTCATGATAAAGTTTAATTTATGAATTAGGCACAGAAAGAGATGAACAACAATAACCACTAATAAAATGGAACAATCTCAATGTCACACTATAAGAAAAGTTTTATGAATGTAGTCTGTCTCTCTATCTCTTTCTCTTTCTCAAAGCATCTTATTCTATCACACTCACCTATTTTGGACCATGGTTAATCTTGAGTAACTGAATCACAGAAAGTAAAACTTTGGATAAGGGGGACCACTGTAATGCCTTCTTCTATACTTACAGTAGTTGGTTTGTGCCTGCAGTGCTAGACTTGCCCAGTTGAACCCGCACAATTGTTTTGTGTGTGTGTTTACCCACCAGACTGTGAGCTCCTAGAAGATAGGGACCATGTTAATGTTCACGCGTGGAACCTATGGACCCCTTAGCCCACGGCCCTGTTGGCGGAATTGTTGTTGACTAAATATTTGTTACACTCCATCTTCTCAGCATTTTCACTGTTTACTTTTGTTAAAACAGTAATTGGCATTCGCAGCTGGAGATAATTTACTGTGTATAAAACTGCTTTCTTAGAGGCTTTGTCGGGTAGGTCAGACCGACTTAGTGTTCCCACTCTGCAGATCAGGAAAGAAAGGCACGGAGAGACTTGTCTTAGTCAGGGGGCAAAAGCAGGAAGAGGGATGCAGCCGACCCCACTCAGCTTTCTCCTGTCAGTTTCAGGACCCCTCCCAGAAGTGCTCAGCTGCTACAGTGTCCCTCCCCTGACTTTTTTGAGAGATGACAAATTATATTCACTATTGTCCTAAAGTGGTTTTCATTTCTGATTACTTAATTTGCCCAGCGTTTGCTTTAAAAGATTTTCCACGGCAGGCTGTAGATGTTTGCGGTTGACTTTTTGACATTATAACACTTTAGTACAAAGGAAGCTACAGAAAGCAACAATGAAAACATTTACTAAGTATGTTTATAATCAAATGTATTCCTCAGTAATTTAATTTGGAGGAAGCAGAGAGCCCGGCATTACAAACAGAGGGCTCGTTAATAATTCATCAGTCCTGAAACAGGGAGGCTGGAACGAAGATTTAGAATCCTGCCACAGTGAAGGAAGATTTAGAATCACGCTACAGTTGGCTTCCCTGCTCAGAATGCACCTCTGCCCACTGAGGAGCTGGGATATTCAACTAGCAAGGGCCTCCAACAGCTTCAACGTTGCTTAGTTTTGAACGGTAGTCTTAGGAGAGCTCAGATTCTGAGGGATCCAATTCAGGGATGAAGAGGAGATGGTGGTTGGGGGAGGCTCAACAGGCCTGGCTTGCCACCCCGCTCATGAACACCAGGTCTGAGAGGTGGGTCTCCAGGCAGTGGTGCAGCCTGGGCAGTCATGCCCCTGGCATCCCTTATGCAAGGCCTTTGCTGTGGGTGTTGCCGAACGTCTGGGGCACAGAATAAATGGAAATAAGAAAACATGCTTCATTCTGCCCAAGCCTACAATAGGCCGGGCTTCAGCTTGGAAACACACACTAGCTCTACAGTCTGGAAAAGGCTTTCACACTCATCGGCTTATTCATGGCTCACTGCCCCCAAGAAAGACAAGAGGTGCCTCTGTGGATTGGATCCCTTGTCAGGGGGAAGGAAGTCTCAGAGTGGCAGTGGCTTGATCAAGTCTCAGGCCAAGGGTGGGGTGGAGGGCAGACGGCTACCCCAAGATCCCTGCCTACAAGTGGCTTTCTGTGACCACAGGAAAAAAAAGAAGAGATGTGTCTTGTCTCTTGTCTCACATTTGTGTATTTTCCAGATTAACCCATGATCTAAAAGATGAGAGAAAGAGGCTTGATCAACTTCTTGGAACTTAGTCATTTAAGGAATTATCAAAAAAAAAGTCAAAAAAGCAGGCAAAAGATTAAACAAAACAGTTTTTCTATGGAACAATAGTTCTTAGAAAGAGGAACACAAATGGCTTTTACCCATAAAAAATATACAAAATTTACTTGTAATAAGATAAATGCAAATTAAAACTATTATCAAATATTAGTTTTCTCCTATCAGATTGGCAAAGGTGAGTCTAAAAACACATTGCGTGGGGCAGAGTGTGAGGAGCTATGCAGAGTATTTCATTGCTGCTGGAAGCGCAGGTTACTGCAACACTAGTGCAGAGACGTTCAGCAGTGACTAGTTAGAATAAAGCTTCACAAACACTTTGAGCCAGCTATTTTATGAAGACTCTGTAAAGCAAATGTATAAAGAGATTTGTTGCAACATAATCTGTAGAATCAAAATACAGTAAATGCCTTAAATATTCACAATAGTAGATAGCCATTAAAAAAAAATTCTTCAAGTGTGTGTGTGTATATGTATGCATATATATATGAAATTAAATAGATATATTTAATTGTATTATCTATAAATATATATGTGTGTGTATATATATGGTGTATACACACACATATTCAGAGATATACAAGCACACATCGTACTAATATGGAATGCTCTACCTAAGTGAACTAAACATTAGTTAAGACAGGTGTATGTATGGAGCACTCCTATTTAGGTAAAAGTAATTTTCACACACGCACACACATGCCTGGAGTCCATATATTTGCAAAGAACTAGAGAACTCAAAAATAGTAAGGTATCAAGAAGTGACATACACCTTTGTAGTATTAACTATCATATGCCATCATCTATTTAAGTAGGTAAAATTGATATTTAAATACATATATGTATATCGTATAAGCCTAAATTAAAATTAGAGGAGAAGGAAATATAAAATGCTCTGGCAGCCACTGTTGGCTGCCCATGCAACAACCATCCCTTCCTTTTGGTAACCAAATCCTACTTTTATTTCTACTTCCCCTAAATGCATCAGGGGAGAAAGAATCCAGCTTCAGCATGGGGGCCTTGGAACACGACAACCTCTGCAGTCCCACTCCACTATTTCATCTGCGTCTTTCTGCAGTACTTGGAACTGTGCTCACAACATGCTGAGGAAGGTGGAGTGTGAAAATATTATGGAGCCACAAAACCTACCTGCCCTGTCCCTAACCTTCTTGCCAGGGGAACTCACACATCCCTGGGTGCTTCAGCTGTCTTGAGTTGGATTTTCCGTGAGCTATAGTAAGAAGTGTCCTGACTCACCCAATGCTCACCCAGCCTGCACGTCACTGCCCCAGCTGTCATTTGGGTCCATAGTTCATCATTTCTGGCTAGGGGGTCCATGCCTTTCTGCTTCAGCAAACCCAGTGGCAGATAATTCACCACTGTCTGTGGCAGTCAGCATCTCTCTGAAGAGCTCATTCTGTTGCAATGTTCTTCCTCCCACCAAATGGGAGCATCCTCTGTGATTTTTCTTTCCAAGGGCCCGAGGTATTTCTCCCTTCCCCTCTGTCCATATTCTCTCATCTATCCGTCCATCTATGCAAGAACTCACCACAGAGGGCCCAAAATGAGCAAGGAATTTGGCGAAAACACAATCCAGGCCTTTCATTATAGTTCTTCAGCTATTTGAACATAGTTCATGCCTCTAATAGTCAAGATGTTTTCTTTTTAAGTTGACCTTTATGTTGGATAGGTGCTGATGTTTTATGCTGTCTGTATCTCAGTCACTCCCCGCTGAGTATTCTCTCTGCACATCCTCTGTGAAGCTTGGTGTTCAGAATTAAAGACAAAATGCCAAGTGTGGGCTGGCTGGCACAGACCAGAGCAAGGCAGTCACCTCCCTTTCCTGAGACACTACCACTGTTAATATAGCCCAAGTGCATGAAGCTGTGTGAGGGCTCCCATTACCATGTGGATGAAGTTTGATTGACCGCTAACTTTTCCTAACTCTAAGTGGCATCTACCATTTCATCTCAGTACAATTGGTCCCCAGGACCCAAGAGCTGAGCATTATCTGCCTGGGATTTGTGTTCAACTTTTTCACTTTAAACCATTTTCCACTCACAATCCCTGGCCCCCACCTCACTCCCATTTCAACCATAGTCCCTCACCACCCCTTCCCCATTTACAAAACACATGTTTCCTGGCTGAGCTCTGATTGTGGTATTTTTTTTTTCTTTGCACTGTGTCACCCATGGTACAATCAGGGCTCCTCTTTCAGTAAGATGCTGATTGGTCAAAAATGGCTTCCAGTAACTCAGCCTTTGTTTTGTAAAAACATTATTGCAACATTGTATAACACTTTAGAAATGTTTCAAATTTAGGCTGGCTGGTGATTTAGCAGACTAGGGGGCTAGCATATGGAATCTGCTATGCTCAAGAGACTGTGGTTCCATTCCTGGCACCACCAGGCAAGGCAGGCTTAGCAGCCGCAAGGACCTTCCCAGCATTCAAGCTGGCGAGGACGCCAGGTATGGTTCTCTCCTTTGCATCAGAAGCCAAGTCTTGTGGGCACGTGGGAGAGAAAAAATTTGGATATCCCGAGGCAAGCAGTTTCTAACAGGCTTGGTGCATCTACATCAGTCATTCATTCAGATTTTACTTGGCATCTACAGCATGCCAGGGACAAAGATGTTGAGGTGTATGAGACAAGGTCCTTCTCTCAAAGCATTCATAGTCAAGTCAAAGGTATAAATAAGAGAATAAAAATTACAGATGGGGTTGATGATTCAGGGCAAGGGTGTTTGGAGGGTGGGTACTTGGGAGTGGCAGTGAGAGACTGAGGGGTTCACAGAAAAGATGATAGCTTATTTGAGTTTAAGATTTTATCCTAAATATATTTATGTAAATATTAACTTCAGTTAATATTTATCGAGAATCATAGGAAGTAGGAGAGGAATACTTCACGTAGAAGGAATTCCATGCAAAATCTTTGTGTAACAGTAAAAGTTGTGAATTGGAAATAGCAAATATCTTTAACCGTAGCATGTGTGTGCACCAACTACGTGGTCATGGGCCATCAGGTCACCTGGGGAGCCCCCGGGCTTTAGCTTTCTGAAGGGACACTCATTTGCTCTGACCTGAGACCTCACATGAAGCTGGCATCTTGTACAAAAGCACCCGTGTCACTGTCTCACTGCCTTCTCGAGTACCTTCGGTAATAGAAGGTTTATAATAATGATACATTTGGAATGTAAAGTCAGAAGTTCCAGCCTGGCTTTGGAGTTTGTTCATGATGAGTCCTGAAGGTTTACATCATTTGTTGTGCCCTGCACAGCCTCGGTTTCCTCGTTAGAAACAAGTGAGTGGAAATTAGTACCTGCTTCATAGAGATGGTATCAGGATCAAATTATCATGTGGAAGAGGACTTGGTGGTCTGGAACATGCTTTGTAAATGGCAGCTGTCTTGTAATTTCCTTTTCTGTAAGCATGCTGATTATTCGATGTCCACGGTGAGGCAACTGGTTTCCTCTTTGGAGATCTCTGAAAAACAGGGAATAATTCCTTATATTGAGCCCCAATATTGCACTCTCCATGATTTCCCAGCCACTGTTACTAGGGCTGCCCTTGGGGCCACATAGAATAAATGGAACCAATCTTGCGTGACAGCCATTCTCTGCTCTATAGGCTGCTTTCCTGAATCCACATTTTCTGTTCTTTCTTCCAAGTCTGTCACCCGGGACTTTGATGAGCTGAAGAGTGATGTGATTTTGCCTAAGACTCTGTTGAGGTTAAGTGCTTGTCTCGTTCATCGGTCTCTTCAGGAATTCTTCTCTTCTGTAAAATGAGAGGTCGGAAAAGCAGATGATGTGCTTTCTGAGATCCTCCTGGTTCCAGCCTAAATGTTCTGGAATTTCTAGATTATTCTTGGAAGTTCTCCACAGCTGGAGGGAATCAGGAACGTGCAGATAGAGTGAGAGTGGGTCACTGTGTAGGACCACAGGAAGAGGGAGTGGTCCTGGTCCTTCCCAGCCCTCCTGGAGGGAACTCAGAGCACTGTGCCTCATCCATCCACTGAAAATCCAAGCGAGGCTGAAGATGGCATCAGGACAAGAGGGGAGTCTTCAGGAAGACTCAACTTCTGAATGAGAAGACAGAGGCATACAGCATTAACCTCCTGATGCACGAGTGTCACCCAAGATCATGTGACACCTCCTTCTTCCTCAAGAGACTTGGACTGGTCAGCCTTTCATGTATTGATTGCTTTTGTTGATTCTCACCCTCTGATATCCAGAAGGAATGAAAAGGGCACAGACAAAAAGAAAAAGGGGGGAGGAATATTTCACTTTCTGCCACAGTATATTATTGGTGTCTCCCTTTTGTAATAACAAAACAATGACAAAAATGCTATCAGCAGTGTGGGAGCTTCCAAAGAGTGGGTGGAAAAATCCCACAGGAGTAGGAAGGGAGGATATTGAGGAACTCAATGACCTTAAGGGTTCACCCTTTCCAATTGCTCCAAATGCCTCATGTACTCCTTAATAAATGGGCAAAAGAAGGTTTCCCCAAGAGGTTTATAGGGAAAAATATAATCCAGGTACAGAAGTGTTTCACTGGGATCCTTTAGGGATGTCAGCACAGGGACAAGTTCTTTGTATTCAGAGCTGGGATGATAGGCACAAACCACCGCAGAGGGTCAGGATAGGATTGGTAAAATGAATGGGCTTAAGCCAAAATCCTGAGAAAATGCCAAGGGTGAAACCCAGGAAACCAAAATCATACGTTGCGGGCGGTCCCTTCTAAATACTCCCCTCTAGCTCTTACACATTTGCGTTGGAAAGCACCTCCAGCTTCCAACTGTTTGTTTCCTGCCTCCTGTATCTACACAAGCAGAGTGTAAGCATCAAGAGAAAAGGAACTACATCCAATCTCTGCCGTTTTCTTGCACCTCCTAATAATTTCACAAATGCTTTTTGAATAAATGAATAAAGTGCTGTGTCCTGAGCAAGATTGAAATAGAAAGAGAGGAACCAGGCTTATCTGGACAAAGAAAAGGAACAAAAGAGAGAAAGGTGTGGCCGCCAGTGGGTGAGAGGCTGGGCAAGGTTTGTGGGCTCCCTTCCAACCTATTGAGGGGACAGGCTTGGAGCAGATGCCAGCAGACATTCTTATGAATCTCTGAAAGCCAGGCTGGCCATGTGAGCTGCCACTGGGCAGGGCGACCACAGTGTCACTATGTAAGGGCCTAATCTCATTAGAAGAGAGATGCATGGGTCTGCAGGGAAAGGGGCTTTCATTAAGGGAGTGGGGCTGCTGGGGCCATGTGTTTACTGGAAATTGAGCAAAGTGACACCGTCAGTCCAGAGTAGAAGCAACAGAAGAGACCAGGGCCGGTTCAGAGTTGGAGGGGAGAACAGCCCCACAGCAGTTCCAGCCAATAATGTCTCTATTCGGATGCCATTAGTGGGTTTGGCAGGCAAGCTCACCATCTACTTCAGAGGACCACAGCACAGATTAAGGGAGGCTGGATGCTAATTTACACATATGGAAATGCTTTTTCTCGCCGTCGATGGCTCTGTTGTGGACAGATGGAATTAGCAAGAACTTCGAAGTCGTGAAGGCAAACACATCAAAAAAAAAAAAAAAAAGAAAGAAAGAAAAGAAAGCCAGCCTCTCTCTTTTCTTTCCCACTTTTTCTCTTTCTGTTGGCCTGTCTCCTTTCTCTTTCTTTTTTCCATCATTCCCTTGTCCTTCTCTCTTTTTCTTTTACCTTTCTCTTGTGAGACTCTTCTGACTGTACAAGAGTAAATAAATATTGCCCCAGAATGGCTCCTGGCATTAATAATGCATTGGTCATATTTCAATTGCAAATTGTTCTTTAACAGCAAATGTACCCCCGTCACCCCACCCATATCAATTGTAAGTAGGATTCAGATGCCAGAAAACACCTGACAAATTAAGGCTTAAGGCTGGTCTTCAGAGGATTGTGGTCTCCCCGCCAGCACTGACCTTGGACATCAACAGCCCCTTCCCTGAGTTGGTTTCCCTGTCAGCTCCTGTGGATGGGTCCCCTTCTCGACAGCCTCACCACTCTACTGAGAAAGGGTTCTTTAGATGCATTCGGCTTGCTTCAGGGCTGAAATGATAAATCCGATGGGATTACCTTTTATTATTATTTTTCTTTCTTTCTTGTACTCTGTGTCTTTGACTGGGAAGGCCTGTAATATTTTATTTATTTGACAGACTAACCAGGGTTAGCGTCCCTTTGGAAATTGTCACATAAAGGTGTCTACTGAGCAGAGACACCTACCCTGGTAAGTGCCCCTCTTCAGGGTTTAGCAAACTTTTTCAGTAAAGGGCCAGATAGTAAATATTTTCATCTTTCCAGGCCAGACATCTTTCTTGCACCCAGGAAAGCAGCCATAGAGAATACATCAATGAATGGGTGTGGCTGTGTCCAGTAAAGTATTATTTACATAAACAGATGGAGGGGCTTGGTTTGGACAGAGGGGGTACTTTGCCACCCCCTGGTTCAGGAAATCTTTAATTGTAGGAGTCACACAGTTGGGTCTACAACCCTCAGCCTCTGTTTTCTAACTTATCCAAGGGGTAGATGAATATATGTCGTGCATTTGAGAAGGATGTTCTAGCTTTGTTTTGCCTCAACTACCTTCAGAATGCCTTCACCTCTGGGCTTCAGGCAGATGACAGGGCTCAGCAAGTAAGCCACAAGGTTGCTGGTGGCTCCTCCCTTCCCTGACTCTGGGAGTCTGCAAGCTCAGAGCCAGGCTGATCATGCACCCCAAATCTGCAGTCCTAATACTTCCCTTCTCTCCTTCCTTTAATGACACAGTTACCTTAAAGTTTCAGGAATGGCAGGAAATTTCAGGAAAATACAGGAAGATTTCAGGAAATGCAGGAGTTTCAGGAAATGCAGGAAAGGCAGATTCAGCTTAAAGGGCAGAATCTGCCTCCTCCAAGGGGTGCCTGAAAGGAAAGTACATTATTCTATCAACTACCTCGTTGTATGACCTGTTTATTCCAGGTGTTTTTGTTGTCATTGTTGTTGTTGTTGTTGTTGGGGGAGTGGAGAAGTGGGGAAGGAGATAAATTCCAAAGTCTAGATGATCCATTGAGTTTTTCCACTTTCCAAGCAGATATTCTAAAACCAACCCACTAAATCTTGCACCTGCTGCTCCAAGTCCTGACAAGTACCACCATTATCATGTTCAGGTTCCCTGGATCAAGTGAGCTTTCTGGGTGTTGCTTTGTCTCAAGAAAACTTTGTTTCCTCTTTCCTGATTTCATGTTCTGTTCACTCAGTGATACTACAAATTCCCTGGAGCAAAGAGCCACCTCTTTTACTAAAATTGTCGTGTGTGATTTGGATATCATCCAAATCCAGGTCCACTACATGTGCAGCAATGTACAAATCTATATATGATGTGCTTTTCAAACTACTAGACTGGAAATCCAGTGCTGCCAGCAGACTAGTACTAAGTCTCTTAGAGAGACTTAGGGTAACAGCTAAACTCCACTCCTTCCTAGCTGTGTATCTTTTAGGTAGGTTAACTCTTAAATTGTTTCCTGTCTTTTAAAAAGGAATGAAACTAATTTTGCTGATGTTTTATGTGAATGTACTCAAGATGTATTGGATTCTCCTTGCAATGGGTAGTCAAGCTCAGTGAAGCTATTGCCCACAGGATATTAGTGCAACCCTCAACCACACCCTTCCAAACCTCTGGGGCTGGAGGGAACTAAATTTCTACCGAGGAAGGCTAGAAGCAGAATAGATAAACAGAATCTGTGGCCCAGGGAAGCTATATAAAGACCATTTGATTTGAGAAAGAACTCAAAGGCTGGAAAATAAGTTAGAGGATCAGAGCTGAGAGAAGCAGCAGCTGTGAGTATTGGTCTGCTCAGGTGAGGGGCTTTGGTTAATGAACCTGCATGTGCTGTGAGCTACAGTCTAGTAAGTGTCTGCTCTATGCTAGACATTAAGCTCAGTGTTATGCATGCATTATTTCCAAGCCTTCTGATATCCTTCACAGATAAAGTGCTTTCTTCTCATTTTATACACACTCAGAGATGTTGAGGGCCTTTAATCAAGGCCCCAGCTCTGAAAGTATGTAAAGACAAGATTGGACTTTAGTTCTGTCTGGTCCCCAAATCAAAGTGTAAACTATTTCTGCTAGCTTATGTGAAACCTTGTGGCCAAGCACTGCCTGTGTGCACATCACTTTGCCTACCCATGACCCTCTGACCCAACCTATGAATTAGGTCAGATGGCCTGAGGTCTGCTTGTGTCTCAGGAGGCTCTCAGGGAAGCCTCCTTGAGCCTCTCCACACACCGATGATCTCTGGCACCCAGTGGTTGATGAAGCACATGGTTTCTGAGATGACCCCAGAGTCATATCATGGCCAATATAGTGGTCAATACTCCTACTCATTCTCCTCATGATTTATGTGTTCATCTCCTTTGAGTTCAGTTCTATAAGAGCATGGATAAGGCCAACCCCATGTACACAGTAAGTTCATGTAATGAACTCTGACCAAATGTCTCATTGATTGAATAAATAATGGCTGGAGAGGTGTTTTAAAAGTGCATAATGCAGTACAATGCAATGGACTGATATAATTTTTGTTTTGTTATCTGGAGGCAATGTGTACATTTTTCTCCAGAAAACAAAAAAACAACACAAAATGAAAAGAAAAAAAAAACTGATCTAGTCTCTTCCTTACCAAGTCATCCACATTAGCCTGGCCTTGTTTCCTTCAGGTAATTTCACTGGAACATTTCCAGCATTATGGCTATTAAGTTGAGGATATCTGCCATATCCACAGGATATCCCAAATCCCAAAGGGAGACGCCAAATCAGTGGGAAAAGAGCACATTGATATCCACATTCCAGTTCAGCCAACAATGTCCCAGCCATTAGATCACTAGACTGTGCTCTGTGAGGACAAAGACCCTAAGTGTTCTATATATGCCTATTAAAAATTATACACATACATAGGCACACACATGCGGTTATATATATGCAAAAAGAGAAAAGGTATAAAGATATATAGGCATAGCAGTAAAAGAAAGGATAAATGGATGGGTGGATGATTCGATGTTTGGATGGATACAAGGATGAATGGATGGATGGATGTATAGATGAGTGGATGGATGCATAAATGAACTGTAAAAAGGCAAGCCCTAGAAATCCTCTGTATGTCACTCTTTCTCCTGATTTATAATCCATGTTCCTTTTAGTTAAACAAGAATCTAATAAGAATTTTATGTCCTCTCGTGTTTTAATTTGAGGAATAATTAATTTATAAATTAAGTGCTTTGAGAATTGTAAAGTGCAATTCAGACATAAAATTGTGTTGTTCTTCACCTTGATCATCCTGATTTCTATTCGAAAATTTCCAAGAAATTAAATATTATGACCAAATATAAATTGCTATTATTACTATTAATACAATTTAGAATTTATACAAATTAAAAATTGTTACACGAATTAAAGAAAACTTAATATTGAATTTTCTTTTAGGTTCTGCATCTGTTCTCACAGAAATTCTGATCAGCGGCATGTTCTTCCTACCAGGTTAAGATTCATCTTTTTGTATTGCTGACGTTTTAACATTGGTTCAAAACTCTACACTAGTAAAACAGTTAAAAAAAAAACTTTAGTGATTTTGTAATATGAAGCTAAATTTTACATTACCAAGCACTCTGCAAGCCTGACTTAACACCAGATTCAATTCTACTGGATGTTTCCAGCTATTGAATACAATTCCCCATGTAGTCTTTCCAAACTGGGCAAGAATTGGTTTCAGATAAGTCATTATTGTTTGCAAGGCCTAACTTCTATTTAACTTGAAAAATAGACTCAGGAAACTTTTTCCACTCATTACTCAGGAATGCCTTGCCTTAGTGGGGAAGAGGCATTCCATGAAGTTTGAAAAATGGTGCAGAAACTGAGCTCAGAATGTGTCACCTGTGCTCTAGAACATGAATGGTTTTAAAAGGCAGGAGGAGAATGAAAAGAAATACTAACAAAGGAAGGAGAGCATTGCCAGATCACACTAATGGATTGCAGAAAGGCAATGGGAGGTGAGTCCAGGTTGCCTCTAACTAGCAGTGAGATTTGAGTTAAATCTCTGACCATAAGAAAATCATTTCCAAGAGGGAGAACAAGTGGGAGACTACAGAGAAAGGGAGAGAGAGGGAGGGAGGAAGGAGAGGTAGGGAGAGAGAGGGAGGGAGGAAGGGAGAGGTAGGGAGAGAGAGAGAGAGAGAGAGGGAGTTCAGGCAATTGTCTCAACATGGTGGTCTGGAATTTAAAGTAACATCTTCTGATTCCACGTTCCGTTGAAAACCTCCATGATCATAGCCTAATATCCTAATAGTCATAGAAATCTATAGAATTTCCCATTCCTTCTACCCTCTCCATAGCTTAGTTCTATAATATTATGTCACTTATAATCATGATTACACTCAATACTTCACTCATGTTACCTCCATGCACTAAAGCACCACAGGCAGAAAACAACCTTAATGTACATTTTCCAGACTACTGTACCCTAACATTCTGTGGGCCAAGGGAAGCACATGGTATGAGTCAGACTGATGCTTTCTGTCTAAACTTGTGCTTTGGCTATACAACAAATGTCTGAATGGTGTAAGTTCTTGCAACTTAAAGCCAGGAAAATGATGACAATACATTTAAGGTCCATCAATCTTTCATAATTTCATATTTTATAGCTTTTTCAGATTATAAAAGAAATACCTGGACACAATGAATAAAAATAGTTGGACTACAGAATAATAGAGATGAAAATACAAATCAGCCATAATCTTACAACAAGGCAAACACTCTATCTTCTTTTATAATTTTGTGTGTGTGCTTGTGTTTATTTGCATTATGGTGATTATATTTAATACAAAATTTTACATTGTACTTTCTTCAGTCAACCTTAGTTTGTAAAATTTTTCAAACATTCAAATTATTCTACAACTCAACATTTTATGGCCAACTGTGCATTATGTGACTATGTAAGAATGTGTTTACCATTCACCTTTAATTGAGCTTTTACATTCTTATTTTGTTGTTTTTATTAAAAGTAATGCAATGCCTACTTTTCTCCCTATTTTTCATTCCTTCTTCGTAAAATATTTTTATCTGTTCAGTCATCCTTTTCACTACCTCCCTGGGAATTTTCTCTTCATTGAAGCTTTTTTCAATTCTTCAAATTAAAATCCATGGCTTTTTATATTATGACTTTGATATGTAAATAGATGTCTATTATTTTATGTATGATATTTTGTGATATATGTTTTATTATCTACCCTAGCTAAATCAGTCACTCTCTAGGGAACATAAACAATTCGCCTTCCCACTATACTCTCAGGGTGTTCATTTCTAAGGTAAAGATAGCAATACTTTCCCCTTAGAGCTGACGTGAGAGTTAAATGGGATACTAGATGTAAAGTGCATAGAATAGAAATTGGCATATAGAAAGTTCTCTATCAACCTTAGCTTTATTCCTCTGTTGATTTATCTATAGTTTCCCATGATAATATGAACTCTTGAAGAAAAAGGCACACACACACTTGTCCACACATAGGCACAGACACACATACATATATAGCTTCCCTGCCTAGCATAGTGCCTAGTCCTTAGAACTCAGGAATTACTAGTTGAATGAAATGGCTGAAGTTTAATTTTGTTAACATTAACATCACAAGGCTTTTTGGTCAATGAATATGCCAATGTATTGTTACTTATAAAGGGATTTTGCATCTACTATGGAGTATTTATTTATAGACATAACATTCACATGTACTTGAGGATTGTATAAATCAAGACTTATTTTATCTACAGGAGTTTCATATCACTAGAAAAAAAGATTTTAGAAACGTTCTAATAATTGTCATATGTTCGGCAAGAGAGGCTCTTTTAATCATACGAAAATGAAGTTAGATAATTGGATGGTTATGATAGCTACAGAAGGGGTTTATAAAAGTCACAATTAAGAGGCACCCACTGTAAGAAAAAGCAAAACGTATTTTCTTTAGGCTCCCATAAGCTGCATTTTCAATGCACAGATTTAAGGAAATTCCCTTTCCAAATCCTCTTTTGTCCCACATGAAAGCGATGATGACTTTCTACACAGCAGACCCAGGACTTAAAAAAAATAAAATAAAAAGAATGTTTACTCTAAGTAGAACATCATGGGCTTCGTCATAGCAGTTTCATGGCATTCCCCCTCCAGCTGTTTTGATTTATCCCTCCACTTCTAATAAAACTTGTATTTTATTTCAAGGGGTAATCCATAATTAACTTTTCAACTGGTGGCAGTGGTTTTTTAGGTGCCACCAACAGTGTGTGGAACTCAACCTTAAAAAAAAAAAGTAAAAGTAAAAGACCTGGTAGGTATGCTTTCCCTGGTTCCATTGAGGTTTTCTCCCTGAAAAGTTTTACAATGATAGAGACGTGGTGGGATTTGGCTTGACTGAACAAGCAAAGGAAGAAGGGCCATGGGACAAGGATGGAAGGTCAAGTACTCCATCCTTTTTAAAGATAGGTGCCTGGATCACACAAATATTTCAAATTCCACCAGATAGATAAATAAATAGCAAGATAGACAGATAAAGATATATGTATGTAAACCTATATCTATCTATCTATCTATCTATCTATCTATCTATCTATCTATCTATCTATCATCTATCTATCTCATGTATCCACCCATCCATCCATCCATCCATCCATCCATCCATCCATCCATCCATCCTTCCAACCATCCACCCATCCATCCATCCATCATCTGTCATCCAGTCTCTACCCATTCATTTGTTATCTGTCTATCTATCTATCTATCTATCTATCTATCTATCTATCCATCCATCTTTCTATCCATCCATCCATCTTTCTATCCATACATTATCTATATCTCTATCTACCTATTCATCTACTTATCCCATCCATCCATCCATCCATCCATCCACCCACCCATCCATCCATCCGTCCATCCATCCTCCATTCTCTATTGATCTAACTATCCATCTGTCTGTCCATTCACCATTATCTGTCTCTCTCTCTCTGTCAATTTACCATCTACCTGAGAGATAAGCATCTACCTCAGAGATAAGTTGGACCGTGTTTTTCTCCCCAGTGTCCTCAGCATATTTTGTAAGCATAAAGAGCAATTAAAGAAGAGAAAGGAAATATTATTTTTTTTGTTTGCATTGTACTTCCATCACTCAACTGTGGTTAGTAAAATTTGGCAAGTGTTCAAATTATTCTACAACTCAACATTTTATGGCCAACTGTGATTATGTGACTATGTAAGAATTTGTTTACCATTCGCCTTTAATTGAGCTTTTACATTCTTATTTTGTAAGAGAAATACTCTTTTTATTGAGAATAAAAAAGAGAAATACTATTTTTATTGAGAATCTACTGATGCCAAGGAGAGAATAAGGAGGGGATAAGAAAATAGGAGAGAAAAGTCAAATATGAGTGAAAAAGAAGAGCGAATCTCAATGAAGCTATCTGTCTAACTACTGCTTGGACACAGAGAGATGAAATGGAAAGCCCATGGCAGAGGTGTCTTGGTCCAGAAGTGACTGCATGGGTGAACTTGCTTTTCTCTGACACCCTACTGAAGACCATTATTGCTTGTCTTGATGCTGAGCTTGGATTCTCCCCAAGGCCCCTAGGCCCTGGGGCAAGGGGCTGAGAGGAAGAAGGTTGGCATGTTGTAGCTGAACCCCAGGGGAAATGGAAACAGGCAGGAAAGACTCAGTATCAGGAGCTCCCCATGGGGACCCCCCATATGCAATGTACCCAGGCAGCTGTGTGCAGAACCTAGACAGTGGGAAATGCTCTCTTTGTGGGTGGCTGACATGGTGGGGAAAGGTGGCCTCTGGCATCAGGCCAGCCTGGGTCCTGACCCTTTCCCTGCCCCTCCCTGGCTGGAACACTTTGAGGAACTCTCTCAACTCTCCTGTGCCCCAGGCAAATGGAGAGACATGAGTTAGTGCTTCTAAGGTACCCAGCATGGTGCCTGATACAGTGAGCATTTAAGAATGTTAATTCTCCCATCCAATTTATATTCAGAAGGTCTGTGTAACTCAGGGGTTTCCAGCCCTTCCAGCCCTGTAGTTTTTCTCATGCCCTTTAATTTATGAATAAAATGAGTCTCCCTCTCACGAGAACCCAGAAATCCCAGCAACTATTCAAGCCAGACCTCTCAAGCCTGTCTCTCCTTCCCCTAGATTTTTTCTGTTTCTTCACACTCAGAGCACAGTTCCTGGCTTACAGTGATTCCTTTCTCTCCTAGCTCTCTCCTCTCTTCTGCTGCCTGTTACTTCTGCTTTCTCTGGTTCCATTTATATTGCAATATATATCTAGGAAATACCAACACTGAGCTCAACCACATACCGCCTGTGTTATTTTGGGTAGGCTACTCAACCTCACCGTGGCTCAGTCTTTGCATCTGTAAATGGTGGATAATGACAGTACTTACCACATTTATTTTATTGCAGCAATTTTCTCTCTATTACCCATGTGAAGTCCTTAGCAAGATGCATGGCATCATGTTCACATTCAATGAATAATGATATTCTTACTATACGGCACTGTGGGTAGCACACACTGGCCATAAAATAATTAAGTAGCCATGTGTCCCAGTACCTCCTGAGATTCAATGTTTGGAGTAGAGCTGTGGGTGGGGTATGGTTGACGCTAGCACACAAGTAACATCACTCACTGACCTGGGCAATGCTATTCATCTCCTCAACAGTGGATCCATTGCCCATGGCAGCCCAGAGCAAGAGATGCTTCTTTCATTCAAGAGGGGATTAGACTGTCCTTCCAGTTACCCAGACTCTTTAGGACATTGTTCCCAAACAGAGAGAATGGAACCAAGAAGACACATGGGCATCAAGTTTGGAGACAATTCAGTCCATAGTCCCAGCATGTCTGTTACTAACACATCAAGCAGAGAGCTGGCCATTCACAGAGGATAAATGGGGAAGTAACACTGGCTGTGTAAGTGTACTCTACTAAAGCATACATTTTAAGCAAGTGTTGAGTACAGTGTGGCTTAATACATGAAGGCACTGAAGCAAACGAGCCCTTTCCAGTATGGTGCAGAGGTACTGGGAGAGTACAGACTCAGAAAACAGTAGAGAAGCCAGAGTGGCCCAGCATAGGTGTAAATCCCCAGTAATATGTGTTATTTTAGGGTAGAAAATGGAGAGGAAGATTGAACTCACTGTGCATCAGAATGTTGAGTAATCAGGTAAAGTTCTCATAAAGAACAGGAGGATAGTAATTATCAAAGCCTTCTTTTGTTGTCTTTGTATAGTTTCAAGTGAAAAGGGCTCTCCTGATGGTGTGACCAGGCAGCATCAACCTAATCAGAGCAGTTAGAATGTTTTCTCCAGTAAATGAAAGGATCCCTGACCCAAGTGGACAGAGCAGGTTATGACACCACACTGCAAAGAACCAGATGGCAGGGAGGCTCTGGAAAATTAGGACATTGGCTCAGTCAAGGAACCAGGAATGCAGGTTCCTTCTGCGTTCTCTCTGCCTTCCATAGCAGATAGACTGGCCCCAGGTCAGCTTCTCTCGAAGTTCTGCATGGCTGCATCTGTTCTGGCATTCTACAGAGACCTGTAAATGAGAGAGAAATTAGGTTCCTAGAGCTATTGTAACAAAGTGCCACAAACGGAGTGGCTTAAAACAACAAAAACAGGTTGTCTCACAATTCTGGACTTTAGTGGTCCACAATCAAGGTGTTCAGCAGGCCGTGCTTCCTCTGAAACCTGTAGGAGCAAATTGTTCCTTACCTCTTTGGCTTCCAGGGTTTGCCAGTGATCCTTGGTGTTCTGTGGCTAGCAGATAGATCACTCCAATCCGTGCCTCCACCATCACATGGCTGTCTTCTCCCTGTGTGTCCCTGTCTTCCCATGGTGCTCTTCTCTCTGTCTCTCTTTCCCCTGCTTAGAAGGACACCAGTCATACAGGGTTAGGGCCCTCTACCCTATGACCTCATCGTAACTAAATTTATTTGTAATGATCCTATTTTCAAACAAGGTCATGTTCTGGAGTACCAGGGGTTAGGATGTGTATAAATCTTTTAGGAGACACAGTTCAACTCATAACAAAGGGGCATCTCCTCTTTGTGTCTCTTTTAATAAGAGAGGAACTATTTCCCAGAAAGAGCAAGAGGATATCTCCTCACAGTTCATCGGCCACATCGGGTTACATGCCCTCATTTCACCCATCACCAGCAAGGGAGATGCTGTTTCTACAATTAATTAGGATTTGTTCCTGATCGTCACAGGCCAGAACTATCTACATGGTCAGCGCAGCAATGCAAAAGTAAGGATGGTTTGGGGTAGGCTGCCCAAAGTTTCTGCCACACTGACAATTAGAGCCAGATTGTACCGTGCTGAGCAAATTACATACATAAATAAAGCAGGTAAAGAGCCATCTTGTATAAATCTGCACACAGGGAAGTCATTTACTTACTTCTGGATATGCAATAGGGTCAAACGTCATCACTGTTCTGCCTGACGTGGCTATCTCAAAGCTCTATTCCTTCTACAATGAGCCCACGTTGTCCTCATGAAGCACAGATTACCACCCTTCACTTCCCTCCAATAAGAACAGATCCTCTGTAGAAAAGAAATCCAAGCTATTCAGCATGTCCTTTAACCCTGTCTGATCTGGACCCTGAATCCCTCTTGTATCCTCTTCCAACAATTTACTCTCACTCTTCAGTTAGAAATGCAGTGTTTTGCTTCCTAATGCAAAGTTTCTTCATCCTTCCAGACTTAACTCAAATGCAGCTCCTTGAGAAAAATTATCATGCTCCACCTTTTTGTTTGTTTGTGATCTCAGCAGCCCCTTTTTGTTTGTTTCTCAGCCTGGCATCTATAACTAAACCCTCGAGGCCCTTGGAGCTCGTGTATCCCTTCCTTTAGGTCTGAAACACCTTTTATGACTGTTTCAGGAAGAGGGAATTATTCTCCTGGGTTCTTGACTTTTGCCAATCACTGTTTTTGTCGTTGTTGTTGTTTGTTTGTTTGTTTTTTGCCCTGTCGTGGCTCACTGAAAACTCTGTTTCCTGGGTTCAAGCAATTCTCCTGTCTCAGCCTCCCGAGTAGCTGGGATTACAGGTGCCCACCACCACGACAGGCTAATTTTTATATTTTTAATAGAGACAAGACTTTCACCATGTTGCCCAAGCTGGTCTCCAACTCCTAACCTCAAGTGATCCACCCACCTCGGCCTCCCAAAGTGCTGGGATTACAGGCATGAGCCACGGCACCCAGCCTGTTTCTCCATCTCTAAGAGCAAGCAGCCCTTGCTTTAATAATATCTCCATGTGCACCTGGATTTCTTACACTAGACTGGGAGCATCTAGGGAAACACAAGCCTATGCATCTCTGCAGTGCCTGCACCGTGCCAGGAACAGGTGATCTTGGTCATCTATCTCTTGGCCTTTATAAAGCAGTGTGGTATGTGCAGAAATACAGTCCTGAGAAATGTACAAGATAAACAAGAAGCCGAGAACAGCGGTTAGCTATATTTGCAGGAGAAATTTCCTGGAGGTTTCAAAATGGACTTTGACGCACATTACCTCATTTTGCCCTTACGGAAGTCCTGAGTAATAGAATTGTTCCTTTAGGAAATTAAGGAGTTAAGGCCCAGGGAAGATGTCAATTGCACAAGGTCACAAATATAGTTTGAATGTATGTCCCTGCCCAAATCTCACATTGAAATGTAATCCCCAGTATTGGAGGTGGGGCCTGGTGGGCGGTGACTGGATCATGGGGGCATATTTCTCATGAATGGCTTAGTTCCATCCTTTTAGTACTGTTCTCAAGATAATGAGTGAGTTCTCCTGAGATCGGGTTGTTTAAAAGTGTGTAGCACCACCCCCCTTCCCCTCTTGCTTCTGCTTTTGCCATGTGACATGCCTGCTCTCCCTCTACCTTCCACCATGATTGGGAGTTCCTGAGGTCTCGCCAGAAGCAGATGTCAGCATTATGCTTCCTGTACAGCCTGAAGAACCTTGAGCCAATGAAGCCTCTTATAAATTACCTAGTCTTGGGTATTTCCTTGCAGCAATACAAGAACAGAATAATAGAGTCAGGTAGTTTGTAGATAGTAGAACTATGGATTAAACCCAGTCCTCTAGTTCTTATTCCATTGCTCCAACATGCATGTGCCTGCTATGGTTTCAGTCCTTGTCCATTTTAAAACTTATGTTCAAATGGAATTGCCATCGTAATGGTATTGAGAGGTGGGATCTTTCAGAGGTGTTTAGACCCTGAGGTTCCATCATCATGAAAGGACTAATGTCCTTTTTGAGGAAGTGAGTGATTCTCCCCCTCCTGCTCTGTCTCTTTTTCTCAAGCTCTCATCTCCCACCATGCTATGATGCAGCAAGAAGGCCCTCACCGAAGGCCAGCTCCACAATCTGGATTTCTAAGCCTCCAAAACCATGAGCCCACAAGTTTCTGTTCATAACATAAACAGTCTCAGGTGTTCTCTTATAGCAGCACAAAACAAACTATCACAGTGCCCAAGACATGGCAGGGCTAGATGTAGGTTTTTTTCCTGGTCTACGTCTTTGAAATTTTGCTCAGTTTTTGCAGGTCTGAAGAACACAGCTGGGAACAGACTAGGTATTAAATAGCAGGCACACAGCAAAACTTGGATTTCTGGGCTGCCAACTTAGACTGGCTAGAAATCCACAAGGGTGTGGAAATTAGATACAGACAGAAGGTTCCTGCAGTACATCCACAGAGTTTATTCAAGCAGCTGTTTTCTGGAATCAACCCCAGTGCTATATTTTAGCTCTTGCAGTGGGTGAGATTATTTTTTTTCCTGTAATTCCTGTTTCATCATGAGCACAGGGTCACACAGGTCACCAGGGTAGAGAGAGTTTTCATTTTAATGTTTTCTAACTCCTATTCTTGATAACGTTTTTGCCTTCTCCTACCTTCCTTTCTTAGTGAAAGTGGTTATGAACCCATTCCCCTCCTCTCTTCCCAGGGCTCTTTTTTTCTCATTTTGGAAATTCAGCTAGTTAACCAGCTGAGGGTGCAGCATGGTCTAAGCATCATCACTGGCTGCAGAGAGACATCATCGTACAGGAGGAAGACGTGCAGAGCAATATGTAGAGAAGACATCAAATAGGCAGACAGGGCTTCAAGTCTCAACTGTGTGAGGCTGGGCAATTTATTTAGCCTCTTGGAACATCAGTGTTCTCATCTATAAAATACGGGTGATAGAAAGCAAGATATCATTGGAAGAAACAAATGAGAAATTGTCATTCAGGAGTCTGTTGACAGATGTGTGTTCAGTGCCTGGACACTTGGTTAGTGAACAGCTTGACCCTTGAACAACTTGGATTTGAACTGTGAGGGTCTTCTTATATGTGGATTAAAATTATATTAAAATATTATAATTATAGGAATAATATATATTATAAAATACATATTTATTTTATAGGAATAAAATATATATACATATCAAAAATATTTTGGAGATTTTTGGCAATTTGATAAAACTTACAGATAAAACTCATAGCCTAGAATGTAGAAAAATTAGAAAAAAGTTAGGCATGTGATAAATGCACAAAATATATGTAGATACTAGTGTATTTTATCATTTACTACTATATAACTCACACCAATCTATTACAAAAAGTTAAAGTTTATCAAAACTTAATACAAACACTTAAAGACTGTACTTGACACCATTCACATTGAAAAGAAATATAAACAAACATATAGATGCAGTATTAAATCATAACTGCAAAAAATCAACTGCGTAAAATAATACATACTGGCTGGGCACAGTGGCTCACCCCTGTAATCCCAGCAGTTTGGGAGGCCAAGGTGGGCAGATTATCTGAGGTCAGGAGTTTGAGACCAGCCTGGCCAACATGGTGAAACCCCGTCTCTACTAAAAGTACAAAAATTAGCCAGGCATGGTGGCAGACGCCTGTAGTCCCAGCTACTAGGAAGGATGAGGCAGGAGAATTGCTTGAACCCAGGAGGCAGAGGTTGCAGTGAGCCGAGATCGCTCCACTGCATTCCAGCCTGGGTGACAGAGTGAGATTCCGTCTCAAAAGAAAAAAAAAAAGAAAGAAAGTATATACAGTTCTATGGTAATAACTTTGTAGCCACCTCCTGTTGCTATTGTGGGGAGCTCACATGTTGTATCAGCTTACATGCCATGTGACTGGCATCACTTCCATGTGGGCAGTTCCTCTCTCCAGTAAATTGCGGATAGCAGTAAAAAGTGATTGCTCATGGTTCTTGCATATTTTTCTTTCAGTGCAATATTGTAAACCTGGAATAACACCTGGAACCCATACAAAGTGCCACTAATGATGCCAGAAATGCTTCCAAGCAGCAGACAAAAGTCATAACTTTACAAGAAAAAGTTTAATTGCTTGATACTTATTGTAGATTGAGGTCTGCAACTGCAGTTGCCCACTGTTTCAGACAGAAGATTTACCTTGAAAACAGATGACATAAACTTATAGTAGAAAATAAATACAGCACAGTACTGTAAATGTATTGTCTATTCCTTGTGATTTTCTTAATAATATTATCTTTTCTTTAGCTTACTTTATTGTAAGAATACAATGTATAATACATATAACATAAAAATGATGTATTAATTGACTGTTTATGTTACCGATAAGGCGCCAGTCAACAGTCGGCTATTAATAGTTAAGTTTTGGGGGAGTGAAAAGTTATATGTGAGTTTTTGACTGCGAACATGGCAGGTGCCCCTAACTTTTGCATTGTTCAAGATTCAACTGTATTTTTTAAAAATAAATGCATATAAAATGCTTTGCAAATTTCTGGCACATAAGCATATTTGACTATAGTTAGTTATTTTTATAACAAATACGGTAAAAACTTGATTAAGATAAATGCTAAAATAGAAAAAGAAGTGATCTTTGAAGGTTCCGTAAGGGCAGGGCCGATTAAGTCTGACTGGGTCCCAGCTGGGCCTTAGAGGCTCCAGACCAATAATCCGTGGACAGCTAAACCCACTGACCAATAGTCTGATAATGAATGCAAACCAACCATGCCCCTGCAGCTGATGGTGATCTCAACCTTTTAAACATAGAAATTAAGACAGATCCAAGGCTGAATGTACCTGTCCTTGGAGAGTATTCCTAACACTAAGTGTAACCATGAATATCTAGTCTGGCTCAACAGATATTTTTCTGGATAATAAAATAGCCTGGCTAACTGAGGTCTCATGTAAACTAATCACAAAATACTACTGTGTGAGGAACCAATACAGAGTTTTGTTGATAAAGTAAAGCAAAGTCCTTGCCTTCAAGGAGCTCACATTCTTATGAGGGAAAGAAGGGAGTAAATAAATGAATTTACAGTATATATAAAAAAACAAAGTAAAGCAAGAGAGACAAGAGCATTGGGGAGGGGCTGCTGTTTGGTATCCTTTAGTGGAGGGTGGCCTCCCCAGTTAAGTGGCATTTGTGTGGGCACTCTAAAGAAGAAAAGAAAGGAACTCTTGGTTATTGAGGTAAGAACATTCCATACAGGGACAACAAAAAAGCCAAAACCCTGGGGAGAAACGTGCTTGAGTGTTTGAGAAACTTCATGGAAGTCAATGTGGTTGAAGCAGAATGAGAAAGGGAGAAACACAGTCAGAGAGGAAGAAACAAGTTAGATGCTGTCAGCTCTCCAGGTTCATTCTAAGGTGAGTGAATTGGGAAGCTCTTAGAGGGTGCTATGTTTGGGAATGTGCTCCCCAAAACTCAGTTGTTGGAAACTTAATCCCTAATGCAACAGTATTGGGAGGTGGGGCTTTTTGAGAAGTGTTTAGCTCATGAGGGCTCCACCCTCATAAATGAATTAATACTGTTATAAAAGGGCTTCACAGAGAATGTTTGATTCTTATTGTCCCCTCCACCTTCTGCCAAGTGAGGGCACAGCATTCTTCCCATCTGGAGGATACAGCATTCAAGGCACCATCTTGGAAGCAGAGAGCAGCCCCCACCAGACTCTGAACTTGCCAGTAGGTTGATCTTGGACTTCCCAGCCTCTAGAACTGTGAGAAATAATTTCTGTTCTTTATAAATTTCCCAGTCTGTGCTATTTCATTACAGTGGCACAAACAAAGATGGAGAGTTTGAGTGTGACCTGACTTAAACTAGTACACTGTCACTTTAGGTGCTCTGTGATGATCAGACCAGGCTGATATGGAAGAAGGGGGACTACTTAGATGGAGCCTATTGCAATAGTCAAGGCAGGAGTTATGGTACCCCTGGATGAACATGTTAGCAATGAAGGCAGTAAGGAGTGGTTGGTTTCGAGACATATTGTGAGGTTGAAATGTGCATCTGGAGGCCGGGCACAGTGGCTCACGCCTGTAATCCCAGCACTTTGGGAGGCAGAGGTGGGCAGATAATCTGAGGTCAGGAGTTCGAGACCAGCCTGGCCAACATGTGAAACCATGTCTCTACTAAAAATACAAAATTAGCCAGGCGTGGTGGTGCATGCCTGTAATCCCAGCTACTCGGGAGGCTGAGGCAGGAGAATCACTTGAGCCCGGGAGGCGGAGGTTGCAGTGAGCTGAGATAATGCGATTGCACTCCAGCCGGGGTGACAGAGCAAAACTGTCTCAAAAAAAAAAAAAAAAAAAAAAAAAGATGTGCAATGTGCATCTGGAGTGAAGTGGAAGAGGGCACAAAGGACACAGTGTTTTGAATTCAGAGCACAAGGAACAAAGCCTTGGGAACTTCAAGATATTTGGAGAAAGCTTTGGAATGTCCAAGACCATGGAATTGCCTCCCAGTTGTGGAAATGAAGGTTCTAAAATAAATGACCCTTCCTGGGTGTAAAACTACTATTTGTCAAAGTTAAGAGCAGTGCCTGGCTTTCTTCCTCCTTCATCTCCTTCCAGCAGTGAATTCTAGGAAACATCTCTGATATTACTGTAATTCTGAACACAGATCAGATGGTGCTGCAGGTTGGAGAAGTGGCCCACCAGCATGTAGAGGACATAGACCCTACACTTGGCTCTATCCTGAAATTGCTGTTTAACCTTGGACACGTTCACTTGAAAAGCCAAACAAATATAAATTTAGCAAGGAGACTTTATTTCTTATAAAAGCTTGTAACGTTCAAGGTGGCTATTCTGACAGGATGAAAAGCATAGCCTCTGGCAGAGACTGTTATCAGGCACTTAGAAGGAGGAGGGATTGTAGAAGGAGCTTTATGCTGAATAGGTTGGATAAACATACATATGCAACAGGTAATGGGAGGAGCTATGAATATTCGTGAAGGGAGTCCTGATGCATGTGTACTGAGCAAGCATGCATATTACATTCACCTCATGTTGACTTTGGTGTGGAGGCTTAACATTTAAATTCATTGAAATTAGGCACTGTATGTCAAAAAGTGAAGGAGAGACATAAGGATGCTTAGTGCACACCCTCTGTAACTGACCAGAACCAGTCCATGGTGGGTGGTCTCTTATCCGGAGAAAGTTATCAAAATCAGTCTCTTTGTCCAATCAAAGCTGGGTTGTGGAACAGGGGGTCAGTTCATGTCTGGAGGTGGAAGGACGCCATTGTTTTAATATTGCTTATCTCGAGTCCAGTACTTGTTTAGCTGCTAAAGAAAAAGAAACATTTGTGGCCATTAGAACATAGTTTATTCTTTAAGCATAGGGGTATGTGACTCAACGCTTGCCTGGCATGGCCTTCAGTCTTGTTTCTAATTTGGTGCCTTTTTGCCACAAAGAGTCCATTCTGTCAGGGTTATGGTCTCTATTTTAACATTAATACTGGTCAATAGTTGTGCCTAAATGGCAAGAGTGGGTATAATGAGGCATGTCTGATCTCCCCTCCTGCCATGGCTGGAACTTAGTTTTTAAGGTTCCTTTGGGATTCCCTTGGCCAAGAGGGAGCCCATTCAGTAAGTTGGGGGGGTGTTGGGGGGGCTTATAATTAATTTTAATTTTAGTTGTCACTTAGCACAACTAACATTGTACTAATATCCTTTTATACAATTTTCCAGATTTGGGCACAACAAATATAAATACACTTCACTGTCTTTAGGTAACATATCAGCTAGAAGACAAGACAAATATGTGCTCTTTTCTGTACAAATCCTAATGTTGCCTTTTAGCCAAGGTGCGTTCACAGGTATTATTACTCTTGTTCTGCCTTTTAAGTGAGAGCACATTTTGGACTTAGGGAGCTTAAAATTAGTGACTTTAATGGAATTCATAGGGCTGGTAACCCATGACTTGGAAAGGGCTGCTGGGAAAAAAAAATCTATGGAGGGTGGGCCAGATTAGAGAGGCTGAGATTGTGCCTCTGTGAGCACTGTGAGATGCTTTTATTCCCCTCTACCTGAGATCAAAGATCAGCCTCCTTCTGAATTGGCTTCTTCTGAGGCTGCTGGAACCTGTTTGGTGTTTGTTGGTTGGCTGGCTGTCTTTGGCATTCCTTGGCTTGTAGAAGCATCACCCTGATCTCTACCTTCATGTTCAATTCACATGATATTCAATTTTTTGTGTGTGTATCTCTGTGTCTCTTTAGAAGGACTCCAGCCATGTTGGATTAGGACCCATCCTAAGGGCCTCACCTTAACCTGATTATCTTCAAAGACCCTATTTCCAAAGAAGGTCACATTCATTCACCAGTACTGGGGGTTAGGACCTCGAGATCTTTCAGAAAGCACAATTCAAACCATAATGACAGTGCACAGGTAACCAGTGGTGAGATGCTCTGAGTGCAAGGCTGCTGACATGGTCATGGCTGAATATATGTTGAAGAAATAAAGGAGTGAATAAATGAATGCCATAATCCCTGTGTTTTTTGTCCCCACCTCTCACACCTTTCCCTGGCACACACAGCATCACCCAATAAAGTTTGTTCTGAAAACGAAGAACCTTTCACTAACATGGTGAGCAACTCTTCAAAGCCAGAGGAGCCTTCTGCCCCAAGAGCAGGGCAGCATCCAGCCCTCCGGGCACCAGTTCAAAGGACCACCTTTCTGCCTGAGCCTCTGCCGCACGCGCTTTGCACACAAGCCGACAGTAGGATTCTCACCTCCAGACTCAGAGGGGGCTCCACATGCCAACTCCAGGCCTGGAAATTGTTAGCTTTTAATTAAACTCCCCCTTGGCACTACAATTCCTATGCAAAATGTCTGTGGCAGGAGCAACATTGGTTGGTTAAACAGGTTTATTTAAAGCAACAAGTCTCAGAGTGCATTTTGTCCTATAAATGACTGGGTTTGAGGGTTGCCTTTAAGCAGAAATAAACTCCATGTTGAAACTCAGAATCCTGCACCAGCCTTGGACTTCAGAAGACAGTACCAGGAGGGTCTAACTTTGTGCAGCTGCACTTGCTTAAAGGGAGCGTGACATTAAAGGCGGAGAAGGAGAAAACCCTTTACTCTGTCTCCAAGCACAAGGGTTTTAGCTGGAGCTCAGATTCAGGTAAATATACAGCGAGCTGGCAAGAAGGGCTGGCCATGCATCCCTGTGCTCCCGACTCCAGCAAACACAGGCCTGGTCCTCAGAGCCTTCATCTTCATAAATTCTTTATAGAAAGAATTCCACAAAACCATTCACCTTTCTGGCTCCTGCTAAAATGAAAGCTTGCTCACTCACAGAAAGAAATGGAGAGAAAAAAAATCATTCTCACATTTGGAATATCTATTCACTCAACAAATAGAGACTGAGTCCTAGGCACTGGAATCGCAGGGCCTGGCTTCCGGTGACCTGGGTCAACTCAGTAAACCTTATGGGATTCAGTTTTCTTACCAGGAAAATGGGCCCGAGGTTTACTCATGTTTCATACACATTGCTGGAAGGATTATAAAGATTATTGTAATGGGTATGGAAAAGTTTATGAACTGGCACGGAGATGCATTTATTGTTAGAAATGGCATTATGCTGGTCCCCTGAGCATCACAAAGAAGATGCGTCCCTTTTCCTCTTAAGAATAACATAGAGACCTTACATTCATTGTTTCCTTGACCAAGGCACAAGGAAGTTTCTCTGGCTCTCTCTATTTTCATCTCTCTCTCACTCTCTCTCTCTCTCTCTCACACACACACACACACATACACACACATTTTTATATATGACTAAATTGTCTGAGCGGATAAGCCCTGTCCCCTCAGCCTGGTAGAGCTGTCCTTCCCAATTCACAACTATCTTTCAGGGCAACATACTCTACATGTGGTCTTCAGTCCTGCATACCTGTGCAAAAGCTACTAATTCATGAAGAGAAAAGTGCAGAAATTAAGAGTAACCATTTAGAAATTTTTATAGCAACTTCACATGGCACAGATATCCAGGTGCATCTCCATGGACTCATCTCAGTGAATAGATTAAAGACCCACAGAACTGGGTATATACCTGGAGGGACTAGCTCAAGAGGAATTTTAGGACCCCTTGTTCACAAAGTGTGAATAATGTCACCCTGGTGACCACAGAGCATCAAACCATGGGGTCCGGTGTGACTGCACGGGTCACAGGCCCATGACACCAGTCCTGGCTGAGTTATTTGCTGAGCCTCATGGGTTGTGAGCTGCGTGCCAGTCATGCACAGTAGGACCATAGGAGTGTCCTGCTAAGGGCTGGAGGGAAACTGGTCCCGAGAGAAATTAGGGCTTACTTCTCTAGGTCCCAGTTAAGACCCCACCTTGCTCACCAAACCTTCCCCAATGACCCAGCCAGGAGGATTTTCTCAGCATGGCGAAGGATCTATGCTCACTTTTAGGAAATTTAGCACTTTCTTCCTCCCCTGACTCAGAGTTATTCACTGACCTGCTTCTGGTACATTCTTTCCCCCCTCCCTTCAGAGCCCCTCTCATGCTGGGTGCCATTAGCAGTTTGTAAACTGCCTCTCCTGCCTTTCCCCATGTGGCCTGAGCAACTCAAAGACAAGGAATTGTGTCTTTTTCATTTTGACAAACATTGCCTTGGCTAACATTTGATAAGCACCAACTATATTCTCTGCAGTTTGCTACATAGAGATGAGAGTGGGTGGTTCGGCTCATGAGAAGCCCATAGTCAAAGGAAAAAGGATAGAGGGGTGACATGCAAGGACAAAGTGGGGTGTGCAGGTCACCTGCCAGGTCAGCACAGAGGAGGGGATTCCTCTGAAGAAGCTACTTTGTTTAGTTCTCTCAAGGGCCAGGAAAGAAAGGAGTGAGGAAAAGCAAGAACGAAAGAAGGAAGGGTTGATTTATCTATCTAGAATTGACCCTGGCACCCAGCCCAGTACTGGAGGAGCAGAGCAGGCCATTCATGCTTACAGACACACCCTCCTGCTTCTCTCTGTCCCATTTACAGCAATAGTCCTTGCACTTGCTGACCACTGCTGTCCCCTTTGCTGTCCTCTATTCTCTTCTTGACATTCTATCCAGTCAAGCTTTCATTCCACCATCCTGCCCATACAGTTCTCCCCAGAATTACTGGATGAGCCTTGTTATGACATCAGTGGCCAGCTCATGGCTTTCCCCAATGAGGCTCAACAGCACGATGACCTGCTGCCTGTTCTCACCTTCTGGATGTCTACTTCATCCTCATTTACTCAATGCTCTGCATCACCCAGATCTCTAGACATGGGCGTGCCATAGAACTCAGTTGCCAAACACTTCTATTTTCTTTACACTCCCATTCCCTAGGTGGATTCATCTAGTCTTGTGTCTTCATTTTTAATTTTTTTTAATTTTTTAAAATTTTACTTTAAGTTATGGGATACATGTGTAGAACGTGCAGGTTTGTTACATAGGTATACATGTGCCATGGTGGTTTGCTGCACCTATCAACCCATCATCTAGGTTTTAAGCTCTGCATGCATTAGGCATTTGTCCTAGTCTTGTGTCTAGTCTTGTGTCTTTAAATATCAGTTTTGAAACTCTTACTTCTGCAGCGAGGACCTTCCCATTTAACTCTATAGATAGGTACCTGCAACTGACTTATTGACAGCTCCATGCCATGCTCACCAGGAAGCCCAAATATACCAGGTTCAGATGCAAATTCCTGATCTATCTTCTCTCAGCCAAACTACTCCTTCCCTCATCTTCCCTAGCTCAGAAAATCGCAATTCTATCCCTCCTACCACTGGGCTAGAAATCTCACAGGAATCCTTTCTCTCTTCTCTGTTCAGAATCCTTTTTGCTGTGCTGTCAAAATGCATCTGAAATATGGTGACTTCTCACCACATCCTCAGCTCCCTCCCGCGAATCCAGGTAAACCTCATTTCTCACTTATATTTTCATAGCCCAACTGGTCACATCATCAGCCTCTCTCCCTCTAAGGCTGTATGGTCCAATATCATAGCTGCTAGGTACATGGAGTTGTATATATTTCAGTTTAATTTAAATTAAAGGAAATTAAGCATTCAACTGTTCAGTTGCACTCACCACATTGCAAGTGGTCATTGGCCACCTGGGGCTAGTGGCAACATTATAGGACAGGACAGATATAAAACATTTACATTATTGAAGAGAGTTTTATTGCTCCAGCATCTATTCTCATCATAGCAACCATGGGGAGGTGGTTGTAACATATGCACATGTTAGTCCTCCGCTCAAACCTGTTCAGCAGTTTTCTTTCTCACTTGGAGTAAAAGACAAGGTCCATTCAGTGGCAAGTGACTGCATCATCTGCTGCTCTTGCCCATTTATTAATCCAACCTGATCTCCCAACTTCCCATCATGCTACCGCCTCACTCAATCTGCTGCATGACACTGACCTTCTTACTCCTACTTAAACATGCTGTGCATGCTCTCACCACAGGGCCTTTGCACCTGCTGTGATTCCTGCCTGGAATACTCTTCCCCTGGAAGCCCATATGGCTCAGGCCCTTTATTTCTTCCGGGGGACTGCTCCAATGCTGCCTTCTCCATGAAGCTGCTGCCTCCTTAGGCTTTCTTCAGAGAGTGTATCAGCATTTAGCTGATTACATTAGCATTTTTACGTGTTTGGTTTTCATTGTGTGCTACGGAATGTAAGCCCTATGTGAGTGAAGACTTTTGCTTAAATGGTATCTCTCCAGAGCCCTAAACACTGTGTAGCACATAGTAGGTGCTCAGAATATATGTATTAAATTAATGAAGAAATTAAAAAAGAGAGACACATAGGCGAGAAAATGCATTTCAATCATCCACAAAATTAAGATATAAATATGCTTATTCGGTACTTTATGATAGAAAATATTTACTCTCCACTCTGATTTCTTTACCACATGGATCCATGGATTAACCATGTATTCTATATTGAGAAATATGAAATGGAATTCTAATTTTGTGGCTTCAGATCTAGCTTTTAGTGTAGAAGGTATGCATTTGTCACAACGTGACAATGAAATAGTGAGTTTACGCTCTTCGGTTTATCAAACCCTCCTCCAAATCCGTATCTCAGCAGGAATGATTACACACAGCACCAGTGGAGGAAGTCCTTTCAGCAGGGCCTCTGCCCCAGAAAAGCTCACTTCATTAGTGGTGCACGAGGCATCCTAGCTGCTGGAACATACATGCTCTGGAGTATATGACAGCTCAGTCAGGATGAAGGTGGAATTTTTACTCTTGGAAAGCGCAATGCCGATACTCCAACTGAAAAACAGCTCTACTCCAAGGGAGGATTCAGGCTTTTGACTCCCATCTCATAACCTCATCATCTTGAAAACATGGTCTCCAAGATTGCCAGGTATACCTGCATTAAGCCAGAAGTGGAGAGACAGCAAGGAGGATGTTGCCAGGGAGGTTTCCCTGGACCAGGTCTGGAAGAGGTATACGTCACTTCTGTTAGCATCCTCTTAGCTAGAACTCACTCATAGCCTCACATACCTGCAAAGAGGTCTACAAAATATCATCTGTCCACATGCGCATGAAGAAGAGGAAATGGTGAACAGCTGACCACTGTCTCACAGGTAGCTAGTGTTGAGTACCAGATGAACGTGACAGAATTTGCAGTAGAAAGAAGAGATGCAAAGTCAATTCCAGTTGACATTTGAAAAGGCTGCAGAGAAAAAGAATTTTGAAACTGTATGGACAAGAATGTAGAATAGAAAGGAACAACTCAGCATACATATGTTCAGGCCTCAGTGAAGTCTTTCTTTTTAAAAACTGCCTGAAAAAGGAGAAGAATATTCTGTTAGAAAGAGGAATTAGGGCAAGAATCTGGGACACTTGGAAAGCTGGGCTTGGATTGTCCTGTGTGGACGATGTCCAGGAGTGAGACTGGCTCACTGAAGCATACAGACACACATGCAGGCCAGGGGGTCCTCTCCACAGCTGACAGAAGAGGAAACCAGCTGAGTGAAGGGAGTGACTTACTTAAGGGCACATGATTAGGGTCAGAGTTGAGGCCAGACCCTTACATCTAGGGTGTGCTCATATTAGAAGTGCTGAGAAGCACCAGCCTCACCCTCCCTATCATTAAGGATTTGAAGGCTCGAGCTAATCAGACCTCTGAAGTTTACTGCATTTTCATTTGTCCCATTCAGATAATAAGGCAGGCAATGTAAAACCAAATTAAAATTTGAAGCATGGTTACATTATTAAAATATTTTGACTGCCCTTCAGCTGTTCTCTTCAGCTTCTGATCTTATCTCACAAGCATTTTAATTGCAACGGGCACAGATTTAAAGTCACCATACCTGCCCTAATGTAAACACCAGCACATTAAAGACACTCAGGGACTTCAGAGGCCAAGCTCCAGGGGATGGACAGAGGGTCTACTTCCAGCTTTTCTAGACTTCTGGCCTAGGAAAGTTCCTCTCCAGGCATGATGTGGGTCATCTGGGAATATTACCAGGAGAGGAAAGACACATTTTCAAAGCTTATTGTCGTGCTAATGATAATGGCTGCTTATCCATTCCCCGTGTGCTTTCACATCCAATAGCTCATCTCATCTCCTCTTCACAACAGCCCAGAGCCAAGGAAAGGGCTTATCACATAGTAGGTTCACAATGTGTATTTGCAATGTAATGGATAGATGACTCCATGGAAATCAGTATAATGTGTTTTATAATTCTCATTGTGGAAAAGTGGAAATGACGTCTCAGTGGTTTAATGATTTGCTGACAGACATCGGGTGGCTGACCTGGCAGTAGAAGCAGGTGTCTGAATTTGGGCCCAGAGCACTTTCCTTCCTAATAAAGCTTCCCCAAGTGCACAGGCCTACGCAGATGGGACCCGAGATGATTTTAGGCAATTCATGGCAATGGCATCAGATAACACCAAATCCCATTATGAGAACCAGTCTATCCTTTTCAACTTCATTTCAGATGCTTCAAGAGGAAGCTTCAAGTTGAGACTCAGATGCATGTGTGTCTTTAACATCTTTATAATGCAGACTTGGAGTCTCCCTTCTTAACAGAGATGGTAAGGCATACCCTCAAGCCTCAGCAGGAAACAGCTTCTAGTTAGAATTTCATACCAATGTTCTATTCTCATTGTCTTTATTTTACCCTCATCTCTAATTGATGACAAGGGAGACTGCTGCCCCTTTAAAAATGTAATATAGTGTGTGTACAAAAAACTGAAGTAAAAAAGTGATTCCATTAAAGGGAACAATAATGAGACAATAACATGAATGATAGATTAGCTGTGGCAAAAGCCATGAATGTCATCTAGCTTAGTAATAGAAGTCTGGAAATCATTACTTTTTATCAAGACACCTTCTTAGACAAACCAAAAGGACCTAAAATCTTTTATGTAAATAAAAGATAGAGAGTCTATAGGCAGAGTGTGAGTCCTACTTGAAGCATGGAGATTAGTCTGTGATATTGATCAGGTCTTGGCTAAGCTAACTGGCCTTCATACCCTTAATACAAATGCCACCTCCTTCATGAAGACTTTGACAATTTCTCCAACCGGGGCTGATCCTTTTCTTGTTAAAATCCCTGAAATAATTTATTTGTAGCATTCTTAGGGCAACTGGGTTGCTTTGCTTTTTTTTCAAGTCATTTACATGTGTTTCTCCATTTTTTTCCCCCAGTCCTCTTGAAATAAGTTCTAGAGCTGGGCGTGGTGGCTCAAGCCTGTAATCCCAGCACTTTGGGAGGCCGAGGGTGGGCAGATCATTTGAGGTCAGGAGTTCGAGACCAGCCCAGCCAAAATGGTGAAACCCTGTCTCTACCAAAAATACAAACAATTAGCCGGACATGGTGGCAGGCACCTGTAATCCCAGCTACTTGGGAGGGTAAGGCAGGAGAATTGCTTGTACCCGGTAGGTGGGCATTGCAGTGAGCCGAGGTTGTAGGACTGCCCTCCAGCCTGGGCAAAGGAGCAAGTCTCCCCTCCCCCGCCCCTCCCCCCACCAAGAAAAAGTAAGTTCTGTACCTGGCATCCTTGAATTTTCTTGAATTGAGTCAGTTCTACTCCTTCGTGAGTATTGAAAAAGTACTCTGTAGGACTTTAGGTAGAGGGACAATGGTACAATAGATACTTATAGCAGGACTTGCTTCTCTGTGGGGAAGCAACTGGAAGCTATGCAAGAAATCACCTTGAGGGGCCGGGCGCGGTGGCTCACGCCTGTAATCCCAGCACTTTGGGAGGCCGAGACGGGCGGATCACGAGGTCAGGAGATCGAGACCATCCTGGCTAACACGGTGAAACCCCGTCTCTACTAAAAATACAAAAATTAGCCGGCATGGTGGCGCGCGCCTGTAGTCCCAGCTACACGGGAGGCTGAGGCAGGAGAATGGCGTGAACCCAGGAGGCGGAGCTTGCAGTGAGTCGAGATCGCGCCACTGCACTCCAGCCTGGGCGACAGAGCGAAACTCCGCCTCAAAAAAAAAAAAAAAAAAAAAAAAATCACCTTGAGGGAGTGATTGGATTCCTGGGATCCCTAAATGGTATAAATCGCTGGCACAGCCTGGGGTTCTTAGCCATCTCAATTCTTTTCTGAGATAGCTCAGAAGACCTAGCTCCTTACTGGTCTTTAAACTCCATTCAACATTCCAACTCAGCCGTGTTTCTAGGAAACATCTTCTCTCCAGTGCAATGACCTGCAAAAATGAGCAGTGTTGGGTATCTCGAAATAAATAGAAATTTGCCAGAGAGGGAATGGAATTCCAGGAAAAAGGAATTGCATGTGCAGACGATTGAAGACATGAAACGATTATACTCATCGAAGGGGTATTGGTGGGCTCAATGTGGTGGAACACAAGATGAATGCGGATATGATGGTAAGGAGCTAGGCATGGGGGTGAAGTACATTTTTGCAAGGATGAGGAAATAATGTGCTAGTGTCTAAACTTCATCCTGAAAGTTAGAGAAATCCTCAGCAATATTGAAGGAAGTGATGGAAGAACATGGTCAAGTTGTGTTTTGCATGGAAAGGCTTTTGCAGCGCCATGGTGAAGGAGAGTGGACTGAATGAGGCATGCCTGGAAAACCCACGTGAATTTCCAGTTTGGAGCAGTAGCAGGGAGGGTAGGGAAGCTGGGGCAGAGAGATGCGCAAGCAGGCCTATGCTATGGAACCCTACTTTAGACCCCCATTCATATCGAGCACACGAGAATATTCAGGAAGCATCCTCCAGAATAGAGCATAGATTGAACAATTTGCTCTGAATAATTAAATTTGCAGTTTTAAGCCCATCGCAGTAGAGTTTATTTATAATTGGAGCCACAGTTTGCATGCACTTTAAATGCAAAGAAGGGCTTTAACTGTCAAGTTATTATAGTACTCAAGAGTTTAATTAATAACACACTAATTGTAGAAGCCAACATCAAGAGTCACACCATATTGTCCCTATTATGTTTGGAAACTGTTTGAAGTGATTTAGTAATTAAAAAAAGAACTTGAAAATTTAGCCTTATCTTCTCATAGATATGGAGGGTCTTTTGTTTCATGTGTTCTAGTACTTTTTTAAGATAGAGGGGTCTTTCTTTCGTTTTGTGAAGAAGAGACTCTGAATAATATTTTTAGAATAGATACATGCCTGTATATTAAAACAAGCTAAAAGGCAACATGCTTGGATACTAATGGTTTTTTGATAAGACATCTATCAAAAAGTTAAATCAAACAGTAAAATTTAAAAAATTAAACCTTAGAATTTGAGCTATAAGGGACGCCAGGCTTGATCTATTTTACCCTCAAACCTATTTGCCAAATGTGGAAGTGAGGTTAGTAAAGTCAAACGGTTGGTTTGAACATGGTCAAATAACCAAACTTCATCTCTTAATCTCTAAATTCCCTTCCACTTCTAAAATTTTATACTGTATCTATCTCTGACCAAAAAGAATGCCTTCCCCTCTGAAAGACACAGGCCTAACTAAAAGAGCATTTAGACAATTCATTAGCATCTGCCCTTCCTATCTAGGGAATAAACTTCTTCAAGGAAGAGCTCGTACCTTTTTCATCTTTGATGGCCATGAACTTGGTATTCCTAACTCAATGCCTGTTAATAGCTAATCATAAATACCTGTCAAATAAAACTAGATTTACCCCCCTGCCCCAACATTTCCTATTCTAAATACTACATCTACTTAAATCTTAAGTAAGCAATTCAAGTAAAACTTAAATCTACCTACAGCTTCTGGGCAGATACATTAACCACCACTTAGTTAAACCTAGGAGCCACTGACTTAAACTGTGTACCAAACCAGCCAAGGCAATTTAGCAAATACTTAATTTACCTGCTGCTGTGTGTCAAGATATCAGAAGCTGGGATACAGTGTTAAATAGAGCACACTACTCTGGGGAAAAAGTAAATAAATAAAAAGTTCTCTTTATAAAATATATACATTTATAAATGTATATAAACATACACACACACACACATATATATATAAATGTGCAAAGTAGAATTTTTCAAAAATATTCTGTGAACATAGATTTGAGGCCAGCGGACTTCCTGTAAGGAGCCTACTAATAGGTATTTTCTGTTTTGCCGGCCACACAGTCTCTGCCACAACCAAGCAACTCTGCCGCCATAGTGTGGAAGCAACCACAGGCAGTACATAAATGAATGAGCATGGCTGTAATAAAACTTTGTTTATTGACACTGAAATTGGAACTTCATATAGTTTTTATGTGTCATTATCCTTTTTGGACATTTAAAAATGCGAATCCATTTCTAGCTCTCGTGGTCTACAGATAGGTGGTGAGCCAGATTGGGCCCTCAGGGGCTGTAGTTGGCTGACCTCGTTGTTGCTGAGATACAGTCCTCCCTTAATTTTAAGGAGAAGATCTCTCGAACATAGAGGGAAGCAGCAGTTGGGTCTGAGGCAGAGGGCAGTCTGAATTTGGAAGGCCTTGGACAGGAGGCCCTAAAGGCAAGCTGGGCCAAGTTTTAAAGGGTTGTTGATGCCATGTCAAATAATTTTGAGTCTATCCTATAGACAACTGCGAGCTGAAGGAGAATGTTCGGCAGCAGAATGTTATAGTTACGTTTGGTTTTAAAGATCATTCTAGAGTGCCCCTCCCAACCCCTAACTCTGCTGAGAAGGGCCTGGAAAGAGGTAACAGCAGCCAAATAGCCAGCAAGGATGTGATTGCAGTAATCCAGGGAAAGGAACGTGCCAGAATGAGTTATTAAATCAACAGGAGTGCGTTGAACTGAAACTTTAACACATAGCTAAGCAAGTTTGAGCAAACCTCCCAAGTCTAAACAGCTAACTAGGCAAAATAAACACTTACGGCTTGAGGAAAGTTTTGTCCTTATTTCTTCCTATAGGACACTAAACCCAGAAATACCATTTTGAATGGATAATAGAGCAAAACCCTGCCAAGTCACCAGTGATTCCCGGCACAGAGAGGTTAAGGCATTTCTCTAAGACTACACAGCTAGTTCATGATCCGCCATGGTCACAAACCCTGGCCTCTTGTTAATTTCTATTCCTGCACTTTATAAGGTTTACATGCAGTTTTATTAGGTTGGTAAAAGAGTAACTGTAGCTTTTGCAATGGCAAAAACCACAATTACTTTGGCACCAACCTAATAGCTTCATAAAATGTCAGGGCGTGAACACAAACCAGGAAGTCAAGTATGCTGGCCCCTCTTAATAGCTCACGTATGGGGTGGCTCAACAGAGTCCTCCAGTAAAAGCGCAGGTGAAGCTGAAGCTCACAAACAAAATATTGGGTAAAATAAGCCAGGCACAACGGAGTGCATGCTGTAGGAGTTTGTTTGCCTGGAGCATGTAAACAGACACAGCTAACATCAGCTGTTAGAAGTAGGATAGTGGTTAGTCTCTGGGAGCAGGTGGGTAGGTAAGGATTGAGAGAGTCTGAGGGAGCTTCCTGAGGATTGATGATGGAAGGTTTCCTGAGCTAGGAGAGGGTTCAATGGGCACATTTGATTTGTGAAAATGCCTTCAGCTGTACCCTTACATGTGCGCTTCTCAGTATGTATGCTATGTGCCTCAACAAAAGGTGAAAAACGTAGCCATCTATAGATATATCTGTATTTGTATCTATACCAATAACTATGTCTATATCCAGCTCAATATCTATGTCTATATCTGCATATATACATATAGATGGAGGTATAAATGAGTTATAGATAAATAGGTATAAACCGTATCTATATATCTGTGTCTATCTAAAGTTTTTAATGTTTTCTTATTATAATAAAACAAACTGATCCTACACTTGGAAAATTATTTATTCTCCCTGAAACTCAGATTATGAATCTGTAAAATGAAGGTTATTAAATACAGCCTGACCCATAGCAGAAGCTCCATAAAGGTCTTAGTGAGCTCCCTTCGTCCTGCACACTTTTTTCCATGTGGCCTGGCTGGAGTGGAGGTGCCCAAGATGTAGAAGTCTTCCTGGGTGATCAGATGTCCTGCCGAGGCCTGGAGCCTTGGGCAGGTTCTACTCACCCCATCCAGAACTCTGCTGGGAGCATCGTTATCCACCTACCAGGGAGTCCTCTCAGCTCACCCTTCACATCTGTCAGAGGTTGATGTAACTGGTCGGCTAGGATTCTGTATTACCAAGTTCCTGGTCCAAATATCAAATACCACAAAATACCATCTTGATTTCTAACAGCTTTCTTGTCTGGTAAATAGGGTTAATAATAAGAGTCTTTCTCATCTCCCAGAGCTACCGTAAAGATCAAATAAGATAATAAATGTGAAAGCATTTTGTCTTCTTTAAAGATATACACAATCCTAAGGTTTAGCTAACTTAGTGACTCAATGCTGTGCATGTCTTCTCACAGGTCCGTCACCGCCGCTGGAATTTGATCTCTGCAAGGTGAGGGCAGGGTTTCCCTCATCACTGCAACCCTGGAACCTAAGGCACACAGCCTGGGACAGAGCCATTGTATGACAATTATCTGAATGAGTGAGAAATCCTTGTGTGATCACATGTTCTCAGTCTTTCATGAAGAAATGCCACATGTCAGCAACAACTCCACGGTCGTCCAGCCCTTATAAATTTTCAATATATTTTCACTGAATTTTACAATCTATGCCTTGGATGTCAAAACATATGTTAGGAACCATCAACAGTAATAAATGACGACACCATGATAACCACAGAAAATCGATGATAAAACAGGAAAACAATATTTTATTACTGGCTCGAGTGAAATAGAAATCAGGGTACATTTTCATGATTAGGAATTAGATTAGAAAATTGACAACATGATAACTTTTAACAAAAATAAGATTCAGCAGTCTTGCAGAATGTAAAAGGCATGATGGTAAGTCACGAGCTGTAATATGGTATTTTGTGGTGTCACTAATGTTATATGAACCATTTCATCTGTGAGAAGATTACCTGTAGGTTTGAATCTGAAGGTGTGTTTTATTACGTATTTTAAAGGCAACCTGATAGTGTCCATTTCACAATCTGTAAATACAAGAAAAAGTTCTTTTGTTTAATTTACCAATTTCTAAGTCACAGATGTGCAATTTGTAGGCTCCTAATGATTTACAAATTCCTGTAATCTTATTTTGTAGGCTATGATGTGAGAAAGCCGTGAAAAAAAAAAAATACAGGAAGAAATAACAGGAAGGGGGTCCCGTCCATTCTCTGTGTTGTTGTAATTTATGAGAAGATGAGAAGGGATCTGTTTGATAAGCAATTCCACTCACTCTGGGTAGAAGTGGAGTTGATATCATTCATTGATATGGGTCAGTACAGTTTATTCGCCCTGTTCCAATTTTTTGGTTATGCATTCAGGTTTTAAAATATTCAGCCTCAAAATGCAGTGCACACAATTTTGAAATCCATTTTCCACTGTGGGTCTCTGAATGGGATGCACACCCGATAAAGGTCTCATGGGTGAAATTTAAAATTTGTCCCATTTGATGTGAATCCAATAGGATTTATAGCAGCAACAACAAAGATAGTCAAATATTTTCCGGTTTTAAATGGGAATGTTAGTGCTTGTGAAAGGCATCAACGTGATGTTGCCTGGAGGACTGAGGTCTTTTAGCCACAGAACTGATAAAGAGAAAGGAAAAAAAATCAAATCAAATCAAAATACCGAATGAGCTTCCCCAGGCTGGTCAGAGTTCAAGCTTCAGGACTCAAGGATGGGTCAAAATCAAAGCTTTCGCAACATGGGAAGGAGGTATCACCGGTGCTCCTGATGTCAGCCTAAACGTGGCACTTCAGTAGTCTCTCTTAATCTCCGCAATCCACTTTTCAGAGGGAGTGGGTGGCTTTGCCAGGATCTCACAGCATCAAGGTGGGCTCTGAACTTGGATGTGTCTGACTCCAAAGCCCAGGCTTCTTATAAATTATAGTCCAAAGCAGAGCCCTTAGGAAGGAGAAAGGAGGGCACTATGAATAATTATACCAGGACAGCAGAGTGCAACCAGAACAGACCCAGGTAAACTTCAGAGCAGCATGCCTGTAGCTCCTACTCCTGGGAACATGGGACCCCATTGCCCCACGTAGCACAGAAACAGACAAACAGGAGCACCGTATATTTTGCGAAAATGGAAGGGGGCTACAGGACCCTTTGCCCAGAATCCACACTACTACCCTGATACAGAAACAGTTCCTGGATGCCGGTTCACAAGGTTTGCAATACAGATTTAGTATCCCTTATCCAAAATGCTTGGGGTCAGAAGTGTTTCAGATTTCCAATTTCTTCAGATTTTGGAATATTTGTATGCACATAATGAGATATCTTGGGGATGAGACCCAAGTCTAAACACATTTTTTTTAATGTTTCATATGCCTTATACACATAGCCACAAGGTAATTTTTATACAATATTTTAAATAATTGGTGCATGAAACAAAGTTTGTGTTAAGTAATTATGTGTGGAATTTTCCACTTGTGACATCATGTTGGTGCTCAAAAGTTCTGGATTTTGGAGCATTTCAGATTTTGGATTTTGGGATTAGGGGTGCTCCTCCTGTACACACAAAGCAGGGGGCAGGGGCTGGCATGTGCACAAGAATTCCTGGGGGCCAGGCCTCTGCCATGCCCCTTCTCTGGGGAGCAATCCCTCTCCTCCCCAGCTGCAACATTGAGAACAGAATGGAAGCTTCCCGCTGGCCACAGGGAATAATCTAATGTCTCTCACCTCCTTCCCCACATATACACACTTCCCAAATGATTGGTCCAAGCCTGTGATCCAACCTGGGCCAGTTAGGAACCTTCCCCCAAATTTCTTACTTGGGGTTGGAGCCCTGTAAATTGCTGCTGCCGGCCAACAAGGAGAGTGCAGCAGGGGTGAGAGGCAGGAGGTGAGGGTCCCTTCCAGGAAGTGTCTGGCCCCAGCCTTCCCCAGCTGCTCCCTCACCTTTCACAAAATGTGAGCCAGTGCAACCCCCACTTTGTGCTTGGGCTAATCCTCCCTCTGTTCCTATACTAGCAACTCAAAGGGTTCTAGATAATGTGAGTCCTACAGACGGCACCTGGCTGATGTGAGGGACTGTGAGGTAGGGGTGGCAGAGCAGTGAGCCAGGTGCCCGGACAAGTCTGCAAGCTCCAGTAGGCGGAACGTTGTCACTACCCAAAGTGTGCTCCATCAGCCAATAGTGTGAGCATCCCCTAGGAACTTACAGGAATGTAGAACCCTGGAACCACTGAATGGGAGTCTGAATTTTCACAAGATTCCCAGGACATTTATATGGCATTAAAGTTAGAAATGCACTTAACTCAAGGACAATAACACCATCTGTTGATTCAGTGGTATAAATTCATCAAGAGTGGACCAAGGGCAAAAACCTGGCTTCACTCTCTGGGGCTGTCATTGAAAGAAAGCAGTGTGTATCTGGATACAAGGACTGTTAGATCTCATTTCGTCCACATGCAAGTGGAAATACTGAGGCCCAGGAAAGTAGAGTGAGGCCCCTGAAACCTCATACCTGGTTCCATGTGCTGAGTCTAGGACAAAGGGGCTCTTTCATCCTATCGCATCATAAAGATAAGCCAGTTCTTAGCCTTTCTTTCTCTTTCTTTCTTTCTTTCTTTCTTTCTTTCTTTCTTTCTTTCTTTCTTTCTTTCTTTCTTTCTTTTTCTTTTTCTTTCTTTCTTTCTTTTTCTCTCTCTCTCATTCTCTCTCTTTTTCTTTCTTTCTCTTTCTTTTTTTCTCTTTCTCTCTCTCTCTCTCTCTTCCTTCCTTCTTTCCTTCCTTCCCTCCTTCCTTCGTTCTTTTTATCTTTTTTTTTTTTCTGGAGTCTCGCTCTGTCACCCAGGATGGACTGCAGTGGCGCAATCTCGGCTCACTGCAAGCTCCGCCTCCCGGGTTCATGCCATTCTCCTGCCTCAGCCTCCCGAGTAGCTGGGACTACAAGTGCCCGCCACCATGCCCGGCTAATTTTTTGTATTTTTAGTAGATGGTCTCCATCTCCTGACCTCATGATCCGCCTGTCTCAGCCTCCCAAAGGGCTAGCATTACAGGCTTGAGCCACTGCACCTGGCTCTTTTCTTTCTTACTCATTACCCCTCTGTGTTCAGATCTGTGTAGAGGAACAGTTATGTGTATAGAGTACACAGCTACTCTAGGTCGCCTTATCTGTCCCAAAGTGACAGTCTTCCCTACCATGACAACATGCTCATTTGCTGAGCTGTACGTGGGCTACAATTTCACCCCCCATAATTCATCTGTTGAGAATCTCTAATAGCTTCATAAATCTGGGAAGCAAGAAAATCATCAACTTCTCTTAAGCTTAAATTAAGTTCAGATCCTTCTTTCCATATAAGTCACAGCAAAAGCTTTGCTTTTCATTCTGCTCCACACGTATTTATGGGCATCTACCAGTACTCAGTGCTTCCTCCTATCACTCCACATGCAGGCCTCTAATCACGATTCATATTTGGACAGAAACTTGAAGTTTACAAAGCCCTTTTACATGTGTGTCCTTATTTGATCCAAACAAATGATAAATTCAAAAAAAGCTTTTGCATTGAGGTACAGATGCTAGTTAATATGGTAATAATATTAATGCTGATAATCATGTTAAATTAAGAGTAGTGATAATAATAAGCCTTATGGGACAGGTATTCAAACATAAAAACTTTCATTATTTATGGGTTGATCTTTATATCTAGATCCTGTGAGAGTTGCCTTAATGCAAAGTTAAAATCGGCGATGCCTGTGCTCATCACTTCTGTCATGCTTTGGCTAGTGTGGTAATCAGAATAATGGACCTCTCTTAATGGACCTCTAGAGAGGTCCCTGTCTGAATCCCCACAACCTGTGACTATACTGCCTTATATGGCAGAGGAACTTTTCAGGAAAGATCAGGAATATGAACCTGGAGATAGGATGATTATCCTGGGTTATCCCGGGTAATCGTATCATATGAATCCTTCAAAGTGGAGAAGCTTTTCCAGCTTTTGTGGGGATGAAGATGTGAACATTGAAGAATGTAGAGTGGAATGCTACCTGGTTGGCTTTGAAGATGGAGGAAGGGGGTCAGAAACCAAGGAATGCTGGTGTCCTCTAGTAGCTGGAAAAGGCAAAGCAATGAATTCTACCCTCAAACCTCCAGGGTGACTGACTAACAGACATCTTGCTTTTAGCCTGATGAAACCTATGTTGGGTTTCTAAACTATCAAGAAGGTAATACATTTATGTTGTTTAAGCCAGGGTTCCCCAGTCCCCGGTCACGGATGGGTACTGGTCCATGGCTTGTTAGGAACTGGGCTGCACAGCAGGAGGTTAGCAGGAGGGTAAGTGAAGCTTCGTCTGTATTTACAGCCACTCCCCATCACTCACATTACCGCCTGAGCTCCTCCTTCTGGCAGATCAATGGCAGTATAAGATCCTCACAGGAACACAAACCCTACTGTGAACTGCACATGTGAGGGATCTAGGTTGTGTTCTCCTTATGAGAATCTAATGCCTGATGATCTGTCACTGTCTCCCATCTCCCCAAGATAGGACTGTGTAGTTGCAGGAAAACAAGCTCAGGGCTCCCACTGATTCTACATTATGGTCAGTTGTATTTCATTATATATTATAATGTGATAAAAGTGGAAATAAAGTGCACCATGAATGTAACGTTCTTGAGTCATCCCCAAACCATCCCCTGCTCCCAGTCCGTGGAAAATTGTCTTCCTCGAAACCACTACCTGGTGCCAAAAAGGTTGGGGATCACTGGTTTAAGCTACCAATTTTGTGCTCAGTTTTTACAGCAGCAACTGAAAACTCATATGGCTACATTATTATCAGAAAAGAAACACACAGAATGGTCTCTGGATCTTTGATCAGGAACAGCACGAGTGAAGAGCAACATCGTTTACAATCCTAAAAAGATTCCTCCCCAGCAGCACAGCAGATGAGGAAGGTGCCACATCAGATTCCAATTTGCTCAGTAGTCCTGTGAAGCGATTGGGAGCCAGGCTGGTTGGGTTAAAATCTGATGTGCATCAGTAAGCAGCTGTGTGACCCTTGACAGATGACCCAACCTCTCTGTGTCTCAGTTCCTTACACTAAAAATGGGAATAATAATGATATGAATGTCATAGTCCTGTGTGAGGGTGGATTAAGTTGACATATGTAAGCACTAACATAGTGCCTGATACACAGTAAGTGCTATACACATTTTGGACTCTCCTTAAATTTACTTTAGAAATTGTAGATTAGCCTACAAATTTATTTAAGAGACGATAAAAAAAAGATTCAAAACTTTAGGAATTTAGAAAGAATATAATCCATGGAGTCAGATTCAAGTCACAGCTCAGCTGAAGGGATAGGCAGTTTATTTCACTTCTTTGGCCTTCAGTTTCCACCCTCTAAACAACAACAACAACAAAAAAACAAAACAATGAAAACTACTCAGTGGTATTACTATAACGTTGAAATGCGGTATCATCAGTAGACAGAGCTGTCTCTTCGATTTGAGGGCCACACACAGCTGCCCCATGTCTCTTAGCCCATTGCGTCCTCGTCTTCCCATGAGGCTTAAGTGTTCTACCACTGATTCTCCCCCTACCAGGAATTACGTTGCATACAAACTGCCTCTTCAAAGGCAGGCTAATGTGTGCCTGATAATAGTTATTATTAAATGGCTTTATTGTACACACCTACTTTTATTATTGCATTATAATAATGAAATATCGGCAGTAGATTAAAGTCCCTGTGCCAAACAGCATGCCTTCCCTTTGGCAAGCCTGGCCATGGTTTTGTGGGTGGATGCTCCCAGCTCCTGGAAATTGAGTGGCTGGCCACCTTAAGTAAAAAGTCCCTGGCAATCTGAAAGAACATTTACTTTCTGGAGCATACTTTAAAGGATGACTAACTGGCCCTATGAAGCTGTACAATTGGGCAAGGGATTAGCAAAACCCCAAGAGGTAAGTTGCCTCCTAGGTAATTAGCATATCGAAATAGCCAACTGACCACTGAGAATTGTGTTGTCATTGAAAGGAGAGGGGTGCTTGGGATTCTGTGTGGTTCCCTAGCGCTACTGAGCCACTGTGGGTTTTCAGAAATGCAGGGATTGTTGCTCTCTGGGGACTGCTCGATTGCCACAGTTCACCCCAGATTTCATCTGTGGAAGGAGGCCTACTTACCTTGAGCATATGCAAGATGAGTGCTGCTTCATCTCTCTCCTCTTTGATCCCCTCACCCTCTCCTACTCCTCTTCTGACAACATTGCATCTCAGCCCTTTCACGTAGCTGACTCTTAGCTGACTTAAAGGTCTTAGCATCCCTGACAGATGGAAAAAGCCAGTGGAAGATGGTGGAAGGAAGCCATTGTGAGGGGTTCAGTTCAATTCAGTGGAGATATGGGAAATGTGAATTATGGGGGCATGAGGGCATTAGCTCTTAGAGGAATAGCGGGCTTAGAAAGAGCCCATCTCTTAGTTGTCCAGCTTGAACATGGAGACAAAAGGCCTGGGCTTGAGACTCTCAGTTTGCATCATGGACTCAGTTTCCACATCTATGAAATGGGCATGACTAACATTATTTGGAAATGTTACGCACATAAACAGAATATATGTAAACTCTGCAGCATGCTGCATGCCACCTGGCAGGTGGTCAACATCAGCTCCTTTTTAGTGATGGGGTCGGTGGGGGTAGGGCGAGAATTGCTTGGAATATGTGAAGAAAACTTCCCCCACTATCACCGTGTGGCCTCAGATATGTTATTTAATCTCTCGGACCCTCACCTACCAAACCTAAATAACACCCTCCCCTCGCCTCCCTCCCTGGAGCTGCTGGTCTGGCTACTGAAACGCAGATGCTTACCTGCTGTCTTCAAGATCTGAAGCCACACAGGGTCCTTTTTCAAGATCTGGAGGTGACGGGTTTACTCAGCCACAAACGGATTAATTGAGAATGAAGGCACCTACCTACAGAATGATGTTTGGATAAAGTTGACATGAATAGTTACACGGCAAAATTGCATAACACAATTGCAATTTTGGTTTTGTATGAAACTTCAACCTCTTCTCTCCAGTGTCTAGGAAACCTCCTGGTAGTTGGGACTTAGAAAAATGTCTCAGCTCTGGTTCCATTTCAATTCTCTTTTTTGATGTCTGGGTTCTAGGAGGTTGCGGATGCTCTTCGCATCCCTTCCAGGACCATGGAGTTTATTTCAACCAGGGCCTTCAACATCAGTACTGAGAATTCTTTTTTTCTGTATGATTCTGCATTTTACACAGTTAGGTCAGTCTCCATGAAATACACTTCTAGAGAGGTCCCTTTCCTCCAGTATGCTCTATTCATGAAATGAAAACACTTGGTTTGGCCAAACAGGTTCTTCCTGTAACATCTTCTCTGTCTCTCTCATTGTTTTTCTCTGAACCTTCCTCTCCTACCCTTCCCCAACCAACATCTTTTCCTCTTATCTTTTATGCTTTGGCTCAGTTAAAGGTCCTTTTAGGAGCCCTCTCTAACTTCAAAGGTCAGGGATTGATGGCCTTCCATGTCACCCTGCTCTTCGCCAAATCAGAGCTTTTTTTAAAAAAATCTAACATTCTATCTATCATCTATCTATCTATCTATCTATCTATCTATCTATCTATCTATCATCTATCTATCATCTATCTAATCTATCTATCAATCATCTATCTATCTAGCTAGCTAGCTATCTATATCTATCAATCACCTATCATTGATGCAACTATATTCTATCTACACATACATATACATACAAACATACATACACATATACATCTATGGTTTAAAATTAAAATAAGACTAGATAGATCTTAATGGAGAAAAGCAAACCTCTGCCCTAGCCCTGTTCACACCCAATATCTGCCCCCTAGAAGAAAACGCTTTTGAATGTTTAGGTGTTTTTGCTTTTTATTTATCTCTATATATTTATAATAACCTGCTTACATAGCTACATATTTTATGCTTATTGTAGGGAATATCTGTTGACTTTCTATGATACAAAATGAGCACTGGAAATTTGCATGCCCTCTCCCATGCACGTGCAGAAATACACAAATTGTGCATTTCTCCCTCCTCTTGTTACTGTTCAGTTTTTGTTTGACTCAGTATATAATGATCCTGACATCATGGCCATGTCTGTGTTGTCCATGCTGAGTCACAGGGAGTGTGATGATTGGACTTCCCTTCTTGTACAGTTTCACTGAGTTAACCACTACCTCGTCTGTTTAAGTCATTGTTGCTCTTTTCCATATCCTTACTTCTAATTCATCTCTGAACTCTCTCTGGTACATGTTTTTCCTAATGCAGTTGAGAATCAGATCATCTGTAGGGTCTGTTTTGTTCTAGGAAAAGTCTTTTTCTGGAGCTTTCTATACTCCTGCTTTTGTCTGGTCTTATTTTTCTGCAAACCACACATATAGTCCTAGAAATTCCTTCCTTCCTGATCCTGGAAATTCCTTTCACTTCTGCCCTTGATTGGTCTTTTTTCCCTGCATTCTGTGTCCCCCTTGTTCTTAGTTATCACCTTTGTTTGGGGCACACAGTCTTCTGTCATTCCTGGAGAAAGGACACAGGATATGTATGGGCATGTCCTTATCCGACCTTCCCACTTGATTGTAGTTTGGCAGCTAGGCATGGAATTCTAGGTTAGACTATCTTTCTCTCTGAGTCTAAGGACAATGAGGCAAAGCCTTCCCGCTCCCAGGGCTGCTGAGAAGCCGGTGTCATACAGAGTCTTAACGACATGAATGCCACTTGTTTGTTCTTGCTCTCTGGAAGCTTTACAAATCTTCTTTGTATCTCCAGTGTTCTAAAAGTGGCCGTGCTAGGTTAATTCTATGTCTTTGCTATTGTGAATAGAGCTGCGATGAACATGCGAGTGTGTGTGTCTTTCTGATAGAATGAATTATTTTCCTTCGAGTTCACTTAGTTTACATGATCGTGTAGATCTTGAAAATGTTGAAACATTTCATCATACTATATGAAAAACACATTGGTTAATATCACCAATCTCATTACAAAAAGTCCTTAAGAATTGGGAAGCTGTCAAATTCATGGAGAGATACAGAAAACTTTCAAAATTCGAATTTTCACTGGAGATTTTGAATTTTATCATTAAAAATAGATTGTTAGCTGTTTTCCTAACAGGCGCACTTCACTAACTTTTAATAAACTATCTGATAGCAAAATAACAACAAAATAAAAATGACAGTCCTTCCTTGGGTCATTTTACACCAGTCGTGCAGAACACTTCGAGGACCTTTTAAATTGTGTTTTGATTATCTTCCCTGTCTGCAATCATTTCTGTTTTATCATTGCTTAAGCCTCTTTTTTTTTCTTTTGAGGTAAAATTTACATTCAATAAAGTGTACAAATCTTAAGTGTCCCACACTGATGAGTTTTGACTGATGCATACACCAGTGCAACCGAAAGCACAGTCCAGATAGAGAACATTCCCATCGCAGAAAAGACCTCTCTGCTTGCTCCTCAAGTAGGGAGAAGGAGGCACTCTCTACTTCTCTACCAAAGAAAAGGCGCTTTGGACTTCTTCATGGTGCACTAGTTTGGCATTAAGGAACTGTACATAAAAGAAATAATATTGCATACTGTCTGTGTCCAGCCTCTTTACCTTGACATGTTTCTGGGATTTCTCTATACTGTTACCTGTAACCATGTTGTGTTCCTTCTTATTTCTGAGTATTATTTCATTTACTATCAATTGCCATTCAGGGAACCCCTGAGGTGTTTCCAGTTTGGGGTTATTATGAATAAAGCTGAAGTTAATATTTTGTGCAGTTCTTCCAGTAAACATCTTTTTATTTCTACTGGGTATACACCTAGAAGTGGAATGTTTAGGTCATAGGGTAGAACGATGTTCAGATTGTTTTCAGAAACTGCCAGAAGTTTTTCCAATATAATTCAACCATTTTTACTACCATTAACAGTACATGAGCATTCTAATTGTTCCACATCCTTGTCAACATTTGGCTTTGTCAGTCATTTTCATTTTAGCTGTTTTGGTGACTATATAGTGGTATCTTGTTATGATTTTTATTTGTATTTTTCTGATGGCTGATGATGTTGAGCATTTTTTTATGTCCTTATTGGCCATTTGTCTATATTCTTTATATTCTTTTATGAAGTGTCTGTTGTCCATTTTTTATTGGGTTATTTGTCTTCATATTATTGATTTGAAGGGGTTCATTATATATCCCATATACATATGACATATGTATGTATCCTTTGTGAAACTATTTAGATACTTTAAAAATTTTTAACTGCGCAAAATATATATAGTATAAAATCCACCCTCTTAATCATTTTTCAGCGTGTAACTCAGTAGTGTTAAGTGCTAACGCACTTTGAATCCTGAGACAGTTTTCTTTTGCTCCAAATGTTTTCTTTTAATAGCGTCTTATTCTTTTGCAATAGATGCAGTATCTTCTTTTATTTCTCTAAATTATATAATTATCTTCTGTTCCCTGCAGTGTCTCCTTTTCCTTTTAGATTTAGAGTCTGAAGTTCATGCTTTTCTCAAATACATATGATCCTTTGTTGCCCATTGACAATGAACAGCGTGGAGCCATAGCTTGTGTGGAGGCTGCGTGTGCTGGGTGAGATTTGTCAAACACTTTGCTTTAAAATAGATAAAAGACTTAGCTCTTTCACTGGTTCAACTCCAAATTTTAATATTTGTAGGTCCTGGATCATCAGCTGCTCAGAGTTTCCAATGATGATAAAGCTCCTATCCCTTGCCTGGCCTCTCTCATCCTAACCATGTTCTGGTGGCCAAGTAGGGGAAGTGAATTGAGGCAACGGGTGTGAAGGATCTCACCATGCAGTCACTACACTTTCACCAAATCTTCTTGGTTTCACTGGGCTACCTGGGATCTGGAGCCTTCCTAGTTCAGTTCTTCTACAGACTAAACTCCATGTCTCTTGTCTCTGGCAGGGTAGGGTGGAAGGAGCAGTTCATGCTGCGGCAGGGTGGAAGTAGCCTCCTGGCCAGTCATCCTGTATTCAGTCTGACCTTGAATCTGGCCTTCAGAGGCAAGTGGTTGTCCCATCCTCAGCCTCCCCAGGACTCCCCAGTGCACATCTCCCTGGCCCTTGATGCCCCTACCCCAGGCAGACACTTTGGTGTTGTTCTTACTGTCAGCCAAGTGATTTGCTGCCTTCTCACCTATTCTCTAAGGTCCTAGTACTTGACACCCTTTGTCTGTTGTTCCTGCCTCTCAGACTTCCTTATCTCTGTGGATTTGTACATTCCCTACTTTGCGGTGCTATGGGAAGAAGATCAGATGAGGGATGCCCATCATGTGCCTTACACAATGTGTGGTCAATATCAGCTTACCCTTGTCTCTGAGCTCCTTCCAGGGAAGGAGCCATAAACCTGTGGTCATCATTCTCTCCCACATGGCAGGTGCACAATGAACATTTGTTGAGTTGAATGTATTCCTGCACTGCTTCCAGAGATGGGCCCATCCCATCCTGGTTTGTGATAATAGAGCCTCATTGCTAGGCAATTCAAACCTGGAAATAGCTCCTTCAGTATTCTGAAGTCTGGACTCTGTGAGACATTCCCTATGCCACGACGAGCATGTCCTCTTGCTGCGGCACTTTTCCAGGAGCTGGCTTCTCCACCACCTTCCTTCCACTCTTCCATAGGTTACAGGCAGGCACTCGCGGTCCACATGGAGCTTTGCTCTGCTTTGCAGCCTTCCTGCCTTGAATGTCTGAGCTTGGGGCCCGTGCTTATTTTCATGTTTTCATTACAGGCTGCCACTGGATTCTCAAAAGGCAAATTGGCCCCAACTGTCTTAAAAAACAAACGGCCTCTCCTAGTGCTTCAAAATAATTATCTCCAAAAGGGAAGGAGGCAGCGCATCCACTGTCAGTCCTAAATGACATCATGGCTGATGTGCAGTGTTTAGAAGATTAATAACATCTGCTTTTCAAATCACGGTTGGTCGCAGACCCCGGAGCTCACATCAAACATATGGGGTGTTTTGTATGCATGATGTGCAGGAGAACACTCCACAGCCAAGGCCACAGACTAGAGAAAATGTTGTCACAATAACACTGCCTTCCTTTTATTGAGGGCCTTCGATGAGATGGGCACATACTGACCCCTTACACAGACGACACCTCTATTACCAAAGTCAGCCTGCAGCATTAGTACTGTTATTCTGACTTAGTTTAAAGGAAAGCTAAAGATCTCAAAGACTGAAAAATGTAGCTAACTTCCGACAGAAAGTCATTGATGAAGTCAACAATCAAATTCAAGTAGACATGACTGGGACTCTTTCAACTCTCCCAACCTGTTTCCAATTTTGACCAGCAGGGCACATCCAGAAACACAGAGTTTAGGGAACACCCGTGATGAGACGAGACTGTCCGCTTATTCGATCATCTTCTTCTACTCAGTTAAACACATTCCAGAGAGCGGAGTTTGAACGGAGAAACCCTTTCATCCCTGGAGCAGCATCCACATTTGTTTCTTGATGTTGAATAAAGTGACTTGCATCACTGCAAATCAAGAATGTACATGATAACCCAGCAACCCCAGCTTCTGATTTATACAGACTGATACTGGAAGATGAAAATGGAAGTGAACCACTGTCTGCATTTTAAACACGTTTGCCTGAGGTTTTATGTTGTTTTCTTTTTCTTCTTTTAGGGTTAGAGAAATTGGCAGGCTGCCCCCAGCCTTTCAAGCGGGTTTCAATGAGTGAAGAGAAGTAAAGGAAAGGTCGAAAATAAGGAGCATGTGTACAATTTCTAAATGTTTCCAGGACGAAAACAGTTGTTCGGACAACCAGAAAGGAAATTAATAAAAAGACAGGAGGGGGTATTCTTACTTTTCTCCTGCATCTGAGAGAAGAAACCAGAGGCTGCACTGGGGACAAGGGATGTCTTGTTCAGTCCCTAAGAACGGGAGTACCCAGGACTCCATCAGCCTGAGTCTTCAGGAAAAATCTTCCCTTGTCATAGCTCCAATCCCACATTTCAGACCATCTCTCAATCTCTTTAAGAAACTTGGAGTAGGAGGATGGCGGATGAAAAAAATCTTTTTTTTTTTTTTGAGACGGAGTTTCGCTTGTTACCCAGGCTGGAGTGCAGTGGTGTAATCTCAGCTCACTGCAACCTCCGCCTCCCGGGTTCAAGCAATTTTCCTGCCTCAGCCTCCTGAGTAGCTGGGATTACAGGCACCCGCCACCACACCCAGCTATTTTTTTGTATTTTTAGTAGAGACAGGGTTTCACCATGTTGGCTAGGCTGCTCTCAAACTCCTGACCTCAGGTGATCCACCCACCTCGGCCTCCCAAAGTGTTGGGATTACAGGCATGAGCCACTGCGCCCTGCCAAAAAATAATTTTAGAGCTTTTTTACCCACAGTATCAAAGCTACTGATATCAGTTAAGGATATGTATCTTCATTGCCAAGCTTGAATCAGCTTTGGGGGGTGGGTGGGAGGAGCAAGGAATTAAGGGATGCTCTTAATTCTGCCAAGGTTGTCTACAGGAGGCCATGGATGGCAGTGGACAAATGGCCAGAGCATGGACTGTGAAACTCAAAAGAAGGGCCAGTGCCTCACTTGCATCCATTTCACAAATTCACATGGTGCCCCTTCTTTGTGTTGATCAGAGAGGGATATAGAACAGGATGTGTATGATTCCTGTTCTGTGGAGTTTATGCTGATGAGGGAAGTTGATGAAGAAAAAAGCAAAGACACAAATTAATAAAAAAATTGCAAGAAGAGTTGGGTGTTTTGAAGGGGGCAAGCAAGGGAAGTATAGTGAATCCCAGCAAGTGATCTGTAGCATTGTCAGGAAGGGCTCTGTGAGGAAGCAGCATTTAATCTGAGACCTAAAGGAAAAGAGAAAACCAGCCATGCAAAAGAGAGCAGAACACTGCAGAAGGAGAGAAGAGATTGACCAAGCTTGAGTGGGGAGAGGTGGGAGACTGAGCACCAGCCAGCGGGTCCGCCTGCCCTGGGGAGTCCTGGCTAGGTCCTGGGGGCCTCTAGAACACAAGGAAGTCAGATATAATTCTCAATGGCCTGGGCAATCATGATAGAGTCTTAAGTAGTGGAAGATCACGCACCAGGGGCCAGCAGGTCCAACTCTGCCACCTGCTTTTGTAAAAAAAAGATTGCCACATAGCCACACCAATTTGTTTACATATTTTCTGTGCTGTTGGGTACTACAAAGGAATAATTAGTAGTTGTGACAGAGACCTTAAGGCCCCAAAGCCAAAAATATTTACCATCTGGCCTTTAACAGAAAAAAATTGCCCATACCTGTCCTGTACCACGTGATCTGTGGCAAACTCAACCTCTTTGAGCATCAGTTTCTCCTTTATAAAATGATGCTGGTACACTGGAAACAGGTAAATTTTATGGTATGTAAATTATATCTCAATAGAACTGTTTATAGAAATGAAGATGTCAATGGGACAGGCATGGAACTGCTGGAAAAAGGGTTAAAAGGAATATCAAATAAAAATCACAGAGCAGATTGGCACACAGAGCTCAACAGCACTTTCTACTGCTGATACTATGGCTAACAGCTTGGTAAAGCAGGTCTTATTATCCTTCCCTTATCCATACACTATAGCTCAGAGAAGTGAAGTCACTACCCTGAGGATGCACAGCACTAAACCATAGGTCCGGGATTCTAGCCCAGATCTCTGGGACCCCAGTATTCCTTCTGTGGATGCACTGTCTTGCCTTTGAGGTAGTTGTGACTCCCGAAATTGAGTTAGGCTGAACGGTGGAAGTAAATTGTAGGGAAGGCAGGCAGTGCTGGTGAGCTGAAGGGCACTCATTAAATGTCTTTTTTCCCTGTTTGGTTTCAGGCTGTGTGAATTCTCACTGCCCCACGTTTCACTTTGAGCTGGGTGTTCATGTGAGCTCTCTACTTCACATGAACTCCGGCCTGAGTTTTGCTTGTTCGAGGCTGAAACTGTCAGAAACTGCTGAGCTGGGCCCAGTTGCTAGGCCCCATCAAAGGCGCTGGCCGGGGCTTCCAGACCTGGGTCTAAGGCCAGCCCACCCACGGCTTACTCTGAGCCAGGACACAGTCAGTTCATCTTGTTTCGAGTTTCGGCTCATCTCCTTTCAAGTTTCGCTCTGAAGCAGTTCACACATCACCCTCTCTCCCTCTTTCTGTGGGCTGGTCTGGGCTGTGAAATGCACCCTGGGAGATCAGCAGCCCTAGCCAGGAGCCATGGTCTGGAAGGCTGAGGGTGGTCTCATCTGGATCTGTAAGCCAGGAGCCTTGGCTCCGTGTGGAGCTCTGCTCCAACCAATGAACCCGGTGAGCTTTGCCAAGCACAGCCACCTCTCCAAGTCTCAGTTTACTCCTCTGTCAACTAAGAGATTGAACTATGACGTTTAAGTTCTTTTGACCTCAAATAATCTAGGCATCCTGGTCTAAGGATGTATCTTTAGGATGAGTAGATTTTAGAGTCCCAGGTTTTATTCTTCCCACTTTTTTAAGAGCTGAAACTGTCTTTAGAAATTTTCTAGTTTTTCATCTTCATTTTACAATGGAGGGAACAAAACCCAGAAAGGCTAAAAGATTGTTCTAAGGTCCCAAGGAAGTCAGTGGCAAAATGGAGACTAGAACCCATGTCCATAGACTCTCAGTGCAGTGTCCCAGGGACACCTACGGAGATGCACTCCGAAGCCCCTGAGTCTTTGTAAGATTTGAGCCTTTCTTGTAAACAAAAACATGAGAAAGAGGCTTCCTTAATACTTATTACACCTTAGATAAATTGGCAGCAATTTTCTTTGCTGTAGCCTGGCACTTTTCCCAAACATCTGGTCAGGGCCGGGCAGGCCTGGCCCTCCCACCCCTCGGAGGAGCAGTTGGGGCTGCCAAAGCTGGAGCCTCAGGGGTCCCCCGGGACGGATGCTACCTAATGTGCTGTCTGCGATGCTCGCTTCACTTCCACAACACCTGCTTTCTGAAGCTGAGCTGCCACTCAATCCCAGGCCAGGGGAGCATGGGAAATCGGCAACAGTCGGGGGAAGCTGGGGAGAAGATGACACAGAAAGGAGGCACCCCAGCCCCTGTGAGGAGCAGCCTGGTGACAGAGGCTTCTAGAGGAGAGTGGTGGGGTTTAATTAACATGCACCATTATTTGGGGGCCATGAAGGATGGTGGCTCTGTGGTTAAGACAAGCTGGGGTGCTCAGAAAGCCCTCCAGCCCTGGGCTCAGCTGGCCTGGTGTGTGTCTTGACACCTTGTGTGGCTTTTAATTTCCGTGACCTCTTCTGGCCTAGGACTCTCTCAGCAGCAATGGAAGCCATGTTCTGAAGCACACAGATCAAAATCCAGGATGCAGATTCTGATCCAAATTTCTTCCTGACATTAGGCAAGTCACTGTCTTCCATACAAGAGACACACGTGCCAAGTCCCTGCTCTAGGCTTTGACTGGGCCTAAAGGTTGAGAAACAGAATTAAAGGAAACTGGGTTCCCTTCTTCTAGCCCACTATTATCCAATTAGAGAGGAAGAATGAAGGCAGATATTAAAATATATATTTTGATATTTATAAAGGAATGAGGATGGAAGAGCAAGAAAAAGAGAGAGAAGGGGAAAGAAGGAGGGAGAAGGGAAGGAAGGGAGAGCAGGAGAGGGAGAAACTTGGGCACATGGGGAACAGAGAAAGAACATCTAACACAGCATGGGAGACATAAATGACGATCCAAGAAGGCCCAGTGGTGGAGTGGATATCTGAGCTGAGTGTCACATGAGGGTAGGCATCAGCCAGTGAGAACGGGAGGGATCAACTGCACCATGTTTAATGCGTGAAATTGAGAAATGGAAAACTGCACATAAAACACTCACCATGGTGCTCAATGAATGCCTGCTGCAAATATCAACCTAATTATCAGGCCAGAGGGGCCCTTGGACATGGTGGCCACTTGATTTAATTTTTCCTGTGCTTTAAACTTTATAAACTGTTACATATTGGGAATCGACCTTATGGAAAACACAACACCTAGAGTTAAGGGATTGAAAAGACCATAAGCAAAGACCAACTGTGGCAGTCACTGGTAGTCATCTACCCTAACTACACTTTGCCACCTCTTTGCAGACAGATTCAAATTTTGTTTGAGACTGCAATGCACCCGTCTGAGGGCATGAATCTTGCTTGGTAAGAGGCCAGTTGGGTCATTTAATTTTGCCTTGCCAGAGGCACACTTTCCCAGCCTCCTTTGCAGCATGTGGCCATGTGACACAGCCCGGCCAATGGGGTTTCTAGGAAAACATTTACTTCCCGGCCAAGTAATAGTGGCATAAATAGAGCTCCCCAAGAAACTCAACGTTCCTTCTGGTTCCCAAGTATTAATCAACCACTGTGCAGTTTAAAAACAAATATCAGCCGTAATAACCACCAAAATCTAGACCTCGAAGCAAAAGACATGCTCAGAGGCATAGTGTTACCACTTTTAGCTGCAAGACTCTTGGCAAATCACTTAAGCCTGCATTTCATTTTTGGCAGAATTAGAACAAAAATACTCCAACTGCAAAGGTTGATTTTGAGGAATGGCCGGACCATTGCATGTGAAAACACAGGTGTAAATACAAAAGTGCTTTCCAGAAGTATCATTCTTAATAATATTTTGGTGCTATTCTCTTGACTATTCAATATAATAATTATTATAATTGCTGCTTATATAATTTTTCTCAGCTAATTGTATTTCCTTATATTTAAGACTGCTAAATTATGAAATATTATCCAACCCCAATGTTTCCCAATAATTTTTCAAAAACATTTTAAGTCATTTTCATAACATTTATGAAGTAAAAGAAGCCTGTGCATGGTAGTTCCTTTTTTATAGGTTTTTATCAATTGTATTATATTTTGTAGTATGCTATTTATGCGATGTTATAGTTTTTTATCTAGTGATGTATTTAGTAGACATAAAATTAATGAGTAAAACTAAATATATTTTTAAAGGATAAAATTGTTCTTACTAAATTTTAGAAAAACATGTAGCCTTCTGACTCAAGGACTTTGTATGTTAACCACATAAGCATGGTGACTAGTGGGGCTTTAGGTGAAGTTTGAGCAAAGGTGCTGCCAAAAATTTGCAAATTTTCTCAATAAAGTTCGATGTGATCATCTCTAAAGTTTCTTCCCATTTATTTCAATATTTTATTCCTCCTTCTTTTTCAATAAAATCGAGGACCTAATACATGCTCAATTCTTGATGGGGTCCAATTGAGCACATACTAGCTCCTCAGTTGAATTAGAATCATTTCCATTTACGACATAATACATATTTTTGAAGTATCTACTTCATAAACACTGGAGAAATGCATAGAAACTCTAGATAGAACTTCTAGATGAGAAGGCAGATCTTGAAGTAATTTTAACTATGAACTCTACCAAAAAGAGGTACAGCATATAATAGAGCATGCTCTGAAACTCCCAACTCTGGCACTTTTAACTATCTTTGATGATTGTGGCACAGGAAATGAGGCCTCAAATCACATCAGAGCCCTAAGAAACCACCCAGTGCTCTTGGAGGTCCTGGGCTCCTCCCTTCCTTCTCCAGGAAGTGAGAAATCCCTTTCTTCTCTTCCTATCAAAACATCATCTCTCTTGTGACTTTTTTTTTTTTTTTTTTTGAGACAGAGTGTCACTCTGTCACCCAGGCTGGAGTGCAGTGGCGCTATCTTGGCTCACCACAACCTCTGCCTCTCAGGTTCAAGCGATTCTCCTGCCTCAGCCTTCCGAGTAGCTGGGACTACAGGCCCGGGCCAGCACACCCAGTTAATTTTTGTATTTTTGGTAGAGACAGGGTCTCACCATGTTGGCCAGCTGGTCTTCAACTCCCGATCTTAAGTGATTCACCCGCCTCGGCCTCCCAAAGTCTAATCTGCCATTTCTTATTTCCCTGTTTTCACATCCAACCTTCCAGATAGACACAAGGTTGGTAAAACCAGGAGCCTGTCTATCCCACCTGCTGCCAGGTTTGCAGAGTCAGGAGGGGACGAGCTTGATTCTGGCTGCTGACCGCCATCTTACTCTTCCCTCTGCACTCTGCATTCCTCCTGAGCCAGCGAGCCTTCCCCTACCCTCGCTTTGTTGTCAAGTGTTCTTTCTACCCTGACATTTCCCACAGCTTTTCCAGAGTCGTTTGGATCCGACTGAGATCCCAATCTCCCACATTTTAGCCAAAGTTCAAATAGTGACTCATCTGTCCTTTTTAGACCAAGTTGATGTGTAACCTAATATTTCCAGAGAATACATCACTTTGTGTGTGATAACTTCCCAGAGAAAGCCACAATATCCCACAGGCATGATTGGGAATTATCACGTAAGTTGGGAAAGTTGGAGTGCCCACACTTGATAGCTATACTGTCCTTGCAGGGGTCCTCTCAGAGCCTTTACTCATCACCAGGAAAAAGAGCAGAGCAGAGAGTTGCAGAAGCACAGAGGCTGTGGGCCTCATTGTCCCTTGCTTGACTCCTAGCAAAGGAAAGACTGAGTGGCAATCTGTTCCCCATATGACACAGGGACCTCCGCAGATATTTAATGACACCATAGATGAGTATGAAGGCCATGGCGGCATTATTAAAAATGTACGGGACAGGGATGGGAAGGATGGGGCTGGGGGATGTGGATGGATTTCAAAACCTGGAACAAATGAAAGTAATTTGGGAAGAGTCACAAGCAATTTAAGCTAAGGTACCATATCTCCCTTGAAAATGGCCAGGAACTTGGAAGCTAGTGAGAAATAAAAGAATCCAATCATGACACTTTTCCTTTGCTTATATTTTTTCAGTTGTTTGGGGAGTGGGAGAAAGATGATTGACTTCATCCATGTCTCTTCCCAAACATGGTTTTTGTATTAAGGATTAAATGATAGTTCTCCAAAAGACCTGACAAGTTAAGGGAAGACAAAACATTTATTTTGCCAGGTACTGAGAGAATCTGTATATCAATATGTATAACATTTAAAAAAATCTCTTTGTTATCAACGCTTACTTTCCACTTTGCATTACGTGCACTTTTGTAAGGCACTGCAAATCATTTATGGAAAGACACAAAGCAGAATTTTAAAAGATGATTATTAATTAAATGTTAGATCTGAAGTGATGCTTATAAGAACACTTTAAGATACTGTTGCTCCATTTTCTAGATGACAGAAGCAAAGCTCAGAGAGAAGTGAATTAGCTACAGCTCAGGGTGGGGTTGAATTTTGATCTGGAATTGGCTTACACTAAAGTCCATTCCATCTGCCATGCTCCATGCTTTCTGGAGGAAGTCCCCTTCTCCCAAGATCGTGGCAACTTGGAATTTCACTGTTACGTGGTACTTCCAGAGAAGAGTACACCGTCAGCAAAAAATACTACAACTCTGAAGTAGATTAAATGCTCACTATTCAATATTGGGAGATTCTCCTAAATATTCAAATAAAGAAATATTTTTCCCATTTATTTTATTCATTCCACAAATAATTACTGAGTGCCTAATATCTGAAAATTAGTAAATCTTAAAGTCAATAAAAATTACCTATTGGAAGTTTTAGCAGAAGCTTAATTAGTTTTAAATATCTGAGATGTTTGGTTTTATACATTGCCCAAGAAAATCAGTCATATAGATTTTCTTCATTCTCATCATCCTGGTCTTGGCATCACCTTATGCCTGGTTATTATTCTATATACTTGTTTAACCTTAAAAATCAATATATAACCACTAACAAATAATAGAAAATATTTATCTTTTTTCGGTGTAGTGCAATGTTATCAAAAGAAGAGAGGTTAGACATGCTATAAGATTCTACTTCTAGGCATGGTTCAACCACCGACCAGACTACTGTCTTTAATTATAGCATTGTATCTTCTTTGAGGCTCTAGATTGCCTTAAAAGGTAATAACAATAATGATAGTAATAATGATAATAATACTGATCTCACGTAATTGTTTAGGGGACTAACTTAGATCCTGGTGTTAAAATCTTTAACACAATACCATGCTCTGTAAATTAGGCAAAAACAAATCCCAGATTTGTTGCTTTGATTAAATGAACTGGTGAGTATAAAAAAAATGCAATGCATAATAAAAATTGCTGTATATATTTACTTTTTATGGTAGCTATTTCTATCTGTCTAGGTAGGAAGCTAGTTATCTATCTACCATCTCGTTCCAGAAATAATTTAATGTGGTCTATTTAATATTATTATCGTGTTTTATGATTCATTTTCTAGTCAACCCTATTCAGACACATTATTTTCTAGAAATAATAATTATAGTGATTTCAATATAAAATACAGTATACATGTATTGTTGGTTTCCTTCTAAGAGGCTGTCATCTACTTGTAGGTTTAATTGCTGCCACTGACAGGGATTTACAAGACTGCAAAACTGTAAGGTGAAATATCTATGCATTCACAGTCTCATACTTCAAAGGATTTAGAGTAGCAAGAAAGTCTACATTTAAACAACAAATCATCAGGAGTTAATATACTACTTTTGCACCAAAACTTCCATCATGTCCCTGGATATAAAATTTCCATGTTCAAGGTAGACTTTTCATATTAAATTCTGCTCAGAGTGAATCTATGGAGCAAGGATTCCATACCAAAAGCTACAGAGTTTCAAAGAAAACATGGGTTAGTGGTACTGTAAAGGAATCATACATATAATCTCATCTTATTTCATCATTAAATCATTCTTATAGCATAAAGCCTCTTATAGCATTCTTAGAAGGAAGCTATGCAGATTCTGCTTGGCTGCTCAGAGTGACTGGAAACTCATTACTTAATGAGGATGAGTCCATTGTGGGGCAACTCTCACTATTAGAAAATGGTCGATTGCCAGTTGGAGAGTGTGACTTTGTAGTCAAAAGATCTGTGCATTCGCTGTTCTCAGTCACTTAAATGGCCATGGAACCTTGGACAAATAATTTCTCCAACCTCTGTCAAAGCTTTGTCAACTGTGAAATGAGGACAGGAATGTACTCCTCCAAAAATGGTAGGGAAAAGACGATAATGAACATGAGGTTCCAGCACAGCTTAGCTGGTACCCAATAGAACATCACTTTTTCCCTCCTGACTTTACTTTCCTTTGAGTTAAAATCTCACTTATTACCAACATGTAGATAGGGAACTTTCTCATAAAATAATAATTATAATAATATTTTTTAAAAAACTGGAGTTTTGCCTACTTCTTGTGGCAAAGACTGGATGGAATCGAGCTTCTGCTGCCCCATTTAGACAGAACATGTGCTCTATATATTCCCCTAGTCTCCACCCAGCCAGTTTGCTCTTTCTAATGTGAACTGAATGCTATTGGCATTGAGGTTTGTGACCTTTATTTTAATGTGTAAAGCAGATCAGATGTCCTAGATCACTTCTTCTCCAAACTTCAACTTAGACTGACTTCCACCAACAGCCCACCACCCCGGGGGCCTGCCTTTACAAAAGCGTGGTGGCCGGTCACAGTCAGTGCCCTGGAAATGATCAGAACTACTGCTGGGTACATGCCCTGAGAGATGCTCAGAGCCCATCCTCTCCTCCAGGAGCAGCCCATCTGACCCCTGTGTGAATCGGGCCAAGACACTTACTAGGCTCTCATACCCTTTGCTTTAGAAGCCGGCTGACTAAGTGTTATCAATTCATACTGAAATTTACACTCGCCTCCTCGCTCTGTTCCCATCAAACACTGTGGAACATTTTGTCCTCTGTTCTCAAGCAAAAGAATGGTCCCTGCGTACCTCCTAGATGGTGATGCTGGGTATCACATGTGGGCCAAAGGAAGCCTGGGAGGGTCTGGTTTTCTCAATGTGGAGATGTGTCCCCTGTCTAGTGCTTTCTGAGAGAGTCCATGAGGTCAGGCACAGCTGGAGTCTCTAGGCAAGTACATGAGTCCAGAGACTCATGTAACTCTGTGCAAGTCCAGAGTTGAGGTCCCTTCCCAACTCCCCTGCCAAAGTGAACCTGGGGAATATCTTCAAGGAGAAGGGCACATTGTTTTGTTGGTGGTTTACCCTCAATCGTTGTCATATTCAGTCTCTAGGAGTGAATTGCTGAAGAAGAGTGACCAAACTTAAGGCAGAAGGAAGATAAGCCTGTGACCGTTGGTGGGATCTCTGGCTTTATCAGCGTGGCTGACATTCTCAGACTCTAATGGGATTCCCGGATATTGTATGGAATGCCTTACCTTGGATCATGGTTCCAATTCACCATCATTCCTTCATTTATTCAAATTTGATTGAGCACCTGCTATGCCTCAACCTCTTTTTAGGTATTCAGAGTACATTAATGAACACAATAGATAAAGGTCTCTGCCCTAGTGAACTGAGACATAAAAAGCAGTAACAGAACAAACTGGTGCATTATATAGCAGAGTTCAGACATGCTAAAGACAAACAAAAATAGGAAAAATAGTGCTGACCAAGGGAGTGTATCGTGTATATGGACTGATTAGCCAAAAAAAAAAAAAAAAAAAATTAGAGAAGCAGTTAAGAGGCAATGGCTCAGGGCATGGGCTCTGACAATGGGATTCCTGGTTTTTAGCCTTGGCACTAGCACTTTCTAGGCAGGCGACCACGGAAAAATGACTTAACCTCTCTCAGTTTCTGCATCTATAAAAGGAAAATAACAATATGTCTTCTTCACAGAGGTGCAGTGAGGGTTCATTGAGAAAGGTGCCCGGCACACACAAAGTGTTCAGTGAATGTGTTAACTCTTTATTATTCACATGCCCGTGTTGTAATTGAGAAGACAGAGACCCAGAGAAGGGGAGCAGCTTCCCCAGAGGGCAGGCAAGGCAGGACCTGAGCTCAAAGGCAAGCAAGGGAGAACTTGGGATAATCATATTTAATCATAAACAACAATGGCTGTATCTGCAAATCCTCTGTGTCTTTTCAATAGTGTTTGGAAGAATCCCCTCTGCCTACTCCCTTTGCTCCCAGGCACTGACCAGACATCTTGGTGGCATGTCCAGGGGTCATCTCTTAGGAACCTCAATGAATGTCACTTGACCAGTCAACCAGTCGATCGGGTCAGCTGCAGCCCTCACACATGGCACAGTCAGTGTTTCCTCCCACGCCCTGGCTTTGCTGTGAAGCAAGGACAGCCGCCTGCTGATTAGCATCCACATGCCCTTATGCATAATTGAAGACATGTTAAGTCACCCAACTGAGTTCTCTTCCCCAGACCACATGGTTCCAGAGCACTGAGTTCCCAGAGGCCACTTTTTAAAGCTTTTATCTTGTCTATCACTCCTAGACTCTTCTCCTTTCTTACCCCTCTTTGAAGGACATGCACTAGGTAAAAGGCAAGAGGCTGCTACAGGAGAGAAGGGGAGAAAGAGGGAAACAGGAAGGGAATCACTCCTTTCAGGCTACTCCCTGCATCTCTAGATGAGACTACAGGGAGAGAGTGAATCCAAGGACAGACAGACCAGAGATTTTCTCTTCAACCCTCTGATTTGGATTGTCACTTGCTTTCACATCCCTCTGGCATTAGCATTGCCTGGGGGTCAGGATCTCTGTAAATGTTAGAAAAGATGGTAGGTGCTTTGCTCATCCCAATACTTCCTCCATCCATCCACCTCACTGAGTATCTTCTATGTTCTGGGTTCTGTGGCCCTGAGAAAACACAAAAAACTAGAACAAGGCAGCATAGAGACAACCACAGGGAGCCCAAAACCACAGCAAGGGCAGTAAGCTTTGACCATGGGGAGAGACAGTCAGACAGGGATGTGTAGAGGAGGAAAAGTGTGAGGTTGCAACGAATGGACGAGAAAGAGCCAAACGTAAAATGAGGAGTACAGATGGAGCCATGTGTGCAAAGATACAAAGGTGAGCAGAACTGAGGCACGCACGTGAGCTTGGAACAGAGTGAAGAGAGACAATGGCAGGGACCGAGAGGCAGGGCCTGGATAATGAAGGGATTTGGAAGAAACAGAGAGCAGTTTGGGTTCTATTCAGAGTGAACAGGGAGACTTTGAAGGGGTTTCAGGGGGAAAGGGAGAGGATGGGTTTTGTATTTTGCAGAGATTACTCTGGCTATAGTATGGATAATGGAGCAGAGGGTAACAAGAAAAGGGGAAGGAAAACCTCACAGAATCCCTTCACAAACCTCAAGGGAGGGTATGATGGTGACCTGAGTGAAAGCAACCCCCGTTTGGATGGAGAGGGAAGGTTTGATAACAGGGACATTTATGGTGGTCATCATAGAAATTGACTACTTATATCAGTCAGATAAGTCTATGTTAGAATAACAAACAATCCCCAAATCACAGTGGTTCACAGAGAGGCAGGGTTATTTGTAACATATATTGTTGTTCATCAAGGAATCACAGGAATTCTGTGGCTCTGTGATGTGTCCTCTTCATCTGGACAGGCTGGTCTCCCAGAAGGGGAAAATGAAGGAGAGCAGAACTACACAGGGATTCTAGCAACTTCTGTCCATAAGCTGCACCCACCACCTCGACTCATATTCGACTGGCCAAAGCAAGTCACAAGGTCAAGGCTGACATTACTGTGGCGGGAAGTAGTGTGTTTCTGCAAGGGACAGAAAATGTGTTCAGAGTAGTACTGTCTATCCTCATCTGCCCGCTTGGTCTCTAGTATTCACCTTCCTCCTTTGCTCATGTACAAGATGCTCACTCCTTCCTAAAGAAAGACAAAAGTCCTATCCAATCCATCTTGGACTCAAAATCCAGAATGTCATCTTTGTCTCTATATAAAGTCTGGAGACTGCCCTCTCCCATCTGAAGTCCCATAAAATAAAAATGTGAGTTAGTTGTGATCTCACCACCACCCCCAAATACAAAGGTGCTATGGGGACAAGGGAAGAACAAAAGCAAGAGGACTCCTATTTAAGAAGGGAAGAGTAAGCAGCACACAGTGCCCGCCAGTCTTTAGCAATTCTGAAACCCAGACAGACATGATGAGGATTCCCCACTTTGGAGTGGGGGGATGTCCTGGATGAGGCTCAAGCTCTCCTCCCTGGGATCATTTCCCAGTTCATCATCCTCCATGGCTCTTAGAGGGCAAATCATGTGTTTAGAGGTAGGGTCAGGGAGGTGGAATTAAGAGTTAAATTTTGGTAGCATGTTAATACAGGAGGCTCTTTGCTAGTTTAGATCATATATGTGAGTGGAGTGTGTGTTTGTATGGGAGTGATTCTGTGTGTGTGTGTGTGTGTGTGTGTATGTATGTGATGCCTTTCCTTCCTACATTACATTTGATTTACTTTTTCATAATTCTAACCTTTGTTTAGATATTGACAGGCTCTTGATCTCCCTTCAGCATTGCATGTGAGCATCAAGAGCTCCTTTCTCCCCACAAGGAAGAATTTGATCACCAGTCTTTCAGAACAGCACTTTAAAGACCACCTTGGTCTAAAATCCTCCAATAGCATTGGGAGAAAGTAACATTGGAAAGTAGCATTGGAAAAAAGAATCTATTGGTCAAAATTATAACACTTAGGAGAAGGACTAGAACATGGTCCAGTACTTAGGCTCCCGCCCCACACTGCAATTAAAACAAGTACTTTTTTTTTTCTTGATATCTAATAGACCCAGTCACATGCTTGATATCACACTTAATATTCAAAATTACACAAATGGTTTCAACATCAGCTACTCCGTCCCAATTAAAATTAAACTATTTGTACTGCATGCATATTTATACAATCGTCCCCTCTGACTAGATGTAGTCATGTGCATAGACATCGAAGCTAAATCATGCATTGTCTGAACAAAACACATGCCGGCAAAGGACGGGCTGGTGTTGGGAGCTGGGGATGGTGTCTCCATTAGGCAGGCAGTTAATTTAAAGTTTAAAAAATGGATTTTCAACAGCTGATACATGGCAGATTTAATAACCTGACAGTTTTTTCTCTCTTCCTAGCTAGTCCGTTCAACTTTGACTGGACCTGTTGCAGGATGATATGATTACCATTGTGTGCACCCTCTGGCATTATTTAAAAAGGCAAATCCCTAATCCCTGCTTAATTTTATGAACTGTCAAAATGATTCTAAATATCTGCTCTGTTTGCATTTTCACCTCGGGACAGAAGTCCAGAGGTACAGATTGGGTGTACAACAGTGGACTTGAGGCAATTTTCATCTCTTAATGCCTGTAGCATGAAAGGCTGAATTTGTAATAATCACCAGATTATCTCTAAAGATCGCTCTGTTGTACCTGCAAAATGGTTCTGCAGAAAAACGCAAAAGATACAGGGAAAAGTAATGATGAGAGGCAGGAGATGATTGCTCTTCCTAATCCCTGATGGAAATAAAAAAAAAAACCCCTCACACAACACCCTCCCTGCCCAAGACAAACGTTGGTAATTTCTGTTAAATGCTGTTTGGAACTTGCAGTGGCAGAAACCCGCTCTCGAGTCAAAGATGGGCTCCATTCCCTGTGCTCCTGCAAGCAGCTCCTGATGCTGAGGCATAAGAGCTGAGGGTCATTTGCAAAACAGGTACAGAAGAAGAGGCAGGCTCTCAACCCAACTGAAGAGAGAATGAGAAATCAGACAATGCATGGAAGAGCCCTAGTGCATCCCCTGAGATGTGTTTTTTTCTCTTTTGTCTCTCTGCTGGGGACAGGCAGCAGGGGGATGTGGGAGGCAGGTCAGGGCTGGACCCCAGTGTGGCTCAAGATGGCTGTGTGACTTTCATCAAATGTCACCTTGTCCCTGTCCTGGCTTCTGTTTATGCTCCCGACAAACGAGAGTGGAAGGTGGGTGCTGGCTGCAAATCCCACCAACACCAACACACACAGCAGAGAGGATGTGCGCACTTCTCTCTGCTGGGATCTGGATTCTAAGCTGCACATCCAGGCTTCCTTTAATCCTTGGTATTCTGAGAGGCAGGTGTCAGAAAGGTGAGGGTGTAGAACTATGCTTACCTCTGCATTACAGGTCTCTAAGCAAGGAAAAGGAGGTAAGTTTAGGTCTAACTACAGGCAAGAAAAGAGGCAACCTTATGTCTAACTATAGGCAACAACATGTTACATATCTGGGAAGATCTCATCTTCTCCCCTTCACACACACACACAAAATCTATGGTTTTCAAGATGCCTAAATCACACAGGCAAAAGAACATTGTACGACGATCCCTCACCCCAAAGTTTTAAGAATGGAAGTTTTAGGTAATTCGATAGTCTGCAAAATTGAGGGAGAAATTCTGCCTTCCCTTTTAACTCACTGGCAAAAGGGGCCAGAATATAAACTTTCTTCTACCTTTTATCTTGAGGACATTAGGAATGGGGCTGGAAAGTAAATTATTCTTTTTTTAGGATTGATAGACAAGGAAAAGTCCGAGTTGAATATTCTCAGACTTGTTTACGCACTTGTAAAAAATTATGGTAAATTCTAGACCAAGCCTGTCTTCTTGTAGTGTGTTCCTCAAAGAAAAGCCAGTATCCAATCCTACTTCTCACAATACCTTGGAGTGGCTGTGGAGCAGAAGGAGGATTCCTGGAGTCAGAAACCAGAGGTCTTCTGAAGGAAGTGCTCTGCTGTGAGTCCTAATGCATCAGGATATCTTACAGGTTGTTGATTGCATTTTGTTTGCTGATTTTAAATCTGTGAAATCTTTGGTTATTCATCAGGTACTCCTAAGTAGCAGCTTTGATAGTGAAATCTTCCCAGGTGTAAACTGAAATTGACCCCAAATAATCAGAAGTTGGGAGTTTTCTGAGAAAACCGGTGGAATACATTCTCCTTTGCTCTATTTTTTAAATGCCCTGTGGTTTATTAATTAATAAGCTAATCCTCTTCTTCTGATACACTTTCATAGAAAGAAAATATTTAGATCACTTCAACGTCAAAACGAAAGCATAACTACCACTTTAAATGCTAGATAATACCTCATGGTGATCCCTTACGGTTGCTTCAACATATTATAGTTTATAAAGTGCTTTTAATACACTGTACATCACAACCATGTGACTTAATATTGTTTTATTGACTAATAAAATAACTTAAATAACATTAATAATATTTAATATTTAATCACATTAATAACATTTAACATTCCACACACATTAAAGTAATAAATGAGGAGGGTATGGCCATAAACCAGATACTGTGTAGGTGCTTCACATAATCTTACTCCATTCTTCACAGCAATGCTAAAAGGGTGACTTTAGTCACCATGCAAAATAAAATGAAGCCCAGAGAGATAAAGCAGTTGCTTGGATTAGGTCACACACCTTGTCAGTGACAGACAGAGCACAACCCCAGGTCCTCAGATGCCAATTGAAATAGTTTTTATGGTGCATAATATTAACCAGGTTTCAAACATATCATGTGTCATTTGCAAATTACATGAACCTCTCTTACAAGTGCTATCATTTGTAGAAACTTTCAATTGGTTGATCTGATGTCCGAGCACTTACTGGGTACAATGAGGATTTCCACCTTACAATGAAACCCAAGAAGGAAAAATTAAAAACAAAACAATCAGACAATCTGGAAAGTGAATTGAACATAAGCTCTCATTAGAGGAAGCAAAATCCTTTCTTTTTGGAGAAGGCATTTTGTACACCATCACATGGGAGAGGCAAGTGCAAATTTTGTACTGCAGGGGACCTGCGTGAACATATGGGCCCATTAATCATGAAATATTGATTGGGGATTGAAAGTATGAAACAGGTTCCATGACACATGGGTTTGTTTTGTTGGTCCGAAGTGTTAAGTAACACAGGAGCCATGTTAACATTCATCTCCTACTCTTCTTTTGTTAGCAGGTTAGTGCTCACCCAATTCACATATCCTCAGGTTTATGAATTATTAATCAAAAGAGCTAAAAAGTCAATCCAATCTGGTTAGATACAGTAATACTTGTGGCTTCCAAACTTTTAAATAATGAATGGTTTCATCACTTCCCCAGTGGATGTCAAGCAAGGAGAATGTCTGGAATCAAAATCCCACTGGGTAACGAAAGAAACATAGTGAAGGAAAGTAGTAATTTTTAATAATAGTAACTCCAACCTATTGTATCATCACTGCCACTCTCCAGAGAGATCATTTCAGAATGGGAAGGAGAGATGGCTTGAAAAAAGGGCTTTATGGGATCAAATATTCCCAGAAAAAGTGTTATAACATAAGGGAGTAGGTAGAGAATAAGAATACATCCACACCAATAAGTTGTAATGTTAAAAATGCATGCCTTTTAGTGTTCCTAATTCTTCAAAAGAAAAACACATCTTTAATTATTTCTTATGTTGGAGGAATTCTCTAATAAACTTCTCCTCATGTTCGGGAACTTGGAGAAGAAACATAGAATAAAAGGCAGAAATAAATGGTGTATTTAGATTGACCAAATTATTGTCAACAATAGGACTTAGTGCGGAAAGGGAGGTGTTCAGTAGGTAATAATAGAAAGAAAAGACCAACTCAGAAATAATTGGTTTTATGAGCATGGGAACGTGATAGAGAAATGGGGATGGTAATTAAGACCTAAGAGAAGAAGAAATAGTATTACGAAGTGTTGATGCATGACAAAGGATGAATTGGTGAAGCCATGCTGGAAATAAATAAAAAACTAACGGTTTCAGAACCCTCTACTGGGTTTCAGATAATTCTGTTGGGTCACTTTTGCCCTTAGGTGGGAGCACAAATGAAGATTAAACCAGGGTTGGCTGAGACTTGGATCATTTGCTGAATGTTTGGTGTTCAATTTATTCTGCCCATTCTAATTCACGCTAAACATTCTCATTCACTTAGAATATTTCATTTCACTCTGACATTCCCATTCACATTGAAACTTCCAAATCCCTCCAAAAGTTCCAAGTCACCAGTGTTAGAAATCACTGGCTATACTTAGGCTTCTATTATATGTATTCGACTAAGTGATTGTGTTGTCCTGGGGGAAGATATCTGTACAAGGAACATAGAAAACAGGAAGCAGAGTGTGCCCTTATTGTTAACTAGGCTTTTACCCCAAATCTCACTGAGGAGCTCGTTGGTGAAATGTGCTCAAACACGTGTAGGTTAATGACAAGTCCAAAGGCCTGTTATTTTTTTTTTCTTCCTCCAAAAACTATGGTTACCATATAAAACACAAGTCATCCAGTTACATTTGAATTTCAAATGAGCAAGATATTTTTGAGTACAAATGTGACCTAAATATTGTGTATGCATACTGAGAAAAAAATATTTGTTGGTCTTCTAAAATTCTAATTTAACTGGGCATCCTATATTTTTATTTGCAATCTTACTCTAAACCCAAACTCAGATCTGAAGGTATCACCATACTCCAAAGTTAATCCACACAGAAAAAATCTTAGTGACAGTGCCTCATATATAAATGAATTTGAGGTTTAACATATGTTCCCATTGCATCCTCTTCCTCCTTTTCTGTTATCCTCCCTTTTTTTCTTCCTTTCATTTTTTTTTTTTTTCTGAGCAGGTGTATCTGGAATTGCGCTACACATGAAGATTTACAAATGAATTAGACCCATCCCTTTTCTTGGAATAGCTCCTAGTCTTTTGGGAAAGAAAGGCATGCATCTATCCATTGTACAAAACAAAATGCTTTAATAGAATTTCTATCCATCCATCCATCCATCCATCCATCCATTCATCCATCCATCCATCCATCCTCCATCTGAACTCTGATTCATGGAAGAACAACTTACTGATTCTGCTCAAGGAGAAACCTTGGCACACTGTGACAATGTATCTTGAAAACAGACCTCCCATTTTTTTGGATGGTAAAACTGAGTCTTAGAGAAGTTACCCAACTGCAGAGTAGCCGGGTAAGTGGCAGATTCAGGTTATAAATCCCAATCCTTAGCCTCGATATGCAGGACAAAGCTCAACCTGCTCAGCCCCACTTTTCTTCTGCCGTTTTTTTGTCCCCTCTTTCTCACAGAACCTCTACTACCTCATGTGCCAAGGCTCACACGTCTCTCTTGGGTGACATCTGTGGTGGGCGCCGTGACTCCTGTCACCTGTGCGGGGGGCCCGGGCTGCCTCCTCCCCTCCCCCGCCTTCCTCGCCCTGGGCCTGACCGCAGGGGCTGAGTGTCTGGCCTCTGCACACCACTTTCTCAGCAGGGCACTTCCTCCCTGCACGCTGCTCCTGCAAGTTGTTTATCTCTCACAAGGATAGTAACAAAGATCGTATCGGTGAAACTCTGTCTGGGCACAGATGTCTGGCTCCCTGGCAGCTCTTCATCACCCTGCTGTGCCTCACCTTCCAGAAGTCTCCTTCCTCCTCCCCCTGGAGCCCCCTTCTTCCACACTGTGGATGATTAGTTGAAACACAGCAGGGCAGAGCAGGCAGCTGCACTGCTCCACTGAGAGTCTTGGAGCTGCCAGGAGCCAAGGCCCTTCCAGGCCTTCCAGCAACTGTTTAAACACTGGTTGCCCCTGGGCCAGGCATTAGAAGGGGACAGACAGGGAGGTCACAGGGACCCCAGATGGTAGTGAGGATAGCAGCTTGTTGAAGGATGGAAAGGAAAAGAGAGATGGGGCGGACCACGTGACTAATTTAAAATGCCCCAAGTTGGTGGTCTGGGTGCAGAGTCTTCAGATGTGCACTGTCCAGCAAGGCCTTCAGCAGTGATGGAAACATTCCCTTTCTGGGCTGTCCAAGATGGCAGCCACCTGCCCCAGGAGGCTATTGTGAACCTGAGGTATAGTGGGTATGACTGAGGAATGGGATTTTTAACTTTATTTATTTGAATTACTTTGAATGTAAGTAACCACATGTGGCTAGTAGCTAACAAATTAGAGAGCACAGTTTCACAATGTGCTGCCAGACGCCCATGTCGAAGGTGCAACCCTTCAGGCTGACGGACTAGCTCCTTTCTGACCTCTGCTAATATGAAGAGAAGTCCTTGGCTTCTTTGCTCTTGATTTATTAGTTCAGTTTCTCTATATTTAAAGTAAGATTAATAATTCTTGCCTCACCTTCTTAACAATGTGTCAGGAAAATCCAATAAAATAATGAAATAATTGATCATTTTAGCTCACAGCTTTAACATAAGCATCACCACCTTGGCAGGACGCTGCTGTGTGATCTTCCTGTACATTTCTCCCTGGCAATGCCCACAATGATTGTTTAAGATATTTGCACATGTGCAAAGCTCAAAACAAATGCAAGAAACATTCCAATACTTATGTATTGTTTTCTATTACTGAACGTGGAGAGTTGGCCTGGTGATGTGGGTGGAGTGCCCTGGGTGTCTGACCAACCTGAGTCTCAATCCCATATTTTCAGAAGACTACCAGCAGACAGGTCACTTAACCTCTTGGATATCCCACCCCCCATTGGTGAAAGCAAATCCTGATATTCATGGCATGGAAGCTGTCAGGAGAAATGAGAGGAGGTCCTGTCTTTGAGGCATCAAACGCAGTACCCAGGGTACCCACTAAAGGTCAGTGCCTGACCTTCCCATTGGAAAACAAGGGGATTGTGATGAAACATTTAGGACAAATGGTAGCCTTTGAATGCCTCGACGAAGGGCTACTGGGAACATTGCGAAGGCAAGTTCTGCAAATCTGAATGCAGCTCTTATTGGGTGCAAAAAGGACTTCTACTGTTTTCAAACCCCTGTCAAATGCCATGACATTTCTAGACTTAAGTCACTCATCTCCACTGGGTTTATTTACAAGTAGCAAAGCAAAGTTTCCGGCTTCTAAGGAAAGAGGCTTCTAAAATCATATTAAAAAGACCTCAAAAGGTTTCCTAGACATCAAACAGCCCTTAAAATAATATTTCGATGATTTGATTGTAAATAAATCAGGAACATGTGGATTAAATTTCAATCAAAATATGCATGACTTTTAAAATCAAGGGATCGGACAGAGGACTTGGCACAATGCACTTTGGGGCTTTATTGAACTCAGAGCATTTGAGAAATGCTTTGTGACATGGGACAGGGCTCAGATGGGTGCACCAGCCCCTGCTTCTTCATATACACCAAAGGAAATTGTAGCTGGGAAGGGAGTTTCCAGCTTTCAGGAGATCTGATTTGGAATGGCCTTGATGTCCTCTTACCCAGGGGCAGCCCCAAAGCACATGAGCCTCACACATTTTCTGAAAGCTGAAAGGGGAGCACCAAAGTCCACCTTGATGGCAAAGCAAGCAAGAGAAGTGAAACTTTGGGGGTAATTTTGTTTCTTCAAGTCCACAAAGAGGACAAGGCTGTCTGTCTAGTCACTGGGTGGTGACACTGAATTCACCTTCCAGCTGCTGCTGAAAGCAGACCTGCAGGGCTAAGGGACCCATGGACATGGGTCCAGGATGACCAATAAGTCTCTTCACACACATGTGCAGATACACAGGGACACACTCTCACACACACACAGATGCATAAGTGCATACACACAGGCAAACGTGAGCAAAGGAGGAAGTAGATTTGGGAGACTGTCTACATGCTGCTGGACCCAATCCACTCTCTTCTTCCTTTTGATCATGGACCCTTTCCTCCCATTCTCTAAATGAATTCAAGCCAGCAAGTTACAGTAGAAATGAGGGATCTTTCCTCTTCTCTCCTCCCCTCCCCCTCTCTCCCTTCTTTCCCTTCCCTCCCTCCATCCCTCTCTCTCTTTCCCTTTCTCCCCTCTGCCCCTCTTCTCTCTCTTCCCTTCTTTCCCTTCCCTCCCTCCGTCCCTCTCTCTCTTTCCCTTTCTCCCCTCTGCCCCTCCCTCTCTCCTTTCTTTGCTTTATGCACTCCATTGCTTCTTATGAGCCTTTCTCCTATGCAAACCCAGGCTTTATAATGCATCCTGTTCAAATCAATCCCAAATGTCCTTTCCTACTCAAGGGAAGCCCAGGTTCCTGCTAGTTCTCACCCCTACTGCTTGACACTGGCTGCCCCCTCTGGCAGGCAGTTGATGGCTGCTGCAAGCCGCGTGGCACGCCGTGCACAATGGGAGACCCCAGGTTCAAGCAGGAGTGCAGCTGAGTCTGAGGCTCCCAGCAGTGAAGCTGACGATTGGACTTTCTCGGTGGTGTGAGACTTGTATGCACACGGCTTGCCTGAGGACGCCAAGCCTCAGAGCCTGAGCATGGTTTGAGAGGAGGGACAGGGTTGAACTAGACCAGCTACATACAGGCTCCTAGGCACCTGAATGACCCCATCCGCAGGTTGCTCGGTTGCTCCCAAGTGCACAGAATCTGAAGACCTGAGACTTGGGCTGCTGCATTTACAGTTGAGTGACTGTCAGACAAGGTAGCTCTCAAGGACCTCAGGTTCTTCATTTCCTGCAAGAGAATTTTAGAGAAATTGGACCACAGGGTTCCTTGGATGGACAAAGAAACCTGTGTCTAAAACAAGGCAGTGTATAGTTGTCAGTCATTACCATCATGGGTGGTGTGGGCAGGGTGTCCATGTGACAGGGGCCTTCTTCAGCTGCCTGCAGTGGTGATCCTCACTGCAGGCACCACCCCTAGCCTCAGCAGGCCAACCAGGGGTGCTGGGGTTGGTCTTGCCTTCAGGGTGCCTGAAAGTGCCTGGAGGACAGCACTGGAGTGGTGGCTGGGAATTGCCTGCTGGGAAACTTAGCAATTGCAAGACATTGGCCCAATGGGAACAGCCCAGAGCCCTGACCCTAGTACATAGCAGAAGAAATAGCCCCAAGATGAGAGTGACAATGGTGGAATGACGGTTGTGGCTACAAAATCATGGCCACCACTGTGCCGAGTGCTCTCCCACCTCCTTTTATCCTCCAGAGAATCCTGGGTCCTAGGCAACATCATTTGCATTTCACAAAAGAAGAAACTCAGTTTCTGTGGCATTACTGACTCACAGAAGGACACACTGGGAGGAACTGATAGAGCTTGGACACTAAGAATTAGGGTCCATACAACCGTCAAGGAAGTTTGCTTATTGTAAGCGTGGGATGACATAAAATATATCCAAACAACTTGCCAACACTGAAGATCTATTCAAAGAGTCTTTTAGTAAGTCAAATACCATAAAAATCTAACATTAGCACTAAGATATCAATATTAATTCTATTGCTACTAATATAATCAGTAGTGATACTAATTATTACTGCTGATGACAGTGGCAACAGAGGGCCAGAGGTGGTTCAGTCTGTTTCAGCCCACGTTTCCTAATGGAGATCTGCTAAGCTTTGGGCACTGCGTGTGTTGACATATCACTGATTTATCTTGAGTGCTATATTCACAGGGATTGGGATGCTGAATCTTGAAACATGATACTATTCGGTAGGTTCATATCTCACTTGTCCGGTAAGACCAGGTATCCCCAAGTTACTTTGCTGGTCCTGGGAACCCCTCCAAGGATGATTCATTGAGGACTGCTCCCGTCCATGCATGCTACAAAAAACCATCCTGAGGACAGAGTGGTCTCTTCACTTTCGATGTGAGCAGCAGTTCTCACTTGGCTGAGAGGTCCTGTCTTCTGTCACTCCCATCCCTGCAGATATTTCAAAGTACCTAGTGGGCAGGAAATGGCCAATGTCTAGCTCTGCTGTTGTAGTTAAGCAGCATTGAACAAGCTGGGAAAGTGCTCTTCTCCTTGGTTTTTTCATCTTCCCCATGGGCAGCTCTATTTCCACCATGGAAATTGAAGACATACTGTATGAATGATGCCTGCGCAGGCCCTGGCTCTAGCTGTGGGTCAGGGCCTATTTGCTACTCTGAGCTCCCTTCCAAGCCTGGGGCTGACTCTGAGCATCAGTACCAAGGAAGATGCTCTAGCACACACCCACCAGTGTGGGGTGGACTGGGGAGGGCGTGGAGGTGGATGGGCAGACGTGACTTCAGCTCTTGGCTCTGTATGCACTGAAGGGCAGAAACCAGGCCAGGCTCAGAATATTCTACAGCTTAGTTTCCTTATCTCTAGAGAGAATAATATCTGCCTCTCAGGACAATGGCAAGAATTAAATGCAAGCAAGTGCTAGCATATTGGAAGACAGAAGTTGTTTTTTAAAAATATTTATTCTCTCCTGTCCTTCCCAGAGCAAATGTTTCAACAATGGCGTCAGAGTTGGGGTTGGGGAGGAAAGAGAGTTGGGGGAAGGAGCTGGTCTTCACACTCATGGGTTGCTTTCCAGTTTATGGAATTCTTTAACAAATCTACCCCTATATGACAAATTTACAACAATCTGAGGGGGGAGGTATTATTATCACACCCATTTTACAGACTTAGAATCTGAGGCACTGTTGGCTTAAAAGAACTGCCAAGCTGCCCAGTTGGGCCTGCCAAATGCCCCTATAACCTTTAGTGGCATTGTTCCTCACAAACTTCCCACCTGTTTGGGAAGTCCCAGTTAGGGTCCCTTAGGTTCAAAGCCAAGGCCATAGACTTTGAGAACATGCCCTATTTGTTCAGGTTGTACTTAGAGAAAGGAGGCGGGCATGGGGGTGAGGGCTTGACCGAGGATTCCTTCCTTCTGCAGGTTCCTCTTTGAAGATGAAAACAATTCAACAACCTTCTTCTCCATGCCTTTCAGAATGAATTTCTTCTTCTCCCGGATTTTTCTTTCAATTCTTGGCTGAAGTTTCAAGCTGTGATCACTCCAGGTAAGAGCAGAATTTGAGTTAACTTTGTGCATCAGAGAGACCAAGGCAGGCAAGGTGAAGGAAAAAGATTGCAGCATCCCCGGTGCGTTCCCAGCCCTACCTCCCCTCGTATTCTAGTTTCTGTGTCTTTGTTCACACTGATCCTGTAGCTGGGTGGCCACTGTCTCTAACCCATCGGCTTGTCTACACCTCTACCTTCAGACACCCTTTGACACACCTTTCCAAGGAAGGCAGTCATCCCCACACTCCCTTCTCTCCACTCCCAAACCCCTGAATGCATTTCTATGAAATTAATGTGCTCAAGCTTCTGACCTCTCTGCAAGGGGCCCCAGGGGTCTCTCCTCTGTAGTTAACACTCAGCATTTTATCTTCTCCAACTCAGACCCCCTAAATGTCTCTGCCCCAGTCTCTGTTGCTATTAATCCAGTGTTGGCCGCAGGCAAAGCTGTTATTCACTCCTAAATGCCTCCATCACTCCCATTCAGGCTCTCTGACCTTTGGCCCCACACCCGAGTTCCCACTACCCAGCCCAGTCTCCTGCTGGTGTTCTGATCTTTTAGGCTTCTCCAGCTCAAAAGCTCAGCATGAGTCAGAATCAGAATTCACCCCTGATTCTGAGGCACTGCAGCCAGAGGGAAAGTCTCCCCACCTTCCACTCTGGCCCCTGTAGGTGCAGGAAGGCAAGGCCAGCCCCTACTGGCCATGAGGTGTGGCCTCTAGCTTCTAAGCTTGACTCTCCCACTCACCAGCCACACGTCCTTCCCTGGCTGCTCCTCTGCGTGTGATAAACTTCTCTCTGGATCATGGTTTCTTCATCTGGAGAATGAGGGAGTTGAACCACATGTGTGTAAGAGTACCTCCTGCTTCTATGATACCTTTTCAAATGGCTGAATATTTGGAATATCTTTCTTTAAGGGACCTCAGAAAAGCTCAAGACCCAAGGCTAATTTTATTAATAAAGCCAGCCTTGTGGAATCTCTAAGAATTAATCATTAGACTCTTTTCAAAGTTATCTATTAATGACCTGAAAAAAGACAAAGACAACCTCATCTGATGTGTGCATAGCCCAAGGGAGAGGCAATGGGAGATATTGTAATGCAATCTCCCAGACCCCAAAAAAGATGCCGACAAACTAGAATGATGAGCTAGCTACATTGGAGTGGATTTTCCTTGTAGAGGAAATTAAATCTGAGCAGAATCCTAAAAGATACTTTTCCTGTGAAGAAAATGAAGACATTTAAGCTGTTGTAGGGATTGGAAACACCGGGGAGACCTGATTTCTGTCTTCAAAGTTGAGAAGGCCACAGATCCCCCATTTGGCATCATAAAGCACGCGCTCATGGACAAAAGAAACCAGATTCAACTGCAGAGTTACAGCCTGCAGTGGCAGTGGTAGTGACGGGCATTGTGGTGAGACTGACGTTTGCTCTCAGTAAGGGACTTTGGACAGCAGGTGTGCCCTGCCAGGTTTCCTTCATTAGGCAGGGGTTTCCAGAGGAGCTACTCTACCTGAGAAGCAAAAGTGACCAAGACAGAGGAACTTCTTCTCTCCTAATCGTGCACTTCAGAGGAGGAGATACATGATAGTACCCAGGTAAATGCATGCATAAACAGCCCATAATAGTACAGAGATAAACACAAGCATAGATAGTACAGAATCATATATAGGTAAGCACATGCATATCCAGTATATAATAGGACACAGGTGCTGTGGTTTGGAGGTTTCTGTCCCCTCCAAAACTCATGTTGAAACTTAATCCCCATTGTAATCACGTTGGGAGGTGTAGCCTAATGGAAAGTGTTTAGGTCATGAGGTCTCTGCCCTCATTAATAAATTAATGCTTCTATACAAAAGGATTGCAGGAATGAGTTTGCCCTTCTCTTCTGCTCTTGGATCATGTGAGGACACAGAGTTCCTTTCCCTGAAAATGCACCAACGAGGCACCACCTTGGAAGTGGAGACCAGGCCCTTAACAGACACCAAACCTATAGGAATCTTGATGTTGGATCTCCCAGCCTCCAAAACTGTGAGAAATAGATTTATGTTCTTTATAAATCACCCAGTCTGTGGTGCTCTATTATAGCAGCACAAAACAGACTAAGATAGCAGGTACATACGGACAAACGGTATATGATTGTACACAGGTGAACATGTACTTAAACAGAATATGGTAGTGCACAAGCAAACACATGCATAAACAGTACGTAGTCACACACAGGCTAATGCATACATAGGCCAGATCATTTCCCACATTGGCAGTACTATGAAGGGGATGAAGATGGGCTCAGAGGATCGGGAGTGGATAGAGGTCCAGGGCAGTAAGAGCCACTGTAGATGAGGTGGTCAGGGAAGGTGTCCCTGAAAAGATTCCACCTGAACTGACACCAAAGGGCAGGGGTGGGCAGCGATGAAAAGGGCCCCTCTCTCAGGCAGGGAGCAGCAAATTCATTATCATTGAGGCAGGACGCAGCTTAGCATTGCTCAGGACAATATGATCAGTGTGGCTGGAGATCAGTGCACTTTCGGAGGTGACATGGATTGAGGTTAGGAAGACTAGCAGGTGTTGACTCCTCCAGGTCTTAATTTATAAGGGTAGCAGATCTGATAGGCTACTTGTGATGTGGTGAGCGCCCCATCAACTGGGCAATGGAAAGAGGGGCTGGGTGACCACTGATCAGCAATGTCGGAAGTGGGAGAGAGTGAGGAAGAAATTGAAGTGGAATGCTTTAAAGCACTGTCCGTCTTTGACATCAAGACACTCACTTTGCTGAGCTCAGAGACATCTGAAGTTTAATCACCTGCAGATTTGATTGAATGTATTTTGCCAATATTGAGGGACAGCCACCATGAGGAGAAGTGCCAGTGCAGCTGCCAACTGAGGAGAGGCCAGGACCTCAGTACCATGGATACAGCAAATGTGGACAGAGCCAGTGCCGTGGCTCATTTAGAGCCAGATGTGAAAGGCAGCTGGCTGTGCCTCCTTGCTTTGACTGCTGAAAACCATAAATAAATACATGTAAAAAGTTGGATGTTAGCTCTGTCATTATTTTACAATGATGATAGGACGTTAGAATATGAATGCAGTTTGAAAGATAGCACTGTCTTTGATACATCAAAAAGCCCTCTCCACTTGACTAGAACTTTGGAGGGACGCTACTAGGATAAACTCCTCCCTGCCTGTTCTCCTGATGTTGTATTACGATGACAGAAGCTCTCAATGTATCAACTTAATTTCAGTTCAAAAACCGTCTTAGTTCTGCCCTAGTGAAGTCAAATGGAGTTTTATCATTTTTTCTTGGGCATAAGATGCTCAATTTTCCAGAGGGAAAAAATGCAGAATGGAGCTGAAAATGTAATCATATTTGGGAGAAATGGGTAATCATATTCTTGTGGTATTAAAGACTTCTCTAAGAAAACTCTGCTACCAAGAATGGGGTCACAGGGTTGAGAATCCATCTGACACTGTGGAAGAAAGGCAATGTTATCCCTATCTACATTTCCAGAATCTGATATCTATTTTCTCCCCATTCGCTTGCCCATGGTATGGCTACATCTGCATCTATACAGTGGATTTTCCATCTACTCATCCTTCTTTGATCAGAGCTCAACCTCTGTGAGCTTTGATTTCCAATTCCTAGAATAGAGACAGGGTACTTGCCCCTGAGCCCCTCAATACCCGGTGACTGAATTCCCTCTGTTTTGGCTTTCGTGACACTGTCCAGGTACACTCCCCTTTAATGGAGACTTCTGAGTCTGCTCTGGTTCTAGAAAGGCAGTCTAAGTTAATTTCCACAATTTTCATTGTATTGGCAAAGAACTTGAGGCTTTGTTGTTCAAGAAACTTCCCAGTATCTATTAAGGGGCAGATCTATTTATCAAACCCAGACTTACAGATGCCAGTGTCCAGGCTTTGCCCTGTTCCCCATAATTGCCCCTAAGAACCATCTGTAGCACATCTGAGATGGAGCCACGGAGTCCTAGTCTGGCCTCCTGGAATCCACCCACTCCTGTCTGGGGAGCTGCCTGCCCTTTGCTGGCCCTTCTGATGAAGGCTCCACTCCATCTGGTGAGACCTGGGAGCCTCTGGTCCGGTTACCAGCTAGCCCTCCCATCTCCCATATCTTGAAGTCTGCTGGGAGGGAGGACTCGGGTAATAACCACGCTAATGACAAAGCGCTAACTGAAGACCCCAGTAACCTCTTGGTTTCCTCCCTTCCCATGGCCGTGGCATAATGAAGCCGGGCAGGCACTTGGGGAGTAATCGGATCCAGCTCAGGGTTAGCTAAGAGGTGGTTTGTGGTCAGGTGTCCAACAGATGGGTTCAAATTACCTGACTTTAATTTCAAGTAATTGGTGAGCTGGATTACCCTCCAGCTCAGGGGACCTGGAACTATATGTCTTTTACTATCAGCCCTGAAGGAAAAGGAGAGTCTGCTCCATGGGGGTGGTGAGGGTAGGGGTGGGAAAGGCCAGGGTCCGGACACAGGGGTATCCAAATGATTCCAGAGGCTGGGCCAGAGTCCCTCAACCTTCAAGGAAGTTTTCTAATGATAGGTTAAGATTCTATTGCAGAACTTGCAAAGACTTCTCTCCAGATGATGGAAGAGAGTTAAAATCATAAAGGGTGAGATTTGGTTATGTAATTCTCTCTCTTCTGGTTTTTTTTTTTGTTGTTGTTTTGTTTAATTACCAATATGTTTATGCAAATGCACATATTTCCAAATGCTTGTTTAGTCTGCTTGTGCATCTATTTATACTCTTAATAATCACTAGACTTTACTGGGGATGTCCAGGCACTTGGCTAATTGTTTTACATGTCAGAGCTTCTCCAATGTTCCAATGACCCTTATGGGGTAGAGACTCACAGCTATCACTTTACAGATGTGAATAGTGATAGTGAAAGGGGTGGATGGGCCTGCCCCTGGTCCATGGTTCCTCATGGAGAGCTGGATCTCAGCACAGTAAACCACCTCAAAGGCTCCATCCCTTTGTCTCTGCTGAGTGCAAGCTCTTCAACTCCTCTCAGGAAGATGACAAGGACTTTCATCCCAACGCCTCCACTCCTGCTCTCTCCCTAGTCTCTTCATCTTGTGTTCATTCATTTATTTATTCTTGCAAAAATCACATCCCCAAGTCTGTATTTAGCCTGTGCTTGACCTATATTAGACATTCAATAAACATTTTGAGGGTGAATCAATGAACACGAATGCAAGGGTTAATAAGACAGGGCTCTTCCATCAACAGGTTATGCATACCTGGTGAGAACAAAACTATAAACACATCCACGCACACCAAGATGGTAATTTCACAATATATAGTGATAAAAAGAATTGTGAGAAAAAAATGAAGCCACATTTGCAAAAAAGTGAAGTGCCTTACACAGCATTGGGTGCATATGTAATAAGTGGTCAGTGAGCAGGCTGGGTAGCTTCCCCAGTTGACTATTGTTTCCACAGGTGGGACATGTTTGCGTGTGCATATGTGTGTGTGTGTGTGTGTGTGTGCATGTGCATATATGTGTGTTTGTGTGAACAAATCTGTGCATGTATGTGTATGAGTGTTTGCCGTGTCTTTAATCTTCTGCGTTTTCAGCTGCTGGTCCATGCCTGGTCATATTCTTGGTACTCAGATTATGATGGATGTTTAAATAAATAAAAAACAAGGCCTGAGACCAAGTGAAGAGGCAGTTAAAATGTCACCCCAAAGCTTCCTGAGGGCTCTTGAAAGGCGGTCTGAGTTATTTTGTATTCTGTATTTGTGCTAAGAAGTGCTGTCTGACAGAGCATCTGGGAAGAAAACCAAGAGCAAATATAGCCATCTTGATCCTACCTGCTTGAGAGCTGTAAGCCACAGCTTTCAGAGAGATGTTCCAGTGAGAGAGAGGGGCTAGCTGGGAAAGAATTAGACTACAAACAGGGAAGTTTCATTGTCTGCAAAGTGGGGAGACTCCAGATTGTGTGGGGCTGTGGAATAATAATCTGACATCACCTGTGGAAGGCTCTCAGTTGTTGTCTGGTCAGTTGGACAGACCCTCAGCCTTGACCATCCTCACTTTGCACATCTGCAGCATGGAACCCACAAGGCATCCAATGGGGTTGCTGTAACTCTCAGATGAGGCGATGGATGTTTCCAATTGCTTTAGATTCACTGTCACATGCCACAAGAGGGCTGGCATATTTATTAATTTACAATGTATGAACTTGTAATATCTTACTGAATAGCAAGCGTGGTCCTTGCACCTCTAGTGCATTATGTAATCGCCATGGCCAACTGAACAATTCTCACATGAAGCTTGTCTACTTTACTTAGGTGGCCACTGAGAGAGCTCGGGCCCCCAGACAGTTAAACCACGCTGGGGCCACCTGGTACTTGAAGCACCTTAAGGGCCTTCATAAAACTGCTGGGTGACCACAAAACTAACCACCAGTTCCTCTGGAGCCCAGCCCAGCAGTGTGAACCCGAACCGCGGGAGAAAAAGGTGATGCAGCACTTTGTCACTCCCTGTCTCGAGCAGGCAGGCAGGCCAGGGGCAGCCAGCCCAGTTATCAGTTTCTCACAGAAACCTGCTCCGGTCAGCCTGCCTGGAAAGTCCCACGGGGTGAGGACGCTGGTGCTCTGCCTCCTCTGTCTATGTCTGGGCTGTTCCCTCAGGGGCAGCAGATCTTGAATCCTTAGCATTGTCAAGAGTTCCAGTGACTTTGGGTTCAAAGGGTATGGTCTTTCAGATAAGATTGGCTTTTCCTGGGTGTCCTTAGGAAGCTGGAGGGGATGCTGGAACAAATCATGTGTTGGAAAATGCACCTAGTAATGGGAACATCTCAGCAGTGTCTTGATCACTGTAGAGTTCAGACATTTGGGGACAGAGTCTGAGTGTATATTGCTTTCCTCCCTAAATCTTAGGCCACTCTAACTCTGACTATACTACTTTGCAACCTTCCTGACACACACACACACACACACACACACACTCTTTCTCTCTCTCTCTCTCTCTCTCAATCATCCTGTCAATTCTTCCTTGGAAAACCAGCAAGTTCTGATTGCTTAGTTTATCAAACCCCCTTGTGATCGAGGTAATGAAAACATTACCTTGGAAGCCAGTCCCCGGGTTTGAATCCCAGGGTCACCACATACTAACCACGTGGTCTGGGCAGCTCATCTGTCCTCCTTGCTCTGTCCATTCTGTCTCAGTAGGTCTAGGGATGAGGTCTGGGAATCTGGGTTAAAGCAAACCACTGCAGTGGTTCACGGGCTACTCTGAGAAACCCTGCACTGATGGAGGGTGGGGGGCCCAGGGATGAAGTTCTGAGGGTTAGTGACCCCTGGAAATGGTAAGAAAGATAGTATTACTCGTGTGTGTTTCCATGTGGGAAGAGACAAAGTGTCATTGAGTCTCAAAGGGCTCTTTGGCCCAAAACAACTTAGAACCAGAAGGTAGAAAAGAGAGGAGAGCTGGCAATGACTCCAAGGGTTAGAGCCTATCCTCCTAGAAGAACATGGCACCCCTACCCTATTGGTGTGGCAGATAATAGGGAGACAGTAGTTCTGTTTAAATATGTGAAGATCCAGAACTGTGGGTGGATGGCAAGTTATTTAAACAACAACGTCCCAGGAAACACAGGGAAGACCAACTAGCCCTTCAAGGCTTCCGGTGCACAGCTCCCTGACACTGCAGGCTCTGGAAGTAGCCCCACGGAGAAGAGGAATGGGAATGATTGCAAAAAGTCCAGACAGTGAAGGTGAAAAGGAATCGAGGCTTTGCAGATGAGGTAGGACTTGAGGTGCACTTGGAATGATGGCAGTGTGCTTATTTTCCAACATAGCTTATGCACGTAGAAAGAAAAAAAAAAGATTCTGAGTTTCTACAGAGTTTTCAAAATCCCCCAGTTCATGGACCCTTGCTGGTACTTTGGTGGTGGAATGAAACAGGTCTCCAAACTCTTCACACAGGATCCTTTGTATCAACACCACCCAGAAAACATTGCTTGTCTTTTCCTTGAAGACATGTTCCATTTGGGGAATTTTTTTTTCATGGCATCACAATCTCCAAGCCAAAGACTCTAGTCCCAAGATTCTGGTGTTTGTCTTTCAGGGTGGAAAGCTCAGAGTGTCATCTTGGCCCACTATTCAGCAGACAGAACAAAGAAGAAGAGAGATCCAGCAGACTCCCTAAAATTATTGTAGTAGCTCAAACACAAACTTTACCTAAACACTGATTGTGTTAGTCCAATCCCACCATTAATCTTCTGCCAACTGCATTTAGGAGGTGAAAGGCTGCTCTTTGATACTCAGTGTCCCTCCCTATGCTGCTGAATGGACAAAGGAGAAGATATGAGAAAGAAACAATCACTCAGTTGCGGTGGCTCATGCCTGTAATCCCTGCAATTTGGGTTGCCGAGGCAGGTGGATCACCTGAGGTCAGGAGTTCAAGACTAGCCTGGACAATACGGTGAAACCCCATCTCTACTAAAAATACAAAAATTAGCTGGGTGTAGTGGCAGGCACCTGTAATCCCAGCTACTCAAGAGGCTGAGGCGGGAGAATCGCTGGAAGGTGGAGAATGCAGTGAGCCGAGATCGCACCACTGCACTCCATCCTGGGTTAAAGTGCGAAACTCTGTCTCAAAAAAAAAAAAAAAAAAATAGCCAGGCATGGTGGCAAATTCCTATAGTCCCAGCTACTTGGGAGGCTGAGGCAGGAGAATCACTTGAACATGGGAGGTGGAGGTTGCAGTGCCCCAAGATCGCGCCACTGCACTCCAGCCTGGGTGACAGAGCAACACTCTGTCTCAAAAAAAAAAAAAAAAAAAAAAGAGAGAGAGAAAGAAAACAGAGTCATTCCAATCCCATGCAGATTTACTGAGTACTTACTATATGGTTCACCTGATGCAGGATCTAAAGAAAGAAGGTCTTAGAACCAAAGCCTTGCTTAAGATATTTCTGGCCTTATGACTGTTTGATGCAAAACTCAAAAGTTGTTAAGACTGTCCTGGCACCATTTTGTTCAGCCTGTAGGACCTATCACTAGGTCCTGAAACTCCCAAAACCTCAGTGTCCCATCTTTAAGACAAAGAATAGCCAAATTCTCCTCTCCATTCACGTTCTCTCAACAGGATGCCGAGACAAAAGCGGAGTCAGACTTTTGAAACTGAAATTCCTTGGGTGGGAGGTGGGCTTCACACCCTGGGCTTCCAGCACCACCCACAGGCATTTCAGAAGCTCACTTCTTATTTCAGCATCTGACAAATAAAAAGAAAAGACCAAAAAAAAAAAAAGTAATACTCTATTCCGTGTCAACAGTTTCTTCCTTTTTGCATCTAGATGTGAAGGCTGCCAACCACTCCTTAAAAAGATACAAGCTTTGCAATATGAATCCATGACCCCATATTTGAAACCTTTGTGCCCTTTGGCATTCAGTATGTTTCAGATTTAGAACAGTAATATGTTGCATGCACTCAGTATTATTTAACACCCCCAGTGGAGCCTGGGGCAGTGCCCTGCAATCAAGCCCATTAATATTTCTGCAGAAAAATGTATGAATATGCACACCAAGTCGGATAAATAAAGACTATCAACAGCCCAGTGTCGGTCCAGGTCAACTTTTGCTGCCTAATGAGTTCAGATCAGGCCAGTTGTTGCAGTCAAATAAGTCATAAAATGTAAGCCTTCAGAGCGTTTGGGCTTCCAGAATTGTAGGTAAGGGATTGCAGACCTGTAATAGCAAGAAGCATTGAGTGAGAGTTTATCATGTGCCAGCCAGTGTGCTAAGTGTGCCCAGCCGCATGGGCAGGTGTTCCTATTACCCCCCATGCTGTAGCAAAGAAACAGAGTCTGAGTGAGGGTGATGTGGGTAAACCTGAGCAGGGGGGGTCTTTCTGCCTCGTTCCAAGGCTCCATTCTGAATGAAGGCATCAGAACAAAGTCCTATGCCTGTCAGCTGAGAGTGATAGGAATGATTTGAAAATGTAAGTGGCTTGCGTGGGCCAAAAAAGCAGCTCATTCTGACACTCCTAATTTTACTGGTACCTCCTCCCAGCCAAGAAGAGAGGATAATATTAACATAAGGGGAATCAGAGAACAAGTAGAACATAGACATGCCAGTTTCTCCCCTTGGGTGTTGAGGAATCAGGAGTCCTGTCTAACCAGACTGGAATTTTCAGCCTCAAGGACCACAGAGACTCCTCACTTCTCCTCCTTCCCAAAGCGTGAGCCTCATGACTGATTGCCTTGTCTCCAGATTGGCTATTTCTAACATCCCTCACACCATGGTTAGATTTATCTTCCTAAAATGTTTCTCTGAACATATTATTTCTCTGCTGAAAATACTCCAGGGCTTCCTGCTGTCTACAGAAGAAGTTCACATGTTTTGACTTGGCCTCCAAAGGATGCACTGGATACCTCCTCAGATAAACTAAACCATGTGATGTCACTGCATAGCCCCCCATTTTCCCATACCATGTTCTATTGCTACCACCATCTCTCAACCTTTGCCATCTTTCCTTTGTGTTTTAAGCAACAGTTTCTTCAGCTCCAAGATCACCTCCTCAAAGAAGGCTTGTCTATGGCCCACCAAATGGAAGCAGACCTGTGTATTCTCAGCTTATGTTGCCTTTGCTTCTCTTCTGACAGCTTTCAAATGCCTCTTCAGTTCAATTATTCTTTCAGCTCCCCTTTGTTTAATATGGCAAATGGGACCCCATTTTATCAATCAAATTATTAGTATCTTATCAGTTAATCTGTATAATTTTATACTGTTATGTTGAATAAATGAAACCCAGTAGGTTGCAAATGTAAATCCAGATTAGCTTAGCTTCAGAACAAGTAGGCTACATATTCAGTTCCCTACTTGCATAGGTGTGCAACCTGGGAGGTTCTCAGATAACAGCCCAAGTGTTAGGGTATTGCTTGTCAAATATGTTCCTTGCTCTATGATAACAAAAAAATCTAACTTCAAAAGATTCCTTATAACCAACTATTTATCTACCCATTCTTATCTATGTGAATAGATAATATGTTATCCCCTTCAATTATTCTCTAAAAAACTCACAAAGATTATAAACCAAAGAGGAAACAAGTCATTTCTTTTAGCTCTATACTACTTCAAATGTCACTGCTCCTCTCGGTCCAGCTTCTTAGAGCAATTACATGCACCATCAGGATCCTTGGTGATTTTGTAGACTTTCTTGGTCTTTAGTTGATAGTTCAAGGCTTTGGAGAGGTATCAAGGATGCTTGCAAAGATGGCAACTAAAGGCCTGGGTAATCCTTCAACGAATGGATCCCTTGTTTTCTGCATTCACCCATGTTTGGCTTAGTCAGTTGTGGTATGTCTATAAGCAGATTTCCAAGCTTCTTTTGCTGAATTCTGAATGGCAGATAAAAGATTTCCCAGTGATTTGATCTTAATGGTGTTTTGGGGAGTTGAGGGGTTGAACTCTTTATGGGAGAAGTGAATTTTCATGGAGAGATCAGGCTTTCTGTGATTCTTTAGATAGGCAAGAGACTGCAGTGCTGAATTGAACCTCAGAATGGGGCTCTTCTTTTTCTCTTGCTCAGCGAGTCTTCCAGCATTTATGTTAGCTTCACAGTCCTAAGGCAGCCATGCAACAGGAAGCCCTTCTAATTATTCCCAGTGATTCTTATAAACATATCTTTCTTTATCAGTTTCCCAGACTCAGTCCTGGTCATCCCTGACCTCAAGGCTCTCCTAGTCTAGAAGAAGAGGTGAACACTGGCCCATTACACCTGACTTAGGCCCTCCCTCTTTCCCCAGCCCTTTGAGATGCTGGAGATGACTTGCCTGCTGACCCAGCTCCCATGTCATCCTTGAGAGTGTGGGCAGCTCCAACATGACTTTCCTTCTGGAGTTTGGGCCACCAGGAGTGGGCGTACTTCTGCCTGTCACTAAGCAGACATGACATGAGTGGGTACAACTGACATGTTTTTTTTTTTTTTCCTTTTGGATGTGTGGGTGCCTGCAAGATTTTCTTTTCTTCCTTCCTTTCAGAAGTGCAGCAGGGAGAATGCCAATCAGGAGTTGGTGGTTCCATCCACAGCCATTCAACCGGCCACCCTGACTGAGTTCCTCAAATCATAGACATCTATGACACTGTGGCATTGAGATCTGACAGTATGCGGCTTCCTCACTCTCCCATGTTGGAGGATGCTCAGAGTGCTGCCGGAACAGGACACAGAGATAGCACAGATCTTTCTACTAATAGAACACCAATACTGTGGAAGACTAATACTAGCACATACTATAATAAAAGTAGGGCTTTCTGTTCCTGTATACGAATGTTTTAGCTTACATTTCACTTCTTTCACTTTCTTCATGGAAAGCTTGCAGCCTCATCTTCCCAATATAGTTAATATTCTCTTTACACTTCCTGCGATGGCTCCCATCCCATTCCATGCTTTCCCTTCCACTGCATGCCTTATGCATGTCGGTCTATGTTCAATGTCTGCGTTTGCCATTAGACTATGAGCTTCACTAGGAGGAAGAGTGAGTAAGTGGGTCTTATTCATCATTGTCCTCTCAGTGTCCAGTATGGTTCCTGGCATAGAGTAGGTATTTAATAAATACATGTACAATTGAAATAGGATTCAGTATTAACTTTAATGACCCCAAAGACTTCTAAGTGATGCAAGAGAGATCTTATTAGTCTAATTTAAAGATGAGGAAACAGGTTCAGAGTTGGTGACTGGGATTAAGCCAAAGCTCTAGAGCCTATTTTCTAACTCATATTGATATTTTCGGGGAAAAAAAATATGAAATTTTGGTCAAGACCAGAGAAATGTTTGATATTCATTGTCTGTAGAATGAACATAAAATGGTCTTTAACACTTATATCAGGCAACCAATTTAGGAAGCTATAAGTCATTGCTCACCTATGTAGTTTGGAAAGAGCCTTGTGTATATAGGCAGTCAACAAGAATGGGTGAATGTACCTCAGTTTCCTTTCTGTACAGTAGAGGCAAACATATTTCCTATACCTAGTTTACTGTGTTGGTCTCAGGAGTGAATGCGATATTAAGGGTGCAAAATTTGGGGAGACTATCTCTGTCTTAGGTGATGGGCATTTACTGAAATGCCATCCCCATTCCATTTTGAGAGCCTGTCTCTGTCATAGTATAAGGTGTGCCCATCTATGCCCCCTTCCCAGCCATGATGTTCTCTAGTTTCCAGAATGCTGGGTCTCTAAGAATTTTATTTTGAAATCTTCATCTTGACCTGGTCCTAGACTCTATCCCTTTATGTTTATGGGCCAGGGTGTGGGGAAGGTGCACTGGATTTGTCTTTGGGATTATCTTGCCAATCTGCCAAGAAAAATAGTTGTCCCTCAGAAAGGGGAGAAATTTAGACAATACATGTTCTCCTAATGCCAATGTTTATTGGTATCAACTAGCTCTATACACACATTGGTATGCTACCTTCAGATCCCAACATTTCTGAGGCGATGGATATAATTCTACAATCTTGGAAGTTTCCTTTTTTAAAAAAAACAGGTGGAGGCTTTTCAGCAAAATCCAATTCTGCCTAACTATGTCTTTTAGCTTGCTTCACACATTTAAAAATTTAGAAAAGTGTGTCCCACGCCCAGGGAAATTTGCCCCAAAGGTAATAGAGATGACTCTATCTTGATGATTGATTGATGCTGGGGTGAAAGATCTATGCTGATCAATTGTAGAAGAAAGAGTTACCTCTAGAATGTTCAATATTCTCAATGGGAGTTTCAGTTCTAGAATTTTATTCCATATCATGTAATGCCAAGATTAATCATAAAAACAAATATTTATTTTCACAAACATCTCTTAAATGTGTACAGTTGACTCTCCCATTTACATAAAAATTGGAAGCTCAGCTGGGATTTCTGCTGGATCCAGGGGTCAGACTAAGATTAATACCACACTACTAGTGGCAACTGTCACTGCCATTTCTCTAAGTCCTGTTTTGTTTAGAATCTTGAATTACTAGAATCACTGTAACTTCTCCCCTTCTCAACCTCTTACTCGCAAGAGCTCTTTTGAGCAAGTTTTATAGCTTCATCTTATCCACCCTTTGGTTATTGGAATCGGGTAGTTGCTTTCCGGCTTCTATTTGAGAAAAGAGATCTTCCTATCTTTTGCACCTGGGAGTGTGTGACTTATTTAAGAGCAAGTTATTTGATGAAGTGCACAGTTCACTAGACCTCCTAATACCCTAGAGGGATAATTCAAAAGCTGTATCCAGATGGGATGACGTGGACACCTCTTACATAAGACCACGGGAGATAAAAGCTTTATCAATGGACTTTATCATTCATTGATCAAAAGTCTTCTGGCAAACTTCCCTATCATCCTGTAATGACATAGGGCCATCTTAGAGACTTCAGACAAGGCCCATTTGAGAATCCATGATGGGCAGGTATCTGGAAACCAGGCAACATACGCCTTGGGCATCTGATTCTTTCTTCATACTTTGAATCACTTATGCACACCTCAAATAATTGAGCATCTACTATGCTCCAGGAGGCATTGTTTAGGTACTGAAAATGCAGAGGTAAATAACATTATTTCTGCTTCAAAATAACCTCAGAGGTAGTCAAACATGGGTATAATTAACCAGAATGAGACACATTGACTTATTTTCTTATCAATTTTCTCTTCACTTCATGCATGTTTTAGACTCAAATTCTTCCTACTCCTCACTGATACTGATGGCAATTTTGGCAGAAAAAATGAGAGCAAGAGCAGTAAGTAAGAGGAGCACCAAACCAGAAAGTATCAGGAGGCAGGAGTGTCTGTCCTACCTCTGTCCTGACAGGACATGAGTGTGGCCATAAGCCAGTCAAGTCATGGCTGTAAGTTTCATTTCCTTAGCTGTAAGATGGGCTACTGGTAACAGCTCCTGTTACTGAGTCAAAGGGGTTGCTTATATGTGAGAAAGCTTTGAAAAGTCTCCAATATAATGCAAATATGGGCAATTATATTAAGCAACTTCATATAGTCACATGCAACTAACTTTACCGAAGCAAACTGAAAAGGCATGAAGACACAAGAAGCCAATGGCCATTGAATCTTCTGCTAATCTTGTGAAACACAAAAAACTCCTCTAAGAAAATGCACAAACCTACAACATTTTGCAGAAAAAAAAAGTAAGGGTGTTCACAGACTTCCTGGTAGCCCATTTATGGAACATTAGAGAGCTTGTGGTCCCCATTTGGAAGCTGTCAGGTCGAAGGCAGTATCTTCGGATCTCAGTAGGCAGGACCAACCTAACCTAACGAAGAAAACCTCCCACCCACCTAGAAATTACCGAGCACCTAGAGTCGAGCCCCTTCTCCATCCTCACTGCTGTGTGTATCATGTGTATTTACACCTTACCGTTTCTTCTAGTGAAACAAAAGAACACCATCTGCCCAACCACATTCCGCTTCCAGGAAACTGAAATGAGAGCGGATGTTGTCTTTCACTGCTTGTTTTCATTTTTTCTTTATCCTTTTATGTGTGCCTCTATTTTTGTTATCGCACTCTTAAAAGAAAAGATATACTTGGAGCAATTTTACCTCACATTTCTCCCTGAATTTTCCTAAGCCTGGACATCCTTAGGTGCCAGATGCCTGCCGCACAGGAGAAGTGGTGAGTACTCCTGTGGCCATTTACCAAAATAAGCTTTGAATCACCCAGTAAACACTCCCTCACACCCCTCCACAGCAAGGGCCATGTCTTATTCCCCTTCTGTCTCCATTCCATCAGTTCTTAGCAAGTAGGGGTTGAGAATTTGAGACCAGGAACAGGTCAGGAAATACTGTGGGTGAGAGGCCACAGGAGACAGTTCATCAGAACAAGGGTGCCAGGGTGTGGCCTTCAAGAGGGCCTTCCTGTGAAAAGCTTATTGACAGAGGTTCTTATGACAGAGTCCCTGAGAAGAAAGGTCCATAACAGGGTAAATAATTCCCCCAAGGCCAGAAGGACTTGGGATTCTGCCCAGATTAGAAGCTCAGTCCTACCCAGAAGAACAACAGCAAGAGATTAATTCATGAGCAGCAGGTTTAGGAATCAAAGTAGACAGGCAGTATTGCCAGAGTGCATCAGAGAATCGCCTATGAAAGACAGAAGCCACAGAACATGGATAGAACTTTGTCACTGTCCTCCATTTGTCCATGCAATGTTTTAGTAAATGAACTCCTTGGTGGATAACCACTTAAATGAGAGTCTACTGACTTATTTTCGAGGGACAACGAGCAGGAAAAGGCTGGCAGACTGTGTCTATGAAGAGAAAAATGTTCTCTTTCCATTAAGGCTCAAGGTTGAGAATTAAATTAAATAGACAGCAGAAGAAGAAAAACCCAGTTCTATAATGGTGAAAGAGCAAGGCATGTGAACCCACCAATATTAGGTCTCAAAGAGATAATATCAAAAAGAAGGCCAAGGGTTGCAAATAACAAATTTAGTCTTCTGAAAAGTCCACAGCAATGTATCTTTTTTCCCTCCAAGATGAGCAAGAATTTAATCATTCAACCAGTGGCCTGGTTCTTGGGAAACACTGCCAAAAATTAAAAATTAAATGGATCTGGGGACTCGGTCTTGTTCTTCAAATTAACTTACCTTTTAAATGACCATTTATACCTCACAGCATGTGAGCCTATTTTTACCAGCAATGGAAACTTCCTACTGCTAGGTGTTGGGGTTACATTGATGAAGAAGACAAATTTCCTGATTTTAGGATGCTCAGAGTCTCTGACAAACTTCCAGGCTAGTGTGCTGGACTTCCCAAGATCACAGCAGATAAAGGCTGACTTTTTGTGTGCATGAGACTGTTTTTGTCCCAAGAACACCCCTTAAAATATTCAATACGTTCTTTTATTTATTGTTGGGGAAAGCAAAGCAAAAGGCTGATAGCTCAAGAATAGAGAAGTTCAGCTTTGATAGACTCTTATTTTCTCCCTTGTTTACTGAACATATCTAGGTGAAACAAACAAACAAACAAATCAATCAGGGGCTAGATTGTATTAGCCAATGTCTTTCTGGGAGAAAAAGAGGGTGCCGACCTATTTTCCGGTGTTTATGTAGCTATTAATAACAACTGCTTGGTTTTGCTAGGATTTGACTTCAAGGCAAATTAGGAAAAAAAAGACATTTTTCAAGGAAGAGAACACTTTTTGTGGTAAGAGAGGTGATAAAATAAAGATTCATCTAATGTAGGGTAGCAAATAATTGACCTCCAATTCCTTTCAAATAACAATGATAGTAACATGTTTTCTCTGTGTTCAGAACTCTCCCTTCTGAGCACTTCCCAGACATTAACTCATTTAATCCACACAGCACGCCTGGGCTCCAGCCGTGACTCCACCCCACAGTGGACTCCTGGGTTGGCGTGTCCACCAAGAAATCCAGGATCCTCAGCTGTCCAGGGATGTTGGACTTCCCAAAAGGATCTCCCCACAGAGATCTTTATATCCTCCTAGTTATTTTCATCAAAGTTGTATGAAAATCCATCCAAGGTGGAGGAGGGGAAGAACGAGGGCAGGAAACAGGTCTGGTTTTGTGACTACATGTGGTCTTAGCCCTAGTTTGCCTTCTTATGAAACAGGTGGGGAAAGTCACAGAATTGCAGAGTTCATGGGTGCTCATGGGTGTTGCAGGTTTGCAGGAAAGGATCCCAGAAGAAATCTCCCCAGGAGTCATGTAGCTTCTTTTCCTGGGGGCAGGTGGGTGTGCCATTTGCCACAGACAACAGTGTTTTGATTGTAAGGAAAGAACCTTTGAAAATATTTTGAATTAACTTTTTTCTGAGTAACTGTGCTTCCCCAGCCCAAGTGGAGGGGTGAAAAAAGGCAGAGGTCCTAGTTCCATAGCCTCACTCATCACATCATTCAATATCTGTCTGTCCTCAAGGAGAGATTATTGGAAATTCTTTCATAGCTCATGCTCCACTCTTTTACATTCATATCACGCAAAACAGAACTTTTCAAAGAGCTCATCTCTAGGTCAATTGTTCACTCCTCCCTTTAAACACCATGATATACAAGAAAGCCAATGTTGTTTGAGAAATGAACGCCTAGCGCAAGAAATGCACTCTTGATAACAAAGCTCTCTTTTATCAGACTATAATTAATGAAACTTCTTTCTGTCTTATGGAGTTACCTTGTTAGTCCCCATAAAACTCCGTTAAGTAAAGACATATCATTTTTTGTAGCACCAAGACAGGATTTCACCAATTGGAGGCTGATTCTTCACTTTATGACTTGATTTTTTTTGGTAGCACTGTATGTATTCTCTCATTGGGTCTAAGCATTTTTTTTTCTGGAATACTAAAGTATATTTAAATGTAAGAGAACAAGTCTCTGAACAAGAGGCTTTTTAATAGTTCAAGTTTTATATATGAAATGGTCCCAACTTTAGTCCATCATTTTTATTCTAAGGAAATATGCCTGGCAAGGACACTAGCGTTTCTGGACCTAGCTAGAGGGAAGAGATATTCTAAGACACTCTAGAACTATCTTTTTTCTCCTTTCTAGAGAGCCTTGGTAAATAGTTTATATAAAATATTTTTATGTTCATTGAAATAGCAAACACCCTGTGTGACCACATTAGATAAAAATGCAGAAATGCCCAGGAGAAAACCTCCAAGCATGTGATAATATGACAAATGCCAATGACAAGTCAGGACGCATTTCAAAACCTGCTCAATCCTTCTAAAGTCCATCTGAAACCTCAGTTTGGTTTTCACTCTCATATATATGTGTATATACATACATGCACATGCACACACACACACACACACACATACGCTCACTCCCACTCCTTTTCCAGTAGCACCAGTGTTTGTGAACGTCAAGAATTAAAGACAAAGTGACATTTCATACATCAGATGGGAAGTCCACTAGCTTATGTAATAAAGGGGGAAAAAGGTCCTTAAATTGCACTAATATACTGATTTTGTTAACCTGATTTGAATTAAAGCAAATAATCAAAATTGTGTTCAGCTCCTTCTATCAGAGGCAAACCAAAATTGGCTGTAAACTGTTTTGAACAATGCATTTCAAGCCTCAGCAGAGGGTGTCTTATGATGCAGTCAACCAGCCTCCTAAATGGGGCTCTGAGCTGCATTTCTCCTTCCACTACCTGTCCGATCTGTCAGGCAGGAATAGCCCCTATAATCCAATATGCCAGGTTCTCTTTGGGAACAAACCTACCAGGATTCAAATTCCAACTCTGCCACCCTCTCACTGTGAACCCTCGGGTATGTTTCAGAGCCCCTGAGCATCTCAGCATCCTCATGAGATACGTAGGACATGATGTGAAAAGCTTGCTGTATAGGTCGCCTTCCATAAATGTGAGCTATTACCATCTTCTAGTTTTTATTTTCCTGGAGGGATCATAATATCAAAATATAAGTTACCTGATTCATAATATCAAAATATAAGTTACCTGATTCAGGTACACATGATTTGATTAAAATATATGCTATCTCATCAAAACGAGCTCAAATGCCACCTCCTCCAGTAAGGTGTCCCAGATGCGCAGTGAGGGGAAATCTACTCTACCCTCTTTGATGATAACAGTGGTACCATTAGCACCTCTCTTGTAGCTCTTATCCCACCTGCCTTCTTGAGTCCCGGGAGTGTTGCCAGGCTCTCAGGGCATTCCTGACAGCGTGGGCTGCACCTGCTCACCTGTGCATCCCCCCAGTCCCAGCACCGTGCTGGGCACAGAGGTTCCACTCATGTGCATGTGTCAACTCGACAGCCAAGCAAAAGCAAAGCCAGCCCTGGGTGCAATGAACGGTCGGCTAATGTCCTGTGATACAGGCAAACCGGCATGTTTCTTCAGCCCGTTGAAATGTGTGCTTGTTTTCATAACTGACTTCCTGCTGGGGGTAAAGTTCTTGCAGGCAGAGTCCATGGTTGAAGCTGGGAAGGGCATTCATCTTTTGGACCCAGGGCCTTCTGTGGCTTTTTCTAATGGATGGTCACTTAATCTGCCATAGGCATCAACATTACAAACAACCACCACAGACCTCGTGTTTTCTTTCAGTTAGAGTTACAAAGAAAAAAATAACTGAACAGAAAATAAATTGTCACCTGCCATGAATATCATAAAAAAATATTGGTGGAGGGTGGTGGGAGAATCCTCAAATAACAACCCCAAAAAGAAATTTCAGCTTCTAGTATGAACATGATTTAAATTTTCATGAACAAATCATCTGATTCTCACAAAGGCAGCAGTGATGAAAAAAAAGTAATAAACCACGGGGGGTTGGGGGAGAATCTGTGACCCAACAGGGTCCCCCAAAGGACCCCTCTGACCAGGCTTTGGTGCATGCTCCTTGTCTCAGAGAGCACCTCCTGCACTGGGCTAATTATCTTTTAAAATTCATATCTGGAGCCACGATCTGGCTCGTGGGATTAAGCACAGTATGCTTTGCAAATTGAAAATAAGATAGCTGTTAGGAATATACACTTGCCTCTATGATTACCGCGGCAAACAAAGGCAAAACATTAATTTACATCTATTATAATAGAGAAACAAAGCTGGAGATATTCCTCATATCGCAGGCAAGAGATGAATTTGCAAAGGTGATGTTCCCAGAAGATGAGGCGGGTGATGGGCTACAGAGGTGTGGGGCTTTAGGGACAGCATTGAGAGACCACTGAGTCCTTTGGAGGTCATTATGTCCCCTGCACTCACCTTTTAGACAAGGAAACGGGTTCAGACAGAGAAAAGACAGGGTCATTTCTACCCAGCCGGCTAGGGGCAGAAAGAACTTGATCTCTGAAATCCATGCTTGATTTTCTAATGAGAGGGTAGCCATTGGATTGTGGTCTTTAATCAGAAGGCTGTTAGGATCACATTGAAACTCCTAAGATAATGTATTTTACCCTACCGAGGCTTTCTTCGGTGCTTCGCATGTTTGAGCCACTGTATCTGCTGTGGTGGGTACTATTATTATTTTTCCTTTTTCACAGATGAAGATATTGACATGTCTGAGGTTAAGGCACTTCCCTACATCCAGTCAGTCAGAACACAGCAGTGCCTAGACTGTCCCGCAGACACTTGATCCCAAAGCAGCTTATGCCACGGTTCCTGGAAGGCCATTCCCAGCTTCTCATTCTAGATGCTCCTCGTTGGGTCAAATCACCTGACAAAGAGCATTTACCAATCTAACAGGAAGAATTTACCTACCCCTCCTCTGGGTCTACCATCTCCCTCTTCACAAATGCCCCATGTGGCATGAGGCATTACTGCTGTGTGTTGAAGAGTCCTAGGGACCACTGAGCTGTGAGCCCCTGAGGGCAAGGACCGCCTCTCTCTACCAGAGCTGCCATGTCTGCCCTCTGTCAGGACTTAGGGCGTGGCTCTGGAAGTGAGACTGCCCGCTTTATGGAGACTTCCTCCTGCTGCATCTTGGCAGTTCTCCTGTTGCTCATCATCCAGACCTTTCATCCTTTCATCACTACACATACATGGTGCCATATTCTACCCATGTCGAATGCCAGCTCCTCAAACACAACCTGTCCACAAGACAACACCAAGTGACTCTCACAGAAAGCACGATCTTAGAGTCTTACTGGATATTGATGAAATTCTAGTGGCTGGTTTGAGGCGGGCCTTACAGTATGATTCTCTCATTAGGAATCAAAGTGGGTCCAGAGATAATAGTTAAAGATTGGTCGTGGGTGTAGCAAGGTGAAGATTTTGAGGTGAAAATTTTCAAAGAGTTGTGGGGTGTAAACTCCAAGTTTACCACTACTTATTGAAGAGTTAGAATAGCTTGTTGTTCTTTTACATGGGTTTTCTTGGAAGTTTGTAGAATAAATAATAAAGGTGTTTACAACTTTTTTCTTCCCAAGCAAGGATTTCCTGGAATTGTGAAATCACATTGATGTAGCCAGGAAACTGGGGCGAATGGGCCTGGTTCTCCAACATGTAATTTATGTAACCTCTTATTGAATGTCATGGCGGGCAATTTCTCTGGGGATTTCTATGCCACCCAAAGGACTTTGGACTTAGGAGGGACAGAGCCTGAATTCTGGTCCCAACAATGTTACTCTCTCATTACAAGACCTCAGTGAGTCACTGGCCCTCTCTGACCCTCAGTTTTCTCCTCTGTCCAATGAGTCTTACAGGCAAGACTACACTTCATTCCACCACTTTATGACTAAGTTTATTTGCCTAAGGGGGAGGCTTGAGTAGTGACCTGACTTCCCAGCAGAGACAGGAAAGAGGAGGAGTGGGGTGGGGGTTGCGGTGGGGGGCATCAGAACAGGAGGAGGTAGAGAGGCAGAAAAGGGCAGGTGAGGAAGGCTCTAGAACAGCAGGGTCACTTTACTCAGGTCTGGGATTTTTAAGTGTTTTATCTGGTAGAAATGCATACAGCATTTACAAATTGGAAATAACTCTGTAAGCTCAGATAAGATTGTAGCGTAATATTGTAGCCAGAAACAGCTCACCACGGCTTCCTTTCAATTAACCATTTAAATCACAGCCCATACAAACCCCAACCCCCACTGCTATATAATAAAAAAAGAAAGTTAGACTAGAGCTGAAGAGTTTTGATTCATGCTGCTGAATATGGAAGATCTGCAATCTTTCTCATGGAGCTTATAGTCTAATGTGACTCTTTGAAAGAACATTCCTTTGGCTGCTGGCAAAGATATCTTCCCCCTAGACCCTTTCCTCCTGAGCTGCATGGTGATTCATTATAGATAACCCCTCCTGATTAATTTTGTTTTGACTTTAACTTTGACATTAAAAAAAAAGAAAGAAAGAAACATAAGAGGTAAAATTCTCCCCTCTAACATTCACTGTGTGACTATTTTTAGCCAGCTTTGGTGTTTGATGCAGAAAAAGGAAAAATCTAAATTTAGAAATAAATTAAATTGTTGATTGCCATCAAAAGTCCCAGCTGTCAGATTAGAAAGTCATTGTGTTAGGCCATTTGTGATAAATAATAAATCAGTGATTTCCTTGAATTCCTTATTTGAGTTCTTTTTCTCTGTCAACTGATGCGTCAGAAGATGCCCAGGCTGGTGAGGCACAGGCTGGCTGATCTTCACCAAAGCCCTTTCAAAGGTGAACATTTGCAGAGGAGTCAGTGTGTTCTGGGCCCCAGCAAAGGGATTGGCCATTTATCTGTGTACCTGGATTGACAGAGGGGGCCTGGCCCAGCTGCCCAACAAGGGGTACACAAGGCTGAGCTTGGATTCTGGTTCCAACTAGTATAGGAACCCAGTGATGTTGTTTATTTCCAGGAGGCTCAGTTTCCAAGTCTATAAAATGGTTTGAACAATGTACATTACACAGGGATGTTGTGTGGAAATTGTGAGCACAGCATGCAACATATGTAGGTGTCAGGATTTGGAAACAGTTATAATTATAATAATTATTAGTAGTAGTGTAGACAGCTACAGTAACTCGATAGTGCAGATGCCACAGGGAATCCGCAGGGAAGTCTGAAAGTGACTTTCAAGTGTGTTCTGTCCATTTTGGCTCAAAGCAAATGACTAAACCGTCTCCCTTACATACACTAAGCTGTGCAAATGCGTGTGAGATCAAGATTCCACTCCCTTTTGTGCTACAAGGCACAGCTGTGTTCTAAATGACTCTCAAAAGTCATGCTCCTGGCTAAAACTCGCAGTGGAGGACTGAAATCAAACCCTTTGAGGAAAAATTAAATGATAGAAACTGAACTGAATGTGAAACTTGGCCAGTTAAAATTAGACAGAAATGTTGGTGAGTGTCTTCCTCAATGACCCTCCCAGGCCCCTGTGTCCTCAGCCTCAGAGACACGCACGCCCTGTGTTAATTTCTCTCTTTTTTGAAGCCCTGTGGAGAGTACAGCGCCTGGACAAACGTTCAGGGAAGAGCATTTAGGGCACTGCATTGTTGGAAGAAATAAATGAAGGAAGAAGGAAAGAAGGAAAAGATCAAGGGAGTGAGGAAGGAAAGAGGAAAGGAAGGGAGGGAGTAAGGAAAGGAAGGACAGCAGAAGAAGAGGAGAGAGGAAAGAAGGAAGAAGGGAAATGTAATAAGTCTCTGTGGTATGAGCAGTTTTACAGTATAGAGCATTATTTTGCAGTTTCTAAATTATGAAGACCTGAGTGTAGACTACTCTGTACATAATATTATGCATATAGAAGGCAGCTGATAAATATCTTTGATTAATTTGGAGGAAATTTTACATTTAAGTTGGGAAAATAATAGCAATTGTTACCATTACAAGCAAACTATTCTGTGTACATGTGTATACAGCAGTATGTAATTGTTTTCCTCAGGCGATTCCAAAGGTTCCTTTAATTTAATAAAATTTTAATTTTAATTAAAATTTAATAAATAGGTCAGGTGTGATGGCTCACACCTGTAATCCCAGCACTTTGGGAGGCTGAGGCAGGCAGATTACTTGAGGTCAGGAGTTTGAGACCAGTCTAGCCAACATGGCAAAACCCCATCTCTACTAAAAATACAAAAATTTGCCGGGCGTGGTGGTGGGTGGCTGTAATTCCAGCTACTCTGGAGGCTGAGGCAGGAGGATCGCTTGAACTCTGGAGGCAGAGGTTGCGGTGAGCTGAGATCGCACCACTGCATTCCAGCCTGAGTGACAGAGCAAGACTCTGTCTTAAAACAAAACAAAACAAACAAACTAAATTAATAAGTAATAAATGAAAGTAAGAGACACTGGGCTCTTTTTAAAAATTGTATTGCTTACATCGAAAGAGTATGACTCGATGATTCAGTATATGTATGCCTGTGAAATAATCACCACAATCAAGCTAATTAACACATCTATCACTTCCCATAGTTACAATTCCTGTGTGCATGTGTGTGTGGTTAGACAATGTGGAGGGGCCTGGAACATGGAGGACATTATACTAAGTGAAATAAGCCAGACCCAGAAAGACGAAAACTGCATGACCTCATTTAAACATGGAATGTAAAATAAAGGTGTCGGTCTCTATCTGTGTTCTGCTCTGTCATCAAGTCATGCGCCTCCTTCACCATCATTGGTTCTGAGTTTCACAGAAGTCCATAAACATCCTAAGCTAGTGAAGAATGGGCCCTGGAGCTCACTGAGAACAGTGGCTTTGGCTGAAGCCACTCGGGACCCTTCCATCAGATGCGCCCACCTGAGAAATCTGGTATACTGCTCAGCTCAGCAACCTCAGGTCTCTGGTTCAGGAAGGATCTCTGAGCCTTCCTTCTCTAGACTGGGGTTGGTGGAGTGAGTTCCTCACGGACAAGTAGTTTCCATAGTGGTTGACATTCTTGTCTAGGGTCACTTGGCAAATTAGGGTCAAGACTTGGTTTAGAAAAAAATTGTTCAGAATCTGTGTTTGTAAGTGGGTGGACTCTTTTGATCAGGTTGCTTCCTTTTGATTATAAAATAAGAACTTTGGGCTAGATCTCTTTGGAATATGATCACTCAGTCATGATGTCTGGATACGCACGTTTATTTCTAGGGGACCTCATAGTATATGCATCTAGGCCAACTGGAATTGGGCTAAACAGAAGTCTAGATTTGGGGGAAAGTTGGTAACCCAGATTCATTTCGTTTTCTCAAGAGGGGCAGGTTGTGCAAATCAAGCTCCTCTGGGGATGGCCCAGAGGCTATGTCTTCAAAGATGGGGGCTGGCAACAGTCCATACAGTGTCCCTGCTTGACTGGAGCTGATGCTTATGTCAGTCTGCAATGTCGGCACCTGCTCTGTCCGGGACCAATGGACATAGGGGGGCCTCTATCCATGTCTGACAAGTGGAGTAATGACCCTTTGCGCTTGAAGATAGCATCAAGTCCATGCTTTGCTTCTTGGTGTTAGGGCCCACTGTGGGTATCACTTGCTTGGAACAAAAAGTTTTTCTGCTTTTGATCATAGAATCAGATGTTTTGCTATAGATATGGGATGAGCCCAGAATAGTCACGCTTATTCTCAGCTCACTAAAGTCCTTTCAATTAGCTATCCTCTCTTTACCTAATGTCCAGAACCGCAGTCCCCTATATATATTTAGACAGATTTGTATCAACATTGCATTGTTACACTTCACTTCTTCCTTTTTTTAATTATGTAAAAAAACCCACATTAAGCCGAATCTAATTACTGCAATGTATATTAGAAGCAGGGCACCATCAAAATTTTATTTAAATTAATCAGGTTTTGATTTAAGATATTAAATTCAAATTAATCATGTAAAAATGGAAATGATCCTTGACGTGCTTCCAGCTGTGACTTCAGTCTGTTTTCTCGTGAGTCACTTTCGGGATGTCTTGGGGGGAACATTACAAAAATTCACGCCGGTGCTATTTCAATTAGAGTTATTTAGCAGGACAGATGTAAAGAATATGGTATAATTAAGAAGGAGTTGACGACATGGCTACAGATTTTCAGGATTAAAAGGAAAAAAAAAATACATGAACTAGAGTGAAAATTGACTACTGGCCATGATGCCCAAGTTCAAGTGCAGGGAGGTTAAGCATTCATTAAAGACAGAAAGAAGATTTGCAGAACCACAGGACTTTTTCTCTGGGGCAATCTGCAGATCCCACTTTGGTTTCAACTTTGAAGTTTCATTAACAAGCCGGTACTAACTGGTATTGCAATTCTTATCATTCCTAAAATTATCTTTCGCTGTGGCAATCATGGCCTTTGACTAATTTGATTCCGGGGCCATCAGAAAGCTATGAGAGTTAAAATAGTACTTTAAGACCCATTTTAAATCCAATTGCATATACCGGCATATAGAATACTACATATAGATATCCAAATATTATTTATGCTCATGAACATATATATTAGGTGTGACTATGTCAATAAATTCTTAAGATGATGCTACTTTTTCATATTTATATATGACAGACTACAAATTGTTTGAACATAGCCCGACTCATTTTTAATAGCACTTAGGTGGAGTGAGTAATGGTCCTCTATTCATGGAGAACTAAGATTGGACTTAGAATGGTTATGTAATTTGCCCAAAGCCTCTTATCTAACTGGACACTAGAGACCAGAACCTGACCATTCTCCTGATCTTCGCACAGCAATTTGTTACTGTGATCCGTATACTCCGTAGCAGTCTCACCTGTAGGTGAATCTGGTTTTCAAGTCTTTAGAAAGCCCCAAGAGTCAGAATACAACTTCAACAATCTGTATGGGGCACACCTGGTCAGAACAAAAATCCTGGCAAGTGTGATCACTGTGCTGGGGCCCCTCATCTGTTTCCAGTGTTTTGGCTGAACCCCAGAGAGGGACTGGGGCAGGGGCTTTCCTACCAGAGGATGTGACTCAGTCTGGGTTTCAGAGTCTCAAATAATCAATATTTCCATGCAAAGAGCAATGCATGTGTCCTTTCTTGCATCCCCTCTGACAAACACTATGCTCTGTCATCTGGGCTCTCTGTCCTGCTCCGACCCCCCTGAGCCCCACAGACCAAGGCTGTACCCCTGCACCCCAAGGCAGCCCACTGAGGTCTGGGGGCAAGTAGAACCTTTTCTCCACTCATGTCTTCAGGTCCCTGGTACAGAGCCTTGACTCCTCCCATCCTACCTTTGACTTGACCCTTACCTCAGGCTGGATTCTAGTGTCTTCAGTTGTCCAGCTGCCACTAGAATGTGAGTTCCCTAAGGAAAGGAACCCAGCCTTGTTTCTCATAAATAAACCCAATTTAATAAAATGCAGAGACTGTAGTTTGTTGGTCTTTGGATGCTCCATAGGCAGCAGGGGACTCAACACCCAGTAGGTACACAGTACATTGTTTAATGAGCAAAAGTGGAAGGAAGAGAAAGAATAAAATAATAAATTAGTGAATGAATGTTTCTATGACTGAGTTTATCGTGGATGTTCACTGTATATTGAAGGTGAAGGTGCCAGAGACTCTCCTCTCTCCCTTATGCCAACACACCTTAAGTGAAGATCCAATCAGGGAAATGGTCCCACACCATGGACATCAACCTGACATGTGTCTGGATTGATTTGAGAGTTGTAGAAAGGAGATGATTCATTGACGGCTTCTGCTTCCCACTCATGTGATATCAATGTATGTAATTCTTCTTTCAAAATCACGTTTCACTCTTTTTAGAAAATGAATGAGGTGGGAGGTTAAAATAATAACCCTCTTTTTTTCTTGGTGGAAAATAGTCTTTGTCAATGAAATGCTGTTGCTGATGGTTCACAAATCCATTCAACCCAAATTAAAGGCGTGTTTCAAATACTAGGAGAAAAATGGTATTTTTCTCTGGCATCCTTTTGCTTGAATTTTTCAATCTCATTTTACACTTGTACGCTAGTACCATGCAACAAGGTGAAGGGGAAGGATTTGAATTTAGATCTCACTGCTCACAGGCTGTGGGCCTTGGATGAAATGCTTGACATCTCTGAGCCCCAGTTTCCTTAGTTGTGAGTGGTCAATTGTTTTGGGGTTCAGATTTCAACCTATCCTCATGCTGTTTCTCGCCTCCTCCTAGAAGCCAGAGTTTTCAGGATTATCACTTGTGGTAGCTGTTCCTGACTTTGGAGGCTGGGACAGTTGCTCTGTCCCTATGCCACTCCATTTGAATAAGATCCTAATAGCTGGCTGCTGCTTACAGCTTCATTCTAAGTCCCCCAGCTCTAGTAAAGCCTTGTGGAAGGCAGTTTGTTCTTTGTAGGTTTTCGTTAGAATCTCACCTTAGTAACTAACTTGAAATTTCTGTGATTTGTGTCCAACAATTTCTATTTTCTGATCCACATTTGGCTAATGACCTCTCTCTAGAAGAAAGATTGCAAAGATCAAATGGGAAAATATTAAGCTTCTCTGGCCCTTTATTCTATCATCTTGCGTACTCTTGGCTAATCTTTAAATACACCCAGCAGGTTTCTGCCGCAGGGTCTTTGCACTTTCTCTTTTCCTCTGTCTGGGAAGCTCTTTCCTGGTTAGCAACACACTTTGTCACTTCGCTCAGGACACCTCAAAGCTCCCTTGTCAGTGATCATTCTCCCCTGCCCCCAGCATTTTCTATCCCATCATCTGCCTTTATTTTTCTTCAGAGCACTTATCACCTCCTGAAATGCCGGGTCTCATTTACGTCTCTATATAATGCCTTTCCCCAGCCCACCATTAGAGCAAAGACTTCCTCTCTTGTTCACTATTGCATCCACAGTGTCTGGCAGGTGATAGGTGCTCCATAAATATCTGTTGAATAAATATTTCTGTTTGAAATATAATAGAACTGTCACCCAGAAAATGCCAGCTATCCTGTGCTCTATGAATCACCTTCTCTTTGGAGAGAACCATGGGCTCAGTGGAAGAGTAGGGACCATCAGCCGCCACATGACTTAAGCTTTATGCTCTGAGGGTAGAATGCCCTGGAGTATGCATGTGAGAAGAGACAGCCACAGAGACAGGGAGAAAGGCCTAGAGAGAGACCGACAGGGACCAAACCGCAAGGTCGTAGACAGAGACATGTAGAAGGAAGCAGGTTAGAGAGAGGCCCAATGCAGGAGAGAAACAGAGAGATCAGAGCAGAAACCAAAAAAAAAAAAAAAAAAAAAAAGGAAGAAACAGAGAGGAGAAAGACTAGCCACATCAGAGTGGAAACAGGGAGGCTGAGCATGCAGGTACCAGGCCCCAGTCCTTCCACCCACTGTCCGCACTTCATCCTTCCAGAGTCTGCCTCTCACCTGCGCACAGAGAGATACTTCTTGCATCAGCCCCTGGCCCTTTGGAAGCCAAGCTTCATCCTATTTACTCAGCTCTTATGGTCAGAGCTGAGCTCTTTTGTGAGTGGCAACATCCCTGAGGGCTCTCCAGAGGCCTGGAAATCCTCTGTAGCACCAGGGCAGGGACAGCTAATTAATACTGAGAAGGTCTTGGTGGCTCCTGCTAATTGCCCTGACCTAGGCAGGTCTTCATGGGCTGTTACCTCCTCCCCAGCCCCAAGCTCCCAGGGGCCATGTCCTACTCCAAGCACAGGACAGCAAATTTGGAAGAGGTGAAAATTTTACTACATCTTTGTGCTTGACTCTGAAATTCATTACAAAGAACATCTGCAAATATGGACAACCTTAGAGTGTCCCAATGGCCAATACATGAATAACCTTTAAGTATATAATCTCACAGAAACCTTGCAAGGAAGCTGGTGCTGTTTTCCTCTTTGTAACTGGGCAACCTGAGGCTCTAATGAGTTCCAGTTTGGCCGAGGATGCCACAGACTTTAGTTTCATAAACGAGAATTAGGGTTGAGGTTGATCGATCTCTCTGACCCCTATAATTGCCACTATCCAAGGGTGTCTACAGGATACACCTTCAAAGTGGGACTACAGATTTGGTTTGCAGGCCCACGATCTGTTTTCAGAAACCTTTGAAACCACATGTAATTTAGAAATCAGAATTTGGTACATTTAAAATAATATGTCTCATAATTACATATCGTAGAGCATCTTGCAGAGGAGTCTAGGACAGCACTTAGGGATAGAACACAACATTTTTGCAGTGAAATAAATGACTGTTTACATTACATGAGAAAAATAAAGACTATAAATAGCCTTATATTAGTTCTATCAGTTCAGGTCAGGTTTTACCACCAGATTAATGATAAAAACTACTTTTGGTTTTGCAAAACTTCTTTGGAATCATGACTATAAGATTATAGGCTGGAACAGAATAAGTCTCAAGAGAAGGTCTTTCTTCTTTTCCATAGGTGGACCACACATATGGCAACCAAGAACCACACACAGTTTCACTTTATCAATTAGGTGTTGTTCACAAGTAGGGCATGCATGGAAAGCAGAGAACATTCTTCAACCAAGTTGTTGAGGGCAGACTGCTGTCAGCCTGGCCAGGTTTAATTTGGGGTGATGCCCTCATGGGTGTGTCACCCAACCTCAATGTGCATAGCAGTCATCCTAAACTCTTCTTAGGGAGGCCCCTTGGCCGGAATAAAAGATCAGCCCAGGGACCGATGCACAGTAAGTGTTCCCTAATGTTGCCTAAGATTGCTATTACCCAGAAGAGGCTTCATGGCACTCACATTAAACCTACATTAAGTAAGCAGACGCATAGACCGTGGGCATTCAACAATTGGTAACTTATTTCTCCAAGCCTTTCTCTAATCAGGGTCTTTGCAATGCAGTGCATTTAATGTGAAGCAGTGTTCAGATGTGCATTTCCCACCCTCCAGCCAGTGCACAGCTCTCCACTATTAAAGCTCATGCACCACCCTCTTTAGAAACACAGAGGGTAGAGTCAGGTAGAAATCACAGGAGACAGGGCTTTTTCTAGGACTTTAGTTAGGTACGTCTTCTCCAAAATTCTGGAAGAATCTTTCACACCACTCAAGACAGCTCATGAGAAAAAAAAGCATCTCTTTATATTTAGACCGGCGATCTCACCGCAGGTGCCCCACTTGTGTGGGAGACAGGCTATTTTTTTTTCTAGGCCCCAAGAAAACTTCTCCCTCCTCCCATCTGATAGGGTTGCTGCTACTTCCTTTACAGTGCAAAGATCAGAGGGGCAGCTCCCATCCCCCACCAGTGTGGCGAAGGAAGAGGGCAAAAAACAGGCCAGGTTTTCACAAAGGAAGACCAGAAGCTGCAATGATGTAACGAAGTACAGTGCATGCCAGTTCATGGGCAGGCAGGAAGGAAGGCAATCGCAGGCTTTGAGGCAGGGCACCTGCCTTCTACTTGTCTGATTTTAGCAGCTGGAAGACAAAAAATAACTTGGGCTTCCTGCAGCGTGAGCTCCTCAGTAATCCCCTCTGAGATGGGGTGGGTATGGAGTCTCCTCATATGGAATCACAGCTCAGAAAGGATTTGCTGCCTCAGTTTTCTCATCTGTAAAGTGCGTGGCTGATGACCACTTCACAGGACTGTGAGGAGGTAATAATCTTAAGTATAAGAAAGAATCTAACATATAGCTAGGGAGCAAATGAACTAAGGATTCCTAAGCTCGTGATTTTGCAATCATTTCATTTGATCCTTTCCAATCTATGGCACTGATTACTTTTATCTCTATTTATCAATAGAGAGATGAAGACACAATATGCTCAAATGATTTGCCCAAGTCATGGGTAAAACCAAAGCCAGTGTTGGTTCTTTCTGACTCTGAACATACATTAATTAATTTCATTCATTATGCTAATTGTAAAACTGAAGCTAAAATGATCACAAAGAAACACTGATCGGTAACTATAACAGTAAGAATGCAATTATTGTTCTGATCAAAGAGTCCATCTTTGCAAAGACTATTATTGCAAGAAAATATTACATGTTCCTATTTTTATAAGTAAGCACCCTTCCTAGCTCAGGGTAGAGGGTCAAGAATTAACTGTTGACTTAATTTGCATCCAGACTGCAACCTTTTTGTGGGCATCTGGGCCAATGTGCAAAGATGGACTTGCCCTGCAGATGGCATGACCCTGGAGCATTTCAGGTTCTCTACCTGGCTGAGTCTCTGGGCCTAGGAGGGGAAGAGGTTAACTTTCGAGACCTTTGAGAATGGGGACCTGTGTCTTTAATAGATTGGCCTGCTCCTGCCTTCTCAGGGCAAAGCGCAGCAGCTGGGCTGCCCCCCAGGCCCAGGCCTCCTGTTTTGCACAGCCTCTAAAGCCAGCGTGGCTCTGCCCTGGGAGTCTCCCGGCCACAGGTGAGGTTCCTTGGCCCCAGCAATGCCCAGGGGGCCAATCAGGCTGGGCCTGCATGAGGTAAGATGGAGAATCACCCTGTGTGCTCTGGGCTCTCTCAGAAATCTCAGCAGATCAATGTCACCGTGGCTTTAATTACCCCTCCTAGGCCTCATCCTTATTTCATGGCCTTTAATATGCCTGGTAGGCAGCTGTGGACACACAGATAAACAGCCACCCACCATGGCCTGGCCGGAGGTGGTGCCCACTGTGGCCTCCTAGGCCAAGGGACGGTGGTCTGACAGGGCCCTAGCCCTGCCCAGTGCAGAGCATTTTGACACCTAGATCCTTTGAGTATCTTGCAACAGCCCTGTTGTACAACGGAGGCTTGGCACCAGTTTGCTGAGGACCTACTGTGTGCCAGGCATTGCCCCTGAGCTGGAAGCACTGCGGCAGGCCCCAAGTGACTTCTCTGGGCTGTTTCCTGCTGAGGCCCCTCTAGTCACAGGCTGTCCCTGTGTGCTTACAGCCTTTTGCCTAGAGCAATGTTCTCAACCCAGGGCGATTTTGCCCCCAGGGGACATTTGACAATGCCTGGAGATATTTTCCGTTATCACAACTGGAGGAGGGACTGCTACTGGCATCTAGTGGGTAGAGGCCAGGGCTGCTGCTCAGCACCCTACAATGCACAGGACAGCCCCCCACAAAGAAGGATCTAGCCCCAAATGTCAACAGGGCCAAGGGGGAGCAACCATGTAGCACAGACAACTTCCTTAACATGGCATATATAAGGTTGTAGAGGTCCCAGGGACTTCCTGGGCCACTCCCTGAGTCAGGGTTTCTTCTTCAACAGTTTAAATCAACCATGGGTCCCCTTGCTCCTGACCGGCCACCCACCACACAGAGCTTGCCTCTTGCTTGTCCTAGTTCCTCTATCTGGATGTTCTCATTTTTTTCGAGGGCTGACATGCACCCATCTTTAATCACACCTTGCCTTGGAAGCCACCTGGAGTGGCCATCCCTGGCTTAGTTGTTAGCCCCGGGAATTGCATGGGTTGGTTTATGTTCCTTCCCCAATACCTATCACAGCAAACCCACAGGTCACACACTGAATCCCACACATGGTTCACAGGCATAGTTAAAGTATGGGAACTTAGTTTACATTTTTAAGTAGATTAGAGATATCCAGTGACAACTCTGTAAAATGGTCTTTTTATTGTACAAATGCGCTGCTGCGTTTCTCTGCATACACAAGGGACCCTGTGGCTCATGGGGAAGAACACAGGCTTTGCAGCTGTCCTCTCAGTCCCTGGGGGCACACAGCCCCCTGTGTCTGGATCAGTGATTGGGACAAGTCAGTGCTCAAGAAATACCTGTTGTGTCGATGAATCCATCGTATGTTCCTTGATGGAAAAGAAGAGTTTTAACTAGCTGACCCAGGCTGGGATCCCCTTGAAATCAGGATCAGGGGTAATGGCTTTTTCATTCTTCTAACTCCTGCTCCCATCCCAAGGTTACTAAATCCACATTTGCTAATCTTGGGATGCAGGCCTTCAAGAACTGTCATTTGGATAAGTTATTCCCTCCCTCTCAGCTCCAAGTTTTAAATCAGTAAAATGAGAAGAATGAAAGCACCTCCCTCCAGGTGCTCATGCGAGGGATTCCCGGTGTGAGGCCCATAAAGCATTGATGCCTGTGGAGCCGGGAGTGCAGTGCTGGGAACAGACTAGGGACTCTCTCTCTCTGGAGTACAACAGGTTGGGTCCTACTTCCATGTTTTTGCATACGATTTTTCTGCCTGAGACGTGTCAAGTAAAGGAGGCAGAGGGGGACAGGAAGAACTTCCTAGGGCACCTTCTCACTCCCCATGAGGAGTGCCTGAGGGATCTACGAACCAAATGAGAGGCAGTGGCCCCTGCTGAGGAGTCTCTGCCCCAGGTCAGCTGTGCTGCCTCCCAGACCACACAATAGACCTCAATGACTAGGAAAGATCCTTCCAAACCTTATGTCATGCCATTGCCAAGTGGCCTGGCTGGTATCTTACCTTTTCACAAAGCACCACATCTGAGGGAGAAAGAAGAAATACCTCTCAGGTTCAAATTATAATACAGGGTTTGACACTGAGTGGGATCATCATTGGGTTGTAATTTATTTTGTTTCTTAATGGAAACTGAATCTATAATATTTTTAACTGGTCAATAAACTAATCAGTTAGATAGCTGATTGCCTATTAGACTTAGAGAAATAAGAAAAAAAATTCACTTGTTTAGGTTTAGGAGAGATTTGAGTTTAGCTTCTCACCAATTCGACTTTAAAATATTTGAGTTTCCCTAAGGGAAAATTCTTTCAAGAAAAAATTATTCAATTTTTTCCAATAAAAAATTCTGAAAAATTTGAAAACAAACAAACAAACAAACAAAAAAAAACAGCAGCAATTTGGAAAGGACACAGAGATCTATTTATTTCAGTCTTCCGCTCACCCTCCCATCCTTTTGCTTGTCCTTCTGCACCCATTCTGGAACTCCTACACATTGGACCACGGCCAGAACGCCACCTGTGTGATGCTCAGGGATTCACGCTGGTTCAGGACCTAATTTGCACTGATGCCTCTTCGAGGAGCTTTATGTCACCCTCATAGCAGTCCTTACAGGGAAGCATTACTTTCCCCACTTCTGCACAGATTTGCCAATTTTCCCACGTTCACAGAAACTGCACCTTTCAAAGCTGGGTTTTGACCCAAGACAGTCTGACCTCAAAACTAGTGATCTTTCCTCCACAGAAACATTCATGAGGTAGCCCAAAATTACATGAGGAGCTCTCTAAGGCAGTTTGTCCATTCAGTGATGGGCTGTACTAACAGGACATTTTGAACTTTAACCTCAATTTGAAGATTGTGTTTTTCCTGGACTATGGACATTTTCCCAGAATGGGAGTTGGGGGCATGGTGTGTCATTTCAAGCTCAGTGACAGAACTCAGGACATCTCTGACTGAACTGTGGGCAGCCCTGACTGAACTCTGGTTGTCTCTGACTGAGCTCAGGCTATCTCTGACTAAACTGCCTCTGACTGAACTCTGGTCATTTCTGACTGAACTCTAGCTATTTATGACTGAAATCTTGTCATCTCTGACTGAATTCTGGCCTTCTCTGATTGCATTCTGGACAGCTCTGACTGAACTTTGGTTGTCTCTGGATGAACTCTGGGTGTCTCTGACTGAACTCTGGGCAGCTCTGACTGAACTCTGGTTATTCCTGACTGAATTCTAGTTGTTTTTGACTGAACTCTGATAATCTCAGACTGAACCCTAGTTGTCTCTGACTGAATTTTGGGCATCTCTGGCTGAACTCTGATAGCTCTGATTGCACTCTGATCATTTCTGACTGAATTCTAGTTGTTTTTGACTGAATTCTGGTAGCCTTTGACTGAACTCTGAGTGTCTCTGACTGAACTCTGGTCATTTCTGACTGAATTCTGGGCATCTCTGACTAAACTCTGGGCAGCTCTGACTGAACTTGGGTCATTTTTGACTAAATTCTGATTTTTTTTTTAACTGAACTTTGGTCATCTCTCACTGAACCCTGGTCATCGCTCACTGAACTCTGGGCATCTCTGACAACTCTGGGCATCTCTGACTGAACTCTGGTTGTCTCTGGCTGAACTCTGGGTGTCTCTGACTAAACTCTGGGCAGCTGTGATTGAACTCTGGTTATTTCTGACTGAATTCTAGTTGTTTTTGACTGAACTCTGATACTCTCAGACTGAACTCTGGTTGCCTCTGACTGAATTCTGGGCATCTCTGACTGAATTCTGGGCAGCTCTGTCTGAACTCTGGTCATTTCTGACTGAACCCTCAGCATCTCTGACTGAACTCTGGGTGTCTCTGACTGAACTCTAGGCATCTTCAGCTTCTACTCCCTGGTGTGGTGAGCACAGGGTGTGTCCTAGAGCCATTGCTGGAGACCCAAGTAGGACTCGTTGGCCCTCTCCCATCTTTTAAAGTTCTCCACCTTCTGTATGTTTTGTTAGCGCCTTAATACCAACCCCTCACACCTTCCTGGCACCCTATGATCCAGTAACGTTCACAACTTGTTCCCACATCTAAGCTCTCCCATGAGGCCGCAGGGCAGTAGCTGTTTCCCTGCTGATAAGCCAGTAAGAAGTCTTTGAAACCCTGAGCCATTTCTTTTTCTCTTTTTATAATGGTCTGCCTCTCAAACAATTTCATCTCCAGCATTTTTCCCCGTTTTTTGGGATTTTATTATTATTATTATTTTTAATCTGATAGAGAGGGTGGAAGCTAAAAAAAATCTCACAAAGAAACTGTAGAAAAATCCGTCACCATCCATTTCCCCCCACCCTGGAGACCTTGCTGTTTTAGCCGCTCCAAAGAAACACTTTCAGTTGGTCACACCCTTTGCCAACAGCTGAGCTCGTGGCCTGGTCACGTTTATAGCTCGCCCTGGAACGCTCCATGTGGCGGAGGCTTTGGCGGAGCAAAACCACAAGCCACGGTGTCAACTGGCTAAACACCAACCCAGGTGACGGGGGAGGAGGCTCAGGGTAGACACCTGCATGTCCGCGCACACTGGTGGGAGGGCAGGGGCAGGAGGCCGAGTTCCGGCAGGAAGGCCACTGGGCCCTGGATCGGAAGGAGGGGTAGGGCAGCAGAGGCCAACATCAGCAGCTGGGACCTCCGCACAGCTGGGATGCTCTCCAGCAAGGGATTCCTCTCCTGATAATGGAGCCAGGGAAACTAGAAGGGCACGGCCACTGCTCCACTGTGCAGAGCGTGCATTTGTAAACATTAACCACCCTTAAAGTCGCTCTTTGAGAGAGGCCTGGATACAGAAGTGAATATTTTAAAATATTAGGGTTTATCAAGGCACTTTTTAAAGAAAGCACCTGTACAGTCCCCACGGGAGGAGAGATGCGGTAGGCAGTGCAGCCCCTGGCCCGTGTGTGGCCAGCCCATCCTAGGTCTCCCCTTCCTAACAGTGAAGTCTCCTCTCCAGCAGAGTCACCCTAACGGTAGAGAGAGGAGAGGCAGGTGGGAGCCTCCATGGTGGCATGTGATGAAAGGCAAAGCTAGACGAGGAAGACAGGAAGAAAGGAGGAAGGCACCGTAGGCAGAGGCTGATTTTTTGGGGATTGTGGCTCGAGCTGTGAACAGTCGGTGCTCCTTCTCTGAATGAATTTTCTGGAAAATCTCCATTTAAGATCCAAAAAAAACTAGGGCTCCTTTCTGTCCTCCCCTTCAGTCTTGCTAAGTGGTGCCGCCAGCAGGACCAGAGGATGACCCTGAGGGCTTCTGTTTCCGAAAGCTTAGCCCCACCCTCCTGCCACCCCAAAGCCCTGCACTCCCCTCTTTGCTCATGGTCAGCAAGTAGCCCTGACAAGTGTCCCATTTGTTTGTCAACGTTGGCTGTGAAAAATCATGGGGAAGCAAATTGCTTTTCTGTGGAAGGGGGTCAGGGATCTGATGGGAAACCCCAACTCCTGGAAACCAGCATTGGTGGGGACATCTTTGAGAAATAAAAAAGGAAATGCCTGGAAGCCCTGGGGTTGGGGCAGAAAGCCAGTGCCTCAGAGCCAGCCCCGAGAGCTCTCAGGGCGAGGCGGGGAGGAAGCTGCTGTCAGAAACACGCGGCGAGTGTGTGGCCAAAGCACTCCATCCAACAGGTCCCCACGCATTCTAAATAATTAGGCTGACATCTGGGAATGATTTATAACCACAGTTTATTTGATCCAACAATAAAATTCCAGAGTTTGGCAAGGTGATGAAGGCCGTCGAGGCCGAAATGTGAACGTGATATTGTTAAGCTAAAGAAAATGCATCTATAAATCACATTACACATCCTTATGGGGATTGCAGATTAATGTGCTCAAGTTGACAGGATTTTGGACTCCAAAACCAGTTTTACAAAATGGTCACAAGAAAATAAAAATCTAACTAACAAAACAAATTTGAAGAAATTGGGTGGGGATAGGAAGAAAGGGAAACTTAAGGAAGGGCCCACATCTCTGCATGTGTGAACTCTGATTGGGGAGTAAAGCCAAAAGGAGAACATTTTGGCAAGTTGGATTATAATGATGAGTAGGGTTTATTGAGCATTTACTGTATGCCAAGCACGATGGGCCTTTAAGCGGTATCTCATTTCATCCTCACAATAGCGCAGTGGCGTAAGCAGCACATTACAGCTGAGGCAACTGAAGCATAGAGAAGTGATATAATCCCCCAGGTAGCCCCCCTTGACCCTGGTGGAGACAATATTCAAACTGAGAGCCCCCGCACTCTCACCTCACAGACGGAGCAGACAGATCAAATGGAAAGGCTCCCCCATCCTGTCCTCTACACCACCTTGCAGCTGGGCCTCAGCAACTGGGTATGTAGAATGCGGATGATAACGCTCGCCATGTGGACTTGTCATTGGGATAATGTTTAATTTAATCTGATAAAAATACTGATTGACCACAGTGCTCAGTAACATGTTGGCTCTCGAGGTGTGGCAGCTTCTTCCTTGCTTTTATTCCTCCTGTAGAAAGTTAATTGAATTTCACATGACTTGCAGCCAGTGGGCAAGGGATTGACTCACAGCAAGATGCGTGCTATTCTATGTAGGAGACAGGCCATGACGGCTATCGGGAAACAATCTGAGCCATGGTATTGTCATTCCCTGCCTAATGGTTTGTTGGGTAATGAGGGACATTGAGACTTCTACCTTGTGGCAAATCAGCTCAAGGCCTACCACCTGTATCCAGAAGATCATTCACTCAGGGATCAGCCAAGGTTAATCACAATGGTCCTGCCAACTGGCCCGTTTATCCGATCAGAATAGACAGGAGCTGGGAAGCAAAAATGAACATGGGTCATTCGCTCAGTGCCTAGGCCACAAGGAAGATAAGCAAAGCGTCCCTTAGTCCAGGGCCAGCTCAGCCTAAGAGGGTGAGTCCTTACTTGTGTCCCAGCCTGTCTACACTGAGCTGGAGTTCCCCAATTCTCACAAACCCATGGCTGGGCATATCCACTCTAGTGATGCTGTTTGCGCTTCAGGGTGGTCCTTAGGATTTCATAAAGCACTTACCTAAAATTAACTCATATTTTATTGCAAATAAGACCTACACATTGCCAAAAATTCAAACTACATAAAATGGATAGACAAGAAAAATTATTTTTTGTTTTGGGGATGACCACTGGTTTTTATTCATTCTTTCAGGAGTAGTCTACATGTTATCATGCATGTTTGTCTCTTTGTGTGATACGCTGTTCTGCCTCTTGCTTTTTATTCAGCTAACAATAGTTAATTTTGTTAACTCTTCTGTATCAGCACATTTAGAGTGACCTCATTTTTCTTCACGATTGCATAGGGCTCTTTTGCATGACTGGATTATCATAGGGATTCCTGTTTAGCTGAACATCCCGGCTGCTTTCAGACTTTTACCATTATAAGCAATGCAAGCAGCAAGGCCATCCAGGAAAACCAAGCCTGGTCTTAGAAGTAGGTTTCTGGTAGCAAAGCAGAGTTTCTTTCCCTGCGGGCACTATCTGCCAGGTCCTGAGCCTAGGTCTGGTGATAAGGAGGTGCCTCCTGCAAGCCCTGCCTTGAGGGTGTCTGGATGCATGGTTCAAGGGCAGCTCTTAGAAACCATAGAAACCACAACCAGCTTCCAGCCCTCAATTCCAGGCAATCTCCAGATCCCCAAGTCTTGCTCCCAGACCTCACTGCACTGCTGGTTCCATTAGGCCATCCAGAGAACACAATGGTATTGAGGTGCTAAACAGAAGGTCTTCAGTTTAAGAGATGAGAGCAGAGCTATCTCTTAGGGTTATTATGAAGATTACTAAGGGCTCAGTGTGTATCGGGGTGCTGAATTTTGTGATGGTTATCGGGGAGACTGACCTGAAAACAGATCCTGTATAATACAACTCGGTGGGTGCCATTACTCAGGGATGAGAAAAGACACGCGGGGTGTTGTTTTTGTTGTTGTTGTTGTGGGGAGTCTGTATTTTATTCTTGAAGGGTAAAGAAAGATTTCACAGAAAGTAAAAGGTTTTGAAGGATGAATAGTTTTCCCTACCTTTAAAAAAATAATAGAGAGAATTTCAGGATTCCAGGTAGAGAGAATAGCATAGTCAGAAAGGTGGAGAGGACATTGTGTGTATGTGTGTGTGTGTGTGTGTGTGTGTGTGTGAAAGAGAGAGAGAGAGAGAAATAGTGGAGAAAGTCACAAAGGGAGTTCAGATGCAGCATCAGCCCAGGTCACCAATCCTGTTGCTCTGTAACTTTGGGTGGGGCTGTGGCAGCCCCCAGGGCAGAGGGTACCAGGACAAGATAGCGCTCCCAGGCACCTTTGCTCATTACCAAGACGCTGCTGTGCCAGAAAGTTGTTTCAAAGCCTTTCCTAAACTCCTCTGTCCCCATGCCCTATGCCCTTGGCAGAATAGCACAGCACTTAACAACAGACTGCTGGTCTTAGAAGTAGGGGTTCTGATGCTGGGTTCAAATCCTAGGTCTGTCCCTGGCTAGCTCTTTGACTTTCTGCAAGGTGCTTAACACGACTTTCTATCCCAGTTTCCTCATCTATAAGATGAGAGCAGAATGACCTACTTTAATGGGTGGCTGGGAAGTCTAAATGGGCTAATCCATGTACAAAGTTTAGAATGCAAAACAAAGCCCTCCAAAATATTATGGTTACATCGCTCTTAATAGCCACTGTAAAGTCTTGTAAGCATGAGGTTCCGGGATAGAGAAGAAAGTAGGAGGATGGGCTGTGAAACAGGCAGTTGTCACATAAGTGCTCCTACAGGGCAGGGAGGAGGGGACAGGATGGTGGAGGAACCAGGGGCCACTCCCCACAGAAAGGGATTTGATCCGGCTCTTAAAGCAAGATCGGGCATTGCCAGGCCTGAGTGAGGACACCTGGGGCCAGGTTTCTTTTAAATCTTTCTGTTCTCTCCCACAAGCTGAGGAAGCCTGAGTGTTCACAGCCACCATCTCCCCTTAATCCCGATGCTTCCTTCGCCTCAACGGGCATTTAAATAATGCAGCTTTGGCGGGAGGTGGGATGGGTCTGAGAAACTTCCTAACTCGCTGGCGCCCCTGTATGCGGGTGCCACTGCATAATGATCGGGGCTGGCTGGAAAGAAGAAACTTGGTTCAAAATGTATGAGTTCATTTTTATGTTCTACTGAGAAAATTTATTCAGTGTGACTGCTCAGTAGCGAGTGCCGTAAAACACCTTAATCCCTGGTTGAAGAAAGGTAATGTCTTGACAGATGTGTGCCTCCTACTTTCCTCCCGGCCATGTTTCAACAACAAACCTTTATTTCTGCTTCTCGGCTGTAGCAGGCAAGAGAAAAAAATGAGGAGAGCAATAAAGCAGTCAGAAATCTCAGGAGCCAGGCGGCGATGCAATCGTAATGACAGATTTTTAATGTGGCGGGAGAGATTGACAAGGAAATGTCTTCAGAGCAAACGCTCACCAGATGGAATGCAAACGGTTTATTGGAGTAGAGAGGTGCAGCTGAACCGAAGAGAGGGCGGGTGGAAGGTGGTCTTTCTGGCTGCTGCAAGTAAACACGCCCGACACAGGGAGAGGGGGAAGAGAAAAGACACGAAAAATAGCAAGAGGAGGGAGAAAGGCACTGGGCGAGATCCCAGATAGGCCATTCTGAGAAGCATTTGGCGTCTCCTCACACCCCGAACTGGAGCCCAGCGTGAGGCCCCAAGAGGCTGATGAGACAGCAGAGGACCACATTTGGAAGCAAGAAGACCTGGATTCAAGACTGGCGTTCAACTGACAAAGTTCCATTGGATCTTGAAGCCCAGGCATTGTTCTGGAGCTTCTGTTCCTTCCGACGGTGCAGATGTTTTTGTGTGGCCAACATTTTCAGCATTGACTTGATGGCAGGTCCTGCCTGGACCAGGCACTGCAGACAGTGAGGAGAGGGGAAGCTCTGTCCTTGAGCTCAATGAGATGTACACGTGTAGCATTTATCAATCAGGTCTCTGTACAAAATAATACATTTATTATTAAAATGGTGTGTATGTGTGCAAATGTAAATATATACCTGTGTATTCATTTATTTACTCATCCACGCTATCCATCCATCCATCCATCACTCTTTAAAATCAGTTTCCTGTATATAACTCATAATATATTTGAAGTGGCCAAAAAACGATAATATCCTCCAATTCAAAATTCTCCAAAGGCATATGATGTCATTTAAAAACAGTCAGAGTAGGAAAACCATTTTATAAAATTCTGCAAAATAATCAAATATTAATAATATGTGTGAGTCCAGAGAGATAGTATTACATATAAGGGCCATCTGTTTTTAAGTATACGAAGATGTGGTATAAAAGTGCATAAGAATGGCTACAGCAAAAAATAAAATGAACATTGAATCAATCCTGAAGACCATGTGGATTATGCCAATGATCTGAGGCCCTCCAGTTCGGGAATTCTTCCAGTGTTATCATAACCAGCTCTGACCTTGAGCAAACCGTTTCTTTTTTGCCAGACTCGGTTTCCCCACCTTGTAAAATCAGATGCCCAGGTAACATGATTCTCACCATCTTTTTGTGACTAACATTTTATTTAGAACGCTAAGTGCAAATTTCTGCCAGTGGATATTCTCAAGGCCAATAGTAACTTTAAAACAACAAAGCAGTGAAATGACATGCAAAAGTGGAATGTGCTTTCACAATACAGAATACAATAAAAATACTTTTCTTAAATAATACATGACAGTCAAATTCATCTCTTTAGAAACATCCAATCCAACATAAAGATACCCCCTTTCAGCACTAAGAGCTACAGCCCTTCTTGTCCTCGGAAGCAAACAAATGAAACTCCACGTTTCACAGGGATGGCAAATCAAGTTGAAACCTGTTGTTACAGCCCTGCAGAAAATGCAGATCCGTAAGATTTCATGCCAGACGCTTGGTGCCAGACATCTTGCAATAAGGAGGGGAGGAAGAGGGGGACAAGAAAATAGGCTAAATGGAAAGACAGAATGGGAGAAAGTAAAACTGTACTTCTTGCCATCCTGACTGCATTCTTCTCTGGCACACTGGTGGTACTGATACCTGCTGAGACAAAATTCCAGGGGGAGAAACTGCACCACAAGCCCTGAGAGGTGGAAGGGATTTGTGTGTTAGGATTGGCTGGGCGCAAAGGGGCCTTTCGGATCACTTTGCGTATGACGGTATTCTCCAGCTCCATAGAGTGATGGGGGCATCAGCTTCTGAGAAAAAGAAAAAGGGATGACCAAATCAGTGTGTGATAGAAAGTTGTGTTTGTATTTGCACAGCATACATCTGGCATGTTTTCTATTCACGTTTCATCCTGCCCGGTCTCATGGTCTCAGAGGAAATTGCCCAAAGCCTCTCCTGTCTCTGTTCAGCCCAGTGTTTCTACTTTTGTCTTAAAACAAATGGCCAAATAAACAAACGATTTGTTTTTCGTAGACTACTGTTCTTCGGAGCTTCCATATTGTCCTGTTAAAATTTACTTCTTAAAAAATTGAAACCCTGCTTGGCTTGGAAAGCTGGTTGAGTAAAGACATTTTGGTCCAAAAAATAAACAAGGTGAAAGGTTTTAGAAGACAGACAAAACAGACAGCTGGATTTTTATAGTACATACAATAGGTTTTATTGGTTATGTTAGAAAGAAAGGAGAGAAAGAAAGGAAAGAAGGAAGGAAAAGAAAAAAAAAGGCAATGAAATAAATTCCTCATTTGATTTTGCACCCCCTTTCCAAATTTCTGACAAGAATTTTCAATCCAAAATCTATTATAAAAAACCTTTTCCAGCTGGGAGCAGTGGCTCATGCTTGTAATTCCAGCACTTTGGGAGGCTGAGGCGGGCGGATCACGAGGTCGGGGGTTCGAGACCAGCCTCACCAACATGGTGAAACTCCATCTGTACTAAAAATACAAAAATTAGCTGGGCGTGATGGCGCATGCCTGTAATCCCAGCTACTCAGTAGGCTGACGCAGGAGAATCACTTGAACCTAGGAGGCAGAGGTTGCAGTGAGCCGAGATCGCACCACCGAACTCCAGCCTGGCAACAGAGCGAAACTCTGTCCCTCCCCGCAACCCCCCCGCCCCCATAAAAAAACCTTTTCCCATTCTGTCCTTCAAGAAGGAGCAATGAACTGATGCCAGGGGGTTTGTATCAGCTCTGCTCCACTTCTGAGATGTGACTGCAGGTTAGCCATTTGATTGACCAAAACCTCAACATGCTTGCCTATAAACTGGGCACAAGATGGGCACTATAGGATTCATGGCAGAATCACATGACAGATGTTTGTAAGTGGGATCTGTAAACCATAAAGCGCCCTACAGTTATGTTCTAATAATTATCCTAAATAATTATCCTAGTGTCAGTGTTGATAAAGGAGACAATGTCTAACTTGCTGCTTTCCAGGTTAATTCAGGGTGCATTTACAAATGTATAGAACTACATCGTGATCAAAATAGGCTTGAACAATTTTAGTTCAGCAATAAAGCATTCGTTATTTCTCATTGGTAAAATATAGCTCCTATGATATGCCCATTCTCACTTTCCCTTTACCTGTGCACAGGATGGAGAAGCTACTTCTATTCTAAGGAGATTAAACAATAGTTTAGTTAGCTTTGTCCTGCTTTTGTTTAGAGGTAGACTGTATCATGGAAATGCTAATCATTGTTGGTGATATTTTTACTCCTCTCCCTGCTTTCTGTCATTTTAGATACTGAGCAGGTAGCAATAGGTTGAGTATTAAACTAAAATCATAGAGAGGAAGATAGTGAGGTTGTGTTTTGAAAAAAAATGTGAAACCAAGTCATTTTGAGTTGATTAGGGCCCAATTCTTACTTTAAGAATTGAGCAAGTCTCCTAAATTTCCTCCACTCTGAACTGAGTACTGGGCTGAAGATGAATCCTAAGGTCTTTTGCTTTTTTTCAGATCTTAGGACATAAGTCTTATATACTATGAAAAACAAAATCAGGAGAATGACCTAGCACTCATTTTCATTACTGTTTCTAGTTATTAAGAAATCAAATCTTGAGGCTTTCACAAAGTATAAATCCAATGACTTTTTTAGAAGTAGAATCAATAGCTAAGCATTGACTTGATGTATGTATGTATCAGTAATCTCTGCTTCAGTTTAGTTTTGCTTTTATTTTAAAAGTAACAAATGCAAAAAATTTAGAACAAAATCTGGAGACTTGGTGTAAATCCTCCTAACATTTTAGAAATGTGTAGCTTGCCTATTTCTGCTGATTTACACCAATGGCTTCACACTGCAGGCACTGTCATATAGCCATTTTCACTTCTTAGAACATGATTTTTTTTTCTTCTCCACATCATGAAATACACTGCAGCAACACAATATTTAGTTATATATTTTCTATCTTCCCAATTAGAACATAAACTCTAGGAGTGCAGAGATTCCTCGCCTTGTGTATTGCCGTGTCCTGATTTAGAACAGTGCCTGGAATACGGTAGGCCCTAAGTAAATATTTTGCGAAAACAGACCTACAGTATTCCATCACATGCACACAACACCACTTGTTAGATCTTCCTGCACTATAACTGGATGTCCATGAGCATGAGACCCAGTCTATTTTGCTCTCTGCACTGTGTCAGCCCTTGGATCATGGCCTGATCCTGGGCAAGTGCTCAGTGAAACTGCTCCGTGAATGGTGAATGAACACCATCTCCCAGCATGAGACTCTACCACTTGCAAGATTTTGCTGCTATAAACAACAATGTGGTGAACATCTTTGTCATTAAATATTTGCTAACATCCCTTAATTTTTTAAGAGTAAACTCCAGGGAAGTATAATTTTTGGGTCAATGGGTGGGTATATGTTTAAGCTTTTGATGCAGATTGGAAATTTTCTTCCCAAAAAGTTTTTTTTTTCTTTTCTATTTTTTAAAAATCAATTTACACTTCCACCAGCAGTATAGAAAATATCTCTTTTCCTGAAGCCTCAGCACCAGCGATGGCAGTTTTCAAAACCTTATGAACTTGATAGATAAAAAAACCATAATTCCTCAATGCCATTTTTCATTTCCTTGACTATAAGGAGATTTAACATTTTTATATATTATTTCTGTGTTTCTTTCTTTCTTTTGTGTTTTGTTTTGTTTTGTTGTTGTTGTTGTTGTTGAGATGGAGTCTTGCTCTGTCACCCAGGCTGGAGTGCAGTGGTGCAATCTTGGCTCACTGCAACTTCCACCTCCTGGGTTCAAGTGATTCTCCTGCCTCAGCCTCCCGAGTAGCTGGGATTACAGGTGTGCGCCACCACACCCAGCTAATTTTTGTATTTTTTTTTAGTAGAGGTGGGGCTTCACCTTGTTGGCCAGGCTGGTCTCAAACTCCTGACCTCAGGTGATCTCCCGCCTTGGCCTCTCAAAGTACTCTGGGATTACAGGCATGAGCCACCATGCCCGGCCTCAGTGTTTGTTTCTTTATTTGTTGATTTTTATTTGATTTTTTTCTTGTTAAATAAATTCAAATACATGAAACTTTTAGGGCAGTGCTTGTAATGTAGTAAACATTATATACTGTTATTAAAATTCCTATTTTATTATCTTTTCCTTTTAATCAGTTTGTTAGAACTTACATATTATGTATCATATAAACACATTTACGCATTATTATTTGACACATACATTAAAAATATTCTGTCTATTTAGTTTATTTATTTGATAAATATTTCATTTTCGTACTGTCACACTTACCCATCTTTTTGTTTTTTGCCTTCTGCCTTTGCCGTTAGCTTATTTTTTGAACCATTTAATATACTTTTCAGACTCATGCAATATTTACAGGAGGAATCAAGTTTAGGAAAAAAAAAGTAGGTTAAATTATATTATTAAATATAATCCCATTTTGTTTATGCTTTACAATTTTCAAAGCAGTTTAATATATATTTCTCTTGAGTGTTCCAATAATCCTTGCTGTGGTGGATGATGTTAATACACCCATTTTTACAGATGAGGTTATCTGAGATGTGGGTACAAAGGGAACACCTATAAATTCAGCAAGGGAGCAAGGACTGGTACGTATTCTGAATTTATTTTCAGGATTCTATGAATTTTGGCTTTTTCTTCAAAAACTTGAGGAAAATGATGATGATGATGACGATGATGAGGACAACGACGATGACTAATTCTAAGTCTGATGTCGGCATTTTGGTGATCTCTGGTCACCTTACATTTCCTAAGTCCAAAGTCTACAGGCAGAGTAAGGTCATTAAGGTTTCCTGAGTGCCCCTTGTGGGCTAGGTGCTTCCATGTGCATGGTCTTAGTTCATCCCCACTGCAAACCTAGGCAGTCACAGTTGTAATTCTGGGTGTCTCTTTTCCTTTTTAATGGGCAGGAACTTCAGACTCCCAGGTGCCCCCTGTGCACCCCAGGACACAATGCTAGTAAACAATAGAGGCGTGATTCCCACCCAGACAGGGCACATACAGGACCACAGTTTCCCCCATTTACTCTGCAGCATTGAGTCTGACAACACCAGCCCCTGACTTTGAGTGGCAAATTATAGCCTGGTTGTATAATAGCTCTCCATCTTATTTATTCATTTTTTTGAATTCCTAAAAAATCATGGCAAGTAGATCAGCATGGCCCCCTGCCCCCCGCACTGTGGAAGTTTGATAATGTATGTCCTAACCGCTTAATTGATTGATTACCTCACTGCAGCTTCCTGAGGTACCGAATTTATCTCTAATAGCCAGAGTCAGGCTCTGCAGGCAACCGTGGGGGGGCCGGTGGTCCCTTGGTGTCGATTTGCTCTTAACTGGAAAGTCATTACCACTTAATACATGTAGATTGTGTTGAAAGAAAATTATGTGTAATGAAATGAGGGAAAAATTAGTGGAGTGTTATGGGCGAAAGCAGATGTTAGGGAGGAATTATGCTAGCAGAGATAATCACCTTCGTTGGTTTTGTGTGTGCTGGGGTGTTAACTGAGGGAGAGGCAGGGGGAGAGTGGAGTGAATGCATTGATCGATGCAGATTCACCCCTTAGAAGCAGCAGCAAAGAATGACACCCCCTGGACTCAGAGACTGGGCTTCCATAGCTTGTCTCAACCGTATATATGGCTCTTCCTCCCTGCGGTCTCCCACGATGCCTGGACACAAAACATCTACCTGCGGGTGCTGAGGAAGACAGCAGGGAGCATCCCAGGGAGTCCTCTTCCTAACTGAGGCCAAGTGATGAGTATCCTACTCTACTTTTTAGAACATTAGCTGAATCAGATACAAAACAAAACAAACAAAACATCCTCTCCCTCCTAAAACAAAACAAAACAAAAACCTAAGCAAACAACAAACCAACAACTAGAAAAAAGCTTAGCCTGAAAGAGGATAAGGCTGTTGAATCTTTTGGTAAATAGTCATATCTCAAATGGAGACATTTAAGTGCCTGTGCTTGTGTGAGTGATGCCAGAGAGAATAAAAACTCATTGTTTTCAGGTCTTAGGATCCTTGGGTAAAAGAGCTTGGCACACACAGCCCAAACCTCTTGCCTGATATATTTGCTGCTGAGGAAACTGAAGCTGAGAGAGAGAAAGGTCCTCACCCACAGTCGTAGACCCAGTGAGTGGAAGCAAGGCCAGCCCCTGAGTGCAGGACAGGGGGATCTTACAACCCACACTGCTTTTTCTAGGACTCCCGGGTCTGACCCACTATGAGGTGAGGCTGCAAAACAACTGGATGTTTTTAATATCCTGGCAAGCACGCAAATACTTGCATGCATCACAGAGCTATCCAAGGTATGAATTTCAGCCTCAGTTTTCAGCAGGTGGCTCCTCCCATAGTCTGCACCAGTGTTTTTAGAAACAATTGTGTTGATCGTCTTTGCGAAAGTTCCCAATGTAAGTCCCCAAGATGACTGGGAGGTAGGTTCCATCCTTTTGGTTTTCTGTAGGACTAAACAGGCTTTGTAAAACTGTAACTAGTCATCCCTAATCATGTGGGATATGGGCTCAAGGGTCAGGGATAAGCGCGTTGTGTGACCATGCCAAGTTACTAACCTCTCAAGCCAGTGTCCCATTTGTTAAAGAGGTGATGGCAGTCAGACAAAAATAATACTTAGAAAACACTGAGCACAATGCCTGGTGCATATGGTAAGTGCTCAATAGTTTATGTTCATTAAGTTCATTGTTCATATAAATAAGTGTTAGATTTTGCATAGAAGCATACTACATGCTAGTGTGTGTGTGTGTGTGTGTGTGTGTGTGTGTGTGTGTGGAGAGAGAGCATGTGTATGCAATTCTCTCTCTCTCTCTCTCTCTCTCTCTCTATATATATATATATATATGCCTGTATGTGTGCCTGTATCTGTACATGTATATATCATCTTTAAGGACTCCATGGTATGCAGTTAAATGAATATATAAATATAAATATATATATATATATATAGAGAGAGAGAGAGAGAGAGACTCTATTGGGATTAAAATACAACAAATCATTTTAAAAGGTTACTGAATTAATGCATCAAAGCCTTTCATTAATAGGCATGTTTTAATCAGTTAATCTGAGGAATGCTACAATCTGATGTTGCAGACTCCTGTTTTGTTGTTAATGTTAAGATACCCTACTATGTGAACTTGTTGAGGGTGCCTACCCTGCACATCATAAATTACTCTGTTCTGGAAATAACTGGCAGAAAACTAAATGACCAAGAGTTTAAATAAACAAAGGCATATTACCTATACTGATAGTGTCCTTGTATGAAACCTGTTTCACTGCAGAAACCGTTGCTTTGCCATCTGAACCGTCCACATAGAAATGTGGAGATTCTCCTCCATCCACTTGCAAATGTTTAAGACAAATTCACTTTGGATTTTGTTAATGGATCCCAGCATCATGGCTTCATTTAGAACCTGAAGCATCTACCAGTTATCCATGATTACCAAGGAGACTACACAGTTCACTGAGGCTATGAAGGTATGACCAGTTCCAGGATGTTTTGTTTGAGTTACAGTAATGGTCATGGTTAAGAGCAGGATTGGGCTACACCACAGAGTATGTCAGCATGATTCTTCATTTGCTAGCCATACTAGAGAAGTCATACTCAATGAGGAAAACCTGGCAAACAGAAAGAAGATGAATGAAGCACAACACACAGGCACACGCACACACGCACACACACGTGTGTGCACGCACACTCACAAACACACACACTACCAAAACTCATCCATAATCCCCTCCTCACCCAAAATGAAGCCACTGTTAAATTGTTCTTGGTATTCTTCTGTTCTTTGCCTATAGATGTGTGTATGTGTGTGTGCCAGCTCATGCGCATGTATGTGTGCCTGTATCTGTACATGTACATACCATCTTCAAGGACTTCATCGTATGCGGTTAAATGAATACGCTATAACTGATATCACCAGTCACAATCTTAGGATGCTGCCAGTATTTTGTTATAATAATCCAACATGCATATCTTTCTATAATGTATAGTATATCTCTGATTATTTTCTTAGGATAAATTACTAAAACGTAATTTCACTGCCATAGAGTAAGGTCACTTTAAAGATCTGATCAATATTGCAGTTTGTAGCTTTAGAAGGGAGTCCGGGTGGAAGGAGGCACTAAGGTATCTTAGTTCCCTCTGAAAAAATACATTTGATTCTTTGCATACTGATATCATCAAGCTCAGTGGTATAGATGCCATCATTTACCCATTAAAACTAGTTATTTATCTATCACCTTATGTTATGCACATGTCATAACCTATCTCATTTTCAAACATCACAAAAGCCAACAAACTAGGTATCAAGCCATTTTACAAAATGAAGGAATAATCTTAACTAAATGTTATTTATTGTACTTATAAATAAGAGCAAAGTGCTGTTGACTAATATTGCATATTGACTAAGGTTTACAATAATTATTGAAGAATTCCATCATGAATCTACTAATACAAATGCACAATATGTCTAACTTGCTAGATTATTTGGAGAATCCAAATAAATCATGTATGCAGAAATGCCTGGCATATAATTAAATGAATATACAATAACTTACATAGCCAATGGTATGTAAGTTTTGCTTCAATTATAACTATAATCAGTATTGTTACAATTAACTACAAATTTCATGATCCTGGTAAGGGTTTTGGACAGACCCATGTTCCAATCCTAGCTAGAAATGTGGCTTTGGTGAAGTAGCTTTATCTCTCCAGTTCTTAATTTTCTCATCTGTAAAATGAATATAAAGATACCTGCCTCGCTGGGCTTTAGTGATGAATTAATGAGAACAGTTAAGTAAAATAGCCCAGTGCTTATCCTGGCACACAGTAGGGACTCATCGTAGAAATGCAATCAGTCTTTACTTTTTAAATCCATGACTAACATCTACAGAAATTCCACTTTCAAAAGCATTAGACCCCAGATTCACAGCTGAGCAAATTTGTTAAGGGAAAGCCAACTCACTCCTCACTGGTCTCTGTGTCAATGGCTTCAAGAGGCAAGCACATTTTTTCAGAGCCCCTGAAAAACTATGATGAATGTTTCAGAGACCAAAAGATTAATTAAGTTGCTCAGTGCTGCGCCATTAAATGAAACGGCACTGTGCTAGTGGCACATTGCTGTTGTTATTTATACATACAAGAAAGCAAAACTTAGTTGATGCTTTGGGTGAGCCTGCTGTCGGTCACTCACACAGGCAGGCTGCATGTGAAGTCCAAGCTCTACCTCCCTCTCTTATTCACTTAGGGGAAGGAGCTTGCAACTTGCAACCAGCTAGGCAGGGAAGGGAAGGGCCCTGGATCTGGGTTTAGTTTTGCAGATGACTTTGCGCAAAATGTTGACAACCCCCTGTCTTCCAAGACATTATCTTTAATACCAGAACCTCAACTTTTCTTACTTCATCTGGAAACACACTTCCACATGCAAGGATTATCCATATTATCCATACATCTCACAGCAGGGACGTTAGAAGAGAAAGCCCTTGGATTAGAGGCTCTCAATATAAATTTAACCAAGAGGGTTTTCCTTGAATCTCAGCCTCCTCAGTGGTAAAAATGAGATGAAACAGACCTAAAAGATCTTTTTATGCTAACTAGAGGAAATAACAGGTGTATAATCTCAGGCATAAGGTGGGACTTCAACAAGGGTGAATCCTTCCCTTTCTGCCTCTGAAGGCAAATTTATTCCTATCGTCTTTTTTTATGTGTTTGTTTTATCTCAATGCGGTGGGAAAACTTTGCAATACATATTCAAAACCACTTAATTATTCTTCAAACTTTATTTTGTGTATAACACTTATTAGTTACATAAACAATCATGACTTTGAGGTGCCCTTATACCAAATGTGCCAGAACACCATGGTTCTTTGTCCTTATATTTTCTAATTTTTGAAAACAACACTTTTTTGTCTTTCTCTTTCTGGTTGGCCTGCTAATAACCAATTCTCTGAGTAATAACACTTTTATCAGCTACTGCAGTCTCCTATCCTTTTGAGCAAGCTTAAAAAACAAGTGATCATTATAAAATTTATTGATTCTGAACTAGAGTTTCCCATATAATTAAAGAAATTGTCTCTTGAAAAGACTGGGCTGTGCTGAGGACAGTTGAGGACTCAAATGGGCAATGCACACATAGGGGTGTTCAAGCCCTGAAGTGCGGAATCAGAATAATGACATTTAAAGTCCTTCACATTCTCAGATTGAATGACTCACAAGACCAGTTATTATACTGTAATTTATTCCAATCCTATGCCGTCAGTTGAATTTCGAATAAAGAATTCATCAGTATTTACGTGAGTGCTTAGTAAACCTCTGAGAAATATTTCATGCAAGGTGTTAGGTCACCTTGCCTATGACTGGGTTGTATCCCAACCTTTTTACCCATCCCCTCTGGTTCCCACTGGAGTGAGTGTGTGTCTTTCTGGAGCATGGGGCGATCTCCAGTAGGCTTGTCCTCAGCAGGGTGTTCCAGTTATTTTAGGTGGCCTCATAGGCCTATGTCACCTCTTTCCAGATTGCTCACACATCTGCTGTTTCTTGCAGTGTCAAACAGATAAAACCATTTCTTATGTGTGCTGTAATATAAGAAAGTTAGGCAAGCACTGCTAGATGATCCCTCAACCTACAAGAGTATCTGCTGCTAATGCCTATGGTAAGGATGCCCTTACATGGTGTATCTTCATATTCGCCTCTTCTTATAGTAAGACAAAAGGAAGGCATGACCTTCCTTGCTTGACTCTAATATCCTGGCACATCATCTAAGAAGCTCCCCTAACACACTCTTGCTTAAACCATTTGCTCTTTTGCTTCATCCAGTTTGCCAAAGCAGAAGAAGACAATGTAGGTAGATTATGGATTAGATTATATGATCTGCAGTCCAACAAGACTGTATGATTTATCATCCTGATACTTGTTAACTATGTTACCTTGGACACAGACTTTCTTCATTTCTTTAGGTCAGTTTCTTCATCTTTAAAATGGCACTATTAAAGGAAAAGATGTGTGCGTGTGTGTGTGTGTGAGGAGAAAGAGAGAGAGAAATGTAAAAAGCTAAATATTGATACAATTTAACCATTTTAGAAAGTACCATTTAATGCCTTTACTCCTTTACCAGTGAATCTAAAGACATACTCAAGTATTAAATAAGCTTTCTCTGGAAACACACTATATGCTAGAAATAAGAGATTGAAAGACAGATATCTATTTTATGACCCATTACCTTATTGATCAGTGGGGGAGAAACATAATATGTAGATAACAAAATCAATTTTGTTCTTTGTACATAAACATTTACTTCCTCTCCACTTTTGCAGTTCTGAAGAGTTTATATCCCATTTCCTTGACATTGAGGTTGATTGTATGATTTTCTTTGGCCAACAGGACGTTTAAAAAAATGTAACATTAACCTCATTTATGTAAGAGCTTTTAGAGGCAGTGAGAGTTTCAGCCAACTCCCTTATTCGTGATATCTGCCATGAACAAACAATATTCAGCAGGCAGGGGCTCTTCCTTTAACCTGGGTCCCAGTATGAGAAGACCCAGGAAGCAGATCCTCATTCCACTAGAAGATTGGAGGGGAGCCTTTGAGCACAGAGCTGCAAAGCTTCAGCCTACCTAAGGCTGGCATGTAACATGGGGTAACAAATAATTGGAAGTTATCTGTTACACAGCATCATTACAGCACAGCTGACAGATACAGATAAGAACACAATAGTTACATATTATAAGCCAGGAAGTGTAAGACTATTGAAAAGTATTTAGATCTATCCTGAGGTGACAAGGAGAATTTCTTTCTTTTTTTTTTTTTTTTTTTTTTTAAGATGCAGTTTCACTGTTGTTGCCCAGGCTGCAGTGCAATGGCACGATTTTGGCTCACTGCAACCTCCGCCTCCCAGGTTCAAGCAATTCTCCTGCCTCAGCCTCCCAAGTAGCTGGAATTACAGGCACGCACCACCACGCCCGGCTAACTTTGTACTATTAGTAGAGACAAGGTTTTGCCATATTGGCCAGGCTGGTTTCAAACCCCTGACCTCAAGTAATCCACCCATCTCGGACTCCCAAAGTGCTGGGATTACAGGCGTGAGCCAGAGCCGAGCCAGGGAATTCATAGAGAGGTAACATTGGAAGTGTGGGTCAAGAATGATGGCATGAAGAGTACATTTGTTTAAATGCTGACAATATATTTGGTGAAACATCAAATATGTTATCAATGAACAGTCCACCAGTCAGCTTGGACAAAGGGCCAACTAGAAAAGTGTGTTCAATGAATAAGTCATCTCTTGTGCATTTCTCTTGAGTTTGGGCTCTGCAATGGCACAGAGATTGAGGACATCATTCTGGCCTTGACTTGCTTTGAGTTCTTTCAGGAATTCAGACATTGGTTTGTAAATCCAGAGTTTAAGCTCAATTCAATTTTGAAGAAAACACAAAATGTGACCTCAGCATCAACATGATCCTTGTAGAATTTCCTAACACAAACTAATACCTATCTAGAAAATCACAAATGCGTACTTTTGTTGAGGTGCTTATTCTTAAACAGGTTGTTATATGCATTTGAACATGAGATACAATTATAATATTTCTTTATAATTCTAAGTCTCTAATGGTTTATGTTTATCAAGCTTGTTCAACGTAAATTTTTGAGATATATGTACAAGAAATTGAATGCTGTCTCTTTATTACTTGCTATTATATGACTTGGGGAAAATCATTTAACTTCTCAAAGACTCAGTAGTCTTATCCTAGAAACTGGGCAATTATTTCGTATGTAATGTTATTATTTTGAAAAGCAAATGAAACAACACCTGTAAAAGTACCTGATGTAAAAACAAGTACTTCTTATCCTACCTCTCTTCCTTTCTTGAAATACATATGGCGTGTGTGTATTTTGTATGCATTAAATACTGATACGTGTTCAAAACCCAGCCAAAAGTTAGAACTTAGGAAAAAAATGGGCTGGGCACGGTGACTCATGCCTGTAATCCCAGCACTTTGGGAAGCTGAGGTGGGCAGATGACTTGAAGTCAGAAGTTCTAAACCAGCCTGGCCAACATGGTGAAACCCATTTCTACTAAATATACAAAAATTAGCCAGGCATGGTGGCGAACGCCTGTAGTCCCAGCTACTCAGGATCGCTTGAGTCCAGGAGGTGAAGGTTGCAGTGGGCCAAGATCGCACCACCGCACACCAGCCTGGGTGACACAGCAAGACTTCATGTAAAAAAAAAAAAAAGACTCTATCTAGGTAATAAAGAAACATGTCTCTATTATCGGCCAATGTTTTCTTATTTGCAGTTCTCTCCTTCAAAACCTCTAACTCTGGATATAGCCCCATGCATTTCTCATAGCCTTTGTCTCATGTCAATGATGATCACTTTAAACATAAGGGTGGGTAGCATGGTGGGCAGGTTCAGTAAACAAGCTTGCCTGGAGTATGGGTACATTTCTGAAAGGCTCCTCCATAAATAAAAGATTAGAGTAGAAGGGAAGTATAGGGCCCATGATGAAGAGTGAAATCAGCTTAAGTATCTGAAATTTGCTCTGTGGTCAATGGGCATCCACTGACCATTTTTGATTTAGACTGGTATTTTCTAGTGGCTAGTAATATTATTACCAAAAAAAGACTGATATTTGATCATTTTTGTTTGGCAAAATTCTGAGATAAACAAATAATTATTTATAGCAGGAAATCACAGCGCTTTTAATAAATTAATGTCTTGATTTATTGAGTCTTGGATTTTCATGTCTCTCTCTCTCTTTTTCTCTTTCTGTCTACTTCCCTCCATGCTCTCACCTTTGTTATATAATTTTAAATAACCTTATTTAATTCTAAAAAAAACCCTATGAGGTAGTTATCACTCGTTTATATTAATTTTTTATAGATGAAGAAATTAGATTATAGGAAAGTTAAATAAATTATTGCTCAAAGTCCCAGAGTTAATAAATAATGAATCTAAGGAGAGATTTTAACCACTACAACTTTAACTGCTTTCAAAATTTTCTGTTGTTTACTTTGAAACTTAAAATTATTTTATCTTGCTTGCCATCACATAAAATTACTGCTTTGAAAACGTTCAATGTGTTTATCCTGGGATACCACTTTTGCCTGTGGTTCCCCTGGTCTCCCCAAGAATAGGCACAAACCAGACTAAGAAACATGAGTGCTAAATGTGACTGAGATGGAACATGTCTCACTGTGGCAAGTATTTGGACCAAACTGAATGTAATTCCTTATGGAGACTCGAGTGACAGAGTCCACCTGCTACAACTGGCCAACTGTATCATAAATCCAACCATTTAATTTTTTAAAAAATGCAATTGGATGGTGACAGCCGCCACGACATTTTCTTGCAGAAGGCTTCTGATGAAAGAATTTTATCTTCTTTGCCTTGTCCATACCAAGCTCCTTATAAAGAAAGCAAGTAGACCTAATATTCAGAATTGAATCATGTGGCGTTTTTAACCAAGCACCAGATTTGTTTTAATGATTCTCTTAACAGTGATTCATCCAGGATTCTCGCCTGTGTCCCTTTTGTGCCCGAGTACAGATGTGCATCTAGAACACATTTAGTTCTATGATTTCAAAGAGTGGACGCCCACTTTATGCATATGATTAATTCTACATGCAGCTAATTATACCCACAATTGGCTAATTGTCGGTGCAATTAGCCAATTGCAGGCCCAATTGGCCACTTGTCCCATAATTTGAAGGTGCAAGTGGACAACTGAAGGAACAATTAGAGGCATGCAGAGTTTTACATATTTAAAGAGGAGGCTGGGGGAGGAAAAGCGGCTGAAAATGTGGTCCTGAATGCAAAATTAAAAAATCCATATGTATAGGTCTTTGAGAAAGAAAGTTATTGTTCACTGGACTTTTTATTCTCATGCAATTTTCAAAGTCAATATTTTTTTCCTAAAAACTTATAAAACAAACAAACAGATTTTTGAGACTGACACAGCTGAAGCCAAACTTTAGATCAGTAAGAACTAACTCCTCCATCTCAAAGCCTGTGCATTTTAAGGGTTACTAGTAAAACGAACGTCTCTCGGAGGAAAATTGCAAATGTTACCAAGCTTTTGGCCAAATCCTTTTGACTTTTCTCATTTCTTCTCTAATTATTCTTAATTTTCTTCAATAAGAATTTTTTTTTCCAGTAGCTACACAATCCGGGAGACGTAGAAGAAATGACTGCTTTCACTCACAGCTTTATTTATCTGGCCACCTTCAGAGATTATGATATTGTTAGAAATTATTTGCTCCAGTACAACTACCTAATTTCAAAGCCCCAAACCTATAAATACTCTCCCTTCTGTGCATGCCTCCTCCTCAGGTGTCTCACCGCAGGACACCCAGATCCAGAAGGAGCCAAAAATAGCCAGAAATGGTGGAAAAGTGGCACATTGTAGGCACTTAGTAAACAGTGATTGAGGACGACTGCCACTCATTAGGGGTTTAGGGCTGAAAAAGAAGTTTGGAATCATCTCCCATAGCATGGATTCGGTGGCTGCTAATGTCCTTGTGAGTTAAAATAAAACAAGATTGCTATGATTCCCCTCATATCTGCAGTTGATATTTTCAGACCTTAATCTGACATAAATTGGTCACACACTCAGAAGCAAACCCAGCAGACTTTCAGATATCAGAAATACCTGCTACAAATAAATGCATGAAAGCCCTGCAAGAGATCCCACTGCCCTCAAGTTCCCCAAATTTTGTGATCTATTAAACATGAGTCTCAAGGAGTTTTCTGAGAGCAAATAATGTTATGGTCAAACATGGATGGAAACACAGGAAAAAAATAAAAAGGTCAGTAATAAAAACAAAAACAGAGACTGTGTAAGTCACATTTTAACCCAGTATATTTCACATGTAATTATCCAAGGAATCCTAACAAAATAACTAATACTATGCCACAGAATTAAAAGAGACACATGTTGGGAAATACAACTAGGTATGTTTTAGAGCTAAATCGATAAGTTAATACACACTTTTACCAAACTTGATTATCTGGTTTTCAGCTCACAGGAAAATTTTTAAATAGGTCACTTCGGGGGCTCAAGAGTGAGACTACATAAAGGGACTCTGACATAAAAATTAATTTGAAATTTGTATCACAACGCTATTCACTGGAGGGGAATAATTCATCTTTCTGGGCCTCAGTTTCCTCACTTGTATAATAAAAGCATTGAATCTGATGGACACCAAAGTTCTTCCGGTCCTGGCATCCTGTGATACTCAGTGGTTGTGCCAAATAGTGCTTTACTTGATGAACATGTCTCTCCTCTCTCTACTCAAACTCCAGGGCTTGCTACCCCAGTGGTCGAAAGGTGGAATTCCTAATTCCAAATTTTCTGCATGTTAGTTTATTATCTGGGATAAGTCTCTTAACTTTTCAAACCTCAATTTCCCCAAAGAGAAACTAAGGATAATAATATCTCCAAAGAAGTCTCAGTGAGCTGAAGAAATGTGAAAGCCATTTGAAAAGTATGAAGCACTCCCTATTACTGTTTCTGTTTTTATTAAATAGGATACTAGCCATTTATAATAACTAGTAGTTATATTAATGACCTTAACACAGATTCAATTATTATTAACATTAATTGCCTTATAACTACTACTAATATGCTAATTGTGATAATGAACCGATGCCGTGCTTGATGCATTTCAGCAGCAGATTTTGTTCTGCTAAACTTGGGGTTTTGCTTGGAGGGGAGAAGAGCAGTGCTGGCCTTCGGGCCGTGCCAGGAAAATGTGTGGGCCAGATGGCAATCCAAGTTGGTCTGATAGAACATTTCTATTTCTGTGGATTCTCAAAAATGAACTGACAGGCACGAAGCAAAGTGGTGACTCATAGCCTTCAGGTCCCTGAGTTACAGCTTCTGAGCTGCAATTTCCTATTGTCCTGGCAAACTCATTTATGGGAAGATTCAATCTAGAACCTTCTATCTCCATTGCCATCATTGTCATCATTACAGTCATCACAACCACTCTTTACCAAGCACCTACTGTGTGCATAAGAGTATTATATATTATGGTCTATTAAAAAAGACTACGTTGGCTAGGCACAGTGGCTCATGCCTGTAATTCCAGCACTTTGGGAGGCCGAGGTGGGTGGATCACGAGGTCAAGAGGTTGAGACCATTCTGGCCAATATAGTGAAACCCCGTCTCTACTAAAAATTAAAAAAAAAAAATAGCTGGGTGTGGTGGTGTGTGTCTGTAGTCCCAGCTATTCAGGAGGCTGAGGCAGGAGAATCACTTGAACCCGGGAGGTGGAGGTTGCAGTGAGCCGAGATCCTGCCACTGCACTCCGGCCTGGTAACAGAGTGAGACTCTGTCTCAAAAAAAAAAAAAAAAAAAAAAAGTCTATGTTAATCTCTGTAATGACCTCATAATGTATACATTCCTATCTCCATTTATTCTTCAGCTGAGGATACTCTGGGTCAAATAAGCAACTTGCCCGCCAGGGCAGAGATGCTGATGGGTGGAGTTGAGATCTGAATCCCAGAAGTCTACTTTTTTTCTTCTATATGATACTATCTTTCCAATTGACAGCATCCTGAAGATTGCAATCCTCCTGCAGGCAGCCACTGTCTTGTGTGTGAGTGTGTGTGCACATGGGCATACACATATGTGTATTGTATATTTTAATTCCACTTAGCAGAGGGACTATAAACTGGCCTGGCACAGAATGTCCAATGCATAAATGCTTGCTGGCTTGAATTTACAAGTCTAAGAGATGGTCCACCATGATTTTTTTTTTACCTTCATAAACTGATAAAATATTAATGCTAGTCCCATATTCTCATTCTACAGATGTAGCTACAAGGACTTGAACACAACAGTCATTGGCAGAACTAAGCTCAGAATCTAAACCTGACTCCCAAGTGGCCACTCAACATACCACATCTCATGGGAAAGGAGAAGTCCATTTGTTCTTAGTCACAGTTTCTCTGTAGTCTTCTCTAGTTGCTGACCATCAAATGATGATTTTATGAAAGGAAGACATATCTAGATACTACAAACATCTTTTTCATTATTGTCAAGAACACGTGGAAAAGGGTAGAAGTCTGAGTTTCTCAACTTGTCTTTGGGTATGAGACTGGACTGCAGTGAGAATCACTTCTACAATAGGAGTCCTTAGAGACTTGGGGGCTTTGGATAGGCTTCAGCTGGGATGGTCATCCAATCCCCAGCCTCAAAGAAACATCACCCTACACCATCAGAGCAGAGGGGATGGACACTCAGTACAGTCATTTTAGTAGTGAGATAGTAAAATACTATTTTGTATCATATTCTTGCAAGGATTGACTTTTTTAGACACACACTGAGTTGTCTTTACCAAATGAACATTCCATTTACAAAAAGTATTATCAAATTAATAGCATAACAAGTTTTCAGGGGAGGTTTATTAGAGTCAAATATTTTAAAAGCTGTCATTTAAACAGAAGTAGTTGTTAAATTGAGGAGATAATTAGGTACCTGAAATTAATCAAAGTATGTTTTTAAAAATAAACTCTATATTTGACTCATTGCAAATATATTTCAGTCTTGTCCAAATTCTCTGTAATATATTTGAAATTGGCAATTTTGCAAGCAAATCTGCAAATAGCCTTTGGCCATTAAAATCTTGCTCTGCCCTTACCGTGGTGGATTCCACAAAAAAACACCCCAAATTAAAATTTAAGCTATAAGATACGTGGAGTCTACAGACATTGACATATAATTTATAAAGCTGATAATGCTGGATTGAATGCCTTTATACTCAATTTCCTATTACTTTCCTCTTTCTCCCTGTATTTTTTTCTCTCTCTCTTTTTTGAATTGCCTTTAATACTATGATCATGCCAGCTTAGTGGCCTAGATGAACTTATAAGACAGAATAACTAGATCGGTGACATGCCACCAGTAGGAAAACTGGAGTGAGTTGAGATTCATTTATTCAAAAAAATATTTTTTGAGCACCTGTAACATGGTAGGTTAGGGGATGGGGCAGTGAGCAAAGACACTGTATTGAAAAGAGGGAGAAAGTAATGGTATATAGCAAAACAAACAAGCAAACAAAACCCCAAATGAAATAGATGATATATCAGGTGGGAATAAGTCCTATAAAGCACAGAGCAGGGTAAAAGGATAAGGAGTGATGCGGGGAGCGGGAGGAGCCTGCTTGGGAGGTAAAAGTGAAAGAGATAATTCCTCCCTTGCATGGATGAATATTTTTGTGCTGTGCACTCTTTGGCACTTGTATTTCTGTTTCATTTTTAATTTTTAAATACAATTTCAGCTTTGTAAGAGCTGAGGTGATGAATGAAATACAGGTTTCTGCTGTATTTCATTCTATGGCAGACAATTCTATGGCAAAGGCAGAATGTCAGGTTTTTGTGCAAACAAGAGAGATAGCAGCAGTTCTTACTGACATTGAGCCAGCTAGACTCAGTGATCACTGTCTCCCGTCACCCCTAACCTGGAGGAAATCAGACCCCATCCAATATAGAGAGCATTAATTATGGAGAATATTAAGATCCATCCTTTCTTCATCATCTCAGCTACTTGAATGCATATTTTCACAACCCCATTGGTAAAATGGGCTCTGCCTAAATTACGGCTTAGAGTTATTTTTCTCTCTTGGCAGAGTAACCACTTTACAAATTCTTTTTGTTTTTGCTTTTGTTTTTGAGGCAGGGTCTTGCTCTGTCACCCAGGCTGGAGTGCAGTCGTACTATCAGGGCTCACTGCAGCCTTGGCCTCCTGGGCTTAAGTGATCCTCCCAACTCAACCCCCATGAGTAGCTGGGACTACAGGCATGTGCCACCATGCCTGGCTAATTTTTTGTAGAGATGGGTTTTGCTATGTTTCTCAGGCTGGTCTTGAACTCCTGAGGTCAAGAGATCCTCCCTCTTCCCTCCCAAAGTGCTAGGATTACAGGCATAACTCAGTATGCCTGAGCTTACGAATTTTTTATTCTCCTCTTTTCTCAGCCTTTATAGAGCTTGCTGCTTCTATTCAAATGGCTTTCTCCTGTGTTCATAATTTCAACGAAGTATGATTTGATGTTAGTGCCATGAGGAGGAATAGGAAAAAAAAAAAAAAAAAAAAAACATGGCCCCAATGTTGTGCCAAGACCTGGGCTAGGTGTTTTGCCAACTTTTGTTGTATTAGTTAACCCACATTAACAACCACAGAAGTTAAAGAATACCTCTTTGTTCAATAATATTCCCAAGGTCACAGAGATGATGAACAGAGAGGATTCACTCTAGAGCCCCTAGAGTACGCTTGGCCTTTTAGTCCAGGGCTTCTTAAATAAAGCTGTACATCTGTAATACTTTGGGCTGGTTTGTTAAACAATGCAGATTCTGAGGCTCCAGGTCCAGAAGAATCTGGTAGTCTGAATCCCTAGGTGAGCCTGGGATTCTATAAAGTTAAAAAACCGCATTCCTCCTTAGTGATTCCTAAGATCCATCAAGTTTGGGAAATTTTGGTTCATGAAATATGAAGCCTAGAAGGAAAAGATGCGCAAGACATATCTGGGGCTAGATCTCACATTCCTGATCAGGGTATTTAATATGAAAACTGAAACTGCTCCCCATTTCTGCCTGACCCAGCTTTACTTTTATTTTTTCCATAGCACACTGTCTTCTGACATGTTGTGCTGTGGCTTGCTGTTTAGTCTGACTCCCCAGTTACAACGTAGGTTCCACCGTTGCAAGCATCTTTGCCTTCATGTGTTTCCCTGCTATCCCAAGCACCAAGAACCAGGTCTGGCTCATGGTGGGACCTCAACAAATTATTGTTAAATTAATTAGGATCTTCCTTGACTTTCAGTTTGAGCTATTTCCACGGGGCACAGCTACCACTTCCCTCTTCCGACAAGAGTCCCTTTAGCTCTCCAGAATTAGATTTCAGTGGCTGCATCTCCCTTGTTGTCAGCAGCAGTCTAATGGTTGTGGTAAGCAATCTCCATTTCCTTGCAAAAAAGCAGAAAGTATGGGGCTTAGAGATATTGGTGCATGGGGCGCCTACTCCTCTGTCTCAGCTCCCAAAGCCTTGGTGCTCATGTCTATTACTGGGTGATGATGCCCGTTGTGCTGAGGTCTCTCCCTACTTTGCTAGAATCTGAACACATGGAAATAAAGGGCATTGACGACTATTGGTGAGAGATGCTAACGGAGATGCTGGCAGTAGGCTAAGGCCAAAAGATAGCACTGCTTTATAGTCTCACAGACGTGACTTGAATCACATAGATGTCATATACCACCTGTATGATCCTGAACAAGTCTCTTTACCCCACTAAGCTTCACTTTCCTCTGTTGTCAAAAGAAAATGAGTCTCTACCTCATAGAGCTATTTAAAAGGCTAAAGTAAAATAAGGTCCATAGAACTGGCAAATAAGTCAAAATAATCATTTTTGCATTCTGTGGACCACGAAAAGATAGTGAAATGATGAAAAAAATCATATATCTTTATGTGCATAAATGTATACATAATTTAGAATTTTATATGTGCATATAATTTAAAAGTGAACTCTGATGATTTAATTGAAAAAGGGGAGATAAAATTCAATTGTAGGTGGTCTATGGCTTGAAGCTACATCTCTGGGTCTTAAGGCATTTCCCAACACACAGTAAATATTCAACAAAGGTGTGTTGAATAGTCAGCAAAAGTCCTCATCCTAGGCCCAATACAAGTGAGAGCAGTGGACACAACATAAAGTCAAGAGTGAGCAAATGCAAGAGGTTCAGGATAAGCTGAACCTGTCATATAAGCTAGAGTCCTATGTCCCAATGCAAAGATTAGAAATAGCCTCCCTTGCCCAGATCCAGTATAACCAGTACACGGCAATTAAAAGATAAAACCAGTGTCACCTTGGGTAGCATCAGTATAGACTGCTATCAGGAGGACCTCCAATAGTATTACCAGCTGCAATAAAAAAGCACTTCTTTGAATGCTTTTTCTACCTAATTGTCAAAACCGAATAATATTATCAGCTTTTTTATCCTTTGAGTATTTTTCTAATAAGAAAGCACGGAGATGCATTGCAAATAAAAGCAGAAGATTTGAGGATGCAAAGCAATCATGCAAAATGACTTTCATATCAGTTTGATAAGCAGCTGAAATTTAATAACTACATCTCTCCTATGGTGCTGGATGAAAGTTTAATACTTTCTGCTTTGGCTTCTTTCTTCTGCAAGATGCTTATTCAGAACTGTAGCTTCTCTTTTATAGTCAGGAAAATGAGAGGTGCAGTGGATTAATCAAAGCCTTGAGAGGCTGGGCCCAGCCCCAGCCCAGTCCAAACCACAGTGTCTGAGAATCTAAACCAAGTCAAGCCCAAGGCTGTCCATGACCACTGGGGAAACAGGTAAAGATTTCCAAATATCTCAAAATACAGGTAAGACGTCAGTCACTGTGGAAATCACACACCTATTTAAAGCTATGAAATAAGTTTAACTCTCCAAATTATCGTTATTCTTTCTTTGGTTGAGGGTAAATTGTACAACAACAAAAAGAATAAAGAAAACCATTTGGAATTAAACAAAAATTCCATATTTTAAAAAAGAACAAATCAAACCCAAGAATATGATGACTCTGTTATACACAGGAATGTCTTCTGCAGATCAGGGTGCATCTTGTAAAGAGTGGATGAATGAATTAATTAATACCTGATTGGTTTGCAGTTTATAGCTGGAAGAGTTCTGAGATGGTATCAAGCCCAACCTCCTCATTTTAGAGTTGGGGGAATTGAAATGTAGGAAGAATTTTGATGGTCAGATTCACATGGTAGTAAGTAACTGCATGAGCACAGGTCCGATGGCACTGGACACTTGTCTCAGTAGGCCTGGCGAGACCATCAGGATCCCAAGGGTCTCCCATTCCCCACGTTGTCTACACAACCTAGGCAGGGAATTTGTTCAGTGCTCCCAGCACCCAGCTGACAACAGCCACAGCTTTCAATGAATCACTTTGAAAAGATATAAAACCTAAAAGGAGAGGGAGGAGCATTTGATTAGATGTTATCCAGACAGAATTGGGAGACCAATTCAAAACCAGTGTTCTGTACTAATGGATCTTTCCAACTCTGCGTTCCAACGGGAGCCAAGAGGGGATGGGCCTCCCAGAGCGGGGAAGTCTTGGCCCTGTTAAAGGGCCAGCCGAAATGGGGTTCCGCTGGCTTGCTCTTCTACTGCCCCCTACTGGGGAGATTTTTACCAAGGAACGAAGTGGGCTACTGCTAAGTTGTTTTTCACAGTGGGGGCAACTAAAGTCAACCAGGGATTGTAACTCAGGAGTAGAAGGCAGAGATCATTTTCAAACACATAAGGCAATGTGAAAATGTACATGAGCCTCCTAAAGGTTAAAGATGAATCCTGATAACGACTCACATTACCTCCTAGGCGAATTTGTCTGAAAAAACACCAGCACGTCTTTCTGCTATTTCTGTATGTATGCACGTATGCAGATACGTGCAGAATATTATATATTTTTAAGATAGGTATAAACAGATAGTAACACAATGAAGGAACATCTGAGCTAGTCATCAGCTCTAACTGCAGCCTTTTAAAAGAAAATGTAACTCCAGATGTCGTCTTAAGAAAATGAATCAATTAGGCAAATGAGGAATTTCCTCATAAATCAGAGGATGAGAAGCCAAAGTCCAGTCCTTGCCCAGGGGAGGAAACAGAGATGAGGGCTGCCCGGAGGTTGCCATTTTTCATGGCCAGGTAACCCAGCCGCCTCCTGCTCTCCTGAAGTCGTGTTTACCTTATTGAATGCTGGTTTGATTTGGAAAGAGTGTTCTGAATGTTCCAAACCTTTTACCCTGAAGATAATAATGCCTCAGCCTTCAGGAGTGGGACCCAGTATAAGCTGGTGTCACTATTCATGAAATAATTGAGTTTACACAAAAAGTGATTTCAGTAATAGCTGCCTTTTTATAAGTATGTACATTTTATTTAAAATTACTGACTCAAAAGGCAAGGTAGAAAAAAAAATCACCTCCAACAACTTCCTGTAATTGCGAATTATTGTGAGGGAAACAGAAGGAAAAGATTTCGAAATTATGAGCCATTATGCTCGAGAGAGAGGAGAGAGAGAGAGAGAGAGAGAGAGGGAGAGAGAGGGAGAGAGAGAGAGGCAGTGGGGAAAAAAAAAAGACAGCCTGGCTTCATGAAACACAGCTGACAAGCTCGACTAAATTACCCCCGGACCATTACAAAAATCACTTAATTGCCAAGCATTTTGTTAGGTCAATTGACTCTAATTGAAAAAATAACAAAAAGCTTATTATGCTGCAAATGCGGCCGTGGAAAATGAGTCTTCTGTTAGAAGGAAACAATAATTCTAAATTTCAGCTGCTGCTAACACTACAAAGTTCAGTGTTTCCTTCGGATAGAATCCGCAGTGGAGGAGAAAGTGAATATGCATCAATTGATTTTTTTTCCTTTTAGCGCTTCCCCCCAACACTTCTTGCTCTTCCTGATCTTCTCCTTCCCTGCCTCATCCTACCCCCACCCTCATCCTACCCCCACCCTCATCCCCGCCTTGTCCCCACATGATTAGCAGGGGCCCCCTCCACCCCCTTCCATCAGCAAATATACACCTCACTCCCATCTCCCTCCTTATCTTCCTGCAAGAAAGGGTTGGGAGACAAAGAGGGGGCCAGCAGTGTGGGGCCCTGGGTTAGGAGAGATGTCCAGTATCTGCCCTCCCCAGCCCCAGCAGGATGCTGCAGCCTCGGTAAAATGCCTCCCCCACCATTTTCTTTCCATGAGCTGCTCTTTCTCTCTCCCCTCCTGGCTGTCGCCTTATCTCCTCCTCTCCCCTTTTAAATGCAGATAATAGAATAAGGCAAACAGCTTATGTCCGCAAAATTCCTCTGAAATTGCCCCCTAACATGCATACCCAGAGCTGGCCTTGATTGACATCAAGTGCAGTAATTAAAAACCCTGCCAGCTGACATAGGTGAAGGTTTATTTATAATTACACATTTTTAGGATGGCTCGTCCAGGGTCGGTGCATTTAAAAAGATAAGTCGGCCACAGCTCTGTTACTCCCCCAATTATAGATTTGAATGGTGGGAGTTTATAATGGGGGCGGGGAATTCTGCTTTGCAAAAAAAGGAATTATTTGTTCATAAAACCAGGAGGCCAGGGTACGAAAGTCTGATGGCAGAGCCTTTGTCTAGAAAGCTGTGGGAGAGAGAGTGTGTGTCTGTGTGTGTACCTGTGTATGCCTGTGTGTGCATGGGTGTGTGCACCTGCATGTGTACCTGGGAGTGTGTGTGTCTATCTATGGGTGTGTGTGGGCCTGTATGTGTACATGTGTGGGTCTGTGTGTATGGATGCATGCACCTGTGTGTATACATGTGTGTGCCTGCATGCACATGTGGGTGTATGGAAGGGGAGTCATGCGGTGAAGCAGAAAACACCTCCCTCTCCCTGTGCTTAAACACAGAGCTATACTCACAAATCATTTCCCTGCTTGCTTTATCTAAAATGTTAAAAATCTTGCCCAGCTTCAAATCCAAGACTATCAGATCTGACATTCCTAAGAACCCACTGTGAAAGAGGATTCCTCCGTGGGAGCCCAGGGAGCTGGGACAGGAGCTTCTGGGAGGACTGTGTGGGCATAGAGTTCCTAGGAGGCGGAAGCTGCCTGCACACAGCAGGGTGTTTGACACCCATGGGGCAGTGCCCAAAAGCAGCAGCCAGCAGGTCCCCTCTCCCCAACATCCGCTTCTCATTGTTGCCTTTTTTTAGAGCTTGGTATCACTTACCCAGAGGGGCAGAGCCGGCCATATCAGACTGTGCATCTCACGTGTGTGGTTTCTTGGGCCCCACAGCTGGAGACAATGGCAGGAGCGGCCTTGGAGAGCCCCGATTGTCACCTGGCGTCTTGGCAGGCAGCTGAACCCAGAAGTAAACTGAGCCAGGCAGGGAGCTACAGGTGTTAAAGGTACCAGAAAGCAAGGCTCGAAAATCAGATATGAGAGAAAAGGGGAGCAACAGGAAGCCTTTGTATAGGGGGTGCCACTGCATTTCAGACATGCCTGGCCAGGGGGCACAGGGCACAGGGCTTGTCCAAGAAGACAGGATGCAAAACCCACTGCTGACCAGGGAGCCAAGAGCTGTGAAAGGGTCTAGGTGGGTCACCCAGAACAGTCCCTCTGCCCCAGAACGCTGCACAGAGAGATTGCCTGGAAGGAAGCAGGTCCTTCCGATTAAGTGGCAGAACCCTACTGAGAGAAATAAAAGTGAGGAATGGTGAATTCGGCACCACTTGCCAGACCAATGGGCTTCATCAATTAATCACAGCCAAATAATCACCACCTACATTAAAGAATAATACATGAAAAGGACAGGAGCCTCACTGTAACTTATTCAGAAAGGGCTGCCTCCCTAATCCCTCTGAGTCCTGACATGTTAACAGGGTAGCGACTAATTAGATGTCAAAAATTCATAAGCGCTCTTTAATATTGCATATATCTGCAGCCGACATTTCAATATGAGAGTTGTATACACAGAAGTCACTATAGCATTAAAACACAGTGGGGTGGAAGAAATAAAAGGGAACCAATAAAAACAATGTCCCTTAAAAACCCCAGAGAGTGCCAGCTTTGGAAGTGTGTACTTTCTTATTCAGAAAAGGTATCACCTTAATAAGAATTATAGGCAAAGGGGTTTCGCTGCTCTGTGCTGCATGGACAGAAAGGGGGTGAGGAGACGAGCTTATCAAAAGCACTGCCAGGTAAATAGTAATTTATTGTGCATGCACAATGAACATTACCCAGTGTCCTGACACTGGGTGATAATGAAAGGCATGTTATTGTGGAATCCACTGAGGGAATTTCCACTCCCCCCGCTCCCTTCTCCCCTTCTCCTCTTGTCTCTCTTGAGCAAAGAAGCCGTGATGGGTCCTGGCAGCTTCTGCCTGTTTCAAGCCATTTCACATAATATAGAAAGCACCTGAAGTTTAGTGGATTAAGTAAGTGAGTTAGTTTGCCAGCTTGGTGATATATATGTTGCTTGCATGTGAACTTATATTTCAAATGCTGGGGACTATATTTTTATGAAACAAGCCTTTTCCTGTCGGAAGAATTATAGGAATGTGATATAATACAAGGCAGTGAGATTAAAAACAATGCATCATAGCAGAGAGAAAATGCACTGTTTTATGACTTGCATCCGTTAATTGAACCTCTCAGGAATCAAGAGAAGGGCTCTGCAGGAACCTGCTGGAAAATCACTCTCTTTTTTTACTTCCATGTTCTGTTTTTTTGTTGTTGTAGTTGTTATTTTTATTTTTTATCATACATATAGATACATATATACATGCATATATATATACACACACATATTTATGGACACACACAGCCATGAATGACGTATGTTGCTTTCTGTACAATACTGTACTTTTATTTTCTTTTAATGCTGCTCACATTTGACTTAGAGTGAGGAAGTTGTGTTGAAGAGCATTAAAGAAGCTATCTGAATTCAAATCATTAGGTGGACAATTGTTAGTAGCTGTGCACAAATCCCATTAGCCTTCTGGGCCTCAGTTTTCTCTTCTGCAAGACAGGTGTGGTGATGTTGTCCTTCCAGGTTGGTTAAAGCAAAGTACAGTAAAGACAACAGGAAAGCCAAGACTCCTGTGAGATTCCAAGTGCTATATAGACTTTCTGTCCTGATTATCTTGAGTTGAGACCATGGTTGGGCTGCTTTTTGCCACATATACTGTGATATTGACACAGATTTATATTTTATTGTCAGGTGAATTTTGTTTTTTACTTGAATTTCCCCATCATTGCAACAACACAGCAAGCTACGCAAAAGTGATTAATGATCAGTTTCATGGTTTGAAGGAAATCCCTTTCAAAGACAGTCCGGTGCCCCATCTCTGATTACATCCATGCAGACTCAATATTTGGGTGCAGTGCTGGACCCATGCCTCTCCCTGGAATGTCAACACCAAGGGGAGGTTTCCCAAGAAAGGATGAGACCTGACTTAGTCATCTGGCACAATGCCAGGGTCAATGGTCAATCTTTATCTGATTATACAGGGTCTTTGATTTGAAATTCACTATGTTAATTCAGGCTGAAAGAGTCCTTTATGATCAATATTTAAATCGTAATTAACTGCATTCACTTGCTATTTTTGTACGTCTGATTCTTCTTACGATGTTAAATCAGGTTCTTCCCTGGTTTCAGCATTTCATATTTCAAAACAATATTCTCTATCAAATTTGACCAGTATCTAGGAAAACAAGATCTCTCCTGGCTTTCCTGGAGTGCTGATAATGAGACCTTTCTTTCTTTCAGTTGGTTAAGATTAAAGTCTAAGTCACTTCATTCATTCATTTCATTATTCACCCACCTCATTCATTCACTCATCCATCCATTCCTGCATTCACCTTTCAAATAGTTTTGAGCACAGCTCCTAGCACCTGAAGCTATGTGTTTTCTCTTGGCAATACTGTGAAAAAAATTTATAGTCCAGTGGGTTTGGGCAACAAGTAAACAAGTGACTCAGACACTGATAGAAGTGCCAGGAGAGCAGCAGGTGCTTGTTAGGGGAGTGTCGGAGGAGGCAAAACAGGGCCACTTAATCTGGTCTAGGAAGGGAGTGGTCAGGAGAGCTCCCCAGAAATGTCAACCAGTCACTGGGGATAGAAGGACTAGTCTGAGATGAGAAATGACAGTAGGGGAATTGGCAGAGGTGAGAGGAACAGCACATGTAAGGGCTTAACTCAGGAGGTCAGTGGAGTGAATTTGTATGGTACTTGTTCTCTTTCTTCCATCCAATCATCTTCAGGAAACAGTACTTAGCATTGTTAAGGGGGAACCACTCCCTCTTGTTCTCAGATGTAATTAATAGCAAAATTAACCCCTGGGTCTAGTTTCAGGAGTGGACTCTCATTGGCTTTACCGATTATTGTACCCATCCCTTTGGCCACTGTGATTGGTTCAAGGATGAGTACACAACCCAATCAGAGACAAGGAAATATGAAGTATTTATTGGAGATTCTGAGAAAGGGAAGCCTTATTTTTCTTCATAGGATCTCTCGGCACTCTTTCTTTTTCTCTGGATAGTAGTTTGTAAGGGTGTAAAGTCTGCAACAGCTACAGCCATTTTTTTTTTAATCAATGAGGAAGAATCCAGAACATCCAGAATATTGCATAGAGGGTGAAGCCAGCATCGTGAAAGGCAGTACAGAAAGGTAGGGAGAAAATGGATGCCTATCATTCACGTGGCTAGGTCTGTGGTTGGCAAGCTCAAGAGCCAGGAGACCCAGTGATTTAGTTCCAGTCCAAGTCTGAGCATCGAGAGAGTCTATAGTATAAGTTTCTGTCTGAAGGCCAGCAGACTCTCAGCCCAGAAAGAGATTTGACACAGGAAAAAAAAAACCCTATGTTCCAGCTCAAGGCAGTCAGGTAGCAGACGTTCCCCATAACGTAGGACAAGGTCAGCCTTTTTATTCTATTCAGGCCTTCAACTGATTGGTTAAGGCCCACTCAAATTCAGAAGGGCAGTATGCTTTATCCAAAGCCCACCAATTTAAATGTTAATCTCATTCCAAAACAGCCTCATAAAAACACTCAGAATAATGTGCGATCAAATATCTAATTAGTCTGCAATCCAGTCAAGCTGACGCATAAAATTAACCACAACAGGCAGGAACTAGGACTTTGTGTGAGTATCCATAATGTATAATGTAGTGCCTGGTACACGGTAGGTGCTCAATAAATACTTCTGAATAAAGTTCATAAATAGCCAGGCTGGCTGGTAATTTTTAGCAAAGAAGACACAGCATTTGGATATGGTATTTATCTTTAAGAGCATAAAGTTCAATTTGATAACCCCTGGCTCATGCACTACTTACTCCTGACCTCTCCACTGGTGAACTTGAGCCGAAGGTTGTGTTCAGCTTCTCATCATTTCTGATTTGGAAGGAGCTTTTCCAAGAGTTCAGAGGCTCCTTTCAAAACTGAGCCTGAGCCTCCTAGCAACCACAGTCACAGGACCTGAGCAGCCAAACCCATTCTGCCTTCAGGGTTGCCCCTCTCTCCCCATGCACACACATTACAGCAGCCCCTTCCAGCCACACAGCCACTGAGCATTTCTGTAGCCTCAGTGTGCAGCTGTGCAAATAAGCACCCTTGGCTCTGAGGTATGCCATTCCCCAGGAACATGACATTGAGCACCAAATCCCAGGACTTATCCTCTGTTTTCAGCCCTCTTTCCAGAAAAGCTACATGATGTGAGTCCTGAGCTCTATCTGATTGGACTCCTTCCATATCTGAACTCTTTCACTCTGGCCTCTAGTTCCAAGTCCTGCTTCCTGTGGTTTGAGTGTTGCTTGTGTGGTCAACACGCTCATGCCTGACAGTGACTCTGGAAATGACAACTATATTGAAAAGAGGAGGCTTACTTTGTGTGTATATGTAGGGGAGGAACCAGATCTGGCAAGCAGGAAAGATGATTTTGACTCAAAGTGAAGATGAAGCTATGTCCAGGGATAGTTCAGAATATGGGATCATGGGCAAGTTATATATTCAAGATCCTGAGTTTGACTTGGTCAGGCCTTGAGTCTGCTCTCCACCATGTCTTGGACAGGTAGGGATAAAAATGATCAGAGAATGAGAACAGGATGAAGGAAGCAATGATGGACAAGGAGAGAGAGTTTTGGAAGCTTGGGCTTGTGCAACAGAAAAGACTTTTTGATTGAAGGTGGGGCATGGGCAGGTTTGCTCTGCACACGTGTAAGTGATGGGAGCCCCTTTATAACTTGGCTGTGTGGTCATCGGGAGGTGACTCTTCCTTATTTATTCTTATCGTCCAGAAGAGAGTGAAATCCTCCAAGTCCCCCCACCCCACCTTTTTTTTTTTTCACTTTTCTAGGCCAGTTTGGGAGAGGAGGTTCTGCTTAGATATCTACAGTGGCCCAGGTCAAAGAAAGTCAGTCATTGCAAACCTTCACTAGGTCTTTGCATATCAGAGATGCCAATCATTTCTATCCACGGTGAGCTTTAGCACAGTCAGGAATCAGGATGATTAACAACAGGACTGGCTCTGTTCTGTGGAATGATGTAAGTGGTGGATGGTGCCAAGTCCATGATACACAGAAGCAGATTACATTACAGTTAGAGCCAATATTTTCTCAACATGAACTTAAACTGCTCTACTTCTGAGAATGATTATACATCCCTGAGATGCCACATCTGTGTAGATTTGTATGTTCATGTGTGTATGTTCACATGCTTTTATTGAGCATCGACTGTAGGGTAGGCAATGTTCTGGATAAAGGTGATATGGCACATCGTCTTTACTGGGTTGAAGTTTGCCATCTGGTGAAAAAGAGATGCATTAGATAAATGATTATGAATGCACTCAACAGTCAGGATAGTAGGAAATTGTCAGATGCAGAATTGAGCTCTGAGGATCTATTGTTTCCTCTGGGCACTCATTTGAGAATCGGGACCAAGTCCCACTTGCTATGTAAAATGGGGGCAAGTGTGTGTCTCAGGGGTTCAGGAAGAGCAATCAGTTTAGTGGTCACTTTGTGACTTTGTATAGATCTGCTTTATTCAGACTGATCACCCATTTTCCAATTGCTGCAAGTCTTGGCTGTTGTAGGCTCAAAGCTGCACCATTCTGTAGAGAATCACCCTCTGCTGTTAGAACTCCTCACCCTAGAAATTGCATTTTCCACCCACCCACCACAACACAGGTGGCCTGCAGCTAATAGCTAACTGATGCATGGGAACAATCGTCTGGAGTCAAGTCACCAAGGGGACCAACATTGTGGTGCCATTTATACCCCAGAGCTTCTGTGGGATCAGGCATGAGTGAGTCTGCATCTGAGACTTCATCCTTGCTCAGCATCTTCACCTGCCCATTCCCTGATTTCCTCCCTCTTTTTAAAGTTTCTTTCACAGTAAATCACTTGCACAAAGATCTCCATCTCAGGCTCTGCTTCTTGGGACCACAAGCTCAGTGATGTGCAGTAGGGCAGGGTGACCTCACAAGGGATTAGCGATAACATCTTCTGCTCAGTGCTTACTTAGTTGCTAGGGCCTAAACCTATTCCTTATACATCCCAGACAATGGTCAGGGGCAAATGAATAATTGATGGTCCATATTAAATAATCCAGAAGAAGCTTCTAGTTTATCCCCTGCTGAATTCTTAAAACTCTATGGCTTTGAGCTCCGAGGGAAAGACAAGCAGATCTCAGCAGAAGCAGCTGGTTGGAAGCTGACAAAAGGAAACTAATTTGGGGTTCAGCTAGGGTTAACTCACTGGAGAGACCATTGGACTTTAAGTCTTAAAGATAAAGGAGGAAATGGTCATTGGCCATGGTGATGAGGGCTACCAGAAGTCACAACTCCAAGTAGAAGCTATAAACATTCAATGGGTGACAATGGTTCTACTTTGGAGACACAACAGATGATAATTATACTCATTAGAGTAACAATTTATTACAAGCTTATAAAGTGTCATTCTATATAGAATGCATATTATATCCCTAACATCCCCCTCAAAATGCTACTGTGGCAAATGTTATTACTCTGATTTTCCAGGTGGAAAACTGCATTTCAAGGTGAGTTATCTATGTGTTGGAGATGAGCTTTAAAGCTTGGTCTAGCAGATCCCAAATCCAGCATATTTATTTGACTCCAAGTCAAAGGCCAACATTTTGACAGCAGATTGTTTCTTTTGTTTGTTTGGTTTTCACTAAGACACTTAATATGTATGTGACAAAGAATTACCCTTGGTGAGTGTTGCTCAGTTGTACCTGGGCAGTGCCCAAGCCAGCATTAACCAACTCCTAAAGGCAAGTATGATAACTGCTGGGCCTGAAGACTGTACCACCTGCTCACAGCATCTCAACAAAACCACCCAGGTACAGGAACGTGAATTTAAGCGGCTTTTGTGCTTTGAATTTCCCTGATCATTCCTTCACTTTATATTTCACTTTGTATATCAGACATTCCTTGTGAAATGACGTTGAAATAATAAAGTCTAGAGAAATGGCACCCAAATTGATGGTTAAAAATTATGGCAGAGTTTGGAAATAAATTCTTACAATTTACATGAGAAATTCGGTGTTTTGTGGGGCAGGGTTAAGGGGGGACTAGACTGGCAGTCTAGTCTTGAGATACATGGGCACAGTTGTAATAAATATAGAAACATTTGCTCTCAGAGGTGTCTGTTGTGTCAAATAGACTGATGGGCAGTGGGGAAGTGAGGTGGAGGAAAAGGGAAAGAATTTCCACAGGGAGGAAGAAACGGATGTTGTGACTTCTTCAGTCATTGATACAGTCATTCTTAACATGTAAGGAACAGAGTGTCTCTTTTGCAGATAACTGTCCTTATGCTTTACGATTTCAAGACACAGTGTCTAATTGGCCTAGCGATTATAAAGTCCTGCTCACCAGGTGACCCAGTTGACTTAGACTCATCTCAATGGGGATGATGATGATGATGACAGAAATAGCAATAACAACAAAGCAGCCACAGTAATCATCATTCCCAGTTACTGAGTGTTTGCTTTTCCACATGAGACATTAAACAGAAATGTCTGTAGACTCTGTTGCAACTAGAAATTCTCTTTGGTTTGGAAGACTCAAGAAAGAAAATATGGTAACATTTTTGAGGATTTGCTCTGTGCAAGATGCTTGACACTTTATATAGGGTATGTTATCGAATACTAATAGCAGTCCCTACAAGAAACAGGACATAACCCTCATGAGGAAAAAGAGGCTCAGAGGAGTTAACTGGTCACCCAAATTGCACTGCAAATTAACAGCAGGGTGTAGATTCAGGACAGGATGCATTACTACTTTCACAGGGATGGAATGGCCAATTCCTGATGGGCAGGAGCCACTTAGTAGAAATGGAGTAGAACAGACTCCTAGCTGTGTTTTCAAGATGTTGCCTGGGTCAGACTTCCTCTCTCTTCTCTTCATCCCTCCCCATGGCTGTAACGAAGATTCAGTTTTCCCCCAAGACAACTGAATTTTTATTTATAAAGCAAACTCTTAGATAGATCATTGCAAGTAAACAACTGATAAACATTGCCCAGAGTCATTGATCCCCAATGAGCACCCCAGTGATTCCTTCTAACCCAGGAAGCCAGCTCTTCTTTATATATCTAAAGGAAATTATTCAGAGGAGAAATAAACTTGAAGAAAACAGATACTTTAGAGTGCTTTCATTTATAATACATCCAAATTGAGAAAAGCTCCTATATCTAACATGAAAATATCAAAAAAGAATCACCCCCTCTACCTTAAACCAAAATGCAACTTGCTGTGAAACAGAAGAATAATTCCCACTGGGATTTTATTTGGAGATAGCATGAGGAAACAAAACTAGTGCTAAGATATGAAATGAGAGCAAAACTATGATGACTTTTTAAAAGGAAGATGCAAAATTTAGATTATTGCAAAATCATCATGATTGCATTTGTTATGAGGGTCTACCTCAAAAACAGGAGAACAGAAAATCCAGTGGTTTATAAACAAAAAAATTTTTGGAATAATCACAGTTAAGTAATGAGACTGTTTCAAAAAAATCTAAAATTTAATGGTTTTCCATATATTAGCAGCAATCATTTAGAAAATATGGAAATCTTAATTCATTCTCTCTAGAAGCCAGAAAATATAATTTTATCTAGAAGCACTATGGATACAGTACACATATAGGAAACATTGTATAAACTTATTAATGAAAAATATAAGCATGGACTTGATTCAGGTCCCTCATGAATAGTATCCTGTGCAGTTCCAGGGTGTTTGCACTTACCATTTCCTCTTCCCCAAATGCTTTTCCTCCTGGTTTCATAATTGGTTGAGAGTTATCAAACCGTCCAATCATCTCAAAGAGGATTCCCTTACTTCCGTTCCATAGCTGCCCACTGTGATACTGTAATTGTAATTATATATATATATATGTATTTTGTCATCATTTTCCCCCTTTTTCCTGGCACATAGCTCCCCAAAAACCTTGGAATCTTTTAGTATCACTTAAGAGTGTCTAATTTGTATGCTAAGGAGATGACTGGTGGCTGGTGGCTCCCAGCATCAAGATGGGGCCTTGTCTGAGGTACCAGCCCTAGAACTGGGGGATCGAAATTTTCAGCCTCATCTTTGAATTCTGGGGAGGTGAGAAAAACTGAAGGTTGGGTTGATCACCTGTGGTCAATGATGTCGTCGATCATACCTATGTAATGAAGATTTCATAAACCCCCAAAAGGACAGGATTCTGAGAACTTCCAAATTGCTGAACACTTGGAGGTACCTCTAGGGTAGCTTGCCTGGAGAGGGCATGGAAGCTCCTTGCTCTCTCTCCTCTATCTCATTCTATGCACCTTTTCTTCTGGCTGTTCATCTGTATCTCTTGGAAAATCCTTTACAATAAGCCAGTAAACATAAGCACATGTTCCCCTGCATTCTGTGAGCCACTCTAGCAAATTAATCACACCTGAGCACAGGGCTGGAGAACACTTGATTTGTAAGCAAGTTTGGCTGAAGTTGTGGGTAACCTACTACCTTTAACGGGCATCTAAAGTAGGGAGCAGTCTTGTAGATCTGAAAATTTAACCCATGGGATCTGATGCTATCTCCAAATAGATAGTGTCAGAATTAAGTTAAGTCATAGGACACCCAGTTGGTGTCTGCTGGAGAACTGATGTGTGGGAAAAAACCTACAGATGTTGTGTCAGAAGTATTGACTTTATAAGAAGAGGAACAGGTGTGCCTTTTCCCATCTCTCACGCCCACTGTCAGCCGAGTCACTTTCACTCAGTTTACCCTATTCTTCCCAGCACTTAGCATTATTTGAAATAATTTTATTCACTTGTTTACTTATTTATCATCCATCTTCTTAACATAAACCAGAGCTCTATGGAGCACACTTCTTTATGTTCAACTCTGTCTGGTGAAGGGTTGACACTCAACACACGTGTGTTTAATCAAATTTGAAAGTAAAAGTATGGTCTATGTAGAAAGACCACACTCTGTAAAGGTGTAATTTTTCCCCAATATAATACATTGGTTTCACTAGCTCAAAATCCAATTTCAAATAAGATAGCCTCCAGACTGGGGAATGGGAGCTTGAAAAATGATGCCAGGGATCATTTGGGAGAATAAATATATAAATAATAGGCAATGCAGACAGTTATTCTTGAGAGAAGACAAAATTGAGGGCACCTAGCCTAGCTATGTCACAAAACATTTTATATTTCTATAATAATGCAGCAACAGAGCACAGGCCTGAGTACAGAGTTCATTGGCAGGTCATGATGTATAGAACAAAAAGGAAATATAGTAACATGTGATAAAGAAGTTATCGAATACTTATCAAAGATGAACTATAGTAACACGTGATAGAAAAGTAATGAGGAAGCAGGCAAAATTTTGGACTTGTCCCCAGGATCTGTGCTCCCTGGTACACACACTGCATAACCACCACCACCCCCCCCAACTCCTTTGAGTGCCACCAGGACTGGTGAATATGACGAGTTGCATCCCACTTGTTAGGTTACCATATATGACAAAGGTGAATAAGTTTTGCAAATGTAATTAAGGTTCCTAATCAGTTGACTGAGTTAACAAGAAAGGAGATCATTCTGATAGTCTTGACCTAATCAGAAGGGATCTAAAAGTGATTTAGTCCTTTCTCAAGATTCAAAATGTGAGGCTGGGCTCGATGGTTCACACCTGTAATTCTAGCATTTTGGGAGGAACAGGCAAGTGGATAACGTGAGGTCAGGAGTTTGAGACCAGACTGGCCAACATGGTGAAACCTCATCTCTACTAAAAATACAAAACTCAGCCAGGCATGGTGGTGCAGGCTTGTAATCCAAGCTACTCAAGAGGCTGAGGCAGGAGAATCACGTGAACCTGGGAGGCAGAGGATGCAGTGAGCCGAGATTGCACCACTGCACTCCAGCCTAGGTGACAGAGTGAAGATCTGTCTCAAGGAAAAAAATAAATAAATTGAGAGGGGTTATGGATGGGGTCACATGACAAGAACCTGAGTTCAGACTCTAGGGTGTAAGGGTGATCCTCAGCCCCTCAGCCCTGAGCAAGGAAATGGGGACCTGAGTCTTACAAAGGCAAGAAAATTAATTCTTCCACAACCTGAGAGAGATGGAGGCAAATCTTTCTCTAGTGGAGTTTCTAGATAAGGGCACATGCAATGACACCTTGATTCCAGACTTGTGAGGCCCTGAGCAGGGGCCAGAGACACACTGTGCCTAGAATTCTGACCTACAGAATAGTGAGCTAATAGTGGCTGCTGTAGTAAGTCATTATGTTTGTAGATCTTGCAATGCAGAAATAGAAGACTAGTGCAGCAGCAAAGGGAAGAACAGTTCAAAACATATCACTGGGCTCGCTTATTAACCTCTTGAGAAACATTAGTATAGGCTTCCATAAAATACGCTGTAGTGGTAAATTCCAGAGAGATTAAATAACTAGGTAGAAAAAGTGAAACTATGTTGTCTTAGTTTGTTTGAGGTGTTCTAACAAAGTACCATCGACTGGGCAGCTTATAAACAACAGAAATTTATCTCTCATAGTGGTGGAGGCTGGAAGTCTGAGATCAGGGTGCTAGCCTGGCTGGGTTCTGGTCAGGGTTCTCTTCCTGGCTTGCAGACTACAGACTTTTCATTGTGCTCTCACGTGGGAGAAAGAGAGAGGGCTAGCTCTCTTCCCGTTCTTACAAGGGCACTAATCCCATTCATGAGGGCTCTGCATTCATGACCTAATTACCTGCCAAAGGCCCCACTTCCTGATGCCATGCTACTGGGGATTAGAATTTCAACATATGAATTTTGGGGGGCACAAACATTTAGTCCATAACACATATAGTGTCCAGGTGAATACTTATATGATCTCAGGATAGAGGCATAATTTTGAAGCATGAAAATGACAGAAAAAATATCTCATACAATTCAAGAGATTTGAATGTAAAAAACAAACAAAAAAAAACCTTTTAAATGAAAATAAAAACAACACAAATCTGGGAAAATATTTGCTTCAGAGATAACAGGTAAGGATTTAGTACTTTTCTTATATAAAGAACACAGAAAAGTACATTGAATATGTATACATTTCAATGTGTATATGTGTGTATTTATGCAAATGTAAAATGAAAACATTAACAGCAAAATGTTCACATACCATCTCTGAATAATAAAATTATGAAGGACTTTTAAATTTATTCTGGAGATTATATTTCTACTCTGTTCATTTTCTAAAATGATTATTAATGTGATGAACATACAAAAATAAAAATATATAATAACATTTCAATATATTGCTACAAAGAAATAGAATGTAATTTAACAGACTTTTTAATTTTTATAAATATTTGAGTGTTAATGATAAGGGGAAATATTAGAACATACATGCATGTGTATGCTGGAATTACCACTGTGTAGAAACCTCGCAAGTGTATAGATGGGTAAAGATTGGAAGACACTATGTTGTCATTAAAATAGGTTCTATCTTACAATAGTTAGAAAGGGAAGACTAAATCCCCTTTATAATGTTTTATATTTGAATTACATATGTCTCTATATCTACTATATTTGAATATTGATAGATGATTTATAATAGATTGGATAGATAGATATAGATACAGATTGATTATCACTAATGGGAAAACCCAAAATTCTAAATGCTCCAAAATCCTACACTTTTTGAGTGTTGGCCACCATGATTGAATTAGTGGAAAATTTCACACTGACCTCATGTGACTGACCCCTTCAGCTGTAGCATGTCTTTTCCATGTATACCCAATTTCCCCCTTGCAAACACGCACACAAATAGTAATAAAACGGCATGTGTACAGGCTGGATGTGCCAAGGGCAGGTTCCCCGCCATGCCCCACATGGGGCCCAGACCTATGTGCATTACTCACTGTTTTTGTTTTCTTATTCTGTCCTCTATGGTGCAAAGACATTGTTGAAAATGTCAAAAAGTCCTGCATGATATCCATAGGGTAATGTAAATATTCCAAAATTGTTAGAATTCCCAAATCTGGAACACTTCTCATCCCAAGCATTTCAGATAAGGTAAAGTCAACCGATATAGTTATAGATATAGATGATACAGTTATAGATTACAGATAGATAGAGATGGAGAGAATACCTTGTCATTAGTTTCCTGTATTAGTTTCCTGTGGCTGCTGTGACAAAATGCCACAGAGTAGGTGACTAATACCACAGAAAGTTATTTTCTCACAGTTCTGGAGGCCGGAAGTCCAAGATCAAGGTGCCGGTAGGGCTGGTACCTTCTGCAGCCCCTCTCCTGGCCTCAGATAGCTGTCTTCTCCCTGTGTCTTCAGATCGTCTTCCTCTGTGTGTTTCTGTGTCCTTTTTAATAAGAAAATCAGTGATACTGCATTAAGGCCCACCCCAATGACTTCATTTTAACTTAATAACCCCCTTAAAGACCCTATCTCCAAATATGGTCACAGTCTGAGGTACTGGGACTTAGTACTTCAACACAGGCTTTTTTTGGGGATGGGGGCATATACAATTCAGACCATAATATCAGCAAAAATTCTCTCCTTATAAGGGGAGAACAGCTCTCAACTTAAAATGCTGTGTTAATATCTTTCTTACGCATGGCCTTAGAAAAGTTACTTAATAAAATGGGAATAACATTATCCTGTTATCCTTAATTTGGCTCTTTCAGTCTTGATTTTGTCAAAGGTGTAAATATTGTGGCCCCATGTATTATAAAGATTATCATTAGGATGATACATGCGGAAGATCAAGCACAGTGCCTGGTGCTCAGGAAGCATTGAGGGGCATGCATTGAGGATCTCCCCCACTCACCCTATGGCTTAGTCAGTGTTTCCCAGGTTGCTTTTTTTACACATGTTCTCTAAGAGCAGGGAGAGATAACTTGAGGCAAAACCTAAAGAGGCATTCAGCAATATTGTTTTTATATTTACTTAAAAACAAGAAAACACATTGGCCGTTTCTATAACAGACCCATATTGATGACAATAAAAGTTTCAACTCATTGTGATGTCAAATTTTCTGGGAAAACAGTCCACATTAACTTTGTGGCTTTATAAGCATAGAGCTTTATACCCTGTGTTTCTGTAAACACGCACTTTGGATGCAGACATACGCCACCAGAGAAATAAGACCCTACACTTCTCTCCAGTTCTAGAATTTCTCATAGCCTGTCCTCAAAAAGGGAGCAAGATAGAAAAATCAAACAGTAGGCTCATATTGCAAAATCACTGGGAAGACAGGAAAAAAAACCCAGAAAAACATGAAAAAATGGGCAGGCAACAATGCCAGAGGACAAATAACAGATGGACAAGCAGAATTTGAAAGCAAACGCCAAAGACTAGAAGAGGCAGTAGCTAAGTTGGACAACATTGTTAGAAAAGATTGCAAAATCATCAGATTCAGACAATGTGAACTCTTATAGGGCTCCTACCTGTAGAGCTGAAATACAGGGCATCACAACTTCCTTACGGAAATGTGTGCCCCTGCTCACTCTATCTATTGTCTTGTAATAAAACTCGGAAGGCTGGAATTCCTGCAGTATTGGAAACAGGAACCAATTTTGAAGATTAATTTGCAGTGGGGTTTTCCAGTGAGGAACCATAAGCATTTGTTTCATCCACATGCTCATGACAACCCTAACCCAGTGCATTCATAACCTCTATGGACCACTGATGGCCATCATAGGGACATAACAGAATCCGTGCCACCAACACAGTTTTCCTATCAAATGAGACTATGCTAAACACCCACACCAGAAGTTCTTTGTTATTTTGCAATGTGGCTCATCAATATTTGTTCATATAAACAAAAAATTAGCTGTACTTAAAGTCTCTAGTAATGAATAAGTCTACCTCACTGCTGACAGATGAGCCAAGGGGATGCATCACCTCCCATGTTATTGAAGTGAAACCAGCTAGAGAAGAGCTGATGACTCACAGTTAGCTCTCAGCGAAAGTACATTGAATGGATGAATGCAGGCATACACCTTGTGCGCTGAATGTTTACCTGCACGAAGGGTGGTCTTGAGCTCCTTCCAGAATAGAGGTTAGATGGGAATCTCCCATAAAGAAAATCAATAGAAATAGATGCCATAAGTGTTGGTTAGATCAGGGATTGTCAAACTCTGCTCACTGGCCAAATTTGGCCATGACCTGTTTTTATATGTCCCTCCAACTAAGAATTGCTTTTACATGTTTAAAGATCTATCAAAAGAGAAGGAGACAGAAAAAAATGACAAGAAGAATATGTAAGAGGTACCAAATAAAGCTTGCAAATCCTAAAATAGGTATTACCTAGCACCTTGTTAAAAAAAAAATTACTTCCACTGCTCCTCCCCAAGAATTGGCTGATTCTTTGTAGAGTGGAGATTATGCATTACTTTCGAGTTTTGTCTTGTCTGCCCTGAAGGTGATGGCTTCCTGGAACACTGTGTGGAGAGGAGTTTTAAAAGCATGAGATAGTCTGTAATCCCAGCACTTTGGGAGGCCGAGGTGGGCAGATTATGAAGTCAGGAGATCGAGACCATCCTGGCCAGCATGGTGAAAACCTGACTCTACTAAAATACAAAAAAATTAGCTGGGTGTGGTGGCACGTGCCTGTAGTCCCAGCTACTTGGGAGGCTCAGGCAGGGGAATCACTTGAACCCAGGAGGTGGAGGTTGCAGTGAGCTGAGATCGTGCCACTGCACTCCAGCCTGGCAACAGAGCAAGACTGTCTTAAAAAAAAAAAAAAAGGCATGAGATAATCATAGAAAGTATTTATTAATGCATTTTATGTGCCTGTAACAAATAAGAGCTTTACATGTATTAACTAACTGAATCCTTACAACAACCCTTTATATGAGTACTCTCTACTCCTCTTTTTAAGAGGAGACAAATGAGCAACAGAGAAACTAAATGACTTGTCCGAACACACAGCTAGGAAGTGGTAGGAACCAGGATTTGAATTGGGGCTATCTATAGTTGTGGATAGTTAGATACAGATGAGTCAGGGTAGGTTAATATATGCTGCAATAACAAATCACTACACATTTTGTGTGGCTTTCAGTAGAGAAGGCTCATTTCTTGATCATGCTGTGGCTCCATAGTGAGTCGGCTGTTGCCTCACGGTGGGCTGGCTGTGGCCCTACTTCACATGTGGGTCTCTGGGACCCACGCAGAGGGTGCAGCCTGTCTCTAGAACATTGCAAGCCATGCTCCAAAAGGAAAAGAGAAGGAACTCTATGTTGACTCTTAAAGCCTCTGACTAGATGTGACATATGCCCCTCTGATCAGGTGTCATCAGACGGAGCAGGTCAAGTGGCCACGCCTGATGTCAGTGGGGCTAGAAAGCATAATCCTCCTTTGGGAGGGACAGTGAATACCTGAGTCAGCAGGACTGTCTGCCATGGAACATGACAGAGGATTTCAACCAGTGTCCCCATGACACAGGATGTTGGTTAGGAGTCCTGGAAACTGGCTGATTCTCCCTACTGTTTTTCCCTGACTCTCCAGAAATGAGAGCATGCCAGTCAGTAGTAGCATCTCATTCATCAGTCAGGGTCCCAAGTACCACCTGCCACTTCTCTCTCTTTCCATGTGTGTCTATAGTGCTTAAAATAAATAAATAAATGCATTTAAGTTAATTTCTTTAAATAAATATTACATATAACACATATTATTATATTTTAATATATATAACCTATATTAGACTTATATAGTATATAGTATATTGATATATTTGTATATATAATATATATATAACATGTATGTATGCATGTATTTAGTTTAAGAAATTTGCTTACTCAGTTCTGGTAGCTGGCAAGTCTGTAATCCATAGGGCAAGCCAGTAGGCTGGAGATCCATAAGAGGTAGTGTATCAGTCTTGAGTCCAAAGGCTGGAAACTCAGGCAGAATTTCTATGTTGCAGTCTGGAGCCATAATTCCCTCTTTGGGAAACCTTGGTTTTTCCATTTAAAGCCTTCAACTGATTGGATGAGGCCCACCCACAGAGTGGAGGGTAAGCTGCTTTCATTAAAGTCAATGGATTATAAATGTTAATTACATCTGAAAAATGCCTTAATGGTAACATTTAGACTACTGTTTGATCAAACAACTGGGCACCAGAATCTAGCCAAGTTGCCACATATTAATAAAATCAATTGTCACATTTAAGGACCATGCTTCAATGTAAAATCCTACCAACAAAGCTATCACCCCCATGGTCTTTAGCTTTTTATACTACTAAGTTGACACTGATTGCGGTAGTAAATTCCCAAATGCCTTAAGGATTCAAGTACACTACAATTTATGTTTTGCCATTTGAGGTCCAGAATAAATGTTCCCAATTGGTGAATGGCTCTTCTCCATGTTATTCCGGGACCCAGGCACCTTTCATCTTGCACTACCCTACCTTTAACACAGGACTTTCAGACTTGTCTCTATCGGGCCAATGGAATGAGGGAAACAAGAAAAATTGTTAGTGGGAGTATTTTATAGACCAGGGAGGAATTGCTACAAGGCATTTCTGCTTAGAGCCATTGGCTAGAACTCAGTCAGAGGTCCATGCCCATCTCAAAAAAGTATAGGAACTATAGTCAAGCCTGTACCCAGAAAATATAAACAATAAAATTGATGATCTTCAAACTAACCTTTGCCTTATTTCTGCACCCCACATTCTCCACAGTGATCTTAAATTGTAACATGGTGATGAGGGAAAGAGATTGTAGCAAGTTATGAAAATTTTTGGTTTCTAAATTGTGTATTTGCAAATTGGAAAGAATGTTTCCTCTTCTCATGTGAGGAGTAAATGATCTATGGAAGTAACAGTGCCTGATGTAGTTTAGATGCCCAGCGTTTCAAATGTTTGCTTTTAAACAGTTGAAAAAGATAAAACAACTGCACCTTTCATAAGATTTGGCAATCCCATCCTTTACATTTCACTGGTTTTCGAATGGGAAGAAAAGAGTCGAATGTCTCAAGATAAAACAAATAAAATCTGTACATTTTTAAAGTCTGTTTTCAAAGTTCCTCTGAACTTCTTCATGGCTAAAGCCTGCAAAACTGGGTCATACACCTAAGAAACCAGCTCATCTTTGTTAAGATGGGTTTCATTTCTTACTGACCCTGTCAACATCTCTGAAGAGCTAATTTGCTAGTTCAGTGGCTCATCATCAGTTTCTCTTACATGAAAATGACAAAGGTCAACTGCATTAAAAACTTTTTTTTTCTTGATCCAAGGAATTTCAATATTTCTGTCCCTCTCTGATTGAATTAACAAGAAACTCATTTAATTGCTTATTATACATGGAGAACATAGGTTGTCCTTGCTGGACTGTATCCCTATCTGACTGCATTTGAATGACATTTCAGGCTCTATTTCAGTTAATTTGATAAGTATGTCCCTATGATCTGTAAATAAACCAACCTGTAGTCAAGGAATTCAGACGTGACATGTCATATACCACCTTTGTCATTCTTTAAGGACTAGTGTGGCATCCTCATACTTTCAATATAGTTGACCTGGCTTCACACTTTGATTCCAAAACTTACTGACTTTAGCATCTTGTCCAAATCACTTGAATTAGCTGAGCCTCAGTTTATCCTTCTGTAAAAAGGACCTACTAAATATCCTTACCATGAGACCCTTTTAGGATTAAATAAGTTTTTCAGCAAAGTTGTTAGGAATCACGTTAGGTGTTCCCTCATTTCTTGGCACCTTTTCTGTCTGTTTAGGTATAGCTCAGCAATTTTTTTACTATATGTCACCCCATTGAGTTAGAGCACTTTGTTTGCAAGCAGAAGAAACCAAAACAAATTGGATAAAATAAAAACTGGGCATTTAGTTGAAGCCCACAGTCATGTCTTCCACTGGGGTAATACACCCAGTCCTTGAACAAGGCATGGGACAGCATCTATACAGTCTAGGAAATGCACAAAGATGTCATATTTCAACTTCTCTCAGTTCAATCCAACTTCTTCTTTTCTATCTGCAGATCTGCTTTACTATATACAGTATCTACGAGGTGAAAGACACTGAAATCATAGCTCTGAATTTTTAAAGACTCCCCCATAGACTTTGTGTTTGCTGGGAGCTAACCTACTATGAAATATAGCTTATAAAATTTCAATTCCAAATTCATTTGGCCCATCTTATATCACCTGTTTACATCTAGCCCAACCCACTGTGCCATTGTGTGGATTCTCAGGGCCCCTTTCTGTGAGTAAGAAAAGAAGCTAAGACGATGTTGTGAGTTTAACAGACACCGCGCATGTCTACTACAGTGGGCAATTAAGAATGATTTTATTTTTATTCTGAATAACATAGATGAGAAAAAATAGAATTTCGCCTCCTTCTTCTTATTCCCATAATTCCAGGGACATAGAGAAATCACTCTGGTTTCAGTTGCAGGTCATGATAGAGTTGACAATCTAAGATGGAGGGAAATAAATTACGTCAGTGAGCCCACTGTAAGCATCATCTGGAAGCCGCTGGAAGCCTCTGGAAGCTTAAATACCAATGCCAGTACAGGGGAAGTTTCCTTTACATAAAGCACAGAATGGCAGAATGTGAGAGCATTACACTTGGCTGCATTTTTAATGATCTCTCTCCAGTGGGATAGATGGCGAGAGCTCTTTTGACTGAGGTGTGTGGGCAGTTCTGTGTGCGTGGCCTGGTGAGACCCAGGCGAAGTTATGGGAGCTGCTGGCGCTGCATATCATGAGTCTCCTGCAGACCTCTCAGCAGGTTCCCAAATGAAAATGCCCTCTTCCTGGGCTGAGGCAATTAATTGAGGACTTATTTTTACCTGTAAGAGAAACTTCAATCTCATATATATGTGAAATACACTGCTGCAAACACACTCAATTTCAAATAAATATTTTATTCCTGCATCTTTTAGAGTATAGCTGTTATTAGAGAAAGTAAAAGAATAAAGTCCAAATTTGAGCTCTATCTCTTTTTTTTAATATAGGATCTGGCTGTGTTGCCCAGGCTGGAGTACAGCCGCACAGTCATAGCTCACCGCAGCCTCAATCTCCTGAGTTTAAGTGATCCTCCTGCCTCAGCCTCCCAAGTAGCTGGGACTATAATAGGACCATAGGCACACATCACTCCACACCTGGCCAAGTTGATTTTTTTTTTTTTTTTTTTTTTTGTAGAGGCAAAGTTTTTCTATGTTGCCCAGGCTGGTCTCCAATTCCTGAGCTCAAGTGATCCTCCTGCCTCTACCTCCGAAAGTGCTGGGATTACAGGCTGAGACACCAAACCCAGCCTGAGTTCCTTGTTAAAGGAACACATTTTACAGGTCTCTCTTGATGAAAATGAAGATGAATAAATAAATAAACAAATAGGCAGATGGATTAAAAAAAGCTGTTATTGGCTTTGGGACAATGAATGAATCGTAACATTTTAAAGTGTACAGCTTTCAATTGCCTTTAATTAGACAATAGTTTTCCAGACATTTCCTACGAGGAAGCCATTGCACATATATGTATATATGTTTGTTTGTTTCTAATTTACTAATTATTAGTACATTATGTAGGCGATAAAATTCCCATTTTTCAGATTTAAAGATATTGAGGCAAGAGAGTTCAGGTCATTAGTCTGATATAATATAGCTTGTTAAAAGCAATCTAAGGCATGAACCCAGTTTATCAGACTCTTAGAAAGGGCAATTGAAGAAAGTGAGTTGGTTCAAAGAGAACTGCTCCCTAAACTAAGGATAAAATTGGCCGTGATCTCAAAAAAAAAATAAATAAATAAATCAGCATTTTTTTTCAGCAAAACATATTTCTCTAGATTCTTCTCAAAGATTCTAATTATATGAGTCATGTTATGATAGAAACCTAAACCCAACTTTAGTTTATGACCAGGAGAAGTAAAAGAAACTAAAAGTAGCCTCAAAAATAAAATGCATAAAAATAATTTAAAAATACTTGAGGAATCATTTTAAACAATGGGACATTTTCAAGAAGAACAGGGATCCCTGAGAGATGAAAAACAAATTGAGCATAGTCTCAAGTTATCCAAGCTGATTGCTTAGAGGGCTTTGTAGTCTCCCTGAGTTGAGGGGATATTGCTAGGAGGCTAAGGTTACTAGAGCTCACAGGATAGGGTATCAGAGAACAGAGAGAGGTGCTGGGAGAAATTTTGAGAATTTCTGGGTTCCCTTCAACTCTTTAACTAAGTGCTGACCAGCACATGTATGTGTGGAATGTGCCCAACGCTGGGAAAGAACCACAAAAAAGAAAAAAAAAAAAAAAGTCAAAGGAAGTAATCCCCAGAGCTCCCACAGGCCTGGGAAGAGTTCCTGTTCCCACCAGCCAGAATCAAAAACCTAATAACTCATGGGAGAGCAGGTAGAACGCTCAGATGTGCTTTATCTTAGCAGTAGGATGAAGTCTAAATGTTGCTCTGGTCTTGTCTAATAAATACTAAAAGTAAGATCCAAAAGAATCAAACTATTTCCAAGTAACATAACTATATCCCAGAATAACACTTAATAATATTTATGAGAATATAAAATATCCAACATTCAACAAAGTAAAATTCACTGTCTTCAACATCTAATAAAAAATCACCAGGCATTCAAAGGAGAAAGAAAATATGACTCATAATGAGGAGAAAAATAAATCAACTGAAACTGACTCAGAAATGACATAACTGATAGAATTAGTAGACAAGGCTATTAAAACAATTCTTAAAACTTTTCCCTGAATTTCATGTGTTTAATGACCTCAAGAAATGAGTATGTTGAGACATGGGACATATAAAAAGAAAAACCCAAATCAAACTTCTAGAGATAAAAATTATAATGTCTGAGACGAAAAGTGCATTGCTAAAGATTAACAACAAATTAGGCATTGCAGAAGAAAAGATTAATGTACTCGAAGATATAATAATAGGAACTATTGAAAATGAAATACAGAGAGAAAGCAGGTTAAGGAAAAAATTGAACAGAGGGTCAGCAACATGTGGAACAGCTTCAAATGGCCTAAAATACATGTAATTGGAGTCTTTGAAGGAGGGCAAAGCAGAAAAATACCTGAAGAACTAAAGACTGTAATTTTTAAAATTTAATGAAAACCATATTCTAAAGATCCAAGAATCCCAGTGAACTTCAAGCAGAAGAAATAAAAGACAGGAATTAGAAGGTACTGTGAACTGAATGAAAATTAGAACACAGCATTAAAAAAAATGGGTGGGATGGAGCTAACAGTTCTTTGAGGGGAGTTTTTGGCACAAAAATGCCTGTATTAAAAAAGAAGAAAGGCTTAAAATCAGTGATGTCAGCTTCCATATTAAGAAACTCGAAAAATATAAAGTTCCACACAATTTATACATAACCACACACCATAAATAAATAATATTGTGATCCAAACAGCGTACACAGCCTCTCTTTCTCCACCCATAGGCAGACACAGACATAGATTTGAAAGCCACAGAGCCAAGTCCTGACACTAGCACCACCTGATCTCTGGCAAATAGCTGAGGTTCTCTGGTTTTCATTTCCTCCTCCATAGAATGGGAGAATAGGGCTAGATCTTGAAGACTGGACAGAAGTTCCCCAAAATAATAGAAGGGTAGGAGTGACATTTCAGACAAAGGGAAATATAGACAAAGATCTGAAGGCATCCAGGAACATGGTGCCTCAGGCAAGGGGTGTGTGTACAGTTTAATATGTCTGTTCCTTAGCAGGTGAAGGGAGGTTGCAGGTATGGATGATGCTAGGCTTAACCGTAGGTGACCTCACCTGGCATCTTGAAGGCAATGGATCCAGGAATGACCTCAACAGAGGCCTGTGGTGTCTAGAGACCATAGCTCTTGTCTTTGGATAATCCAAATCATATGCTTCAGTTAATCATCAAATTTACATTTACAAGGTGAATGAGTGGTTAGAGAATTTTGATACACAACAATACAACAAGAAAAATGTCAGTTGATCCGTCTGTCTGTATTAGAAATTTGCCCAGGCCGATTCATTATGTAGGTGTATTGATTCGATGAATTATTTATCTTAGCTCATACAGTTTGTCTGTCTGTAGAGTCCCTAAATAAGACAAAGCTCTCAAATGTGGATTCTTTCTTGGAAAGACTCTTAAAATGTTTTCAGAACATTTTTTTTCCTTTTTATTTTAGATGAATTCACTGGATTTCAAAGCAAAGATTCTTGCTATTAAAGTATGGAAAGAAACATACATGTGCATCTTGTGGGACATACCCAAGGTCTAAATGCAGATGTACTCAGAGCATGTGCTTAGTGGGCTGTCACCTGAGCCAAGATTTAGTTGCCAGCTTCTGGGAATGTCAAATACTCATCAGCTTTTATTCTTTTCTGCAGAAAGTGACACATGCCTATCTTGATCACTGGAGCACAAAATTAGCTGAGTGCTTCAGGGAAAGAGCAACAAGGGAAGAAATGAACAAGGGGTCAGAGACCCTGACCCCCGTGGGGAACAGTAGAAACGACTAGGACTCATCTGTCATGGAGATCACGCTGTCCGTGGTGCCAAATCACTCCATGAAGGTCTCAGAAGTTTCCCCTGTCCTAGACACCAATATGGTGCATGGCAGAACTGAAACTTAACCTTGACAAGGCAGAGCTCTTTATTTCAAAAGATCAGGAACTGGACTGTGACTCATGTCTTGTCCACATTCGTGACCAATGTTTTCTTTTTTTTTTTTTTTTTTCATTCTTGAATTATTTAAATTGAATTCATCTTTTAGGAAACTTGGGTTCTTCTTCATCAGTTTTTTTTTTTTTTCCAAGAAGAGGGAGTGCGTGGCACCCTTTTTTGAGTGTTTAAATAGATGATGATGTCTTTTGATTGCCTCCCTAGATGGAGTAAAGCCTTGCCAGTTTTACAGTTAAAGATCAGAACTGTTTTTCTTGAAAGTATTTATATAACAATCAAAACATTCAGTGTTGGAAAGCTAAAGTCCCAGTTAGCATGATCTGCATTTATTTTTAGGCAAATTATTTATTAACCAGGTATACACCGTCTTTGTTTACATCCTTTTGATGCTTTTGTCAGGACATCTTTAGACCTAAATTTATTTTTATTGGCTTTCCATAATCATAGACTAAACTTTAATTTCTATACTCAGGTCTTTCATAAACATCGGAACCTTTTGTTCCGTTGTAAAATAAGTATAGCTAAGTGTTTGAAAGCATAAACTGCAGTAGAACAACTTCAGGTTTTGTTCATTAACTTAACATTCCACAAATAGTTATTGGTTTCCTATGTGGTTCAGGAAAATATCCTGCACAGTGGTTACTGGGACAGGTTTTAGCTCTCACAGAGCCTAGAGTTCAATAGAGATCAAGACAGCAAACTAAGAAACAGCAGCTTGTTCAGTGACAAGTTGGGAGTTTCTTCTCTTCCCTTTTCTGCTTGGCCATTTATGGCAAGTTGGTGCCCTTTTTTGGGCATAGGGCTCCGAGTTATATATGAACATAATCTACCTCAAAGAATGGGTGGCTGAACCTTACATATAAAGAATGGAAACATGGTAGCTAAAATATGGGTGTTCCTTTGATTATTTCTGCCTGATAATATTTGCACTCAATGAGACCTGTCACTTAAAGCAGAGGTCCCCAATCCCTGGGCCACAGATTGGAACCAGTCCATGGCCTGTTGGGAACTGGGCCGCACAGCAGGAGGTGAGTGGCAGGTAAGTGAGCATTACTGCCTGAGCTCCACCTCCTGTCAGGTCAGGAGCATTAGATTCTCATAGGAGCACAAACCCTCTTGTGAACTGCACATGCAAGGGTTCAAAGGATCTAGGTTGCATGCTTGCTCCTTATGAAAATCTAATTAATGCCTGATGATCTGAGGTGGAAGACTTTCATCCTGAAACCATCCCCCACCACCCCACCTGCTGTCTGTGGAAAAATTGTCATCCATGAAACTGGTCATTGGTGTCAAAAAGGTCGGGGACTACTGACTTAGACTGTCAGCTCCAAGAGCTCATGAATTTTTGTCTGTGTTGTTCGCTTATATAGCTAAGATACAAAAACAGTCCTTGCTATATGATAGGTTATCAATAAATACTCACTGAATGGACCATAGACTAAAATTCATCTTTGTATCCTAAGACTGTGATCTGCCATATCATTTTTCATTACCTTTACATTCTGATGAGGAATGTAAAATTCCTAGTCCTCAACAGTGGCTTACTTTCTACAGGGCTGATTGTGCCTCTTCTGCCTTCCATAGTCCTTTTCTGGCTCCAGTGTGAGTTTGATCTTTGTCATCCTGCTTTGCGTTGCTTCCAGGTGGTTTGTTGTCTGTCCCATTTCTATTGCCATCTCATCCCATTGCTTGTCTTAGTTGTGGGGTTATTTTGATTTCAGGGAGGTAATCTCTTCTTTTCTTTCTTTTTCTATGCAGAAAACCTGTCACTTTTCATGTCACTCTAGTTTGTTTTTTTTATTTGGAAGCCAATCTTTTCTCTATTCTGAGAACAGTCTTTCCTTTTTCTTGATACTTTTACTCCTACTTAAAAAGCGAGAGTGGCCATGTTGGCTAACACCTGGTGACACATGAGCTTACCTCCAGCACTGCTTGCTCTCTATTATGAGGGTAGAACCTTTCCTTGGCCTGCAGTGGCCTCCGACCAGTGGCTGAGCTCTTAACCTCTTTTTGTCCCCTTGCAGTTTATGAAATCAATCTTTTGGCTGTGTCTGCTTTCATCCTTAAAGCAAGCAAATAAATAAATAGTGGAGTCAATGGACATTGACTTAGAGTGGAGTAAAAGAATAGGAAGAGGCTTAGAGACTTCTTATGCTCTGAATTTCTTCATTTTACAATTGAGAAAACCGAGGCCCCAAAAGAATATGGTCTTGGTCAGTCTCAGAGCTAATGCACAAAGCTTTAGAAACAGGAACCTGTGCTCCCAGTTCCCCTGCTCTCTCCATTACAGCGAAGAGTGAGTATCATTTCTTACAAGGATCCTGTCACATGGAAAGTGTTTCTCAAAGGACTACCCTGTCTCTAAAATGAGGGGAAAGCTTTGGCTTTGTGACTTCTTCTTTCTTCTATCTGCAATACCTTCCTGTATTCTCACACTCTTGAATCATGTATAAATAGATACATAAATAATTTTTAAAGATCATGGTCTTCGTCTTACAGAGAATGAGTATTTTCGACTTAATTAAGCATAGGGGTGAGGTGAGTGGTAGGTTTGGGTTGGAGGACATATTCTGGGAGAATGGGATGATGATGTTATCTTCTCTGAATCTTTTCCGGGGCCATTTGCCGGTGGTCCTTGATAAGGGCTCATTTTGGGCTAGGACCCAGCAGCTGGCTGGCCTTGCCCTTTACTGCCATAAAGACATCATCAATTTCCTGGAAATTAGCTACAGAAATCCAAGAGTGATCACTCAGGGCTCAGTCCAGTCCAGTTCAAGGATGTAAAGAACAATTCTCTTTTATAAATCAATTAAGATTTATTGCAAGGGACTTGAAAAGGGAGTGAGATTTATTCTCCAGAGGGACTTCCAGAGCCCAGTGATAGCCTAGTTTGTGTCAACAGGCTTTAGTCAAAGTCCTAATGACGTTTACATATGAAGAGTTTCATTATTTGGGCTTAAGAGCTACTTATTATTACCAGTCTGTGGCAAAAAAAATAAAATAAAATAACTCTAAATTAAGGAGCTGATATGAAAATAGATGAAGTTTGCACTGTATTGAGCAAGCATACTTTTATTATTAATTTTATGCATTATTTACAGTGATAGTTACAAATATTGATCTTAGCAAAGCAGGAAGTGTTGTTACACTAACAACGAGATTTGACTAAGAAAAAAAGGCAATAATTATCAATTAGCAGAAATTACTGCTAATAAGAGTGGGGGAAGTGCAGAAAATTCTGATTAGGAAGAACTGACACTTTCATAGTGTTGTGTAAATTGCCAGGATTTTAAAAATACATCTGCCTTGTATGATGTTTACAAAGAAAAAAAAAGTGTCAGGCATATAATTACTAGATACATCCAAGATACAAATCTTTTTGTTGTTCTTTTAATCATTTGGAAGAAGAGGAGTCATTGCTTAGAAGATTTTTGCCCTTTTCTGCGGATAACAAGTAAAATTAGCTAACAGCTCAATTATTCTGTTAATGAGGCAACCCCCTCCCCACTTGCATAAATTTAATTTATTTTTCTTTCCAGTGTCCTTTCTGCTACCATCAATCAACTCCCCTTCCAGAGGAAAAAAATTATACACTAAAAGTGGGGTATGGACTGGGGGCTGATATCAAAATTGAGGTTGATCATACATTATACTGTGAAAGAGGAAATGAACATAAAGGAAGGGGAGAAAACTGAGTCTCAACAAGTCGCCAGGCCAGCCTGCAAAAGCAAGCTTGAAATTTCCTGTTGGGTAAAGTCTATTCGATTCAGATGACATTTACACTAAAATAGAAGCCCAAAATTCACCACTATGCAATATATCCATCTAATAAAACTGCACTTTGTACCACCTAAATCGATGAAAAGAAAAAGAAAAAGTTCCCTGTACTGAGGCTCACGCTATTATCCAACCCCGAAGGTATGGGGTGAAGCACATTCTTTGTAGACTGTTGTTTTCCATAGATGTTTGGTCGTTGGTTTGTCTTTCCATTTTATCAATCAGAGCTTTTAAGCTTCACCAGGTGAGGAATACAAGTGGGATGAATCCAGGCAAAAGCAAAGAAAATCTCTGTAGTTAGTGAGGGCAGCCTCATTCCAGACAAACAGACATTTTCCTCTCAGATTTTTGAAACATTGGCAGTTAAGAGCTTGCTGTCCTGAGAAGCTGTAGAAGTTCAGGGTCCACAGGTCAGGAGCTGAGACAATTAATCTCCATTTTGGCTCCAAAGTGGGATGGTTTAAGTCCATTTATTAAACCTAAGTTAGAGGCCAAATAAAATTGGTCTACAGCTCACCCAACTCCTATAGCCTTGATCCCAGTTGTTCTTTGCAGTTTCCTAAGTATAACCCCTACATAAAATAACACCAAGTGCATGCTTCCTCGGGATTCAATTGCTTTTCCACATTCTGCATTACTTATCATTGTTAATGGCACCACCATCACCTGGTATCTTACCCAATATATTCTGAGCATCTTTGTTGACAAGTTCCTGCCCTGTCGGATAACCCAATGGTCTGGATTCTACCCTCTCAGCATTTCATGACTTCAGCTCCTGTTCCCCAAATTCAACTACGGCCATTGTGGATCAGCTCACAGGTCTTCACATGCTGCCCAGATCCCTGCAAGATCCCCTTTCCAGGCCTTCCGATCACTTCAATCCATCCTGGGCACTGCTACCAGAGTGATCTATTTCTTACACCACATTTTGTTAGTTGGTTTTTCTTTCAAATCACATGAGTAAATAATAGACACATTCTCATTGTAAAATGTCTAAAAATAAATAATATAAAGCCAATTATATAAACTCCCTTTTTGCCAAAAAAAATATAGCACCCTCACACAAGCTTGCCCACTCCCGCAAGACTCCCAGGCCATCTTCTACTTTGTATGCAGACAAATTTTTACTTGTTTGTTTACATGAATGGGAGCATTCATCTATTTCTGGGGCTTATTCTTTTTATCTATCAATGACATAATTCTACAGCTGTTCATATAACTGCCATAACTTATGCTCAAGAGCTCTTTGCTAATTTAGAGTTCAAAGATTTGGGATATATATATATATATATATATATATATATATATATATATACACACACACACACACACACACACACATAATCTATTGAAGGACATGGGGATTAGTTTTGGAGCCATTGTTGCTATTACAGGTTATGACGCAGTAAAAACAAACTGCTGCGTGCATATCATTGGGACAAACAGTGTGGACTTTTAAAACATTTTGAGGGCCAGGAGCAGTGGCTCATGCCTGTAATCCCAGCACTTTGGGAGGCTGAGGCAGGCAGGTCACTTGAGCTCATGAGTTTGAGACAAGCCTGGGCAACATGGTGAAACCCCATTTCTACTAACAATACAAAAATGAGCTGGGCATGATGGTGCACGCCTGTAGTCCCAGCTACTCGGGAGGCTGAGACAGGAGAATTGCTTGAACCTGGGAGGCAGAGGTTGCAGTGAGCTGAGATCATACCACTGCACTCCAGCCTGGGCGACAGAGTGAGATTCTGTGTCAAAAGTAAATAAATAAATTAATTAATAAATAAAGGAAAGGAAAGGAAAAAAGAAAAAAAAACAATTGAAAAGTAATTGCCAAATTGCTCACTAAAAAGACTGTATCAGTTTATGAAACACTCTGAGTAGCTGTCTGTGAAAGAGCAGACGTTCTTCCAGCTTCTCAGCTTAGAACCATCATCAATTTTTTAAAGAAAAACATTATGATGGTTGAACAATGCCACCTTATTGCTTTTATTTGCATTTCTCTGACTACTAGTGGCTATTTGCAGTGAATTAATATTTCATCTTTCTATGAATTGACTAATTTTCCTATTGAGCTGCTTTTAAAATTGTTAATAATTTTTGTGCAAAAGTGGCAAATATGGTCTCTCAATCTGTTGTCTTCTAACTTTTTGCATTGTATCTTCTGACATAAAATATGTATAATTTTATATATTAAAATACACCAGTTGGCCACAGGGGCTCACACCTGTAATCCCAGTACTTTGGGAGGCCAAGGCGGGAGGATCACCTGAGGTCAAGAGTTTGAGACTAGCCTGGCCAACATGGCAAAACCCCATCTCTATGAAAAATACAAAAATTAGCTGGGCATGGTCATGGTTGCCTGTAATCCTAGCTATTCAGGAGGTTGAGGCAGGAGAATTGCTTGAACCTGGAGGTAGAGGTTGCAGTGAGCTGAGATTGTGTCACTGCACTCCAGCCTGGGTGACAGAGCAAGACTCCATCTAATCTCAAGAACAAACAAACAAACAAAAAACAAAATAAACAAACAAATATGCCAACATTTTCTCTCTGGTTTCTAGTTCTTGTGAATAGACTTCATAAATTCAAGTTCTTATGTTAGGAAGACTTGATGAATTCCAAAATTTTATCTATCTATCTCTCTATCTATCTATCTATCTATCTATCTATCTATCTATCTACCTTACCTATCCACTCATCTGTCCAATCATTCATTCAATATGTATATATCTGTGTTTCTATCTATCATCTATACATCCATTATCTATCTATGTATGTATCTATCTATCATCTATCCATCCATTATCTATCATCTATCCATCCATTCACTCATTATCTCACCCATCCATCCATCTGTCCATCCATTCATCAATTATCGCTGTATCTGTGTATTTATCTATCCATCCATCCATTATCTATCCATTATTTATATTTAGCTATCATATATATGATGTACATATTCACATCTATATATACATATACTTTTCCATCTCCAGTAATTTTTATATCTGTGATTAAAAATTTAAAAATATAAATTTAATATCTCCCTTATAAGTTTAAAATACTTTATTGTTCTTTTCTTCTCTCTTCTTCCTCTTCAGAATAAAGTTGAAACTCCAGTGTCCTTTTACCCTCCAGGGGCCTCTCCTACCTCATTCCCTCTAACCCTGCCACCAGACCCCTAGGAGAAAAGGCTTCAGCTCAAACCTCAGTGGACCAGGCTCTCTTGCACCTCTGGACCTTCTCATATGCTGCCTGCTGCCCTTGAAGGGTGGTGGGCTGCTGTTCTTCTCAGTGTCCCTCCCAGTAACTGGTCAGGGAGAATGCCCAGGCCCTGTCTTGCTGGGTGAGAGGAGGGAGGGCAGGCGAAAGAGAGAGAGTGGAGGAAGGAGAGCCCAAGCCAAGTGTTGAATCTTCAGCATAAAATCTGTCTAAAGTCCTTCTTAGTTATAGTGGGGAAAGGCAGGAACTGGTTGTAAGGCAGGAATGATGGCAGCAGGGTGAGGTTTTCTAAACTGACTGCTCACACTTTTGGAGTTATTTATTCCTTGAGAGAGTGGTTTCTAGTACTCCCTAATTTTGTGTTGGCACATCTACCCAGAGCCAACTTCCTAAACAAGCCAAGGGCCATGCACAGAAACTGGAAAAGATGAGAGGGACTTCTCCATGGTTGGAGATATGCACTTCATGTCACTCCCATCCCTGCATAAAATCCTCCTGCGATCTCCATAGTCTTCCATATAAATTGAACACTTTATTCCAGGTTCTAAGGTCCTCCCTCCTGACCCTCAGCACACCATCTCTCCCCCTCTCCCAACACCCAAGCCTGCATGGGTCCCCTGGGAAGTTCTCTGCATGGATCATTCTGTTTCACTTCCTCAGGCAGATGATCAGTCTGTTCCCTCTGCCAGGGGTGACTATGAAGCCACTCTTAGGTGGACACACTTGTCTTGACCATTCACATGTCCACTAGGTATTAACTCTGCTGGAGTGCTTTCACATCCTCCCTAAATCCAGCCTCCATCTCCTCATCTCTACCTCTAAATTGAACCCTCACTCTACCCATGAAGGGATGGGTTGTATGGTAGAGTGTGTGGAGACAGGGATGAATAAATGGACAGGTGAGTAGTTGAGTGTATGGAGGGATGGATGAATGAATGAACAGGTGGATGGATGAGTGTGTGGAGGAATGGATGGATGAATGGATAAGTGAGTGGGTGAATGGTTGGGTGATGGATGGATAAGTGGATGATGGATGACTCGGTGGCTAGATAATGGATAGATAGTGGGGTGCATGCATCTGTTTGAGGTATGTGAGTATATGATGATCATGATTATGATGATAACAAAATGACTCATTGGATGCAGAGAGATCCGTAATAAAAATGTCATGTGAGAGGCCTGAACTAATGTAGTGGCAGAAGATAGGCAGATGCAAACATAAAGTACAGGATGATTTTTAGGAGTCATTGATGTCATCAATGAAGGAGAGGAAGCTGTTGACAAAAACAAGTGATGCAGCCCAATGAGTATCAGAAGCCTATGTCTGCTAGTGCTGCGTAAAAGCTAAACATATTTCTTTAGCACCTGCTGCATGTTTCACACAGTGGGGCACTAGGGGGCTGTGAATGTAGTTGCGTGGCACATGGTTGGCTTCAGGATGATGACACTGTAGCTATTAGTCTAAAGAGAATTGAGGATGCAACTGCTCTAGAAGGAAGTGGGTTTATTATGTAACTCATTAAGTCAGTGATTCTCAGCCTTCTCTGTACATCAGAATCACCTGGGGGGATTAAAAAGCTACACATGTGGAATTTACAACTTCTATTCAACTGGTCTGAAGTGGTCTCAGGTATTGCCCAGATGTGAATTCAAGGTGTGAACTACTTCATGAGCACACTAATTAATAAAATTCAGCCTCCAAAATTTCTACTCATTTTTCCAAATGGGTATTGCCTATTTGGCAACACTTTCTTTGCTTACAGAGCCAGTCTGCCACCCTCTTCCCAACTTCTGTAGCACTTTGCTCACATCCTTATTAAACCAAGTACTGCACCATTTGCCTAGCTGTGCCAGAGGTCTGTCCCTTTCCCTCACTGAGGGCATAGCCAGAGATCAGCTGGCTGCAGAGGACAGAAACCTGAGGACATTTGGAACTTAACTGCAAAAAAGATCATGGGGCGTTCTAGGCAGTGAGAAGGCTTGTTTTCCTTGGAGATATGTGGCATCTCTTCCCTTTAAGCACCTGCCTCATCCTTTTTGCAAGTTGTCACTGGGCACATCGTGAATAAGACTGCTCCACAGTGAACAAGAAAACAGGGGCTTCATCTCCTAATTCACTGTGGGGCTGATACATGGCCAGATATCCATTCCTGATCCAATCAGCTGAGGCCAGGGAGACAAAACCTGTGTTGCTTAAATTCACTTTTCCCTAGAAGGCAGAAGAGAGCAGGTCTCCAAAGGAGGGCTTATGGCTGGGAGAAAGTGACCAATGCCTTGTCCCATCCACCTCCTTGTCAACCCAGTTTCTAGCCCAGGATGCATAATGGGTGCTCAGGAAAGACTTTTTTTTTTTTAATCAAAAACTGGAACAACTGAATCCTGAGAGCCTGGCTAGTGATAAGGAATAATTTTCTCCCAAGTTCCAGAGGCCACTTGGTACTGTCTTAGAAATGGATTGAGATTTTACAAATCTAAGTCATCCTAATTGGGTGAGTGAGGAAGACTTGAAGAAATTTTCCCCTTTCCTAAATGTCATATATACCTCCCAGAAGAGCAATACCCCATTGAAGAAGTCCAGTCATCTATGCTGCCTGACAATTCCTAAATGTGTACTATAATGGGTTGAATAGTGGCCCCCAAAAAGAACTTGTGAATTTGACCTTGTTTTGAAATGGGGTCCTTGTAGAAGTAATCAAGAATTTTGAGATGAGAACATCCTGTATTTAGGGTGGGCCCTAAAGTCAATAATAGGTATCCTTATAAGACAAAGGCAGAGGGAGATTTGAGACACACCAAAGCAGAGAGATGGCCACGTGAAGCCAGAAGCAGAGTATAGTGATGCTTTCTGAAGTCAAGAAATGTTTGGAGATGCAGGAATCTGGAAGAGGCAAGGAAGGATTATTTCCTAGAGATTTTGGAGGGAATATGACCTTATTGAAGTCTTGATTTTGGACTTCTGGTCTCCAAAACTATTAGAGAATGAATTTCTGTTGTTTTAAGCCACCCAGTTTGTGATAATTTGTTACAACCGTCCTATAAAACTAATATGAGTACTCAGAAGAGAGAAACCTCATCTTCTAGGAAGATAAGAAGCGTATTTTCCATCTTATTTGAGTTCCTTTTTTTAATTTTTAATTTTTGTGGGTGCATAGTAGATATATATATTTATGGGTTACATGAGATATTTGCAATGTTTGAAAATCACATCATGGGAAATAGGATATTCATCACCTCAAGCATTTATCTTTTGTGTTACAAACACATCCTGTTATATTCTTAGTTATTTTAAAATGAATAATTATCTTTTACTATAGTCACCCTGTTGTGCTAACAAATACTAGGTCTTGTTTATTCTTTCTATTTTTTTTTTACTCATTAACCATTCCTCCTTACCCCAACCACTACCCTTCCCAGCCTTTGGTAATCTTCCTTTTACCCTCTATCTCCATGAGTTCAATTGTTTTAATGTTTAGTCCCTATGGATAAATAAGAATATGTGATATTTATCTTTCTGTGCATGGCTTATTAACTTAACATAGAGACATCCATCTTCATCCATGTTCTTGCAGATGACAGAATTTTATTCTTTTTATGGCTGAATAGTACTCCATTGTGTATATGTACCACATGCACAGTTGTGTACGGCTGGGAGGGCCTTAGGAAACTTACAACCATGGCAGAGGGGGAAGCAAACACATTCTTCTTCACAAGGCAGCAGAGAGAGAGAGCTATGAGAGGAGAGTGGAAGGGGAAGCCCCTTATTAAACCATCAGACATCATGATAGCTTACTCACTATCATGGGAATAACATGAAGGAAACCACCCCCATGATTCGGTTACCTGCTACTGGGTCCCTCCCACCACATGTGGGGTTATGGAAACTACAATTTAAGATGAGATTTGGGTGGGGACACGGCCAAACCTTATCAACATTTTTCACCTCTTCAGTTAATTCCTAGGTATTTTATTTTACTTGTAGCTACTGTAAATAGAATTACTTCCTTTATTTTGTTTCCAGGTTGTTGGCTGTTGGCATATAAAAAAGTTACTGCTTTTTTATGTTAATTTTGTATACTGCAACTTCACAGGATTTATCATTTTTTTTTTTTTTTTTGGTGGAGCATTTAGGATTTTCCAAATATAAAATCATATTATATGCAAACAAGGAAAATTTGACTTCTTTTTCCATTTTGATGCCCTTTATTTCTTTCTCTTTTCTGATTGCTCTAGCTGGGACTTCCATTACTATGTTGAATAACAGTGGTGAAAGTGGGCATCTTTGTCATGTTCTAGATCTTAGAGAAAAGGCTTTCAATTTCCCCCCATTCAGTGTGATACTAACTGTGGGTCTGTTATATATGCCTTTTATTATGTTGAGGTATGTTTCTTCTATACCTAGTTTTTTGAGGGTATTTATCATGAAGGATACTAATTATACCAAATACTATTTCAGCAGGAATTGAATGATTACATAGTTCTATTCTTTGTTTTGTTGATATGGTGTAACGCATTGATTGATTTGCATACGTTAAGCCATACTTGCAAGTTTGTTTCTTTTCTCTTGCTGTTTTTATGATCCTTTTTTATCATTGACCTTTAGAAATTTGATTATTAAATGTCTTGAGGTAATCTTCTTTGGGTTAAAGCTGCTTGGTGTTTTGTAACCTTCTTGCACTTGAATATTGATATCTTTCTCTAGGTTTGGGAAGTTATCTGTTATTATCCTTTTGAATAAACTTTCTACTGCTATCTCTTTCTCTATCACCTCTTTAAGGCCCAGAACTTTAAGATTTGCCTTTTTGAGGCTATTTTCTAGATCCTGTAGGCATACTTCACTTTTTTATTATTTTCTCTTTTGTCTTCTCTGATTGTATATTTTCAAATAATCTGTCTTCAAGTTCACCAATTCTTTCTTCTGCTTGATCAATTCTGCTGTTAAAAGACTGACACTTTTTCCATATGTCAAATGCATTTTTTCAACTCCAGAATTTCTGCTTGGAGAAATTCTTGATTCTTGCTTGATTCTTTTAAATTATTTCAACCTCTTTGTTGAATTTAACTGGTAAAATTTCCAATTCCTTCTCTGAATTATGTTGAATTTCTTTGAGTTTCCTCAACACAGCTATTTTGAATGCTCTGTCTGAAAATTAACATATCTCTGTTTTTCCAGGATTGGTCCCTAGTGACTTATTTGGTTCATTTGGTGATATTATGTTTTCATGGATGGTTTTGATACTTGTGGGTGTTTGTCTGTATCTGGGCATTGAAAAGTTGGCTATTTATTGTAGTCTTTGCAGTCTGGGCTTGTTTGTACCCATCCTTCTTGGGAAGGCTTTCCACGTATTTAAAAGGACTTAGGCATTGTGATCTAAGCTGTATCTGCATTACTGATTATTGAGATCTGGCATCTCAAACCTAGTAACATGGTGGTTCTTGCAGACTCATTGAAGTACCACTTTGATGGTCTTGGATTGAGTTTCAATTTACTAATAAGGGCTTGTCCTGGACAAAGCCAGAGCAAGTAGTGATTTTCCTTGAATGTGTGACTCAGACCAAGTTACTTTAGGAGAACAAAGAAAAACGGAATAACTTACTGCTGTGTTTTGACGTTTGACAAGCAAGAAGATATATCAGATGTCTTTCATATACTGACTACTTTATGTTTCAAAACCACCCACTAAACAGAGATGTACAGGAAGGAGAGATAGAGGCATCTGAGTCACTATGACTTAAAACTCCTCTTCTCAACACTACAAGACCTTAGGGTTTTGTTTTTAAGACTTAGAGATCCATTAATCAAGTTCCTAAATGCAGGCAGTTTTTACACATAATTCTGCCTGCTCTATGCCTTTCTAGATGATCAAAATCCAGTCTATTTTAGTAGAAAATAAATGCAAACATAAGAGGACTCTTATTCTTCATGGGCAATCAGTTTGTCTTCATTAGAGTATTCTGCTCACCGCTTCCAGTAATGCATGTATATATATTTATTTTTATCTTTCTTTACTGTTACGAGGAAGCAGTATAAACACTCTCACCCCCATTTCCTGCCTCATCTTCAATCAAAAGAGAAATGACCATGTCCTCAAGTCTCTGCATTCCAGCCCTGAGTACCTCACCTCGCTTCCTCTAATTTTTTGCTTATGTGGAAACCTCTTCTTCCTTCTCATCGACATTGACTTTAGGAAAAATGAAATAAACCACTTTTCACACTTATCATCATTATTGTCATTATTTACCTTAAAAATACTTGCTCAGGTCATTATACCAACTTGGGGTAGGATCTCTAGGAAAGGACTATCTCATTCACAACTTGGTGCAGCAAACAAAGTGATACTAGCACAACTGAATTATATTGTACATGGTGCCCTCCAACATGCATCATTTGAATTATTTCTCCTCAATTCCCAACCCCTCTCCCTCTGCTGCCCCAGTAGTTATTATTGTTGGAGGGATGATGAGGTGCAGGCCATGAGAAAAAAGTTTGTCCTAGCTAACTGTGGCGAAAAATTGTCTTACTATTAAGGAGGAGTGGTTTCAATCACCCGTGAACATGAAGGCTTGGTAGTCATTAGACCTTTTCTTTAAACATTCCTATCTTTCCTTTGTGGGCATATGAAGTCTCATAGTTTTCAATGAGTTTGAGCAGATGTTTTGGGTACACTTCCAGGTAACAGGCTTCAGAGATTTTTCTCACCCTGGGGTGATGCCTGGCAATGTTCCAAATAATGGTGATTCAGTCTATCTGGATGGGTAGAACCACTACTATATGAAACAGTCTCTAGTGATATAGGATGGACACGTAGCAGGCACTGTAAACACATACTTGTTGCTTGAATTCATGGAGCTGTGGGGGCTATTTGTTATTGCAGCATAACTTAGCTTTTCCAGGATCCTGGACAAAGCATTGCAAAAAGAGGGAAGAGAGAAACTACCTGTATTCTAGATTAGGCTCCACCTGGTTGAGACTATTAAACCATGGGAAAACCAATGTATATAAACCTAGCATCTTTATCACTAAGATGTATATAGCAAGCTCTAATCCCCTACCTATTACTTCAGGTAAAGTAATAGACATTAAAAAAGCTTTTACAAATATGCGAATTTTAAATGGCATTATGGTTAGACTGCTCTTGGACCTTGGTAGTCTCATAATTTTGTAAATATTCTTTTACTGTATATATTGGATTATCATCTCTCTCTTATTTTCTTTCTAATTATAGAATATTTCTGATGAAATAAAAATATAAGTAATAACTCAGAAACACACGCTACATCAAAGTACTAATTGAAAGATTGCTTTTCGCTTTTCTTAAAGATTGACAGTTATCAAAAGTCTTTATTATCGCCTTCCCTATCTCACAGAATAGAAACATTGAAATAATATTTTTAACTTTTTAATTCTTATCAAAATAGTCTATGTATGTAGTTTAATGAGTCAAATAGTGTGTAATCTCCCACCCTAATCCTGTTCTCTTCCAAATCCTGCTTCTCAGAGCCTATCACTTGTATCTCATTTATTTGTTTATTTCTTCATATTTTTAAATGATATGCTCATGTTACTATTTTTTGACTTTTCCTTTTTAATCATTATTTATCTCTCCTTTCTATGGAAAAGGCCACACTAAAGTGTTGGGGATTTGTCTGTGAGTGACCGGAGCCCCTGGCAGTAATTTAACTTATGCGTTCAATAATACATTCCACAGGGGGACTTCTCTGGACCCAGATAGGGTTACAAACATAGCATGCCCAGATCAAGTACTCTGTCTCCAACAGGTAAGGTCCCAGCCCTGCCATATTTGTGGGAAGGCATCAGAGAGGGGAGATACCATAGATAAAAAGTTCTGTCATCAAATAGCCACATGGCATGGATGTGAGAAGAAAGAAATGGGAAAGCTGTCTTTGGTGGATGCATAACTTCTCTACCCCTACTCTGTATAGTTCCTCTCTCCACCCTCTTTGTAAACCAATTGGAACTGGCCTCTGAGTCTGTAAGAGATATTGCTACCGTGACAGTTACAGTTGATATAGTTATGCTATATGTCCAAGATTGGTCCAATCCCAAATCTCTTGATAAAGAGTCTATTATTTGTATTACTTTGTGTTTTTATACCCCTAATTGGCTTTATCTTGATGACAAAGAGGTAGAAGATCTACTGTCTGTGTTTGAGGCTTGTTAAGGGACCAAAGATGCTGCCAGTAGATGGAATCTGTTTTGTTGGAATCCCAATTTCATTTACAGCCCTCTTAGGCCCTTCAGGAGTAAAGCAATTGTGTCCATGGGCTGGGGAATACTCTAGTCTATCGTACCTTTGGAAATGGAAGGAAATGAGAAGTAACAAGAAAGTAAGGGAGAAAGTCAGAGAACAGAGACTGCTCTACAGTTGAACTTTCATGTTCCATATCATATTTATAACACACCTGTGAAGTAGATGTACCTAGTAAATAACCCACATGGTGCAGGTGGGAAAATGGTCCAAGACACTTTCCAGGAGGCATCTTGGAATAGTGCAAGGTGCATATCATTTGATCCAGCAATCCCACTACTGGGTATCTACCCAGAGAAAAAGAAGTCATTATTCTAAAAAGATACTTGCACACACATGTTTATAGCAGCACAATTCACAATAGCAAAATTTTGGAACCAACCCAAATGCCCATCAATCAATGAGTGGATAAAGAAACTCTGACATATACATGTGTGCATATATATATATTCACGCATATGATTGAATACTATTCAGCCATAAAAACAGAATGAATTAACAGCATTTTTGCGATGACCTGGGTGAGATTAGAGACTATTATTCTAAGTTAAGTAACTTAGGAATTGAAAGCCAAACATTGTATGTTCTCACTGATATATGGGAGCTAAGCTATGAGGATGCAAAAGGGTGAGAATGATAACAATGGACTTTGGGGACTTGGGGGGAATAGTGGGAAAGGGGCAAGGGATAAAAGACAACAAATATGGTGCAGTGTATACTGCTCAGGTGATGGGTGCATCAGGTTCTCACAAATCTCCACTAAAGAACTTACTCATGTAACAAAATACCACCTATACCCCAATAACGTATGGAAAAATAAAGTTCTTTCTTTAAAAGTTTACATCAGAGAGGAAAAGCATTAGAAGAACGCTTAAGTAATGAGTGGCCTGGGTCACACTTCAGGGCCACCCAGAGTTATTTCCCAGATATTCATTGCATGGGACAAATCAATGCTCACCAGCCTTAGTCACTTTTTCACTTTTCTTCTAAGGACTGTTGCTGTTGCTTTTTTGGAAATAAAACGAAGACACTAGCCAAAAAAAAAAAAAAGAAAAAAAAAGAAGAAGTTAAACCAGCTCTCTCTAGATCCCAATTCTTCCAGCCACTAAGGACAATAAATGTTAAACAAGCTTAGCACTATATGAGCTTTAAGCATTATTGTGGCTAAGCAGATCTTATACCTTAGTTATTTGGGATCTGGGGCAAACTCCTAACCTTCCCTGAGCCTCAGTTTCTTTCAAGTATGAAATAGAAGCAATAATAGCTGCCTCAAGGTTTTGGGTAAGCATCGAAAGCAATGCTATTAAATATGCATTGTTTATATGTGTCTGCATTGTTGAAGTACTTTGTGCATATTAACTCATGTATGACAAGCTCATGATGTAGGTTCTGCAATAACCACCATCTCGGTCTTAAAGAGGGAGAGTAGCTTCCCTGCAAGGTTGAGTGATGTGCCCAAGCTCACTGTCTCTTTGGTGGAGAAACTGAGATTTAGCTCTAGACAGTGTGATGCAAGAGTCTAATCTCATAACCACTATGAGGTACTAAAGCATGTAACTGAGCTGCATAGGTCATAGATTCTCGGTCAATGTTGGTGTCTTGGAGCAACATTGACTCAGCAGTTCAATAATGTCAACTAAACCCAGCAGTTCAATAATGTCAGCTAAAGCCCTGGAATTTCCCCTAACCCATTAACTACCCATGTTTCCTCCTAGCACAGTCTAGATTGCTGCAGGAATATTTTTGCCAGGACCCTGAAATCCCTTACCCTTTGCCTTTCATATCTTGGTAAACTCAAATTCCAAATGAACTCTCTGACTCATTCATCTTCATTCAAGGAGCAAGTGCTGCTGAAAGAGATAACCGAGCAAGGCAGAATGCATTAATGTTCAGCCTCAAAGACAGGATCACCACCACCGGAAGCCCTCCTGGCTTTTCTTGTTCCATCAAGGTCCCTCCCATTTTCAAAACAGATATTTTAAACCCTTAGCACTTCTCTCAAATCTCTGCAATCACTCCCACGACACATAGGAGATGACAAAACTTTTTATTTCTTAGAGAAATTTGAAACAATAGGATGAGAATTCCCTCAACTTCTTGTGAATATCACACCTTCAACTAACCTACATCCTCTTCTTCTGTCCCGGTAACTTCAAGCAGGCAGTCCCCTCTCTCATTTGAGGTTATCCCTCACCCCTTATTCTAAGACAGACTTCCCTGCTTGATCAAGAATCTTAAAATCTCAATTATTCCTTGTCTGTCTCCAGCACATTTAATGAGATCTTTCACAATGATTTTAGATAACTTACGCATGATCTTCCCATTTTTAGAGATAAAAAAATCATTGTTCTCAACTCCTCATTAATGAGCACCTTATCTTGAGCATCCCTTTTTGCAGACAGCTCCTAGAAAAAGTCTCTTTTTTTTCCCTACAGTTCCCAACATTTGTTTTTTCTCCTACTTATCTGCCTTCTGCTCACATCTGCCGTCTTGATGAGTTCTTGCTTGGGCCATTCTCTTAGTGATCTTCATGATCTTTCATGCTCATTCTGTTAATGATCTTCATTCTCTTCATGATCTTTCCCAAGCTTCCAGAACACAGGAACACTCCTCCATCTCTAAGATTTTTCTTCTCAGCCTATCCTCCATTACTGCCTTTTGAATGCTGGAGTTTCTTCATCTTGAACTCCACAGTTTTATTTTGAACTTCTTCCCTAGGCCAATTCATTCAAATCTGTGGCTTTTGTGGTCATTTCTAGGCTGATGACTCTCAACTGATGGACCGAGTTGAGCTTCTTCCTCTGAGTTGTAGACCCTTACATGTAAATACCTACTCATTATCTCTACTTTGAATGCCGAGGGTTAATTTAAAATGTCGAAAGCCAAATTCTTTGTCTTCATCACTCCTCTGTCTGAATAAATGATATCACCATCAAAAAGCAGTATAACTCTCCTCTTAGGAGCCAAGGAGACCTCTCCCAGAGACACATCCTCTTCATCAAGCCATGGTCAACACAAGGAAACTTTACCTTCTAAGGATCTCTCTACTCTTTTCACTTATACCAAGGTCCACTTCCACCCTCTTAGTTCAAGATGCCACTGTCTCTCACCTAGACAAGTCAATGACATCTGAAGCTAGATTCCAAACCTAGCCCAGGCCCTTTTCAATCCAGCATTGTCCACACTGAAGCCCATATGATCTTTCAAAACACAAATCTGGTTTTGTTTTTCCTAGGTCAAAACCTCTCACTAGCTTCCCATTTCCCTAGGGATAGTGACCGAAGTCCTCATTATGGTTCTCAAAACCAGCAAGTTCCAAAGCAGATATCTCTCCAACCTCATTTCACAGTGTGCCTGGTCGTTATAGTTTGCACTCTGCCTACATGACTTGTTCCACTTGTCTGTTAGCATGAAACAAAGAACCCCACACTTAGAAGGGCCACACAGCAACAATCTTATTTGATCAGAAATCCTGTGGGTAAAAAATTTAGACAAAAAGCCCGGTGGGAATGGTTGTCCTTGCCTCTACTCTGCTCTGGATGTCTGAGACCAGGTATTGGGTCTTACATGAGCTTGGACTGGAGGGTCCACCTACAAGATGGCATCTTTCTTCACAAGCCTGGAGTCTGAGCTGAAATGGCTAAATACAGGCTCAGCTGGGACTGTTGACCAGGGCTGGGACCTCAAAGGGAGCAAGTAGCAGTCTTTCAGAAGCGAGTGTTCAATGAGAACCTGCCAGAAACTGTCTAGCTTTGCATGACTGAACCTGGGAAGTTACAAAGCATTGTTCTGTCATAATCTGTTCACTGAGGCAGTCACAAAAGTCTACGTCATTTCAAAGGACATAAACTCCTCCCCTTGATGAAAGGAAAGGAGAGTCAAAGAATTCAGGAATCACCTTTTTCAAATGTTTCATTCCCTTTTTCCATTCCTTAAAGGTACAATCTACTCTCCCACCAGGAGAGAGCTGTGCTGAGCTCTGCCCTTTCACTCCCACAACCTAATTAATCCTGTCCATCCTATTGACTCCAGTTCCTTCTTTTCTTCTGCAAGGAAGCTCTTCCTAAGACTCGGAGCTGCTCAGATCCCCTCTTTATAGAGGCTTCTTCCACCATGCACATCTTTGCCATTGACATGCACTCACTGCCAGTGTCATTCTAAGCTGAAGTTATTGATTGATGCATCACCCTCCTTCATTAGGTAATGAACTCCCCAAAGGCAGAGACGTTAATGGATGAATGAAGAAATGAAATGAGAAGGAGCTAGAAATGGAACATGCTATCTGTGATGGTGCCTGCAGAGCTGTCTGCATCCCATTATGCCTCACTGTATGGAAAGGTAGATCATTCTAGTTTATGAGTCAGGAAAGGCAAGGCCTGTCTTCAGAGCACAATGTTGGGAGGTCCTCCAGGAGAAATGTACAACTCTCTTGCCCTATTTCCTAATCTTTCCAAATGAATGAACAAAAACACTTTATGGCTTCCCCTGGCAGCCTCTGGCCTTTTCACGTGGCAGAAAATGAAGGTATGGTTGCCAGGCTTGCCCAAGATGGTTTGCGTGTAAGCAGGAGGGCACAGGGTGGGAGGCAGTAACAAGAAGCAAACCTGCAGTTACACCTGGATATTCCCCTCTTTCTAACCCTGGGGGCACCTGGATGCTTTCCAGAAGGACAGCACCTGGGTCCCCCACTGTCTGGACAGCTGCCATGTGCCTTTGCTTCCTCCTGAATATCGGGCAGAACAGCCAGCGCTGTGAGAGGGACGCAGATCCCAATGCATGAGGTCAGGTGTACGGAGGGTGGGTTCTTAAACAAGTCATCCCACCTTCCTGAAACCATGCAGTCACACTTTCCCTGCTTCTTGGTACGCTGATTTTTTTCTCCAAAGCAACTGTTCATCCCGAACACACACACACACACACACACACACACACACACACACACACACACACGCACAGGTGACCCCCCAAATCCCTAAGTCCCAGTAGATGGGGTTAGATGATCCACTTAGTGAAATGTTCCAACAACAAAGAATGCTAACGTGGGAGGTAAGAAAACAAAGGCATTTTTCCTACTCTCATTTAAGAATTTACCAGGTCCAAAAGAACAATATTGAAAAAAGGTAGGAAATGGGCTTGGCTCCATTTTGGGTACTTTTTTTTTTTTTTTTTAATATAAGTTGTCAACTTTCTAACAATCAAGTCTTGTTCTGTATTTACTTTTAAAAAGCCCCCTTCTTGGGGTCCACCATTTAAATGACTATAATACATAACCCTGGTCAAGTCACTTCCTCCTTCCGTGTCTCATTTTCCACTCCTCTAAGCTAGGACAAGCATGGAGTAGTTTGCTTCTCAACCCCTTTATTCTAAGGCTGCACTCTTCAACACAGTTGTCATGGAAGCCACATGTGGCTGTTGAGCATTTGAAGTGTGGCTAGTCTGAATTGAGATATGATTGCAAGTATAAAAATATACACTAAATTTCAATCATGCAGTATGAAAAATAATGTAAAATATCCCATAAATAATTTTTATTAGCCCAGTGTGGTGGTGCACACCTGTAGTCCTAGCTACTCAGGAGGCTGAGGCAAGAGGATTGCTTGAGCCTAGGAGATTAAGACTGTGGTGGGCCATGATCACATCACTGCACTCCAGTCTGGGTGAGAGAGCAAAACCCTGTCTCCAAATAATTATAATTATAAAAATGGTTATTTATTTTTATCTTTATTTCATATTCAAATTATAATATTTTTGATATATTGCGATACATCAAATTTCTGTCTCAAATTAATTTGTTTTTATTTTTTGTAATGTGCCTACTAGAAAATGTAAAATTATATATGTGGCTTGCATTATATTTATCTGGGCAGCTCTGTTCTAAAGAATAGATTTCCTGACATATTAATGATCACCATTCTAACTGGAGTGAAATGGTATCTCATTGTGGTTTTGATTTGTATTTCTCTAATGACCAGTGATGATGAGTTTTGTTTTGTTTTTTTCATACGTTTGTTGGCCGCATAAATGTCTTCTTTTGAAAAGTGTCTGTTCGGCCAGGTGCAGTGGCTCACGCCTGTAATCCTAGCACTTTGGGAGGCTGAGACGGGTGGATCACAAAGTCAGAAGATCGAGACCATCCCGGCTAACATGGTGAAATCCCGTCTCTACTAAAAATACAAAAAATTAACCAGGCGTGGTGGCAGCCACCTGTAGTCCCAGCTACTCGGGAGGCTGAGGTAGGAGAATGGTGTGAACCTGGGAGGCGGAGCTTGCAGTGAGCCGAGATCATGCCACTGCACTCCAGCCTGGGTGACAGAGTGAGACACCGTCTCAAAAAAAAAAAAAAAAAAAAAAGGGTCTGTTCATATCCTTCACCCACTTTTTGATGGGGTTGTTTTTTTCTTATAAATTTGTTTAAGTTCCTTGTAGATTCTGGGTATTAGCCCTTTGTCAGATGGATAGATTGCAAAAATTTTCTCCCATTCTAAGTTGCCTGTTCACTCTGATGATAGTTTCTTTTGCTGGGCAGAAGATCTTTAGTTTAATTAGATCCCATTTGTCAATTTTGGTTTTTGTTGCAATTGCTTTTGGTGTTTTAGTCATGAAGTCCTTGCCCATGCCTATGTCCTGAATGGTATGGCCTAGGGTTTCTTCTAGGCTTTTTATGGTTTTAGGTCTTACATTTAAAGTTTTAATCCATCTTGAGTTAATTTTTATATAAGGTGTAAGGAAGGGGTCCAGTTTCTGTTTTCTGCTTGTGGCTAGCCAGTTTTTCCAACACCATTTATTAAACAGGGAATCCTTTCCCCACTGCATGTTTTTTTCAGGTTTGTCAAAGATCAGATGGTTGTAAATGTGTGGTGTTATTTCTGAGGACTCTGTTCTGTTCCATTGGTCTATATATCTGTTTTGGTACAAGTATCATGCTGTTTTGGTTACTGTAGCCTTGTAGTATAGTTTGAAGTCAGGTAGTCTGATGCCTCCAGCTGTGTTCTTTTTGCATGGGACTGTCTTGGCTATACAGGCTCTTTTTGTTCCATATGAAACTTAAAGTAGTTTTTTTTTTTTCTAATTTGGTGAAAAAAGTCAATGGCAGCTTGATGGGAATATCACTGAATCTATAAATTACTTGGGGCAGTATGGCCATTTTCACGATATTGATTCTTCCTATCCTTGAGCATGGAATGTTTTTCCATTTGTTTGTGTCCTCTCTTATTTCCTCGAGCAGTGGTTTGTAGTTCTCCTTGAAGAGGTCCTCCACATCCCCTGTAAGTAGTATTCCTAGGTATTTTATTCTCTTTGTAGCAATTGTGAACAGATTCTGGAGAAGATGTAGATAAATAGGAACACTTTTACACTGTTGGTGGGAGTGTAAATTAGTTTAACCATTCTGGAAGACAGTGTGGTGATTCCTCAAGGATCTAGAACTAGAAATACCATTTGGCCCCAGCAACGCTATTATGAGTATATACACAAAGGTTTACAGATAATTCTACTATAAAGACACACACACATATATGTTTATAGCAGCACTATTCACAATAGCAAAGACTTGGAACCAACCCAAATGTGCATCCATGATAGACTGGAAAAAGAAAATGTGGCACATATACACCACGGAATACTATGCAGCCATACAAAAAGAATGAGTTCATGCCCTTTGCAGGGACATGGATGGAGCTAGAAACCATAATTCCCAGCAAACTAACACAGGAACAGAAAACCAAACACCACATGTTCTCACTCATAAGTGGGAGCTGAACAATGAGAACATATTGGCACAGGGAGGGGAACATCACACACTGGGGCCTGTCGGGGGGTGGAGGGCAAGGGGAAGGATAGCATTAGGAGAAATACCTAATGTAGATGACGGGTTGATGGGTGCAGCAAACCAACGTGGCACAAGTATACCTAGGTAACAAACCTGCACATTCTGCACATATATCCCAGAACCTAAAGTATAATTTTAAAAAAAGATTATATCAAGTAAATTAATAAAAAGCAACTGGATAATATAAATAGACATATATCTCAAGAAAAAAATGATTTCTTGCAATTTTTAGATGAAGTTCCATATAGATTAATAGCCCCTCAATGACTTAGGAAATCTAGCTCTGTTGTACATAGCTGTTAAAATAAACATCACAGTCATCAGTGATGAAAGACAATGATAATGATTCTTCCAATTTAGGCTATTCTGCAAATGTCTCTCAGACAAGTGTGATCCATGTTCTAGAATTATATATTACTGTCACTACATTCCAACAACGCTCAGAGAGGACAAACGGCTAGACCGTGGTCACACAGATGAAAAGTGACAGAGGCAGGTTTACAAGGTCTTCTTTCAGATCCAGGTTTCATGCCATTTAAAACATCTACCCAAGGGAAGTTTGATTGAGGTAGGTGCTCATAATGTATTTTACTAGAGTGCAGCTTCAGGTAATCTAATTTTAAAATTATTATAAAATTATAAATCTGCTCTGCTTTTCCTGAGAGTAGAGGTGACCTGCTAGTATTTTGGAATGAATTAAATATCTCTCTCCTTAAAGTATACTTTTTGTGTGAAGGGTTTTTGTGGTGAAGGATTAACAACAAACCAAATACTTCTTATATTCACAATCTCTTTGTATCCCCTTCCCCCACCCAGGGATTTAATGCTAGACTCTTATTTTAGAAATATGGTCTCTATCCCTTTAAATAATAATAATAATAAAAAAACTTTCTCTTGTTCCCTGAACTTCATCTACAGCCTCCGAGGGACTGGAGATTTGTCTATGATCAGTGCATATTCCGCTCTGTGTACGAATCACAAATGTTGATAGAAATAGCCATGGGGTGTGCAAAGAACCCATTTCGTATGTCAGAAGAGTTGGGCCTCCGTTAGATGAAATGTCAAGGGAAGGCAGATATCTCAATGGGAAATGACCTTAAGAAAGCCCCGACCTCGCCAAAGATGACCTTTTTGCAGCAAGAAACATTAAAATTACAACCATATTCATGTTTTAGTTTCAAAAACAATATGTATTTCTCCTCCACACTCTCCTGGCTTGGCAACCTACATATCTTAAATAAAGATATACCGGGGTCCTATTTCTACTTGGCAGAGCCAAGTTGATTTATTTCTGTCTGAACACACCCGCGGAATGAAGCTGCTCTTTTTAATTCCTCAAGGGGCTCATTGGAGGTCCATTTTATTGCTATTTTAGCTGAATGTTTTACTGCTATATCTGTATTTAATATTTCCAGTGTGGCCTCATTTTTGGAATTTTTTCCCCCAAAATCCCACAGGCACCCTTGTATTAACTAAAATATATGTCTTATCAATGTGTTAATCAAACTAAAAATTCTGAGGCTGTTAAAATGCAGCTATGGAGAAATGTCCATATCTGATAGCATTTGGGTCTTCAAGTGGCAAGGTAGAAAGTGACAGATCAGGGGCAGAAATTTATTTTCATAGCAGTGACAGAATGATTCTGGTCAAACTCTACATTGAGAAACAGGCTTTACAAGGTACTTACTTTACTCTAGCTTATTATTTTTGTTGTTTGTTTATTTTTAATCTACCTGCTTTTCAATGCCTCGTCTTACAAATCCATTTTCTTGATCAGCACTAATCCTGTGGAACATGGAAAGCCCTTTTCCTCAACACCTAACTTCTGAAGTAAAACAAATATTTCAAAGCACCTGTCATTGTCACAAAGGGAGAATGACTTTGGAGTTCTCCAGGATTTGTGTGTGTGTTTTTCAAGGTTACATGATGCAAATACTCCCAGTCCCCTACACGAGTGGAAAATTAGAATTAGAACCCTTTCCAAAACAGGGCACGAATGAGAGCTGCAAACTGTTTACTAGGGCTAAGTCACGGCCAAATGCAGATGCCAGTGGCACGTGGTGAGGTGTGTTGGAAAAGCGTTATTGTTACTTTTGATCTGGCTTGCACTGGTCAATTCACTCCAATCCTTGCCTTCAAGTGAGAAGAATGGCACCTATGTTATGCATCTGCTGTGAAAACAGTGAAATCATGTGAGGGAAACTGCTGGGATAATGCCGATGTTCACATTTTCTCAGATTTTCTTTCCCAAATATTTTTCTATCTGCCTGCAAATACCTTTTAAAAATGTCTTTAGAACATTCTGTTGGTCATAATTTTCTCAGTTTTGAGCTATTCGAAAATATCTTTTGCTCAAAGCAGTTTACAGGTTCAATGCTATCCCTATCAAAATACCAACATCATTTTTCACATAATTAGAAAATTCCATTCTGAAATTCATATGCAAACAAAAAAGAGCCCAAATAGCTGCAGTAATTCCAAGGAAAAAGAACAAAGCCAGAGGCATCATGCTACCTGACTTCAAACCATGCTATACAGCCACAGTAACCAAAACAATGTGGCACTATGGAACAGGTTAGAGAACCCAGAAATAAAACCACACACCTACAACCATCTGATCTTCCACAAAATTGACGGTAACAAGCAAGGGGGGAAGAACTCCTATTTGATGAGTGGTACTGCTATAACTGGCTGGCCATATGCAGAAGATTGAAACTGAACCACTTCCTTAAACCATATAAAAAAATCAACTCAAGATGGATTAAAGAATTAAATGTAAAAGATAAAACTATAAAAACTCTTAATGAAAATCTAGGAAATGCCATTGTGGACATTGGCCTTGCAAAGATTTCACAACAAAGATTCCAAAAGCAATTGCAACAAAAACAAAAATTCACAAGTAGGACCTAATAAAATGAAAGAGCTTTTGCACAGAAAAATAAACTTTCAACAGAATAAAAAGACAACCTAAAGAATGGGAAGAAACATATGCAAACTATGCATCTGACAAAGTCTAGTATCCAGAATCCATCAGGAACTTAAATCAACAAGAAAAAAAAACAAACAAACGACCCCATTCAATATGGGCAAAGGACATGAACAGACACTTCTCAAAACAAGACATACACACCATATCAACAAGTATAAGAAGAAATGCTCAACATCACTAATCATTGTAGAAATGTAAATCAAAACCACAAAGAGATACCATCTCACATAAGTCAGAATGGGTATTATTAAAAAAACAAAAAAAGTAACAGATGTTGGCGATGTTGAGGAGAAAAAGGAATGCTTATACACTGCAGGCTGGAATGTAAATTAGCTCAGCCACTGTGGAAAGCAGTTTGGAGATTTCTCAAATAACTTAAAACATAACTACTATTTGACCCAGCAGTCCCATTACTGAGTATATACCCAAAGGAATATAAAGCATTCTACCATAAAGACACATTCACATGTAGGCTTATTGCAGCACTTTTCTTAATAGCAATGACATGGAATCAACCTAGATGCACATCAGTGGTGGACTGGATAAAGAAAATGTGGTACTCATATACACACCATGGAATACTGTACAACCATAACAAAGAACAAAATCAAGTGCTTTGCAGCAACATGGAGGCAGCTGGAGGCCATTATTCTAAGCAAATTTATGCAGGAACAGAAAACCAAATACCACATGTTCATACTTATAAGTAGGAGCTAAACATTGAGTGTACATGGACACAAAGAGGGAAACAATAGACACTGGAGCCTACTTGAGGGTGGAGGGTGGGAGGAGGAAGAGGATAGAAGAGGATAGAAAAACTACCTATTGGGTACTATGGTTACTACTTGGGTGACAAAATCATTTGTACACCAAAGCCGAGTGACACACTATTTACCCATGTAACAAACCTGCATGTGTACCCCCTGAACTTAAAATAAATGTTGGGAAAAAATATTTTTATATATTTCTTTTTAATGATAGTTCTACTGAGTATCCAGTTCTTGCTTGAAATTTACCATCTCTCAAAACTTAGAAAATGTTACTCCACCATCTTCTTTTTTCCATTATTTCTTTTGAGAAGTCTAGTGTTAGCTTGGTCATCTTTTCACTCTGGCTGCTTTTAAAATCTTATTTGAAGTTCTTTAGTTTTACAACAGTGCATTGAAGTGTGAAGTTACTTGTTTGCTTTCTTTAATACTGCTTGATATCCATTGCAATTTCTATATTTTTCTACGTTCTGTGTGTCTACATTTTTCTACGTTCTGTATGTCTACATTTTATCACCTTTTTATATTTTCTGTTTGCTTGCCTTTTTTTCCAATATGCTGAGCATTTCTTCTGATTTGCCTTCTTAATCACCAATTTTCAGTTCGTTTCTCAGTTAATGTTTATGCATTTACTAGGTTTTGAATTTCAATAATTTTATTTCTAGAAAGACTATGTAGCTCTCTTCTCTAATCTGCTGTGCCATGTTTGATAAATTGTTTCTAATTTTTTGATTTCGTCTTTTATTTCTTGAGATATTTCACATTACTTATTTTATATCAAATCTATAACTCCATGTGTGTGTGTGAACATACACTTATGCATAAGGACTACATGTGCCGTATGATCTGAGAAAGGAATTTCATTTGCTTTTGCTGAGGGCCAGAGAACCCTGCAGACCTGGTACTATTTTTGGCTCTTTGTAAGGTTGCTGATGTTACATGTAGGTCTGAGGTCAAGCTCCTCCATCTTACCAGGCTCTTGGGCTTGGCTTCCTTAACGTAGACTTGCTCATTGCTCAAGTTCCTTGTTCCAGTCTCAGCTCAGTCATGCTTGTTTCTTTGTTTTTATTTCTTAGAGATTCCCCTTATATTCTATCAATCCCATAAAAGCATTAAAATTATGTTTGCATTGTAATTTTCTAATCATATCAAGAGCTGTTGTATCTTAGCTGAGACATCTTTCTGGTCTCCTTGCCTGCCGTGCTACAGAAACCCACTTGCTGGAGTAATGTTTAGAGAAATATTTTCATCTCTATCATTTAGTGTCCCCTGGACTTCCATGTAATGAAAATAAAAATAGTAATAATAACAGCAACTATATACTGAGAATTGACAAAGTCTCAGAGACCATGCTAACCATTTTACAAAAAGCATCTGTAGTCCTCTCAACATGGCGAAGAAACTACATTTCTGAGAGTAAAAGTGAATAGTACTTATTTGTTACACAACTAGTTGATGATGAAAAATATTAAAAAATAGCTGTTGATGAAGCTGGGATGGAAAGAGGTTTGGCATAATATTCTATACATTTGAGAATATGCTATGAAATATCTCAATTTTTAAAATATAAAATTATATGAACTCTTCATAAAAGTACTTTAGAAATATAGCTGGAAAATAAAGTAATTTACCCCAAGAGAGTGACCTGATCACTCTTTCCCAACAATGAATATTTTATGACTGATCATGTCTTCACTTCACCTGGGACACCAGCAAGCTCTGCAACATATTGGAAGGTCAAATTAGTCAGATATGGCTGCTATTACCTTATTTATATTCCTCCTTTAGTCTTAACATTCTAGTTTTATGGATATTGCATTGTACTATTGCATTATTTTACATTGCAACCATTTTATAAATAAATTAATTTAAAAAATTGAGCCTCCTAGGTACATGACTGCCTTATGTAGAAATGGTCTACATTACTCAGATTTTGTTTTCAGAGCACATGTAAGACTCTAGCAGGTCAAATGTCCACATCACACAATATTTAATTTTCTTTTTGGAGGGAAAATCTCCTTCTAGTTCTTCTAGTATACCAGGTGATGACAACAACAACAACAACAAAATAATAGCAGGAGATGCAATTTTGATAACCTTAGAAACTTTGCAAAAAGCTTTTCTTCAGTTTGTTTTCTATGCACAACAGCTCATCCTGGATTTGTTGGGTTCTGCACATTGTAGAGAGGAGAAAACAGGTGACTTAAGGCTTTCTGGTTTGCCAATACCACAGGAATAATAAATGTCTTTATTGTAAAGAATTGGCTTGTGTGAATATGGAGGCTGAGAAGTCCCACAGTCTGCTGTCTGCAAGCTGTAGACCAAAGGAAGCTGGTGATGTAGTCCTGAGAACCAGAGAGTTGATGGTAGAAGTCCCAGTCAAGGGCAGGAGCAAGTCGATGTCCCAGCTCAAGCAGTCAGGCAAAGAGAGCTAGTTCCCCCTTCTTTTGCCTTTTTGTTCTATTTGGGCCTCCAACAGATTGAACTATGCCCACCCACACTGCAAAGGGCAATCTGCTTAACTGAGTCTATTGATTCAAATGCTAATCTCATAATAATGTTGAATCTGGGCACCCTGTGGTCCAGTCAAGTTGACATATAAAATTATCACAGCTACCAAGTGGGAGAGCCAGGAAGGACAACCTCACCAGTCTGAAATTCTTTCTCCCTTTTGCTTCCTCTATGGAGAAAACTAATACTGATCACTTCCTCTTTTCTAACTTTCCAGGGGGAAATGCCCTCTCATTTGTCTTACCTCTTGAGATTGCACTCTACATTTTTATCTCATTAAGAAAAAATCATGTATTGTTCTTCCCCTTGAAATTCATTATTTTGTAGCAGTCTTTCTATTTGGTCCTGGGGACTCTGAGTGCCAGTGTGAGGGTCTATGTAATGACCTGAGTGACCTCAGCATTCATCGGGTTCTCCCTCATTTCCAAAGGTAAACAATTCTCACAAGAACCTCTTCATTGGCCTCCCAGGGATCTGCTTATCCTCCATTAATATGACCCTCCAGCCTTTGGAAAAGCCCTCTTTTTTCCTACTAGATTCGAGCTGGGGAGACCAAGACTCAGCAACAGCAACCATGTGGAGTCAGGGAATCTAGAGACGGGGTTGTGTTTGAAAAACCTGGAAGCTGTTTATTAGGGCTGACTGGAAGCCCAAGCACAGAATTCCATTTCCTGAGCTGTAGTACAAATATTCAAAGCTACTTAATGAACAGATGAACAAAGCAAAAAACCTGGGCACCTGGGTGGAGGGAAAGGGTGAGATAGAAAGTCAGAGAAGGGCTGACTGCTGGGCAGCCAGGACACTGAATTGAGTGGGCAGGCAGCATGGTGAGCTTGGAGATCAGTGGATTAAGAGTGCATCCCTCCAGAATTGCAAAATCTCTCTTTCATACACATGCTGTGTGACCTTCACTAAGCACTTAACCTCTCTGAGCATCAGATTTCTCATCTCTAAAATGAGGAGGACGATACTTATGGAGGCATTTTAAGAAGTAAATAACATAATATGCATCGTGTTTGTCACACAGTAGGCTATCATTCTATGAACATAGATTAATTCTTTTGAAACTTCCTATATATCAGTTCCCTATTGCCACTGCAACAAATTACTGCAAGCTTAGATGCTTAAAACAAAACAATTTTTTTATTTTAAAATTGTGAAGGTCAAAAGTCCAAAATGGGTCTTAACTGAGCTGCAAGCAGAGTGCTGGTGGGGCTGCATTCCTTCTGGAAGCTCCGGGGAAGAGAAAATCTGTTTCCTTGCCCTTTCTAGCTACCAGGGCCTGCCCACATTTCTTGACACATGACCTATTTCTCCATATTGGAAGCCAGTAGTGTGACATCATCAAATCTTTTTCTATTTTCATCTTCACATCTCCTCCAACTCTGATCCTGCTACCATTCCCCTTGTAATAACATTGGGCCCATGCGGGTAATCCAGGATCATCTCCCCAACTCAAGATCCTGAACTCAATCTCATCTGCAAAGACTCTTTTCCCACATGAAGTAGCATGGGTACAATTTTCAGGTATAATAATGTGAACATCTTCGGGAGGTCGTTCTTCTGCTGATCACACATTGTAGGGACCACATGATCCCAGATACACATTAGGAGCCGAGTCTAGAGACAGGGTTCACCTGAAACCCACTACAGAGAGAGGTTTTGGGTGAGTGGTGATTCTGTCATTACATTTTGTGAGCAGTCCAGTCCATCTCTTCCATAGTTGAAAAAACTGTGACCAGGGAGGCAAAATGTGTTGTCCAAGGGTACAGAGAATGAGTTTGAGGTGATTCCTTCGTATTTAACGTAAACAGAAAACTTTCTTACTCTTCATTCACAAGCAAAGGTTACTTACGACTCCTGCATTAAATTCTCGTTATCTTTTTTTCAGGGCCTTAAGATTCAATTGCCCATTATCCTATGACTGTGCTTATTTAGGTTTAATCTTAACACTTGTCATTTTCTGAAATTACCTGCTTTTAATTTGTTTGTTTTCCAAATTGACTGCATTCTTTCAAACATTGCCTAGTTCAACAAGTAAGTATTGGATGGATGGAGGGTTGGATAGATAGACGGAGGGATAGACGGAGGGAGAGATGGGTACTGTGTGATAAACATAGTGCTAAGCATTTCATATGCTTTATATGATGTTATCCTCATGTCTCTGCAAGGTAAATACTATTGTTATCACCACATTAACGTGAGACACAGAGACATCTAGAAGATTACAGGATGTGAGCAAGCTCACAAGCAAGTGGCAGAGTTGGGACTAGAATCCAGGCAGTGCACTCCTGAGCTATGAAAAACTTCACCCTGCAAAGTGCTGGGCAAACCCCTCATTCAGAGCCAGCATTTTACAGGGCAGTGCAGTTACTTTCAGGGAGGAAGTAATCTCAAGACTCTCATGACTATGTCTGCTCTGCTTTCTTCACAGGCTTTTAATTTCAGTCTAATTCAAGTCAGCAGCATAGGGCAGCTCCTGGGAAATTGGTTTACACATGCGGACAAGCCCAGTAGCCCAGAGCTAACCCACTCACCATCCCTGACCACAGAGGAGCAGATAAGGAAGCAAGATTTGTCGGGGTAAGTGTGAGAAAGTCATAGTCCATGGGCCATACATAGCTGGAGCTGAGTCTGAAACTGACATGCAGGGAAAAGGGAAGAAAAAATACCCTGGATAAGAATTCACTGTCAACTCTAACACATATTAAAAAATATCCTAGCCAAGCGGGGTGGTGCATGCCTGTAGTAGATCCTGCTGCTTGGGAGGCTGAGGTGGGAGGATCACCTGAGCCCAGGAGTTCGAGGTTGCAGTGCACTATGATTGCACCTATGAATAGCTACTGCACTGCAGTCTGGGCAGCATAGCAAGATCCCATCTCAAAAAAACAAATCCCTGTACATGGGCTCTACATTTACACTTAAAAGTAGTTGTTATACTTACTCATCATCTCATTGAATCACCCTAAGAAAATTCATATAAATTTATGCAATAGAAGTTACTCCATTTGGCAGAAAAGAAAACAGGCTCAGGAAAACAGAGTAACATGCCTGTATCTGTACAGCTGGTAGGTGTTGTTATGATTTGAACCCAAGTACCTGCTTCCTCCATGTCCTCAAAAGAGATATGCTCGTGTCCTAATCCCTAAAACTTGTCTGCAAATATTACCGTATATGGCAAGAGCTATGATTAAGTTAAGTACTTTTAGAGAAGGAGTTTCTCCTGGATTATTTGGGTGGCCCATCAATGCAGTCCCATGTGTCCTTATCACAGAGAAGCAGAGGGAGTTTTGAGACAGGAGAGGAGGCAGAAAGTAAAATGATATGGTCATAAGCCATGGAACATCTGGAGCTACTAGAAGCTGGAAGAGGAAAGAGAGGATTCTTTTCTAGAATCTTCAGGTGGGCAACCCTGTTGACACTTTGATTTTGGATTTTAACCTCTAGAACTATGAGAGAATGAACTTCTGTAATGTTTAGTGACCCAGCAAAGCTAATTTTGCTTTGTCACAGAAGCCAAAGGAAACATTAGGTTGGTGCAAAAGTAAATGCTGTTTTTCCATTAAAAGTAACGACAAAGAGCAATCAATTTAGCATCCTCCTAATAATACATCCCACCATATCAAGTTTCCTCTGGCTTTTGTTAATCTGATAGATTAGAACAAGGCTGGGCTTTTTCAATCAAGAATGATATTTTAATAAGGTTTTAAAGATGCATATTTATCGTGCCTTAAAAACATACTTTCGAACATTTTTAACAATCCATAAATAAGTGTGTATTTACAAGATACGTGATTTTTATTCATTCATTTCAAAGTGAATTGCCAGTAACAGGTCCTTTCTGATAGTGTGTGAGCAGAATATGTTCTTCAAGACAAAAAAAAAGATTTTTTTTTTTTTTTTTTTAGATGGAGTCTCGCTCTGTCACCCAGGCTGGAGTGCAGTGGCGTGATCTCTGCTCACTACAAGCTCCGCTTCCTGGGATCACGCCATTCTCCTGCCTCAGCCTCCTGAGTAGCTGGGACTACAGGCGCCCGCCACCATGCCTGGCTAATTTTTTGTATTTTTAGTAGAGACGGAGTTTTACCATGTTAGCCAGGATGGTCTCCATCTCCTGACCTCATGATCCGCCGCCTTGGCCTCCCAAAGTGCTGGGATTACAGATGTGAGCCACTGCGCCTGGCCAAAAAATGATTTTTTAAAGGTATCTTTAAGGCTACTTAAGAAGACAGCTGCTCATCACATAGGACTGAAGCACACAAAAAAAGGCTTGAGTTCCAGTCTGGCAGCACTTGGCCTGCTCTGTCTGCCCAGAATTTAGTGATCATCAAACCTGAAATGTGAAGGATCACAGGAAGGGTGGTGGATTCTGGAAGGATATCCAGCACCTGCAGACTTAGTGGTTAGAGCTCCCTTGAAGTCCTGTGCAGGAGAAATACCTAAAACATAAAACTCAAAGCCAGCCTGCAGCATCCTTTATGCTATCAAATTGAATCAGTGGAGAGAGATGATCCAATTCACCACAGAGCTGAAGTGGAAGGAACAAAATTAATGATTCACCCTGAATAAATAAAACCTAAATGGCTTTGGGAGGCTTGGTCCAGATGGAACTTTGAAATGCTCTTCAAACATTTCCAAAGTGCTAGAAGATCCTAGGAACCTAAAGACTGTGAGGGTGGCAGTGATGTGAAGATGACAGTGGTAGTGCCGACAGAGTGATGATAATAACAATGGCAACGATGGTGGTCCTGATTGTCGGGAGGATGAGGACAGTGGTGATGATGTGCAGGTGACAAAGCTGATGATGATGGCGGTGGTAATCGTGAGTGCAGTGACTATTAATCCAGGCCCTTTCCATTCTACAATTCTATTGTTTGGGATGACAAAGTTGTATTAGGTCCTTGGTTCAATTGAAACAAGCATATTTCGAATTATGCCCAATTCTCAAACTGATTATTTTATCCAATAGACATTTTGCAAGAGAGGAAAATATTCAAAGTTCTGTCCTCAGCCCTGAAGAGCACATTTTAGTAAGAGTCTCAAGGAGTTCAGAGTTGCTAAAGACAGAATGTTTGCGTTGTCCCAAAATTCATATGTTGAAATCTTAATTTTTAGTGTGATGATTTTAGGAAGGGGGCTTTCGGTAGGTGATTAGACGGGTAATTAGATTATCATCTTCACAAAAGAGACATCAGAGAGCTCCCTTGCCCCTTGTGCCATGTGAGGACACAGAGAGAAGACAGCTGATTATAAACCAAGAAGGAAACCCTCAGCAGACACTGGATCTCATGGCACCTTGATCCTGGATTTTCTAGCCTCCAGAACTGTGAGAAATAAGCTTTGGTTGTTTGTACATCATCCAGTCGACAGTATTCTGCTTTAGCAGCCCAAGAAGACTATGGAACAGTCTAGGCAAGGAGATGCAGGAGTAGCATGAAATTTTAAGAGGTTTAGGAAACTGCCTGGTGAAGAAACACAGGTCAGTAGAGAAGTGTGAAGGCTCATTTAACTTTCTAACTGGAGAGAGTCACCGTTGCCATGAAGAGCAGGTGAGACATGGAATGGAGAAAGAGCATGCCCCAACGTGTCCCTGTGGGCAGCAGAGAAGGAATGAGATGGGTGTGTGTGGTGTGTGTGTATGTATCTATGCATATGTGGGCATTTTGTATGGCATGTGTTTGAATGAGTATACATTTATATGTGTAGGGTGTTCGTATATGTGTTGTATGTGTGAATTTGTGGTGTGTGTATGTGGTATGTGTAGTGATGCATGTGTGGCTTGTGTGTATATGTATGCTGTGTGTATGTGAGAGCGTGTGTGTGCATGCATGTGTGTGCTTTGGGGATGGTAGAGTGAGAGCTGAAAACCTTAAAGATGTGTTTTATGTGTAGTGAAATGAATAAGTCTGAGTTTTCCTGCACTTGAATAATAATTACAATTATTGTTGTATTTGTTTAAATAAACAATGAATGGAGTAGTAAATGAATTAGGGAGTAGTTAAGAGTTTGGGACTTTTTACAACATGCCAGGCCTGTGTTGAGCCTGATACATAGCTAATCTCACATCACCATCAGAACCTCCTCATGAGGCTGATACTCTAATATTCATATCCCCCTTTGACAGATGAGAAAAGGGAGGCACAGGGAGTTGAACAGCTCACTCAAGGTCCCAAAGTGGTCCATCCAGATTTAATTCCAGGCATGAAGCTGAAAGCTCCAGTGCTCTTGACCACCAGGCCCTACTGCAGAACGACCCATGGGCAAGCACCTTAAGGGGTCTGGGCTGCCTGGCTGCATTCATGAGCATTTGAAGAGTCTCGGCTGTGTGGGGGCATGGGCGTGAATGACCACAGAGCCTTGGCCCAAACTGATGCTTGGATGAACAAACACATCAGCATTAAATTGTGCCTGCCTCTGTCACAGAAGAAAAAGTCACTTTGGTCTTTTTCTTCTTTTTGTTAGTTTTTTTCTCAGGCACGTGTATTAATATTTTGCTGTCCTCTGACATTTAGAAATATTCGTTTTGTAAATATGGTCTGGGCTCAGGGGTACATGGTGATACTCAGGGGCCTGGGAGTGGGGCGGCTCTGGAGGGGACAGATGGAAGCAGAAAGCTGGGGCTAGTCTTCTTACCTGTGCAACCTCATGCTCCTCTTTGCATCTCTGAGCCGTGCTTCCTGCTTTGTAAAGTGCTTAATTCACAAAGATTAGGACCATATATAATAGCAAAGTACCTGGTTATTTCCACATCATAATAAGTGTTTGCTAATTAGTGGTTATTATTACTAAAAAATGTCTACTTAATGATTTTTTTTTATTGCTTTGTTTGCTCTTTATCTCAAATGGACTTTCCCTCCTCTTGGAGCATCCAAACATTCTTTGGGCCTTTTGACATAAATGCTCTTGCAGCTGGCCCTTCCCTATCCCGATAAACAGCCACTGCTGTGGAGCTGCTGCCGATTCTGCAAACACGGCTTCTGCATTCTGGCTGAGCTGAGGTCCTGGCTTGGTCACTTTCCTCATTCCCAAGTCCTTCTAAGGTCATTCCCAGCTTTGACTTCAGCCCTGCAGGTAGGAACCGCCCTGATCCCTCATTAAATGAGCACCTGTTAGAGGTCACAGCCCATGGCAGACAGGTGTCATTTATTTGTTTGAAAGATGAGGAAATGGAAGCTCCGGAACAGTGAAGTGGTATTCACAAAGCCACACAGCCAGAGGCAGAACTGGAACTTCTGCTTCAAGAGAAAGAGGATAAATCCTCAACAGCTTCTGCCCAGTGAGCTCATTTGAGGACATCAGGGATCAGGGACTTAGGCAGATGGGTTTGCAAACGCACATGCCTTCTGGGGCACATGTTTCCTGGACTCTGCCCATCTGGGTCTTACTGCTAAAGAAGCCGATCCCTGACCTGCCCTTCAGCCTTTCCTGCCCTACCTGCCATTGCATGATGTGCTGTTTTCCTGTATGTCTGGCTGGTGCCCTCTCCCCTCTCTGGTCTTTGCTTTTAAATGTTGCCACTCTGAGGAGTCTCCCTGACCACCCTGTTTGACATGCACCCCTCAATCTCCCACCCTGGCATTTCCTATCTGCCTACCTTGCTTTATTTTCCTTCACAGGACTATTCCCATTAAAATGCTATACATTGCACTTTTCATATTTTGTTTATATTAGCTTATTTGATTTATTACTAGCAATGTATAAGAGGGCTTTCACTCCCACATCCTCATCACCTACAGCTGCAGTTCTAAAACAATATTCCTTGAATGAAAATCCTGCAGGCAAGTATTCTTGCCAAAGTAGGCCGGGCAAGTCCGATGATTTCGGGAAGTAACAACCTGATTAACCCTGATCGATAGGATACTGACCTGACTGAATTATTGTTATAGCAGTTACCCTTGATTGCATGTCAATTACCTACAACCACATATACTAGAATATCTTTTTTTGTTGTTGTAGTATCAGAAGCACTATAAAGTATTGTCCCCTTCAGAGGGGACGAATATCTTGCTCAGCATCATGATGTGAAAAAATAGCAAAGTATGGATTATCTCCTGGGCCAAACTGGCTCCAAAGTCGGTCTTTAGCCCACTGCAAGGGAAAGTTTCAGATTTATTGAAAGTCAGAATCTGATGTGGCTCTTTAATAGATAGAGATTCTCAGGGCCGAACAGTAAGGTTTCTGATTCCAGGGGTTCAGGGAATCGCATTTATCAATGCTCTCCTATGTGGTTCTGATGTGTTTGGCCCATGGACCTGGGTTTGAGAAACCCCACGCTTTCATCTGCTGCTCTCCATTGAAATAGCTAGAGTGGGTTTGATTGGAGTTTCCTTAGTAGCCGTATGTAGCTGATATTCTATGCGTGCGTGAGAAAGGAGGGTGAGGAAGGGGGCAAAGTAAACAGGAGAAGGAATAATTGATTGGGGGATTTTATTATTTTATCCCCCCACCCCCAGATATTTATAGGTCAAATAATGCTGCAAAGAGACCCGTTGACTCTAAACTCATAAAATGCCTACTTGGGAGTCAGACTGTAATTTACTTTTCTAAAGATGCCTCAATTATATCCAAGGAAAAGCCTGGTTACATTTTTAAAACTCAGGAGCAGCAGCTTTTAAATTTATTCAGACTAATGAGCGTGTATAAATTTGGCGAATGCTAATTCACAAGAGTCTGTTGCGGCGGTGGGAGAAACACAACAAGAGTGTCACAGCCAAGGAACAAAGTGAATGGGTGATGGGAGTGACAGTAAAGATTTCTTTTAACATCACTAAAAGGCAGCTGAAGTGACAGGTAAGAGGAAAGGTGCAGAAGTCTGCAGCACTTGGAGAATTTGTGTACTATCAGGAAGGGACGCGTTGACTTGATACCAACTTAATAAGTTCAGCAGAGAATAAGAGCCAGGGATGGAGGCTGCGACCTATGGCAGAAGTGTGTCCACCCTGCTTCCTTGGGAGCCAGGAGATGTTGATCACAGTGCCTGGAGAATGTGGCTTCTCTTCTAACTGGAAGCCCCTCCTTTTGCAAATTTCAAGGCATCAGGCACATGGTTTTAATCTGTCTCCACAGATCTCAGAAATGAATTTAGCCTCCTCTGGAGACAGCTTCCACTTAGGATCACCTCGAAGGGAAAGAAATCCTAAATCAAAACCCATCAGTGTACACCTGGATTTCAAGAGAGATGCTCCCCAGTCACATCTGCAGGCTTCTGAGGTTGGAAGACTCCAGCCCAAGAGAAAGCAGTGGGAAGCAAAATTTTGAAACCTTGATAAAGGTGGCTTTGGCTTTGAGGCCTGCAATTATGTTTTAGGGGAAGGAGGGATGTCTGAATGGAATGCAGACCCCAAAATGGCTAAAGTGTCATGGTTTCAATTTCTTTCTGCCGAAGGCAAGCACCTTCTCATGCTGATCTGTTGAGTTAGGCTTATTCATGATCCTGGGAAACCCAGAGTCCACCTTGAGTGCACCCCTGATCCTGGGAGACCCAGAGCCCAACTTGAGTGCACCCCTGCTTACCATTCCAGCCTTTCCTCTCCTCACTTCTGCCAGAATTATGAAGCTACTTGCCATTGTTATAGATTAACTTGTGTCTCCCAAATTCATATGTCAAAGCCCTAGCTTCCTATATGACTATATTTGGAAATGGGTCCATAAAGGAAATAATGAAGGTTAAATGAGTTCATAAGGGTGGGACTCTAGTCCAATAGGACTGGTGTTCTTATAAGAAAAGGAAGAGACACCAGACCCCTCTCTCTCTTCATGTATACGGAGGAAAGGCCATGCAAAGACACACTGAGAAAGCACAGCTCTCTGCAAGCCAGGAAACAGCCCTTGCCAGAAGCAAACCCTGTTAGCACTCTGCTCTTGAACTAGCCTTCAGAACTATGAGAAAATAAATATCTGTTGTTCAAGCCACCCAGTTGGTGGTATTATGTTATGGCAGCCTGAGCTAAGTTTATATTCTCAGAGTAATCCCTATGCTTCAGGCCATATGCCAGTTGCTTCTTTTGTTTGGAATGCCTTTTCTGAGGATCATTTGATCGATCACCCCCTTGAGGATCAAATGATCCTCAGGTCAAGTTCCTGAAAGGCACCCTGGATTTTTCTAGATTGAAAGGGTATCCTTGCTTAGTGCTTACTTAGCACCTCATGCCCCTTCTCTTGTAATGTTGAACCCATTGTTTTGAAAATGTGGCGTTGCCTGATTTGACCCTTAACTAAGCTTTAAATACCTTGAGGCCCTAAACTCAGACTTACATCTTGGTGTTTGTAGAACCCACCAACCCACCTTAGTATACGTCAGGGACTCAGATGTCATCACTGCTCATAGAGTAGATTGACTGATGGATGGGTGAAATGAATTGGTAAGTAAACAAAGACTAGATGGATGGATAGACAAGTGGCTGGCTGGATGGGTAGACGGGTGGATGAATGGATAGTTGGATGAATCGGTGGATGAGTGGATGGATAGATGAATAAATGGATGGGTAGGTGGATGGGTGCATGAATGGATAGATGGATGGAAGGATGGATGGATAGATGGATGGAAGGATGGATGGATAGATTAATGGATGGATGATTAGATGCGTAGTCGTCTAAAAGCCTGTTGCCTTTCCTAGTTCAGAGCTCCCAGAAGTACACAGGATAGGAAGGGGTGGAGGTTGAGGCACCAGAGTATTCTTCCCTAATGTACCATGTTCTCTTCATCAAACCTTTATAACTAAAATGTCTTTACTTGTTCCCTTTAGTGCCCGTGCCCACTGGCTGCTGAATCTTTACAGCATTGAATAGATATTCTTAGATCTTTGTCTAGAAGCACTCTGGTCACTTTATTTATTTTGGATGTTGTCACATCCCATTGTTGGGCTAATTTCTATTCAAAGTAGAGTCTGCAGAATAATATGAAATAGCAGTAACTATGAATCAAGAACTTCAACAAATGACCGTCTCATTTAATTCTTACAAAAAAATACCTCAAAACTGGTATTATTAACCTCATGTTATAGCTGAAAGCCATGAGGCACAGCCAATTGAGGGCAAAGACAGGATTCAAATTGTGTGTCTGCAGCCCTAGTCCAAAATCGCAAGATGAATGAGCAGCTCTGCTGCCCTGTGCCTTCTTGAAAGATGGACATCAGTGCTATCTGGAATTGCACCTGCATTTTCTGCAAGAAGAATTAGGCTGGGAGACATATTTCTCTTTGAAATAGTTTCACTAGGGACATTTCCTACTGTGCTGAAAGCTGACCTCTTGGACAAACACACTGTCATAAAATCATGCTATTTGCTACAAGTGCATTGGGAGTTTTAAATCATCAAACTAAAGTACCCCAGGCTCTGACAGTAAAATTTTCATTCAAAGAAGGACTCAGCTTCACAACATAATAAATTATATATGACTGGGACATATAAAACATTTAAAGGTATACAGAATTTCTCTGCATTTGTGTTCAGTGAGTGAGTTCAGCTCTTGAAGTACTTTTTTATGTCAATCCTGCCTATTCATAAGAAGAAAATAGGCCCCTTTTTCTTTCTCTGCAAATGAGAACCACAAAACAAGTTGCCTTCATCCCATGTTCTAAAGTTCAGATTTTATATTTGGTTTTTTCTCTTTTTTCTCCAAGAATGTGCTGGGTGAGGCAATGACACAGTGATAGCAGGACTGCAAGTGCAGCCTGTGTTGACCTCTGAAACCTGAGTAATTAAACATCAGAGACACCCACCAGAGAGACTGGAGGGGGCCAACCAAGACATGTTAGGATTTGGATTGGGGGCTATAGGTAAAGAGCGAAGCTCATACAAATAAAAGCTGTAATTACCAGGAACCACTTTTTAAAGGGTGCTGAGTTTAGAGAGACATGTATTAAAATGATTGAAACATTGCATTCCAAGATACAAGGTGACATGCACTATCCTGGCACATGGTAGGCAATAAATGACAAGATATCTTGTCTTTCTGGACAGAAAGATGGTCCTAGCATAATGCTAATACACTAGTGTGTATTTGTCAGCAATTGCTGTGTTAATGCTATATAACAAACTACCCTCCAAATCAGTGGCTTGCAACAACAAACATGTTCATGTTTATGAGTCATCTGCTATTTGACTGAGCTAGGCTGGGGTCTTTCCTGAGTGGCTCTAAAGCAGGATCATGAGCAGCTGGACTTGCCTGTAGACTGAGGATTGTGTTCAATACCATGCTGTGTGTTTCTTCCTTCTCTTTGGACTGGAGCCATTAGAGGCATGCTCTGCTCTTGGTGAATGGCAGGAATCCAAGAGTCAACAAAAACAGGCAATGCCTTAGGGGGCCTTGGTTCAAAACTGGCTCACTGTCCTTCTAACTAATTCCACTGGCCCAAGCAAGTCATATGCCCAACACTGATATTAGTGGGGCAGAGGAATATCACATCTGTGAGTGGTCTTAAAAGTCACGTGGCCAAAGGCATGAATATATAATTCAAATACATCTAGAGTATGAAGAATTGCAAACACTTTTATCTACCTCTCCTGGGCTTTCCTGATCCTAATCTGCTGCAAAACTTTGAGTAAAACCATCTCTGTCTCCAATTCCAGCAGCAATCAAAGTGTGGCCCTGATCAACAGCACCAGCCTCACCTTGGAATTTATTAAATATGCAAATGTCTCATGGCTCCTCCTAGACCTTGTGAATCAGAAACCTAAGTTCAGGTAGTTAAAGTTACTTTTGCAAGTTCACATGGCACTAAGTGAGGGTCTGACCCCAAAGCGCCTGTTCTTTTCATACATCTCACTGTCTACCAGGAAGAAGGGGGAAGGGAAACAAGCAGAGTTGGCAAGTTAGTCAATATTTTCTTAAATGAAAATGAGAGTTAAAAGCACTTCCCAAGTATGCAGACAGCTCCATTCATGTGCCTTTCACCTCTTGCCAAGCCCACATTCCAGTGGTGGTATTTGGTTAATCATCCTTTGTGCAGAAACTTGATCCCAACCCTCAGGTCCTTCACTGTGATTTAGTCTATTTTTGTTTTCTGAAATCATGTCTGTTTCCTCGGTGACTTCCAGGCCCTCCCAGCCCTGGAAGAGGAATAGTGAGGCCTCTTGACAGGTAAAAGCCCCTTGTCCTCACAGGCAGCCTGAGCCTGAGGGGCCTCCCCTCTGGCAGCCACTATGCTGCAGGGTGACATCCCCTGAAGACGTGAGTGAGGGTCAGCAATGTGCTGGGCACAGGCAGCACTGGGAGCTGGATGGAGCATCTGCATTTAGTGACACAGGGCCCTATGGCTGGGGAGGGACAGGCTCAGGCCACCACTGGCCAGAAGGGCTGAGAACTGAGAGCCAAGGGTCTGGTTCAGACACAACGGTCTGGTCCTGACTCTTCGGAGCTGTGTGAGGGAGACAGACTTCCTGGGCTTTAGGAAGGTTATCTACCAGTGTGGATGAAGATCATTCTTATTATATTATATATGTTACTATATAGTAAGATAGAAAATAGCACATATTAATACAATATAACACTATATCATATTATAACACGTGTACATATATGCTAAAATATTAATATGTTAGATTTTTATATAACTATATATAATATAATAAACTGTCAATTATATATATATTAAATTTGTATTATATCAATACATTATTTTATGTCATTTATTATGCTATATTATGCATACTAATATACCTACATTATATTATTATAAATTGTAATTATAAATTATTACAAATGTGGAAACATGATGTATATAATATAATCTATTATAATAGACTGTATAATCATATTTGTGATATAGATGCTATAATAGTATTGTGTTATATTGTTATTACTACTCTTATTGCAATGGTCATCATGTGCTGGGTTTGCCCTAGAGCTGAGACTCCCACCCTGGTTTCCCGAAGTCTAGAACATGTGTGCTTCAACCCCAAGCAAGATGTGCCTCTGTAAAATCAGGGACTTCAGTGAAAGTATACTTCTAAATCCCCTACTACTGTAGGAAGCTGACTGAAAGGTAAAAGACACTGCAGACTCTGGTGTCAGACAAAGCCAGATTGGAGGCTCAACTCTGTCACTTAGTTCTGGGCCAGGCCCCTCCTGAAGTCTTAGTTTCCTCATCTGTAAATGGCGGTCATTTTAACACCTAAATTACGAAAGCTAAGTAATTGCAGAGATAGCTCATGTTTCAAGGCTCAGCAAATACCTGGAACATAACAGGTATCTACATAAATATGAATGTGTCTTGGGGGCACATGGACAGGTCTGGGTTGAACAGTGTCAAGTGTGCAAGCTAGGCCCCAGTTCACCAGCTGGGGACTTACAGACAAGCCTCATAAACTGTTTGAGACCTTCTGACATCAACCCCTACCTCTTGCTGTCATCGGTAGGGTGGAAGTGATACAGTGCACAAAGCTCTTGACTCTCAATAGGTCTCTAGTAATTGTCATTCTTTACCAGAGCCCCTGCTTTCCTTCCAGAGCTATGACAAGTTCCACTGTGGATGGCAAGGAAATGAGGGGGGCAGCAACCTGTTAATGAGACTCAAGAGTGTCAAGACCCATTTTTGTTATCTGGATTTTCAAGGCCGAGTTCAAACATGAGGATCCTGGAAAGGTTGGCAGACGTCTGCGGAAGCTACCTTCTCTGTTGTAAAAGTCCACAAATGAGAAGTGGCTGCAGTGTATAAACCTGTGGACAGCTCTTCTTGTACTGTCACCCACTCTCATAGCTCACCATCCTCAGGCACCCTCTTATCTCTGCTCACAGAGTACCCACCTGAAATGCCTAACCTGCTAACTCCACCCAGTGAAATTCTGTGAATCCCACAAGGTGTGTCTTATATGCCTCCTTTCCTCTGCTCATTCCTTCCACAGACATTATTGTACATGCCTTGGGTGCTCAACGGCAGTCTCTGGATTCCCCAAACAGTACAGTAGTTTCTTTTAGCCCTTCCCATTGCACTTGTCAAGGGCATTTGCTTTTGGCATTCAAATTTGTGTCTAGTACATAATGGAGACCTGGCTACAGAAGTATTGCAGTACTGAAAACAATCTCTGCTATCCACGGGCTTGAAATTTACCCTCTGCAAGTGTAACTGGAGGAAAACACAGTAGTCACCAACTACGGGCAGTTACTGAAATTCAAATTAGTTGAAATAAAATAAAACCAAAAATACAAATCCTTATTCTCACAGACCACATTTCAGGTGCTCAGTAGCTACATGTGGCTGTGACTGTTATATCACCCGGTGCAGAGAGAAAGCATTTCTACCCTTACAGAGCATTCCATTAGACAGTGTTGCTCGGGATTCTATATCCCCCTGAACCTCTGCTATTCCCTGTCACTGGGTCCGTTTCCTTTAAAACCCTAACCAATTATTTGCACACTTATTTGTTTTATGGTGATTCCCCGCAAGTAGACTGTAAGCTCTGGGAGAGTAAGGACTATCTTTATCTCTTTTACCACTTCCACCCTTACACTTAGAAGAGACCTGGCAGGTGACAAAAATATATTGCTAAAGTGAACAAGTGGGATGGTGAGTTTCTATCCACTAGAGAGTCATAGCTGTCTAAAGGGACACCATGCACCATTTTTCCAGCCTTACCTGGTCCTCCAGATGCCCCGCAGATACCTTGTGGTGTGGCCTTCGCTCTTGCAGGGTCTCAGCCCCCTGGGACATCCTCCTACATCCACATCTTCATGGCTGAATCCCACCCAGACCTCAAAAATGAAACGAAAGGCCACCTTCAGGAAGCCTTCCTCAATCCAGTGCTTCCCTTTTGTCTCCTCATCTTCTTCCCCATTAAAGGGCTTAAGAATGATGTCCTCCAAATTTGACCACCTTGGCTTTTAAACTGCAACTCTCTGGAAGCTTCACACCTGTTGCCTTATTGGTGGCTGCTTTATACACATTTGTTCATGTTTCTTATCCACTACTTGAGAGCAGGGTCTATGTCTAGCTTACAATCATCTTCCCAGGCTCTGAGAAAAGCATTTAAAATACAGCAGAGGCTTAAAACATAATATTTGAATGAATATATGAGTAAATAAATGATCATGTTTTAAAGCTATGATTTTACTATTTTTAAATGATCACTACCACTAAAGAACATCATTTCTTTATTTTTTAATCCATGGCTTTTTATTTTTATTTTTTAAAGATTCATACCAAACAATACAGCATAAAGCTCTATAACTTATAAAATTTGTAAAACCAAATTCTAAAATTGAGAATTTATTATACACAAAAGTTAAAGAACCTAGGGCTGGAAGAAGCAAATTTCTATACTGAAATGTCTTTAGGAATGGGCACGTATTCATTTTTATTTTGCAACAAAGGAATTTCATTAAAATAAGAAAAAATGTGAACCATTAGTGTTAACTTACTTGGTTTTTAGATGAATATTAATCTTATATCTAGAAGTATATGTCTTGCATCAGCATTTCAATAAAGAAGCAATAAATGCAGAACCAGCCCTGTATCCCTTTTTCATCATATGTTCAGAAGTACCATGAGGACACTTCTGTGTGTTTAAGGCTTGCAAAGTCTTTGCCCATCCACTGTCACCTTCCACTTTTGTATCAACCTTACCATTTGGAATTCCGTTGAATGCTGGCTCTCCAAATATCACCAGCACAACCTGTGGATAGTAAAAGCTGTTTACTGCTTACTAAAGTAATGGTTAACCTCAAAAGAGCTGAGGCTGTGTCTGTGAGGTGGGGCGGGGGAAGGCTGGAAATTATTCCAGATTGGAAATTCAGTTTAAAGCAGGTCTTCCAATGGACAGCTTGACTGGGATTAGGTAAGAATCGTAATACAACAGTCCAGACTGAATAGGATTAGCAAAGTGAACAAGGGATTGAAAGAATGTTTAGGTGCAAAGTGTCAATTATTTTTTACATTGAAGAAGAGTTTAAGGTTGTTTTGGGAAGTCCTTGTAATGAACAGTGAAGTCATCAAGCCATTTGCCTGGGGCCAGAATCTTTGGCCTAGTAAAGTCATGCTAACCAACGCAGTGGAAGAGTAAAGTTGTATTAATGTGGGGAGTAGATTGAGTGAGGACAGAGAGTTTCAGTCCTTGGTGATTTGATCCAGCTGTGTGTGCAGGTGGATGCTTTTGGTTCTCAAGCCACACTGGACAGAAGAGAAGCAGATAGCTTTTACCTTCCCCCAAATTACACGGCTTTGTGTTACAGATACAATTTCCTTCTTCTATAAAAATATAAATATAAAATATATATACATATACATATATGTTTCAATATGTAGAAACACACGCACAGACACACACACACACATATATATATTTAAAACATATATTTAAAATGATTGCCTGCCTTCTTCTTGAACTCTGGAGTGTGAATTAAAGATCCCTCCCTGTCTGTAGGGAACCCACCCCAGGAGGGTACAAGATGGTGTAGAAAGAAAGTTGTTCTTCCCTGTCTGTAACAGCATTTGCAAAATAAGTCCTTAATTTGAGTGCTTTTTGAAACACTACAGTTGATTTCTGATCTATTAAAATGTTATATAAGTAAAGATATAAGTACACATTGATCAGCATTTTATTCAATTGTCTTTCTCGTTTGAGCCACCTTCCAGGCAGGTGGCTATTCACAGCATTGAGAATTGTAAATGCTGGTTTGCAGCTAGTACTTAGTGACTTAATTTCATTCTGTAAAATATTGGAGGCGTGTGGAAAGGTGCTATTCTCTTTCAAGGAAGTAATCTACAAAATGAATGCTAGATTGGGTATTAGGGCTAATGGAACACGTTAATAATATAGCAGGTTAACACTGACGCTTACTTACAATAAAGCTGCCAGAGCTGGGACACTGACGCCCTGAAGGAAACATTCTTCACTGTGTTCACGCTTAGAAACTCCCTTCTTACTTCATGGACACAACTGAAATGTTACGTTTCGTATCTACTGCAGCCACAACACAGCATCCAACACACAGCTCTCCTTTCTCCAGCTCTGCAGGCTGATCTTGTTTTACACTATACATTCTCCTTGTTCCAAATTTTATCCAATTCTCTCCCTTTTTCTAGGCAAAGAATAAGACACTTGGACAAGGCCGTTAATGGCAATTTCCTAAGGCTTTTGAAGCCCCTGTAGACAAGGATGAGAACCAGCATTCTAAAATAGGAAGGTCAGCAAAGCAAAGGATGGCAATGAGGCCACCCATGGGAAACTACAGGAGCAGAGGCTGCCCCAAGAGGGAGCCCGAGGTGGGGCAGAGGTTCCCATCCAGCCTCACAAACTCAGGGCACCATAATGAAGACAAGGTCCCTGCCTAGACAACCCTTTTCCCCACCACTGTGTCCTTAGACTCTAGAGTGTGAATTTAAGATCCCTCCCTATCTGCAGGGAGCCCACCCTGCCCCGTTCTGCAAAGTGAGTCTAACAATCCCTACCTAGCAGGGGTGTTGTATTAGTCAGTCTTCATGCTGCTGATGAAGACATACCTGAGACTGGGTAATGTATAAAGAAAAAGAGGTTTAATGGACTCACAGTTCCACCATATGGTTGGGGAGGCCTCACAATCATGGCGTCAGGCAAAACACGTGTCTTACATGGCAGCAGACGAGAGAATGAGAGCCAAGTGAAAGCAGAAACCCTTAATAAAGCCATCAGATCTCGTGAGAGTTATTCATTACCAGGAGAACAGTATGGGAGAAACTGCCCTCATGATTCAATTACCTTCCACTGGGCCCCTCCCACAACACATGGGAATTATGGGAGCTACAATTCAAGTTGAGATTTGGGTGGGGATACAGAGCCAAACCTCATCAGGTGTGGTATCAAATGTGGTCACATGTGTTAAAAGACTTTGTAAACTGTAAAATTTAGAAGAGGGTATAATCAACATCATACCAACAGTGAATATATATGAATGATGGAATTAAGTCTTAGTTTGATTTTATTCTTTATAGATCTGTGGTGTTTGCAATAATAAACACGCTTTTCTTGTTCCTGGGAAGAAAAGCTGTAAAATAAGAGATATGTATGTGTGTATGCCTGTAAAGAAAAAAATGAATGAAGGCAGAGTCATTCCAACTACTTTATTTTACCTAAATTAAATAATTTACATCTATCACTAGCCAGCATCGTATTCATTATTTGTTTTTTTTGTTGTTGTTGTTGTTGTTGTTTGAAATGGAGTATCACTCTGTCGCCCAGGCTGGAGCGCAGTGGTGGGATCTCGGCTCACTGCAACCTCCACCCACCAGGCTCAAGCTATTCTCCTGCCTCAGCTTCCCAAGTAGCTGGGATTACAGGTACCCACCACCATATCCAGCTAATTTTTGTATTTTTAGTAGAGATGGGGTTTCACCACGTTAGCCAGGCTGGTCTCTAGCTCCTGACCTCAGGTGATCCACCCACCTGGGCCTCCCAAAGTGCTGGGATTACAGGCGTGAGCCACCGCGCCTGGAGTATTCTCTTTTTGAATCTATTTATTTAATAGCTCCATCCTTTTCCTAACTGAATGGATGCTCAGAAGGGCAGCCGTTGCTCTAATGGTTTAATTACACGGCCTCCTCAGTCAGAGAAATCCCAGTGTTTGTGATGTAGGAGTAAGAGAATGAAAGGAGAACCAGGCCCTCTCCACAGTTCCCTCCCACCTTTGAGCCCATCCTGCAGCAAGGACCAACTGCAAGTCTACAGAGTTCGTGGAGCGTAGAGACAGCTGCTCCTGTCCCACTGGTGACACCATCTTCCCTGCAGAATACAGACAGGAAGAGGCCCGCATAGGCATAGGCAGTAGAAGTGGGCTTGCAGCTTTAAGCAAGGAATTCTGGGGTCTTGGGTAGGGGAAATGTGATGGGGAAGGAGGAGTGGGCTCTGGATGAGCAGGTCCCTTCAGTCCCAGGAAGTCCTCAGCTAGATGGGAGGGTTGAGGTTGAAGGAGAGCCCAGGAGGACCCTTGAGAATGGAGGGCCTAATTCTGAGACCCACAGTACCTCAATTTAAAGGTGACACCGTCCTAGTGTTGACTATGGTCCTGCCTGAGGGGTGTCCAATAAACTTTGGCTAAATAAAGGAATAAATGAAGTGGGTTACCACATGACATTCATGATCGTAAGAATGACTTAAAAACTGAAGGTGAAAACTTCTAGAAACTTCTCTCTGCTTATGCTAGAGAACGGAAAACTGACACTGGGAGGGGCTCTGAGTTTTCATAGTGGGTCACACATTTGAAGTGGCACTGTTTCAGGGTAGATGTCTTTTCTTTTTGTATTAATTATATATTCAGTTTTACCTGTTTTAACTCACTTGCCCTCCTTCAAACTAATGCTAATCATGGTATATGGCTGCATTCTACAATTATTCTATGTTTCTTATTGGAAGTTTAATTGCATGGAGGTTGGGATGGGGTGACAGCAGAAATCTTGATGTTGGAAAATTTGGTAGAATTAAGAAGGAAAACGAAGGATGTCTTGGAATGCTCTTTTCTCTGGCTTCGTAAGTTACAATGGGCAAGGAGAACTTGGAAGGAAACACTTTATCACACTCACGGTCATAGGACAGACATTTATCACACGATTCGCTTTAGCCTTGTAGAATGAAAGCAGAAGCCATAAACTGTGAACGGAGGAGAGTGCAAACTGTTGCATTTTCTGAACTCATTGAAGATGACGTGAAAAAGTTGTTGGGATGCTTTATTATGTGTGGAAGGGCCATAAAATCCAGGCTGAGCACCAAGAGGAAAGTGCGGTCAAAGATAAGGGAGAGTGTGAAGGGACGGCACTGCAATTAAATTTGAAAACCACTCTTTATAGACACATTAAAAATCACACTCCAACCAATAGAATGGATAAGCAGCCTCACTGTATCTGGAACCTGTCGCTATGAACGCACATCCTGAGAAAGGATCTGTAGTGTTTATTACGTCTCAGTTATGAAATGATGAAGCATGTGATTTAAGTACCATTTAAATGCCAGGTGCCACCTACTTATTCATTTAACAAATAGTCATTAAGTGCCACCTCTATGCGAAATTCTGTACCAGTAGCTGGAGATATAGCTATAAAAAGTCATGGTTTCTCTTAGGGAGAAGCTGTTGAACTTGGGAGAATGACTACTAACAGGGAAGGTAGAGGACTGAAGAGGAGGGGCTAACGTGGACTTTTTAGTAGAGAGTGGGATTATCTGCCTATGGCTGATTGTGTACTCTATGCACACTTGTTTGTTTGCTTTAATTTTTATTTTTAAGTTCTGGGGTACATTTGCAGGGTGTGCAGGTTTGTTACATAGGTAAATGTGTGCCATGGTGGTTTGCTGCACCTATCAACCCATCACCTAGATATGAAGCCCAGCGTACATTAGCTCTTTTTCCTAATGATCTCCCTCCCGCTACACCTCACAACAGGCCTCCATGTGTGTTTTTCCCCTCCCTGTGTCCGTGTGTTCTTATTGTTCAGCTCCCACTTATAAGTGAGAACATGCGGTGTTTGGTTTTCTGTCCCTGCATTACTATGCTGAGGATAATGGCTTCCAGCTCCACCCATGTTCCACGTCCCTGCAAAGGACATGATCTTGTTTTTTTTATGGCTGCATAGTATTCCATGGTGTATATGTACCACATTTTCTTTATCCAGTCTATCATTAATGGGCATTTGGGTTGATTCCATGTCTTTGCTGTTGTGAATAGTGTTCCAATAAACATATGCGTGCATGTATCTTTGTAATAGTATGATGTATATTCCTTTGGGCATATACTCAGTAATGGGATTGCTGGATCAAATGGTATTTCTGATTCTAGATCTTTGAGGAATCGCCACAGTGTCTCCCAAAAACCACAATGAGGTACCATCTCACGCCAGTCAGAATGGCGATTGTTAAAAGGTCAAGAAACAACTGATGTTGGCGAGGTTGCGGAAATGTTATTATAATCTTAAGTAAGGTTTTACATGCCCATGGAAGAAAGTTTTCAAATGCAGAAAAGTAAGAAGAAAAAATATCATCGCTTAGAAACAACCATAGATCGCCTTGTATTCTATTTCCTTCTGTTCTTTTACCTGTGCATATATTTTGACATCGTGGGTATTTTTTGTTATTTTTCTTAATAATATAAGTACTTACATGCAATAATAAATGCTTGATAACATGGTTTTCACGGTTTCAAAACATTCAATCACATTTGGGATTCTGCACATTGGAATGGGGTGGGGGGAATTTTTGTAAAACTTCAGTGCCTGGGAACCTCCTCTCCCAAGACTAAATCACTCAGTCTCTGGGATGGAAGACAGTTATCAGTATTGTGAATAAGTTAATCATTATTATTTTATTATTAGACAATTGAATTTTGCCTGAGTTGTTTGTTTGTTTTCAACAATGTTTACAATCCTGTAATGAACATCTTGGTAGAAGGCAAATCAACATTCTCCATTATTTCCTCAGCACAGAATCTGAGCAATGGGATTAGCACATAAAAAGAATGCACCTGTGTTAATATATCATGATTTCTTCTCATTTCTCAAAGGGGAAGAGATAATTCAGAGGTGGCGTAACAATGTAACAAAGGGGAAAAGTCAGACTCAGAAAGTTTAAAAAATTGGTCATATTTGGCTCCAACAAATGTGTCCTTTCCACTGCAACTGTGTTACCTCACAGGACAATCCTTCTAAAACTTGCATAATTTTTAGTGCAGGTCTGGTTTTCTCAGGCCAATAGCCATCAGGAGAAACACTTAAGAACCTGCCTCCTAGTGACTTGTACAATTCTGGATGATCTGAATGCAACTGCAGATAGGAGATTACAGTGAGATTTGTTGTCACAGACAATGACTAAGAGATAATTATTCCTATCATCTAGTTATTATCAGAAATAAAAAGATTAAAATAAAAACTAAAATCCCGATCATCACTTTATTATTATGTCCACTTTGTAGATAAAGAAATTGCAGTTAGGGAATTGAAGTACCTTTTTTTCTTCCAATATGACACAGCAAGATCTGACTGCAAAGCCAGGTTTTGTTCTACTGAGCTTTGATGAAAAAAAAATTACCTAGGAAGTTTATTAAAAATTGTAGCTTTTCCAAAATTGTCTGATTCCACAGGTCAAAAGATCTTAGAAGTCTATATGTTTATATAGTGCTAATAAGTGTTTAGATTCTGGTACAGGCAGTCTGAGGCCTTCCACGCCAGACTGCCTTCGTATTTGATCCTTTCTGGTTTCAGATATGTTACCAGCTGAAGTAGCACAGCTTCAGATCTGGGCTCCTCAGATCTTCTTCCAACATAGAACCTTCTGTGAGGGATGTAAGTAGCCAACAGCCTCCAGCGGCCATGCCCTCAAGATCCAGAATCTTCCACGGGGCTCACAACAAAGCCATCACTCCCTGAGCTGCTCCAGCTAATAATTAGATTTGACTGAGGGGATAGAGCCAGGCCTTTTTCGGCCTCTAACAGAATGTCCCTAAGAGGGAATCCATGCCTTTCTCAGAACTGCTCTGCAGCCTGTGGCGCTTCCTAATCTACCTTCCTCCTTTCTCTCTCTCCTCTCACAGGTATCAGACCCACAAATCTCCCTCCTACTTCTCCCTCTCCCCTTTATCCTTCCTGGCATTCCTCTTGATAAATCTCCTACAGTTCAGATGTAGTTTTTGTATCTGCTTCCTGGAGAACTCTAACACAAGATGCTACCCAGGAGAGTAGACTAAAAACGCTCCAACCTGGCGGGGAGCCAGGGGCTGCCCAGGGCACACCCACTCCCGGGAGCCACTGCAGACATCTCTTTACAGATCCGTGTTGAGCGATGTCCCATTGATGGCTTGAAATCAGGCATGGTAGAAGGTTTTACACCATAGAAATTAGTCAAGGCTACAATCAAGACTGTTTGGTTTTTGTCTCTCTTTCTTAGAACACCACTGTCTCTAACATTGCTAAAGCTAGGTGTATTAGTCAGGGTTCTCTTAGTGGGGCAGAAATAATAGGAGATATATATATATATATATATATATATATATATATATATATATAGTAAAGGGGAGTTTGTTAAGTATTAACTTACACGATCACAAGGTCCCACAATAGGTTTTTTGCAAGTTGAAAGAACCGAAGAACTTGGAGTTCACTGTTCAAGGTCAGGAAGCATCAAGCACGGGAGAAAGATGTAGGCTGGGAGGCTAGGCCTGTCTCTCCTTTTCATATTTTTCTGCCTGCTTTATATTCACTGGCAGCTGATTTGATTGTGCCCACCAGATTAAGGGTGGATCTGCATTTCCCAGCCCACTGACTCTATCTCTTTTAGCCACACCTTCACAGGCAGCCTGAGGATCAATACTTTGTATCCTTCAATCCAGTCAAGCCAACACTCAGTATTAAGCATCACATCAGTATTCTCAGGAATTCTGATCCACAAAGCGAATCCCCTCTTCATGGTGGAAGCAATGCAGAAGAGCCAGAGTCCACCCCCTTGTTGTCAGTCTCCCACGGACTTTTCTCCTAATGCAGGATAAAGCCCTGTTGCTTCATATCCCAAGAGTCCAGCATATAAATTCTGCTGTCCACCTACTTGTGCCAAGAGTTTGTATTTTCAAGTGCTTTTTGTCATTCCTGCTTGCTCAAAATTCCCTAATAGCCAACAACACTATATATATGTATGTGTGTGTGTGTGTGTGTGTGTGTGTATGTTGTGTGTGTGTGTGTAGAGAGAGAGAGAGAGACAGAGAGACAGAGTCCGCTTTGTCATCCAGGCTGCAGTACAGTGGCACAATCTCAGCTCATTGCAACTTCCACCTCCAGGGTTCAAGTGATTCTCATGCCTCAGCCTCCTGAGTAGCTGGGACTACAGGCATGAGCTGCTGCACTCCAGGCTGGGTGACAGAGTGAGACCCTGTCTCAAAAATAAATAAATAAATAAAACACCCAAAGTAGTAAGACTGACATAAATACATAAATAAATAAATATATTGATACATAAATAGTTTGGGTTCAACAAGGAACATTTCTGCTTTGCATGGGAAGAAGAATACAAATTTCCTTGGGACTGTTGATGTAAATACAAAAAATCATATTCAAAGATTCTAACTTTTGTTTTATCAGTGAAATGTAAGCATCAATTTTCTTAACTACAAAATGGGTTTCCTAACACCAATATCAGAGTGCTGTCTGTGGGCCCAGTTACTTTATATACAGTTTCCAAGATGCTAATAAGCGTTCAATAAAAGGAAATATGTTGTCTGACTTTTTTGTTGTTGTTGTTAGACAATATGGAAAATAAGGCACCAACATTTCCTCGCTGAGTATATTTATTATTAAAAAAGAGATTGCTTTCTGGTGTTTCTGTAAGTGAACACTAATGTGCTGAAAGTTGAAAATAAATAAAACAGGCAGACAAAAAGGCTAGGCAGAATTCACAGTACAAATACCTCTGTTAAACCTTGCCATACCAGAGTGTGACCTTGCAGGAGACAGGGGGACGTGGGGAGTTGTTTAGGAGGCAGAGAAGCAGTGATGCTGGGAGATGCATGACCTAGACTGGCAGGGATGCCAGTGAGGGGCTCATTATGAAGAATATGATTTTTTAAATAAATAATAAAAACTTCCTAAATGCTTGCTCTAACTTTGCCCTACGAATTCCACACTGAGCCAGGCAGAGACGTTAAAGAAGATCCATATTGTGCAAGGCGTGCTGGATTTTGTTCCTTCCGTCAAAATCAGGTAAGGGCAGGGGAGTGAGAATGGGGAGGTTGCTTGACAAATTGCCTTGGATTTATTTTTCATCATTTATATTATATTACATAGGGTTGGAACGCACCTCAATGGATGGACAGGATAATAGTCTGCACGTTTAATACGATTTCTGCTACAGGCAAAATAGTACCAGATAAAGCATTTGTATCTTAATGATAGGTAAATAATCCTTTAGTGTCACAGATGAACATGCGACAGACAGGCATTCTCTATTCATGAAAGCACCTTTATTTTCCTACCCCATTACAGCAGAGATATTACTACATCAGTGGCTATATTCCCACACTGATAGACAGAGAATAAACAATCACACATGCACACACACACCAGCAAGATAATGGTAGTATAGTCACACAATAATAGCTCCTTTATAGATGCTAGAGAATTTCTCTCTCCATTTTGCTACTATATGAAAGATGGCACCGTATGATAGAAAGAAAGCTGGGCATCCGTGAGACAGGGGTTCAAATCCCAGGTGCTCTCCTGATTAGCCGTGCAATTTCAATTACTGTTTTGCACACTGTAATGTGCTCATGAATCATCCAAGCATCTTTTTAAAATGAAGGTTCTGATTTTCCAGGTTTGGGATGAGCCTGAGACTACATGTGCCACAGACCCCATAGTAAGTGACACTCAGGCTAGTGATCTTTGGAATTCCACATTGAATCGTGAAAACTTAAAACCTATGATTCATGTTTTGCAAGCCTCAGTTTCTTCGTGGGCAAAATGCAGATGGCTAATGTTTAATAATACCATGAGGATTATACCAAACAATGCTTATAAAAGCCCTCCCTGTGTGTCCTGGCACATACTGTGCTCCATTGGGGCATGCTGTTACTATTATTATTAATAACGTGCTCGTGAGAACAGTGCGGAGATTAACCACCTGATGGGAACAAGGTAGGTTAAATTAGATGCATGTGGTTCCATCACTTTTTTTTTTTATCTTACAGCTAATAACAACGTTGCAGATTTACTTAGCCCTATACATTCTGGTGGCATTGAATTGTGCGTTCCATCTCCATCCTCCCCAAAATGATAATAAACTTTGGAGAGAAATAAAAGAAGAAAATCTGTTTGCCTTAGAAAGTTTCAACAGCTCAGCAGAGCTGCATATATTGGATAGTAACTTCATTTCCCAGGGACTGGCGGAGCCCATAATCCACGAAAATGGAGCACAAGTCCCTGCATGATGTACTTGTGCAGGAAGCTGCTAAGATTCACTTGCAGCTCTGCGTGAGCCCACCGAGTTCTCTTTGATAAGTTGCCCGACCTGAGAAAGCTGAAAATGTGTCCATTATTGTGGAAGCTGCTGGGAGGATATGGTATTAGAAGTGGAGAGAGTGGAGGATCAGGGATCCTGTGGTGGAGAGTGTGCCTCCCAACCTCATACATTCTGAGAGAGGGGGAGTCCCAATTGGAAAGCCCAAGTTTTACAAGCTACTCAGAGCCCTGGAAAGGGAGGCTTAAAGGTGCTTTGGGTTGCCTTCTACCAAATACGCATGGGTGGCATGATTGAGGTGTCAGGAAGGGGCTCAACACCTGTGGAAAGAGGAGAGCTGGCACCAGCCAACTTTGCCCTTCCCCTGCAAGAGGAAGAGACACCCTGATGTTAAAATTGGAAAGCCTGGGAAAAATAATGCATAGCATAGGCAGGGCCATGAGGTGCTAGGCCCCCACATCTCCGGCTTGGGAGAGGATAAACAGTTTCTGCTTTTCTGGAGGGCAATTTGGCATTGTGTTTCAAAACCTTTAAAAAAATGCATACCCTTGTACCCTGCAGACCTGCATCTGGACAATTATCCCAAGGAAACAATATAAACATGTGGAAAATTTAGCTTTAGGGTGCCATGCCTAGAATTAGGATGCAAAAAAAATTTTTTTGGTTACCTTGATGGGTGGGGTAGCAGAAAAAAACAAAACCAAAATGAGGACAATAAGACAGAGAGAAAAGAAAAAACAAAAAACAAACAAACAAAAAACTATTTCAAAACTATAGGCATCTCCCCTTCCCCAAGATGTGGAGGCTGGGGTCAGCCCTTGGTGGAGGTTGCTTTGTGGCTTGGAAGCAATCTCTACACAGGGAAGAATATTAAGCAAACACCCTCCTCGGTATTCATGGGCAAATCTAAGAAAGCAGGTGTGTTAGACTCAGAAGTTAAATATCCTGCTTTGTTATGTAAATTGTTAAGTGCTGTTTTTAGTGAAAACTACATTTCTGCAGACTTGGATGCTCCAATAGCACTGTTTCTCTTCTTGGTAAGAATTCACGCTGGTTGCAATTTGCTTAGAAACAGTGGCCATAAGCCAGGCAATACATAGGTTGGTGGCAGGCAGTGAGGAGTTGTGTATGCAGCTTCAGGACTTGCTCTCAATCCACTTACATTCTCATGGGCTGGGACAGATAAAAACATGTGCACAAATAAAAAACTAAGTAGATAGAAACATACTGCTACTACTACTAACTTCTGTGAAGAGGAAAAATAAAGTAGCGTGATAGCAATGGAAGGGAGTTGCTTTAGTTTGGACAGGATCTGAGGACCTCTCCAAAGAAATGACAAGTGAATGGTCCATTAAGGAAAAAGTAGGGGGTAGGGGCAGTTGCACTCAAATTGTGGAAAATTCTTGGTTACAGAGGGGGAAGTGTTGCTATGAACCTGAAAAATGGCATGGTAGTTGAAGAGGATGTCAGGGCATGGGGAATTTTATTTTGGATGGATAATTTTGTAGCAAATTTGTAAGCTTATGAGAATGATCCAGCAGAGAAGGAAAAATTGATGATACTGAATAAAATGAGAAAAACTGGAGGCATACAGTTCTTGAGAAAGCAAGAACATATGAGATAGAGATCGTAAATAGGGGAGTTTGTCTTTGGGATGAGTTGTGGTGGTTACTCCGTCAACAGGGTGGAAGTCAGGGCTTGTACATAAAGACAACAGCTAGGATCACTGGGAAAATTCAGTTGGGGACTTCATATCTGAATGCATCAAAGATAAATGCAATCGGATATAAACTCTCCAACTAAATCTCTCTTTGATGTAAGGAGAGGTCATCAGTAGACCGTAGACAGTGTGCCTGAGGAAAGAGAAGCTGTGAAATAATCATGTCTAGATTTGGGAAGAAAAATTTACTTAGAAAATGTAGAAGAATCATCTGGTTGGATTAAATGCATTTCAGATGTGTGGTCATTTATTGATGTGTCCACTCAACACCGTTTTGTAACATTTTCCAGCCACAAGCAGCTTCTGGGGAGCAGATACAAAGAAGGTAAGCAGTTGGGCATAACTAGGTATTATGGTTAATTTTATGTGTCCATTTGTCTGGGCCATTCACCCAGATACTTGATCAAGCATTACTCTAAATGTTTGCAGTGAAGGAATTTTTTAGATGAGGTTAACATTTAAATTGATAGACTGAGAAAAGCAGATTGCCCTCCATAATGTGTGAGTCGACCGCATCAGTTGAAGGCCTTAATACGAAAAGCTGATCTCCCCGGCCTGCTGGCCTATTCTGCAGATTTTGGACTTGCCAACATCCACAATTCTGTGAGCGAGTTCCTTAAAATAAATCTGTATATATGTACATACTATTGTTTCTGTCTCTCTGGAGACCCCTGACTAATGAACAAGGTTTGGAAGAGAGGTAGGGTTACAAAGGAAATCTGATGAATAGAGAAAGGGCAAGAGAAAGCAGTCTGCCTTCAAGGGATCCTTAAGGTCATGGTGAGAGAAATTGTATCTAGTGAGAGACCGTACCAACCAGAACAGGCTAGGTTATGCCGTGATAAGGAACAAGCCCCAAATCTCAATGGCTTGTCAAAACAAAAGTTAATTTCTTAAGGAGGTTGAAGTGGTCTCTGATCATTGTGGTCACTCAGGGACTTGGGCTAAGGCTCCATTTTGATAATGGCTTCCACAACCACTGCAACAGGAGGGGAAAAGGGTAAGTGACATGCATTGGCAGTTAAAATGTCACATATCACTTCTGCTTACATTTCAAATTTCAAATCACAAGGCTCCATCTAATTTTAAGAGGTGGTCAGGGAGCAGTTAGTTCTACTGTGTTTTGGAAAGGAGAATAGTCTGAAATTGGTGAAATAATTTTAATGATTACCATCAGTAACAGATATAAAATAAGTGGTAGGAAAAATGGACTGGAGTACTCAAAGACACTGCAGAATTTCTGGACTGGGAAGACTGGAATGAACTGGAAGCTTAGAGATGTAGCCAGAGAGTGTTGAATGGCTTGAAGTTGATTCAGAGATGGTGAAGCTGTTGGAGATGACAATTTAAAGACAGGAACATGTACATAGATACCTAAAATAGAGTGAAGGGTAAGTTCCTTACAACAGCCATTCTCAGACTTCAGTGTGTATCAGAACCACAGGAAGGACTTGTGAAAACACAGATTGCTGAACCTCACTGACCTAGAGTTTCTGATTTAGTGTCTGAAGATTTACATTTCTAATAAATTTGTACGTAGTACTGAGGATGTCTGCCTTATTAAAGGTATGCACAAGGAAAGAGATCCTTATTAAAGATCCTTATTAAATAACATCCTTATTAAAGGATGCACAAGGAATAACAGGCCTTAGCATTACATGAGTTAGCAACATGGTGTTAATGTTATTATGAATGATGACTGGAGCCACTTACGAAAATAATTAATGAATAATAGGGAGCCATAGGTCATTAATAGATGACAGCAACAAGAAAAATAATAGTAAAATCGAATCATACATATTTTGAAGATTTATCTTGTGGAAGGAAGGAAAGGAGATGATTTGGAAAGAGCATTGGGAAGTAAAGAGGACATCCACCCAGCCTCCAGATATTAAGGTATACGGGATGATGTGGGAACAAAACAGTGCTCATAATTTACATGTGGTGAAATGCATAAACCTTGTGTGTTTCACTGAATTTTGACTAATGTGTACACCCATGTAACTCATAATCCCTTCAACATCCATCACCACAGATAGTTGTCTCATACTACTTTCTAGTCAATCTTACAAATATTAATTGTTTTAGTACATGAGCATGGTATATCTCCCTTTATATTTATGTCTTATTTGTTTCCTCAATATTTTGTAGATTTCAGTGTACAGGTTTTGTGTCTATTTGATTTAATTTATTCCAAAATATTTTATGTGTTTTATGCTATTGCAAATCATATTTTTATAATTTTATTGCCCATCATTCACTCATAGTATATAAAATTCATTCTTGTATATTGAATTTATATTCTGTAATTTTGTTAAAAATCACCTTTCATTGTTAATATTTTCTTTTTGTTGAATTATTTGGAAAACGTATGTAATTAATTTTATCATTTGCAAGTAAAAACAATTTTGCCTCTTCTTTTCTTATCTTTTGTGCATTTTTGGATCGTTTGTTTGCTTATTGCTTGAACTAGAAATGCTAGTACAATGTTGAATAAAAGTAGTAAGAGTGCACATCCTAGGCTTGCTCCCAGTCTTAAAGCGGAAATTAAATATTTCAGCATACAGCATGTTAGCTGCATCTTTTTCATAGATTCCCTTTATTTGTTTGAACTGGTTTTGTTTTTTCTCTAATTTTTTGAGAGTTTTTATCATGACTAAGTACTAAGTTTTGTTAAATATTTTATCATCTTTTGAAATGATAAATGATTTTCCTTTATTTTGATTTTCTTTTAATGTTAAGTCAACTTTGCATTTCTAAGGCAAATCACTTTGTTGTAAAGCATTATCTTTTTTATGTATTGTTGGATTTGATTTGCTAACATTTTTCTAACATTTTTTGTAATGTCCCTTTCTGCTTTGATTCTAAAGTAATGTCAATAGAGAGTTAGAAAGTTTTGCCTCCTCCTATATTTTTCCCAAAGAATTTACATTTGATTTTATTACTTATTCCTTGAATTTTTGATAGACTTCACCAGGCAATGCTACCTAAGCTTAGAATTTTCTCTGTGGAAAGACTTTTAAATATAAATTTAATTTTTAAAAACATAGATGTAGGGCTATTCAAAATTTCTATTTCTTTTTATGTTAGTTTTTCTAACTTGTGTGTCTAAAGAAATTGTCTATTTAATCTAAGATTTGCCATTGTTTTTATATTCTTTGGTCCTTTTAATTTGCTTAGGATAACTCCTGTTTCATTCTTGATATGAGTCTTCAAACTGTCCCCTCCTTTATGTCTGATATTGCTTTCTATCTTCTTTTCTTGATCAATTTAACCAAAGGTATAAATTTTATTACTCATCATTTCAAAGAACCATCATTTGGTTTCATTGATTTGCTCATTTTTTTCCTATTTTTTGTCATTTCTTTTTGAATTTTTTTTTTACTATTTTTGTTATTGTGCATTAGATATAATTTGTTCTTCTTTCTCTAGCTTCTTAAGGTGAAAACTTATGTCAGTAATTTAAATCCTATTTCCCTCTTAATATAGTTATTTAGAGCTCTAAATTTCCCTCTGCATGTAGTTTTAGCTACATCCTGAAAGTTTTGTAAACAAGGTTTTTATTTTAATTCTATTCAAAATATTTTCTTTTATCTCTTATGATTTCTGTTTTGATCCATGGGTCATTTAAAAATATATTGGTGAATGTGAAAACTTTACAGATATCTTTTTTGTTATTGTTTTTCACTTAATTCAGTTTTCAAAATTATTGAGGTTTGGTTTATAGCCCAGAATATAGTCTATCTTGGTGAAAATTATGTGTGCTTTGTACCATAAATATTCATTAAGTTTTATAAGTTGGTTTTTGGTTCATAATGTTGCTCAACTTTTCTTTTTCCTTGCTGAATTGTTCTAAATCTACTTATTCTATCAAATATTAAAAAGCAGAGGGTGCAGTCTCCAAATATGATTGTGAATTTGTCTCTTTCTCCTTTTACTTTGTCAGTTTTTTTCAGGTATTTTGAAACTTTATTTTGTATATATACATTTAGTATTGTTATGTGGTCTTAAAATGTTGACCTGTTTATCATTAATAAATGATGATTATACTAGCATTATTAAATATCCATCTTTATCTCTGGCATTGTACTTTGTCTTGGTGTCTTGTTTGGCTTTCTTACAGTTAGTGTTTTCATGGATTATGTTTTTTTATCCATTCCTTTTAAATCTATATCTGTCTTTGCTTTTAAAGTGGATTTCTTGTAGGTAACGTAGGGTTGGTTGTTGCTTATATACTCATCTGAAAATTCCTGCCTATTAATTGGAATGTATAGTTCACTTGCATTTATTTACTGATATTGCCATTTTAATTTTACTATTTGCATTACTTTTGACCCATGAATTCTTTATTTCTTTATTTGTTTTAAATTCTGGACTGTGTATTTATTATTTATTTTTAAGTTTTAAAAATCTACTATATTAGCTTTTAGTTATTCCTCATTTATTGCTTAAGGTATCTATATATTATCAAAGTCTACATGCATTAATAACATAACCCTTCTATAAGAATTTTAAAATAGTATATTTCCATTTCTTTCCTCTTATCTTTTATGCTATTATTTTCATACATTTTACCAGATGTTACAAATCAGAGGACATCATGAAGCAGGGTGTGAGCTTCTACTGCTACATGAGCCTGTTCTTGCAAGACATGTAGGGGAGAAGATGAGGAGAATTGCAGGTAGGTGAGGACTGCCGAGCTCTTTCAGTTTTAAAATGGACATAAGTTAGGCATTCTTTTACATGTCCTTTCTTTTATCTACAAAATTTCTGTATTTACCAAAGAAGAAAAAATTTTCTCCACTACGTATATAAAATTAGAAATGGGAACTTTTGCATACTTGAACATGAGTATTTAGGTGTATTTGTTTATATACCTTATTTTGAAGAAGAGAGTATATAATAATAAGCTGAACAGGTATTGAATAACTGAAAAGAAAAGAAACACTAAGGAGACAGAGGGATAGTAATTGCAGGATCAGAGTTCAAGGAAAACAAAATAAGTTGGATTACTAAAAGGCGGGAACTTGGAGGAGAGCCTTGCAGAACTGAGACTCAGCCCATTGAGGCAAGGAAGCCTCCAGACTGGTGTAGGTATTTCTGGAGCCCAGAGGAGAAGCCAGAGACCCATACTCTGGGCAAAGGAGCTGCCTGGCAGGTGCTGATATCTCCGAGCAGGTTTGATGCACTGGATCTCTGGAAGGACCACACGGAAGGCAAGTCCGGTTATTGGAACCACCTTTGGCTGCCAGGGGTCTGAGCTCTTGCTGAGACAGCACTGCCAGTGACAATAAAAACAGTTAAAAGGAGTAGTTCTTTGTCTCGTTTCTTCCTTCCAGGCTCCCTCTAGCATATATTCTCAGCAAAATCTAGTAGGGAGCAGACCGGCAAAGGAGAAATGCAGTTTGAAGGTCTGAGCTCCAACATCATAAAGAGGAGTATAAAAGACTAGGTGTAGAGTTGTGAGATGATCACTTAGAATTGGTGACCCTTCCCAAGCCACACTGGTGGTAGATGACACTGAACCCAGGGGGTCACCTATCTTTGAGGGTCTCAGCAGCAAACATGATCCTTCTAAAGATGCTAAAATACATAGATATGGTCTGTGTCCCTGCAGATACCTAGCACGGGGCCCTGGAGAATCTCTGAAAAGAGAACAACCAACAAGCACTGTAAGGAGACAAGGTTCTTGCATCAACAGGTAGGGGCCAGCAGATATCACGATTTGGATGTTGATGAACTATGACCCCATTTTTGTATTCACGAACTTTTGAAGCATGCCAATTATATGAATAATATTGAATGGAAGGCAAATGTGATGGTATATAGGAGGTCACTGGCTAAATAAATTCAGACACACTTACACAATGAATAACTCTGCAGCTATTAAAAATAATGCTGTAAAATAATATTTAGTAATATGGGAACATGTTCATATTAGGTTTTTTTAAAGTTTATGAATGTGTTACATTTTCAATATACAAATGTTTATTTTTATCTTTATTATATATTATATGTATTATAAGTATATTATATGTATGATACATATATATATTATATGTATGATACATATATCTATTATATGTATCATACACATAATATATATGTATGATACGTATTATATATGTATAGGCATATAATGTATGTATTATATGTACATATATAATATGTAATATATGTATTATACATAAACTACATATTACAAATATAAATTATATATAATTTATATATTAATATATACTATATAATATATTCAAATATTGATAGCTTGTATTAGTATTTATAATTAATATGACATATTAATATAAGTAATATATTACTTATATATGTAATATATAAATAATATATCATTAATTTTCATGTAAAATATATAAAGACAATATTTACATAGAGTAAATTTATATATTTGTGTTTATATTTTTTATATATTACTTATGCAGAAGTTTCTACAATAATTGTTATAGTGTATCTGTATAGGTTCAACCAGATATGATTTTTACTTTGCGTGTTTATATTTTTTAATATGTCCTGAATTTTCTACAAAAAAGCCATTTTTTACTTTTATAAAAATATTTACTTTTTTAAATTAAAGAATAATGTGAAATGATTGGAATATCATCTTCTCAAATCCTTCTCAACTATTTAAACTCCTTTCTATCCTGTCTCGAGCGTAGAAACATACCTTCATGTACTATAGAATACATGATAGAATACATACTTTTCTATACTCTATACTTTCAACATCATCAACCTCAAAATGGGGAGTAAAACGTTAGAAGGTTTCTTACATTCTGAAGCTCTCCTCTATGACCAGCCACTCACAGCCACAAGTCCTTGGAATGGCAATGGAAATACATCTCTCTTCTTTACTGAACAAAGCCTTTTCATGCTATTGTATTAGGCTTTGTACTGGGCTGCTCATCTCTCTTAAATACCTTTTTTCTGGCTGCTTCTGGAAAACTCCTATTCAACCTTGAAAGTCCAATTCGCACTTTCCTACTCTGCCACAATTGCAAATTTCTTGAGGCCTCCCAGAAGCAGAAGCCACTATGCTTTCTGTATAGCCAGCAGAACCATGAGCCAATTGAACCTCTTTTTTTTTTTTAATATAAATTACCCAGTCTCAGGTATTTCTTCATTGCAGTGCAAGAACGGACTAACACAAACACCTAGATTAGTGTTTGAGTAAACAACTCGGTACTATAACTTAGCCAAGTTTATACATAAACTAACAATCACACACAACAATAGAAAACTAATAGAAATACGTTAAATTTCAAGGGACAAAACATCAAAATAGTGTAAATAAAACCTTTGGTAAGGAACATGGCATATAGCACACTCAATAAACATCTGCTTTTTATTATGGCCATCATTCTGAAAATTCAAATGTTAAAAACTATATATATTCCCCACACGCAAAAGGCAGCATGATATAATGGTACAATCTCTAGACACAAAATAGGGAGAATTAGAAAGGGTCTTGGTTTCAAGTGGGAGTTGAGCAATGAGAACACATGGACACGAAGAGAGGAACAACACAATGGCTGGTTGGGGACGGGTGGGGTGAGGAGAGGGAACTTAGAGGACGGGTCAATAGGTACAGCAAACCACCATGGCACACGTATAGCTATGTAACAAACCTGCACATTCTGCACATGTATCCTGCTTTTTTTTTAGAAGAAAATAAAATAAAATAAAAAGAGTGCTTTTGTTCCAAAATTTACCTGCTTATTTATTTTTGTCAAGTATCTTTGTTTCCCAGTCTGTAAAATCAGGATGATAATCCATGATCTCGTCTTAAAGTAGTATATGATTAATTGACTTGAAAATTCTAATTGTTCAAATTATCTAAAATGATCCAGAGAGGCTTACAATAAAATAAACTATAAGTCAATGAAATCAGAACCAGAAAATTAAAATCAATTTAGAAGGATACAATAGCATATTTATTTTTAAGCATATTTATTTTTAAGATAAAATGCTTGTGATTGAGCAATGAATTGAGCCCTGAGACTCCAGCAGCAAATGAAGATGTTGAGATACATTTATTTATTATTTCAACAACAGCAGCAAGAACTCATTCTGTAATGGGAGGACATATGCATTTATTAGGTCACAGGAACGTTTCTTGGAAATATTTCAGTGTCACAACTCATAAAAGGAACAGTGAACAAGTAATGGGTGTACTCCAGTATAATGGATGAAAGTCAGGTTGGACTGAATTCAAGTCCCATAGCTGCCAGTTTTGAGATCTCACTCTGCACTAAGCCAAAATACTTAATGTCTCCAGGCCTTCGTTTCCTCATCCCAAAATTAGGAATTTGCATAGTATGTACTTCATTGAGTAGTTTGTGATGTGTTTAATGGAATTGGAGCTTTTCAAGGGTTTAGCACAGTGTGATACAGAATTTCGATATATGTCACCCAGTTCATTCGAATTTTTATTATCATTGTTACGCAGACACCTAAAAGTTCTTCATATGATCTTTGGTCATACTAACCCATGGTAGATGTCGTATTAGTCTGTTCTTGAATTGCTATAAAGAATTACATGAGACTGTGTAATTTATAAAGAAAAGGGGTTAAATTGGCTCATAGTTCTGCAGGCTGTACAGGAAGCATGGCTAGGGAGGCCTCAGGAAACTTAGAATTATGGCGGAAGGTGAAGAGGAAGCAGGCATGTCTTACATGGCCAGTGCAGGAGGAAGAGGGTGAAGGGTGAGGTGTTACATGCTTTTAAACAACCAGATCTCATGAGAACTCATTCAGTATTATGAGAACATCAAGGAGTAAATCCACCCCCATGATCCAGTCACCTCCTACCAGGACCCTTCTGCAACATTAGGGATTACAACTCAACATGAGATTACGGCCAGGGCACAAATCCACACCTTATCAGATGTCTTTCCATCTATAGAATGAAAATGGAAGATTCATTTGTTTTCTGAGAACCCCATGATGTGCCTAGCACTGTTCCAGGAGGTGACCCTTAAGGTTAGGTTAAGGCCTCTGATCCCAAGGAGCTTGCTGGGGAAACACAATAAAAAGATGAAAAATAAAGAGAAAGACAACAGTGAATCGTTCTATGCAGATAATTAAAATGAGCAGTGCTGTGGACAGCAACTGATGGCTGCTGCAGGTAGACAGCTTGGGTGACCTCTCTGAGGACATGGCACTTGGGTGGAGATGGAAATGCAATTGGAGCCCATTATGACAAGGACAGAGAAAGCCACTTTGGTGGAAGCATCCACAGGGCTAATGCACTATAGTGGGTGTGAACTTAGAGGGCTCAGGAATCAAGGAGAAGGTCAGCGTGGCTGGAGCCTGTTTAGCAACAGGGTGAGGTGATGGATGTAAAAAGAGAGCAAGAGAGAAATCCCCAAGGGTTGGCTTCTGAAAGACCTGGTAAGCAGGTCAAGGGGTATGAATTGAATTCAAAGTATGATGGAATTCCCATAGGAGGAGTCTAAGCAGAAGGAGGATGTAAACACTTTGCACTTCCTCAAGAGCCTTTGGGCTTCTGAGCAGAGAGTGTCTTGCAAGAAGACAAGAGGAAAAGCCCAAAGGCCAGTCTGCAGGTGGTGAAGTTGTCCAGGTGAGGATGGGGGTGGCTAGGACCAGGACGACAGAAGGAACAGAAGTGGATGTGAGGACACTGGAGCTTGGGGTCTCCTGGATGTGGGAAGGACTCCCTGTTGGCCTTTGGGCTGGTGACATCAGGTGGACAGAGACTGGAAGGGACCTCAAAGCCTGCACAAACATTGGGAACATGAAACTGTATCCCATTTGTGCTCCTGTCCCCACAAGAGCTACTCTCCAATACCTCTATAGCCGGCAGCTCCATTTACCTGGGAGAGAATCACAAGATATCTGCTATATCTGTCTGGTTGTCTCTCTAGGAAATCAGCAAATCAACTCTTTCTCCCCATACCATGCATTTGTTTACTCTGTACAACCAGGCCACCTGGATAAAGCTCAAACTTCTTTACATAATTTTTAAGATACTGTACAAAGGGACCTAGAATCCAGCACATGCCATCAAGTTATGATCACATCGGCACTGCACCATCATTCTCTGACTTGCTCTTCTTTCTCCATCTCACCCCCAGTATCCAAGACTCCAGTGATAATAGAGATGTGTTCACTGTATCTGAATATTTTTTGCCTGGAATATAGTGACACTCAGTTAATGTTGGTTATTTTATTCTAGGTGTTGCTGTTTTAGTTATTTTTCTGATTACTGTTACAGCAAGTTTTTGATGATCTTGGTACTCGTGGATTTATTGATCCACTTGTCTAGAATGTTCATTTCCACCTCTGCACGGAAGACTCAATAAAGATTGGTTGAATAAACTGATCAAGAGAAGTTATGTTTACTTCTCTAAAGCCTATACAAACATTACCACCACCTCCAGGGAGCCCTCTCTGACTACCTCAAACTTAGGCATTCGTGCTCTCATCAGTGCCCCACAACGCCTGCTCAAAATGCCATCTCCTTGGGTTGTGGTTGTTTCCCCACTACCTTGGGAGATTCCAGCAGGCTGGGCTATTATTTATTGCAAAATGTATGATAGACTAAGGTACATATTTGGAGTATGTTAAACTTGGAAAGAAAAAGATAAAGATGAGAAAAAGCCAGTTTGTTCTTTCAGCCAAAGCAGCTATAAAACCATCCATGCCATACTTGGGGATTTAGGAACCAGTGCAAAATGTGTTTGAGCCCTGACATGTGATAATACGTGGGTCCCTCCTAGATGCCTGTTTTTCGTTGCTTCGAGCAGTATGGCTGCTCACATATGTATGGAATCATCCATCCTCTTGGAGAAGAAATGTACCTTTACCTTTACACCCCACCTCTTCTAGTATTTGGTAAATCAGGAATCATCTCCATGCTATGTAAGCAAATAATCACTCAGACAACCCCATTGCCTTCCTCTGAATGCATGCTAAGACTGTGCACCAGCATCTGGGGCTCAGCACCTATGCTCACATGCCAGCACACACTGCAGTCAGTGCACTGACCCACTGAGCCACCACCCTACCCCACATGCACATGTGTACAAGCACTTTCTGAATACCAGGGTTAAATGTTGGTTTGCACATATCTGAAGACTATGTTGCAAATTTTAAAGTTCAACTGATATTTCTACCAGGAAGTTGGCCCTCCTCTGTGATCAGGAGCCACTCATCTATGTTGCTTGCTTATTTCATCTGCAGACTTTTCTTCTTGCAACCCGAGTGAGGACTTCTCACATGGGAGGAGATAGTGTACCTGCTTATCTCCTATGAATGACTTTAAGTTCCTGAAGAACTAGGACCTTGTGGTATATTGAGCTCTCTATCTCTGGGACCCAACCTCTTATCTGACTCATGTTAATTGTTTAGTCCACTGGCATTTAGTTTAGGCTTTGTTAAATAAATCAATAACTGAAAAAAGAAAAAAATAACATAGTTATCCTTTAATTATTGAGATTCTACAATTTTCTAATTGGGCCCTTGCTAATTGACATACTTTGAAATACTTTAGAGATATTTCAGTATTATCTATAAAAGTCCAAGGTGGCAGGGAGTAATGCTGTTTACCTGAGTAGGTAGTGAAATAATGCTAGAAAGTGCTACCGATGTGATTCAGACCCTGGACCTGACCCACCTGACCTACTCCCTGAAGATCACCTCGGCCTGAGAAAACAGATGGCCTTCTCCAAGACGATGTTCATATACATGAACCTCACATCTCAAAGAACATGTGTCTGACAGGAAATTGATGTCAAGGCACGCTGCACTTCAGCAACTGTAATAGGGCGAAATTAACCTCTGCTCAAGTAAACCCTTCCCAAACGCAATGATGGAGATTCATAAGCTGAGAGCTTATCTCTGTGGGACTTGCATAAGCTCTAAAACGGAAGCTCCTCTTCCGAATAAGAGACTGCCATACACCAGTAAGTGTGTTTATCCAAAGGGAGGATTGTTTTATTTATTTATTTTTTCCTTAGGATATCAGTCCTGCTAGTCTACATTTCCACGCGTTCATAATCTTTCAATTAGATACTCCGTTGAATATAAACTATTTTGCCAGTGATTCTTGCTAAGGAATGTTTGGGGAAAAAAAAGAGGAAGAGAGAGAAAGCTTTGCAAACAAGAGGTCTCATCAGCTCAATATTACACTTTGTCATTAACGACAGTGACTGTTTTCATTCATTATTCAGCCCAACTTAACAGTAATTTGTGCCTGAGAGCAGGAGCAAAAAGGAGAACAAATGAGGACTGGAGAGAATGTGTTTATATGAGAAATAATTTTAAAATAGTATCTCTAATGCATAGTGGAATGAATATTATTTTCACTGTTTAAATTAAATTATATGCACAGTGGTTTTGCTTTTCTCTTAAATGATAAAAGAGTTCTATAGTGCCTTAAGTGCAATGATAGTTTGAGTATATATATGTATGTATATATATATTTCTTTCTTTTTTGTACCACATTCTATATATACTTTTTATTTCTAAATTAATTATCTTTCAGTAGGAAGCTTTTTAAGGTGAAGGAGGTTCTCATTTAGGAGACACTTCAGAATACAAAGAGAATAGCTCTGAAGCTCACAGGTTGCATTTGTTCATTCCTCCTGTGAGCATGTGTCTTAGGCATGGTGCTGGCATAAAAATCTCCAGAAAGTAAAGATGAATCCCAGCCCAAGGTAGGCATATTTCCAAAGGGGGCTGGACTTTGAGCAAGCCATTGCAATGAGGCAGTGACACATGGCAGGCAGCAGGGACATGGGAAGAGAGGCAGGAGAGGCAACACCAAGATAGGAGCTTGGGATCTGAGACATTTGCTGGCAGTGATGTTGAGAAAGGATATTTGGGATCAAGAGCAGAACACAATCAAACAATATGATATCTTGGAGATTCATAGGTAGATCAAATTGCTGGGAAGCAAAGGGTGAGGAGTGAGTTGGTGACAGGATGGACAGCTTAATGGGCTCCTCCTTGTGCGTGGCCTCTTGTGAGGACAAAGGAAGCTAGACAGATGATTGCAAGCAAATGAGGAAAGTTCAAATAAGCTCTGTGGCTTGGTATAATGATAGTATAACAAGTAATAAGTATAATGTATACTTATTATACAATTATACAAGATAATATACTTATTATCATTATATAAGTAAAAAGTATAATGATAGCACTTAGTTAATAGTACCAATGTCAATTTCCTGGTTATCTTTGGGGGAAGCTGGGTAAAGGGTACACCAGAACTCTCTGCATGAATTTCTTTCAATTTCCTGTGATTTTAAAATTATTTTAAAGTAAAAGTAGTTTTAAATACGCATATATATATTTATATATGTATATTCATATATATGTATTTATAATATACATCTATTCATATATGTATATTATATATGTAAATATATACATATACTGAGCAAGCCATTGCAATGAGGTGGTGACATATGGCAGACTGAAAGTCATTTTTCTTTCTCAACAAATTGTTGTAACACTTTATAATGGCTGCATAATAGTTCTTTGGGGGAGGAGTGTATATATTCATTCAATGATTCTTGAATGGAAGATTCTTAACATACATACATATGTAACATACATATATATGTAAATATATACATCTATACATACATAAATATATGTAAATATATACGTCTATACACACATAAAGATATGTAAATATATACATCTATACATATGTAAATATATACATCTATACAATGGGGATAAGTATAAATATTTTTATATGTGTATATTTATATGTGTGTATATATAGATGCGCGAACACACACACACACACACTTTTTTATTAAGGACTCTAAGACATGAAGGTGAAAGTGAGCCAGCAAAGACTCCAAAGCAGAGATGTGTTTCCTAGTAAGGTTGGACTTTGAAGGGACTTCAAAGGTTCTCAAATCACATCCTTTCTCCTTATGTAAAAAATTAAATAGACTCTCAGACAGGATGAACTAGGGTACATAATGCATTGGTGATTGAGCTGTAATGAAATATCAGGATCGTTCATTGGTTTGGTTGCTGTTTCATTTTTTGACGTTTGTGTAATCAGAGGAACTATATTGGAAGGAGGACCATCTTTTGGATTCACTCTGAGTTTGAATGCTGATATTGCTGGCTGCAGACTTTGCTGGTTGTGTCCTGAAGTCATTTATGGTGCTCGCTGGGGTTCACTGCCCAATACTGACTCCACTGTTATGACCTATGGGATGTTGAGTCAAGTGCACCTCATGCTACCCATCTGTAGCACTGAGGAAAGCATGGCACCTGACAGATGGGTCTGTAGCAAGGACTAAACTGAAATATGTATGGAAAGACCGTAGCATTTGTTATGGTGCAAGCATGTTCAATAATTAACTATTGTTATTATTCGAGCTGGCTGAATCTGGATGTGTTATTTAATCTTTATTAACTTCCAAGTTCACATCTAAACAATGGAGATAAGTATATATACTTAAGCAAGACATTGAGAAGATGGAGTGAGATAATAAGTCATTGGCCTGGAACAGAGAGGGCATCCATCCATGTTAGTTTCTCCCTCCTGACTCTCATACTGGACAGCCCCTGTGGGTTGAAATCTACCAACAGCACATAGCTGGGGACCCTGACCTCGGCTCATAGCCAGCTCTGCTCCAAACTCTTGGCCTTAGTCTCTCACCTTGCAATATATTCTCATTTTATACAAAATAGACACTTATTATGAAAAAAATAAAAACAAAGAATAAATAACAAGAAACAAACCCTCATTTTGTGTGTGTGTGTAGAGCCATGTGCTATGAATATTTTGGCACTATTTCCTCCTGGTTCATTCTACATATTTTTATATGGGTAAATTTATCCAGAGAGAGGACAATTTTGCCCCCTCTCATATTAGGGGGTAAGGGGAGTAGAGCTGAAAGTCATTTTTCTTTCTCAGCAAATTTTTGCAACATTTTATAATGTCTGTGTAATAATTCTTTGGGGTAGGAGTGTATCTATTCATTCAATGATTCTTGAATGGAAGATTCTTAACATCCATACATAAACAAATCATATATACACACACACACACACACACACACACATATATATATATACACATATATGTATATATACGGCTGTTATGATTGAATGACACTGTGATAAACACACCTTTATTCATATAACTTGGAGAGTATCTATTGGCTTGCTGACATGACAAACTTAACTAATGTTGAATTCTTACCTTCTCTCCTGCATTTGTGAATGTCATAAGCTCCACCCTGAGTTTTAGCCCTTGGATTCTCTGGCGTTCATCAATGGAGAATTACAGCCTCTTGCTTGGCCTGCTACCTGTCTCCCCACCTCTTGGGTACCATGTCCTTTCTCATAAGAACTGGATCCATCATTCCAGGGTCATTGCTGGTCTAAGCTCCTGGTCATGTCTACTTGCCTGATCCTGTTAGAGTTAATACTACTATTCATAATTGTTCAAAACAGCAACAACAAAAACAAAACACAACGGACTATTCTATCATACTGCTTTTTTAGAAGGCATTTTGGCTCTCATCTTTCCATTAATTTGATTTTGAGTGGAAAAAATATTAGGTATTCCAGGAGAAATAAAGTGAAATAATTTGGTTTTAGGTGGGTTAGCTGTAGTGCAAATATTCAAAATTGTAATTCCAGTTCGAACAGCATGAGCTTTGAACTACAGCAGAGCCTAGTTCCAGTCTCAACTCTTCTACATTCTAAATGTGTGAAGGATGAGAAAGTGATTAAACCTCTCTGAGCTTCAGTTTTCTATCTGGAAATGGAAGATGGCAACACATACTGGAAGAGTCTCTGTGAGGGCTTCTGATCCTTAGGTTTGCGTCGGTCACTGAGCACTTTTGTGGCCAATCCAGCCTCATGGACAGTTGCAGCATTGGCATCAGTGCTAGAAAATTATGACCCTACCCTTAATCTTGGTGTGAACTTAGACAAGAGAGTTATACTCTATGAGCCTCAGTTTCTCTCCTTGAAAAAAAATAGAGAAACACATATTTATTCCTTGGGGCTGTTCCATCAAAGGAGATAATGCATTTAAAGTGCCTGGCATATGCCAGAACTCAATAAATATTCATCTCTTCTCACCCTCCTTCTCCTCCCTAATGCCATCTTGGATTTCATCACGAGGCGTCTGACCAGGCGACGAAGGTCACAGAGGAGACACAGGCAGTGTGGAGCCACACTTCTCCAGGCTTTTTTGAAAATGATTGAAAGTTAAACTGGGCCAGGAGTCTGGTGACGTTTGGGTGAGAGACAGAGTTAAATTAAGGTTTAATCTTAGCCCTTTCCATGTGTTAACAGGCTGCGCAGAGAGAAGAGTTTGAAAGAGATTCAATGCTGAATTTTCTCACTAATCTGAGGAGAAGAGAGACATGGAAAGAAAGAACATGAGAGAGAGGGAGAATCAGAGTTCATATGGCTAATTTTCTAGCCAGCAGCTACTGGAACGTTTCCATTAAGAGATATGAGAAGAGACAAAGAGAAGTAATAACTGAAGATGGCTTTCTTGGCCAGAAAATAAGTTGTTCTGCCGAGATGGAGGGCAGTGGGTGAGAGCGCAGATGAAGTAGGTGCCCGGGGGACACATTTCATTTTAATGTCATCTCTTTAGTACCTCTCTATCTGCACATTCAATTAACATCGGAGGGAAAAAATAAGAAGTTCCTCCCATGTCAGCCTGCTTGGGGAACAGAACTGGGGAGACACAGTGACCTCACATGTTCTTCTCAGAGAGTGCTTTCCATCTCTGAGTTGGCCTTCAACGTTCAAGAAAATGGATATATTATTTTTTTTCCTTTTCTATTTCCTTCAGGAAAGACTAGGTTTCAGTACGGTTTCAAATAAAAGCAGTGGAGTAATTTTCTCTCCCGTAGGTTCTCCCTCAGCCCCCTGAATCATAAGAATCAACCCTCATTCCTTTTCTCCCAACCTCTCAGGTGCATTTGCTGAGTCACTGCATGTTGGCCTGAAACAGGGTCCATGTGTCTCCCCACCATTTCCAAGGCATGGAGATGGGAAGTGGGAAGTGGGGAGGGTGAGCTTTGGACTGAACACCCAAGGCCCACGGCCACCAGCTACGAGGCTTCCCACAGGCTTGTCTTTCTCTGTATGTCTGTCACAGGATTCCAGTTCTCCAGTCAAACCAATGATGCTTCTTTGGCCCTGTGCTCCCTGAAGTCCTCCCTTTATATCATAAGTAACCAAGGAGTCCTTCATGCCTGATTTTTGAATGCTAGTAAATTTTCAACATCCTCATCCAACTCTATTCCCCAGGCTTCCCTGCTCCAAACTCCAAATCACCTGAAAAATATGTTCCAGTCACCCCACCTCTGCACCAACTTGAGTGAGTCTGAACTGAGAAGCATTCATTCCAATTTGTCATATTTGTGGAGGATTTTTCTTAAATGGTCACAATATTTCTAGTTCCATGGGCTCTTCCAAGGCTTTGTCACTTCCCATCCAGAGGCAGTTTCTGTGTTCTTCCCCTTGAACGTGGGAGGCATTTGTGACGGCTGCCTTGACCAACAGGGTGGAAGAGACACTGCATGACCTCTGAGTGAGTAAAGGCCAGGCAGCCCTTGCTTGACTCTCTTCCTTGAGATGTCATCCTTAGAACCTCCATGTTGTGAGAAAGCTCAGGCCACTGGGAAGAACACGTGGGTGTTCCCATTGTTGACAGCCTACAGACAATATCAAACACCAGACATGTGAATGAATGAGCCTCCAGGTAGGTCCAGCCATTGAGCCAGCCCTCAGTCAACTGTACCAGCTGTGACCCCAGACATATTGGGGTAGAGACAATTATAATATCTCTACTCTGCCTTGTTCCTGTTGCTGACCCACAATCTGTGAGTCTACTGCTGGTCATGAAAAAAAACAAATTGAACTTTCATTCATTCATTCATTCATTCATTCATCTATCCACCTACTCATCCATCCACCAAAGACACACTTACTGATATCCCACTGTGTATCATAGACTATAAGCATGGGGGCTGCAGAGATAAAGAAAGAAGTGAAGGTCCTGAGGAGCTCACAGACATACTACTCATTCTGCTGTTGACCCATCACCCCAAGTAACAAAAGAGCACCCCTACTAATATCCTGCTTCAGATTTTCACAGTCGCTCATTTATGCTTGCATTTCTGCTTTGCCATTCCAACTAAGTGCCTTTAGAATAAGGGATCAACTTTTTTTCTCATGGTGCTTAGCACGGTTTTATAAATTTAACACATGTTTGATATAGCTTGTTAATTTTTGAAAAATCAGTCCATATACTGCTAGAGGTTTTCAAGGCTTCAAGTAAATAAAAGAATTACATTTTGGAAAAATAACTTAATAAATGAAATCCTTGTGCCAATAGGAGAAAAAGAAGAAAGGTATGAATGATTTTTGGGTCCTTATTAGATGACTGGGGCCTGCTATTTCATTTACTCTTCATAGGAAACTTATACAAATTATGACAATCCTCAAATTGCAGACTTTAAGATAAACTGGCTAAATTGAATGACTATCAAATGTGGCACAAGGAGTTTAGCCAATGCCAGGGACTCTTTTGCAGCCACTGTGGTGACTCCAGCACATGAAGATGCCACCCAGATGACATTTGCTTTCAAGACCTTTGAACAGGCTGCCTTGAAAAGAATGCTTTCCAATGTGCAACTCTATATCTTCTGTGGCTCTGGTAAGTGAGGACTTTACAGCTTATGTTCACTCTTTCCTGTAATCATTTCCAGGCCTCGTGGAAAAGTGTTACCAATTAATACTCCCATTATAGAACTGGAACAAAACAAAGTGCAGGACGTGGGACAAATCAGTTAAATATCCTCGAGAAGCCTTAAAAATGGAAATGAAAACTATCATGTTTATCACAAAAACCTCACTTTAATTTTCTTTGTACTTTGTGAACAGGCGTTTTGTGAAGCATTGCTAAACCTAGTGCAGTAAACACCGAAATGCAGCTGAGGAGTAAGGAATCATCTTTGCATGAAAAGCGAAAACCTTCTCTTGTCCTGCTGGTTTGCTCTGTGGGCAGAAGTGAGGGGGCTGAGAGGTGGGAGGCCTGGACCCAATGCTCCTATGCTGTATTGCTCGGGGTGACCTCGACATCCAAAGACTTCATTTTTAAGAACAATCCATCTGTGGTGAGGCTGTGGGTGGTAGTCTCTAAAAAGATGATGTAACTCCTTATTAAAAGAAACTGTGGTGTTGGGAATTATTCTTCGGAGAGCGGGACTTCTTGCAAGAAATTCCAAGAACCCCAGAAGCTTCTGGATAGCATATGTGGGTCGATGGATGAAGACATACTCTCTCCTCTGACAAAATCTTTCTGTCTTGCATCTAGGGAGCTGTGTAATTGAAATCAGAATTCAGAAAGTGACCGTCGTGATGTCGTTTACCCACATCTTTCATCATGAGAAAACTAGAGGCACTGGAGGGAGGAAGTCACTTGCCCAGAGTGGCCCAGTGGTTAAGGATGGTTGTGATGAGCTGTGAATGGCTCTGTGGAGCCAGCACAGTGCGTCTGGAGGCTGGTTCTGCACACCTTGGCCTGGTCCACTCACCTCACCCATGCTCAGTCCTGTTCTCTGCCTTCCTGGCTTCTGACCTTATCGTGGATTTTTTGGTCCAGGCCTCACTCCTCCTATAGGGTTTCACCACTGTTTCTCCTCTTAGCAACATCTTCCCCCAGAATAGGGCCAGGCGTGTAAACACAAAAATATGCCAGGTAAAAAAATCCCACAGAAACTGGGCAGGTCATCAAGTGAGAGGATCACTTAAATTCTAATGTGTAGACCGTCCTGGCTGAAGCAATATGTCTGCCAGTTGGAACTGGCTGGAGCTTGCTGTAAACAGCAGACTTGAAAACCAGCATGGCCCAGACTACGAACTAGGTTTGATGTTTTGTTTGACAGGCAGGTCTAGATGACCACTGAAATATCATCATCTCCTCGAACACTTTTTTCTTCTGAAAATCATTTAAAGTTTTTACCATGTAAAGTGGTAGCTCAGTCCCTGTTTTCCAAGATTGAGCCATCCTCCTTTCCTTTGTGTATCCCCACTGCCATATTGCCATAAAAATAATAAGAATGAATAACATTAACAACAACAAATGTCATTGCTGGATGTTCACATGTCAGGTAAGATGCTAGGTGTGTTTTTATTTATTTATTTTTTATCTTTTTGAGAAGGAGTTTCATTCTTGTTGCCCAGGCTGGAGAGCAATGGCATGATCTCGGCGGCTCACTGCAACCATGCCTCCTGAGTAGCTGGGATTACAGGCATGCACTACCATGCCTGGATAATTTTATATTTTTAGTAAAGACGGGGTTTCTCCATGTTCCTCAGGCTGGTCTCGAACTCCCGACCTCAGGTGATCCACCAGCTTCGGCCCCCCAAAGTGATGGGATTACAGGCGTGAGCTACTGCACCCGGCCCGCGTGATTTGTTTAAGAGCTAATTCTATCTTATGAAATGAAATCTCTTCTTTATTCCATTTTACAGATTAGGAAACTAAGGCAGAGCTGTTAAATAACTTACTCAAGGTCTAGGAAATGGCATTGCTAAGGCTCATTCCCATGCGTGTCTTATTCTAGAGTTCGTGTTCCTCATTACTGGGCATCTCGCTCCATCAGCCATCAGCAGCTCTGTGAAGACCTCCAGAACTCTTTTCTAACTTAATTATTTAGGATTCTTCTCTACTGCTTGACCCATGAGTTTTTAAAAGACAAGCACAAAGGGCTTCACACATTATAAGGACTCAATAAACATGTATGCATGGGTCAGTGATGCCCCTGCAAAGCTTTGAAACTTAGAATTGTGTGTTGACATCATCATAGATCATCGCGTTGCTAATGGAACTAACACAGGGCCTTGCATGAAGGGAACACGTGGAAGAGTATTTTTTTTTTACTTGTTTTGTTTTTAATTCACAATTGTCCCCTTTAAATCATGATGATGTGGTCACTGCATTTTGCTGCATAAAGGGCTTTTCCTAAAATGGGACCCTTCGTTCTGGTCTCTTCCAATTATAACCTAACTTGATGTGAATAAAATCAAGACTTTGCTGCCTAACATGATCATGATCTCATCTTGGCGAGTATCCATCAATGCCTGACTACATACGACAATGACAGAGATGAGGTACTCATATGTCCCCTTCAGACCAGGGAGGGCAATGCCCACAGGGGGCTTTGGAATAATTCCTGAGATTATCAGGAGTACTCAGAGGGTTGTCAGGAGGGAAAGAATAGCGGAAATCTGGATTTCTCTTGGGGGATCTGGTGAGGAAGAGGGGACCCTGATCTAGATAATGTAACACCTTGTCAATAACGAAGAAAACTTGAGATCTTCGCATGCAGCTATCCTCAAAATTATTTCTCACACTGTGAATTTCACACGATGCTCTGAAATAATGGGAATCTATAATCGAATAATTAGGAAACACATATCCCATACTGGAAATGTCACAATGCACATTTGCACTTAAAAAGCTCTGAAAAATACAGTAAAGAAATCTACTCAACTGTAACCCAGTATGTTATAGTTTTCTTTGGCCACTTTGGTAGGAATTATTAGTCACCAGTAAGTAACCATTCTCTTCAAATTTCCTCGTAATAGAACTCTGATTTTGTTCACATTGGCAATACTCCTGGCTAAGTTAAATTTTCCAGCACTTCTTACAGCTGGATGTGGTTATGTGACTACATTCTGGTCCATGAGATTAAAACAGAAGTGTCCTAAGGGACATCAGGAGAGACTACTTAAAAAGAGCTCTTTATTTAGAAGTTTCTTCCTGTCTACCATGCTTTATGCGTCCTCATTTTTTTTGCTTCTGGGAATGTGGATGTGATGGCTGGAGCTCTGGCAACCATCTTGAAGTACAAAGTATCTTGAGGATGAAAGTCATTGCTAAGGATAGTGGAGATGGAAGATAGAGGATCTGGGTTCGTTGGTATGCCAGCCAAAGACTGCTTACCTCTCTACTCATTTATCTATTTGTTTAGAGATGGGGTCTGTATTAGTCTGTGTTTATGTTGCTGATAAAGAAATACCTGAGACTGGGCAATTTACAAAAGAAAGAGGTTTAAATGAACTTACATTTCCATGTGGCTTGGGGGGATGCACAATCATAGTGGAAGGCAAGGAGGAGCAAGTAATGTCTTACACGGATGGCAGCAGGCAAAAAAAAAAGAGCATTGCAGGGGAACTCTTCTTTTTAAAATGATCAGATCTCGTGAGAACCATTCACTATCATGAGAACAGCATGGGAAAGACCAACCCCCATGATTCAATCATCTCCCACCAGGTCCCTCTCACAACATGTGGGAATTATGGGGGCTACAAGATGCGATTTGGGTGGGGACATGGAGCCAAACCATATCAGGGTCTTACCCTCTTGCTCAGGCTGGAATGCAGTGGCACTATCATTGCTTACTGCAGCTCCGAACTCCTGGGCTCAAGAAACCCTCCCACCTCAGCCTCCTGAGTAGCTAGGACTACAAGCACATGCCATCACAGTTAGCTAATTGTTTTAACATTTTTTTTGTTGTAGAGATGGGGTCTCACTATGTTGACTAGACTGGTCTCAAACTTTGGCTTCAAGCAATCCTCCTGCCTTGACCTCCCAAAGTGTTGGGATTACAGGAGTGAGTCACCATCCTGGCCACTACTTCTTTTATTTGAAAAAAGGAACTTCTATCTTGCTTAACCTACTGTCACTTCTGGCCTTTTTTTGGTGGTACTGAGACACAACTCCTGATATAATTAATCATTGAACCCTTTTACCACAGTATTGTTACTAACATCCTTTGGAACACATTCTGGAAAACAGAAATCTGAGCCAATCTTCAATGCCTACCTCTGCAGGAAAAAAAGCTGAGGCTCAGGAAATGGCAGTGATAGCTCAGTGGTCACACAGCTGTCTGGCTGTACAACTGGGTTTTGGCTGAAGTGGCCTGAAAATTGGTATCTTGCTCTTACTGCACTTCATGCAAATTTGCCAGATCAATTCTGAAATCATTTTAGATCAGCAGTATAAATGAGCAAGTGCATGAATTGTAGATCTTTGAGCACCTCAGAGAGAAATTCAGTGAAAGAAAGCTGTCTTGGGTGACCTTGTAATGGAATGTTTGCCACTGGGCATTTGGGGGAACTTGAAATCTCCCTGTCACTAAGGCATGAGGGAAAGTCTCTCTAAGAGGAGTCAATGTGGTTGCCAGCCAGAATGATACTTTTGTCTTCTGTCCTTTCAAACCCAAATAAATCAGAAAGGCTTTTAAATCCATCCTGCAAGAATGCCGCTGCGGATTGTTCAGGGTGGTCTATCAACTTGTCTCAGAGTCTGCAGACTGATTAAAACACCTAAAGGAACCTGCAAGTCGCAACAGAGGCAAATATGTGGCCCTTGTTTAATGATGGCTCGCAAATGAATAAATACACTTTTTAAAACTTATTGCTACCTGCTCCTCGCTTCTCCTGCCCCTGACGATTATGTGTGTGCACCTGCATGCGTGTGCGAGACACACACACGTGGAGAACTCTGCCTGGCCGAAATGGAAACAGGAAAAGTGGAAGCTGCATCGTTAATTACTCCCCCACTGTTAGAAAGATTTTTAAATTATGATATTGTTACCTGAGGCCTTGATGACAGACTTCTTCAGTTTTCCTCCATCTGGCTCACATCCAAGGCTTCTTTCCTTCCTTCTTTCTTTTGAATTCTGGAATGCAGACAGCAAAATTTTCCATCAGTAAACGAATGTGTCTAAACTCCAATTATCATACCGTGCCACAAAAAGGGGCCCTTCCCCATCAATTCACTGCACTTTTAAGCAATGAAATTGTGGGACCTTGTGGTATTCGTAGACTGTGTCGTCCAGGATTTTCTAGGCATTTTAGTGCTCTGCCCTGATACATCCCCAGTCACACTCACTTTCAAGGGATTGTTAAAGCTCGTGATGGCATTTCTTATTTAAATCCCATAGGTTGTCACTTTTTCACTGAGGAACATAGGATGGTTTCATGGCCTTTTTTCTTTCCTCTTATGTAAGTCAAAGTTAACTATCACAGCAAACCACCCACAAGGCTCAGAAGTTTAACCAACCAAAGTGGGCCTCATGCCCTGGTTTCTCACAGTCCAGTGATGTCAATGGGATGCAACTCTTTGCTGGAGGCCAGGATTTGACCACCCTGCAACCCAAGTGCCTCATTCAGCCTGTCACCTGTTTTCCCAAAGAAACTTTTATTTGGAACACAGACACGCCATTCATTCACACTTTGTCTATGGTTGCTTTTATGCTACCATGGTAGAGGTGAGTAGCTGTGACAGAGGCCCTGCATGGCCTCAAAGCTTAGAAGGTTTACTTTCTAGTTCTTCACAGAAAACGTCTGCTGACCCTTGCCCTCGGCAGGCACCCAGGGATGCTGTCCCCTTCTGACTGGTTCCACTCTCCTCTCTGTGCCTGGTCTCCCCATTCTCCTGATGGGTGTTGAGGCAGCAAATGGCTCACATGTGAAAATCTTTTTTATGGGCTGGGCAAGGAAGTGTTGCAGGAAGTTTCTGCTCATCTTCTATTGGCCAGGACTCAGTCACATGGCCACACTGATCTCTCAGGGATGCTGGAAAAGGAGTCTATATTTGCGCCCAGGATGAAGGGGAACCAGTATCAGTGAGCACCCAATCTCTGTCCCACTTTCCTCTGTGGACTTAAACAGTTGTATCCTGGCGGTCATGATTCCCACAGGCTCTGCCGCCATCATACCTCTCAAGTCCTTCCTGTGTCACTCGCCACTCGGCCACTGCCCTGGTTCAGGTCTTGGTATTTTTCACTTCTGTTATTGGAACTGCTTCCTCTCTGCATTAATGGCTTGCCTGTCTTGCTCTGCTGGATCAATCCTGTAATCACATGCCTTTTTGCTGAAATGATCTCAGATGCTCTTTGGATGGGCAGCCAGTTCCTCCCAGATCTGACCAAAAGCCCTGATTTCAGCATGATATCCTTTCATGCATAACCCCAGTCCATTTCACCCCACTAAATGGACTTTTTTGTTTTCACTCTTTTGCCCACATCCACTTTGTGGCTTTATGCTTCCATTGTTCCCTTGGTCTAATAAGTCCTCATCTCCTCACACCTCTTACAACTAATCCATTTTAACATTTTCAGATAGTACCTACCTTCCCTTTCCAGTAAACTGTAGACATCACAGGTAAGCAAGAACTAGGTCACTTTTATCCATCCACACTTTCCCTAGAGCTAGCAGATTCCCCAGCACATGAGATGATCAACATTGTTTTAAATGAATTAGTGAATAAATAAATACCTGTTGGATTCCATACACACTTGCATACCCAATGAACTGCCATCTTTCCTTCCTCCGGACTCTGAACTGTATTATTTTTAAGTAACTTATCCCTCTTTATTTTGTATCAGCTATATGTGTGCATTTTGTATTGTCTTTACAAGGCTGCACAATTCTCATGGATGAGAGAACCACCATCATGACCTCTAGCCCATGGTAGATGCTCAGTGAATGCATGAGCAATAAATAAATGGATGAATGAATGGTACACAGTTATTTTTTGGTGAATCTGGCCCCATACGCATACTCTAAGCCTCGTATTACATCCTTCAGGTGGGGAAAGACAGTGAAGATATTAATGTTAGAATGAGAAATGCCTTTTTCTCTTAAAAAGGGTTTGAAAGGTTTTAAATCAAGAGCCAAAAAGATTCAAGGTTAAGTAACAGCTTAAGTCCCTGAGCAGGGTAGCTGTTCCTGCTCTTTTATGCGTAGACAGGAATTAAGGGCCTAATACCAAGATGAATAACTTTAGACTTAGTTGTCATATGAAGAGACAAGAAAAAGAAAAAAAAAAGACTGGACTCTGAATAGGGAATTGTTGGAATGTTATATCAAGTATCACACTAACTATGTGCAATTGAGTGGAAGTGACTAGGCCTGAGTCCTTTTTCCTATTCATACCATGGTTATCGCTTCATTAATCAAAGCTTAGCATCAGTGTAAGGAGGGCGGATGTGATTGCAAAGCCTCATTATGTGGCTGACTCAGACATACAACACTAAGAATCAATTCATGACGGCCACGAGTTTTCCGATTTTTCACCATTTCTGGGGACTTAGAAATAGATTGTGAACAGGCAGAAACCTCTCCCTGTGCTATGAGTTTGGGTGGTGTCATTTCACTGGACAGGCTGGGTGTGGCAAAGCCAGTGGATTCCAAATGTTCCAAGTGTTCCTTTTCAGTTCCTACGCAACTGTCTTTGAGTTGGATGGTTTTATGATATGGGTTTCCCCAGATGGAGACCCCATGACAAGGATTGATAGGCTAGTAGTATCCTAAAAAGATGATCTCTGGTGATGCTGCAGGGGAGGGGAAGAGGTGAGGGCAAGAACCAGTGGTGTATCAAGCCGACTTCCACTGTAGTCAACTGGAGCTTACCGCATTGGGAACTCTAGAAATCAGTATAAAGAGACCCTCAGAATCACCCTGATGGAGCAGTAAGGAAGCTAGGGTGTTTATCTGCTGCTTCTCCTTTCATTGTTGGCTGAGGGCTACTATCAGAGGTTTTCATTCTCAGGCACTCCCTGCTGACCCTGCATGTGGGCAGAATCGTCTCCCATGGCAGAGCAGAGGGTGGCAAGAAAAGCAGTGTTAAGGTGAATGTGAACATGACACCAACCCTGTGCCAAGTTCTGCTCAATTGACTGGAGAGGAGGTGATGTAGACCCTGTTAGGCTAAGGGCTGCTTTCACCACTTCTTATCTTCCATTACCTCAGTGACCACACAGCTCTGTGTTTCAAATGAACTGACTGTACAGTGATGAATTTATTAGCCTCAATACCTGAGTGACTGTGTGAAAAAACCCTTGCATCCACGATCTCCCACAACTGGTGTTGAACTTGCAATGTGAGTGAGAAGAAAAACCTTTGCAGTTGATATGGTTTGGCTCTGTGTCCCCACCCAAATCTCATCTCAAATTGTAATCCCTACCTGTCAAGGGAGGGACCTGTAATTCCCACGTGTCAAAGGAAGGAGGTGATTAGATCCTGGGGGTGATTTTCCCCATGCTGTTCTCATGATGGTGAGTTCTTAAGAGATCTGGTGGTTTTATAAGTATATGGAAGTTCCTCCTTTGCTGTCTTTCACCTGCTGCCATGTAAGATGTGCCTACTTCCCTTTCCACCCTGACTGTAAGTTTCCTGAGGCCTCCCAGCCATGCAGAACTGTCTGTAAATTAAACCTTTTTTATTTATAAGTTACACAGTCTCAGACAGTTCTTTATAGCAGTATGAAAACAGACTAATACAATGGTGTTAAGCCACTGAGACTTCAAGATTTACCTGCTGTAGCAACTAGCGTTCATTAACCTGGTGAATATCCTAGATATTATAGCTCCAGTCCTAATTTTATTGATATTCAGCCATCAGTAAGTTTCTACTAAATGCTGGGCATAATCCTAGGGGCTTTTATATTTGTTCACTCATTTAATACTTATAACCAGTTGTCTTGTTTGTGCAGCTATGAACTCCAAAATTTTGGCAAATATATCTACATTTTTTCAACAACATATATGTGGGTTTATTGTTCAAAAGAAGACATATTTCTGAATGATTTCTCTATCTTTTAAAAGTGATTGAGGTTCTAGAAGCCATGTATTTTTATTAAGTTGCTGAAGTTTGCTACTTTCTACCACTAAACTACATATATAATAGCTTTGTTTTTCACCAAAAAGATCCTCTGAGAAGATGAAGCCTCCAGAAGTAATAAGTTGTAAACCTTAAGTTCACTCATTAATCAATTGTTGTCCATCAAACCAGCATCCCATCCACTAGACTTTTGATTTATCTGTCTGCCTAATAATTCACATTATTGTCTATGCATGTTTCCATCCATCCATCTATCCATCCACCTACCATCCACTCATCCACGCATCCATCTATGTATTCATCTATCCATCCACTAATTCATCCATCCACCCACCCACCATCCACTCACTCATCCCTTCTTTTATTCATCCACTAATTAATCCATCCATCCATCCATCTGTTTCATTTATTAAATTACCAACCATTGGTTACATCCAAACACAGTACTGGAACTGACTAAGCACGGTCCATTTCCTACATGGCTTTCAACATCTCCTTAAAGGAATCATGCAAGTGGAGAGCCACGTTACACTATTTTGAGAGGTTTCAATTACAAGGAGTGATCAATCCTGGGCTACAAGGAACACTTTAGCCTTCTTCAGGAAGGATCTCTCTGGTGAAAAAAAAAAAAAGCTATTATATATGTAATTTAGATGTATTTGCCAAAACTTTGGAGTTCATAGCCACACAAACAAGACAACTTGAAAGCTATACCTCCATTTTCTCTCTTTCTGTGTGTGTGTGTGTGCATATGAGCAAGGGGTAGAGGGATGGGGGGATGAGTGAAAGTGGTACTAATCTCTCTCTCTCTCTCCCCAAGTCATTTTTGTCGTTTCCACTGGAGTCATATTTTTTATAACTCAACTCTGACCAACTCATTCCCCTGTCCCCCTCTTGTCTACTATTCAGTGGTCTTCCGTCACTCACAGGACAAAGTCAGCAGCTTCCACGAGTTTTGATGCTGCCCCTGATCTGGCCTCACCCCCACATTCAGCCTTCTTGTTCCTTCCACTTTCACTGGGCACCAGCTGCCCCAGATCACTTGCCATTGTAGTCCAGAGAGACTTACCAGGAGCAAGAACCACACCAACTTGTCCATATCCCAAATCTGCAAGCTACAGCCTGTTTCCTTACTTGTATGTGGAAAGAGTGCCTACATCAATGAATCAATAAATGTTAGCTAATTTTAACCTTGGAATGTCCTTTCCTCCTGCCTTTTAGGGAAGGACTCACCTTGTAGTCTATGAAGCCTTCATTTATCGCTATGGCTTTGCTGCAGATTGACTTTACTGGCCCCACATCACCATGCATCTGCCCCAAATAACCCCTTATCACACTGTAATGTCAGTATATATTGTTAGTATAGACCTATGTGATTTTATCAGCCCCCAACAAAAAATAATGAGAGCTCTAGTTTACTGAATATTTAGTATGTGCCAGACCCTATTTTAAGAGCTTAAGTATATTAACTCATTTTACATTCACAACTGCCCTGTGAAGTAAGCATCACCCATATTTCCATTTTACAGATGAGTAAAATGAGGGTCAGAAAGGGTATGCAATAACTGTGAATTCCCTGAGAGCAGGTGTGTACTTTTCCATTATCGTGCTTGACATATACTAGGTGTTTAACACATATTCATTTAATAAATGTCAAATAATCTGTTCTCCATCATTTGATACTGAGCTGAGATGGATGAATGAAGGGTGACCATCTCTTCGTGTCATTTTCTGTGTGATATGAAACTGGTCTCTGCAGATCCCCATTTATTAAATTTCTTAAGTTTTCACCTAATGATTCATTGCCCTAGAAGTTTTATAATACTTTTAAGCTAAAAATAAAACACTGTTTTTGCATATATAAATCTAGGGTTTTCTTTAAGACTATTTTTAAAAAATTAATCTACACTATCTGCCCCTCAAAAGCTCTTCACCAGGTGAAACCTTTTGCGAAAGAGAAACTGACACAGCAGCTTAACTGTTTTGGGAAGTTCTGACAGTTAACCTTGTCTTATCATACATTTCACTTACCTGATTGGTGCACTTGCCTTGTTCCATTTACTGTATGCATAAGACTTGAAGACTGAGCCTCTATATGAGTTTTATAGCCTAAGTGTCCAGCAGAGCACCTGGTGCTGAGTAGCTGCTCAGCAAATGCTGGACAAATGACCAAAATGACTCTGCTGATACTTGACAGCTCAGAACCTCAATTCTATCTGCAAAATGGGCACAATAAAGACAACTACATGAACCTCTGGGAAAATGAATAAGAGGAAGCTTGTGTTGAGCTGTGTGTGTCGTAACTGACACACATGTAGGAAGCCTCCTGGGAATCCTGGGGAGGGAATGAGTTCTGAAGTGAACAAGGTTCAAGGTCAGCAATTCTTACCCAATGTGAAGGCTGACCTTGGACTGCACCCCTTTAAGCCTCAGTACCCTTACTTGTAAAATGTGGATAATAATATGATTTGCTCTATATTTAGCAACTAAGGATACAGGATACCCAGTTAAATTCAAATTTCAGATAAATGACATCTAATTGGAGCAATATTTGGAACATGCCTATATTTTCTAATGTGATTTATCTGTAACTTAATTTTAACCAGTGTTCTATATTTTCTGGGAATGAGATAAAATAATACATGTAACATGCCTGCATGTGATATATGCTCAATAATGCTTGCCATTATTTTTTAATGCATGCTTGATAAATAGGAACTCCCCATCTCTCTTCCCCCTTTTAAAATAATCTGCATTCCTTTCATCACGCCTCCCTGCCATTCCCCCACCCCGTTATCTGCCTCTTAATATACATTGAGATGTCAGAAGGGGTCTTGGATGAAAAAAGGGAGCAGACAGCTGCCGTAGAAAGAAGTTGCTGTCGGTTCAAATGAATGCTGAGCTAATAGGCCTATTAATAATGAGCTTTATTATAGAAGGCCACTTACGTTAATAATTCTCAGTATTTGGTATTTGATGCTGTGACATTTATACTGAGCTGAATGGTGATTGTGTGAGTGTGTGTGTATGTGTGTGTGTGTGTGTGTTTAAAGCCATTAGCTCACTTTTACTCTGAATACAGCTGCGACATTGGGGAGCAGACTGTGTTTTATTTAACACACACTACACACACATCTCATCTGATTCGACTTTTCCTGCTGGGTGTCTCTCAGCTTGGGAGCTTCAGAAACACTGCAGAGCAAATGAAAGAAATGGGGATCTTGGGAGGAGGCTGAGGACCAGCTTTTACCTTTTCACCCGGCAATTGTCAATCCAGTCCCCAATCCCTGCCCTCCTAGCCCTGAGAAGCTTGGGGTCGGTTTAATCTGATTTGCATACTGTGAGTTCTCACAACAGTAGCTGGAATTGTGACAGGGCCTAATTAGCATTTCCACCCCCTCTCTTCGCCTCTTTTATATTTGAAGACAAGTGCCTAAGCAGTAGGGAAGTTTAACTAAACCCAGATTAAGAAGTCGAACTCTGATTCTAGAAGTTAGAAAAATCAACATTTCTAGCCGGCGTGGCTTCATGAGGATGAGGTTTGGGCAGAGGGAATGTTTATTTACATGATGGCAGCTCCAAAGCAAGCTGCAGAGTGGCATTTGTATTTGAATGCACCTATCCAAGGAGGCTGGAGGGCCAGATGAACTTCCCCAAGCCCTTCAATCCAGCATGCCAGAGTCAGGATGGAAGGAACTCAATGTCCTTTCTCAAGTCCAATGTGATAGAATTTTCTCAGATGGGTTAAACAGCTCATCCAAAACTGTACACAGCTAGGAACCTATAGAGCTTGGGTTCAAACCCCACCAGGGCTGTCTGCTATATTCTGTTGTCCTGCAGGTCAGGCACCGCACCGGAGACTCCACCTATGCCCGGTCCAGGTGGGGCCAGGAGTGTCCTTATCTTCTTGCAACTCTAAGAGGCTTTTGCAGAGCAGCGGCAGGGGCATCATCACCCTCAAGCTTGTTAGAAATGCAGACACTTAGGCCTAACTAGAAGTCACATTTTAACCAAATCCCCAGTTGATTCATCTCTGCATTAAAATATGAGAAATCCTGCTTTGTAGTTTTCTGGGGCAGACAACTGGCTTCTCATTGAACATGACCTGTGATGTGCAACTTGCCTTTTCATAAAGCCATCTGTCCCCTTGCTAGGCACATCTCAGTAGGGCAAGCACTCAGGACTGATGCCTCACCTGCAAGTCCAAAGTACGGACGAAGTCCCCCTTTCTCAAGGCCACACTTTCAACCCCAAGCAGCCTTTACTTCAGTGGGTGTTGCTGTGTGCTCCACCCATGCCCACCGCTGCTCACAGTAGAACAATTAGTGGGTTAATTTCAAGGCCAACGGTGCATGTGCAAAGTACCTGACAATTACCAAAAAAAAAAAAAAAAGGTATATTTAAGGCAAACTGCTCATAAAAGATCAAGCTAGATGAATTTTCTTAATAAGTGGTTAAAACATCTTAAGAGTTTCCGGCGCTATTTTGCTGCTCAAGGGTTTTCAATAAGATGCTCTGATGATGGGAGAACCACTTTTATCAAATATTAAGCTACTGTAAATTTACTGTAATTGAATAATTTGCCTCTTAGCTTTGGTTCACTAAGACTGTAGTGAGGTTTTCATCCCTAAGTGATCGCTCCACAGTCTATTTCAATATATGTCATGTCAAGCAAAGCTCATCTACGGCACCATTTGAGATCTAGTAATTTCAAAGCCAAGGGACTCTGTAAATGGTCTGGATGATTGACCATAAAGTATGTACATATTTAGTTATATTAAATTGTGATTAGGGTTTTGACTTCCATATTTAAACTGTGAGCAGTTTGCAGAGCCTTTATGACTTTTGTGGAAGTGCTAATGTGAATTCTGCAGGGCTTTGGATAGGAATTGAAACAAAGGCAGACCTTTTGGTCCAGGTTGCATAAATATTAAGGAGATGAAGTAACAAACAAACAAGAAAAGCCGAAACGCCAGTTGGAAGTAGATCACATCAATACTCACATCTCTAAATTATGCCTTCAGAGACAGGAAAGCCAAAAAAGATCTTGAGGCCTGAAAGAGAAAATCTGAATTTGTTCCCCAACTCTTATCATATATTGATTTGGTGTTTTGGAAAATCATTTTCTAAGCCTCAGTTGACTCATCTGTAAAATGAACCTTATGTCACTTTGAGAGGAAAAGTGAAATTTCTGTGAAGGACTTGGAAGACATTAAACCAGTGTGTTTCAAAGGTTTGCCTTTGGAAAAAGCAAAGAACCCAGCTAAGCTGTGCCCAAACTTCTCACCCACAGAAACCATGCGACAATAAATTTGGTTGTTTTAAGCCACTGTTTGCAGTAATTTGTTACACAACCACAGAAAACTGATACAACAAAGCTTATGAATACTGAAGATACAGTAAGAAGACTATAGGAATTCCTGAAAGCCCTGGAAACCTGGTCACAGAAGCTTTTTGTTTGTTTGTTTGTTTGTTTGTTTTTTGAGACGGAGTCTCGCTCTGTTGCCCAGGCTGGAGTGCAGTGGCCTGATCTCGGCTCACTGCAAGCTCCGCCTCCTGGGTTCACGCCATTCTCCTGCCTCAGCCTCCTGAGTAGCTGGGACTACAGGCACCCACCACCACGCCCAGCTAATTTTCCGTATTTTTAGTAGAGACGGGGTTTCACCATGTTAGCCAGGATGGTCTCGATCTCCTGACCTTGTGATCCGCCCACTTCGGCCTCCCAAAGTGCTGGGATTACAGGTGTGAGCCACCGCACCCAGCCCACAGAAGCTTTTTTATTAAAAGCCTGTAGCCTCTACCTTGGGGGAGACGTGCCCTTGGACATTTGCATTAGAAATACCCGTGAGGTTTGTTTCAAGCAGATTCCTGGCTATCACATTTGTCCTGTTCAATCAGTATTTTTAGACATGGGACTCAGGAATCTGCATTTTTTTTCAAGCCTATTCGTTAACGTGCATCTATGACAAAGCATGAAGGAAAGATTGCAGTTCTAAATACATGTTTATTCTTATTGTGCCAGAGTAGTGGAAGAAAGCTGTTTCACTTTTTTCCTTCAATCATCCTTTGCTATCTACATTGAAAGATTTAGGTCTTCAGGTGTGACTAGCCCCATATACATGACATATCAAAAATAAAGGGTCTAATAACTACTTTCCAAGTCCCCAGCAGAAGACATACATCCAAGCACAGCTGGCATTATGATTATCAAACCTCGACCAAGTCATCTCACTCGCCGTGTCTGAATGGTCTCCTTTCCCTTTTCAACTTTAACTCCTACTCTTCCTTCAAAACCCAGGCCAAAATCATCTCTGCTTTAAAATGTGTCCAGACCCTGGACCTGACAGAAGAGGATACGCAGCATGTGCACACAGGAGACACCAGGAATGACAAGCGTGGAAGAATTCCAAGAGTCCTACCCCGCCGGTGAACAGAACCTCTGATCTCTTCCTCTTGGCTGTGGACAAGGCCTGTGAATGTGATGAAGCAGCCACTTCTTTGATTGGGTTACATTATATAAACTTGAAGAGAGAGATTTTCCTGCTGGTTGATACCTTGACTACCACCAGCTGAGTCTCTGAGCAAAGAAATCGGCTAAGCTGTGCCTACTCCTGACCCACAGAAACCGTGAGATAATAAATTTGTGTTGTTTGAAGCCACTGTTTATGGTCATTTATTACAGCAATGGAAAACTCATGCAACAAAGGGCTTGAATACTGAAGACACAGTAAGAAGACTGTAGGCAATCCTGGAAGCCCCAGAACCCCGGTCACAGAAGCTTTTTATTAAAAAACTGTAGCTTCTGCCTTGAGGAGAAGCAGCAGGATGGACACATATCTGGTTTGACACCACCAATCATGACCAGACAGTCAGAAAGCAAAGTGGCACAGTTCAGGAACAGTATTTCAACCAACCATGGTATATTATGAGATTTCTGGTTGGGACTGGGCTGGTAAGAATTCCACAAGCAAACAGCCATGTCAACATATCTTAAAATCTATCATTCTACAGTGACTTCCATTTGCATTTCAGTAGAGCTTTAGCGTGTATATCAATATTTTTTATCCATCAGCTTCCAGTGAAACAGTCTGGCTCCAGGAAGAACAAGTGCCTGGGTGCCCAGCGAATGCAGTTTTTGTAGTTTGTCATAAAATTGCTTTCTCCCAATCATGAATTCTCTTTCATCCAAAGAGCTCCTAGTGTTTTATTCATAAATATAATTATCCTCATTTTACAGATGAGGAAACTGGGTCATAGAGATTTGAACACTGTGAATTAATAACAGCAATAGAAGAAAAACTTGCCTCAAAATGCAAATGATTTACTTTCTCTTCTCAGTTATCATTGTGTATGCAGCTATCATATACCTATATATGCATATACATACACACACATATACATATACATAGAGGGAAAGAGTTCAATTTTGCAGAAGTAATTTTCAAGCTCTTGTTTTCACAGTACAATATCGCGGTCCCACTGTATTCAGCCAGGAGCACTCACAGTGTTTTAACTCCAAGTAAAATTCAGATGCGCTTTTATGTCAACATGGGCACACACACAAAAATTGGGACTGCCTATGGGGCGCACTGGCAATAGGGCCCTATATAATTCTATGTTAGAGACAAAAAGTTAAAAAAAAATCCTCCTTTATAAATACCAACATTGTGGAGTTGATAGCAACCAGGGATTTGCTTTGTTAAGTTGCTGCCTGGGCTGATAGCTGGCATTCTTCTGTGGGGCTAGGAATATGAAAAGAGACAACCAGCTCTGCCTGGGATGTGCAGAGCCTTTGCTGTGGTCTGAGTTGATTCAGTCAAGCCTTCATCACCAGAGATTTGAAAAGCCGGTGCAATCCTTACCAGCCCAATCCAAACCACAAATGTAATATGAGGGCTGGGTGCAGACTGCATCCTGTTTTAGAAACATGAAGCCCGCTCTATGAAACTCACAAGGACCCCTTCTCTGCTCCCCACCCTCCCCCTTGCCTTTGGTTAAATATTAATAGAACTCCTTTAATTTGAGTTCAAATTGTGTAAAGGAAAATAGACTCTGACACTGATTTTGGTATTTCCCACTATTATCTAGAGTAAAAACTGACTAATAAAAGTTGTTCAGTAAATGATTCTTGCACAAAAATGAGAAAGTCCTGTCTAGTGTTCTTGAATCTCTGTCCTCCAGTCCATTCCCACTACCCCAACTCACACCCTTGTTATCTTCTGCCTATTTTAACAGCCTCCTAACTTGTTTTCTGTTAACAATTTATCACTCCACCAAAGCTTGAGTAATATGTCCAAAACATATCCTAACCCTCCTACAGCTTGAACTCTTCAACTATATGCTCTGCTCCTCTAAGACAGAAAAAACTAAGACCAAGCTCCCTGACATACAGACAAGACCCCTGATCTGACTTTGGCCACTTCCTTGCCAGATCTCACACCTTTAATAACATTTTCTTCTCCAGTATCCCAGGATTGCTCAGAGTTACATGCATAATGTCATTTCTCTTTGCATCTCTGCCATTGCTGTTGCTGTTGACTCTGTCTGGAGGTCCATTTCCTCTTCTTGGCACCCTCTACAAAATTCCACCCTGCCACTCAGTTTCCCTCTAATTGAAAAATATATATAGCCTTAAAGAATTGGCTTAGGGTTCTTTGCTTTCAGAAAATTGTGTTTATCACCCTTTCCTTCTCTAAATCTGAGCTGTGCTCTATGCTCTCCTATACCTAACTTCATAACTACACTTGCCCTATGTTACAGTTATCTGTATGTTTCTCTGTTTTCTCTCTTTGGACTATGAGGTTTGGTGAGCAGGGACACAATTATATGCATCTGGCTATGCCCAGGGTCGAGCACTGGGTCTCACACACAGTAGGGGCTCAATAAAGTGTACTGAAAGAATGAATAGATGTCAGGAATTGCTGATCCAAGAACAAGTGCATGAATGGCTGCAAAGGTCTGTTGTAAGTACTTAGCCTCCTACGCAGAAAAGGGTTAATTGCCGCTTACCTGGAGTTCTGAGTGAATTTTACTCTCTGGTGTCAAACTCCATTTCCATTCACCTCGCCCTTATTCTAATGACATAGAACTGGACAAATAGGAAAGAGCACCCATAGCACAATTTCTGCTGATGAATATTTCAGCAGGTGCCTCTTGGCTAAGAGTCAAGATGAAAGCCTGGCTCCAGGCAAATTAAGAGGGGAAGAAAGACTTGTAAGTACATAAGGCTTTGGAGAAATGCCCCAGTGCTGAGACCTCGACAGGAATCCTGCAATTGAAAACCAAGAGATCACAGCCCAGAGTACTCTCCATGTCTCCTCCTGGGCTTGAGTGGGGGATCCGGAGGAGTCAAGCTGCTCTCAGAGGTGGAGCACCGGCCACTCCCAGAACACTCAGCATCAGCATGCGAGGCGCAGGGACCAGACTGCCCATCCATCTGTAAATGTACAGCCCCTATTAAAGCATAGCTTCATGAGGAAAAGGTAGGGCTGGGTGACCTGTGGCCAGATCCTGCTACAAGAACACTTTCGCATTCTCTCCTCTTTTTCCCTTTCCTTTCCTTTTCCTTCCTTTCCTTCCTTCCTCCCTCCCTCGCTCCCTCCCCTCCCTTCCCCGCCTTCCTTCCTTCCTTCTCTCTCTCTCTTTCTTTCTTTCTTTCTTTCTTTCTTTCTTTCTTTCTTTCTTTCTTTCTTTCTTTCTTTCTTTCTTTCTTCTTTCTTCTTTCTCTCTCTCTCTTTCTATCTCTTTCTCTTTCTTCTTTTATTGAGGGGGTGGTGGTGGGTGGCTGAACTGAATCAAGTCAGGCTGGGACCAGCTATGTGCACAACTACTTTCCCATCTTCCTACAAAGCCTATGGGGGAAGAATTTTAGGTTGCTGTGTCTGGTTGGCCTTTGCCCTCTTGGGTGTAACAATAACTTATTGGGATTCTATGACCAGGAAAAAGATTATATAAACATTCTGAGCTAAACCCAGATGAAGCTAGATGCAACTATTTTAGACATCTTGGAATTGGATGGATTTTAAAAAAGCAATCAGGGAAGAAAATGGAGGCTTAGTGAATTGCACGAGGAAGAGCACTGACTGGTAGGTGCCTGGGCAAGCCTGGACAGGTGGGAAAGTGGGGAGAGGACTGGGAGTTAAGAGCATGGGCTTTGGTCCTAGCCCTGGCCCTGATCTTAGGTAGGTCACTTTTCTTTCCTGCTATGGACCTCAGTTTCTTCAATTCTAAAAAAAAAAAAAAAAGCAATTGTCTAAGATCAGGTAAAATGCCTTAAAGTCCGAATTGGTTGCATATTCATCTATTGATCTTTAGGAGACCTTCTGCAGCTCAGAAGTGATAAGAATAGAAAAAGGCCCTCTATATACAAGACATCTTTTTGCAGATGAGGGTCTTGTCAGTTACACTACAGATATGCGATCTCATAGGAACCTCATGAAGCATTGGTTCTAATGGAAAAAATGACCTTTAATAGTGAAACTTGACAGGAAGCTGAGGTGGGAGGATTACTTGAGGCCAGGAGTTCAAGAGCAGCCTACACAACATAGCAAGGCCACATCTAAAAAAATAAAAGAAAAAGGTTTCCTGGTGTGGTAGTGTGCACCTGTAGTCTCAGCTGAGTCGGTCACATAGGAGAGATTAAGTAAATGCCTGCAAAACAAATAAATGGAAAAGCAAATTTGTGAATGAATGAAGGAATTACTAGGAATGCATGAAATCCTATGGTAGAACACACTTGATTAGGGAAAATACAACAAAGCAGTGGCAGTGACAAGATTAGAATTCAGAACCAGCCTAAGAATTGTTGAGATAGTATTGCTAAGCTAAACCTTTCAAGAGAAGCTTTGAATTTAAGGCAAATGCTAACCAATGGAATTATACAATGATAACTCACCTTGGGAAAAAAATTAATTTTCATGTTAGCTAATAAAGCTGATAGCATTTAGATGGACTTTTAATGGAGAAGCCTAAAGGGGTAAAACATCTCTGACTATTTATTCTTAACAAAAGTCAAAAATTAAAATACAATTTTCACTGGTACGTTGCTGAGGCCAAATCAACTGGAAGTAGGTATTTAAGGGTTTACTCTTTAATTTTAATTTGTTGAAGGCAGTCTAGTGGAGGTAGTTACACATTGGAGAGTGAAATTGGCAAACCCCATTAGTCACACAACAAAACAGCCATGAATATGGTTTCTCCAAAGACTTTCTCCAAATGCCTCTCCCTCAAAACCGGGCCTCTATCCAACTTCAAACAGGGAGTCCCAGCTGCCTCTCTTTGTTTCCAGACAAGCACCGTCCATGAGTTTCTGATGGATACACCCTGACCTCCTTTCCCCAGGGCTAGGAAGAAAACACTTAATTCCTTAGTCCCAAAGCATCACCTTTCTCTTTAAAGTGTGCCATTGGAAACAGAGCCTGTGGCTCAAAGAAAACTTGCAAATCTTCCAAGGTAATATGGCTTGACAGTGGCAAGCCATAGTTCTTGATGATGGCTTGGAATATGGACTTGAATGTTAGCTTTAGACAACTGTAGGGGAATTCAAAGTTTGCTCACAGCCATGCTTCCTCAAGATGGAATTTGAACAAAGGATGGTATTGAGCAATACTAGAGCAACCAACCAGTCTCTCTAGGAAGGGCTCACACTCTTAGTGAAATCATTGCTGGATCTTAGAGGCCTAGCACTGTCCCCTGGCTTCTGGCTTCTCAGTGGACAGGAGAGTCGCCTACAGTAGGTGGTCTGCCTCAAGAGGATCTTCCCCAGAAGAATGTGAAATTCAGTGAAGCAAGAGGAAGCCTGACTGGGTCACATATGTATCATGAGGGTCCACTCAGAGCCTAGTAGCAGTGAGATGATGAGAAGATGGATAGGTGAGTGAATGGATACATTAATTCATTCATCTTTTCTTTAGAAATAAAGGGCATAATGGGCCGGGCACGGGGTGGCTCATGTCTGTAATCCCAGCACTTTGGGAGGCCGAGGCAAGCAGATTGCCTGGTCTCAGGAGTTTGAAACCAGCCTGGGCAACATGGTGAAACTCTGTCTCTACTAAAACACAAAAAATTAGCTGAGCGTGGTGGCACATGCCTGTAGTCCCAGCTACTTGGGAGGCTGGAGGCACAAGAATTGCTTGAACCTGGGATGTGGAGGTTTCAATGAGCTGAGATCAAGCCACTGCACTCTAGTCTGAAGGCTCTGTCTCCAATGAAACAAAACAAAACAAAACAAAACAAAACAAAACACCAAAAAAAAGAGAGAGAGAATACGCTTTTTTTTTGTCTGACAGACAAGGGTGCAAAACTAGTGTTTAAAACCATGCTCTGCTGAGGACCTGAGATTATTGATCTACAGATTTTCATCTGTAAAATGAAAATTGATGAAATGCTATGGTGTTATTCCTAAATTAATGCCTGTCACATATGAAAGAAAGAGAAGAAAGAAGGAAAAAGAAAGAAAGAAAGAAAGAAAGAAAGAAAGAAAGAAAGAAAGAAAGAAAGAAAAAGAAAGAAAGAAAAAGAAAGAAAGAGAAAGAAAGGAAGGAAGGAAGGAAGAAAGGAAGGAGGGAGGGAGGGAGGCAGGCAAGGAGGGAGGGAGGCAAGGAGGGAGGGAGAGAGGGAGGGAGGGAGGAAAGGAGGGAGGAAGAAAATCAGTTAGCTTTTTGCACCCCTTTTTAATTTTCCAGTCTTCACTGTCAGGACTCTATCACCTATTTACCTACCCAACAAGTCCCACCACTAACTATGGGATTTTGGGTGAGCCATTTAATATTTCTGAACTAAATTATTTTAAAATGAGGAAGGGAGCCAAGTATGGTGGTATATGCCCATTGTCCCAGCTACTAGGGAGGCTGAGGTGGGAGGATTGCTTGAACACAGGACTTTGAGGCTGTAATGTGCTATGATCTCACCAGTGAATAGCTACTGTACTCCATCCTGGGCAACATAGTGAGACCCTATCTCTTAATTTTTTTTTTTTTTTAATGAGAAAGGTGATGACTGTCTCCAGCGAATTTTAAGGAATACTTGAATTCTATAAAATTCTGTAAATTCAGTAAAATGCTATTTGACTCTGAACGATTGATTTGGTATTGATTTGTCTTGGTGTAACCTAAAACAAATCTGGGATTTCTATAGAGGCTTGAGGTCATGATAGAAGTTCTTAGTTTCCTTCAGGAAAGTTGAAATCTCTAATATGATAAGCTTATATTAATTAACTAGGGAAACCATTAGCAAACACAGTAAATAACCAAATACCAAATGCTAAGTTCAGGGTTTAATTGCCCCACCTGTATTCACAGAAAGAGCAATCCATAAAAATACAAAGGGGTGGAGTTTGAGTCTGGGTTTAGAAGAACCTGCCAGGCAGCTGGTAAAAATTGCCTTTCTAGGTGAATAAATGAATTAAATAAATAAAAGAAGTTTTGGCACCCCAATGAAAAATAAACCACCGGAGGGTTAACATAGTTGGAGAAGGAAAATATGAATGATTATAATGATTGTGTCAAATACAGCCATGAGATAAACAATTGCACAAACAAAAAAATGGATACCACATGAGTATCACCCCATGCCTGACTGCCATTTCTACTTCTGCGATTTCAAGTTGAAACATTTAACCTCCATTTAAGACTGAGAACACCAAAAGTGGGTGGGGAGAGGGGAACGTTGATTTGCATGAATTCTATGGCCAGTGAGTGCTGGGAGGCAGTCTAGAATTTGTATCTCCTGACTACCATTAAAATCTTCTCTCCCGTTTATTATTACCTTTTATCTGCACTCCTGAGCAATGCTATGCAAAAAACATGGGGTTTTACATGTAGGAGGGTTATGTTTGTGTCATGGGTCTGCTACTTACCAGGGTTGCAGACATGGGCAAATCACATACTTCTCCTCTTCAACTAAAACATGGGGGTTGTGATAATGCCTATCTTTGTGTTATAAATGATTCCTCAGCTAAAAGGGGAATTCCTTGGCTTGCATAACCAAACACAAAGAGCAGAGACCACAACAGCCTGGATCCCAGAGTCAGATGGGAAAATCCCTGCCCATCTCTCATGCCACCTCTCTCTGTGTTTCAGCTTCGATTTTATCAAACTGGATTTCTCCAAAAGTCTGGAACTTTGGAGGCTGGCAGCTTTAGGTTTGCAGCTTTTTCAATTCTATTAGCATAAAGCATTTTTAATTATTATTTTTTTGCCCATTTTTAATTAAGAAACCCCAGGTCAGGGCACTGATTGACTTGGCTGAGGTCAAATGCTCTCCACTGGGACCTAGAGATGAGGTAGTCTGATTAGACCACCATAGCAGATACTCCCGGATGCCTGCCCCAGGTCCATTCCCCTCCTGATTCTGACATCCTGACAAAGACTGCCTTTCATGAAATAAGATGGAAACGTCAGACTCTTGTTATCTCACATTCCCTTGTAGTTGGGGGTAGCTATGTGTCTCCCTCTGGGCAGTGATGAGTAAGCAGAGTCCAGTGGAAAAACTCCCTAGGGAGATTTTCTTTCCACATAAAAGGAGAGAGGCATTAGAGAGAGAGAGAGAAAGACAGAGAGAGAAAGACAGAGAGAGTGAACCTGTCTCTTGCTACTTTTGCACATTGTAAGAGGATGTGATACAAGGAACAACTGCAGCCTCCTTGACAGCATGAGGGACCATCACGTCTACACGGTGCATACAGCCTACCAGAGAACAATGAAGTCCTCAGTGACCTTGATAAGCAGCTGAATGAGCCCTGGACCTGCCTACATCCAGATGTCTTGTCAGATGAGAAAATTCCTGTTAAAAGAGAAAACTAAATCCTGTTGTAATCCCTTCTATTAGCTTGGACCCTTTCCCTCTTACAATCATTTCTCCTTGGTCCTCTTTCTTCTTCTCCCACTGAGGTTGTACTACAGGGATCCTTGGCATGAGGGGCCTTAGGGGCATCATGGACAGAGAACAAAGCATCCCTGGTTTCCAGGCTGCAGAACAACACAGGGGGCGGGGCTGCACCCGGTTGGTGGGCGGAGCCTCTCAGTACCTGCCTGGAGGCCACAGGACCCTGTCCATGGGTTTGACTGGAGGTGACTCCCAAGGTGGACATCACTTTTTTCCTTTGACACTTTAAACCATCATCTGACTGTCCCCCAGTTCCAACAGAACTGATACAGCTGGCATTTCAGTTCAGCACTTGGTATTTCTTGTCTCATTTAGAGTAACAAACTCTATTTGATATTATTCACCCAAAAGACAAAATGGGAAAATGAAGACGTGCCACACCTGGTGACATTGGAATAGAGATGTTGTGGAGTGATAGCAACAAGGCCACTAGGCTGGGGCTCTCTCTGCTCCTGGCTCTCGTCATCTTTGAATGGAAAATATTTAAAATTAGCTCAACTTCTAAATACACTTCATAATCTTTAAAATAAGGAGAACAGTTCCTACTTTATAGAATTTCTGCCAAAACAAAATTAGCTACATATAAAAAAATTTATAAACTAATTTATAAATCTAAATGTTCATAACAAGTACTATGACAAGAACAAAGGATAAGAGGACTTTTATCATCTATCTAAACTTCATGACTCAGTTTCTCCATCTTTCAGAAGGGGCCCTCTCTAAGAAGACTTTAAAATCTACCTGCTTCCTAAAAAAAAATCACTTAGTACATATAGTGTTTGCCCAGAAGGCCACTTCCTGTGACGTCTGCGTAATTGAAAAGAAAGAACTGCAAAAGCACTGTCTAAATATAAGGGGCTATTAATATTTCAGAATATAACAATAATAAGGAATGGCTCACAACAGTACAGATTTAACTCACCAGTCCCCAGGAAATGAGAGGAGAAGAATGCCTGTGTGTGTGTGTCTGTGTGTACTCACCCATCCATGTAAACATTTTTAAAACTCCAGTATCTAAAAAATAGAGTAGTAAATTTAGCAAATATTTCTCTTCTCTTCTTCTAGCTTTTTTTTTTTTTTTTTTTTTTTTGAAATTGAGTCTTGCCCTGTCACCCAGGCTGGAGTGCAGTGGTGTGATCTTGGCTCACTGCAACCTCTGCCTCCTGAGTTCAAGTGATTCTCCTGCATCAGCCTCCTGAGTAGCTGGGACTACAGGCGTGCACCACCACACCTGGCTAATTTTTGTATTTTTACTAGAGATGGGGTATCACCATGTTGGCCAGAGTGGTCTCAAACTCCTGACCTCGGGTGATCTGCCTGCCTCAGCCTCCCAAAGTGCTGGGATTACAGGTGTGAGCCACCACACCTGGCTTTTCTTCTAGTTTTAAACCTTCTTTTAGATTATTTTGACTTAAAAATATTTTTTTTCCCTCCATTCCCGGGACCAGTGCATAAACATTTTGGTTTAACCCCAGATCTTGACTGTGAAAACAGCAGGAGGGAATGATCAATACTTTTAGTAAAAGATAGTGATGGTAAGTCCAGGCTTGAAATCATCAATAAATGACAAGCCCCTGGGAGAAGGAGATAATTCAGTACCTTGCACGGAATAATCACTGTTTTTGTTTGTTGTTGCTATTGTTTATTATTATTATTATTGTTAACTCAAAAGTGACATAGGCGTGAATTATGGTGAAATATCTCACCCAGGTAAAGCAAAAGAAGAATAAAGAAAATTTAAAAATAGAAGGCTAAAAATTCATTGAGTTGCTATTTTAAAAAATTGTTTCTTAAACAACTGCTTAATATTTGAAAAAAATAATGTGAATCAAAGCTGAAATTAGAAACCTGGATGTTCCCCTAGCAGAGGTTGCTGGATCACTTTCTCATGGTAAGACGAGGCTCATAAATGTGGAAAAGGGGGAATGACATTTGAGATTCCCTCAACCTGGTCCCCTTTTCTTAGAGAGAAAGGGAGAGGAAAAATCAAAAGCCACCCTTAGAGGAGAAGAAAATTAGCAAAGTCCTTGCTAAATGTTAGTTATTGGAGCTGGACAAATTTCCCCTATTAGATAATGTAATTATTCCCCACACTATATTTAATTATCAGGTGTACAGATAAACTGACATTTTTATTCCTCTTTTAAATATTGAGAATTAATAGAAGGAAAATGCATTCTAAAATGTGGATAATTAAACAAATATGCTATGAAACAAGGCCATGTGCAATTTTATTTTATGTATAAATTAAATGTAGACCCAAAGGGGATTCACTCTTATTATACCGTTGACTCCTCTATTAGCATTTCAATAGAGAGCCTTTGCTTCCTGGTTTTGAGGAACACAAGTGGAGATAGGCAGCACCTGCCAGAGGTTCATACAAAAGAACACTTAAAAGTTGGCTGGGCATGATGGCTCATGCCTGTAATCCCAATACTTTGGCAGGCCGAGGCAGGCAGATCACCTGAGATCAGGAGTTCGAGACCAGACTGACTAACATGGTGAAACCCTGTCTCTACTAAAAATACATAAATTAGCAGGCATGGTGGTGGGCACCTGTAATCCCAGCTACTCAGGAGACTGAGATGGGAGAATCACTTGAACCCGGGAGGCAGAGGTTGCAGTGAGCCAAGATCGTGCCGTTGCACTCCAGCCTGGGCAACAAGAGTGAAACTCTGTCTCAACAAAAAAAAAAAAAAAAAAAAAAAAAAGTTTGTATGCTTCCTGGATAGAAAAAAAATATGTATTCCATGTATATTGGCACTTGTGTAGCTTTCTGCTAGCTAGGGGAAGTGAACCTCAGTTTGAGTTGGAGAATCAACACTATGTAGCATTACCTGATCCTTGAAGTGAGTCATTTTAGCTGAGACAGGATGTCGAGAACATTTGGTCTGCCACTCTTGCTCAACGGATGATGAAACTCTAGTCCAGGTAGCAATGATTGGCTTCTGGTCATAAAACTGAACACTTTATGTGTCCTTTTTCATCTTTTGCCCGTTATCTGTTTGACTGAATTTAGGTAGAGGCATAGAGTATGTCAATCAGGTGTGGTCAATAATAATTTAATCAACTTTACTAAGCACATATATTGTGCAAAGGCATGAACTAGACAGAAAAAAAAACTAGGCGGAGGGATTTGTGCTGCCCCATAGTAGCCCATGACCACCCTAGGCCTAGGCAGCCTCTGCATTTCATATGAGAGTTCACTTCTGTCCACAACATAACCAGAAGAGCTCTAATGCTGGGACATTCCATCTTCAAAATTGATTCATTTTGAGTCTTTGAGGTTTCCTTGACATTCAGTTACCTGCTTTCACATGCAAATATTATTAAGGAGTAACACACTTAAAAATTCTTATATCTTAGTAGGGATTTGGTTGGAAAGAGAAACCAGAATGTCACCTACCATGGCCAAGAACTTTTCAACATTAGGTACTGCCCAAAGTTAGAATTGCATAGTAAAAAGGCCAAGACTAGAATTAAAGACCCATGCTCCCTCATTTGGTCAGCAGTATTTGTTTATTTTCTGCTTTTCTCTGAAACCACCTTGCATTGCCCCACTGTCTATATTAGACTGAGAAGAAGAACCTTTATATGGAAGGAAGGAAATTCTCCAAATTTTTAGCACTTACTAATGCCACATAAAATATTCTAAATAAACCTATTCTAAATCACTGTATTAAAATGAGATTCATTTTAATTTGAGCAATGCTATTCACCATTAAGACTGTTATTTAAAATAAGTTATTAATTGCTCTTTGGTTCATGCTGTCAGAACTCAAGATGAACCAAGATGACAGGGTCAGAATGCTCTGGGTGAATTTGGAAGGTTTTTGCCAGGTGGAATAAGGGATGAGGATTTCCAGGTCAGCTAAGGCAGCTGTAAATTGATAACGGATTTGCACTGAAGACAAGGAGCGGAGCTAAAGTGGTGTTGAGATTTACCAGGATACTTGTAATTGAGAAGAGGAAAAAGATCAAATGCCAACCTAGCATCCTAAACAGGCCCACTGAGGATGTGTGGATTGGATGGAAACAAGAGGATCAGGGGCAGGGGAATGAGATGAGACTGTATCAGTCCCTAGCTACAGGCATGACGAGATGTGAGTTGGAGATGGATGTGGTGGTTTGAAAGATGTTCAGACAATTTAATCCACTGCTATAGGTGGCCCAGAGCTGGAAAGAAAGCATCTAAGCCTAAAATCAGGAGACCTGAATTGTCTACACTGGGTCCCTTGACTCAGCTGGACTATATTGTCCCTGAAGAGATGTATGTAGCAAAAAAAAAAAAAAAAAAAGAAAAAAAAATGTAGTTTGGAAAGAAATAGCAACACAAAGCAATTGAAAAGGAATTGGGTTTCAAATATTTCAGGACAGCCATAAGCAATCTTATAAAAGATCAGGCTTCTACTGCATTTCCCACCGAGTTATTCAGATGGGAGACCTGCTTTGAAATTTCTCTGTGAATTCTCGGAACCCTAATGCACAGCTTGAACCCCAAAGCAGCAGATGTTTTGAAATAGTGTAAATGCGCAAAGAATGACTTTCAAGAATCCAATAAAATGTTGGTAGAGAGGTTAAGAATAACACTACTAAAAATGCAAACAACAAGCATGATTCGCATATAGACATCATTTATACACTCATGTACAAAAGGATCCATTTTTATTACTAAGTTATATCAGGCCCTTTTCCTAATTTTCTCATAGTTTAACATTCAATTTATTTTACTACCCACATCACAGATAATTCATGGATAGAGTCTTGAAAATTTGATATGATTCGTTTCACTTCCAAGTAACATAAGGCCTTCTGCCTAATTTTCCCATATTTTTACATTCAATTTGTTTTACTATCCACATCACGGATGGTGGTGGATAGAACCTTGAAAACTCAATTTGATTCAAAAAGTAGTGAACATGAAATTGGACATGAATGACGATATCGTTACACGTTCATTCGACAAACATTTATGGACTATTACTCTTGTTTTCCATAACATGGTAGTATAGGAATTAGAAATGAATTTGCAATAGACTGCACAAAAGAGCCTATAATTTAGTAGAAATAATGCAATGTATATACAATGTAAATATGCAGGTAAAAACATAAATCTTTGAAGCCTATGCTACATTAGGCACTTAATCTTAACAAGGTCTCTAGAAGCTAGATATTATCATGCCCATTTTCCTGATGAAAGCTCTACGTGTCCTTTAGTTCATTAGGTATCTGAGGTCAGATTAAGCAACAAGATAATTATTTAAACCAGATCAATGTGATACAATATCTGCAGTCTTTTAGTTATACCACACTACTTTCCTTATTTTTTTTTTTGACAACTAAAAATTATATGTATTGACAAGGTACCACTTGATGTTTTGACACATGTATACATTGTGGAATGATTAAATGAAGCTAATTAACAGATCCATCACCTCACTTACTTATCTTTTTGTGGTGAGAACATTTAGGATCTACTCTCTTAACAATTTTCAAGTATACAAAACATTATTAGTAACCGTGGTCACTATGTTGTAGGTCTCCAGATCTGATTCATTCTGTCTAACTGAAACTTTGTACACGTTAACCAACCTCTCCCCTTAGTTACACCATACTACTTTCTTTTTCCTTTATTTCTTTTCTTTTTTTCTTTTTTGAGATGGAGTCTCGCTCTGTTGCCCAGGGTGGAGTGCAATGGTGCAATCTTGGGTCACTTCAAACTCCGCCTCCTAAGTTCAGGCGATTCTCCCGCCTCAGCCTCCCGAGTAGCTAGGATTACAGGAGTGTGCCACCCCACACGGCTAATGTTTTTTTTTTTTTTTTTTTTTTTAGTAGAGACTGGGTTTCCCCATGTTGGTCAGGCTGGTCTCGAACTCCCGACCTCAGGTGATCCACCTGCCTCAGCCTCCCAAAATGCTGGGATTACAGGTGTGAGCCACCGCACCATACTACTTTCTAATGAATTATAGAACAAGTTAGAAATCCATCAGTGTTGGAGACAAAGGTACAGAACTGGGGAAGACAAAGCTTCTAGCTGGCGCAGCCCAGAAGGCAACTTAAAGGAGGTATTACTGGTATCTGATCCAGGCTTTGAAAGCTGATGAATTGGAAAGTGTGTGTGGGGGTACACATCTGCCAATGCAAGTGTGTGTTATTTGTATACGTGTGTTACGACTAGTCACTCATTACAAAAACTGGACCAGACCAGGTGTGGTGGCTCATGCCGGTATTCCTAGCACTTTGGGAGGCTGAGGGGTGTATTGCCTCAGCTCAGGAGTTCAAGACCAGCCTAGGCAACATGGTGAAGCCCCTTCTCTACTAAAAATACAAAAAAAATTAGCCTGGCATGGTGACACATGCCTGTAATTTCATCTACTCAGGAGGCCAAGGTATGAGATTCGCTTGAACGTGGGAGGCAGAAGTTGCAGTGAGCTGAGATTCCGCCACTGCACTCCAGCCTGGGTGACAGAATGAGGCCCTGTCTCAAAAAACAAACAAACAAAAACTGGACCAAAAATTTTTTTTTTTCCTTTTCAAAAAATTTTTTTATACTTTAAGTTGTAGGGTACATGTGCACAACATGCAGGTTTGTTACATAGGTATACATGTGCCATGTTGGTGTGCTGCACTCATTAACTCATCATTTACATTAGGTATATCTCCTAATGCTATCCCTCCCCCTCCCCCCACCCCACAACAGTCCCTGGTGTGTGATGTTCCCCTTCCTGTGTCCAAGTGTTCTCATTGTTCAATTCCCACCTATGAGTGAGAACATGTGGTGTTTGGTTTTTTTGTCCTTGCGATAGTTTGCTGAGAATGATGGTTTCCAGCTTCATCCATGTCCCTACAAAGGACATGAACTCATCCTTTATTTATGGCTGCATAGTATTCCATGGTGTATATGTGCCACATTTTCTTAATCCAGTCTATCACTGATGGACATTTGGATTGGTTCCAAGTCTTTGCTATTGTGAATAGTGACGCAATGAACATACGTGTGCATGTGTCTTTATAGCAGCATGATTTATAATCCTTTGGGTATATACCCAGTAATGGGATGGCTGGGTCACATGGTATTTCTAGTTCTAGATCCTTGAGGAATCGCCACACTGTCTTCCACAATGGTTGAACTAGTTTATAGTCCTACCAACGGTGTAAAAGTGTTCCTATTTCTCCACATCCTCTCCAGCACCTGTTGTTTCCTGACTTTTTAATGATTGCCATTCTAAATGGTGTGATATGGTATCACATTGTGGTTTGATTTGCATATCTCTGATGGCCAGTGATGATGAGCATTTTTTCATGTGTCTGTTGGCTGCATAAATGTCTTCTTTTGAGAAGTGTCTGTTCATATTCTTCGCCCACTTTTTGATGGGGTTGTTTGTTTTTTTCTTGTAAGTTTGTTTGAGTTCTTTGTAGATTCTGGATATTAGCCCTTTGTCAGATGAGTAGATTGCAAAAATTTTCTCCCATTCTGTAGGTTGCCTGTTCACTCTGATGGTAGCTTCTTTTGCTGTGCAGAAGCTCTTTAGTTTAATTGGATCCCATTTGTCAATTTTGGCTTTTGTTGCCATTGCTTTTGGTGTTTTAGTCATGAAGTCCTTGCCCATGCCTATGTCCTGAATGGTATTGCCTAGGTTTTCTTCTAGGGTTTTTTTTTTTTTTTGGTTTTAGGTCTAACATTTAAGTCTTTAATCCATCTTGAATTAATTTTTGTATAAGGTGTAAGGAAGGGATCCAGTTTCAGCTTTCTACATATGGATAGCCAGTTTTCCCAGCACCATTTATGAAATAGGGAATCCTTTCTCCATTTCTTGTTTTTGTCAGGTTTGTCAAAGATCAGATGGTTGTAGATGTGTGGTATTATTTCTGAGGGCTCTGTTCTGTTCCATTGGTCTATATCTCTGTCAGTACCAGTACCATGCTGTTTTGGTTGCTCTAGCCTTGTAGTATAATTTGAAGTCAGGTAGCATGATGCCTCCAGCTTTGTTCTTTTGGCTTAGGATTGTCTTGGCAATGTGGGTTCTGTTTTGATTCCATATGAACTTTAAAGTAGTTTTTTACAATTCTGTGAAGAAAGTCATTGGTAGCTTGATGGGGATGGCATTGAATCTATAAATTACCTTGGGCAGTATGGCCATTTTCATGATATTGATTCTTCCTGTCCATGAGCATGGAATGTTCTTCCATTTGTTTGTGTCTTCTTTTATTTCGTTGAGCAGTGGTTTGTAGTTCTCCTTGAAGAGGTCCTTCACATCCATTGTAAGTTGGATTCCTAGGTATTTTATTCTCTTTGAAGCAACTGTGAATGGGAGTTCACTCATGATTTGGCCCTCTGTCTGTTATTGGTGTATAAGAATGCTTGTGATTTTTGCACATTGATTTTGTACCCTGAGACCTTGCTGAAGTTGCTTATCAGCTTAAGGAGATTTTGAGCGAGACGATGGGGTTTTCTAAATATACAATCATGTCATCTGCAAACAGGGACAATTTGACTTCCTATTTTCCTAATTGAATACCGTTTATTTCTTTCTTCTGCCTGATTGCCCTGGCCAGAGCTTCCAACACTATGTTGAATAGGAGTGGTGAGAGAGGGCATCCCTGTCTTCAAAAGCTAGCAGAAGGCAAGAAATAGCTAAGATCAGAGCAGAACTGAAGGAGATAGAGACACAAAAAACCCTTCAAAAAATCAATGAATCGAGGAGCTTGTTTTTTGAAATGATAAACAAAATTGATAGACTGTTAGCAAGACTAATAAAGAAGAAAAGAAAGAAGAATCAAATAGAAGCAATAAAAAACGATAATGGGGTTATCACCACCGATCCCACAGAAATACAAACTACCATCAGAGAATACTATAAACACCTCTACACAAATAAACTAGGAAATCTAGAAGAAATGGATAAATTCCTCACATACACCCTCCCAAGACTAAACCAGGAAGAAGTTGAATCCCCAAATAGACCAATAGCAGGCTCTGAAATTGAGACAATAATTAATAGCTTACCAACCAAAAAAAGTCCAGGACCAGATGGATTCAGAGCCGAATTCTACCAGAGGTACAAGTTGGAGCTGGTAAGATTCCTTCTGAAAATATTCCAATCAATAGAAAAAGAGGGATTCCTCCCTAACTCATTTTATGAGGCCAGCATCATCCTGATACCAAAGCCTGGCAGAGACACAACAAAAAAAGAGAATTTTAGACCAATGTCCCTGATGAATATCGATGCAAAAATCCTCAATAAAATACTGGCAAACCGAATCCAGCAGCACATCAAAAAGCTTATCCTCCGTGATCAAGTGGGCTTCATCTCTGGGATGCAAGGCTGGTTCAACATATGCAAATCAATAAACGTAATCCAGCATATAAACAGAACCAAAGAAAAAAACCACATGATTATCTCAATAGATGCAGAAAAGGCCTTTGACAAAATTCAACAGCCCTTCATGCTAAAAACTCTCAATAAATTCGGTATTGATGGGACGTATCTGAAAATAATAAGAGCTATCTATGACAAATCCACAGCCAATATCATACTGAATGGGCAAAAACTGAAAGCATTCCCTTTGAAAACTGGACCAGTATTTAACTCCTTCCACAGAAAATGTCATTCCTGGCCTTTAGGCTTTTTTTTTTCTCACACTACATGGTACCTTCCTGGAGCTTTTCTTGATATTCTAGATGCCCTGTATCTTCTTGGAGAGATAGGAAAAATAACTACACAGATGAGGAAGTTTGGAAGGAAAGCAGATGACTTTATCAAATGAAAATATCCCCATGTTTCTTATCTGGGTGGTAAACCTTAACAAGGGTTTGATGGGAGGTCCACTTTGAGAGGTCATTTAGGTTACTGTGGTCAGAGGGGCTGTAACCCACATAGTTCCCCAAAAATACAGAAAATGGTGGGAGAAATAATAATGCTTTAGCACTGTGGGAACTTTAAAACACCTCTTTTTGACCTGGAATGAGGTCATAGCTTTGCCCAGGTCCCACTTGATACAGGACTTTATCTATGTTACCTGTCAAGACTGCAGGCCATTGAATTTCTACCTCCTATCATGAAGAGTCCTGGATATCTTCCCCAAATTGTGAATATGCTCTGGCCTAAAGCAATGAATGAGTCAATGAATAAATGAATGAATGAATATGACATTTCTATTAGCTCCTTTCTTGGGTATCTGTGGATTAGTCACGTTGCTCTGATTTGCCTGGGAAATAAGACTTTAATATCCTGAATATTGTACACTCTTATTATTAAAATGTCACCTAGATTTAAAAAAAAAATCTGCCCCTGCCATTTTCTTACCTTGCTATTTAAGTGTTGTTCTTATCAGGAAAGCATTTGGTGAATGTGAAAAACAATAATCATGGCACATGAATGACAACTTGACTTGATAATGATTAATACCCTCAGCATGCTTATCTTCCTTTTCTTCATATAACTGTGTTCTCCACATTGGGTTCCTGAGGTATGGGAGTCCCCTCAGTAGGAAAATATTTCCTAAAATCAACCTGATAATCCATTCCGTTTTTGGTTGCAGGATGGTAGCTTGTATATTTCAAGGTGGGGAGGGAGGGAGAGAGACTTCATCATGTCCACAGATTTTAGCAATAACTAGACATATGCATTTGCTTGTGATTCCTCAGAGCCTGGTTTTCTTCTACAAAGGATACAAATGCACAACTCTCTTTTCCAACTAAAGGAAGCTGTTTTAAGAAAAATACGTGTTGAGATGCTTAAATAAGTCCATGCTTTACTTCTGAATGTTCACGCCCAAGAACAAAAGAAAGAAGAAGAAAGGACAAGAATCACACCAAGCAGTATCACAACCCCTGCTTACAGATCCATAATTGAGACTGCTCTGCCAGGGAACAAAAATTTATCACCTGTCCCCAAGATGGACACACAAAGGATATTAAACACAGGGTAGAATTTCTGAAAAATCAATCCTGAGCCTGAATTCACAGCATATGTGAAGTTGAGAGAACTCCTGTTTTAGCCTTTTCTTTCCTCCCTCCTTCCTTTCCTTTCTTCTTTCTTTCCTTGTTTCTTTCTTTCTGGAAGACGAATGCTCTGTGGTCTTTAAATTTGTGCCTGTTTTTTCTCCAGTCCAGCAAAATTTGAGGATTGCCTGGGGCTCTCCGGGACAGGAAGATGTAATGTTGACTTTAATGAACAGATGGTATCCGGAGGAAAAAAATCTATCAGGGTTTTAAGTGTCAGAGTTTGATAGAGAATTTGCCTGTGGGGTGTCTAGGAACCTGGATAGGAGAACGTGTCTTGACCTCATGGGAAGAGGGGTGGGATCTGGCTTGGGGAGTGGGCTCTAATTTGAGGGCATATATATATATATATATATATATATATATGTTCAAATTATTTGAATAAAACAGTCATATTTTCAAAAAGGAGATATAACACAGTACTCAGCAGTAGAGACAGGACCATCCTAGCCAAATATAAATTCTTATAATACTTTTGACATTTGTTTTCAGGGAGGTAAGGAATGGAAGCCCCTTTCCTATTGATGATTACACACACAAACACAATTTATTTCATCATTATTGTTATCATCATTATCAGTAGCTTCTTAGCTGTTTGAACCCAGTTATATAACCTCTCTTAGCCTCAGTTTCCTATTCTATAAAATTGGGATCGGGAACACCCACCCTACCCTTGCAGAGGTGCTGTGAGTATTAAATGAACAGAAGTACTGGGTCTACCTCTTGGAGGCTCTCAGTCCATTACAAGCTTACTTGCCAGGCTCCGAACAGATCTCTGAGCATGTTGGCTGCTATGACCTTGCCTCTGGTGCTCCAAGTAGAAGCACCATTTCAAGGACATATTAAACACTCCGTGTGCGTTTGTTGAATAGTTCTCTGCCTTTGATTTCCACCCACAGACTTTCAGAAAGGCCCCATTTACTGATATTTAATCTTTCTGGAGTTTCTGCTTAAACTGAAGGTCCTCATTCCTTATTGATACATTCTAAGTCTTACTGGGGAGAGCTCCAAAACACTGTTTTTCCACAGTCAAAATGCTTCTAAATACAGCATCATCTACAGAATTTTTTTAGATATTCGATGAGTAAAGAAACATTCTCTTCAGCTGTGCTTTCTTTCTGTTTTAGTACATTCATTCTTTTATAACAAAAATATCAGGAACTGGGTGGATTATAAAGAACAATCATGTATTTCTCACAGTTATGAAGACTGGGAAATCCAAAATCAAGGCATGAGCAGATTTGAGGCATGGGTCTGTTGAGGGCCCACTTCATCTCAGATGACAAATTCTCTCTTTGTCTTCACATAGTGGAGAAAACAAAGCCCCTCAGTCTTCTTTTATAAGAGCATTAATACTACTCAAGAGGGCTCCACCCTTGTGATCTATAGGTTGATGCAAAAGCGATTGCAGTTTTTGCCATTAAAAATAATAAAAAGTAATGACAAAACCACAATTGCTTTTGCACCAACCTATAATTACCTCCCAAAAGCTCTACCTCCTAATATCATTTCTTAAGGGATTAGAATTTCAACATACACATTTTGGGGGCACAGAAACATCCAGACTATATTCCTCTCCTACCCCTATCATGCAGAGAGAGCATGCTCTTGTATCCTGAAACTTCACAAAAATCAAATACATCAATCAGCACAAGTTTAGGGAGACCCAGCTTTCCGGTCAACCCCATGGTAGTGACAAAGAAAGAGCCTTCTTAGAGTCAAAATTGCCCAGAATCACTTTGTCTGGAATTCTTGGGTGATGGGCTGTGATGTGCTGATTTTTTCTCGCATTCTTCGTGGATCCAGTTGTCACTGTTTGTTTGGAGTGTGTGCTATGTACCAGACACTTTGCTACAGGGCTTTCTTCCTTGGAGCCCCAAATATTTTATGTCATCATTTTTGATAAAAACAACTTTTTAGAATGTTCCACTATGTCTTCTGTTTTTCGAAAATAAGTTTTCTGAATGTGATCTCATCTTTATGATTCAGGGATAGCCTTATTAACACAGTTAACAAACAGCACATCCTATAAGAAAAAAATGTCATGGGAACTTCTGTTTGTCCTAATTACTAAATGGTACAAGATTGCATTTTGTGAAAAATCTGTTTTTCATAGTTTTCTGCCTTATTCACTTCCTGACAAGGCCTTATGACCACCCATGTTTCTGCCTGCTTGTCTACCCATAATACTTTTTCTATTTTTCTATTTTTTTTCCACAGGCTTGAGATTTAGAAAACCACGTAGGGAAGATGGTAGTCAAAAACACTGATGGAATAGAACTGGCATCCTTATTGGAAGACTTACTAGTTATGAGACTGGGCACATAATCTCACATCTCTGATCTTCATTGGGAAGATCACTTTAAATTGGGAAATTCATCAAACCCATCTTTTAGCATGGTTGGAAAGATTAGCTATGCTGTTTGCAAAACCCTGGACCAGTGGCCACAATGCTGCCTCTGTTGGAGTACCCAGGATCATTCGTTCCTTGCCTATGGTAGCCCCTGCCTTGGATGCCTAGGTTCATCTCCTGCTGTCCACACCATGATGATAATAATAATAGGGGAGTGTTACCGAAGCTATGTATGCTATATTCATTACATTCTTTAACCCTCACAGGGATGTAGAAATGTTGGCATTGCAGTGCTTCTTTTGCAGTTAAGAGCACCAGAACCAGAAGGTTAAATAGCTTGCTGAGATTACATAGATAGTAAGAGACTCAATCACATGCTTCTGACACCCAAACCATGAACCAATTCACTGCACTGAACTTCCTCTCTGGGAATAAGACAGGTTTGCAGAGCTCAAAGTAAGGGATCATCCAAATATAACTCTATCTATCCCAGAAAGAAGCCAGCTCCTCGGGACATTGACTACCTTTGGCAGACTGTTGCATTTGAGGTGACCAAAGATTCAGGCATTGAGAGAAGACAGATTTGTTCTTTATTATATGTGAGCTGAGTGCTTAGGGACTGGGACCTGCCTCATGTTTCAGGGATCTAGCTTGCTGCCTTCCTGCAGAGTGCCAGAGATAATGTATTTAAGAGATGCCGGACTGATCAGGTGAGAATTTATGTAAGCTGAAACCATTAGGTGGTTTAATTAAATCAGGGCATTTAACTCATTAGCCTCCTGCTCCTGGGACTAATAAATTTGAATCCAGTGGTGCTAATCACAAAGGAAGCCAAGTCCAGCATGTCCCCTCTTAGTGGGAAAGAGGAAACACAGCAGGAGAAAGGTAGTAGCAAATTCAGAAAAAGAATGACTGGCACCATCAGCAGAGCGTGTTGAGCATTCTGAGACCTAACTGGGAGTCGGGGAAACGTGGGAGAGAAAGATGAGCTTGGTGACTAAAAGGAACTCCAAATTTCACTTGGTTATCCCCCAAAATATTCACTTGGGATTACCACATGCAAGCCATCAGAAAAACCCATGTCTGGTGCATAACATCTTGTCATAATCCTTACTAATATACTTGGTATCTCACAGTTATGATAGCTGTGACAGAAACTTCTTGCGGCTGAGTCTCACTCTCCTGCTTACAAGTGAAATATGTGCATTGTCTTCCAATTGCCCAAGCTCACACATCTTACTTGCCAGGCTTTGGACGTGAATAGTGTCTCATTATTCTCCACCTGCATCACCAAAATAGCTTACAAACCCATGTCTCTTTCTTTCTTGTCACTATTTCTTCCCCAACATAATGGCCAGGTTTACATTTTTAAAATAGAGATTTTGATGCCATCTCTCAGCCTGAAATCCTTCAGTAGCTTCCCATTATCTTCAAGATCAAGTTCAAATTCATTAACAGGCCCAACTAAGCCTTTCTCTAAGTTTCATTTCCAACCCCCATCATCTCTACTCCTTTTCTCCCAGGGAGGACAGGGTACTTATAAACAGTATGGAATGATTTGCATTTTCCCAAACATTCCACAAGCCTATACCTTGGCATATTCTATTACATTTACAATGTCCTTTAGAATTTCACTTTGAATTTCTTTCCACCCAGGGAATACTTCTTCACATCTCTCAGTCGATGGTTGGGATAGCTCTATCAAGCTCTCTTTGATACCTTTGGGCTCCAAAAGCCATGCCTTATTCGGGTTTATGATGCATGCTTCCAAAAACCTTTTCCTCTCTCCCAGGTACTCACCTCTTTACGTGTCTGTCTTCTCCTCTAGACACTCAATTTTTTGAGGTCAGGAATTATATATTCATAATCACAATAAGATGCTTGGCGTGTCATGTTAGCATAGGCCTGGATGGTGTCCACAGCTTCCTGAAGGTGGGGTGACATTGGCTGGAATTGTGTGATTCTGAGTGGGGACCAAGCTGTCAGCCTGAGCAGATGGGGAGCTTGCAGAAGCCATTGGAAAAGGAAAGAATGCTGAAGAGAAGTTAACACCAGGGCAGGAAACATGGGGTGAGGAGAACAGGTTCAAAGGAAGGTTTTATAGCCTTTTGCTACACAGTGTTTAATGAAAAACATTTCTGTATCTTCTGATGGCATTTTCAGTAAAATAAGCACTTCTTTCAAAATGTATAAGTTGGCTCTTCCGGGGAGGATGTGATAAGTATTTTCATATGGCTTCAAGGTCTACCTCAGGGCGCTCACTGAATCCCTATTGTTGTTATGACAATGGACATGGTCTTTAGCGAGCTTTCATGAGCATTTCCCATGTGCCAGCACATGCTAGACACTAACTTGCACTGTTTCAGGGGCAGTAGCCCCTGGGAAGAGGTATTATTAGTAATATACTTTTATGGTGAGGAACGTGACAGGAAGATAGGATAAGAGATGTTCCCAGAGCCACATGCTACATGAGAAACTGGGACTTGAACCAGATCAGTGTGGGAGGCGAGCCCATGCTTGAAGCTATTCTTCCCAGTCCTGCACTGGGACAGGACCTGGTGCATGGGCTTTTCTTGACATCAGCAGGCCAAGGCTGGCAGGAGAAGTGTTTATGATCTGCCTGGGGTGGAGTAGAGAGAGGGAGGATGGGCTGAATGTCTGGGTAGCTTCAGAATGCCTTAGAGGTGTACTCCTGCTTCCTGGTGGAGGACAGTGACTTAACAAAGCTCCCACTGAGATTTCTGATGCTGCAATAACAACCTGTCTGGTGTTTTGATATTTTTCCCCATTTCCTCTTTTTGGAAAATGTGAAGAAAATGACAGGGAGCTGTCTCTATGAATGCTCAAGAGCCCAAACCAACCGGAGTATAAGAAAGAGGTGGAAGAAATAAACTACGTTTGAAATGTGCTTCTGTTTCAACCTAAGTAAGATGAAAGGCAGCCTGCAAAGTTTTTAATTGAGAAGGCAGGAGGTACCACAGAACAGAGGTCATCTACCTGGTGATGTAGTCATTCATATCAATTGAGCAAATCAAATCTGTTATGCATACGCACAATTCAGAGTTCCAATATCTTTTCCTAGAATAACAAGCAAAGTGCCCTTAACTATTTGCCACAAGCCAGTGAATTGACTCACAGGTGTAGGCTCCCATCTTGGCTCTGTGGCTTGTTGTGAATGTGACCTTCAATGTCATACCCAACATATGAGGGCCAGTGTGAATGTTGAGTCTGACTTCTAGCTCTGGAGTGGTGGTGCGGGTTGGAGATGATGCATGCAGATACTTTTAAGAGACTATCATCATCTGGTCCAAACTATTATTTTGTAGGTGTTGATGCAGACCATTCATCAAGAAGGGAAGGGGCTCCTCTATGATCTCACAGCACCTCTTATGCTGGCCTTGGGACCACCAAAGTAGAAGTCTTTTGGCTGTGACATCTGTGACATGTGGCCCACCTCAAGGTCTGCCTCTTGTCATTAAAAGCCCTTGTCCATATTTCCTCAAAGTCAGTTACACACTAGATACAGGGACCATGTAAAGACAGTGCTCAGCGTCCTATGCCCTCCAGGACAGAGTGACCAACACACTATGCTATGGAGCACTGGAACTGTGGCCAGCCTGAATTGAGATATGCTGTGGGTGGAAAACAAACTCAAGTTCTCATACTCAGTATACCATAAAAAAGTAAAATGTCTCATTGATAATTTTGTGTGGTTTGCTGATTGAAATAATATTTTGAATGAATTGGGTTAAGTCAAATACATCATTAAACTTCATTTCACCTGTTTAATTTTACATTTTTTTAAAATGTGGCTAACAGAACATTTAAAATTACACAGGAGTCTCTCACTATGTTTTACTAGGCAGCGTCATAGTGGCTCAGAATTTTTTTTTTCTTTCTTACTCTACTATCAGGAAATGTACTCCATTTCTTCTTCTGCAACAGAGCCTGTGCTTGCCATCTCATTTTTACTGTGTGCACAGTTTCCTGTAGTAACAGTGGTAACGGTTCTCATAATGATGAAGGTTGTTTGTAAAACCCCACATCCTCGATGGCCTCTTCTTTACAAAATGTTCCCACAGAGATTCTTGCTTCACCATGTCTTTGCCTGCATGGCCAAGATGACTTGGCCCCACACAGGAGTTTCTGCCGGGCATGTCACCATCCCTAGGTCTAATTCAGTGGGGTGAATGGTCACATTCTCAGCCTCCTGCTCCCTCTGATCCTTCTAAAGAAGGAAGTGCCTGCCTCTCTCTCTCACCTTTCACCTGAGGTGATGTAGACACTGTTGATTCAAGGAGGTATTATTTCTTCCTGTTCTGTTCCCTCCAACCGTCCCCACACCACTTTCTTCTTTGTGACTCACTAAACCCATATAACCGACTGGGGTCCTATTTAACTTATGTGCATATTAATTTGGCAAACATTCATTCTGCATCTCCTAAACACCTGATACTGAGCTAGTGGCTAGGGATGGAAAGAAGAGCTTGAACATCGCCTTTGGTTGGCCTCAAGGAATCATAGACAAGTTGATAAAACACAGTATTACAATATATAGAGGCATCAGCTGAGGTCACAAAGTAGGTTGCCTAACACATCTGATGATGAAAGAGAAGACTCTCTAAAGATGTGTTCAGTTGAGTGGAAAGGATGACTATAGCTCAGCTAGGGCTTACTGTATTATTAGTATCATTATTGTTATTTTTGCTATCATCATCATTTTTTAAAGTTAACTGCAAAGGAATGGACTTAAGGAAGAGCATGTAAAATTTAGGGAATTAGAAACACAAGAGATGGAGAATGAGGAAGCTGCTCCTGAAGGCCCCAAAATCCGAGTTTAGGGATTCACATTTCATCGTAAACTCAGTGAGAAGTCCCACGTGGTACTCATAAAGATGCATGAAACAGTCAGCCCAGCATTAGGAATCCATCACTTTGGTAGCCATGGGGTAAGGAATAGAATTGTTCTTACCCTATGTGTGGAGAGAAGATCAGCCATGTGTCCAAAGAGTCCAACTGTTTTGTCTTAGAAGACACAGGCACAAGGTATTTGCAATTGTGTCTGCCTTCCTGTCATCTGAAGAAGGCCCCTCCTGGGGGTCCAGTGTTTGTCTGTGATATTATTTCCCACAGTCCCACCAAGCATAAAGGATTACATCGATGCTTCCTCTCATTGATGATGAGGGCAAAGGTGCTGGGTCCAGCAGGCACCTTGGGGAACTGGAGCAGATTTGGGGATCTGTCCTTCCTGGCCCCAGAGAGACTGGTTTGGTTCAGGGACCCCTGGGGCCCCATTTGAAAAGTGGCTTTTCTCATTTCCCTTTGATCAGGCAGTTCATGGCATATTTGGAAGGACAAGGAGTGATTTGTCTTCCACATGTGTTTTCATTTATTCCTCAAAGGCAGAGCTAAAGCATTAAGCAAGAATACAATAAAGTCCAGTGGGCAGACAAGCTTCAAACAGTCTCAAAGGGTATGTCTAAGATAAGCTCATTTGTTTATAATCCATGTATTTTTTAATAGTTTATGAAAAATACAGGTGGTAAACTTACATCTGGGTGAATAAGGGTAGAAGTAAAATACAATAATGCCAGGCATAAGGTCAATTCTGAAAAAGTTTCCATAAATTCCTGTGTAATTCACCAATGGGAGCCATTATTTAGGCAGGAGCTTCCTAGTAGCCAGTAAAATAACGAACAGTGTTTCATAGGTAATGGGTAAAAGAACACTTACTTCTGATACATAGAGCTAAGGGAAATCACACTGGTAGTTCTTCACAAAGGGCACATTTTCTAATTAAGTAAATAATGTTTTTAGTAATATTCTGACTGCCATTGACTATGGGTTTCAGAAGGTTATTTAAAATGATGCAAATTGACTTGATTTTCATAGCATTCCTTGACAGCCTCTGATGTACAAGGGTGGTAAACTGCAATAATGTGTTCAAATATTTTGCCGCCCTTCTCTGGATGATGCTACACCACTGCCTGTTGCTATGGGGTGTGTGGTGCAACATCCCAGGAAAGCATCTGCTCTCCCCATCCCAGTGGTACCAAGTTTGACCACATCATGTGACACACGCCACTCCCCAGAAGAGAATCTAAGGACCACTGCATCATTCTGCCATGAACTCATTTCCTTCTGCCTCAAGAAGGTCAAGTGCCAGAGAGGAGCTGTACATATTCAGCCCAGATCTCAGTACAAAGGAGACACAAGGAGGAGAGCTCCCATTGACCCACGATTGACATATATGCAAGCAAACAAGAAACCTTTGTTGTAGTCAGCACCTGAGATTTGAGGATTGTTTGTTACTTCAGCATGACCTGTTAAAAGATCTCATCATACTGCTTTATCATGACGGATGCAGCTTTATCAGTGCCTTGGGGTGATAGAGAGATATAAAAGACACAATTTTTACCCTCTGCAAACCTGCAATTTAGTAGAGTAAACTACATGTTTAAAAATAGGCTGAAGGCTGTAAGTGCCACCTTAGATTCTCAAAAAGTATCATGGGAATCAAGTCCAGATGCAAGAAAAAATATATACCTAAAAAGAAAATTACTTCCTTAAAGAGCAGATACTGAGAGAATGAGCAAGGTTAGAATGGAAAAGGTAAACTTCTGGGAGTAGGCATGGCAGGGATTTTGGGGGGAAGACTCTATTTAGCAGAGTGTGTCCTGGGAATGGAGAGAGAAACGTCTCAAATGGAGCACTCAATGAGAGGAAGATTATGATAGGAAATAAATTTGGAGATCAGAGAGCTGACAGAGAAGATAATAATTTTTAGTGCAGTTTACACTTAAGGTAACAAAGTTTATTGAGGGCCTGCTTTGTGCTAGGCATCGTCCTCAGTATTTTAAAAGTCTCACTTTATTTAATCCAAACAACAGCACTAGGAGACAGAGGTTCTAATTGCCATTTTGTGTAGAGATGAGGAAACTGAGGCTCAGTCCTAAAGCAAAATAATTAGCAAATTGCAGAAATAAAATTTGAACCTCAGTCTTCCAGGCTTCAAAGCCCATGTGTCTTTGTTGTCCAGGCATACAGATGGATGACTGAGGGTCTTCCATACCATGGTAATTATTGTGTACTTCACTTAATGTGCAGTGGAAATCTACTGAAGCCTTCCGAGGTTGGGGAAAAGGGTGACACTGATTTGGCCTGTGTTTCAGGAAGATAATTTTATTAGCCATGTTGAGGCCAGCCTGGATGTGGTGACTGGGAGCAAGTAACAGGTAAAATGCAGCAACAATAATTCCATATATTGGTCACTAATTGTCCATTTAGCTATCATATGGAGGAAGTTGACTTTAACAGGTCTTACAAATGCCTTCAAAGAGGGTTCACAGGCCCTATATCCCAAGAGATTTTTCAATTTCTTAGAGGTGTTTCAAAGAACAACAACAGTAACAGTCAGTTTTACTAACCATCTTCCCTTCCTGTTCAGTGGAGTTTGTATGTAGATCTACCTGAGACAGAGGGTTGAATCCTATAGACTCACAAGGCCCTTCCCATCTTGTAACCATAACCCCTTCACCTTTATTACTCATATAGACAAAACCTAATTAAGCTTTTTTTCTCCAGATCTCTGAGCATCTATATAATGAGAGAAAAGTGTTGGAATTACAATGAGAAGTGTGAGTCTTAGCATTTAGTGGCTTTCTGTGATATGCTTTTAGGACTTTTCCAAGGGAAGATGAAATAAACATCCTATACCCTGTCCTGGGAATCTGGTCTGACCTGAGACTAGCCCTCATGAGGATGCTGGCAGGGCAGAATGTTCACCATAGTAACACAAGCAAGGGAGAGGAGAAAGGAAGAAAGAAACTTTTGGGCATTTGTAGGGGTGGGGGAGGAATTTAGTAAAGCTCAATGGAGTAGGATAAAGGGGAGATTCCATTAGTTGGTAGGCTTTGATAATGAATTATATGACTGATCGGCCACTGTTTCAGCAAAGACAGATTCTTTGGATGGCACGGCCATGGCAGGAAGAATAAATGGTCTTTTCTAGCATTAGGCAGCATTGATCTCTTGAATAAAGGGTTTTGAACACAGCTCCCGTGGAAGAACAGTGTGCTTGGCACACAGACAATGCTTAAAAAATATTTGTTGCTGGGCTGGGCAGAGTAGCTTATGCCTGTAATCCCAGCACTTTGGGAGGCCAAGGTGGGTGGATCACGGGATCAGGAGATCAAGATCATCCTGGCTAACACGGTGAAACCCCGTCTCTACTAAAAATTAAAAAAAAATTAGCCGGGTGTGGTGGCACACGCCTGTAGTCCCAGCTACTCGGGAGGCTGAGGCAGAAGAATCGCTTGAACCTGGTAGAAGGAGGTTGCAGGGAGTCAAGATCACACCGCCGCACTCCAGCCTGGGCAACAGAGCAAGACTCCATCTCAAAAAAAAAATACATATATATATATACATCTATATATATATATATACATATATATAGATGTATATATATATATTTCCTGTTGAATGAATAAATGATCTAGGCTCAGGGAGGACCCTAGAAGCCAACTTATTGCAAGGGAGTGATGCTATCCAGTGGCATTTTAAAGACCGCCTCTTGAGGGCCATTCTGGACAGCCTATAGCAGCAACTCAATATTTCAAGAGCACCAGTTCTCAAGAAAGCCAATTAGACTTCCCTTTGAACTTGGCTCAATTTCGCCTCCAGGCACTTTCACAGCAAAGGGTCAGGCTTCTGACCTCTGAAACATATAATCACTCCTTCTGCCAGTGCCTTCTTTGACTGTACAATTTGAACTTTAGCTAAAAAAGGAATTAGAAAAAGTGGAAAATACCACACACATTAAAACACCAACTAATTATGCCTTCTTCCATCTTCTTCTGTCTACAAACATCAAAGAGATGCTTATGGCTGTCAACGATTGATATGGAAAGAAGACTGGCTTGTTATTTCAGATGTCTTATTTGGTTCAGGCTAAGGCATCAGGAATGGCAGAGATATTTAGCCAAGGACGTGTGAAGAGGGTACCCAGAGAGAGAAGGACATAGGTAGCCTCAAGGATTCATGCTTGATGACTCTTAGGAGTCAAGATCAGAATGAAATTCTTTAGGAATTTCTCTACTCTAGCCGCTTGTGTGGGGGACTCTGAGAAATAACTGATATTTCTATTAGTGAAAGGGGAGGAAAGCATCAGTGTTATTTTTGAGTGTAAATTTTGGAGATTCTAAGGAAAAATTTGTTCTGTAATATTTTAAGAAGCTCTGTTTTTGCAGAATAGGTAGTAAACATTGCTGTCGATGAAAAATCGTCAATTACTGCATTCTAATCTCAGTGCCTGTGATTAGACTGACTCACACCTTACCGGACAGAGTATTGAGACTTACCATAGGGTATGTGACCACTCCACTTAGTGTAGTGTTGGCTTTTCCTCAGCGTGAATTATTCCGAGGCACTGGACAGATGTAAGTGCTGAGTCTTCATGAGATAGATAGTGACAGTCAAACATTTTATAATTTAGAGAGACAACTAGCCTGGGATTACATTCAAGTGGACACATTCAGTGATTCTTTTTTCCCTGAAAGATGCTCAGCGGCCGGGCGCGGTGGCTCACGCCTGTAATCCCAGCACTTTGGGAGGCCGAGGCGGGCGGATCACGAGGTCAGGAGATCGAGACCACGGTGAAACCCCGTCTCTACTAAAAATACAAAAAATTAGCCGGGCGCAGTGGCGGGCGCCTGTAGTCCCAGCTACTCGGGAGGCTGAGGCAGGAGAATGGCGTGAACCTCGGAGCCGGAGCTTGCAGTGAGCGGAGATCGCGCCACAGCACTCCCGCCTGGGCGACAGAACGAGACTCCGTCTCAAAAAAAAAAAAAAAAAAAAAAAAAATATGCTCAGCAACTTGAGATGGCAGCAAAACAGATATGAATGCTCATGGGTCACAGTTGGATTCTTTGTGTTCGGGCAAGTAAGTGTGTTTTTGGTGTCTTCTTTAAAGATAAAACTATATAAGTCTCCTTTTGCCTCCTTTACATTCTGTACAGTGTTTTCTGAACAATTCCGTATTTCCAAAATTCAAAATGATTGTAAAAAAATCTATGCTAAAAAAACCAAAATTTTTCAATAAAGGCAGGAACTACAGGGAATATTATTATGAAGCCAGGGAGACAAGCATGTACAGTACTCAATCTTGACTTTATTTAAAATTTTGATGTTTCCTTTGTCTAGATGTTCATTATTAATTTTGATTTTTTAAATATTGTATTAAAATGCATTGACTTTGGCTAAGGAGTCTTTTGTCACCCCTTATATCCTGCTTCTTTGGAGGGTACATCTCCTGAGTCCCCACCTGCTAGATATGTCTTTTCATGTGACTTTACTCAGAGGAGCAAATTGGGATGTACTAGAAGCCCGTTGTTTTTCTACTCGAGCTCAAGGTCATTTGCTGCGTCAGTTAAAAGAACTTTGTGGATCAGAGACGTCTGCCAATCAGATCCTTGGGGCTCTGGCTTGAGTTCCGCCACCCTTCCAGTGTGGGGGTCTCACCTCCACGTAGGAAGGAGGTTTTTCCATTTGGGCTGTTGATGAGATGTGGAAGGTGTGTACCTAGAATCCTCTGGGGGCCTTGCTTGCCTCAAAGAACAATCTGGCAGTTGCTGGCACTGGCTTGCAAAGGTATTTTTGTTATCAGTTAATCCAGAAATTTGTTTTCTATTTACTAAATGCCCAGCTATTTACAATAAGGAGATAGAGAACTGAAGGAGATCCCATGCGCTGGACAGAAACATGGAGGACCAGAAGGAGTGGGCTATTGATGGAGCCTGGCCATGATTTCGCCATCCGAATTTCCTCTTCCATTTTCCTTTTCAAGGTGAAAGGGAGGTGCTCTTAGATCAGGGCTCTGCAAACTACAGCCTGTGTGGCAAATTCAGCCATCTCCTCTTTTTGTATGGCCCTGGAGCTAAGAATAAACTTAAAAAAAAAAAAGCAAAGGAAGAATAATATTTCATGACACATGGCAGAAACTATGTGAAATTCAAATTTCATTGTCCATAAATTAAGTTTTATTGGAACACAGGCATGGTCATTCATTTGCATATTGTCTATGACTATTGATGCTCTACAGCAGTAAGATTTAGTAGCTATGATGAAGACTGTTTAAGGCCCACAAAGCCTGAAATACTCACTATCTGCCCCATTACAAAAAAGAAAAGAGGAAAAAGTTGTTGACATCTGGCCAAAATTATTCTGAATCTTGTTTCAGCTTCAAAATATAGAATCCAACACTATTTGTTGGCATCCATGTCGGGGACCCATTACTCATGCACTTCCTCAGTCTTCCCCAGTTGGCCATGCCTTTGGGGAAACATTTCAGGGGTCTCTCTTTCTTAATTGTTAAACAGAGGTAAAGTAACATCCATTTTGCTAAACTATAAAAATAAAAACAAAACAAACAACTCAGCAAGATTTTCTACTGTAAAGGACAGTAAATGATAAAAACATGATTGATTAATTGAGAGACTAATTGATTCTTATCTTTTCTACTTCTAAGAGGAAGCCAATATAGCTGGTAGAAATACATATGCAACACGTATAAAATTAAAACAGCAAGAAAATGGCTAAATATATCCCCTTGTGTATGTTTATGTTTATGCATCCAAGCAGAAAACTCTCTAGCAGTTTGTTATCAAATGAATAGTTCAGCCCACACATATTTATTAACTGCTTATTATGTTTAAAGCACAGCTCCATTCCCTAAATGCATACAAGGAAGGTGGAAGACACTCTCTGTCCTCAGGAAGCTTACCGCACTGATAGAAAGGTCAGATTTAATTGCCAAAAAAATTAGGGATCCACCAGATGGTCATATGTCTTGAAGGTGACTATTTGACTGGAGGCCAATGGTCTGGGATCCAGAGTACAGCCACCAGCATAGAGCACTGTGACTTTGGGCAAGCCATTCCCTCCTCCAAGCCTCAGTTTCAGCACATATGAAACGGTGGTAATGATGATGGTTTGAGTAGATGGTGTCTAATACATTAACATGAGCAACATAGAGTATTAACTACATAAGCTATGAAAAATTTGATAAGCTAGAACAGTGAGCACTGTTCTCTACACAAGGACCATGGAGATGAGTGAGCTCTAGTCAGGGACCTCAAGGAGAAAATGTCTCCTAAGGGGAATAGTGACACAGATGGACAATTACAGTTCCAAGGAGCAAATGCACCAACAAATAAACAAACAGAGGGGACTGTGGGCCCTCAGAGAAGAGACAACTGCAGAAGTGGCTAGGAGAGCTTCTGAATAAGGCAGCATCTGATATCTAACCCAAAGTTTAAAATAAGGGACACATAGACGAATAAACTTTTTTTATTTTTTTGGCAGAGGGTAATGATTTGAACAAATGCAAAGCAAGGAACCAACAATAACAAAACACAAAGGTAAAGAGATAAAATACAGCATAGTCTATGTGAGGAGGTGTTCATTCATTCCTTCATTCCTTCACTCATTCATTGGAGATCACAGTGAGCCAGGCCTGGTCCCAGGCTCTGGGGGCACTGTGAAGTTCCTGATCTCTGTGAGCTCATATCCTAGTAAAGAAGACAGCCAATAAACAAATGGCATAATTTCAAGTACAAATAACTGTTGAGGAGAAAACTAAAGTATGTGATGGGGCAGAGTGTGGTCTGCTGTTTTAGATAAATGGCCAGAAATAAATGGCCTCTTCAGAGAGGTGAATTGTTATATATGAATTCTAACTCCAAAATAACAATATACAGCAAACACCAGTTGCTGAAAGACAGAGGGAGAAGAAAGGAGTGGTCAGTGGAGAAGATCACAAAGGGTGTTGGTCCTGGAGTTGACTGGATGCCCATTAGTGATGTTCCATGGTTGGTTTTGAATGTTGACAGCAGGGCTGGAGTAGCTGCCTGGAAGATGGAGGAAGGATTGTGTTTCAATAGTCCAGGAAGGCCATGCGGATCTCTGAACAGGAAAGGGGGAGGATGATGGGCAACAAGACAGACATACACTGTTCCTTAGATGGCGAATCATCCCCTTGAGGTGGGATAATAGTAGAACTGGTCGTCAAGGGCAGACTCACAAAAAAAGTTAAAAGCAAGACCCAGGGGTATGAGATAGGCAGTGAGCCTGGCAAAATAGCTTGTGTCAGACAGAGCTTGAGCTAAGTATACATGAATTATAGAATCAAACCTGATGCTCCAAAGACAGTAATTGTCCCAAGGACATGATCATTTTTGTTTCTTTGACAGGATGTAGTAGGAGTTTTTGCACAATCTTTTGGGGTCAGCTAACCTTGGCAAATCGTGCGGTCACCACCTGCTCTGGCTCACAAAGGCCAAAAACGGCAGAGGTGATGCTGGAAATGTTGATAGTCACCAGACATCTTCAAGTACGGGTGAAGCCCTTCAGGGTTTTGCCACCTAAGCTTCTCATTTCCTAGGAATTCAATTCAAAAGCATTTACTGAGCACCTACTGAATACCACTGGCTATGCCTCAGATATTTGAATGACTAAGATGGTGGTCTATGGATAGCCATTGGATTCATTAATGGATTGATTGCCCAGTCAATTTTTCTATAATATACTTTTATACATATCATCCACTTGTCTGCTTTACAAACTGTGTAGGTTTTCCATCAGTTAGAAACACAGATTACCATTTATCTAGGTGCCCACAAGAAAGCATAATCTCAGATCTTCTACTTTCCAACAAAACCCATCTTTAGAGAAATGATAAGACTGCGGGAGGCACCTGTTATTTATCCACTCATATAAGTTGCTGTGCTGAGTTAAGTTCTTTTATCGAGTTAGATCCCTGGAAAGATATAGACTTCAACCATTTTTTGTAGCCCCTTGACAAACCACCTACTTGGAAGTAATGTTTTGTTACATCTTTGAGTTTTATTGAGAGTCATTATGGAAAACAATCCTATGAAATTAGGTATGCATTTATTCTAAAAGCAAGTGTTTTGGACTTTATCCATGATGCTAACTAGATCTTCCAGAGGATTTGTTTTGTGTCCTCTTTCTTAAGAACAAAACAAAAATAAAAGCAAACATTTGCAATTGACCATATTTTCCCTTTGCTTTGGCTGCCAGGGAGCTCAAGAGCAAATTGGGGTGCAGATAGAGTAAGTACAAAAAACCTGGTGGTTAGCTGATGCTACATGCTCTCCTGTTTATGTATTGAACTTCTATTCCTGGCCATTAGCTGTTTAAATGTATTGTATGTGAGTTCCTTAAACAGTTTCCCAAAAGGAAGTCCAAGGAGATGAACTCTGTTTAAAATGAAAATAAATAAAGTCAGTATTTTCTTGTCTTCTTTGCAATTTCTGCACAGGTGGTAATCCAATCTCTTGAGCTAGAGTTTAAATTCTGGAGAGGAGCAGCAAGACTTTATATTTTATTCCTTCTCCCTGCATTTTCTAGGATAATGCTGAGCATGTAGAAGGAACAAAAAGAACGTGGTATTACTAATTGCTGTTCATTTAACAGACGTCTTGATGGCAAGATGCTTTCGATGTATTTCCAGTGGGTATTTCCCATCCTTGACCCTCATTCCTCAGATGGAAACAAGACCCCCATAGAATCGATCTTCCTTCCCCTCTGTTTGGGCAAAAAGAATGAGGCTTTTGGGATGCAGGCATCTTGCTTGTTTCAATGTTGGTTCCTGTGGCTGGTATAGTGCCTGGCGCAGAGTAGGAACTCAATAAATGTTGTTTGTTAAATGCTTTATTCTGGCTAAAGGTGCACACAATAGATAACATTACCGTCTTCTACTAATGTTAGAGAGGATCTATTTTTGATCCTGAAGTTCATTTAGGGCCTTTCCCTTGTTATTTTTTTTTTCTTTCCCCCTGCTTTTCTCTTGTTTTATCCCTTGGCCTAGAAGGGATAAGACAAATTAATTTCAGTCATTATTGTATATATGACTGTCTTCCTTGGATACCCAGTCACTGCCCATGTCTACAGCTTGCTTGTGCTTTTAGATGGTGTCCAGAGGGCAGGACTGCAGCAAAGTTTCCGGCTGCTATAGCACCAGTGGGGGAAATGAAAATAGCTTGCTCTGGAAATGACAGCGAGTTTCTTGGCAAATCCCTTTGGTACAGTTTTAAAGTCTGCACTAAGAAGACCTAGACACCCTAGAATTTTGTTGCTCGGCATTCATTTTGCCCCAACTTCAAGACCAGCCTGGAGAAAAAAAAATGGGATAGTGATGTGTCACCAAGATGGCTGAGCCCTCCCACCCCCTGCCAGAAAACAAGCTCTCTGTTAGATATTGATAGCTAGACCATCGCTATGAGGCCTGCAACGTTCCTGTGAGAACTATGTCATTTTCATAGGTGAAAAGTTCAGAGAAATTAGTGACTTGCCCAAGATTTTATGCATGTTTTTGGAAGAGCTGACATTAAAACCCCCATATCTGCTTAATTTCAAATTACACGATCTTCTCTGCACACCATAAAATGGGCACAGATTTTCTCCTGTGGCCTCCCAGCCCCTTGAACTTCTGCAGAACACCCACCCTTCCTTATACCATTGCTCTTACTTGACACGTCCTACCTTGGTGGTAGGAAAGCAGATAAACAGTAGATTCACTTATCTATACTCTATCTGTCTATACCTCTTTACAACCCCACCATTCCATCTTCATCACTGGAGTGATACTAACACAGGGGGTGTCCGTTCTGCTACAACATTCAACATTTGGCCATATCTTCATTGGGCATTTCCCATCCTTGGCTTTCATTTCCACAGATGAGGAATGAACCAGGATTGCAAGGAATAGAGTTATACAAAATATTACATTTGCCCATAAGGGTTTTATTACCTGTTAGGTTGAACTGTATGGAATTGCCAACTCTTGATTATTTCTGACAGTTCCATAAGATTCAAGCTAATAGTAAAGCAAGAAGAGAGTAATCATTTAGTGGGTGCACACTGTAAATTATAGGCCCTGTGTTGGCTGATTTCCACGCATCCAGTAGTTTACTGTTCACGGCAGCACCACAAGCAACCCCACTAAAGACCTGAGATTCAGGAGATCATGTCGTTGCCCAGGGCCACATTTTTGGGAAGCATCAGAGATATTATTAAACTCCTAGCTCCTTCACTCTGAAACCTGTATCCACATCACAATTTCAGCAGTGCTAGGACCCTGTCTTTAGAATTTTGGGGGTTCTGAGTGGAATTCATTGGTGCTGATATCGCAGGCCCTAGGAAGTTGGTGTTTGCTGGTATCGTTGTAGATACTGACAATCCAGGGTGATAGTCAAGCTATTTTAAAGCTATTAAGTTTAGGGCACTACCAAGCAAAACTGACACTTGACCAGTCAGAATGGCTGCTGGCTGTCAACCATTAGAGATGCCTTAAAGGGAATTAGCATTCTGCTGATAAAGAAGGTATGGTGGTTGCTGCTATTCTAGTTTTCTGTATGCTGTTGTTTGCAGGGTACTCAATAGTTTGGATTATTTGTCAGCTAAAACTCATTCCCCTCTTCCCCAATACTACCGTGCAGAATTTCCTTCCCTACTTCCTGAGGTTGGGCTTGGCCATGTGGCTTCACCTAACCACTGGAGTGCCTGTGGACATGATGCAATCAGAGACCTTAGATGTGCTTGCTCTTCTCTGCATTTAGGCTATAACATGTCTGAGGTAGCTGTCACCCCTTAAGCTGGGATCCCAGAACAAATACACATTGAGTGGATGAGAACCCAATCTATAGCTTAAAACCATGCTCAGGAGACATGCAGTCTGCAGCAGAGCTGATCAGCTGAGACAAGTCTAGCTCAACAGAACCACAGTAAACCTAGAAACCAATGAGCGTGAGAAGAAATACTTAGTCTTTCAAGCATCTGAGCTGGGATGATTTGTTATACAGCATTATTGTTGCAATTGCTGACTCAGGCAGGATTGTGAAGCTCAGGGTATGGCCTTTGAAACTGCATAATTCCAATCTTTGGCTCCCTCAAGTTTAGTCTCCCCAAGTGTAATGCAGCCACATTTATGTTTTCTTGCAAGACTTTCGCTTTAACCAAGAGTTTCAAACCTGATTGTCATGACCATGCTAAATGCATAATGGTATCAACAACTAGTGCAAAATGCCCTAAACGTAAAGTGATATGAATATTTATACACAGTTCTCTGGAAGTGCGCATGTTTGTTTCCTCTGGACCCCATGGAAGATATTATTACAGACGGTCACACTCCTTATGAGCTTCATTGACTCATGTCAGCATTGGTGATAAACAGATGCAAACGGCAGTATAGAGAACATTTGGGATGCAAAGCTCTAAGCCAGTGTTTCAGGCAACACTCTCTGGGTGGTTTTAACAAATAATAACATCAAATAATAAATAATGGTATCAACTACCACTATGGCTGTTGCATTTTTTGAGTGCCTCCCTTGGCCGGGAACTGTGTATATATTACTCTAACCTATTACTCACAATCACACTCTAGGGAAAGCATTTTTAACCCCTGTTTTTCAAAAGTGGAAAATAAGACTCAGAGTGGTTAATAGATTTATACAAGGCCACACAGCTAGTGGGTGGCGGAGTGAGCAGAATTTCCATCTGACTCCATCTCCTTCCAAAAGTACAAAATGCACAAAAGTACGAAAATGCTTTTATTATGGATTGAAAATTTCTATCCCTCCAAATATATATCCTGAGGCTCTAAACCCCAGTATGGCCATATTTGGAAATGGGGGCTCGAAGGAAGTAAGACTTACTGAGGTCATAAAAGTAGAGTCCTGATATGATAGAATGAGTGTCTTTATAAGAGACACCAGAATGCTATTTCCCCAGGCACACACACCAAGGGAGGGCCATGTGGCTGTCTACAAGACAAGAGGTGAGCCCTCAGCAGAAACCAGGCCAGCCAGAAATGATCTTGGACTTGTCAGCCTCCAGAACACTGAGAAAATACATTTCTGGGATTTAAGTCACCCAGTCTGTGGTATTTTGTTATAGCAGCTCAAGCAGACTAATACATGTCAGTCCTGAGTTAATAATATTTCCCAGGAAGTCTCAGAGTACTATTAGGGAATGGCCCTTAAATACATGAAGTGCATGTATTAATTCCCAGCCTACCTCCTTCACCCTACATAAAGTGCAGAAAGGGTCAGGGTGTCACAGGGCCCGTTTCCTTCAATGCGTCTGTGGGAAGGACGTGTAGGTGCAGCCCACGATAGCTCAGAGAATGAGACCGGCTTCAGCTTGACCCTTTTTGCTCCAGGAAAGCATGATGTGGATCATATCTTACTTTACTCTCATAGAAATTTGCTGCTTCCTCATGTATAAATAACTAATCATGAGCAGCAGTGTGCTCCCTGTCAGAGCCTGATCAGGACCATAGAGGCAAGTGGGACTCAGCCTGGGTCTTCATGGCTGTGGGAGCCATTACTGCTCTCTGTATTCCAAGTGGAACAGTCCTGGTGTAAGGGTCTTGTTTCAGTGTCTGTGAGCATGAATGGGTGTGCGTGTGTGCACACGTGCATAAGAAGCTTGTATCCTTTCTTCTTCTAGTGAAAGGAAATCCCCTGTACCTGGGGATTGGGGGAGATAGTGAGGTGTTGGGGAGCAAGAGAGACTACAGGAAAAGATGAGGTGCTGAGGCCCACCAACCTGTTTGTCCTCACCCTTTCCATCTGCTGAAAGGTGCCTATTGGGCGTAGAATTGTCTCCAGCCCACTTCATTGGACCAGGTCATCCCAGTTAGCCTGACTGTCCTGTTTGCAGGTCAAGTATAGAGGGAATTTTGCCACAGTAAAACATGCTCTATTTTCAAGTCATATGTGAAGAAAAAATAAATGAAGGAAGGATGAGGAAAAGACCAAATGCTGCCAAGTGTCCACTACAAGCTCTGGTTTTCTGCGGGGGCCACTGAAAGGTGTACAAATTGTTCACCATAAGCCAAGGACACAAACATGTGTGTGCGTGTGTGTGTATGTATGTGTGTTTGATGCCTTAGCACAGCTCGTGTTTGATGCTTGTGATGGTTCTATTTATAAACTTTGTGCTCTCAGATGGGACAACCAGAGGCACTTCTTTCCTGCATTTCAAGTGTTTCATTTCCTTTTTAACATGTCTTTTAAATTAAGGGCATGCACACCAATGCATGGGCTCACTCTCATCTTACGGCAAGTTGATCAGACTAGGGTTAGTTGTCTGAGAAACATGGGTGGCCTTTGTCACAAACAAGAGGAGAAGCAGTTCAGGGAAGAAGAAGACTAAGGACTAGCACTGTTGTTTTGGTGGAGTTGTTTGTTAGCTGACTGTCTACAAGGCACATGTTCTATCGAATATTCAGTGTTGGGTGCTGACTGTGTTACGAGCCTTGTACATAGGATTTAAACCCCAGAGCCACTCTGTGAGGCCAGAATTGCTTTGGGATCTTTCAGATGAGGGAACCAACGTGAAGGCTTTAAATCCTATGTCCAAAGCCACACAGCGAAACCAGAGTGAAATCCGGAGCATTTGAATCAAGAGTTGAATCTTCTTTCCTCCCCGGAGGGAGAATCGCCCAGGGGCTGAGTGCAAGGGGAAAGGCTGGTTCTGAGGGGAAGAAGCTGAGCATGTTGCGGCACAGGACTTAGAAAAATTTAGAAGCATCTGCAATTGTTTTCCAGGGGAAGATACCCAAAAACAATCCAGAGAAGGAAATAAAACGAGAAGAATAGTAAGGCAACATGGAGTATAAAAGTTGCTGCATTTAGGGCGAAGGAGAGAACCTCTCTGCTCCGTGGCGATATTAAAGCTATCCCCAAGAACGGGAGGTGGGAGTGGCCTGAGGGATGACTCCTCCAGCACTGCTGCCTGCCAGCTCCGGGCTGCACAGGGCTGAGCCGGCGCCAAGAATGCCCTCTTCTGGTGATATTCTCGAAGCCCAGGAAGATAGCAAGGCAGCCGAGACCTGTGTTTTCCAGATCCTGGGTAGATTCCCTTGTCAGATGTGGTTCTACTTAAGCAAATATCACTACCTTCTCTTTTTCCTCCTCAGCCCTCAAACTAGTGATAGGGAAATTATTTCAATAAGGTAAGCTGTACCTTAGTAGAGTTTGCTTCCTTTTTTTTTTTTTTAACCCCGAATAATACTCTCTATGTCATCTGTATATTTATGATAGCTCAAAGACATGGGTGTGTGGATCTAATTAAAAATGTGAAAGGGTTTAGCAGCCTGCTGCTTCCCTGCAACTCTCTGGTTGCCAAATCTTGGCAGCCGTGTTGAACTTGAGCCAAGCGTTTAGTCCTCAGCTGAACTGCTGCCAGCCTGCGCACGGCATTGTGGGGCGAGAGCCGGAGGGGCTGCACTGCACCGAGCTTGCACAGGGCGAGGCGGGGGCAGGACCTGGGACCCAGCCACCCCGGAGGAAACCGGAGAGGAAACCAGCTTGGTCTTGCTCTCTGCCTCGTCCCAATCCCCGGCTCTTACCAAATGCAGGTAGGACCAGCTAGGCCAATTTGGTGACCGGGTAGGGCTTCAAGCTACTAGGTGGGAAATGGTCCCTACAGTTTTGCTTTCATTTAGTCGAAATCGGGCCTTTTCAGAGGAGAAACAGTTCTCCACTCTCTTGCAGTAGTTTGGGCCTGAGTTTCAACAGTCGGATGGGGCATTTCTATTGAGTTCTCTGCTGTCAGTCTGAGCTTTTTTTGATAGCTTGGCAATTGTTCTGTGTCTTCTCTCTGAAGCAGCTGAGTCCAGCACAGGGTTTCTCAAACCCTGTTGTGCACACATGTCACTTGGGAAATCTTGTGAAAATGCAGGTTTCTGAGTCTCCCCGGGGAAAGGGGAGAATTCATGTTGCCAAGATCAGAACTGACTAGAACTGCTTACGTTCCACATTATGACTCCAGACTGGAACTTTTGTGAATTCAAGGATGTTAGGCTCTGGAAAAGTACATCTTGGTGATTTGCTGTCAGAGGGAAAAACAATTCAAAGAACTCAGCATTCTCCACAATATGTTGACAAAAATAAGGGGAAAAAAAAAACATCAAAGGCATGGGTCACTTTTTATTTTTTTTTGAAATGTACCAGCTATAAGCAAATTAAAGAGGAAGAAAGGGTCGTATTCTTTGTATACAGAACACCCTCCTGCAGAGTGAAAATTCAACCCTAAAAAGATCTTCTAATATACTTGAGGGGCTGAGAGAGAGGATGAGGGGGGACTTTGCCTTTTAACTTTATATCTTGTGTATTGTTGATTTTTCATGATGATGCATTTCTTTCGTAATTAAAAGAAGAGGCAGCAGCTGCAAGACGGCCCAGGAGCCTTCTTGGCAGTGACCTTCCCCAGGGCAGGCCACCAGGGTGGGGCAAGTATGGACTTTGAAACCACTTTGTCCTGGAGTGGAAGCAGGCTCTGGCATTAAGCTTGGGGAATTTGGCTAACATTGCTGGGCCTTTGCAATTTCATCTGTGCAATGGAGAAATTGGGCCTTCATTGAGGCACAGCTGTGGGTGCCGCAGACATGTTTGTGCGGGGCTCATACCCAGGGGTCCTTAACAGGCGTTTTAAAAATTCAGAGTCTCTCTCCGATGGGGTTAGGACACTATTCCAGATAGAATTTCACCCCGGCAGACTGCTTCTGAGCACAGATATGTTCCAAAACCTCCGGATAGGAGCTAATCACTTTAGAAGTCACAAAGCCTCTGTTCATGATGTTAGAGGAGCTCCCCAAAAACGAGGCCTTGGGGAATAGCAGTGAATTTTCTCTTTCTTTTCAAATGGCAAATTTATACATATGAAAAGTCTAAATGACATGGCAAATAAATCACAAGTAGTCATAATTTAGCCGGCCACTTTTATTATGAAACAATCAAAAGCATGCAGTCGGGACGATGGAGGGAGATGCAGGCTGTGTGGCCCCTGTGCAATTAGGGGGCTGATACTTCCTTCATATCCTAAGTTGGGATGGCATGTCGCTTGCTTTGTGGTTTGGAATAATGCAGAACTGGCTGTTTCTATCACAGAAAGAGGGAGAGGGTGTGTGCCGCCAAGAATCAGGATATTTCCAGGAAAATTTCACTCCAAGAGGCTTTCTTGAATCTCATTCCTAACATGTGGGCAGATGATTGTCTAAACCACTGAGGGATGATGCTGGAGGTAAACATCTAATTAATTAAAGAAAATCTCCTTCTGCACCCCAACTCCGAAAATGCCCCGCAGTTGAGAAACACTGACACACACTCACCCACACTCACCCACACACTCACCCACACTCACACACACACTCACCCACACTCACACACACGCGCCCACACTCACACACACACTCACACATACACTCACACATACTCACACATACACTCACACACTCACCCACACTCACACACACACCCACACTCACCTACACTCACACACACTCTTACACATGTATTTGTAAAAAAAAACTCCCTGGTGACTGAGTCCTTCGGTCCACCTGCGTTTGTTAATTCCAGGTTACAAACACCTTGATCTCCATCACCCTTCTTCCAAGAATGTGTGACCACAACCCCTTCGCTCTTCCAAGCAACGTTTGCTCCAACTTAATATTCCGGTGCTTTCGGGAACAACATTTTAAAATAAACCATTTTGGCACCTTGTCAAAGTCTTGTCTAAATTCCTTCATGACAACCACTCTCAGTGAGATTTTTAAAACCAAAGGGAGTTGGGGGCAGGGAAAAGAGGAGTTCCCCGTTTAGAGTCCTAATTTTAAACAGTATCAAATAAGAATGTATTTATTTCTCCCGCCCCCTCTGTAGTTCCCTCCTGTTCCCACAGGGCATCCTCAGCCCACCTCTATCCTTCAGTCCATATCTTTATTGTCCCCTCCATGGGGTCTGGTCATCTGGGTCAGTGGGAAAGGGTCACTGGCCATTGGACAAAGAAAGGCTGGGCAGGGATGGGGCCTCGGGCAGGTGTTGAAATGTAGTTCCTGGTGTTTGGTAGTAATCACTACAAAACAATCCTGTCTGCTCCATTCCTATCAACAACCTGCTCTCCTTGGTCTGTTGCTAAGAGACCAGCCTGTTGTTTACAAGATCCTTGGTGGCGTAGACTTCCATAATTTATAATTTATTATCTTAGTGTCAAAACTTGTGTTGGTTTTTATTTTATTTCACCATAGATCCAATTATAGTTAGATACAACAAAGGTCATGCATCTGCCGGTGGCACAGTGACTGCACCAATAGTATCCCTCACCACCCCTAAGTTTAGGTGCTGCAGAAGAAAATGCTATTATTAACTGAAGATGAATATCATTTTTTGTCCACTAACTTCATGCATTATATGAGTGTTCAGGTCAATGGATTCCCTCAAGATTTGCTCACTACTGAAAACATGTTTCTGTCCAACCAAGAAGGAAATGAATTGAAATGATTTCAATTATCACAAGAAAGGAATTGAGTTTTCTTGCTGTACAGTTCAACACGTATTGACTCAACTCACCAATCCTCTCCCCGCAAAGTTCAGGGCCATAGACATTTATCCAGCACTAGACATTACTCTGGAACCACCGTAGGGTTTTGTGGATCCACAAAACCACCTTGTGAGGATATTCTCTACTTAGAATAATTCAATGAATTCAGAAAGGAAGTGATGGCACAGAAGAAAGGGTCATTGAAGTAAAACAGCTCAGTCTCAACATATCAGCTAAGAGAAGAAGAGAAACAGAAAAGTGTTAAGATCATTGCCAACATGTATTGTATCAGGCACAAGGCTAAGTGTTTAATCTGGAATAACTTATTAAAAGGTACTGACAGATCTATGAGGAAAATTCTAGTATTAGTCTCATTTTTACAGACAACAAAATCAGAGCTTTCTACCTTAAGTAAGGCACTCAACAATGCCTAGCTATTAAGTGACAGGATGGAACTCAGGCTGAGAGACTCTAGGGCCATTTTTTATTCTCATAGAAATTTTTAAAATATGTATCAGCCTGGGCTTTGGAGTTTTTTTGTCTGTTTGAGAAGAGTCCCACATACATTTGATGAAACAGGGCAATGAGCATAGATTCCAAAACCTTCCACATTATCCTCTACAGAGTCTTCATCATCTCGTAGAAAACACAGAGCATGAGAAATTTCTAGGAAGGGCATTTTATTTTCCCCGTCTGAGAGCCTGGAAAATTCTAATGCCGTTTTACTGGGAATTAAGCTTGTTGTTTTCCAGAAAGCAATTATGGCAATATTTCATACCAGCATTTTGCATCACTTAATTCCTGCCTGCTCCCTGGTGGGTCGTGGCCAGGACAGAATACTGTGCACAGATCTCCTGAACCCTCTCTGGTTGGGGTTGGCAGACTCATTTTTAGTACAGTGATGGAAAGAGATGAATAAACAAGCTAGGAACTATGGACCATCAAAGAAGCAGTCATGACATTGACGATGACTGAACCACTTCTCAGGCCTGTCTATTTGCTTTTCCTCCCCCAAACAGGACATTGTTCTCATTCAGAAGTGCAAACCCTTAGACTGGAACCCACGGGCAGACCCCAGTGAATAAAGGAGTGGAGTGCACATCCCTCAGTTTATTTTCTGAGGCCATTTCTCTGAGACTAGAACCTTCCTGAGGGTGCAGATGGGGTCCTCTTCATCTTGGTAGCTGTGCACATCCATTTAAGATTCAGAATCAGTAGTTTGGGGTTCAAGTTCTCATCTACCACTTAGTAGCCTCGTGAACTAAGGCAGGTTTTAAACTCTTACGTTCCTAGTTACGACATTTGCAAAAATGGTGATGATAATACTGTCTTCTTCACAAGGAAGAGAGGATTAAAATGAACAACAAATGCAACGTGAAATTGGAGATGGAACTAGATAAAAGTGATTAACATCATTACTCAAATGCCAGGACCAGTAAAATGCCTGACAAACAATAGCCTCTCATTCAGCAGCATGTGTAGCTATGAGATCGTAGTCAGTCTATGTGTGCCAACACTATGAAGCATTGGGATCCAGAGTTGGAAGACAGACCATTTCTGCCAATTGTTCACAGCACATGGAGGAGAGGAATGTGTAAACAGTTACCCAGAAATATACATACACTTCTATGGAGACCAAGATTGAGACGTGACCTGTAACGCATTAACTTTTAACTCTTATGCCTCATTTTCTTCATCTGAGAAATGATTCAGTCATCATTAAGTCATGACAGCTTCTTTGATGGTCCATGGTTTCTAGCTCATTTATTCATCTGTTTCCATCACAGCAGTGAAAAGGAGGCTGCCAACCCCAAGCAGGGAGGATTCGGGAGATCCATGTATGGTATTCTGTCCTGGTCATGACCCTGCAAGGGACATAACTGCCTTGTCACCTGGACAATTGAGAGAAGAATATCACATGCCATGTTTCACTCAGGAAGCACTCAGTGCCTATGGGGGATGGGAAGTGAAGAATGTCTGGGGACGCTGTCCCAACTGATCCTTTTTCACTGGCTTTTAATGGGGGTTTCTAGAAAGAGAAGCACTTATTCATTGATAAAAATAAAACATAATTAGACACAGCCTCCTCTGCCCCTCACCTGATGGAGTTTTCAGCAATATCAAGAAGAACCACCATACTGATAATGCAAATCTTGATTCCCTCTGCTCCATTACACTCCCTTTTAGTCTCACTTTTGGTCCATAGCAATTCAGCAAGCTAAGGAGTCAGGAAGTAGTAAGGTCAGCCAACTGTTTCACCAGGGTGATGCCAGATAATACCAGACAGTGTGATCAATGGATAAAGGGAATGTGAATATAAAGAAGAAAAAAGCCCCTTGGCAACCAGAATGAGTTGGGCTAGAAATTGAACTCAGCAACTGTTAAAATCTGACCCACGGCAAGGCAAGCTTCCCAAAGGTGACTTCACAGTGTCGGCATTAGTGTTGATTATATCACGTGGGTTAAGGTCTTAGAACAGAGGAGATGTTCGGCAGAAGGCAGCTGCCCTCCCTACCAAAGACTCTGAAAGACATGATGCTGTCAGAGGTTGTGCCATGGTCTATGATCATGGTCTCTGATTCAACTCCAGAAAGTCAAATCGAATCCATCGCCAAGATTTGGTTAACCCTTCATCCCCTGTCAAATTCCTAATATCTAGCCATTGCCTCTACCCACTGCTTCTGGTTTTGTTTTTGTTTTTTTATGGAAATAATAGGCAACAATGATCAGGACTAGTTTCATTTTAATTCAACTATCCCTTGCTGGAGTCTAAAACTGTCCTCCTCTTATCTTCCTGGAAAAACAGAATTGTCCTCCCTGTTGCCCAAGACAAGCCCCAGAATACCCACCCCCTGAATCCCCTGCATTAATATCTAAAGCATACCCAGTCTCTTTCCTAAATATGTCTCCTCTCCACACAGTTCTATAGTCTCTAGGGTTATCACTACTAAAGATACCTTTCTGAACTAGAATGAAACATGCTCCTTATCTTCTTGTAAAGCTCTAAGGTCCCCACATTTGATAAGACAAGACTCAGGCTTCTTAGCACAGACTTCCACTCCATTCCAAATCCCCATGTGCCCATATCCTCCCAGGCACCCCTCCACCACAAACCCATTGAACCTGTGAAATGGAATTTCTTCTTGTTCTTTAAACACATCATGTTGGGCCATGACATGGACTTCACATATTCAGGTTCTCATGCTTGGCATGACTTCTCCTTTCCCAGAAAATTCCTTTTCAGCCTTCAAGACATAACCCTAGTGTTTCTTTTTCTAAATCCTCCTGGCTTCTCTGGGCAGTTAGGTCAGGTATGTTTCTCTTATTCATCTCTGTATCAAAAAAGCTGAACCCATAATAGAGTCTTAGTACTTGTGCCCTGACCTATCCCATTATCTTGAAGAATATTCCTGGGTCCTGCCTGGGACTTCCTTAATAGCCCCTAGAGCTGGGTTTCTTTTTTGCCTCTTTCAGTGTTCTTCTTATTCTCCTTTCCAGGATTGTCTTTCTCTCCTAGCCATTAGATGTTGATGTTCCTCAAGGTTTGCCATAGGCCATTTAACATATCATAAATAATTTTTATATTATCTCATTTACATTATCTCCTGGGATCCCTCTTCTTCCCAGACTGCATTAACCACTCATGGTGATGACTCCGGAGCTTCATTCCCAGACCTGATTCTCTATAGACTCCAGACCTTTGCGTTCATATATGTGATGACTGTCTTTAGACTTGGCCATATCACAGAGCCTTCAAACTAATATCTTTGGTTGGGCGTGGTGACTCATGCCTGTAATCCCAGCACTTTGGGAGGCTGAGGAGGGCGGATCACTTGAGGTCAGGAGTTCAAGACCAGCCTGGCCAACATGGTGAAACCCCCATCTCTACTGAAAATACAAAAATTAGCCGGGTGTGGTGGCAGGTGTCTGTAATCCCAGCTACTCGGGAGGCTGAGGCAGGAGAATGGCTTGAACCCAGGAGGCAGAGGTTGCAGTGAGCCAAGATCTTGCCACTACACTCCAGTCTGGGTGACAGAGCAAGACTCCATTTCAAAACAAAGAAACAAACAAAAAAACCCCAATATGTTCAAGTTGACTTTACTTTAGTTTCCCTATAACATCTTCGTCCCCAAATCTTTACTCCATTGTCAGTGTCCCCTGATTAATGGCATTACCACATACTTGATGCCCAACTGAGAAATTTAGATGTCTTTACCTATCTTTCCTCAACACCAACCCACCCATCTCATTAAAAATTGAGGCCTATGGATTCTATCTTTTCAATAGTTTTCATTTTTTTTTTTCAATCTCTCCAACCCACTACCATTTTCCACCATTCTCTCAGTCCAGGCTTCATTATCTTTTTTTCTGGACTTCTACAACAAACTCCTAATTTATCTCCTACCTCTATTATTTCACCCTTCCTGTCTATTCTCTATTTCAGGGCCAGGACAATCTTTACAGATCTTTACAGGATGATCAAAACACAAACTTTATTGTTTCATTTTTATATGTGAGATTTCCCAATGGCCCCCCTTGCTGACTTGAGGTAATTCTCAGAAACCTCTGCCTGAATCATAGAGATTTTGGTCTGGTTTCTAAATAGCCTGTAGTCTCTGTGCCTTGCACCTCTGAGCCTTGCAGCCATATTGGACTATTCTTAGTCTTTGCACTGGGCTCTTCTCTCTCTAAGTCTTTACCTTCCACCAAATACACCGAAATATGTATTTTTGGACAGATTATTAATGTCCTCCTTTTTATTGAGATCAACTACAGGATTAACTTAGCAGTACTTGGCTTCAAAAAATGTTATATCAGTCTCTTTCCCCATCGGTCTGATTTTTCATCCTCTTTTCTTGGATATCCCTGAGTTCACATCTTCTGAATTGTACTTGTTTCTTTTTGAGGCTTATGTAGGGGCTTGTTTCAAAGAGATACTCTATATTCTATCATGGCTGTAAGAAACTTAGGAGTCCTGTTCTATGCCCAAGGCTCTGCTTGTTGAATACACATGTAATTGAGCAACACAATTGGGGCTTCCTATTTGATGTCACATTGCCGTAGTAGGCAATGATGAACTATCCTAGCAGATCCTCTAAACTATTCTTTCACTGATTGCACATGATTCCTCTCTTCCCAATGTACTTTTGACAGTTTATGAGAGTAGATTTTGAATCACCCCCCAGATCTAAGTTCTTCCAAGGGAAGTAACTCCACTATGTTTTTGTTTAAGGTTTTCTGTCAGGCAAACTACATGTTAGCATCATACATTTGTTCTGTTTTTTTTTTTTTTTTTTTGCAATTCTAGACCCTTGTGTCAGAAAGAGCAAATCCTCTAGCCCTTTGATCTTCACAATCCTTCAATTATCTTTCTGGTTTCCTTCTGTTGTCATTTAGGGTAAATACATATATTTGGTCTTTGTGTCCATCCATGAAAGGTAATCTCACTCTTCTTTTAATTATTTTTAGATCCGTTGGCTGAATGCCTTTTAGTCTGCATACATGCATCTCATACCGCACAGCCCAAATTTCTACAACTTGTCCAGGTGCAGTCTCCTCAGAACTACAAAGCAAGAAAAGATCACCTTTGGGCTCAGGAACTCACAGTCGTTCTCCCTCTCCCGGAAGGCACAATGACCAGGACAGTACCGAGCTTTACAGCCATATTGAACTCACCATCAACTCAGCACATTCAACTCAATCAGTCAAAATCGTCTTTTCCTGCTGGTAAATAACACTGAAATGTAAGTGCCAACTGTTAGTCTTTCTTATCTGGAGTCTTCTTCCCAAGTTTTTATTTTATGTGAAAGCATTGTGTTCTCAGCAGTTATTTTGGTCTCCATATTTTATAGCCAACCCCTTTGATTTAAAATATTACAGAAGGCTCTGTTCCATCCCTTTTTCTTCCTAAACTGATTTTTGCAAAACCCTTAATCTGGGCTTGAAGGAAATACAATCTTTTCCTACACAATTTTACTTCTTTTTTTTTTTTTTTTTTCAGATGAGTCTCACTCTGTTGCACAGGCTGGAGTGCAGTGGTGCAATCTCGGCTCGCTGCAACCTCCGTCTCCCGGATTCAAGCGATTCTCCTGCCTCAGCCTCCCGAGTAGCCAGGACTACAGAAACGCACCACCACATCCAGCTAATTCTTGTATTTTTAGTAGAGACGGGGTTTGCCTGTGTTGGCCAGGCTGGTCTCGAACTCCTGACCTCAGGCGATCCACCCACCTCGGCCTCCCACAGTGCTGCGATTACGTGAAGAGAAAGAATGAGAAATGCATCTGAGCCTCACTCCACCAAAACAACACACTTTCCCACCTCTCACTCCACTCCAATGAATGTCTATGAGTTTTCAGACTCCCTGTCAATGGTCTTAGGTAAATGCAGTAGTATCTGCTTTTTAGAATTTATAAGACAAGGGCCATGCTGGGTGCATTGGCTCATGCCTGTAATCCTAGCACTTTAGGAGGCTGAGGCAGGCAGATCACCTAAAGTCAGGGGTTTGAGACCAGCCCAAAATGGCAAAACCACGTCTATATTAAAAATACAAAAATTAGCCGGGCATGGTGGCATAAGCCTGTAATCCCAGCTACTCAGAAGGCTAAGACAGGAGAATCGCTTGAACCCAGGAGGCGGAGGTTGCAGTGAGCCAGGATTGCACCACTGCACTCCAGCCTTGGTGAAAGAGTCAGACTCTGTCTCAAAAAAAAAAAAAAAAAAAAGAAGAAGACAATGGCCAGTGCCTTAAAATGAGCAGAAAATTTTCTGTCAGGTATCCTTGGATCCCCTTCCTCTCCTGCAGCATATTGGGCTTACTTTTGCTCATTCCCTCATGCCTTAGCTTCTTCATCTGTCAAATGGAGAGAAAATACTCTTTCAGTCCTTTGTGTAGGAAAAAGTGATAATGGCTCCAGAAGTTTCCTGTCAACTCGGAAGCACTATATAAACAAATCAGACTGCCACCAGTAATCAAAAAAGGAAGGTCTAATACCTCAGACTTATAACTTGTATAGTAAATTTCTAGTTTAAGTTGTTCAACTAAAAAAGTAGAGGACATTTGGTTAAGAGAAAATGAGATTTCAAACACATTATGGTCAAGTTTAAATGGTATTGTTTGTTTCATTTTGCTAATGGAAGAAGGTCTAGTATTTTTCAAGAGTCAGTCATTGGGAACCAGCCCTTAATTGCAGAGTGTTATGGAAAGATCCATGGTGTCTAGGGTCTGTTGGGGAATTTGAGGAATTCTACAGCAAGAGCATTGTGCTCCAAGAGTACACAGCAGAGCTGGGGCTATCGCAATCCCATAAAACAGATAAAATCGGACTCAGAACACAGCTGTATTAGTCCATTCTCACGCTGCTATAAGGACATACCTGAGACTAGGTAATTTATAAAGGAAGAGGTTTAAGTGACTCACAGTTCTGCAGGGCTGGGGAAGCCTCAGGAAACTTACAATCATGGCAGTAGGAGAAGGAAACACATCCTTCTTCACATAGTGGCAGCAAGGAGAAGTATGAGTGAAGTGGGGGAAAAGCCCCTAAAAAAAAACATCAGATCTTGTAAGAATCACTATCATGAGAACAGCATGGGGGTAACTGCCCCCATGATTCAATTACCTCCAACCAGGTCCCTCCCATGACACAATATGTGGAGATTATGGGAACTATAGTTCATGATGAGATTTGGGTGGGGACACAGCGAAACCATTAACAGCTATCAACAGCTTTGTTAGCATCCAGAGAAGGCTGAAAGAGGAAGAAGAGAAAGATGTGGGGCCAGCACAGAAGACTTCCTGGAGTGACTGTGGCCCCACCTGGGTGCACAGGGGTCACAGCAGTCAGAGAGCATAGCAGAGAGAAGGCACTCCTGTGTGAGACCTCCAGGTGAAACTGGGGTGGGGGTGGAAAGAGTATTTATAAGAGATGAATAAACAGGTTAACAAGGAATGAAATGTATTGGGCTTTGAAAGTCAAATGCCATAGCAGCTTGAATTTGATCATTTCATCTGTAGGGAAAATGGGGAGTAGGGGACATTGGAAGGTGGAAAGGCCTAAAAAGCTCACCTTGAAAATCCATCAAGACATTCTTTAAATTTAAATGTAAAACTGTTACTATACCAATACTTATGGCTCCTTTTCCGAGAAAGCCCTCCCCGTGTCTCTTCCCTGCTAATTCCTGGCCATCTTTCTGGCCTTAACAAGGTGCCGTTTTCTCCACCAGCCCCACCCAAACATCTCTCCTTCTCACAGAGGTGGGTCACCCAGAGTGGTCCAAACTTCCCTAATCAAAACAGCCTTTACACATCCTGTGGCTTACAATTCCTTCCTACCCCTGTGACCCTCCTCTTCTTTCCCTATTTAACATTATGAAAACTCTCATCAGTTTGCATTCAATGAATCCTCACCTACTCTGTGCACCTTGTCCCACAAGCCTCCCCTGATTGTAAACCCTCCACAGAGGTCTCGGATGACACCTTGTGAGCCACCAGGCTGTGGGGAGATTCCTCTCTTCCCTCATCAATGTCTTTACCCAGTGAGGTTAAGAAAGCCAGGGCAGGCTGAACTAGGAATTCCCTTGGTTCTAACAGAAAATATGGTCACTTTAAATGACCTAATTGTCCTGTCTAAACACTTCTCTCCTGGGATAATTGAAAATGCTCTTTTAGTCTAGCTCACAATTCCTCACCTCCAGGCCCCCAGGGTTCCAGTAGGCGGGTGGTGGGAGTCCATTAGTCACTCACCTTCTGCCCTTTCTGGTCTCAGCTGGGCTCTTATCACCTGTACCTGGGCCTCCTGGTCTCAAGAGGTCCATGACTGCCTCTCTGTAAGCTCCAGCAAAAGATGGTGAGGTTCAAGCAATTGCCTTTCTTATTCTAATGAGCCTTGCTTCTAACAGAACATGAGAAGGGTTAGTGTGAGTACTCCAGAAGGAAAGAAATTAAAGGAGAGAAACAATAAATTAATGTAATAGAGTGGGCAGAAAAAAATGCTTAGATATGAGATATTCCTGGTTTAACTACATGACTTTCACATGTGATATGGTCTGTCACACCTTGAGCCTCCTTATCTGTAGAATGAAGATATCAGTTCACACTCTGCTGTGAGACTAGAATTTGTATGTGATGCACCTGGCATAGTGCCTCAGACACAGGCCCTAAAATTGGTACCTAGTCCAATAGTGGTTGTCATTATACCAAAGAGTACCAATGACTTTAAAAGCTGAGGTTTCTAGCCTTATCAGGACCCACATCTAGAGAGGGTAGAATTGTATTTTCCATACCTATTAGAAGTGGAGTCCTCCAATGTTTACCTCTTGGGCATTTTATAGAATTGAATGGTTTGAGGGGGCACTGAGACCCACCCCCTCTTCAGGTTACTCATACACTGTCTTGAAAATAAAGAAATCCATCTAAAAAAGGATAGATGAGTCCTGCTTACAATGGCCACTCTTAGAAAATATTAAGCCACTTCCCTGGATAATAAAGGAACAACAGAGAAGTGAACACATTCATGGTAGATTCTCATCCTAAGAGAGTAGCACTAAACCCTCTCCCTCCTGTTGTCAATGCCTCTTCAATTTAAAGAATGAACTGCACCTCATAAGAATTGAATTTGCTTATTGATTAATCCATATATATGCAGCACTTGATACCATAAGCCATCATGCTGGAATACAATGTGCTCTGAACTACAGGTGTCTAGTCATTTTAAGTATAAAAATTAGGTAATTATAGCCAGAAGTATTCATTAAAATTTGAAAGTAGATAAATAAAAGAGAACATTGATATCTAGTCATTAAACTTCTACAAATAAAATGTGAAATGAGAAAAAAATGAAACAAAACAAAATCCTTCCTATTATCTTCCCCTCAAATCCCTTTTTTTTTCCTTATGAATCAGATGCGGCATCTCCAGGGAATAGTTATTTCTTCCCTCTATGCATGAAGCAGAGCAGGTTGCGGGGGGGGCGGTGTCCACCCGGGAATGGGGGAGGTCCCTAAAGCAGAAGGTGGCTCCATCATCTGCAATTCCCATCAGAAACCTACCTCAAAGGCTATAGGTCAGACATTGTTTATGGGGTAGGGAGAAGGGCAGGGCTGGGGGGAGCCCACAGTGTGTGATTCTCAAAATGTTGAAAAGGCCAGAGCACAAATACATCTCCACAATTACACTTTGACTTTCTATAAGTGCTGTTTGGAGTCTGAGGAAGTCAGAGAGAGAGGGTGAGTGCTGAGTCTGTGCTCGCAAATTCTTCAGTGAAATGGGAAAAGACAAGTTAATGGTTAGTTGTCTCCATGTGGGTGGGTGCGGGTGGAAGGGCAGAGCTGGGAGATGGTAGGATTTCAACATCAGTTGAAAAAAACAGGCCACGCAGGCTCCCCCCAGACAAGCTGATTTTCCCCCAGTGAATTCACCAGGGAAAAGGGATTTGGAGGCAAGATCTCATTACTAATTTTGTTAAAAACCCACCTGCGAACACAGTGAAATGAATAGTCCCTGGGACTTGGGGGTTTTGGCTGTGTGCTCAGGTGTAGACAGACCTTAACCTCATCAGCTGCTTGACTTCGGGGCTCTTGATAAAATATAAGGTGTTCTTCAATATAAGGGGAATATGGATGCAGCTAGAAACCCAGCCCTGAGCTTGTGGATGGTCACCCCAGGCCAGCTCACAGTACCGATGTGAATCATCTGTGAGCAAATGATAATGAATGACAAAAAAGGCTTGTATCCAGAGGCAAACAACCTCAGGAGGTTATTTTCACTACCTTGCCCATATTTATATGTGGGGTCATGCATCTGTTAGGACTTTCTGTCCGTGGCATTTATTATCTCACGTTATATCTGAACATTTCCGAGGTTTCTGGCTACAGAGGAGGCTGATCAAGAGGCTTAATCATGTCATCAAGGACCTGGTTCTTCTAAGTCTGTTCTTTCTGTATCCCTTGGTGTTGGCCCTGTCCTCAGGCTCCATGTCATGCCTTCCTCAAAATCCCCAGCTCTCCTTTCACTGCAGCAAAATGATTGCCATAGCTCTGTTCCTCACATCTTTCTATCACTCCACCCATAGACAAGGAGGGTCTACTTTTGTGGCTGTGTCTGGTGGCCAGTCTCTAAGGTGATGCCCAGTGATCCTTGCTTCTTGGCATTCACACCCTTGTGTAATCTCTTCCTTTTGAGTGTGGGACAGGCTTGGTGGCTTAATGATTGAGATGTCAGGTCCCAGATTAGGTGATGGTAGATGGTGACATGCTTTTGTTTTTCCATCCCTTCTCTGACTGAGTGAGCAAGCTGCCCTGTGGAGGCCTCAGGTGACCAGACACTGAGAACAGTCTCTACCCAATAACAAGCAAGGAACTGAAACCTTCAGTCTAACAGCTCAGGAAGAACCAAGCCCTCCAACAGCCCCATGAGTGGGCCTGGAAGCAGACCCTTTCCTGGCCAAGCCTTGGGATAGCTGCAGGTTTAGCTGATACCTTGATGGTAGCCTGGGGATAACCTGGATGCAGAAGTCCCAGCTAAGCAACCTGGAATTGCTGACCCACAAAACCTCGGGGATAAAACATGCTTGTTGTTTTAGTCCAAAAAGTCTTGGGGTAGTTGTTATGCAGCAAGATATCATAAGCACACTCCCATAGAAAAGGAAAGGTGTTTCTTTTTTCAAGTTCCAAGGTGTTTCTTTTTCCAAGGACCGCATCCTTGATTCTTCTTGGCTCTGAATGCTGTATGTACGTCTCTAAACCAAAGGTTGCATTCAGAGATAATGACTTTGAGATCTAGAGACAGGAGGGGCCTGGATTTGTGATAGAAGGAGCTGGTCTTCTGTCTTAATGTTCCCTTACTTCCTAGCTGTGTGCTGGGATGAGTCACTGAGCCTCGCAAAAACTCCTCTTGCTCATCTATGCAGTAGCAGGTGAAATTATGTCCCCCAAAGAAACCAGGCCAAGTCCTGATCTCCACGCTTGTGAATGTGACTTTATTTGGAAATAGGGTCTTTGCAGAAGTAATTGCGGTCATCTGGATTTAGGATGGGACCCAAAGCCCAACAACTGGTGTCCTTGTAAGAGAGAGGAAAGGAAGATTGGACATACGCAGACATAGAAGAGACGACAAACAAGAAGGCCATGTGAGGATGGAGGCAGAAATGGGAGTGTGGCAGCCGCAAGCCAAGGAATACCAAGGACTGCCGGCAGACACCCAAAGCTAGGAGGGAGGCATGGGTGGGATTCTCCTTCACAGCCCCCAAAGGAAGTAACCCTGCTGCCGCTTTGATTTCAGAGTTCTGCCTTCATACTATGACAGAGCAGGTTTCTATTGTTTTAAGCCACCGTGCTTTGGTACTTTGTTATAGCAGCCTTAGGAAGCTGTTAATAACACATATGGGTAACAATAATCGGTGCTGCTGTGAGATCATGGATGCACAAGTCAGAAGTCTATATATAATAATTGTAGTGACCTGATGGCCAGGGCACACCTATTCTATCCCTCTCCACAATGGGATTCAGTGTGCCAAGAAATGACCTCTTTGGCAGAGGCTGGAAGAGTTCAGATGTGATGAATAGAGGTGGATAGCAAGTTTGAAAGCAGTTCAAATAGAAAGCATTGGATTTGGGGCCCAATGACCTGGGCTCACTTTCTTCTGACATTAGGCAAAATTGCTTCATGGCAATCAGCCTCAGTTTTGTCAATGCATGTAATAATAAACCAAACTTAAAACATTGTTACGGGGGGGCAGAAAGAAGAGTGAGAGGGTAGGAGAGAGAAAGAAGGGAGAGAGAGAGAGACAACGAGAGAATGTGCAGTTTTCTAGCACTTTGTAAATGTCCAGTAAATGCTTCTGTATTCACTGAGCTATACTTTTGGTCTGTCTTTATTGACTGTCATACCGTCTGGCTCAAGGCTGCCCCATCATTCCTGGACACTGTTGATGAACTATATTCACAGACTAGACATTAAAAAGTGCACTTGATCATGTTACTCCCCACTGACTGGGCTTGGAAGAGGAGTAAGGGAAGGAGGCAAAGATGAGGGTTTAAGTCCACAGCTTCTTGGTGGCAGTGACCAATAAATGTGACCATCGCATGCTTGTGCTTAAGTTATTTTAAACATTCCCCATTGTCATAAGGACAAAATTCAGGTTTCTGTGATCTGGTCCACTTGCTTACTGGCCTCATCCCCCTTATTCCTCTCTTGTATTTTAGTTTCTGCAACACAGCCTGACCTGTCCTGATTGAATCAGGTTCTGCATTTTCAATTATTATGCCTTGGCTTCTATTATTGCCACCGACTGGAATGTCCTTTCTCACTGACCACCTTTGTACTCTGCACACCGGTCTTCCCTCTCTCTTTCATGAGCTCTTTTTCTATCCCTTCCTCCTTGCCACCAAACCCCTAAGAACCACTAATGTTTTTTTTTACTTTCTTGATATTTTAGCCTTTTCCAGAATGTCTTATGATTAGAATCAGAAAGCATATAGATTTTTAACCACCTTTTACTTAATAATATGCATGTAAGTCTCCTCCATATCAATATTATTGCTGAATAATATTCCATGGTACAGATGTACCACAGTTTGTTCATTCCTTTACCTATTGAAGAACATCTTGATTGCTTCTAAATTTTAGCAATTATCAATAAAACCTTCCATGAATATTTGTGTGCAACTTTCTATGTGGACATGAGTTTTCAACTGCCTGCCTTTTACAATTAAGCTCAAGTGCCACTTCCTCCAGGAAGCATTGCCTGATTCCCTGGGGTCTGCAACATTGATCTCCCTCCTGTTTCCAGTACTCCAATGCACCTGTTCCACCATAGCACTTAGGGGACTGTACTACACTAACTGTTCCCTGTGTGTCACCCCAGTGAGACTGTGGGCTGTGGAATGAGAGTCCATGCATCTTGGCTTCCACAATACCTATATTAAGTGGTCAAACATATTTGTTCACCTAAGCTTTGACTGGGTTTTCTTTCCTTGAGCCCGGTCCATCATTTTTTACCCAGTGCCTTTAAAGAGGCAATTCCTGGAGTTAGGTATCAAATAAGAAGCAAGGTCCAAGTGGTCCTTTGTGGGTCATGACTTCTGGATCACAATTTAAGTGTGATATTAACATTTGGTGAAAAAAGGCAGGACTATGAACCCTTAATGGGTTCAGAAAGGGGGAAGTGGGGAGAATAGCAGTAGTCGTCTTCTGGGAATACTCACTGGTGTTAGTTACCCAGAGAGCAAGTCAGCCCACTAGGGTTCTGGGAAGGAACCAGGAGCAGCAGAGAAGATAAAGTTACAAAGAACGAATCAAACATAAAAACATAAAAAAAAATCAGAAAGGTTTTGTACAGATGTTAGAAATATAACACAAATTTGGCTCTGAGTTTCCTGGCAGCCCAAGCGCAGAAGGAAACATGATGAATTCCAATGCATGATACTCGCCAGATTCAAAAGGGAAAATGTCCTCAAGAAGCCTTTCTGTCCCCTCTATTGAGCCTGGAGATTTATTTTTCCCCCCATGGGTGTTCATTAAAGGAACACTACGGCATGACATGGAATCCTTATCCTAACAACAACAGGCCATAGAACACTATTCTTTTCTTCTATTACTCCATAGTGTGGGAAGATGGGATGGTAAGAACAAAGTCTGTCTCTGGAAGCACGGGCGCTGTCTCTGAAGACAAATTGATCGTAACACAAGCAGACCCGGTGGAACGACCTCCATGCTGAACCCTCAGCTCCCCCTGCATTTGGACCATGGCCTGATGGAAGGTGCGAGAAACCCTGTGACCACGTTACAGCACAGGGGCAGCTTGGCCAGGCCACCCCTTGGGCCTAATTTTTCTCCCTGGCCAAAGGGGTCAGACTATTCCAGTGCTGTCTGCTCCCTGGCCTCCAGAGTAATCAAACACACATGTTTGGCGCTCCACTAATCAGGGAATGAAATAAAGCTAGATGTTTCCATATGTTGATTCAATTTACAAGCAAAAGTAAGTGTCAGGTAGGGGGCACAACAGTAAGGGGTGAGCAGTGAAGAAATGATTCCACAATGACGTTTCGTAAGGAGCAAAAAGATGAGGAAGAAAAGGGGAGACACATCATTGAAGGCCAGGCTCTGTGACAATTTATATTTGCCTATATATCTGTATCTCTCTCTGTCTTATCTAATGAAATACCAACAACAACCTGAGAACAGTTCTGTCTTCCGTCACAGATAAAGAGACTGATCTCAGAGTGGTACAGATCTACAACCACGTGAAGAATTGGATTTATATTCATCTGACTCCAGAAAGTTCCTGAGATTCCTCTGCTTCATCATCTTTCCCATGCCCTTTAAAACACGTTATCAAATAGCAACAGGTGGTGCAATAACTAGACAAATGATTCTCAGCCTTTTTCTTTGCCATTAGCACTCCCGGAAGGAGACGTGTTGGACACTTTTCCTTGTCACCACCCCATGAACCTTCCATACCACAGGTATACTGTGTATTCGGTTATGTATCATCTGTACATCTGTTTCTAAAACACAGAAACAGTAAGAGCCCCCCATCCAAGAATCCATTTTAATCCTCTTGGGTGTGATGTCACCCCCCAAAAATGCATATGCTCTGGAGTCAGTCACAAACACATTACGAATGCATGATCACTTAAGAATGTTACCAAAGTTTATAAATTTGAGATGATAATTCTATGTTATTTAGTTCATTTTAGAGATAAGTAAGAACCAGAGATTCCAGAGAGGTAGACCAAGCTGACAGAGCAAGGAAAGGCAGAGCCAGACATGCAGCTGAAGCATCTGAATTCCCACTCTAGTGCTCCAGCTTAACCTGGATGATCAGTAAATGGTTGCTTTTCAATGTGCTCTCAACACTTCCCACACTGCCTCCTTCATTAATAAAGGAATGGTATTTTGGGAGAAACCAGAATCTGCCCTGGGGCAATAGAAAGGCAGCAAAGCAACCTGCATTCAAGTCTTTGGGGGATTTTTTGGAAAGCAGAGTGTATTAGTCTGCTATTGCTGCTGTAACAAATTACCATAAATTTAGTGGCTTAAAACAACACACATTTGTTGTCTTAAAGTTCTGGAGGTCAGAGCCCAAAATGGGTCTCATGGAGCTCAAATCAAGATGTCAGAAGGGCTGTGTTCCTTTGGAAGGCCCTTGGGGAGAATCTGTTCCATGCCTTCTCCAGTTCCTGGAAGTCACCTGCTTGCTTTGGCTGTGGGGCACTTCCAGCAACTGCATCACTCTAACCTCTGCAACCATAGCACGTCTCCCTTTTCTGACTCTCACCCTCTTCTTTCTTTCCCTTATAAGGACAATTGTAGTACAGGATAATCTCCCCATTTCAAAATCCTTTACTTAATCACATCTGCAAAGTCCGTCTTGGCCTATAAGGTGACATACTTGCAGATTCCAGAAATTAGAATTTGGACGTCTTTGGGTGGCTGTTATTATGCCTGCCACACAGACCAATGCATACACAATGTGACCAATCCATCATGATTTGTCTGAGACTATATTGGCTTTAAAGCTGAAAGTTCTGCATCCCAGGAATCGCCTCAGTCCCAGGCAATTCAGGACAATTCGTCGTCACCCTATGTGCACCTCCTATGTGCTCCTTCAACTTAGAGAGTTGGTGTTTTCTCTCCTCTTCAAAGGACTAACTCCTTTTCACCTAAAGAGTACACAGAGGCTGGGTGTAGTGGTTTAGGCCTGTACTCTGTGCATTTGGGACACTGAGGCAGGAGGTTCACTTGAGCCCAGGAGTTTGAGACCATTCACGGCAACATAGTGAGATCCTTTCTCTACAAATTTTTTAAAAAATTAGTTGGGCATGGTGGCACATGCCTGTAGTCCCAGATACTTGGCAGGCTAAGGAGGAAGGATCCCCTGAGCCCGGGATTCAAGGCTGCAGTGAGCTATGATAGTGCCACTGTACTGCAGCTGAGGCAATAAAACGAGGCCCTGTCTCTAAAAATAAAAAAAAAAAAAAAAAAGAAAAAAAGGCTGCACAGAATAGACTGATGGACTGAAGGCTCTGCCCTTATCAAACATTTACTAAGTAATAATTATAAGTTTGCCTCCTACACTGGGTGACTTCTCAAATTCCAGGTTGAGGTCATATTCATTTCTGCTGTCATAGGGTATTGTTGGGTCCCTGGTGCTTATATGTGATTTGGGAAATGCTTGCCGATGTGAATTGAAGAGAAGGATAGACAAATGCTTGGTTGGGAGGATGGCAGGAGATGGTAATGGGTAGATGGGTGGATGGATGAAAATATGAATGGATGGCTAAGAACGATCAGTAAGCTGGGAGAGCATCTCAGATCCCAACAGCATCTAGGCACAAAGCAATTTATATTTAATTTGCATTATTGTATGTCACCCCAGATGGGGAGAAAGACAAGGAAATGAAAAGAGAGAAGAGAAGGAAGGAAGGAAAAGAGAAGGGATGGGAAGAAATGGAAGAGAAGAGAAAAGAAGGCAAAAGAGAAGAAAGACAAAAGACAACCAATGAGATAAACAGAGAAAAATAAAGACTAGAAAAGGAAGAGGGGAAAGGAGAGGAGAGGAAAGGAAGGAAAACTCATGGGTGGTCCCCAGCTTAGACCACATGCCCACAACCAGCTCTGGATCCCAGAGGTGGGACTATGCTGGAATTCCAGAGGAAGAGGCATGCAAGCCAAGCACAGGCCATTCCATCAGTTCTTCTAAATTATTTCTCCAGTCCAGGCCCGCATCAGGGAGAGCATGTCTGTCGTGCATTTTAATCTCAGAGTTCTGGGCTGGTATTTGTCAGCCCCAGAGGAAAAACCACTTTTTTTTTTTTTTTTTTTTTTGCCCTTCTCACATGCTGGGCAGGCGTGTTACATTTTTTTTGGCTGTGAAGGCACTAAGTGTTTCTTGGCAGCATGTACGTCTGGAACTCAGCCTCTTCCCAAGTCAGAACGACCAGAGATTCAAGATCAATGGGTGTAGCTTTCAGGTGGGTTCCCTCTCCAGTGCCATCTTGGGGAAAGGCAGGAGGACTTTTGATTTTCCACTTTTCCAGCTGAGACAGCTCTCTCTCCCGAATGCGCATACGTGAATACCTCGTCTATTTCCATGAGCTTTCTCTTTTCATTATCGCTTCACCACCAATGGAGAAAGATCAGTAGAATATAATGTTGAAGACTCAGAGTCCTTGGAACTCTTTGGCATTGACAAATCGTGTTACAACAACCTCCTTTGCGTCTTAAACAGCCTGGCATTCTCACATTCAGCTTGGCAGCCTCATCAATATTCTGGAGAGATCTGAGCTCAAGGCCATCAAATGTGACACTTTGGTTGTTTAGTCGGGAGTGAATCTACTGACTGTGGCCTTAGTGACACCAAGGCTGGCATGTTGTGTTTTCTCTCAATTCATGGGCTTTTCTGATGTGTCTCTCAAATCCAGCCCTGGTGAGGGGAAGGAAAATTACCCAGACCCAGCTCTGTTCTGTAGGAGCTGCATGATTTTGAGAGAGTCTCTTCCCCTTTCTGAGCCTCAGTTTCTCCACTGGCATGGTAAGGTGCAGTTTGGACCAGGTAGTTTCTAAAGTCTGTTACATTCCGGCATGCCCAACTTCGTTTAGGATTGCTCTGAATGAATGAGTGTCCAGCCATGGTCAGGCCAATAGATAGGGTCAGAAAATACAGTTTGCCACATATGCAGTCAAGCGTTGATATAAATTGTCTGCCTGAATCCTGGCTTTGGTTGTTTGTGGATCAAACCATGCCCCCTGTGTGCACAGTAATGATTGGTTATGGCAACCATATGTCCTGGGTTTCCTCGGACAGCCTTGATTTCAAAAATTCTGTCCCATCGTCAAACCTTGTGTCAGATCATGTATCTCAATTTTTGATTCAGAAAGTATGGTCACCATATGGCAAATGCATCTCCACCACTGTGACATAGAGGGCTTGTCTTCATCCTCCTGCAAATCTCTGTCTTATTCTCCCAGGCAGACAAGGATGCATCTCCTCTCTGTGCCCACTCCTGTCACCACAAAACCTTCAATCTATCACTTCCATGTCTGTGTCCTGTGCTGGACACCAGGCTCCCTAAGGGCAGGAAGAACATTTGGTTCATCTTCATATTCTTAGCACCAGCTCTGAATAAACTAAAAGCAATGAGTCTGTCACATTATACAGTAGAAATCTTCCTGAAAAGATGGGGGCGTACATTTTTAAATTATAATCTCTTCTAAATAGAACCAGGAAACTTAGTACTCAAGGAAGAAATCATACATTTATTTTTTTCCTTCCTTTCCTTTCCTTTTCTTTTCTTTCTTTTCTCCAAATAATTATTTCAGATCTTCTAAAAGATCTGGACTTGCATATGCCATTTGCTGGGGGGGGTAAATCTTGGAAGCAGATTCTCCTGGCTGTATAGGATTCAGTCCACTCATGGCCAACAAACTGAGACATCAGAAGAGAGAATTCACCATTTTAAATCTGCAGTCAGCTGAGACTCAGTCCTGCAATTATATAATTTCTTGTGAATTTGTTTCATGAACTAAAGAAGGCAAAGGCTTTTTCAGGGTTACAAGGGGGATAAAGTCCATCTTACGGCCCTTGGAGGAAAATCTTAGTCACCTTTCTTATAATTCCTTTTTCTTGGCTGCTTTTAGTGCTAGCCCCTTTCTTTGAGTACTTTATCCTTCCTGAACTCTCTAGACATACGTGTCTCCAAGCTCCTCTCTAACCCAGATTTCACTCTGGCAGCCATGCTAAACTTTGATCCAATGTTGTCCATAACTTCTACTTATTTCCAGAGTAATAATAATACTTCACAGCATACCACTCAAGAGCTCTTATGGTTTGACCACCATCTATTATTTTACACCTTAGATCCTCAAAAGGCCCATACACCAACACCTTTTATCCCAGAAAAATCAAGAAATCCAGTCATTTTTACTATTGTCAATCCCAGAAAATAGCCCAACTCACTCTCATAGCTCTGAGTCTTTGCACAAACTCTTTCTTTTCTCTGGGACGAGTTCCTGCCTTCAGGTACCTTGGCACACCCTAGCTGTCTTTCAAAATCTTTTTTGATTATCCCTTTTATTGTGAAGGCTTCTCTCATTCAGTAAATACAGATGATGATGATGATAGTAATAACAACAATAATAGTGATGATAATGACAAAACTCACATGTGTTCAGCAGGAATTATGTGCTGGGCTGGGAGCTAAGTGCTTTTCAGACTTTACCTGATCTTACATTTTATAGCAGAAAAGAAAATTCAAACCCAGAAATATTTGCATAGCCAAACTAAGTCCAAGGACACATAGTTAAAATAGGGCAGACCTGAGGTTGGGACCCATTTTCTGTCTGACCTCAAAGTCAGAGTTCATAACTACTACATCCCACTTAGGCTCAGTCAGGTTCTAGTTTGGATCACTTCATACCCACAGAAGGTGCCTCTTGCTTGGTCATCCTCATGTTGACCAGCCAGCCTCAAGGATCTCGAGGACAGAGGCTCTGCCCTATAAATCTATTCTTCATTAGTCCTTCCTATGGTCCCTGACACACGGTAAACATGCAACAGAGTTGGCTAAAGAAATGGGCACAAAACCACTCTTTCATCTTGCTTCATTTTTGCCGAGAGGAATATCTCAAGGGGAATATATAGACACCTTCCACTAGATCTGTACATATATTCAAGCTCACACTTAAAAAGGGCCACCATAATCAGCAAGCAGCAAATATACCCTAGGCTGCTTCTAGCTGGAGCATAAACAGAACCCACCGAGGCTCTTCACTGGCACAGCAACTCTGTGCTCCCTAGAGCCTAAAGCTGATGAAGAAGTCTGCAAACCTTACCTTTCCAAAGAGCCAATGCCTAGAGGATGACAATATTAAGTCTGAATTCAACGAAAACTAACAAAGAAACAAACAACCCCAAAAGTAAACACAAAAGAAATAAAAACACTTTGGGAGGCCTAGGCAGGCAAATTGCCTGAGCTCAGGAGTTCGCGACCAGCCTGGGCAACACAGTGAAACCTCATCTCTACTAAAATACAAAAAATTAGCTGAGCATGGCAGCACGTGCCTGTAGTCCCAGCTATTTGGGAGGCAGAGGCAGGAGAATTGCTTGAACCCGGGAGGCAGAGGTTGCAGTGAGCCGAGATCACACCACTGCACTCCAGCCTGGGCAACAGAGCGAGACTCTGTCTCAAAAAAAAGAAGAAAGAAAGAAGGAAAGAAAGAAAGAAAGAAAAAGAAAGGAAGGAAGGAAGGAAGAAAGAAAGAAAAAGAAAGAAAGAAAGAAAGAAAGAAAGAAAGAAAGAAAGAAAGAAAGAAAGGAAGGAAGGAAGGAAGGAAGGAAGGAAGGAAGGAAGGAAGGAAGGAAGAAAGAAAGAAAAAAAGAAAGAAAGAAAGAAAGAAAGAAGGAAAGAAAGAAAGAAGAAAGAAAGAAAGGAGGGCGGGAGGGAGGGAAGGCAGGCAGGCAGGCAGACAAACAAAAGCCCAAGTCATGACGGATAGAAGCAGTTTCACTCTTTGACTTGATCTAAGGGACAGTTTCACTGATACAGAATCTTGTCTGGTCCTTTGCTTGAGATTGGCAGTCGAAAGTTCCCTAAGAGGCCAAACCAAGTGTACATGAAGCCTCATGCAGTGAGGGAATGGACAAAACACACACATCAATCAACAACTGGCAAAGTGGATCTGCCTTCAATCACTCCACATCGGCAAAGAAAATCCAATCATTTTGACCATCTAGACAGGGGAGATCACAACTAACTTTATGACTGGCTCAGTTTTGGCAGCACTGTCCCAGCTCCCTATGCTGATCTACTAATATAGAATGGTCCCACTAACAGACATATTCTGTTCCTAATACGCTGCAACCTTTCTTTTGCCTCTCTCACATTTCTCCTGATGGAATAAGGTTCACCAAAAGTCCTGGAGGCTCTCTTGGATCTGATTCCATTGTCCATCAAATTTCCATGGTCCCTTGAGGGAAACAGGCCATTCAAGAACTACACATTGTGACTGGAGGAAATACTCCACACCAGCCCTGTCTCTCTGTGATTATGTGTATCTCCATCCTGTTCTACTCTGAGAAGATTTCAAAGTTGGCAAATCATAGCATTTCTGCTAACTGCCTACAGTGCACCTACTGTGTGCCAACTTTGATGATGGTGCTGAGGAAAGTGAAAATTGTGAGCTTGTAGATCTTCAGCTAGAGGTAGAACCATAAATATAAACCAAGATTAAGATAAGAAACAACAACAGGATCAAAGTGGCACTTGTACATCAAGTAATGGGCTATATAGGTCCTCCTTAGAATGTCAGAGAGAAGAAAGGCCCCCAGCAGAGGGGCCTCAGTCAGTCATAAGTAAGCAGAGAAGCTGTGGGAAAAAGGTCAAAGTGGATATGGAAGTTCAAGGCTTTGTCCAAACAGAGATATTAGAGACAATCCAGACCAGGAGGAAAAATAAAAGTGGTCGGGGTGGAGAGGGAGGGAAAGGGGAAAGGGGAGGGGAGGTTGCATATTCAGCACTGTTCTCCTAATCTTTATTATACTGGCTGCATTTACTTTCCACATGGCCTTCACTTCTCTGGATATGAAATTCTTTGAAATAAGAAAGGAAAGGTCCATTCAGTTCAATACCCCAGCACCCACCATAGGTCCTGACTCATAGGAGTCCGGTAACCTTTAAAGGCAAGAATAAAGTAAAGATGGATAGATACATGAAGTATCTGATCCTGGCTCACATCATCCCCTGGAATCCTCTCAGTCCCATGACAGAAAGGATGAGCATGGAGAGGTGTGCACAGCATGTCCTCTGCCATGTGTGTAAGCCAGGGCAGGTCATTCCTTCAAACCCCAGCCATTATCCAATGGGTTGTTGAGTTAGAGGAGATGCATTTACACTGGCACATAGTAGGTATTCCACAAGCAGCTATGGCTATGTTTTCTCCTTTTCTGGCACTCCACCTGGACTGTGATAGCCACCACCTATGGGAGAAGTCACCAAAACCAATCCTAGGTTAGAATCAGATGTGTTAGTATCAAATGGAAACCTTTGTTGATTACAGTGAATGATAATAACTTTATCCTCTCTACAGTTGCTCTTCAGTGAGTACCTAATGTACGCAAGTACAATGCAGAGTGCTTTTGTCTATGATGACATTGATTTCTCACAATAGCCTCACCGGGCACAGAGACTTGGAGCCAACACTGGCCCCACTGTACAGATGACAACATGGAGGAGTTGAGAGAGGAAAGGCTTTGTCCAAGGCCACCCAGCTAAGAAACAACTCCAAAACCCATGCCTGTCTCTAACATTCTCTGATCTAATTACCATTCTTTAGGATAGATGAGGTTTTATTCTGATGTCCACATAGAAATAAGGACCCTCTGCCCTTTATTGTTCTGCTTTAGCTGCCTGTCACTTATTGTCACTTTTATTTTGTAACATCTATTAACATCATAGCAATTTCTCCATTTTTTTCACTGATTCATGGCTGCAGAGCTCCTGGATGCAGGTCTGGGGCATAACTTGTCTTTGGATTTGAGAATTGCTTCATCTGGCATGGTATGTTATGCAGAGGAGGAACTCATGGATAAAATGAACCATTGTATATCTCCACAAATTTGGGCATATCTATAAATTGGCAAATTGAATGCCCAATTCAGCACTTTTTTTTAAATTTATCCCTGCAAAATAAAATAAAGGTCAGATGCTATAGTAGGATTCAGTTTGCTTCTTACCCCACTATTTCACACCTCCTATACTCTCATATTCCAAAACTCACACCTATTGAACTAAAAAGGGGAAAAATATGCCTGTCTCCTTTTGGCCTGATCAGTTGAAATCTCACTAAACTTTTCATCCAGGTCTGGCCTGAATGTCTTTAATTTGGCTAAGAAACACCATGCTTGCTTAAAGTTGGATAAGATTATCTCTTACCTGAGGACTTCCTCTCCTGGAGTAAATCAATAAATGTAATAGTAAAATTGCTAATCAAAAGTAAAATACAAAATAAAAGTAAATCATCCAGGCAGCCTAGGCACTGAGTTGTCAGGAGCAGTGTCTTGAAGAAACTCTCTGTCCTGCTTCAGTCTCTGAGCTGGCTTTAGTGGTTTTGTGACACTGGAATCTCTTGTCTCTCTGAGTGCTACATAGCTTTTTTGTAAGGGGGAATTCAACTCTCTCTTAGCTTAGGGTGGTTCATTTTCTTTCACAGAGTTGTTCAGTATTTTGGGCATTGGTAGCAGATGATTTTATCCTTTTTGATGCAAACTACCAGTAGGCTGTAGAAATCCAGGGAATAAGCAAATATCAACAGCTGAAGTACCTAAAGTTAACTCAGGAATTCTGTTCTCTGCCACTCTATCAAATAAAATAAAAATTTATCTTGATTAGACAAAATCAAACCTAACCTAAAACAGAATTACCTTCCCCAGGAAGGGGGAATACTACTTATACTACAAATTAATTGGAGAAAGCAGGATGCAAAATTGTTTATTCAGTGTGATCTCAAATGTGTAAAATAATATTTGCTGGAAGAATGAAGTACGGCAAGATGTTAACAGTTTTTACTTCTGGGTGATGCAATCATGTATGATTTGTATTTTCTTATCTATTCTGTGTTTGCCAAATTTTCTAAACTATCTTTTATGATTCTTAAATCTTTTATGATTTAAGAATTATATGTATCCACTATTTAATTTTTTAATTGCTACATAATATAGATATTTTCGTGGTACACCAGTGATGTTTTGATATATATAATATATGGTGATCAGATCAGGGTAATTAGCATATCCATCATCTCAAACATTCATCATTTCTTTGTGTTGGGAACACTCAATATCCTCCTTCTAGCTATCTGAAGCTATATAATGTATTATTGTTAACTATGGCCACTCTTGACTTGTGCGCATGCACAGAGACTGGCTAACATTCACAGTGGCAGACACTGTGAATGTTATCAGAAGTTCACTTGACAACCCTGCCTTAGGAATCAAGCCAGCATTGTAAAAACAAAGTAAAAGACACAAATAGAAAAGTAGAAAAGTGAACTGCTGGTCAACCATCCACTTATCATGTATTTAGTGTCAAATGTATTGCCAGGCCCTGAAGACTCCTGCCGTGCTCAGCCTCCACTCCCCTCACCTCCTGAGAGCTAGTTATGATTTGGACATCACTGGGGTTTCCTTCTTGACCCCCACTCACACCCTGCCCACTTTGACATCCCTTGACCAGAGCAGTGTCATTGGCTGGGGAAACACAGCTTTCCAATGGTGGCACCACAATCAGCAGTAATCACTGTGTGGGTGGAAGAGAGGCTGGACACTGTGCTTCCCAATGGCAGGGACCCTGAACCCCTTGGGATGTGGCAGCTCCAAGGTGGCATGCATGTGGGATGTAGCATGGAGCAGAGCGGAGCCTGATGGTATCTCATGCCTCTTAGCCAAAGTTGGAGCCAATGAGGGGGCATCAGGGCCACAGCCTTGCTAAAATCCATCCTCTCTGTTCCTTTGCTCTTCTGAGGTTCTCTGAGTTACCGCAGCAGATTGATGGCATCCAATTAACTTTCTGTGGGTGGTTCAATTGGGTGACCACCCTGGAGGTCAGCGTCTATGCCTGCTTCCTTCTGGTCCATGAGTCGTGCCTGGAGGTCTGCAGCCCTTAGCACGCTGCATGGTAACACAGCCCAGTGCAGGAAGCATTTGCCCAGAGCCTGCTCTACCCCATTCAGGCCCCCTCCCCCAGCACAGCAGGACCTGCAAGCATGGGTCTGAAAAACAGATCGGAGACCTCCAATCCATGGCCAGATTCTAGCTGAGGCACACGAGGGTCTAGGGTTTCGCCAGGTTAACTCCCAGGAACCAGAGCAGGGAGGGGTTTCTGGCAGTCAGCCACTTGGACAAAGGCTCCCAGAAAGCACTGGAGCCTGAGCCCCACCCGCTTGCCAACCCCTCTGCCTGGAGCGCCCCGGGGCCGAGCTGCCTCGATGCGTGACTTGCCCAGGCCTCACACAGCTGAGCAGAGCTGGAAGCCTCCCGACACATTCCTGGTCTCAACTTCACTTTCCCTGCCTGGTTCCTATTAATGATGTGGGTTTCCAAGCCCTAATAGCAGAGCTCTGGCTTCAGAGGAGGGCTGCCTGGGGCTGCCGGCCGCCAACCAGGTCGCACACAAACGGGATCTTTTGGAGTCACCCTTTATGGCCCGGACACTGGATTATTTATAAACTTCTTGAAAACAAATAAACAAAAGCAAAACTGAAAACCTTGGAAGACACCAGGCTGGACATATGCTCCTTTCTTCAGGGACAGAAGTCAGGCAGATTGGAAGACGCGTTTGTTGGTAAACGCCGGCCTCCCTAACTCCATGCTGTTGATGTTGCATTCGGTGAAGCCCTTTCTTTGGAAGCTTCATCACTGGCATCGCCACTAGGCTGCTGGAGATGCCCTGCAAGTAATGAGATGCACACCTGGAGGGAGTGGGTCAGAGAGGTTGCTCCCCGTCTCATGGAGCAGGATGGAAGGCAGAGGAATGTTCTGGAACTGCAGCCAAGGAGAAGTCAGCTCAGTACACTGAGGTCCTTGGCCAGGTAAGCTCTTGGCCAGCTCTGCTGGAAGAAAGGGCAGCCTGCCCTCCCTTTCTTGGGCCCTCCAGCCCCTTCCAGGGGTTAGCATTCTCATGACACACTCACTTCCTCTGAGGATCCCTCCAGCATCTTCAGGGTGAGGTCACCAGGTGCAGTGGCAGAGGCTTCTCTGCCTAGGTGGAAATGAAGGATAAAGTCTGAGGATGAGGGACCAATGCAATGAGGCTGCTTTAGGAAGACCCCTGGAGATCCCTCTCTCACCACTCATGGAGTCTGCAGCATTCTGTGATCTAACTGTTTGGCAGTAAGTTTAGATCACTTTGTGAGGGGTCTCCAGCAGGTAGAATAGTCTGACCCAGAGCCTTATGAGTGGGTACACACCTGTCCATTTTCATGATCTGATTCAGTCGTTTGTGTGTCCATTCGTTCATTTGAAAATCCCTATGCAGTATCTAACACATCCTGGGAACTGTGTTTGATGTTGTATAGAGAGGGGTAACAAAAATATGGTTCTAAAGGAGATAGTTTTGCAAACCCATGAAAGACACAGCCCACCTCTCATGACAACTCAATTTGAATGAGACAGACACTAGTTAAATAGGCAAACAATCACATAAAGTGGCAGTTGCTATGGTACGGCAGTGTAGGATGCTAAAGATATAGGGAAATAAGTCCTAACCCCCTCTTGGCGATTCAGGAATGGTTTCCAGGAATGGAATCAGAGCTGGTTTTGAAGAATAAGTAGGTGTTTTCCAGGTGGAAAAATGACAGCAGGATATCCCTGGTCTAGAGAATAGCATGTGCCAAAGTCATGGAGGGTGGGCAAAACAAACACAAGCAGAACTTGGCTGGGGCATGTAGTGTGAGGTATGCTCACGGAGAGGAAGCTGGGAAAGAAAGCAGGGGCTTGACCATGAAAGACCTTCAAAGTCATGCTAAAGAGATGGCCCATGGATCAGATGTTCAAGTTAGGAATTCTCTCTCTGGCAGCAATGGGGAACAGGGGATGGAATGGCAGGAGGCAGGGGGCAGTAAGATCACAGAGAAGCTGCTGTAGAAGCCCAAGTGCTCAGTGATGGGGTGGCCTGGATGTGGCTGGGCAAGGGGAGAGCACTCAAGAGACATGGAAGAGTCACCATCAGTGGCACCTGGGGATTGATCTGGTGAAAGGTAAGAGAGACAGGTAGTTGAAGATGCCTCCTGGACTTGAATGCAGAGAGGGTGGCAGTGCCATCCAGGGAGTGATAGGAAGATGAATATCCAGGTTATGTCATAAATGAAACATGGTCTTCCTTCATGTGAGGATGCTCCTCTCCCCTTCATCTGCTCTGCCCCAGGAGTCGGCTGTCAGTCACACTGCCAGCGGGGCCCAAGAAGTCATTTGCACACTCCTTGGTAATCTGGATCACTTCCATTACTGCTTTCCCTTCACTTTGAGAATAAATGAAAAAATCGACTCCTCCGGATGCCAGATTTGTGTTCCTGTGTTAGGAGATTGTTTTTTCTTTTTTGCATCTGTGTGTACGTTAAACAGCAAGAAGAAAGTCGTGAAACTCAAGGAGTTTCCCCAAAAGTAAATCAATTTGCGGTTGAATGTGCTGTGGAATTTGTTTGCAAACCTACGAGAGCGAAGCGAGCTTAAAAAAGATGCAGTTGGATGAGACTGCAAAGTTTTGGAAAGTTCTTTGAACACATGTAAACATGATATGTGTAAGCAAATGTTTAACTTGCCTTTTTTACTTCTACAAATTATATTATGAAATCAGACGTCTGTGACTCCTTAAGAATGTCAAATCAGTGTATTCCTTCAAAACAGATAATTGCTTAGTGCTGCTCAGCTTCCAGGCTCCAGGCCTTGGGAAGGCTGAGTTTCCAGCCTGACAATGAATGGGGGCTTGTCTGAGAAGTTGATTTGCATCATGCAGGTGGCAGGGCAGGGGCATTCCTTGGGCTCTCCACAAGGTGGGTCTGCCGGACACAGACCATCTGCCCTCCGGAGGAGGAGGCAAATCCACATCATTGTTTACTTCCTCTTCCTGGGGATGCCAGCATGATGTAATGATTTCATTCCCTGCTCTGCCTTGTGATGAGAGAGACCAGCACTTTAATCCATTCTAGGGAAAGATGGTGCAAAATGTATTAGATCTGATAGTCATATCAGCACTGCTTAATACTCTGCTCTCTGAGAACCAGGGTTGAAGCATCTAGAATTAAACTGCCCTTCTGGCGCCAAAGGAGATGGAATTGGCCAGATTAGTATTTATGAGCACCGTTAAAGTGGGGCGAGGTCATCTGATATGGAGGAGCTCCTATTGTTCCTAGCAAAGGGCATCCCTGTGGTTTGGAGGCAAAGATGGGGAAGATATGCTGTATAGGTCAATATTACATGCTCACACATATAATTAGGCTGTTATTACTAGACACATCTATTAACATTGCAGCCAGACCTGGAGAGATATCCTCTGGAACCATTACAGGGCTTTTCAAAGAACACACAGTCCCACTGAAATCAGCAGAATATTTCCTGGCCTCTCTACTGCACCCCAGGGGGGGTGTTCACACTCCTCAAAGCCCAGGCCAGACTCCTGTTAATGCTAATAGCAACACATGTGCACTTTCAAGGGAGAGAGGACCACACAGTGCTTAGTATGCTAGTAAGCATTAATTTGATTCCTTGGGTGCAAAACAATGTCAATGGGACCATTTTGAGGCATATGCTACTGCTCACAAGCCCAATTAAACCAAAGGATTATTGCTATGTTGCATTATCCATAGGAGATGTACATATGATAGATTATTGGGGATGCAATTTGCAGTGCATTGTTTATTCCCAATGTATTGGGTGTTTGGTGTTGCTTTGGAAAGGTTGTTTACATTGAAAGTAAACTCACATTAAAAAATATATGTATGTCTAGTCTTGATTTGGAAATTGTAAAACCACAGCTGTCACTTTCCAAAAGTCTAAGGGGGATTTTACAGGATCGTTGGAACTAGAATAAATATTACAGTCACCTACTAACTGTCTGGGTGGCAATTTTTGTTCCAAGTACTTGACTCGCTGATTCATCAAATAGTGCTGATAAATCCTGAAGATTTGAGCCTATTAAACAAAAGCTCTGTTCTCAAGGAGCTTACAATCATTATCTGAATCATTTCTCTGTCTCTGTCTCTCTCGTGTCTCTCTCTCTGTCTCTGTATGTATCTGTCTCTGTCTCTCTCTCCCTCTCTGTCTTTCTCTCTCTCTCACACACACACAGACACACACACAGAGACACAATGATTGAATGAAGAATTTATGAATACCCTTGGCTTATAGATGAAGCTTTTCTGATACTCTGAGAAGTGACTCAACCAAGGCCACCCAGCATGTAAATAAAAGAGATGGGGGGAGAAGCCAGGATTCTATAATTTCATATTTGTGACCTCTGTAAGTGACCTCCCTGAGGAGTAAAACATAAATCAATTAATGATATGGCTAACTGTTCTTCATAGTTCCCTGAATGAAATTGACCTTATGTTCAAAGAATGCAGGTTATGACTTAACATCTCTTGCATACAACCTAGCACTTTTTAATTGATGGGAGGAGAAAAAAATGGCATTCAGATGGCATAGCATTGGGGGGTGTTAGCAACCTCCCTCTCTTGAGGAGGTGTATGACAATTTTAGGACTCAAGGGGATCTTCCCCTGTCTATAATAAATATTTTTTCCAGTTTAAAAGCTAAAACCATTAAGGATCTCATGGGGCTGAATTGAGTAGGCTTTGCAGATAGGCTGACTTGAGCTGGTATCATTCACTGGGATGAGGAGGAGAGGTTATTCACCACTCTAAGATTCAGTTTTTCTTTCTGTGAGATAGAAATGACACCACCCACATTGGAAGATGTGACAGGATGAAATGAGATCCATCCTCTGCATGAGGCTGAAAAGCTCATGGCACAGTGCATTATGTTAGTTGGTGGTGAAGACAAAGTTGTTCTTGCTGGAGAAAATGACCCCAACTGTTTTATCATTTGATCCTCATCAAAACCCTACTAGAAAGTGCTCATTCCGCTATGTTTTAGACATGCTCACAGAGGATCCAAAGTAACTTATATAAGCTGGGAAAGATCATATCTGGAAAATCCAACCCACATCTCCTGTCCCCAAGTTCTGTGCTTGCTCCCTCCACTTTCACAGTCTATAGCATGACTGTGCTAGTCCTGGCTAGGGCTTCTAGTCCTGGCTTGAGAGGACCAATTGCAGGCACCTCTTCCTAATGCCAAATTCAGAGATGTCATGCTGGCAGTTTGGCATTGGCCATGGCAGAAGGAATTTACACCACAGACAGAGGCTAATGCCACAGCTCAAGGCAGTGTTTCACCAGAAGCCAGTTGGTAAACATTACTGGCACATCACTGCCCCTCTGCTTTTAGTCTTCATGTGTTCTCAAATAAAATATGATTTCTGAATGTCCCTGTTATAGTTTGGATCTTTAAAGGGAAGTATTCTTGACCCTTTTGTTAAGTTTGAGCAGGCATTGCCAAGTAAGTAGGTTCAGCTTTTTAAAATGATTTACCTCCCAAGGCACTTCAAAAGGATGGGTATCTTTAGTCAGCCCTGACTCAGGATCGTGGGCAGCAACACCTTGCCTGTCATCAGCATAGGCTGTTCTTGACATTCTGAGAACTAAAGACCCCTTGGATAGGGCTAGCAAGTGTCACTGCCAAGAGAAATTGTTAGTAGGAGTGTTCAGGAGTGTGTTCCTTGCTGGAAACAGGCCACATCCTCTATAGCAGGGAAAGAAAGAGACTATTTCCAGATGACCTTTTGCAGGCACATCAGCTGATAGCAGGAGACCCTTCTGCCTTGGAATCAAAGGATGAGAAGATGGAGACATAGGAAATAATGGAATTGTTGCTGATAGCAGATTCATGGAATACATTTGTTTAATCATTGAAATTATTAGCAGCTGCTCTGGAGATATAAGGATAGGGTCACCGTTTGTTGTCCATATCAGATCTATAGTCTCTAAGTCAAGCAAAAAGCATCAAACATGAACCTGGAACAAAAATTCACAGAAAAAGTCTATATTCACATATGGTATACTCATGATATGTTAAGAAGAAATAACAATAAAAAATAAACAAATCCCAGCCATTTGGGTTTGAGAATTTGGGGATAGACCAGAAATTTTAGGTGGCTTCTGTGTCTTCTAAAAAGAATCACAAGCAGGAACCAGAAGATAAATTAGAATGTGTTTGTCTCCTCCAGTAGGGAACTCCTTCTATGTGTGCGCATGCACACACATACACACATACACACACTCCCCACATTTTCTCTAAATGAAAACATCACTGCATTCTCTGGGCCAAAAGAAAAATTCTAGCTATGTGGTCTGAAGAAAACAATTCTTAGAATATTTCCATGTCAAGAGGCAGTGTAAGGGGTACAATTTTTATCCTGTTGTTAGCAGAATTGTAGAACATTTTTTGCTTTATTAAGATGGATAGAAATTCTGACATCAAACTATTCTGAAAACAAGGAAGCAGATAAAACAATTGGGACAGATGTACACAGTTCTAGAACTCATTGCTATGGTCTGAGTGTTTATGTCCCTCCTAAACTTACATGTTGAAATCCTGATCCCCGAAGTGACCATATTAGGAGTTCACCTTCATGAATGAGGTTAGTGCCCTTACAAAAGAAACCCAAGAGCTGCCTTGTCCCTTCAACCATGCAAGGACATGTGGAGACGGTGCCATCTGTGAACCAGAGGGCAGGCCCTCATCACATGCCGAGTCTGCTGGTGCCTTGAATCTTGGACTTCCCAGCCTCCAGAACTGCAAGAAATAAATTTCTGTTGTTTACAAGCCACCTAGTCCATGGTAATTTATTATGGCTGCCTAAGTGGACTGAAACACTCATAGAAGTATTAAATGAATGGAATCAAGTCAAATCATCTTCCTCTCTTTCCCTTCCTCTTCTTCTTGCTACTTCTCTTTCTTGTCCTCCTTCTCAACATCATCCCTTTTCTTCCTCTTTTTTCTCCTCTTCTTCTTTTTCTAATTGGAATAATAATTTTACCTTAAGAATCATATAGAGAGATATTTCTTCACAGAGACCACAGTGGAAGAGGTTCCTTTCCTCATTTCACTGGCCACAACTCCTGGATATCCTGGATTGGATTTACTTTTCTGAAGAACTAGTAAAAGAAACCACTTCTACTTATACTACCAAAGGCCAAACTGGAAAGACAGCACATTTCTAAAACATTGCCAGAATCTTTAAAGCGAGGAAGGAGACCTTTTCTTCAACTCCAAGAAAAATGCGTCTCATTTATCCCCTTCACGTCTTTCTCCTGAGCCATTTCTGCCAATCCTCCAAATATGTATTTACATACATGTCTTCAAACACGATCCACTTGCCCAATGTACTTTAATGGCTACAATAAAGAATTAACACTGTGGATAGAGCTAAGGCATTTTCAGTGCAGTTAAAAAAAGAACACTGTGGTTTGGTTCTGCTGAGGCGATATTGCTCAACAGTTAATGTAATCATATTACAAGTGCTTGTATTAAAATCATATGCAAGACAAAAATCGGTCTGAATGGCAGCAACTAACGAAAGACAAAGAAAGATCTGTGAGTTGTCATAATCCATTAAAGAAATGTTAGTAGGAGAAGGTACTGACATACACACTCACACACACATAGATAGCCAGAAGAACCGATAAGAACCCATAAGGGGATTTGCAAAAACACAAATGGATTTCTGGGAAAGCTTCTCTTCATACACATCCCTTCTGAAGGACGTCAAGCTTCTTGGCCATGATAAGCAGTGTGCTTAGAAGTGATGGTCACCCCAGACCTTGTATAGACCCACTGCAAAGCCACGTCCAGCTTGATACGTTGGGACATTGTGCAATTTTTCATTAGCTGGGATTTTGCCAGACAGGACCTGGCAGGTAGCTCCTTGAAAGCTGATGACTTTCCTAGTGTGGTCCTGGTTTTTGTTGGCAGTTGAACTCTGCCATTTTACACATTCCTGCGGTAGGGATTAAGTCTATCAAAACTATAAAGTTTCTTATAATATTAGACATTGGGACACAAAGTCAGCCTCTGGCAATGGTCTCCTTCCCCTTCCTCCATGCAAAAAAAAAGTCAGACTTAAAAAAAAAGTATTTATTTTTGAATGTGTAGTACCTGGAGTCTACTTCAAACACTTTTTCATGGAACCAGAAGCATCGAATGTAAGGTTTTCCCAGCAGGACTTTACATAAACTTGAAACCCTGCCTGGATTTTCCATTTCCCCTCAAGGAAAGAGTTTGTAAAGGAGCCAGTGGAGGATCAGTAGCCAATCGTAGTCGGAGGGCAAGTTGAGCAAGGGAGTACTCAATGGTGAGAGTCTTAAGACTTCAAGGTGACAAGGCCTAACCTGCAAGGCAACACCAGTAAGTGGGAGAAAGCTCATCTGTGGATGACGTTTTGTTTCTCAGTTTGTGGAACAGTTTTCTTTGTGCTGCTCATCCTATCCATCTTGATTTCAACTTGCTTCCTCCAGCTTGGCTTTAAAGTGGAAGAACCATGTCAGACCAAACTGCCCTGGTATGCCTTTATTCCTGCAGCAAATAGCCAACCTTTGAAGGAGGAGAAGAGGTCCCATGTCATAAGCCTGAAAATGTTTTTCAACATAGAAAATTTTGGAGAGAATCCTTCCTCCATTACAAATGCCTTCCTTTGTTTCTTGACTTTTTAAAAATAGATGGATGGATCAAGAAAATATGGTACATATGAACAGTAGAATACTATTCAGCCATGAAAAAGAATGAGATTCTGCCATTTGCAGCAACATGGATGGAACTAGAGGGCATTATGTTATGTGAAATAAGCCAGGCACAGAAAGACAAATAACTGCATGATTTTACACATGTCTGTAATCTACAGAAGTTGATCATATAGAGTTAGAAAGGAGAATAATGGTTAACAGAAGCTGAGCAGGGGTTGAGGGAGAGAGGATGAGGTGATATTGGTCAATGAATACAAAGAAAGGTCTTCCTTTTTTGACACCGAGGAGAATGAAAATGTTTCTCTTAACAGACCACAATAAACTGGTTCAACCACTTGAGAGGTTTACTTTCTTTTCTTTTTCTTTTTTTTTGATTTATTAGTCTAAATAATAGAAGGTAAAAGAGTATTCCTACCTATGTTTTGTTTTCCACTTGATATAAATTACTATTATCTTATTTTTAGAATTCATATAACAGACCAATTAGAATGGTTAATCTTACAAACTTTACCACTCTGGTCAACGTAGATTTAGAAATGATTGTAATGACTTCAGCCGCCACAGATCCAGCAAAAGCAGACTCTTTTTCGGTGTGCATGTGTGTGTATGAGGGTGAATATTACATTTGTGGCCATTGCTTTCTGAATTTTATTATTTTTTTCTCCTGTTATACACTTCTCAGTATTTGGTCTGGCTTGTCTTTTAAAAAGTATGGTGATTTCCTCTTAAATGACGTAATTTTATGAAAGACTAAAGCTTTGCAAACTTGAGTTTGGCAGTGAGAATTCCCAGTATTTATATGTCTGTTAACATGAATATAAAAAGGGCTTAGATTAGTCAGACAACTGCAGCTCATGTTTTTGTTTTATGTTTTTGTTTTGTTTTGTTTTTTTGTTTTTCTTCTTGCCTTTCCTCTTTCTTCTCTCTTTCTTTCTGTCTACAAATATGTTAAAGTACTTTCTAAATGCCAAAGTCTGTGTTGGGAGTGGTAAAAATAGAGGTTGATCAGACAGTCCTTGGCCTTCTAACACAGGATGATACATGGTCATCAAAGAGAGACTATGAAAGGGCATGTTCAGGTCAGAAAAGGCACACATTAGGTCCCTGCAGGGTCCCATGAGAGCCTGTATTTTGTCTTGGGTGGGGCCTGTGGAGGGTAGAAGGGCTGTAGTGGGTTTCCTAGAGGAGCTGACTTTCTTTCTGTGTGGAACAATCAATTGCTGATGCCCAGGCAGTTTGGAAGGTGAGGGTGAGCAGGGTGCTCTAAGGGCCCCAGCATAAGCAAAGTTTATAAAAAAATAGAGTGTGCGAGATTTCTGGATTTGCAAGCAAGGTGCCAGGTTTGCAGTATGTAGGAAAGGGAGACAGAATAAGCAGGGGCCAGAGATGAAATGCTCTGTGCACTTACTAGGCAGCTTGAACTTGACTCTTGAAGTGATGACATGCCCTCACAGACTTTTAAGGAAGAAAGAGAGAAGATGGTGCCTAGTCCAGTGGGCAAACATGCACTTTCTAGGCCTGGTTTTCTGGGTTCAAATTCCAGTTCTATTATAGTTGAATGGTGGGATCTTAATCAAGTCATAATATCTCCTTGTGAATGAAGCTTTCCTCAGCTGCTCAGCTGTCAAATGGTGACGTTAAGTAGGGTTCCTAGCTCCAAGTGTTGACATAGCCAAGCAGCAAATGCATCTTCAGGAAATCTGCTGTAATAACAAGGGCAGAGCATAGAATAGTGAGAAGGTGTGGGAGAGAAGCAGCTAGACATTTCTCTGCCATTTGCTTTGGCCACTGGACAGTCATGGAACCCAAACAGGCAAGCTCACCTTGCAAACCTTGGCCTCCTCATCTGTTTAGTGGGGTTGAGAAGATTCACCACAGGTGGTTGAAAGGACCAGAAAATAAAAAATACAAGCATGTTGCCTAATGTGCGTGCTGGCACATATTAGGACCTCAATGCCCCGTCTCCTCCTCTTTGCAGTAGATTGATGCCAAGGAAATATGACTAGTGTTTTCAGACTCTTGAGAAGGTTTGATGCCATGCCTGCTGATTATGATACATGTACCCTAAACTAAACTTTTGAGAATGGAGTCTTTTCTTGGAAAAAAAATAAGTCAAAAATAAAGTCACTAGGTTGTATGTCTCAGAATGAATTCTCTAAGTCTCTCGGGAACCTCAAAAATTGGAGATCTTTAAAAAATAACCTCAGTGATTTTTTTTTTTTGTGGCCAAGCATTTACAGAGATGTTTATTTGATTTTTCCTAAAATATCAGTCTGCATTGTGTGCCACAACTCCCTACTACATGGATGATACCCCAAGATACGAACATTCATTATATCATGTTCACTAGACAAATGGTCATTCTAAAATGTAGCCATGACTATATGATTCCCCTACTCTAAAACCTCTCATGGCTGCCTTCAACCTCCAAAAAAGATCAGCCTCTCAGCATGGCAAACCAGCCCTCATATGCTGGCCCCATCATGGCTCCAGGTCTCCCCCTGTCCCCCTGTTCACGTCATACCTTCCTACTTCTAGTTATTCAACCAGATTCTTCTGCTGTTTTGTTTTTTTCGCAAGCTAGCCATCACTCTTAGATGTTCTTCCTCTATTTATCCATCTGGAAAACTTCTGTTTACTCTTCAAAACCTAATAGAAACTGTATTCTCCTGGAAGCCACCCTTGACCCCTATAAAGAATGTTAATTACCTTTTATTTTAATGGTAATTCACTTTACTCACAATTTTATTAGTGAACTCCTATGATTCTGCACTTTATTTGCTTGCATATGCCTTCCCTGCTAGAACATAAGCTCTTTGGAAGCAGAGAAAACAACACCAGGTGAGAGATGACCACAAAGCTATGGAAGATGAAAAATGAATTGACAAATGGTAATTGAAGTAGCTTTGCTAAAAAGCTTCAGTCTAATGATCTATAGACGTCTCTAGTAAGAAGCAAGAGGATTGGTGCCAAAGAACCTGGAGAAGGCTCAAAAATTGGAGGTACCTGGTATTTCTGAGAACCAGGGTGCAAGATGGAATGGAAAATAGGAGGCCTGGCTTAAATTCTGTGTAAGGGATATTCAAACCTCTAGAGAATCCCCCCTTATGCAGGGTTACTATCAAAGTGTCTCTCACTTAGAGAAACCAGGCCCAGCGAAACCAGAGGTCATGCTGTAGAAAGAAATTAGGGTGGTTAGCTGCCTTTCTGGGGCACTGGACATTGACCTCCAGCCCTGCTCGGCTGCTGGACTCCCAGCACGCTGGCATCACACATAGCATCTAGGCATCCTCTTGGGAGAAACTGACTAGACCAGAAGAGAAGACTACAGGCACTGATACTTCAGGGTCTTCCATTTAAGCAACCATGAGGCTCAGCAGTAGATAAGCCCCACCCGTGAACAAAATTCTATTTAGATATTTACTTCCTCACTCCCTAATAAGAATTGACACCAAGTATCTTCAGACATTTAATAAAGCTCCGAGCATAAAATAGTCGCTAAAACAAACAAACAAACAAAATTAAGGGAGATAGAGACTGTACTGGCCAGAAGAAAACTGCAAATAATTATAATTATTTCCCTATCCTTAGGGAAATAAGAAAGAATATTACATTCAAGAAATGTTAGAGTGCAATAAAAGAATATTCAGAGTTCAATAAATAACTCTTGGTTTCTAACAAGTAAAACAGAAAAAAAAATTATAATAGGAGAATTAAGAGATGAAGTTAGGAAAATCTCCTTGGAAAATGAACAAAAAAGTCAAGAATATAGAAAATGGGGTAATAAAAATCAATGGATAAATCTAACAAACCAAATGTTTGACCCATATCAGTTCCAGGAAAAGAGAACAGAGGGGGAAAAAAAAAGAGAAAAAATTTCAAGACATAATGCAAGAAAATTTCTTAGAAATGAAACACACAGGTTTTCATTTGAAACATATTTCATCTTCCCCAAGTGACCAGCAGAGTTAATATGAAACCATCCACATCAAGGCACATCAGCATGGGGCTTCGGAATAAACACAAAATCATATACACTTACAGAACAAAAGTAAATATTCAAATGATAAGAAAACTGTAGGCCACTGGATTTCTAATGACTGACACTGGAAATTAGAAAGCAAACAATGCTTTTCTTATTGTGAGAGAGAATGACTTTCAACCTTAAATTATACCCCATCGAAACTCTAATCAAGGTAAAGATAAAATAAAGATATTTTAAAAATCATAAGCAATCAAAGTATGTATTGCCTTCTTAGGAAGATTCTAGAATATATTCTCTGATATAATAAGGTATTGGGCCAGTAATAAAGAATACACAGAATTAATGAGAGGGGAAGGAAACAAAGAAAAGGGGAAAAAAGAAATCCCAAGATGAGAGTAAAAAGAAGTCCAAGCTTAAATTTAAGCAGCCACCCTAGGAAACAGTCAGTCCAATTGGAGCAGGGCAGAGGAATCAAGAATGGGTATTTCAGGAAAAAAAAAAAAAAAAAAAAAAAAAAAACAGCAGTAGTAAATTACCAGTGTTTGTCTATATTGTGAGTTGTCTTATAGTAGTTTTAAAGGTAAAAACTGGATAAGTAATAACTATCTATAAAATTAAACACCAAATAAGAATAATAAATAGTTATTTACTCCAGGGGAAATAGCTTCACCATCAAGAATGTGTAATTGTAGTGTATTATGAGGCTCAGTATACTATGTGATTCAATATTCAACTTACCCAAACACTTCTGACTTATCAAAAATTTAAATTAAAACTACATGGGAGGGGTGTGTGTGTGTGTGTGTGTGTGCGCGCATTTTAAGAGAGTTAGATCAGCATCTCTCATAGCATGAAGTAAATAATATTTTAAAAACAAAATCAATAAATGTCAGTCTTGTAAGGATATTGTTTAGAAAATTGGAAGTATTATAAAAACTAGCTAATACTCTTACCTCTGCAAAGCAGGAATCTGGAAGATGGGTTGGGTTAAAGAGGAAACTCTCATTTCATGTCCTAATCTTTGTATTATCATTTGGTTTTAAAATTGTATTCATCTGTTATTTTAATAAATATTTTAAAACTTCCTAAAAGGAAATATTGTGGTTTGAAAGCCTTGCTAATTGTCACTTGAAACTTATAAGAGGTACTTAAATGGCTTGTTTTCCATACTTGCAAAAAAATGAAGCCATGATCTAAGGGGAAATGGTAAAATAATAAAAATAATATAATTTATTGAACATCTACTAGGTTCTAGTGGCAACGGTTAGGTCATAGATATATAGATTACTTATCTTGTGAAATTCTCAAACCAACCGGAAGTTATATACTGTTATTCCCAAATTAAGCTGAGCAAGATTGTAGGAGACCATGCAGGTAGTGAGTGGATAAAGCAGAACTTTACCCCAGGCTTGTCTGACTATAAGTTCCATGAGTGTTTCCTTATCCCATACTGCCTTTTGCAATCCAGTGCTGGCACGTTAAACCTGTGGCATAATAGGGATAGGTGTTCCCTAGACCCAACCACAAAGGGTCAGCTCACGTCTCTTCCCCTGGATGGCCTCTTTTCACTGCTCCCTTCTGGAAAGTTTCTGTCTAGGTCAAGGGCATTGTGGGCCACATCCCATATGGCAGTAGGTGACCACGGCTAATGTAGGCCTTGTACTGTTTTATGTGTGTGTTGGTTTATGTGTGTGTTGGTTTGTTTGCAGGATAAGCCTCAGAAGAAATGTTTGTATGAGTCTTCTCTTGTAATAAATTATCACCAACTGGGTGGCTTAAAGCAATACAAATTTATTTTCTTTCAGCTCTGTAGGACAGACATCAGACATGGGTCTCACTGGACTCACATCAAGATGCCAGCAGGTTGCATTCCTTTCTGGAAGCTCTAGGTGGAAAAATGTGTCCCCTTTTTAAGGTCACAGATGCCTCCCACATCCCTTGGCTCATGGACCCCTTCCTCTTTCTTCAAAGTCAGCAACATCATTTCTCTCTGACCCTTCTTCATGGTCCTCTCTCCCTCTGACTCTGAACTCAGCCAGGAATGGTTCGTGGATTTCAAGGACCCTTGTGACTATATTTAGTGTCCTCCCAGGTGTACTAGGATCATCTTCCCATTTCAAGGTTTTTAACTTTATTACATCTGCACAGTCCCTTTATCCACATAAGGGGACATATTCATGGGTCCTGGGGACTAACGTGGGGCATCTTTAGGGTGCCTTGATTCTGCCTATTGCAATATCTCATCACAGAGACTCAGTGGCTCCCCACACAGCTGCAGCCACCAAGCCCAGCACCTCTCTCTCTCCTCTTCATTGCACAGCTGAACAGAATGCACAGTGAACAACGTCTTACTCCTTGTGCGAAGAGCTGCTGCATGATGATTTGAATGCAGGATAAAAACCACACACTCCCAGCAAACACCGTGCCTTCCCCTTGGTTCAAGGATGACACTATTGTTCCCATCACATTCAAACATGTGCATTTGGAAGATGTCTCCATTTCTAGATCCTTTATTGTCAGGGAATATGAATTCTCAAGTGCAAGAGAAATTCAGTTCTGCCAGGTCTATTAGCCCTTATGTGCATTTAAGGAGCCTGATGTGTCAGGGTTGACACAATGAACTCCAAGGACACTGCTCAAAATGGCCCCTCCAACTGGGCACAGCTCTGTACCAGGAACAGTGCCAATGAGCATGTGTATTTGTGTGTTTTTATACCCAAGTGCTGTAAAAGAAGGCGGTCTGCTTAAAGACTTACAGTTCCAAAGAAGGCAAATGTAAGGGCAAAATTCATGATGCTCTGTCACCTTGAGCTTCAGCTTCCTGCCTTGTTGATGAGGAAAATGATCCCTACTAAGCCGGGTGTTGTAAATAGTAGGCAATATCATAAAACCCCTAGCAAGATGCACTACATACAAGGCAATGAAGAAAAAGTGGCTACTTTTTCTTCACTTTTGTTTGTTCTCTGATCTGTGCAATTATTTGTACCAAATATACTTGAAGTATGAAGTTGGTGGCTATTGTCACAAAGGTAACAAAACCTGCTTTTAAGAGACTTGGAGTTTATCAAAGGTTACATGTAGACAGAATGAGGCCCAGTAGACTTTTCACCAGGAAGGCAGACTTTGTCCTGGGCCTTGGAAGATTGCAAAGAGAGGAAGAAAGAAAAAGTTTCTCCTTACACTGGGAAAAGTTCATGCAAAGGCAGAGAGGAAGAGCAGAGCCCGAGATGTTCAAGACAGGGCTAGTGTGTAGCAAGTAAGTGATGTGGACACACACAGCCAGTTTTCCTGCTGGTTTACCAGGTAAAATCAAAAGACCCTCATGCCAGCCAGGCGCAGTGGCTCACTCCTGTAATCCCAGAACTTTGGGAGGCCAAGGCGGGCAGATCACGAGGTCAGGAGATCGAGACCATCCTGGCCAACACGGTGAAACCCCGTCTCTACTAAAAATACAAAAAATTAGCCGGACGTGGTGGCAGGTGCCTGTAGTCCCAGCTACTTGGGAGGCTGAGGCAGGAGAATGGCGTGAACCTGGGAGGTGTAGCTTGCAGTGAGCAGAGATCCAGCCACTACACTCCAGCCTGGCCGACAGAGGGACTCCGTCTGAAAAAAAAAAAAAAAAGAGAAAAAAAGAAAAAAAAAAGGCCCTCATGCCTACTCTCACCACCTCCAAATACCCGAGTTGAAGGTAGAATGTTCTGGCCTTGAATCAGGAGAGCTATTCCAAAGCACCTGTTGTACAAGAAGCACACTTCTCAGACTTTGGCAAGAAAAAGTCTTCCTGCCCTTTTAAATAGTCTTTGTGATGGTTAATATTAAGTGTCAACTTGATTGGATTGAAGTATGCAAAGTATTATTTCTGGGCATATCTGGGTATTTCTGGGTGTTGCCAAAAGAGGTGAACATTTGAGTCAGTGGCCTGGGAGAAGAAGACCCACCCTCAGGAAGACCCACCCACAACATGGGTAGCACCATCCAGTCGGCTGCTAGTGTGGCTAGTAAAAGCAGGCATGGTTGGGCGCAGTGGCTCATGCCTGTAATCCCAGGACTTCGGGAGGTCAGGAGTTCAAGACCAGCTTGGCTAACATGGTGAAGCCTCATCTCTACAAAAATACAAAAGTTAGCCAGGCATAATGGTGGGTGCCTGTAATCCAAGCTACTCAGGAGGCTGAGGTGGGAGAATTGCTTGAACCCTGGAGATGGAGCTTGCAGTGAGCCGAGTTAGTGCCATTGCACTACAGCTTGGGTGACAGAGCAAGACTCCGTCTCAAATAAATAAATAAATAATAAAAATAAAGTAAAAACAGGCAGGAGAAATGGGAGAAGATGACTTAGATCACCTCCTGAGTCTTCCAGCCTTCATCTTTCTCCTATGATGGATACTTCCTGTCCCCGAACATCAGATTGCAAGTTCTTCAGCTTTTGGACTCTTGGACCTAGACCAGTGGTTTGCCAGGGACTCCTCTTGGGTCTTTGGCGTTGGCCACAGACTGAAGTCTGCACTGTCGGCTTCCCTACTTTTGAGGTTTGGGGACTTGAATTGAGCTACTACTGGCTTCCTTGACCCTCAACTTGCAGATGACCTGTAGTGGGACTTCACCTTGTGATCCTGTGAGTCAATTCTCTTTAATAAACTCTCTTTTGTATATACATATATCCTATTAGTTCAGTCCCTCTAGAGGACCCTGTCTAATAAAATTCTCATATGTCCCCAACATGGGTTACATGTGTCATATGTGCCATCTCCTGTCATCTGCATCACACGTGCAGATCATTGTGTGGTGCACATCATTGGCCCAATGTTCCAGGAAAAAGCTCAAATTCAGAGAGGCTAAGTAACCACACAGCTAGTGGTAAGTTTTTCACCAAGGTCAGTTGATCCTCAACTCTGCATATTTTTCAGCCTTCTGCTCTATGCATTTCTCTCCACTGGACCTCCCTCCTCAGCTTTACATTCCATCTGGTTCCACAAGCACATATTTCCCTGTGCTTCCATAACATTATTTTTTTCCCATTTTTACACCAAATTTAAACCATCGGAGACTCATGTTCTAACATTTTTTCAGACAAAGGATTTGGAATGTTTGCAAGAGCGGTGGGGATCATAGACCATCGGGTTGTGTTTCCCCAGCAGGCATTCAGGCACTTCTTCAGCCAGCCTGGTCCTTCCTCTTGAGTGGTGTCTCCTCTGCTTTTTGCCCCATGTGGTTCTCTTCCCACACTGAGTCATTCTACATCTCTAGATTCACTCTGTACTCTCCTGCCTCATGCCTTCTTTCACTCTGGTCTCTTTTTCATAATATCTACCCCTTTCCTCAGTTTCATATTCCAAATTCCACCTGTTCATTGAGGCCTACCTTAAACGGCACCTCCTCCAAGAAGCCTTTTCCTGATTTATTTAAATGCAGGAATAATTCTTCTAAGTCAGGCATTGGCAAATGATGGCCTATGGGCCAAGTCCAACCCATCATCACATGTGTTTTTAAGTAAAGGTTTCTGGAACATAGCCAGGCTCATGTATTATCTAGAGCTGCTTTCCTGCCAGTGACAAAGGTATGTAGTCAAGACAGAGATCAAATGGCCAGCAAAGCAGAAACTAAGAAACTACTTACAAGCTTCCGTCTGTTTACAGAAAAGAAAAATTGCTAATCTTTGCTATAAGCTATAAACATAAAATGATTCTGTGACTTGTGAGAAATTTTTATGGCATGATTTGAGTGCTGCTGTTGATGAAGGCTGTGTGTGTGTGTGTGTGTGTGTGTGTGTGTGTGTGTGTGTCCACCATGGGTAGGAAGCTTCCAGGCTGGACCATTCCACATTGGAGGGAGCTCAGTATTATCTGTCAGCAGTGGAAAGACTACAGGTCCTTGAATCGGAATCAAAGGCCTATTACCTGTGCAACCTGGGCACATTACTCAACCTCTCTTTTCCTCAGCTTCCTCATCTGTCTCAGTGAGGACAACATTAGCAGCTACAGAGCTGCTGTGAAGGTGAAATGAAATAATATGTTCTTTGTTCTAGCACAATGCCAGGCGCACACAGTAGGTGCTCAAACAACATGTGTTCCCTTGTAACGGTAAAGAAACTCATTCCCATTTTTCCTGCCTTTCAACCACACCAGCCCTGTAATGGCTGGCTCAACCCTGAGGCCCAGGGCCTCCTCGACATAACGTGGAAATCCTTGACATTGAACCTGAAAGGGAATGGGGTGGGGGAGGTGGAGCTGGAGCCACCTTGGCCTCAGCCCGCCAGCTCATTTCACAGTGAGCCTCCCAATCCGCTAGCTGGAGACTTCCCGTCATTAAGAGCCTGGGCTGGGTTCCAGCTGGTGCCCTGGAGAGGAGAGGTTTCTTATCCCATTACCAGCCTCCTAAGCCAGCCCGTTCCCCCCAGGATTAAGATCTTATAAACATCAGCCAGTCCTCAGGGGTGATCCGCTGAGGGCCGCCCCCATTGATTCCAGATGGAGAAGAGACTTGTTTTGAGGAACAAATGTTAACTTTCTCCTTTCAGCAAGGAAAAAAACAACAACACAACCACAAAGAACAACGCAACCTGAATGTCTCACACAAACCAGGTGTTTTTCTTCTTCTTCCCAAGACTCAAAGAATGAGAAGTTATTTTTAGGGGGCTGTGGGCTGGAAGCACCATGACGGTGTGCCTTTTGTCCTTTGGAGTCTCCACCAGGGCCAGCGCAGAGATAAGGGGTGGGGCGGGCTCTGGTGGTTTCGGGTGAAAATCTGCCATCGCGGAGAGATGCCAGCAAGCAACCAAGTGGCAATCTTTATATGGAAGCTCTGCTCTCCAAGAAAGGTTTTAGTTTGCTTAATTTTTCTCCTATGGGTTGTGCGGCAACTCTTGTCTCTATCTGGGCTTTGTAAAACCCCAGCAGACCCTGATACGATGCTGTTCTTTTCAGTGAGAGGCAAACAGCCCATCTGCTGAAGCTTCCAACATCTTCTTCTCTTTCTGATGGAGACTCTTCTAGTGTATAAGCTCAGGCCACTGTTAACATCGGGAATGGTAGTAACAGCTCTCACCTTCGAGGACAGCTTGGATTACCACCTGCACAGAGCCCCATCTCTGAGCCAAGTTATGGTTGATTTCAATTCCACGTCACATCGACAGGGATTTGTTTTCACCTCCACATATATAAATACCCCAACTCACAATTTGTAAGTCACCTGGAATTTCTAATTTTAGAAGCACTTTGAAATATTTGAAACAGCTTGGGTTGTGAATTTAGACAACATAAATGTAGGCACCTTCCAGTCACTTTCTAGCTCTGTGACTTTAAGTAGGGCACACAGCCTCTCTGAGCCACAATTCCACCAACAGCAAGTGGGACTATCAACGTCAACCTCATGTGATTGTTGTGAGCATGTACAAAAGTGTTTACAAGATCCAAAAAGCTGTCCAGAGGGTCCCTATAATTGTTGCTTTTGCTAATGAAATGAGCCATCCTGTTCCCCTGGTCCCCCATAAAAGGACAAATGAGAGATTTTTTTTTAATGCACGCAGAGTTCAGGAAAAGGCTCATTGAATAAGGAGAAATAAAATTTTCAGACATGTGAACCTCTATTTCTGTTCGAGACCAAAAGTCACCATATATATAGTCAAGTCAAGCAGGTGTGGACCACAGTGGCTGAGACAGTGTTCTGTGTATCAGGGCTTATCAGAACCTTACATGCTCTGAAGTGCATTGTGATCTCCAGCGGCCCCTTCTTCAGAGTGATTAGGCCACTGGGCTGGCTGGCTAGATGGCCTCGGGAGCTAGTTGATGGTTCACACAAATCTCAGAGATAGGCGTAGAGTGTGTTGGTAGGAAATCATAATGATAAGGAGAATAACAATGTTAATACCAGGTTTTAGAGGTTACTATGTACCAAATACTGATTCAAAAAGTTTTCACGAATTAACTCACATAACTTCACAGGCATGGCTGTCAGGGGCACCCAGGATACTGTGGGCTACAAGGCTCAAGTCTTTAGCTGGAACTGCAAATGGGCACAGCTCCCAAATCTACTAAAGTGTGGCAATTGTGAGGACAGAGGCCTGTCCCTGTTCCCTTCTTCATCTTCTGTTCTGGCCCAGGGCTGGGCCTAGGGCAGTATGCAGAAAGTGTTGACATTGTTCTGGAAGTAAGAATGAGACGGACAAGCTCCTCTTTGATATTTGCTGGGGTGGAGCCCCCATGGAGGGCTGCCTCACTGGAGGGACACCAATTCTAATTCCTCCACTGAACATTCTTCTCTGATCTGTTTCCTGAACAGTAACTTTCGTGGCACCCCACTGCTAATTCCAGCCAGCAAAATACCTTTCTTGAGTGTTTAAAATGTCTACAGTATGGTCCTACTCACTGTCTGTCCCCATTTCATTGAACACTCTTCTTTTTATTTATTTATTTATTTTTATTTTGAGATGGAGTCTCACTCTGTCACCCAGGCTGGAGTGCAGTGGTGCAATCTCAGCTCACTGCAACCTCTGCCTCCCAGGTTCAAGCGATTCTCCTGCTTCAGCCTCCTGAGTAGCTGGAATTACAGGTAATCCTGTAATCCTGGGATTATCTGGGATTAGCAGGTAACCCTGCTAATTTTTGTAATTTTAGTAGAGACAGGGTTTCACCATGTTGGCCAGGCTGGTCTCAAACTACTGACCTCTGGTGATCCACCTGCCTCGGCCTCCCAAAGTGCTGGGATTACAGGCATGAGCCACTGCACCCAGCCTCTCACTGAACACTCTTTATTCCTCATCTTCATCAGCCTCTGAAAAAATATTTAACTTCAGACTTTGCTCTAGTATCCCTTCCCCACTGCCCGTTTTGCTCATCCCCATAACTTTGGTGAAACCCACCTCCCATTCTTCAGTTAGTGATGAAAACAGGTAATGCAGCAAACAGAGGTGTCTTCGCAAAGTCATGTTTTAACAGCCATGATCATTCTACATGAGCAAATGCAGCTGGCCAGATGTGAGTGGATTTTGATTCTGTGTATTCTGTATATTTGGATAATTGAGCCTTGAATGGGAATTTGATAGAATTGAAGTGGAGTCAGTAACAGCCCCACCTCTGGGAAAAATGAGGAGGTGGAAATCAATGCAGTTGGAACCCTTGAACCTCTCTGGCTCTGTGTCTTGGGTCTGCTGGAGGTTTTCTTCACATTGTGTTCTTGACCAATGATGTTTGATCTACCTCTTGGAAACTAACATTCATGTATTCCATGTTGCAGATGGAAAAGTTAAGTCCAAAGATAAATAATTTCTAGGAAGCAAGATGAGAAACCAATATAGACATGAGGTTAGAATTTCTATTATTCATTTATTTTCCATAAGTACAGAAGGTTAATACATCCCTCTCCCTTTCAACCTCTTCCCCCAACATGTGTACACACATGTGCACGTAAATACACACACATCCCTTTGTCAAGCAGGATGAACACAGTAAATGTTAGTTCTGCTCCTTCTCCAAGACTTAATTGCCAATCATGAGGGGTAGCCTAATTAATACAATCATTCTGGGGTTCCCCCTGAGCTTGTGTTGATTAGAGAATCTCCCCGTGGGGTGTTTGCTACACCTCTAACCTTATGCCTCTCCCCCTGAGAGCTGGCCTCCTTCAGTGGTCTCCACCCTTATCTCTATCTCTGGGGCTGTCTTTGCAATCTTGTAACCAAAAGCAAAAAAATGTGTTCACCTCCCCTGACCCATCCCTGCCTCCCCCATCCAAGGCCTCGACTATCTCCAACTCCAGATTGCTAGAGCTCCCTCAAGTCACCACAAACGTAGCAACACAAAACAACACCCATTTATTAGCTCAGTGTTCGGTAGGCCAGAAATCCCACATGGTATGGCGGGGTCCTCTGCTCAGGGCTCACAGGGCTGGATGTCGACCTGCTGAGGCCTGGAGTCCCAGCAATGATCATGATTCAAACAAACTAACAAATCATACACAATGAACATTCATTATGCGAGGAACATTCCCTGAACTATCTCTGATTTTCCTAAAATCCTATGAGGTTGCATTGTTACTGTGTTTTTATTTTCCAGACAAGGAAGCTGAGCCTTCACAAGGTCGAACAACACATTTGATGCCATGCAACTGAGAAGTGGTTCAAGCTGGATTTGAACAAATGTAGTCAGACTCTGCAGCCTATGCATGTACCCACTGTGCTATGCTGTCGCATTGAATAAAATGCAGTGCCCTCAATACGAAGTCAATGTGAGCACATACCAAGAATCATATTGGGAAGGAGAAGTCCTCAGTAGGCAAAACACTTTCCAGCAATGTTAACCTGGATGTGGATAGAAAGGAGACTTGGGAATTTCTCTGACTTAATTCATCTCTGGGTCCATTTGAAGCACAGCAGAAGAGAGGGGAAGAGGTGCTAGGAGTGGTGGGCTCTGAGGTTCAAGCCCCGCCAATGGCCAGGCCTAATAAAGATCTAGACCTCCTTGCAGAATGAGGCTTTCTCCAAAACCCTTCAGCTGTGGTTTGGTGGAAGAGGCCTCACTACATCTAGCTAATTTTGTTCATTCATTCATTCATTCACTCATTTATTCAACCAGACTTCATGGACACTTCTCCATGTCAGGGCCTGGGCGTTGTGTCAGGGTTGCAAGGATGAGTCAGGGATTATCCGTCATCTCCCGGAATTCATGAGCACATGGGGAAGACAGCTTGGAGAAAATCACAGTAATAGGGGAAAATAAGGGCTGAGAAAAAAGTCCATGCACTGCAGCGGACAGGACAGCAGATCAGCTCCTGTGGGTTAAAAGTGGGCTGTGGGCTGGGTGCGGTGGCTCACACCTGTAATCTCAGCACTTTCGGAGACTGACGTGGGCAGATCACGAGGTCAAGAGATCGAGAACATCCTGGCCAACATGGTGAAACCCCGTCTCTACTAAAAATACAAATATTAGCTGGCCGTGTTGGCATGCACCTGTAGTCCCAGCTACTAGGGAGACTGAGGCAAGAGAATGGCTTGAGCCTGTGAGGCGGAGGTTGCAGTGAGCCGAGATCACAGCACTGCACTCTAGCCTTGTGACAGAGTCTCAAAAAAAAAAATAAAAACAAAAAAGGTGGCCTGTGGTGAGGAGTGTGACATTGTCAGAGGGATCCTTGAGTTGGTTGGTCTTGAAGATGATGAGAAGATGACATTCTAGGCAGAATGAACAGATGGGTAATGGCATGGAAGCCTATAACCAGCATGACTCAATTAGGGAATTGTAAGCAAAACCATACTTCTTCAAGAAAAGATGGTGAGGAGTGGCGAGAAGATGAGGCCAAAAGATAAATAGGGCTAGACCGCAGTGGTTTTTATCACTACTTAAGTGAATTTGAAGGAGGCGACTCTGTGCAGAGCTATCACCTTATAAACATTTCATCATGGAGGAGCCTGGCTTCCGGCAGCAATGCCTTGACCCAGTGTACATGCCTGACTGTGTTCTTGAAAAACGTATCTTGGCTAATAACGGTATAACAAAAGACAGGGGCATGAAGCCAAGTCACACCAGTGCCCTAAAAACTCTGTGTTTGATCATCTCTCTACAGTGAGTAATGCGGGGAGATCTTTATGAAACCAGACCCTGGGTTCTGCAATAGTAAGATAACTGGGGAAGTTTTGGGTAACTAGAGGATGACATACTAAAATAGCAGCATCACGAAGGGTGCAATGAAGTAAGATCAAGCTAACACGTCGAACTATTCTGTCAACACCTCTGTGTCGTCCATGTCTATAGGTTGACAATGGTAAATGGATGTTCCAGCCCAGATACTCTCTGAAATGACCTGCAGCTTTACAGAAGTAATTCTTAATTCATGCACTCATCTTTCCCCCAGACCCCAAAGGTGGCCATTCCAAAGTAGTGCTGTCCAGTGAGACTAGCATGTGCTACAGGCCCTGAGTGGAGACCCAGCTTCGCCTCTTTTGCTGAGCAAGTTTGGCATGGTGCTAACTTCTGCATCTGTCATGCAGCCACACTAACAATTTCCACCTTGCCTACCTGAAGATGTTGATGAGAATATCGAAAATTGTGTGTGTGTGTGTCGTGTGTGTGTGTGTGTGTGTGTGTGCATGTTACATAGTCAAAGATAGTCAACTAAGAACACTGGCTTGCAGCTCATTTCCTACTATGGCATTACATTGGAGAAGATGTCATAGATTTGTGTAGTGATGACGAGGGTCCCTGGTGGTGGCGGGAACCTGGGTGAGTCCTCCAAGTACTGGTCAAACTCCTTCCCTTCTCAGAGTTCAGGGTCCTCATCTTTGAAACAGGTGTTTGTTCTCCTTCTTGACTATGACCATCTATGTTTCTCATAGTAAAATTTTCTAAATAATTTCTTATTTTTGCTCCCTTTTTTCTCCTTTAAAAGATGAAAGACAATGTAAGGCAACAGAGTCAATCAGGCAGCTCCACCCCTGACTCATTTCCCTGGACCACCTTGTACAATCTCCTCCCATCCTGAGACTCAGGGTCATCATCTAGGGGATGAACATTGTCATATCTACGTATGAGGGCTGTTTTGAGGCCCAGAGGAAAAAGGTCACATAATGCCATTAGCATAAAGCCAGTGCTAGGTAGAAATCCCACACAATGGTGGCAGGTAAGATTCAGTGAAGTTCTGTGTCCTCTGAGCACTTGAGGATTGAGTGGGTCAACTTGGTGGACACCTGGAAAGTTCTCAGTCATTTTACAGACTGAGAAATGTCCCCACTTTACAGACTTCCCGTTCTCGTGCCAGTGGAGCTCTCAGCACTAAATTCATTTTAAGTAGGGTGGTGTTCATTTTCCTCGGGCATAGGACATCCAGGACAAAGTGGATGGAAGCAGGAGGACAGCAGCAAGCAAGGAATCATGAAAGAAAAGGCAAGAAAGAAGTAAGGAGAAGAATGGAGAAGACGAGAATAAAAATGAAGGCAAAGAAAAGGAGAAACAAAGAAGGAAAGACATGACACTGCAGAAATAGACATGGAGGAAAGGGTCAGGAGGGAGAGGGAGAGGTGATCGTGCCACTTGTCATCTAGTCTGAGACCCGAGTGTGATAGGTCAGTGTGCAAGTTCGGAACCAGAACTCCCTCTTCCCAGCATTGCTCCAAGCTGTCAGCCTGGGAAGGTTTCCCCAATGTCTGTGGGCCTCACTTCCCTCACTTGCAAATGGGAATAAGAATATTGCCTTCTCACAAGGATGGGGTCAGGAATCAAAAAATTCATATTAACATGTAAAGTATTCATCATGGTGATAAATGTGCAATAAGTTACAACTTCTATTATAATAATGTCTATTATTACTACAGAGGTGAAAATGAAGGGCTAGAGAAGGGAAGCCCTGCCCATAAACAGGGATGCCTTGTGACAGAGAGAAAAAGAGCTACAGTTGCAGACTGTGGAACACTGTCCTTCTCATTTTCAGCCAGAGGAGAAGTGTGGAAAATGAGGATGGGTCTTCTCCACCAGCAGCAAGTCTGTTTCTTGGCTGGTCTATTCTCAGAGCAAATACATTGGCCATGGGGGTCACAGGCTCAGCATTGCCACTTCAGGTAAAATAAGGAAGTGGGACAGAGAGATGTGGATGGAATCAGTGTAAGACCCATCTAGGGTGAAAGTAGGAATTCCTCTGTAGAGCCCATTCATGAAAACTCTGTGCTGAAGCACAGCCCCTAACTGAGAGGAAGGGTGGGTAGGTGGGAGTCTGTGCATAAGCAAGTGTGCCCATAGGCACACTTGTGTGGACACACATGTATGTGTCTGCAGGTGCATGTTTGTGCTTGCATGCACACATGTGACTGTGAGCCTGCATGTAGATGAGCATGGACTTGGGAGGTGTGTACATATGCATATGTATCTGTAGGTGGGGGCCTGCTGTGTGCACATACATGTGTGTGAGCCTGTGTGTGCCTGAGCATGCATTTAGGTGTGCTTGTGTGAACATGCATGTTTGTGTCTGCACTTCTGTGTACACATGGAGTTTGTATAGGATGAAGATGAACCAAACCCACAGCTCCTTACTTACTTGTCCTACCTTCCTTCATTCCTGGAGTCCACCACAGACTTTCTTCTCAAAGTGAGATTCCTAGACCAGTAGTAACTATGTTACCTGAGAGCTTGCTACATGTGTAGAATGTTTGGATCTACCCAAGACCTGCTATATCAGAATATGCATTTAAACAAGCCCCCCACCTCCCCCATCAATGTGGTTTCTATGCACATTAAAGCTTGAGAAGTCCTGCTTCACTAGAGAGTGAGGTCTGCTATGAGTTTAAATCACGTGGCCTGGGGAAAAAAATGCCATCTCAGGAAATGGGTATGGCATTAATTAAGCACTCCACAAGCCTTATCCAATTTGGCTTTTAAAAGAAGACTTACCATTATTCCCATTTCAGAGATGAGAAAACTAAGGTGCAGTAGAGTAAATTCTTGTGCCTGAGGCCATATAGGTTGAAAGGTCTCAGTAGGGGATGTCAAGGTAAGTCTGGTTAACATCACTTTCTTTTCAAGGCATCTTGTTGCCTTCTACAGTGGAAGAATGGCCTAAGATGAGAAGGATTTCAGAAAGCTAACTAAATATCTTTCTCTTTCATGTGTGTTGAACTTGAGCCCACCTTGAGGATATATCCTGGCTGACTCAGAGCTTTGCTTATGAGTTTTCTATGTTAACGAGAGGCTTTTTTTACATGGGATTCTAGGGGCATCTCTGAGAGCCAAAAATGTTCACATCAACTCTAAATATGATTCCACATGTGCCTGAGGCACGTGCTTACCTCTGACTTGCTTCTCCATCTGCACGGGGGGGAATGAATGACGAAATCCTGGTCTTAAAAGTTCCAATGAGAAAGGGAGTTTAATTTCAGAGACTGATTCCCACAGACTTTATTTTGGAAGGTAATCTATTAAAAGTAGAAAGTTTAGGTCCATTTATAAATATATACAAATTGCCAGGATGCTTTCAATACCTAAATTAAATAGGGGCTTTTAAGCACTTCATCATATTTAGTCCTCATGATCACCTAAGAGGTTGACTTTATCAAATCCATTTTACAGATGAGAAACTGAGGCTCAGGGAGGGTAAGTGACTTTTCACAAATGACTCCCCAGGGTCCTTATCTGGTTTGCCCCAGAGTCTTTGGTTGCTCTACCCCATTCTCTTAGCATAGCCTAAGAGATATTTTAATTTCTGACTCAGCCTGAGATAAGGAAATCTGGCTAAACAGATAGATGCAGAGCTGTGTGTGAGACGAGCTTTAGCAAGTCTGCATGTCATTTCGGGTGTCCGACACTTTCTCTTCTCTGACGTCCTGGCAGTTCAAGCTCCCAGAATCCAGTGTGAGAGAAAAATAAAAATATCTGCTAAAATTTTTGACTCAACATTTCCTGTACTCAGAATAGTAGACGCCAGAGCTGAGCAGCATGGCCTCTGGTGGGCTGATGGGTGGGATCTCCTCTCCTGACCTCCCTACTCTCCTTCCGTGTAGGGATGAATTCATGTAAGACCAAAAGTCTCCCTCTATGAAAATTCTGTGGCTGAATTTTTTTCTCCTTTGAGACAGAGTTTCACTATTGTTGCTCAGGCTGGAGTGTGATGGCACGACCTTGGCTTACAGCAACATTCGTCTCCTGGGTTCAAGCAATTCTTCTGCCTCAGCCTCTGGAGTAGCTGGGATTACAGGTGCATGCCAACATGCCCAGCTAATTTTTTTATTTTTAGTAGAGACAGGGTTTCACCATGTTGGCCAGGCTGGTCTCGAACTCCTGACCTCAGGTGATCCAGCCACCTCGGCCTCCCAAAGTGCTGGGATTACAGGTGTGAGCCACAGCACCCAGCCCTGAATTCAATGATATAGACTTCCAGGTGCAGTAGCCTTCCAGGGATCTTTACCCCAAGCCCATTGCTGCAATATGGCTGAAACACACCCGTTCACACCTATTTCTAAATGTACCTTCTCTCTCCTCTTAGTCCTAGAGACGGACACACTGATTTTGGACTTTAATGTAAATGTGTGTGTGTGTGTGTGTGTCGGTGTGTGTCTGTGTGTTTATTTAATGCCTAGCATCCCTGCCCTCCCTAGCTAGACCCTCATTTCTGTGTGATTGTCTCACTCAATGACTGTTACCCAGTACTGGGCAGTGCATGGGTGATGGAGACAGTGGCTGCAGGCTTGTTAGTGGCCAACTTTGCCAATGAGCTGCGGCAACTCTTAGGCCATATCAGAGCCTAATGTTAGGTCTCTGATGACTCATCTGTCTCCGTGAAGACACAGCATATGACTTTGGACCTCCTGGAAGGAGAAAAGTGGCTGAATCATGGCACTGTCGCCCAGGTGGTTTGTGCTTCCACCCACATGGCAATAACAAGCCAGTGCTGTGTCCGGTGCTAGGACGGAGGGTGCATGAGATAGTCCCCTCCCTGCCAGCTCACAGGCTTTTATAAAATAGAAATGCCAGAAATACCAAGTGACAGAGTGGAGGCCAGCTGGATGGTGGCTGCATGTGGAGTCCAAGGAGTCCAAGGCCATGGGAGTTTGGTTCCAGCTTAGGGAAGATGGCACAAGCCAGGCCTTTGGAGTTGGAGCTTGAAGAGTCAGGCGGGGCACAGCCCTAGTCACACTGTGCAGAACATCCTGAAGACACGTGGCTTCTGGTGACTGCAGTCGCACCGGCTGAAATTAAGCTTCCCTTGAGGTCCCAGCACTCCTTCTATCTGGCACTGTTCCTTACAATCAGCATAGAGTTTGCTCACCACTGCATTTTTGTCCCCTCCCCTGTGGATTCTAGCAGAGGTTAGAGCCTTCTCTAGACCTTGCAGGCTGGACTCTCAGAAGGAAGGAAGAAGTGGAGGAAGGAGAGGTGGGGATTGAAAATGACTTGTATTGGCCATGCATGGTGGCTCATGCCTGTAATCCCAGCACTTTGTGGGAGCTGAGGCAGGCGAATCACGAGACCCAGAGATCAAGACCATCCTGACCAACATGGTGAAACTCCGTCTCTACTAAAAATACAAAAATTAGCTGGGCATGGTGGCAGGTGCCTGTAGTCCCAGCTACTCAGGAGGCTGAGACAGGATAATCACTTGAACAGGGGAGGCAGAGGTTGCAGTGAGCCAAGATCACACCACTGCACTCTGACCTGGTGACAGAGAAATACTCAGTCTCAAAAAAAAAAAAAAATGACTTGTATTAAGTGATTCTACATTTCAGATTCTGAGTCAGACACTTCAGATATATTATTCAATTGAACCCTCATAAAAATTCAAGAATTCCTCAAAGTGATTTGTATTATAAATAGGGAAACTTGGACAAGTTTAAGGGACTTTTCAGGAGACTCAGTGTTAGGAAGCAGGAGAGTAAAACTTTGAAGGCAGGTCTGTCTATGTCCAGTGCATCTGTCCATCCACCCTGGAACCTCAGCCATGAAAGTCCAGCTTGAAAAAGAGTCTGATTTTATGCCCTGTCTTTGACATACATCCTGTTTTCTTATACTACAAAAAGACCTTTGCAATTTTTAAGAATATAAGGTAATACTGAGCACAATCTTTATAATCTTATTTATTTGCATATAGACAATTCACTCCCTCTGCCCTTTAAGGAATACTGTGAGTCTCCTGGCATTTGCCAGGAGATGGATATAGTAGTTAAATCATTTTTTGGATAATACACTCAGATACAAGGATTGTTTTTAATAAGCTCATTGGTCAGGCGCAGTGGTTCATGCTTGTAATCCCAGCACTTTGGGAGGCCGAGAAGGGTGGATCACAGAGTCAGGAGTTGGAGACCAGCCTGGCCAACGTGGGAAACACCGTCTCTACTAAAAAAATACAAAAATTAGCCTGGCATGGTGGTGTGTGCCTGTAATACCAGCTACTCGGGAGGCTGAGGCAGGAGAATCACTTGAACCCAAGAGGTGGAGGTTGCAGTGAGCCAATATCATGTCACTGCACTCCAGCCTGGGCAACAGAGCAAGAACTCCAGCCTAGGTGACAGAGCAAGACTCCATCTAAAAAAAAAAAAAAAAAAAACCCATTGACCAAACAATTGTCTAGACTAAGGACACCAGCTTCAAGTGTTGGCTCTTAGTTTGCTTCTGTGTTGGCATTATATTCCAAAACTCAGGATAAATGTGTCTTCTGGGATGCATTTGTGTCTCATCTTAAAATGGAGTTGCTCATGCTTGCATTTAGATATGTTGTAAAATGTCTTCCCTCCTGTTTCCTTGTCCTTCTCCCTATTCCCTTTCTTCAGTCTTTGCTGTGCCTTCCAGGGCTTTGGGGGAGACTTTCCCAGGTCCCCATCTGAAGCAGCTCCCAGGAGCAGCTCCTGCTGGGGGACTCATGGCCTCAGACATCAAGAGACCCCACCATGGTGTGAAGCTTGGTAAGGAGCTGGTGTCCAGATGAGATGCTAGATGGGCACAGAGAAGAGGACTGGCATTGTTCAGCCTTGAGCTGGGACGTCCAGCTATGAGCTGGGAATGTTCTGCACTCAGCCCAGCTGACCAGAGGAACAACCCAGGATGACCTAGACTTGGACACTCTAGGGAAAAGAGAGTTCCAGAAGGCACAGCAGCTAACTATGGCCTTTTAGTCCTCACAGTTCTGGGCTCCAAATTTACTGAGAGTGTGCTTGGGTAGCTTTTTTTCTCCTCGGAACCACAGTTCCCTCATTGATAAATGGCCAACAGCCCTCACATCCTCTTCTTAGATTTGCTGAGGATGAAGCAAGATGGCAGGTAAAGCGCTTGGCCAGGGCTTGGCTCATTGAAAGAACCCAACACAGAGTAATTACTATTACTCTTATTGGCAGGAAAGAGATGGTGATGAAGAACAATGAGAAAACAGAAATACACGAGCCATAATAGGGACTTTGCCTATTTCAATGTTGAAACCACAGACTTTGTTAACATATGAGTGTGTGGATTTGGTCCCACAAAAGTAGTTGTGAAAATGGATGGCCATGTCTTTAAAATTTAAGAGCATGTGTCAAGCTTGCTTTAGATTTTGAGAAATCACCAATAGTTTCCATAGGTCATGTGCAAATTCAAGAATCAGATTATGCCTAATTTGCCCTTGAGTTATCTGAGCCTCAGAGATGGGAGGGTACCTTGCCTGAGGTCACACAAAGTTAGGAGGAGCTGGGGATAGAACCCATGCCTCCCAGTTTCCACTGGGCTTCTTTCTAGAAGATAAAAGAGCTACATAACAGGAAGTGAGGTGTTCATCTGAGGGTAGATTTTCTTGGCAGCAGCTCTTGTTTTTCCTTTAGTAGGAGAGGCTGGGCATGGCTCAATGTAGGCCTTGCCCTATCCTGGGGCACTTGGCGCTCTGTGCTCATCCCATCTCTGAGATTAATCACCGCCCTTCAGAAACACAGGTAGAGAGGTGAGCGGGGCTGCCAGCAAAGAAGAGTGAGTTCACGTAGTTCTTGCTAAATTATGCAAAAGCTCTGCCTCACCCACTCCACAACAAAGGGGAACAAGGCCCTGTCTTCTCTCCTCCAGGATGCAAAGAGGTACCCACCATCCTCCACCCCAACCTGGTAGAAGGGCTGTGCAAGAAAGGAGGCATAGGCTGAAGAGGCAGTTGGAGAGCATGAGATGAATGGAGCAGTCTTCCTAGAGACAGTAGTGAGGCCCATGAGAAAGCTCAAAGCTAAGGTTCTGGGACCTCTGTTGAGGCCCTGAGCATTGGCACAGGTAGGTTTTCACAGGCCAAGCCCATGTGCCTCCCTCCTGCCTGCAGAATGTTGTGCTGGCTGGCAGAGTCTGAGAAGAGCTAGTCTTGCACCTCTTGAAAGCATTGGCATTCCAATCCTTACACCATGACCAAGAACAAGTAGCTTTGTTCATCCATCTGCCTCTTTCTAGCCTCACCCTGCAAGCCTGCATAAGAAAAGGAAAAAGTAACAAGAGAAAAAGGATGTTGATTGAGCATCTACTCTTTGCTACGTGCTTCAGTACATTGCTTTTGTTCTCAAAAAAGCCTGTGGGGAGAGGATTCTTCTCCTCCAACTGCAAAGGAGGAATTTGAGTCCACAGGAGGTAAATTTGACCAAGTTCTTGCTTCACATAAAAATGGAAAGACACTGGTTTTATCTTCCGATTTTTTCAACACGTCTGTGTTGTCCATTTCTATATGTTGACAGTGGTAAACAGATGCTCCAGCCCAGGCATTCTCTGGAATGGCATGTGGCTTTACAGAAGTAATTCTTGATTTCTGCACTCATCTTGCCCCCAGCCCCCAAAGGTGGCCATTCCAAAGCAGTGCTGCCCAGTGAGACTAGCATGTGCTACAGGCCCTGAGTGGAAGCCTAGCTTTGCCTCTTTTGTTGAGCAAGCTTGGCATGGTGCTAACTTCTGCATCTGTCATGCAGCCACACTAACAATTTCCACCTTGCCTACCTGGAGATGTTGATGAGAATATCAAAATGAGATGATGTCTGGGAAGAGATGTGTCAGCATGACACCTATGCAAACCGCAATGCTGTGGGCTATTATTCATCCATTTCTAATTGGCTGGGCCTCCATCACCCAAGCACTGTGGATAGGTGGGAAAGAGACCAGCAACAAGCACTGGAATGAGTTCAGGATATTTCCAAATGTCTGGCTCCTTTGCTCCATGGGTTTTGGATTGCAATGATCTCCATTCCCTTATGTCACCCAGAAAGGGCTTGAGTGGTGGGTATGGGTCCGATGTTGAGTTGTTGCTTCATGAGGTGCTTTAAGGAGCTGACTGCATCCGCTAAACTATGAATTTCCTGACCGCACCTGTGTCTGTGAATTTCCTGACTGCACCATTCTAAGAGCTGCCCCAAGGAAACAGGCCAACAACCTTAGGCTCACAACTTGGGTGATCCCAGATATTTTGCTGATCCTTCTAGTGAAAGAAGGGGGACATTTTAGCCCAGAACACTAGAATGTGGCAGCCTAAAGTATAGGGTGAGTTGGGGGCAGCCTGGCATTGACAGGAGGATATTTAGCTCCTTGACCAGAACCCCCCACTGCCCTTTGTGCTTGGAAAACACTCTTTCAACTTGCCAAAGCCCTACCTTGATTTGGTTTCAAAAATTCCTTAACTTTTCTTTCAGGAGTACCCTCCTTCCCTGAAATTTTCTGTCCCTGAAAATTTCCAAGCCCTCACTTTTAAGGCTGGGAAGTTTGACTAGGAGGTGTGTTTAATTCAGTGGGGCACCCATGCTTGGATGTGCCTACACCACACAGAACTTGGGAGTCCCCACTTCTCCCATCCAATGACCCCTAGCACACTAGCACAGCATGGGGAGGTGCTTGAATTTCCCAAAGGAAGGGGGTAAGATCTTGTCCATTTTCTGCCTTCTCCCCTGGTGAATGTGCCAATGAACCAACAAATCCATGCATGGGAGAAACACACTTGCAAATGGAGAACTGGTGTCCCTATAATCCCAGTGACTTTGGAAGGAAGGCCTGGGATCAGCAGGATAGAGAACAAACAGCCCTGGAATTACAGATTTCCATAACTACAGAAAGTTAGCAGTGGAGCCATCTGGAGACTTCCTAGAGCAGGGCTGTCCACCGAGCTCTCTGCCAGAATGGAAAAGCCCAATGCAATGTTCTATGCAACCCAAGTACATTAGCTATACAATACACCATAGACAGCAGGGTATATTAGCCACCAGCCACATGTGGTACCCAACACCTGAGAAGCAGAGGCTACTGTGGTTGAGAAAGTTAATGTTTACATTTATTTACTTTTAATTCATTTAAATTTAAATGTCCTCATGTAGCTAGTGGCTATCTTAGTAAACACTGCAGCTCTAGAGCATTTCTCCTTTTTTAACATACTTTATTTGATTCTTACCATGTTGAAGCTCAGAGCCATGGACTAAAGATCCTGCCCAAGGTCACACTGCTCATTCTTGAGTTCAGTCCAATACCTTGCCAGACTCTAGTCCCAAGTGAAAATACAGATCTGGGCAAGACAGTGTACTTGCCTTGAAGAAGCTCACTATCACGTGCTGGGGAGTATCTGGAGGAGGGCACAGGCTGGGGAAGACTCAGCAGGACTGGAGGCTATGAGGGAAAGCTGGATTTGGGTCTGAGCAGGGTGCTTCCACACAGAGAGGGACAGCCCTGGGCTTTAGCAGAGCACTCTAGAAGCAGGTTGTGGTGCAACTTATGACAACCCCCATCTTCTCAGGAAGGGAGGATAGGAGAGGACCACTGAGGCAGAGGGAGGTGTGATCATGGAAAGCTTTGCATGTTATGCTGAGGAACTTGGGCTTTTTTATAAAAGGGATAGAGACCTCCTAGGGCAGTGGAAGCTCTTCTGGACAAGGGAACTCTGGACTGTCTCTCCACACTTTTTCCCATAATTTCCAGACAAGGTCATGGAGGCCAGGAAGTCCATTCTTGGAGTATTAGAACCTGGAGAGTGAGGTGATCACATTCACTCCTTGAGCCACTGTAGTTCCTCCTTGAGCCAGTATAGGATGGCTAGAAGGGGAAAAGGCTGATGCCCAAGACATTGCAATTTTAAATACCAAAGGAGCTACAGAGGTTGAGCTTGACCAAAGGACAGAGGGACAGAGGGACAGAGGGCAGCTCATAATGTTTTCCGCAGCTTAAAGGAGCCTATCCTATTCCTCCTGCAGCCACTGTCTCTAAGCCAGCTGCCTCTCTGTCCCCAGGGCATGTCTCTGTGTCTTCTCTTGCTATATCCCATCTTCCGCAGCAAAGGCATAAATCCAGAGGTCCCTACCAGGTGTGAAAAATGGTAGCCCTGCCTGACTGGACTGGGAAGAGATTCATTCTTTATTGATTTTGGCTTTGGGAGGCTTTATCTTCCTTACTCATTTCTTACCTCTCCTGCATTCAAAGGAAGTGAAATTAAAGTATTAATCAAAATCATACAAATGAGACAAAAGTGTCAGCCTGCCCTTGAGCCACACTAATTATTTTCAGTAGGCCTGGTCCCTTCCCTGTGTGGAGAGGGGGCAGTGAGGGTTGTACCCCTCTGCTCCATCCCGAATCGCCAGCCTCACCAGTGAGACCAGTTTTAATTAATCCTCTGTTACTGTTGAGATTACATTGTCCCAAGGGGAGGCCCAGCTAAGCAGGAATATTATTTTAAACATATACTGTAAACAACACTGGTCCTCTGGAGAGTCCGGGGGTGCTATGGCTTTGACACTTTCACTGCCAGAACCAGAAGCCATTTACTTTTTATCTCCTAAACTATGCACTTTATATTTCTTTACCCACTCCTGTTCAGTTGATTTTCTAATACTAAAGAGATAAGGTCAGAAGAAAAGAACCACTAGCAATGATAAATATGTTAACTCCCCTGCAAAGTGATTGCTCATAACTTGCTTAAAACATCATCAGTTAAACAACGATAAAAGCTAACAATGGTATAGTACTTGGCACTGTTCTAAGCTGTGGATAGATAGATGCTAGACTGACAGCGGTGGATGGAGAGATTGATAGGTAGATAGATGGCAGATAATAGATAGGTGGCAGGTAGGTATATACATGCATACCCATACCCCTTATACACATATGCTATTCATTTAAACCTTGACAACCAACCATATGATATAAATATTATTAATCTGATTTTATCATTTGTAGACAGGAGGCACAGAAGGCTTAAGTAACCTGCTCAAGGTCAAACAGCTAATAAATGACAGACCCAGGCTTTGGACCCAGGCAGTATGGCTTTGGGGTGCATATTCTTAGCTACTACATTATACCAGACTGACATTTTACTCTTTCCAAGCTTCTGATTTTATTCAGTGATTTGCGAGAATAAATTCCAAGTGGGGTTCAGCTCCTGCATCCTGGAGGCTCCCTTTTGAAAGTTAAATGCATGCAACTTCTTTTTTTGGCATTGTCCTCTTTTTTTTTTTTTTCATTTCCATCCACAATTACTTAATTGCATGCATAATGAGTTGCATGGGAAATTGGCTCCCTAGTATCAGACAAACACGAGGAACCAACAAATTGCCCAGGAGGCCTCTCTGAAGGTGGGATGGATCATTCAGAATGAGCTGCTTTCATTGGAATTCTTTAAAAAATGACCTGCTTTCCTTTGGAAGGGCCAGAGAGGGGATTTGGAGAGTGCTTTTCCCCCTGAGGCTCCCCTGGGATGGTTGTGAACTTGGCAAACTTGCTCAGAATTACCCCAAAAGAGCAATTTGTTCCCTAGCAAAACAGGATAATTGTCTGGGGCAGACGTGGGGCTTCTGGTGTATGGGTCAACAGAATGGGAGGGAGCACGCTCTCCAGCCGGAGAGTCTGTTTGGGAAACAATTATCTCACCTCCCTCGAATCAAAGATAGTCCTGCATACTGTGTACGTGCACTGAGATCAAATATAATGTAAGGTCTCCACAGATTCTCTTCCTTTCAGGAAATTATTCATTGATAAAGCTGCCGGCCCAGACAGCCAGCTTCCTTACAGTAACTGCTCTTTGCTTTCTGAAAATAAGCCAACTAGGCAGGAACTGTTCTTGCCCTTAATGAAGCCTCTTCTCTTTGGAGAACGGTCTCTCCTCTGCCCAACTTACACCACCTCAAGACATGGAAAAGCAGCTTCTTTCTCAAAAATAGGGGAGTGCTCAGTGTTCCTTCTCATATGACTGGTGTCACTTTCGACTGGCTTCAAATATGTATCAGCAAGGGCTTTGATTGTTGCAAGCTATTCATTCAGTCTGCGCCCATTAAGCATCAGCTTAAATTAAGCATGGTGCTCAGAGCTGAGGTTTCAAAGAAGTAGAAAAAAGAATCCCTGTTCTCCAGCATCTCATGGTCTATGCATGGCAAAAAGACTGCATCCCACCTGTGATTGATGCCAACAAGCTGGACCACAATGTGGAAAGAGACTTGGAGGCATTTCCAGGCCTGTTGGAAAAGAATGCAGCCATCAGTTAGAGTTATACCTCATTGGCCTAGGAAATAACAAAAAGTCTTTAGTATGCATTGGTCCCCTTAGTTCTAGAATACTCCTAGAGATGATCTAGCACAGTCTTCTCATTTACATGGATAGAATCTAAGGTGCATAGTCAGAGATGCTTTGTCTAAGGCCACAGAGTGGATAAGAGAGACTGGGCTGGCAAAGGTCAGCCAGGGTGGGAAGGACATTGAGTCTGCTGCCAGAGCAGGCATGTAGTAGAGCAGTGCAGGAGGACTTGTGCATGCATGAGAAGTGGACAGTTTCAGGGAAGCAGGACCAGTCCCAGAAAATGCCCTGCAGGTGAGGAAAAGAGACCAGGAGTCACAAAGATTAGGACCAGAGCAACCACATTTGCAACAAGTCCTAGTCCAGTTAAAAAGTCTGCTGTATCTCCATGTAATTTTATCTTTTCTTTGTGTTGGTGAGACTCCAATGGCCATTGAAGTTATGAAATATTCAGAAAACTCAACATGATTTTCAACCCTGATCGAATGGGGGTCAGGGGAACGGGCATGCAAATGTCTGTCTGCATTTTTGAATACTCAAAGGTCTCTTGAACCCTTTGTGATAAAATGTATTAGCAAGAGAGTAAAGAAAGGCTACTTATCAACTGAATCTCAAGGACTTTCTAGCTCTGCCCCCAAACACTCTACCAATGTGATCATCTCATTAATTTTTTTTCAAAAATCTTGCATAGTGTTATTATCCCTATTGTTCATAAAGAAATTGAGAGCCAAAGAGAATGAGCATCTCATAGCTGAGAAGGGGAAAGAGAAGCTTTTACTTAAGACAGTGTCTCTTGGACCCCACACCTGTTCTGCCACTGTTAGAAACCCTGTAATTCAGAAAGATCTTTCCTGCCTGCATTTTCATTTGAGCAACATAAATTCCCATTTCACAGGTGACCAAGCTGAGTCTTTGAAATTTAAATAACGTCACCAAAATTATATAGCTAGTGAGGACAAAGCCATAAATAGAAATTTGGGATAGCATTGCTTGTGTTCCTAGCCTCTACTCCCTATAGGAACTTCAAAAGCAAGAGAAAAAAGTAGCACTGTATTTGGCAAAACAACATATGAATTCAACAGCTTAATCCCATTTAAAGACAGATTTCTTAGAATTTCTCTGACCATTGGACAACTCACTAAATTCTGGATAGATAAGCTATCATGATAGCATTTTTGCCCCATTGCCATGGGGATCCCTAGTGCACAGATAGTATCAGTCAATTCAACATCACCATTATAAATGCTGTTTTTCCTCCTGTACCTCATATGTATATATATATATATATATATATATTTCATGATAATGAAATATCAGAGGAGATAATTCTAGCTGGAATGCATTTCTGTCTTCTGAGAAAAACACACAAACCACACACATACACACACTCAAAGTAAAGAAGACAGATGTGGCTATTAGTTGTGTTCAACACAACAAAGAAATAGCCACAACTCCAAACTACTAGCCATGAAATTTTCGCCAAATATTACAAAATTTGAACCCAAATATTGAAGAATGGAGAAAGCTGGCACAGACTTCCTTAGACTTTGAGCAGAAGTCAGTTTTCTGTGAAAACCCTCTAAAAGTTGCTCTTACAGTCCTAAAAGTGCCATCTGGTGATCCTTACACCTAGAGTTGTGGATGATACACAAGGGGGAAAAGAAAAAGAAATTTAAAAAGGTTAATGTTTTTCTAGAACTGGTTTTGTGTCACACAATGGCAAGTTTGGTGGAATTGAAACAGGAAAATCATATAGACTTGCCATCTAAATTTTCTGAGATCTTGTCTCCAGCCAAGAAAGACTGATGGAGATTGAATTAGGTTTTGAAGGGAGCAGAATCCACATATTATAGCACAAGGAGTCACACATTGTGGGGTTTCATTGAATGCTTAAGAACCACCTGAAAGAACAGATATCATGTCTTTTACAGGGACATGGATGGAGCTCGAAGCCATTTTCCTCAGCAAACTAATGCAGGGGCAGAAAACCAAACAACCACATGTTGTCACTTATAAGTGGGAGTTGAACAATAAGAACACATGGACACAGGAAAGGGAAAAACACACACTGAGCCCTGTCAGGGTGGTGGGGCGGGGGAAGAGAGAGCATCAGGATAAATAGCTAATGCATGTGAGGCTTAAAACCTAGGTGATGGGTTGATAGATGCAGCAAACCACCATGGCATGTGTTTACCTATGTGACAAAACTGCACATCCTGCATGTGTATCCTGGGATGTAAAATTAAATTAAATTAAATTAAAAAAAAAACACCTGAATGCCAGAAATAGAGATACTCCAACATGAATAATCACATATAGCTTCAACCTAATTCTAGAGAGCCTATAAGAAATAGCCTCTCTATACTATAATTCAACAAAATACTAACCCAGAAAATACTATTTGAAGATGAGTAAATGCCAGGAAGGAAATATCAGGGTTTTCAAAAGTTGGTGAGAAAAGAAAGAAAAAGAGAGAGGAAGAGGAGGACAAGTCAGATAAAGAATATTTATTTAAGGAGGGATTAGTTTTAGACACAAATAAAGAGTTTGAGGAGATTAAAGATAATTGATGTCTTTGGAAAGCTGTTCAAGAAAGAGATACAGCAGAGATATTAAATAACAGTTGGCAAGATAATAGAAATAAATAAAAATGGCAGACCTCTGGAAAATGGATACAAGGGGAATATAAAGTATTATAGAAATAAAAGGAACATTAGAAACTGTCATAAAATAGAGAAATAAACAAAGTTAAATCAAATACAGGAACATAGACAATGTCCTTAGGAAAACTACAGTCCCTTAAGAGGAAAAAAATGAAAATGACTACAGAGAAGTTGCCACATATAGGGAGAAAGTTTCTGTGTATAGATAATGAGCATAGCTGATCAAGATGACATAATAAGCATCCACAAGAAAAAACACAATGATATAATACAAGAAAACTTCATTTGTATATGAAGACTTGAATTTTATATAAAGACTTGAATTTCACTGGGGCACCAGGTTCCAGGGACAGAGGTGAACAACACCAAGATTTACCAAAGACGGGAATTGAAATCTGTGAGTTTCAAGGCAGAGAAAAAAAAAAAAAGCTAGTTGCCTTCAAAGAAGAAAAAATTCAAATTAGCTGTAGGTTTCTTTACAACAAAAGTCAGTGTCAGAGACTAGAGGACAGTGTTCTGGGGAAAAGTGGCACCTGTCTCAAGCACCCCAGTTCACCTAACTCCCTGGTTGTATACAGTCCTGCTCTCAGAAGCAAATGTGCGAAACTGTACCCAGTCACAGAGCTACTACTTGTGTGCCAAACAAACCCCTAAAGGCCTTGTTGTCTCTCAGTACTGGGTTGTCCTTTGCTTTAACAATGGCCCCAGTCAGAGTGTGTTAATAGTTCCTAATTCACCAGCTGGATTTGGTCAAATTCCGTTCCTTCAAAACCTCAACCATTGTCCTTTCCCAAACTCCCTATCTTATCCTGTAGGATGGAACTAGCTTGAGTAATCATACCTTACATCAAATTGTTCTTATTCTTTACCTATTCATCACATGAACAAAGGAATCCTCTCACTCCAACCTAGATCACAATTATTCCATTTCCTTGTAACTTTGTTTCTTTTTAAATTCCATTTTCCTTGTACCTTGTGTCTATGTAAATACATTTAAATGAGGACAGGGTACCCGACTAGGCAGCAGAAATGGCATCCACAAAATGTAGCCTTCACCAAGTCTTTGTCCCCACTTAGCTCAGTTCCAGCTGTGTTTTAGGGTGCACGTGTCATTCTGATCATCAGAATATAAGGCTTTGCAGGCATTTTCTCTGCTTCTTTTAGTGTTTTTCCTAAATTTATTGACTCAACACACTTCTAATTCCTTAATCTATTTTCCTCCTTCGATAAAAAAAGAATTTCCTTCTTAGCAGTATTCCCTAATATTTTTCATGTGTAAGTCACATACAAAAATTCTGAAAGACCCAAGAATTTGAGAAATTAGATCTTCCTGGGGAAATAAAATGAGAGATAAAAATAAAACATTTAGAAATAGAAAAAAACAAATTAGAAGGACTGGCAGTGATAATTAAACTCACTAGGATACTGAAGTAGGAATAGGGAAATTTGAAATTTGTAGTTAAATATGATATATATTCTATGTATATGTATATGTTATAAACCTTGGTAATATAAAAACAACATTATAACTAAAAAATCCCAACGGGTGGGGATGGAGAATGGAAGGAAACGTATTTGTGCTAGTGCCTCTATCTTTTATGGCAAATAATCCATAAATACTGTCTAAAGGCTATATTAATGGCATTTTTAAAAAGAATTAAATAATAAAACACCAATGATTCCCAACTTCTAATTGTTTGCCATGCTCTTTTTTTGTAATTGAACTTGGCTATTAATGACTAACCTGACTTGTACAAAGATATTTAACTTCAGTTCAATAATTACTGCAATTTTATATTGGCTTCTTTTATGTTCAAATAAAATTATTTTTGAAACTCTAAAAAGTGGTATGGATGATAGATGGTACATTTTTCCAGAACTACTTTCATCTATTCATCTTTCTTTTATTTATGCATTAGAGAAAGTTTTGAAATAACGTGAACCAACTGTCAAAAGTCATTTTTCAGATGACATTTTAGTAACTTCATTTTGGGGGAGACTTTTTGTGTTTTTCACATTTTCGTATTTTGAGAACATGTGTCTTTTATAAAACAATGTTATAATTTTAAAAATCTAAGAAGCGAGGATGTTATCAATTAAGTAGTCAGTTATTGGGTATTAAGCCTCTATGTCAGCCAGACACTCTGGTTGGCCCTGAGGGGCAGACTCTGTCCCCCAGGTAATTAAGGAGAAAGAAAACATGAGAAAGATGAAGATGATGTCACAAAATACAGTAAAATGCAGCCCTTGAGTCTGAGGAGGGGACATTTCCTTGGAAGCAATAAGCCTTGAAGGACAGGGCATTAGACTGAAGAACAAGAAGACCTCAAGGAGGTGTTCAGTGGACTTTTGAAGGATGGGTTACAGAGAGGCAGACGTGGGAGGCAAAGCACAACTTGATGCAATATAGAATAGAATTGAGAGAAAATTGTCCAACAGATCCTTTCTGTCTAAGGAAAGTTGTCACAGAATAAAGGCAGCCATAGGTGAGTAGAGAATGGGTGCCAGGTGAACTTGTGTTCAGAGTGCCTGGTAGACTGGGTTCCACCGGCTGGCTTTGTGGGCACAATCTCAGCAGTATATGTTTCTCTCTGTAAAAATGTCTTTCTTAAAAAAATAAATAAATAAATTCAAAAATCAGCATTTGCTGGTTGTTTTGTGCAGAGTTTAGAACAAATATTGTTTGCAAGACAAACACAAGAAAATAAATCTTCTCACAAAGCCAGTTTGGGAAATTAAACATTGATTGGATCATACCCAGCAAGGCTTGGGGGAAACCAAATTGTCAGAGTCTCAAACTCATTACAGCAGAGGGAAGGATTAAAGGTTTTTAGGCTTGACAGACCTAAGCCAAACCCTTCCCCAGATATTTTTTTTTTTTTGCCCTGAAATGATGTATCCAGAGAAGGAGGGGAGGGAAGAAAAAATTTTAAAATTCACACAGACAAAATAAAAGGTAAAATATATACAGTTTTGTAGACTTGTGGGTTGCCATTCAAAATCTTCTTTGTGCTGAAGTCACACGAAGAAAGAATTGCAGCTTGATCAAGTCACCCAGGATTAAGAGACTAATGTATTAAAAACCTTATTACAAACAGAACCACATTCTCTGGATTTAGCATAAAGTTTCAACTGTAATTAGTTTGTAAAAGGGAAAAACCAAGTGAAACATTCCAAAAACTAACAGTCCCGAAAAGGGTACCTTGTACCGCTGTTTAAAAGAAAGCATTAAGCAAATGGAGGAGAGACAGGGAGGATGGGCAGAGAGACACTAAATAGAAGCTGGAGCCTCTGCCAGTTTCTGAGGCTACACTCAATTATCCCAAACTTCATGGGTGTAATATAAGTAAAATAGCCTTCCACCAAATGTCATTAGCCTTCCACCAAATATCACCCTATTCTAATTTGCACCTAGATTTATGGCTACTCCTTGGCTTTGAAAGTCTTAAAGAGTAAGTCACACTTTTATAACATGTTTTATTAGCCAGAGTCTCTCATTGGAGAAGACCAGGCTACCAAAGAAGCCATCTGGGTTGCAATAAGAGAGAGAAGTTCCTGTGTGTATTTGGGGGATGGAGGCTACTCAGTAGTATTACAAGGCAAATCTTCGAAGAAGCAACCCCAGGGGGCTCCAGGCCATTCCAGATGTTAGATGGTGCTTGTCTGGGGGGTCCCCTATTTTACTGCTTTCTGTTATATTTTGGTCCCATTCCATTCCAGGTATGGTATTTGCACTGCACTAATGAATCCTTACAACCACTCCATTTGATTGTCGTGAGGATTAAATGAGATCCCCAAAGGCACATCAAAGGTGCTTAATAAATATGTTTCATAAATAGTCACTAAATGAATTACTGATTGGGCCTGACTCAGAATAGGTATTTAGAGACAGAAGCTATAGTTGTTGTCAGATATCAAGGCATATCCGTCCAGTAGCAAATTGGCCACCCCCAGAAAAGGTTCTACAACTAATCTCTACCATGGTGCAACTGGAAATTCAAAAAAATCACCTGACCTGTGCTACATATAGGTTTGCACTACTAAGCTCAGCATGACTTTTATAAAACCATACACATCTATACCCAACAGCCAAAACACACACAGCTCAGGAGCTGTGATACATTTTGATGATAAAGGAAAATGCATATATAGATATATATATATACACACACACACACACACACACACGTATATATGTATATACAAGACTTCATCTTATATATGTATATATGTGTATATATACATGCATATGTATATACATGCATATATATGTATACACACGTATACACACACACACATACACACACACACACACACACACACACACATATATATATATATATATATGATGGAGTCTTGCTCTGTCACCCAGGCTGCAGTGCAGTGGTGCAATCTTGGCTCACTGCAACCTCCACCTCCCAGGTAAAAGTGATTCTCCTGTCTCAGCCTCCCGAATAGCTGGGACTACAGGTGCCCACCACCACGCCCAGCTAATTTTTCTATTTTTAGTAGAGACGGGGTTTCACCATGTTGGCCAGGCTGGCCTCAAACTCCTGACCTCAAGTGATCCACCCGCCTCTGCCTCCCAAATTGCTGGGTTTACAGGTATGAACCACTGCGCTTGCCTTTTTTTTTTTTTTCCCCCTGTCTCTTCTTCCTTCATGGGAAAAAACAGGAACTGAGGGAATGATATGGAGAAGACAAGAGGGTAGTTACTGCTTTAAAAAGGTTGAAGTGACTATTATTTATTTTTCTGTTATTTCTAACAGTCATGTAAAATTAAATTAGGAAGAACAAAATTGATTTTGCTAGATTGAAAATCCATTCAATATATTGAGGTTTTAATATGATTCTGATGCCGATCTCTGGCTTTCTTAGAAATATTTAATGTCTGGCTTTTAGGAAGACACCTTTTAAACTCAGAATGACTTCCCAAACAACTGTTGAAAAGCCAAGCCTCTCAGCCACTCCTGCCGTTGGTCACTTCCGCTAACACTCTTGACTTTCTCCTCATCTATATCATTGACTACTAAATTTCCTTCTCTCTTACAGGCATACATTAACCTGGAATCTTTTGGTTGCAAGTGGCAGAAGTTTAATGATTGTCTCAGGTGACTAAGAAGTCCAGAGCTATGCTAGCTTCAGGCTAGTCAAACAAATAAAACTTATAAGAATCTATCTAATTCTCCCTGCTTGGCTCCAATTTGCAGCGTGCTGGTTTCTGTCTTAGGCTTTACATCATCATGGCAAAGATAGTGGCAGATAAAGGCAACCTCTTTCCAGCAAAACTTCTAAAACTCCCAGGGCCAATTCTCATCAGTGTGGCTTAGATCACATGGCCAGCCTTAAATACAAATGTGCAGGATTGTGTCATTGTCCTAACCCTAAACCTGGGGTTGGGTTCTTTCCAATGAAAACCACATAGATTGAGAGTGAAGGAGAGTAATGAGGATGGGATATTTGCCTGGCACGAACAAAACAAAATGTTCATCACTGCGGGCCTGTCTAATAGTACCCCTTCCGCAAAGGCTCTGATCAGTTCTCTGAATGTGAAGAATGTGTGTGCGCGCACACACACACACACACACACACACACACCCAACTTACATCATTCAATACATTGCGCGGTACAAAGAATGAGCTATACATGCCTTAAAAATTGTACTCACCTAATTCATCTGCTTTGTTTTTCAAAGTACCTAAAACAATGGTTTCATACACAGGTAGTTTATTTATTTATTTATTTATTTTTTGAGAGGCAGTCTTGCTCTGTTGCCCAGGCTGGAGTGCAGTGGCGTGATCTTGACTCACTGAAAGCTCTGCCTCCCGGGTTCATGCCATTCTCCTGCCTCAGACTCCCAAGTAGCTGGGACTATAGGTGCTCACCACCACGCCCAGATAATTTTTTGTATTTTTAGTAGAGACGGGGTTTCACTGTGTTAGCCAGGATGGTCTCGATCTCCTGACCTCGTGATCTGCCCATCTCGGCCTCCCAAAGTGCTGGGATTACAGGCGTGAGCCACTGTGCCCGGCCACACAGGTAGTTTCTAACGTTTGTTGAATGAGTAAAAGCATCACCTAATCAATGAGGGAAAAAAATATCTCCTTTGTAGAGTATTTTTTAACCCACCTGGGGAAGAAATAAAGACAGCCATTTCAGTACCCCATTTGAACTCCTATGCCCTGCCTCACTCAACTGGAATAGAGTTGGCAAATGTGCCCAAGGGTTGGTAACATTTAGGTGCCAACTTAGTATGAGGCAATACATTGGATATTGATTGACTCATCACTTGTTTCAGACTATGAGGTCATCACATGTTTCCCTAAACAATATGTTACTTGATTGCAGAGAACAGTGGAAGTGAGAAAGCTCTAGACTGGGTTTTTGGAAATGTGGCTGCATCCAAGTCTTGCCTCCACCATTTAAAACCACTAACCCGGGCAAGTCATCACTGCTGTGCATTTCAAAGGAGATTTTAATGTCTGCTTCATGGTATTTCCTTGAAGATAAAGTTGGATAACGTTTGCTAGATGAGGGACATAAGAAATACCAACTGATTCCCCTGGCCCACTGTGGGACTCAGTTTCCTAAGTTTTTTTTTTTTGTTTTTTTTTTTGAGACGGAGTCTCGCTCTGTCTCCCAGGCTGGAGTGCAGTGGCGTGATCTTGGCTCACTCCTAAGTTTTTAAGTGAGGCATTTGGAGCAGCTTGAAAATCTGATGAATTGTTTTAGAGCTAAATGAGACTCATGTAAAAACACACAAATCATTTAAAAAGTATCATTGTTTCCCCTGTAAGCTGTTAATGAATGGGAAACACTTGCAAATAAGCACACTATAAAGTCTATGATCGACAGCTTCAGTGTTGTTTGCATTTTTACAAAAAGCCCAGACAAATTAGTAAAATCTAAACATAGCTGAACTAATGTTCTCCTAGATATTGTTTAATCTTCAAAGTAGCATGCTACCCCAGAACACCCCCTCCAGGCTCTTTCCACATCTGTAGATCAGTGACAATTATTTTTTTTTCCACTGTTTATTCATCTGGAGATGGCCTCTCCCTGGACCTGAGCAACATGCAAAAGTAAAGATAATTCTGAGAGTCATTTCCCTACTAAAGAGGCCTTTATCCTTAAAGCCAGTCTCTTCCCATTGTCTCTGTGATTAACCTTTTATTCCATGCTTCCTATGGGGAACTTTTGAGGGATTGATAAACATCGACTCAGAAAGTAGAGATAACAATGTTTCTGAAATGGATGACCTTGGCCAACTTATTAAGTCACCTTGAACTTCAATTTTCTCATCTGCAAACTGGGGCCACCAATTATATCACTTCTGTGATTTTCTTTCCTCAAATTTATAACCTCAGGTTTGATTAGAAGAAAATATCAGACCAATCCAAACGGAGGGACTTTTTATAAAATGACCTTCAAATGTGTCCAAGTCATGAAAAGCAAGGAAATTGAAAGAAACTGCTACAGATCAGAGGAGACTAAATGTAATATGGTATCCAAGATGGGATTCTGGAACAGGCAGAGGATACTAGTAGGAAAACTGATGGAATCTGGACAAAGTCTGTTGTTGAGCTGATAGTGTTGTTTCAATGTTAATTTCTTAGTTTAAAAAAAAAAATACAACATGTTTATGTAAGATGTTAATGTTAGAGGAAGCTAAAGTACATAGAAACCGTCTGTACTATCTTTGCAGCTCTTCCATAAATCTAAAACTATTTTGTAAAAATTTTATTTTATTTTATTTACTTTTTTCTGAGACAGTCTCACTCTGTCGCACAGGCTGGAGTGCAGTGGTGCGATCTTGGCTCACTGCAACCTCTGCCTCCCGGGTTCAAGCGGTTCTCCTGCCTCCCGCCACCACCCCCAGCTAATTTCTATATTTTTAGTAGAGACTGGGTTTCACCATGTAGGCCAGGCTGGTCTCGAACTCCCAACCTCAGATGATCCGCCCGTCTTGGCCTCCCAAAGTGCTGGGATTACAAGCGTAAGCCACTGCACCTGGCCTATTTTGTAAAAATTATAAATAAAAATACTGGAGCCCATGACAATATCTAACTCATAAGGCTGAGGTGAAGATTAAACAAGTTGATATGGACCAAATGTGTAGCACATTACAGGTACTGAACAAATTTCTCCTCTTCTCTACAGATGTGTGATGTCTGAGTCTGTTGTTGCTTGGCCACCTTCACACAGAGTGGAGATAATTTTTTTTTTTTTCAATCTGGAAAACACACACACACACACACACACAAATAATTGCCAAGTCTGTAATTTAGACAAATGGACTACATTACGGCAGGGGCAAGGAGCAGAAAGGGTATTATTTCAACTGTCTAAATCTTTTGAGAAATCTAACGGGGAAAAAAAGAAGAAAGCTACTCAACATTACTTTCTTCCTTTCTCGCCAGCTGCTGAGGGTATTTGGCAGATGCAGTGCTGGAAGTCTGGTTGTGGAGATAGAAAAGCCTCAGCTTCTGTCTGGCCAACTGCACACTGCCTCACACACAAAAATACATTTTTTTTTTTCCTAAGTAGAACTTTCCCTTCGTGGAGCAGAAGAGGATTTCAGGGGCCAGTTTGGCAACACACTGTGTGAAATTTTCTGAAGTGAGGGCTTTTGACCTTCTTTGCCTCAGCCTAGTCTTACCATGCACAAGGAACAAGACATCAGTTCTACCAACCACACGGGATGATAGGCACATTGCTCTGAAAAGCCTGCGTCCTGCACTCACAACCACAAATGTCTTCACAGTCCTTTGACAGATACTTGCCTGAGGCATTCATCAGAGCAAAAGAGCAAACAACAAGTGCTGGGTGTTTAGAGAGATTTGAGATATTCTGTAGTGACTTTCCTTAAATTTTCCCAGTTTTTAATCATTGCACATAAACAGCCCAATGGACTTGGTCTTAAATCTCTGCCCTTTCTGTTGGATTTTCTACCTTGGTGCAGTATTATAATTCTAAATTAGAGCTTTCTATCAGTTGGTGTTATTTCTTCCCTCAGTTTAGCACTGGCACCAGCTATGTACAGCAGTGATTCCCAAAGTGTAGTCCCAGGACCCACAGCATGAGCATCACCTGGGGCTTGTTAGAAATGCAGCCTCTTGGATCCCATCTCAGACCTACTGAATTAGAAGCTCCAGAATGTGGGGTCCAGCAACTGTGCTTTTACAAGCTCACAAGGTGGTTCTGGTGGCTGGTAAAGTTTGAGAATCACTGGCCTACAGCCTTAAGCCCTAACTTCTCAATCTAAAATAGAAAACTCATATTCCAGCCTCAGACCACTTTCTAGGATTACCTTATAGGACATGCAACTGACATGAATGATTTCACTTGAGATACAAATATGGTCCTATTTCATATATATGAGAGAAAAATCTTTTGAGACACCCAAAGGGAAAAAAAGAAGAAAGCCACTCAACATTGCTTATTGCCTTTCATGCCAGCTGCTGAGGGTATTTGGCAGATGCAGTGCTGGAAGTCTGGTTGTGGAGGTAGAAAATCTCAGCTTCCATCCAGCCAACCACACACTGCCTCACATACAAAATACATTTTTCTTCCCTAAGTAGAATATACATTTATAGTCTAATTTACCATGGAATCTTCTACCTACCCAGCTTAGTGTGCCTGCCAATATCACCCTCTTAAAGTCATAAAATTTCCCTAAACCAAGCAAAGACCAAAGATTCAATCCAAGTGGTTAGTTCCCATGCCTAATTCTAAGCGTGGAGGGACTTAATCATTGGCTCAGGGCACCAGAATTGGATATGGGTCCTTTATTTGCCAATGAATGTTTTTTTCTCTTCTGAAGTGATTAACTTGCTAGTCCAGAATTTTCAGACCAGAACTATACTTAGAGGCCCAGAAACTTAAACCCGTTGCGACCATACAGCTTGATGCCCAGGTCTGGAGATGCCTCTGGGTTCAGATATACAATTTAGAAAATAGCTATTTCCACAAGACAGGGCCTTGAGGATGAAACCATGTCCCAGTCCAGCTTCCCCAACAATAAGTTTCCATGTGATGTTCTTTCCCACTGGCTGACCTCAGAAAGGACTATCAAACTCACTGAAGGCATTAAAATAATACTGAACCTATACATGAGAAGAATGGGTGTTTTAATTACTTTCTTTCCCAGGATGTTTCTAAGCTCCTGCACAAAATGACAAGCACCATCGCTGCAGAACTGAGTATCAAGAAGTTAGGAAAACCAAAGTTTGACTGTGGCAAGCCAAAAGCCTCCAGGTTGCTCCTAGAAAATTGGCCAAGACCCCCTCCTTCATTTGCCCTCCTGGTATTAATTTTGCACCAGCTTCTTTCCAGCTCCTAACTTCGCCTTTGCCACTCATTTTCATGATAACTCCTGACTTCCAGGCTTGCCAACTTGTCTTGTTTTAACCAACTCAGCTCTTAAGAGAGCTCTAGATTTTATTTAATTCTTTTATCCCTTCAGGGATTATTCCTAGCTGTAATCCAAGCCCTTTAGCTGACAAACCCTTGCACTATCCTTCTTGAAGTTGTCTTAATCAAGACATACAACTGCTGCTGTTGCCTCTGCCAGGAGCAGTAACCAGGGAAGAGTCTGAAAATTCCCTTAGTTAGATATCAGCAATATGCATCTATTTTTACAAAAAAAACCCAGAAGTCAAAACAATCTATCAACAACCTCCCAAAATAAAAAATTTCTTTGTTGGTTATCTATGAGTACAAACATACTCCAAAACTTAGTTTAAATAACAATAATAGTTTATGAGTTCTCACAGTGTTTGTAGGTTAAAAATTGGAGAGTAGTTGGCTGGCCAATTCTGGCTTAGGGCGTCTCATTAAGCCAAAGTTATATAAAGGCTTGACTGGGGCTGGAGGATCAACTTCCAGGAATGACTCACTCATACAGTTGGCAAGTTGATGGTGGCTTTTGGTTGGGGGCCCCAGTTCTTCTCCATGTTTCAAATAGTACTTGGGACATACTTATAATAAAAAAATTGTTTATCAAAAATTCCAGTTTAGTCTATACCAAATTTGTATTTGATCCTATATTTGTATTTGATATATCTGACCAACCTAGCCATTATGGCATGGCAGCTGGCTTCCCCCAGCATTAGCTAACTAAGAGACCAAGAGTGCTATAGAACCTTTTAGGACTTAGTCTTAGAAGTCATCAGCCATATTCTGCTGACCATACAGTCCAGCCCTGATTTGATGTAGGAAGGGTCTATACAAGACTGTGAATACCAGGAGAAGCGGTTCACAGGAACCACATCGAAGGTGGTACACTGGGGCCACATTAGAGGCGGTCTACCACCACTTCCAACTGAGTTAACTTAGCAAAGGCCTTAGATACGGAAACAAGGACATTTGAGAACATGATTGGGGGGATACTTTTTATTTAAATGCTTGACCTTAAACAAAATTTAAAAATTAAGACAGCAGAAAAGTAAAAGGATCAATTTATTGCTATTTTGCTATAAAAAGACTATTCAATCTAAAAGTTTAATTTTATTTTTAGGGTTAAAAAATTTAACTTACACCTTATAGAATTCATTAATTCACTAAATCTTAAGTCACAATTCAATACCACTTAAAGTCCATTTAAAAGAAAATTCTACATACAAAAAATGAGAAGAAGAGTACCCAGATATAGAGGCAAAAATCATTTTCTCTCAAATAAGAAGGATGTGTTATTAACTCACCAGCTCCATACCTACTTTTCAGCAGAAGAAGGAAGAGGTTAGTAACCTTTAAATGAAAAGGGACATGGGTACAAACCAGGGTTTCTTATCTGCCTGCCTACCAGGGCTTCCCATCTGCCTACCTAGTAGATACCGGAAATTCTATCAGCTTATTTTGGGGTTTTGTGAAAAACAGGATTGATATATTTTCAAACTTCATAATAGGCTGGAATTTGTGCTATGATCTTCCTTATCAAAGATGCTACAAAGTCACTCTTTAGACATCCAAAAAAAGAAAAGGGGGAAGAAAAGATGTACAGAAAATGTCAGGTTTTCAACTTGATAAAACAGTCTATGTAAATGTAGATTCCAGGCAAAATGGCCAAGGGAATTTATACCCATCATGCAAATGTGGGCAGCTGGGAGGATACTCAGCAGGGACTATTGCAGGAAGGGTGTGTGTTGTGCTTTGATTCTGGTGCCCAAAACAGTGACAAGGAGCCCAGGGTCCCCTAAGCCAGGTTTGGATATCAGAGAAACCCTGCTCGTGTGCTGTTCTGAAGGCATACCCTCCACTTGGCCTTGGTCAACCACAGACTCATTTCCTAGCCCCTGAGGAAACTATGGCCTCCAACTTTCTAGCTGAAAAATAAATTAGACTGTCAATGGGGAAGATATTTACTAGGCAGGAAGAAATGCATTTCATTTCTCAAGTACAAACATTAAGCAACTATTAAGCAGGACTCAGACCACCTCACTCCAGGGCCCAGACTGTTTTGTTCCTGTGGAACCGTGAAGTGAAATAAGACATTCAAAATGATCATCATGTAAATAACTGTTGGGATATGGATGGGGAATAGGGGAGCACCAGAATGCGGGCTCCACAGGTTGGAGGAGCCATTGGAAAGGAGAGTGGGGATACGTTTGGATGTTTACTCTCTGCATGGGGCATTGTGCATGGGAATTTTTACTAATGAGTGAAGGTTGCAGCAAAGTGAGTAAAAATGGTTAGTGCAAGAACACATCCTTCCAACTGCTTCATATTTTAATATGTCCTGGATTTTCTTCATGAGATGAAGCTTCAGCTTGAAGGTGTTAAAGTTTGAGGTGTGACTGACATAGGAGATCATAACTGGGCCCACCTGTTAGGAAGCGTGGAGATGTGGCAAGGCTTGGACAGATACAACAGTGCAGGTGGTATGAGTGTGAGGGTGAGTGTGAGAGTGTGTAAGTCTGTGTGTGAATGTGAATCTGTGTAAGAATCTGTGTGTATGTCTGTGTGTGAGTGTATGAGTGTGTGTCTGTGTGTGTGTCAATGTGGGTGTGAGCATGAGTCTGAGTGTGAGTCTGTGTGTGTGTGGGAGTGAGATCCCCATAAATGTCACTCTGTGTGTGAGTACATATGAGCCTGTGTGTATGTGTGTGAGTGTGTACCTGTGTGTATGGATCTATATGTCTGTGTGTGTGTCTGTGTGCATGAGTATGGATCCGTGTGTGTGTGTCCCTGTGAGTCTGTCTGTGTGTATGAGTCTGTATGCGTCTGTGTGAGACTGTGTGAGTGTGAGTCTGTGTGTGTCTGTGTTTGTATGAGTGTGTGTTAGTCTGTGTCTGTGTGTGTCTATATGTGTGAGTGTGTGAGTTGTGTGTGTTTGAGTGTGAGTCTGCATGTGTGTGTGAGTCTGTGAGTGTGTGAGCCCATATGTGTGTGTCTGTGTGTATGAGTCTATACGTGTGAGTCTATGTGTGAGTCTGTATGTGTGTGAGTGTGAGTCTGGGGGTGTCTGTGTGTGAGTTTGTGTGTGAATCTGTATGTGCGAGTATGTAAGTGTGTCCGTGTGTGAGTCTGTGTGTGTGAATCTGGTGTGAGCCTTTTTGTGTCTGTGTGTGTGTGAGTCTGTATGTGTGACTGTGTCTATGTGTGTGTGAATCTGTATGTGTGTGTGTCTGTGTATGTCTGTGAGTGTAAGTCTGAGTGTGTGAGTGTGAGTCTGTGTATGTGTGTGTGTGTAAGTCTGTATGTGTGTGAGTGTGAGTCTGTGTGTTAGTCTATATGTGTGAGTGTGTGAGTGTGAGTCTGTGTGTGTCTATGTGAGTCTGTATGTATCAGTCTGTATGTGTGTGTGACTGTGAGTCTGTTTGTGAGTCCACATGATACCTTAAATTGGAATAGCTGAGGGTGCAGCCCAGGCAGTATTTTCTAAGCTCCAAAGGCAAGTCCCATGTGCCACAGAGAAAGAGAAACACTGGCCCTCCAGAGCATTCCTAGTGCTGAAGGAGCATGAGCCTCTCCTGGACAGCTGCTGCCCAGCAAACCCTGTTGCCAGTCATGAGTCCTGGGGTGGGGCCCACAAATGCTCTTTTCAGTAGACACTGGAAAACTGTGAAGATGGCGCTTTCTCATCATAGATAACAATTCCATAGACCATTTTAAGTTGCAAAGGTGAATAACACAAAGATACAGGCAATGAAAGGGTAATGAAAGTGGCATGTGCAAACCTAGAAATGGAGAAAGAAGGCCAGGTTGAGAACCTCATATTAAAGCACTTCATGCCTGCAGATGCCTACAGAATTCATGGCGACTTGGCCACATCTACTTGGCTGGTGGCAGAACTGTGACGCTCTCCCAGACTCAATTAAATGGAAACAGAAATTCCCAATATAAGTCAGCATTCACTCACATCATAATTATTCTGTCAATCAGATCTGTTAGAATGGCATGCACGGAACATGCAATAAGCTTGTATTGGCGTCTAATGGATTGTTTTCCCCAATGTGAAAAGTACAAGAGTTTGAAAGAATGGGCATGGTAAAATTTGTGCTTACCTCTCCAAGTAAAATTTTGCTAACCTTTCAGGTCTATGCAATGTCCTAAAGATTTGGGGCTCCCAAGCAATGGTTAATTTTGAAGACACAGATGTCAGTGTCCATCTATAGTCATAATTTCTCTCTCTCCCTCTCCCTCTCTTTCTCTCTCTCCATCTGTGGATCTGTTTATCTATGTAAGTATTCTTTCTCCTTTCTTCACTCAAAATGAGAGACTACCACTGACTGAGAGATCTTAGTTGGCTCAACATGAAAGGTTTTTACACACCAATCTCACTCCAGCTTCTCCTGAAACTTGGCCTTTCTCAGGCTGAATACATCCCAAGGAGGAGGAGCTGAAGTAAAGAAAGTTCTGGCCAGCTAAAGCTTTTAGAGAAATTCAGGTGCTGAGACTAATTCCCCATGCTGAAATGCAGCCAGGCCAGATGGGTTAACACCTAGCCTTTTGCAAGAAGTAACTTGGGACAGCGAGTGATGAGCCCTGAGATTTGGTCCGAGCTGCCTCTTATCTCTGCTAGTGCCCCCTGGCATTATTCAGCTTATCCCTGACTCATGGGACAAGTCCCGCAGCGGAACCACCCTGCCCACTTCCCACGGACTAGGAGACACACTTGAAGGTTTTCTGTCCAATAACTGACTAAGAAGACCAGTCTTTCCATATCAGATATGAACAGTGCTTAGGGCGAAACTGCTGCATGCACAGAAGAAAATGTCCACGCATCGAAACTGGTAGACTGTCGCAGACCTTCAAAATAATTCCTCTGGAATTTCCTCCACTACTACAGATGAAAAATGATTCCATCATAGAAACTTAGTGCAAAAACACATCATTACTTCCTGCCCTTTGGGGTAGAGAAGGGGCAATTGAAGATCCTGCAGCTGGTTTGTAGAAGGGTAGTGGCCAGAACTGGGGTCTCCTGGCTCCAGGTCCTGTATCTGAGAGTATATACCAGGAATGAATTTCTGCATGAGATCATTGGCTCATGTTGAAGTAGGAATTCTAGAATATTCCAGAGCTAAGCTGTCTACTGTGGTAGCCACTAATAGGGCGATTAAGCACTTGAAATACAGATGTGCAAGTTGAGATGTGGTGTGAGTATAAGATACACACCAGATTTCAAAGCCTTGGTTTGAAAAGAAAAGAATGTAAAATACCTCATTTATAGTATATGCTGATTATGTATTAAAATAATAACATTCTGTTTATATTGAGTTAATAAAATCTATTATTACAATTAAATCCTCTTTATTTTTACCCTTTTCAGTGTGGCTACCAGAACATTTAAAATTATTTGTGGCTTGCATTGTTGTTTCTATCGGAAAGCATGGTTTTAAATACATAAATTTCAGAATGTCGCCCAGGCTGGGAAAATGTTACCTCATCTCAAAAAATATGGCACCAATGTTATAATAGTCCAAGATATTTTCTAATCTCTCCTCGAATAATGTAATCACTCCTAACCACATCGTCTCTTGAACTCTCCCATCTTTTCCTTATACCCCAACTGCAGATCTCTTCTAAGGATGCAAGCCTGATTGTGCCATTCTTTGTTTTAAAACTCTAACCCTCCCTTTCCAGTGCCTTACTCAGAGGGCCCTATGTTCCCTTCTGCCTCTCTACTGTTCCCTCTGATAGGATTGCTCTTCCTCTCCCTCTATGTCTTGAAAACGAGGCTATTTTGAGAACTGGGCCTAAGGCTTCCTATTGAAGATACTTTTCCTATCCCTCCCCCTTCCCTTCTCTGCAAGGTCACACCTCCACACAGCCAGATCTCAGGTCACTGGGAGTGGGGGTCATGGGTCTGACTCACAGGGATGAGGTATTTTATTCTTATCCTTGGTGTAATCCCAGAGGAACCCATTAAACACCTACTGAATGCAAAACTTTATATCCAGTTACACAGAAGGTTCATTTCAGTGCTAAGGATGTGGGTGAGAAAAATAAAAGGAGTCCTTAAAACACTGCCTGGAGTTTACTTAGTTCCCAAAAAAATCAAAAATAGAAGACATCAAAGGAGTGGGTGAAGTCTAAGTTGAGAAAAGGAGCTTTGCTGAGCCCAAGAAGTAATTTTTATGACTTGCTTCTACCTGGCTGTTATATTTTTTGAAAACCTCATAATTTGAAAACTTCAAGCATTTCTCCATGTGCCACAAATCCAGGCCATTAGCAAATGCTATAAACCAGGGGTGTTCAATCTTTTGGCTTCCCTAGGCCACATTGGAAGAAGAATTGTCTGGGGCCACACATGAAATACGCTAACACTAACCATAGCTGATGAGCTTAAAGAAAATCGCAAAAAAAAAAAAAAAAAAAAAAAAAGAAAACCACATGTAATGTTTTGAGAAAGTTTTCAAATTTGTGTTGGGCTTCATTCAAAGCCGTCCTGGGCTGCATGCAGCCCATGGGCTGTGGGTTGGACAAACTTGCTATAAAATGTCTCCTAAGCACATTCAGTGCTATCTGATACGTTCTGTCTTTTCTACTGTCACCCCCTCTCTTCCTGGGCAACTCAGACTGCCTTTCGCCTGGTTTATCTGCTTAGACCTATGCTTCCCTTCAATTCTTCCATACATAGTAGTTGGAGTGATTTTATTGAAATGCAAATAATGTTACACCAGTGTCTCACTCCTGTGAATTCCCACCACACACAAAACATAATCCAAGCTCCCTACCCAAGCTCAGGGAGCCTGGTCTGGCTACTTTCTACTCATGTCAGCCCTGACTACTGACTCCTGCCCTCCTGGCCTTCCCACTGCCTGTGCACTGGGCTTGTTTCTGTGTTATGATCCTGACCATCTAATTTCTGCTATGGGGCCTTTGAACTGGCTGTTTCCTCAGCCTAAAATGCTCTCCATTCTATGCCTAGCTGTCATCTTCTGTCATGTAGATTCAGCTCAGTGGTCATCTCTTCAGAGAGGTCTTGCTTGAACGGGTAACCTGAAGCCACCAGTTAGTCACTCTCTGTCATATCCCCCATTATAATTTTTTGCCTAGAGGTTAAATTGTGTTTTATTTTATTTAGCTAAGCTTATTGTCTTTCTTCTCTGATTAAATTTTTAGCTCCATGAGAGAAGGGACGTTGCCTGCTCTTCTATTCACTTCATCCTTATTATCTAAAAGAATGCCCACCCCATAGCGCCCGATCAATAAATATTTGTTGACATAATGACTACATGAGGTTTGAATATGTGATAAAATTATAACAATATTGACACTTTATCTTAACACTGCTTATTAAGGAGCTAAAAATTAGATTGTTTTGTAAAGTAGGGAACCAAGATCCTTTAGATATTGACTGTATTAAATTACTTAATGATGTTTTTAACATAATTTTTGAGCAGTCAATTCACTCTAAGAAACTCTGTTTCCTGATTAACAACAGCAACAGAAACTAAAAACAAGCTGGATGCAGTGGCTCATTCCTGTAATTCCAGCACGTTGGGAGGCCCAGGCAGGTGGATGACTTGAGGTAAGGAGTCCAAGACCAGACTGGCCAACATGTCGAAACCTCATCTCTACTAAAAATACAAAAAATTAGCTGGGCATGGTGGCGGGCACCTGTAATCCCAGCTACTTGGGAGGCTGAGGCAGGAGAATTGCTTAAACCTGGGAGGCGAAGGTTGCAATGGGCCAAGATCGTACCAGCCTGGGCCACAGAGCAAGACTCTGTCAAAAAACAAAAACAAAAATAGTTTCCCTTTGCATTGCTCTCAAGTACATATGTATGTATAATTTTCTTTTTAAGAAGCTTCTTGAGGGTGTTAAAATGTGCTGTGCTTTAGTGGATCTCTCACAGTGATGACCAGAAGCAGGCTTCTGATCTCACTACAGAAGTTTGCATAGTCCACACAAGCTTCAAGACCTGATTTCATTGAAGGAATTTGGCAGCCTCACCTGCCGCCTAGGGAAAGGATGTTTTACACTATGAATCAAGAGGGATCACATAATTCATAGGGCACTATGTGTAGCGAGAATCATATTTTCAGGTCAAATTCAATCTGGAAACTGCCCTCTCCCAGCTAAGTCTCAAGTAGGCTATGAAGTAGCTTCCACCTCTGCATTTCAACTGAAGTTAGATTAAAGATTGCAGAGAACAGAGAAGGAAGAACGCATGCAAGGAGCATTTGACAGAGTGCTTGGAAATGTAAGCAATCTTGGTTCTGCACTATGTAAGATGGTATGTGTTATAGCTGTAATTGTTACTGTAGACATTCAATGAACAAAGAATTCCCTGTAACACACTCCAAAAGACTTTATAACAGCAGCTCGGCTTCTGGATAGCTTCAAAGTGGCTGATACGGTGTAAAACAGGAAATCAAGGTGCACCCAAGGAAAGGGAATCAGGATATACCCAATACATAAGAAGGGTCCACAAATATTCAATGATTGAATGAAAAACGAAATGAACAAATTGCAGAAAAAAAGTCTAAATGTCCCCAAATACAGAGAATTATTTTGATGACACTTTGCTAAGGGGTAAAGGGCTTATTGTGCATGCCTCAGTTTGTGGTTATTTATATTGTGTTTAAATTTTCATACTGTGCATAATATTTTTATTCTGTATGTGTGAGTGTGTATGTGTGTATAAAAATGATTATACTGCATATAAATATATAATAATAATCATTATACTGTGTTTAAATTAAAGTTGCTTTACTGTGTATAGCAAAAAGGATATTGTTTTCACAGCAGAGAATGTGTCCAGGCCAGGCACAATGTCTCACACCTGTAATCCCGCACTTTGGGAGTCCAAAGTGGGCAGATCCACTTAAGCCCAGGAGTTCGAGACCAGCCTGGGCAACATGGAGAACTCCTGTCTCTACAAAAAATAAAACAGTTAGCCTGGCATGGTGGTGCATGCCTGTGGTCCCAGCTACTTGGGAAGCTGAGGTGGGAAAATCACCTGAGCCCCAGAGGTCGAGGCTGCAGTGAGCCATGATCATGTCAGTGCCCTCCAGCCTGGGTGACAAAGCAAGACCTTGTCTTAAAAAAGAGAATGTGTCCAGTCATTGTGAAAGGTCATTTTGTGAAAGAATCATTTTGCTATGGTATAAACATAAACGAAAGAGGTGGAACCAATTGACCAGGAGGTCAGGGTCAGAGTTCTGGAGAGTTAAGTGGGCAGGCTAAGAAAAAACAAACAAACAAAAAAATGCATGCCTTAGTGATAAGGTTTTCTGTGTCCCCACCCAAATATCATCTTGAATTGTAGTTCCCATAATCCCCATGTGTCATGGGAGAGGCCCCACGGGAGGTAACTGAATCATGGGGGCAGGTTTTCCCTGTGCTGTTCTCATGATAGTGAATAATATCGTGAGATCCGATGGTTTTATAAAGGGCAGTTCCCCTGCACTTCTGCTTGCTGCTGCCATGTGGAAAAGGACATGTTTGCTTCCCCTTCCGCCATGATGGTAAGTTTCCTGAGGCCTCCCCAGCCATGTGGAACTGTGAGTCAATTAAACCTCTTTCCCTTATAAATTCCCCAGTCTTGGGCAGTCCTTTATAGCAGTGTGAGAACAGACTAATATGCTTAGCAAGACTTATTTCTCTTTGGATTTTCTATATGTATGCTGGTCTTCATTTGGGTTTACTAAATCAATGAAAATAGCTTCCAATTTAACTTAGGATTTAAGAGGACATGGATCCTTGGGTTCTATGACCACATATGGTAATCCAGTTAACCTCTGAGGACCCTGCAGGTCCTAGCCAAAAATATGCATTCATTGAATTGAATAGAAATGCATTGAACTGAGTTGGGAGATATGATGCCTTGCCTGAGGACTTGTATGAGTCCTTTAATTTATGTGGGCTTCCAATTCTTGTGCACTATGAAGGGTAGCACCAGGCTACTTGAACACTAAGGAGACTTCCAGCTGGAAGCACTCCTAACTTTCACATATCTACCTTCTGTCATTTGGCTACAAAATAAATAGACAGATAACATCTTATTCTTGGAATGCCCTCATGCACCCCAACCTGTGGCCTCCCAGGTGGCCATGGCTCAACCTGTGGGCTGTGGGCCACCCCAGGCAGACGGAGGGACAAGCTGAATGTCTGGGTGGCTTTGGTGTCCTGCCAGAGCCAGTGCCTGGAGCATGGAGATCACAGATGTCCCTCCCAAACAACAAATCACAGCACATGCTCTCTTCCTGGGTGGAGGTTGCTGGGCTTGAGTTCAGAACAGGCTGGGAAGCGGTCTGACCTGACCGAACACCGTGTTCTGCACAGGCCACGGTGTAATTACAGTTTTGCTGTAGGTGGAGAACTGTTCAGAGGATGGTTCCACCCTTTGCCACCTCCACCATCCCAGGCCTGCTTGTCCATTCTTGCTCCGCAGCCTTACTGGATTCCATGATGGGGATCAGCATGGACCTCTTCTCTTGTTTTCCCTTTTGCATTCCTGCTTGGGGCAAGTCAATCACAGGGGACCAAATAAAATCATCTCCCTCCGTTTGGCTATGCTTCTTGGTGGCCTTGGGCACCAGATGTGGTTCTTTTTACGGCATCTGACCTTGCACAGAGTGCTGTTGTGGCTTGTCATTGATTTTATGTAACGTACACTCATCTGATGGGACATAGATCTCATTCAGATTGTTCAGAGTCCATTCTCTATGGGGACATCTCACCAGGATAATATTCGAGCCACCAGAGTCTTGAGAAAAAGCCGATTTCACCTAAAAGGAATTCAAAGCCCAACTCAAGCCAGCTCCTTCATGTTTAGGCTTGTTCTCTGCCTCCCGGCACCTATTCCCCAAAGCCAGACCTGGGGTGACTTAAGGGTGGCATCTAGGGTGCAGAATCTAAGGCAGCTCTTATTCTCAAGGTCATTTGCATGCCAGGTTGGCAGCTGGGTGTGAATGCCGTCTTAAATTTTGCACGCTGTGTGTTTCCTATGCCTCATGCTAGCCTCTGCCCTGCTGTTTCCATAAAATGGGCACAATAGCATATGTCAGGATTATCAAACTGTAAAGAGGCTACGTATATAAAATAGCAAGGACTCTTCCTGACAACTCCTTACATCTTGTTAGTAAAAACCTATCAGAATCCTAAATTTAGGATTTATAACAGCAAGAAAAAGACTTGGCTGAAAAAGTCGAAATCCTCACAGTAGAACACAGCTAGGTTCAACTTACAAAGTAGTTAATTTAAGCAGTCTACCCAAGCAAACCACAAGAAGTAATGGGCTGATGTTAACGCAAATCCCTTCTCACTATGGACTGAAGAAAGTTCCCCACTGAGTCGTGGAACAGGTTGGGAAGTGTCCTGAGCATGTGCTTCCCTCTTTGATCCAGTGCTGAGTTATTTGTTCATTTTCTTTCCTATCTTACTTTGGCCCCACCCAGTGCTTTTCCCCACTGGGGTTTCTCCCTCCATAAATCAGGCCCCTAGAGCAACTGTAGTCATTCTGTGCTATCTTTGACAGTATTGCATAGTTAAGACTTCAAAGCACAGTCCCACAATCTGAATTCTTGCCTCCAATCCTTCTGATACAGGACTCTTTGGATGGCACTGAAGCTTAGAAAAGTTCACTTTTCCAAGGACATTCTGCAAAGCACCTGCCTCTTTCCCTGTTGCATGGTGTATTATGGAAGTGAGATACGTCATATAATCTGTCTTAAGAGAAAGTGAAATAAAAGTCTCACATTAGGTGTAACAGGAAAATTCCCTTTCATGCAAACAATCCATTGACTCTATAGTATTCCTGTATTTCCTTGGCTGCAAAATCCTGGATTTTTGCCATGGAACTGTTTCATGCTTATCATCTATAAGTTATAGATATGCATGATTTACATTCTGAGTTCTAGATAATTGTCAGTTGCTAGGGAATCTGTTTCTTTTGTGTGTCTATCTCTACATTTTTGTAGTCTTTGTCTTATCTTCTCCTATGCATTCTGTCAAATTTCCACTGTAGTAAAACTTTAATAAGAGCCTTTTTAAGTAGCCACTGCATTTCTGAGACTGTGCTGGGCTGGGCCTATTGCAGTATTTTCTCTCAGCCATGTGTCACCATGAGAGACAGATTGCCATTTCCCCTTTACAAATAAAATGACTGAGGCACAAAGAAGTTCATGATCTTTTCAAAGCAGGCTAAGAACTGAAATGTAAACCCAAGATAATTTAATGTTCAATTGAGACATCGGCCTTTCCCTGTGGCCAAACAAATGTGTTGGCATTCAGGCATTTCTTGCTCCAAGTACTGGTTCATTTTGGTCTCTCTGGCAAATGTTCCTCCTTTTTTTCTGAAACTTTCTTAACCAGTGCAGCCTGAAATACCATGACATCTATGACAAGGATCGTGCAGATATCCTTTTACTTGGCAATCTATCTATGTGCACTGCTCCTTCTGCTGACGGGTCTCTGAGAATGAATGTCATGTCCTTTGGACTTAGCGCATTACCCCCAAATAATTTGAAACCTGTGAACACATTCCAAAGGACATATGTCCAAAAGATGACAAATAATGGAAGGTGTTGGAGCCAGGGGACCTGGGCCTGTTCTCAGACATTTAATGATGTATTTGGCTTTCGGGCCTCATTTACGTTGCAGTAAAAATCACAACGAAGTATTTATCTGAAGTTTGAAAAAGTGTTGGTTGTTTAGTTTTGCATGCAAAAAATCGCTTTGATGTGTGCAGCTTCTAAAGTATACATTCAAATTTGTATCCACATCGGAAATTCAAAATCCACCAGGCTGGTGTAAATGTTCACACTTAAAATTTAATTTAAGTGATTACAATTAAAATAGACCTGCAAACAAGCTTATTTTTCAGAGTAATCTCATTGAATTTGATTCCACATATAAAGCTTATCCATGATATGAGTTGCAGTCCCTTGACCCCAAAGAAGCCAGAAGATCATAATTGATGGGCCCTAACCAAGCAATAGCAGGTAGGATGTGGGGACACAGAGGGAAGATGCTCCCTGGAGCAGGCAGAGGCAGAAAAGCTGGAAGGAAAATGTGTATCGGGTCTGCAGGGTTGGTGGAGGCCACATGTAAGGGTGTGGACAAATGGAAAATGGCGCAGATGTCTGTGAGCAGATCAGGATGTTAGTGACGCGTTAGAGAAGACCACAGGTTTTAGGACCCAGCCCTTAGAACCTTCCACAGACCAATGTTAACTGGAAGCCAACACTGAGAATGCAGAGGCAGCTGTGGATAGCTTAAAGGGCCTGTTATGGGGAATTGTGTCCCCCCAAATTCTTTTGTTGAATTCTTATGTTGAATGTAAACTGAAGTTAATTTGATGTTCAATTGAAACATCAGCCTTTCCCTGTGGCCAAAGAACTGTGTCAGCATTCAGACATTTCTTGCTCCAAGTATTGGTTCATTTTGGTCTCCCTGGCAAATATCCCTCTTTTTTTCTGAAACTTTCTTAACCACTGCAGCCCAAAATACCATGATGTCTAAGACAAGAATCGTTCCACTTCAGTACTTCAGAATGTGACTTTGTTTGGAGATAGGCCCTTGAAAGAGATAATATGTTACAAGAGGATCACTGGTGTAGGCCCCAATCTAATATGACTGGTGTCCTTATCAGAAGAGAAAATTTAGACCCACAGAGAGACACCAGGATCACATGTGCACAGAGGACTGATGATGACAACATCAAGAGGCAAAAAAGAGGTGGTCATCAACCCTGCTGGCACCTTGATCTTGTACTTTCAGCTTCCAAATTGTGAGAAAATACATTATCTGTTGTTCGAACCAGCCAGCTCAGCCTGTGGTCCTTTGCTATTCCAACTCTAGCAAAGCAACCAAGGGCCATGTTGGAAAACACTCCCATGAGTGTTTCATTGTTGTTGCAAACTCAAAACTCTGATCAGTTTATGTGCTGAATTTTCATAGACTCATCATAATTTTACATACCTACTTATTTCATACTTTTTTTGTTCTGAATGTTAAACTCTCCTTCAATATTAAAAAAATCCTTTTGTCATTGAATTATGTTAAATTTAATTCTTATAATTTCTTAATATGTTAAATAAATAAATTTACAAATGAGAAAGAAAAGATCTCTTCCTGGATCAAGAATCCTGTTTGAGGTTCTAAAGAAGTATGTGTATGTGTCTATAATGAATTTCATAAATTTACAATGTTTGTCACGTGGCAACAGCTAAATTCCAGCAAAACTAGAGTGAGCAAAAACCTTTTTTAATTAATAGAACTAACAAGATCATCCCACATAAACAGACCTCGGAAGCTGCCGGGTTTTGGTAGCAGGGGGATATGTGCATTGGCAGAGGCTTTGGGTGGAAAAGTGTTATTTCTATAGTGGCCAAAACACATGACTGAGTTTACTTACTCCAGAATATTTGTTACCTAAAAGGATACTCTTTTCTCTTTAATGTGCACAGGTCACAGACTTCTGGTCCACAGTAACCTAAGATATACACATTTGAGGTGCTCTTTTAGGTTCCCTCCTCACCCCCTCTTTTAAACTGAAAGTAGATTCTTTTCTACAACTGCCACCGAAGTCAAACAATTGGAAAGGAACAATAGAATGACAGATTGCTTGTTCCAAATAATTGGATCAACAATGCAGCAAGCAGTGGGTTATGACAAAAATATTCCTCAAAGGGTGTCAAATTTCAGTAACTCACTGGACAAAGAGACACTGAGCTATGCCTTCCCGAAATAGCAGGCAGTTTTAAAATCAAGATGAAATTCCCCACCCCCTCTCTATAAACAACCGAAACACAGACAAAAGATGAAAACTAGCCCACATGTAGGCACATGATTTAGAAGGTGGATCTAGAAGGTTCATTTCCCACTGGATGGGGAGGTGGCTGGATGGGAGATAAGCTCCAGCTGAGATAAAGACCTGCAGGACTTTGTCTCCACCAGATCATCGTGGGATAAATGTGATGAATAGCAGAGAAGGAGTGGTGCATCTATCCCATGGCTACTGGGGGACCCAGCTTGGATCTCTTGGAGATACTGAGCATTCCATGGACCATCCTAAGACTCAAAACCAATGCCCAAGACTTTGACCAGAGTCCAGGGTCAGGTAGGGATGGAGGAGATGCTGTCGTGTCCTTTTGATCTGAGGACTGTGAATGGAGGCTGCGCAGGAGAAGTCTTTTGCAAGCTCCAGCAATGGCTGCGTCTCACCCCACAGGGCGTGACTAATGGGAGGCAGAGCTCAGCCCAGCCTCCCTTGATTTGGATGGAAGGGAATTTGAGATGTTCACCCCCCACCACACACACAAACCAGCCAATGCTTCTCTGATATTGGCAGGGGGTGAGCTTTATGACCCACAAGGCCTTTTTTATGTCCAATGTCTGCATTAAAAGGCATAGCTTTCAGATTGGTTTAAGCTGACAGTCGGTCTGTGGGACTCTCGTGTGCAATGCTGAGTTTGGTTTATTTTTTTTCAGGAGTACGTTTATTTCATTAAGTTAAAACCAAAGCAATATCAGAAAAAAAAAAAAAAAAAAAGAATTGTCTCCTTGTCCCCACCGTTACTTGGCTGTTAAATTTCTGAGGCATGGAGAAAACTCTAAACTCACAAACAGCCCCATGGACAACAAACTGTTTGGGCACTTAGTGGTAGCTGAGGGGCTTAGGGATTCTAGCCATTCTCAGAACATTCCAGAAAAGCACAACACAAGACAGAAGGTCTGATAGATGTACCTGCATGTGACCAGAACAACAACATAAAAAATCAGCAACAACAGGGTTTTAACTTATAGTCACCTTCTGGAGGCCAGAGACTAAGACTATTTTCCCTTCTCTATAGACTGTTGAGCTCTTATGGATGACCATGTTCATACAACCAATGGAGAGAAGCCCAATTGCTACCGGGGGGCCCAGTTAGAGCAGCAGCTTGAGAAGTAACTACAGGCAGAATGTCAGGAATACGTACTTCCCTTGACCCCAGGGACATCTATCCTAGGCTTCATTAGAAACAACTAGTTTAGTGCTAAAGGCATAAAGCTCACTTATTCCTAAGTGAGTCCACAATCTCTGAAACCAGATCCCTCACCAGTTTCTACCATGCACAAGATCACCCTGAAGTCTATCTGGAAAGAGCAAAAGTCTCAGCTTGGAATCAGATGGATTGCAAGCCCGGCTCTGCCAAGCGGCTGCCAGAAGGTGATTTTCAGCAAGGCTAAGTCACCATCATCGGTCTTGGGGCCCTCTACCTAGGTCAGGCTGGCCTTGAACCCAGGCATTGTGTCACTCAACTGAAATCATCTGTGTCGTCCAAAGTCAAAGAGGAGGTTAGTTAAGATGGCAATACCCAGTTACTGGGGCCCTGAATACAGTGGGAAGAAGTGTGGGCTTTGCCCTGGAGGTGACAGAGGCCATCAAATAGAGTTTATATCTTTAAGCAATTTTTCCACCAAGTCAAATTAATAAATTCACAAATTAATTAAAGGGAATGGAACTGAATTCCCATTATGTGTGGACTCTGCATGCGGAGTTTCTGCATTTGCAGAATTAATAGAGTGATAACGTGTTTTTTCCTCTTCTGCCAAGACATGTGAAATGTAACCACTCAACTTTTATAGACACATCTAACGAAAAAGTAGAGGTAGGGGTAAGCTTGGGGACCAGCCAGACACCCATATAGGCAATGACTAGTATCTGAAAGGGTCTGGTGCAGAAGATGAACCAGTACCTCTCTTTTTGTAAAATTGTTTCTGTGAGTTTCTTTTCAGTTATCCATGCAATCCATAGTCTCCATCTCTATGCCCTGATGACCATCAGGTATCAGGTAAGCAAGGTTTTTTTTTTTCCTTTAAGTTTTTTTTTTTTTTTTTTAAGAAGGAATCTGGCTCTGTCACCCAGGCTGGAGTGCATGTGGCACAATCTCGGCTCACTGCAACCTCCGCCTCCTGGGTTCAAGCGATTCTCCTGCCTCAGTCTCCTGAGTAGCTGGGATTACAGGCACACACCACCATGCTCGGCTAATTTTTGTATTTTTAGTAGAGATGGGGTTTCACCATGTTGGCCAGGCTGGTCTTGAACTCCTGACCTCAGGTGATCCACCTGCCTCAGCCTCCCAAAGTGCTGGTATTACAGACGTGAGATACCACGCCTGGCCAAGTTGTATTTTATTTTTAATTAACACATAATAATTGTATATACTTACGAGATACAGTGTGATGTTCAATACATGTATACAATGTGTAATGACCAAATCAGAGGAATTAGCTAATTCATCACCTCAAACATTCATCTTTTTGTGTGTGTGTGTGTGGCAAGAACATTCAAAATCCTCTCTGAGTTATTTTTAAGTATACAATACAGTATTGTTAACTAAAGTCATCCTACTATACAATAGAACTTATTTCTCCTATCTATTTGTAATTTTGTACCCATTAATACATCTGTCCTCATTCCCTGCTCACCATCCCCAGCCTCTAGTAACCACTGTTCTACTCTGTACTTCAATGAGATCAGTTTTTAAAAATTCCAAAAATGAGTGAGATCATGTGATATTTGTCTTTCTAGGCCTGGTTTACTTTACTTAATATAAACTCCTCCAGGCTCATCCATGTTGCCACAACTGGTAGGATTTCATTTTTTATGGCCGAATAGTACTCTATTCTATATAGGTACCACATTCTCTTTATCCATTTGTCTATTGATGGACACTTTAGTTGATTCCATGTCTTGGTTACTATCAATATTGATGCAATAAACATGGGCGTGCAAATATTTATTTGACATACTGACTTCCTTTTTGTACTATTCTTTTGGATAAGCACCCAGCAGTGGGATTATTGGATTATATGGTAGTTCTATTTTTAATATTTTGAGGAACCTCCATACTGTTCTCCATAATGGCTATACTAATTTACATTCCCTCTGATAGTGTATAAGGGTTCCCATTTTTCCACATCACATCAGCATGTGTGCCTTTGTTGTATTTTTGCTAATAGCTATTCTAATTCAGGTGAGGTGATATTTCACTGTGGTTTTGATTTGCATTTCCCTGATGATCAGTGATGCTGAGCATTTTTCATACACTTGTGAGATATTTGTACATAGGGGAGTGAGTCTGTAAGAGACACCATGATCTGGATGAAAGAGGAAGAAGCTGGTGACAGGTAGATTTCCCACTAGCCAATCCTTGTTTGTGGCTAGTAAATTCTGGGACTTTCCTAAGTCTCAGTTTTCTTATGTGTCATAATAAGAATAACATCTTTCCATCTTCTTTAGAGAGATTTTGCAGGAATCAAATACAGGTTGTAAATTAGATTGAAAAAGCAAATAGTGCTAAAAAAGTCATTACAAAATCTTCAGTCCATAAAGAGAGTGGCCCTACAATCCAAACTCTGCAAAATTAATTCAAAACCATTTACAGGACATATAGAAAGACTAAGAATGGAATGTTATAATTGTGCAGACATAATGCTTGTCCTCAGAGACTGTGATCCAATCGGGAGGCAGGGCAAAGACACAGAGATGATAGCTAACAGCACTAGGAAGTGCCTAATTGGTTGTCAGATATGTAATAAACTCAAGTTGAAATATATATGGTCTTGGGAGGAATATATATTTTTGATGTGGATGTTTATTTATGAGAAACATTTTGTAGGATTATAAAAATGTCTGTTTTTCAAATGCCTTCACTGAAAAGAACAAAATAAGATTATGGTATTGTCCAACAAAAAAAGGGGGATTTTGTGATTACCTTCGGTGGGGTTAATTTTTGAACACATCTTTGTGAAGGTCATCATGATGGTGAACTTTTAAGTCAGTGCTTTTGAAAGGATATCAGGTAATTACTAGTCTGCCGACTAATTGAAATGAGACTTCTTGTCGTATTCATTTTTGTGTTTTCCCAAAGTAACCAGAGCAGTCCCTGATATACTGGAAACATATGCTAAAGGCTTATTAAGAGAAAGAAATAAGAAGACAAGACAGAGAAAATAACATTTGAGAGGGAAGAATTTTCCTTTCTTTCTGGATATTTTTATCTGTGTTTGTGGATTTCCAAGGAGGAATTTATTTTTGGAACCACCTTAGACTTGGGGTGGACATAAATTAACTTACGGCTTTTCCTAAGATTTTATTCTATCATCCACACTCTTGCTTCATGTAAGAACAAGTGCTCGTTCATCCAAAAGCTACTCCATGCATCATTTCAGCCACCCAGGACTAGGAAAAGGACAGCAAAAGGGACAAACAATGGCTAAGAGCTACTGAAAGAGATTCCTGAAGCCGTCACAGTTAACTCCAATGTTCAAACCCAGAAATGGCCTTGGCCCCTTCCCCATGGTTTACTATTTGTTTTTTTCCAAGCAAAAAAAGTCCATGGAGGTAGAAGAAACTGTACGAAAGCTAAAGACAGAAATATCTTAGCACACTTTTCAGCGGAAGGTCAGAAGCACTGACTAGAAGAGGCTCAAGTCATGGAATTTATCTGAAGATGTAGAGTGATCTCCTGGAGATTCAGAAAAGGCCCCAAAACAGGCCTCAGAAAAGGCCTCAAAACAGGCTTCAGAACAGGTTGCCATTAAAGCAGTTCTGGAGAAATCTACACATTTCCTGTGCTTCTCTGGAGACCTCAAGACTGGGGCCTTCATCTTTGCAACGTGCCCACGGTTTGTTTGTTTCCTGTCTCCCTCTCCTTCTTGATCAACTTTTTTTCTTTTCTGCTTTTATGTTAAACACATGCCCCAGTGAACCCCCCAGTCCTCAGTGTACACGATTTTCAGCTCTGATCCCTACAGCTTTTTGGCAACAGACTCAGAATTCCAGTTTCACAACTCTTGGCAAGAGACCTCCTTGACTCAGCTCCCTTTCTGGCCAATTCACACAGCGTTGAGGTCCCTGACAAAGGCACATTTACCCTGACGCAAAGGAAGCTCAGGATCCAGCTCTTCACTTGCACAGACCCTTCCAGAACCCTAGGAAGAACCCTATGAGTGGGTTCCAGGGTCCTCCTATGTATTTGGAACATCACCCTGGTAAAATACTTGTACCCACATTGGTAAAGACAGCTTCTCTTTCTGCTGTGATTTCCTCTCCTTCACATTGGCCCTTGTCCTAGAGGATTTTAGAGTTGTCAGGGCATTTTTGGGACCCAGAAAATAAGAAGTTGAGTTGGAGAGATATGCAGTTTGGGTTTGTGTGTTCATAGTTCCTTGGGTGGATAGCAAAATATTGATTGCTCTCCCAATGCAGTAATGCCTTGGCTTCTGGAAGTACTTTTGTTGCCTGCAGCACTAGCTCACCTGGCACTGTGACAGCAAGAGTGAGGTTAGAGGTTGTGTTGGGTTAGGAATACATCCTCAGTGCCTGGTCTTGGAAGCAAGTGAGTAAAGGAGGAGTTCTAGGCTTTCAATTATACAGAGACAAAAGCTAATTTGTGAAAATTTTTTCCACTTATCAAGCGAGGAATATTGTAAGAGAGTATTGTTCTCACTAATGTCCGGTAGAAATGGATGTTCCATCAGAAATACACTAGATCATACTATATATTCAAGCATAAACACATAGAACTCTTTAAAAAATGGAATTCATTGTTAGGGATAAACCTCTTGTAGAATTATAATCAGCAAATGCATTTGAAACAGCTCATCTATATAGGAGATTTGACAATAGTTTATATGTTTGGCCACATCTTAATAATCTATATGATGCTACCAATAATGTGTAGTGAAGTTGAAAAGGACTTTTTTCAAAGTATAATTAAGAAAAAAAAATAAATCACCCATGAATTATTTTTCTATTCTCTGTGGAGTTAATGATATATCAAAATATTAGTTATATGTACATTCAGTCAAAAATGCAGGGGAGGCAGGATGTGGTGGCTCATGCCTGTAATCCCAGCACTTTGGGAGGTGGAGGCAGACAGATCATATGAGGTCAGGAGTTTGAAACTGGCCTGGCCAACATGGTGAAACCCCATATCTACCAAAAATACAAAAATTAGCCGGGCATGGTGGTGGGCGCCTGTAATCCCAGCTACTCGGGAGGTCGAGGCAGGAGAATCACTTGAGCCTGGGAGGCGGAGGTTGCAGTGAGCAGAGATCATGCCATCGCACTCCAGCCTGGGCAACAGAGGGGGAAAAAGAAGAGAAAGAAACAGAAAAAAAAAAACACAGGGGTAAAGAATTTTTGAGCTGTTTCAGGCAGAAAAGTAATAAAAGTTAAGTTGCTATTCTGTATATTTGCCGACTTCTATGAATTTACAATTTGTTGAAATGTATTTTCTCATTCTAAATATATATTTGATGACCTATATCACTTTATATTCTTTTTCAAAAACAGGATCCCCCAAATGCATAGGCACAGGCCTCCCAAACCCAGATCTGCTCTGTTCACTGGAGAGTGGAGACTAGTTGGGTTAGCCAGGTTCAGATGGTCACTGTTGGTTTCATCATCTGTGACAGAATGGTTGGGGTAGAGAGGACTAGAAACAGATACACAGGACAGGACACAGGACACGGTTTCTATGTCATTCAGCTATGCGAATGGTCAGAAGGGGTGATAAGAAACTCTGCATCCGAAACACAGCCTTAAAAGACACCAATGATAAGTGGTGCCTTTCTCTTGAGGATCTCACCATCTACTGACAGAATAAACGGAAAGTGTTACTGTTATCTTCATGTTTGTAGATGGTGCAGTGAGACTTAAAAAGGAAGTAAATAATCCTAGTTATTCAATCACCATATTTGTGTTCAGTGCTTTGCAAATAGGAATTTATTTAATCTCCAGATACCCTGATGAGTTAAGTACCCTTCTTATTCCTACTTTACAGAAGAGAAAATTGAGGCACACAGACATGTACTAAGTTGCCCCAAATGACCCAGCTCATTATTGGCAAGGCAGTGATTTACACCCAGGCATTCTTGGTGCTCCCAACCATGGCACCAGGCAGAGGGAAGAAAGAAGTGTGAGGGAGCCTCCATCAAGGCAGCAGCTATGTGGTGAAACCCTCCAAATTCCCTTCAGACACCAAATAAATTAAGGGGCCACCTCTATTTTTTTTAAATTAAACTTTAAGTTCTGGGGTACATGTGCAGAACGTGCAGGTTTGTTACATAGGTATACACATGCCCTGGTGGTTTGCTGCACCAATCAACCCGTCATCTACATTAGGTGTTTCTCCTAATGCTATCCCTCTCCTACCCTCAATCCCCCAACAGGCTCTGGTGTGTGATGTTCCCCTCCCTGTGTCCATGTGTTCTCATTGTTCAACTCCCACTTATGAGTGAGAACATGCTGTGTTTTATTTTCTGTTCCTGTATTAGTTGGCTGAGAATGATGGTTTTCAGCTTCATCCATGTGCCTGCAGAGGACATGAACTCACCTTTTTTAATGGCTACATAGTATTCCATGGTGTATATGTGCCACATTTTCTTTATCCGGTCTATCATTAATGGGCATTTGGGTTGGTTCCAAGTCTTTGCTATTGTGAATAGTGCCACAATAAACATACGTGTGCATGAGTTTTTATAGTAGAATGATCTATAATCTTTTGGGTACATACCCAGTAATGGGATTGCTGGGTCAAATGGTATTTCTGGTTGTAGATGCTTGAGGAGTCGCCACACTGTCTTCCACAATGGTTGAACTAATGTACACTCTGACCAACAGTGTAAAAGCATTCCTGTTTCTCCACATCCTCTCCTCTTATCTTAGGCTGTTGCAGAAGAGTCAGGCACCTGAAGGGAGGAGTTGTCGGAAATCACAGATATGGCAGCCTGAGAGCAAGAGACTCAGGGACTCAAGAACACATTTAATAGCGTGACACAAGAACTGAAAAGCACAGAAAACCTGGTGTCCTTCTGTGTGTGATCAAATGGTCCTATGCCCCCTTTGTAGCTCTGACAGTCACTCTGACAGTACTGTCATTGACATTCTAAATAATGATGAATTATTAGATTGGTGCAAAAGTAATTGCTGGTTTTGCCATTAAAAAATTCATAAAATGGAAATTCATAAAAACTGAATTCCCATTATGTGTGGACTCTGCCTGTGGGGATTCTGCATTTGCAGAATGAATAGGGTGATAGGGGTTTTTTCCTCTTCTCCCAAGGCATTTGAAATGTAAACACTCAACCTTTGTAAACACAACTAACAAAAAGGCAGATGTACTGGTTTGTAGAGGTAGGGAGTTTGGGGTCCAGCCAGACACCCACACAGGAAATCACTAGTATCTGAAAGGGTCTGGTGCCGAAGATGAACCAGCACCTCTCTTTTAATGAGGTTGCTTGTGTGAGTTTGTTTTCAGTTATCCATGCAATCTGTAGTCTCCATCTCTACTGCCATTTTAATGGCAAAAAAACAGCAATTACTTTTGCAGTAACCTAAAAACACTAAGCACATTTTATTTCTTGTCTACATGGTATATTTCAGGCAGACTTCATGACTAAAGAGGTAAACTTGTTTGGGACACTTGCAAAGATAAGCTTCAGGCCCATGCTGCATGAACTAGCTTATTTGATAACATTTAAGTGGCTGGGCATGACAGTCATTTGAAGCATCTCTCAAAGGGGGCTGGCGGTGAGGAGGATGGATAAGAAGGGATGCTGGCTGAGAATGCTGCTTCCTGGATTTAGGTCCTGGAGGGCTGGAACTGTGAGGAGAGAGTCTACTCTTGAAAAGAAGTAGAAGACAGCCCAGAGTGTGAAGTGTAAGGACAGAACTGGTGTCATGGAGCCACACAACACAAGCTAGCAAAAGATTCACAGTAAAACCAAGAAGCAGAGTCCAACTTCAGATGGTGGCAGGTTAGTGCAAGTCGGGAACAGAAGCTGGGGGGCGGGGGGACTTCTCCCTGCAGTGTGGTCTTCAATGTTTGGCCAACTCCAGCCGATTTACAGAGACAGCTATCTTTACAAGAAAATAGGGTAGATCCAATGGTGAATCATGATCAAATGCTCTTAAGACTCCAGTCCTTCCTCTTGAATAAAGAAAAACAGGGACTTTGATTTTGGCAAAAATGGACCAACAAATATTTCGGCACTCCTCAGCCTATTACTGCAAAGCGCTTTGTAAATCGTTACGCCCAATCTCTGTGGTTGCTGCGTGCATCTCCTTTTAACGTGCACATCCTTTTAAGTGCAGCGATTTTGAGTTTCTGACCATGCATTTTGGGTTAGCTTCCTTGCTAAGGGAAGAGGTGTTAATTTTTAGAAACAATTATCATTATGACCTTGATGATTAAGTAGGATAATTACACGGCGTTGTGACTAATATGTTTTATATCATAAACATTGCTTTCTGATCTACTTACTGGGGGGAAATGCCATTTTTGAAAAAAAATGAGTATTTTTTAACATGATTAGCAAGCCATCTGTTGACATTTCAGTGCAATTTCTCATGAAAGTCCCTAGCTTACAGCTTCAGTTTTATCATAGCAAGAACCCAAAATAGTTCTGCCTTTTGCAGTTACATCAAAATAAGGTGATTTAGAAAGGGCACTCTGTAGAAAATGCAAGCATAGATTTCAAGCTTACCTAGGTCATATCTCTGGAGAGCCGAGGAAGCTTCGATGTGATGCTTGACAAATTAAGGAGAAAGTATTTTGTCCCTGTCTGTTTCCCTCCTTCCTTTCTCCCTTTTTATGAAGTAGAAGGAACACAGGCAGGCTTTGAATTTACATTTGAATTTACATTTACACAGGCATTGAATTACCTAGGTCCAAGTCCTGTATTCACCAGGATTCTTTGGGTTGTATGTGACAGATTCCTAACTGTGATTAGCCAAAGCAAAAAGAGGGAAGTTATTGAGTCAAGAGTCAAACCGCAAAGTGGACAGGGGTGGAGCTGGCCTTGAGAATAAATGATATGTGAGCATGAAACCTTCTTTGCTGTGTTTATCTCTGCTGTGTGTGTCACCTTCAAATCCTCAGATCAGCCACTGTGTGGCCCCCACAGAGCCACAGGCAACACAGGTTGGCGAACAGAAAAGTGATGAGCCCTCTTTTAGCTCCAAATCAAAAGGAGCATGATGGGCCAGACTTGGATCACATGATCACACTTTGGACCAGTCACTGCAGCCTGAAGACTGAGATATATTGTTCCCCTGCAGGACAGAGAAAATAAATAGTTGTGTATCATTTCATCACAGGGGTGTAATCTGAGAAATTTGCCCCTGAGTGACTTTGTCATTGTGCAAACATCACAGTGTGTACATACACAAACCTAGATAGTGTATCCTGCCACATACCTAGGCCATATGGTACAGCCCAGTACTCCTAGGCTATAAACCAGTACAGCATGATACTGTACTGAAGACAGTAGGCAACTGTGACACAATGGTAAATACATGTGTATCTAAACATATCTAGACACAGAAAAGGTACAGTAAAAATACAGCATTAGGGCATGACTGTATGTAATAACAAGGACAGTAACTCTAAGGCCTAAGGCAAATGACCCAATTTAGTGAACCTTCACTCCCTGGTCTATAAAATGGATATTAACATTTACAAGGCAATTTGCAAGGAGTCAATGAGATATTAACACATGAGAAGTGTCTGCCATGGAATGAGATGACTGCCTATTGTGCTGCCTGTTTTATAAGTGATATCCCATTTGAAGTGGGGGCCAATATCCCCATTTTTACAGATGAGGAAACTGAGCTGAGGTTTAATGACTTGTGTGATTTATGCAGCTAGTGAATAAAAAGGACAGAGAAGAAATACAGGTCTCGTGCACAGAAACATCCTCATTTTGTCCACACCACCCTGAAATCGGAAGACTAATAGCCCCAAGCAAAGAAGGTGAATGCTATTGGTTTATGTAAGTAGAAGCAAGCCCAGAGAAGCTGGGAGGCTCCTGCCTGAGGAGCCACTGCTCTACTGTTTGGGAGAGTCTCACAGCTGGCCCTTCCACCTGAGCTCTTCACTGTGGCCCCTGGTGACTGACCAAGATGAGCTGAGAGCCTCTGTCGATCCCCTACAGTGCACAGGGACACATGTTATCATTATTTATCTTACTTTCCATCTGTTTTCTCCTGCAGGTGATCACAAGTCCCTTAAGACACTGCTAAAACCGCACTCCACTTTGGTCAGTCAATTGCTGTAGATTTTCCCATGGAGTGGACAGAGAGGTCCTCATGCAATGATCTGATTTTCACGCTTCCTCCTACATGTCATGTGGGTGTCATCAAGTCCCTGAGCCTCAGTTTTCTCATAGATAAAAAGAAAGGGTTCAGACAAACCCTGACGTTTCTATTAAAACTAACTTTGTGTGACCGCTGTCCATGGGCACTTTTTTTTCTTTTTGATAGCTTCATCTTTTGCTATATATTTGAAGCCCTCAGGGACTTCTTATATGGTCAGGACTACTGTGGGCAGGGGGAGTCTGCCTCTTGGTCCTGCAAGGATTTGCCACCTCACCACGGTCCTCTGGCCTCGTCATCCTGTGCATGTCTCTCCCTATGGTTGCGCAGAGGCATCCTCGGTCCCCAGCCTTTAAGGGCCATGACACTCAATGGCCCTTCCTTAGCCCACTGTTCCATTGTTTTGGCCCCAGGAGGAGCTCACTGTTCTCCAGTAACTTTCTCAGGTTCCTGGGTGACTTTGGGGTGGGGGCATGCTGCCACCTTGACACACCTGTGCTTTCATCTCAGCCCTGTTATTCCCACCCCTTGATTTGCTGAGATGTCAAGGTGACAACATGGTGGTTTATCAGAATTCCAGGCAGGAAGATGGAATGGGTGATGTACAGGTCCTCCTAACTCTTGGATTCCCCAGACTCAAAGTGGGGTTTCCATGATCTTCCCCACCTAGTACCAAGACTGGGGGCCAAGAATGAGCAAAGCCACTCCTTTCACCAACTCCTCTCTCTCTCTCTCTCTTTCTCTCTCTCTCTCTCTCTCCCTTCCTCTCTCTCTCTATCTTTCTCACTGTCTCTCTCCATCTCCAGCTTAAAGGGCTTTTGTAGTTGGACACGGGAGGGAATATACCATCTCTCACCTGCATCTTCTTTTCTAAACTTTCCAGCCTAACATTTGAAGTATGACTTTTCAACTGAGAAGTTAAAAATGCATAACTTTGATTCTGAGATTCCAACAATCCTCTTCTGTCCACACAGTGGGTGACTCCTATCTGAATTGGATGAAGGGCATTTTGGTAGAAACATAGAAATTCGATGTGTATAGCCTTGGGGCAGGGGCGTGGAGGCACAGCATTGTACACTTTGCATACCAATATGCCAAATCAATACCATACTTGATATTCATCTCTACTCTAACCAAATAATGGAGACATCAAGACTCTCCATCTACCTTAAGAGCAGAAATTGATATACCTAGAAAATCTTTCATGTACAAAGTTTTTATCAGAGCTATGCAAAACATTAAAATGTAAAATTAGAAAAAAGTAATTATTCAATAAGACAATATTGATTAGTTAAACCATGATTCCTCAAGTTAAAAATAAATTAGACAATGATGGAAGAGAGTAATTGGAAAGAATATATGCTTCTTTTGCCAGGTTAAGCCAAATTTTTTGAAAGAGTAAAAAACAGAAAATTAAGTTAAAAAGTTGCAGACACAATATATTAGCTGTGTTGCCAAAACAGTTGGGTTTTATATAAAGAATGAATATCAGAATTATCTTTCAGTCCTAGACTAATGGGAAATATTTTTCTCTGTTCTACTTTACAATCTAATTTATTTTATGAGATACTAGATGTTATCAATTGGAAAAGAGTATTATTAAGGTTTTATTATTAATAAAAATAATATCTGCACTTTAAGGTGCTCTTTACTTCCCATCCCTTCCCTAGGAAGCCTCCCCTGATGTACCCCCAACCCCATCAAGTTCCCCAACCTAGAGGACATTCCTTCCTCCCATAAATGCTTAAGGAACTGTGCCAAATGTCTATGGCGTTGGCTTTATTCTTCTTTGTATTCTAGTTATTTATTTTCATGTCTTAAATCTGCCCAACTCCTGTTTTAATAAGATCAGATCAGCTATGTCTTGTTATTAAAAAAAAAAAACCCCTCTAGTAATTTCATTTGATTTATTCCTGGTCACTTGTATAATTGGATGAGCTTGGGGGAAATGGGATTTGGAGAAGGTAGTACTCACTGGGGCAGACAGGTTCAAGGGCTAACCAGGTGTGTCACTCCAGACCTCTCATGACCCCTTATGATCTGTGCCTGTATGAGTTGGCGGCTCATCCCAAATTACGTCCTGCAGACTGCAAAAGGCCCTGCGGATATTTTTTAAAAGTTTTAAAAATCTTACCGAGACTCCTTTTCGAATAACTCCTCAGAGCCTTGGATACATCTGTGTCAGTCACCAGAGGCAGAGGTAGTATGGAATGTGTCCCAGACTTAAGTGACAGAGAGGCATTTTTGAAGCATTCCCTCGACCAGCAGTCCACTGGTCACCCCTCGGAAAACTGAGCTCCGATTCCATATGCTCAAAAGAAAGCAATTACATCAATGACTCAGTAGCAATGTCCAGTGTCTCTTATCATCCCTTGCACTCTGGGGAACCATACTCTACCTCCCAAGGCAAATCTGGACTCTCATTTTCTAACTTGGTGCTTCACCTTTTCCTCCAAATGAATCCAACCCTTAGCATGTTCTGCATGTCCTTGGTTCTTTGAGCCCGGAGGACTCAAAGTGAATTCCTTTCAGTTCCTTTTAATGTGGTCTTTTGGCTGGGGTCAGATGCAATGCACTCCATCTACAAAATATTTTAAATGCTTTCCATGTTCATTGTGAGACAACAATGTCTCCTGATTAAAAAAGCCCTATCAAAGCTGAAGGGTTGGCTGGTGTTGCTTTCTTTGAAGGATGTTTCTATTATATTTCAGTGGTATCAATAAATAAAAAGAGCTAAGGGAGCTTTCAGCCACCCCCTACTTTCATGTTTTGTCCCTTGATCATCATGGACACTTATACGTGGCAGCAAGACCCCCCAGAGAAAATTTTAATTATAATATTCAATTTCTGCATCCCGACATGACATTGTGTCACTGAATGTGTTGTTTGAAAAAGGTTAGGGAGTTAGTTTGCAAGAAAATGAGAATTCTTAAATTCATTTGGAACCAGGTAAATATGCCCTTCCCAGTGGGACGGTGACCTTGGTGGCTTCTTTTATTACTCCTCTTGAAAAGACAGGCTCCTTCATGCTTCATTCGATTATGTTTTACCTTCTAAGAGAGGCAGCAATGTGCTGTGGTTGGAGTATGACTCTGGGGCTGATTATTCAACTCCTGGCTGTATTTCTTCCTCACTGGTGACCCAGGAACATTGCTTAGTCTATTTGGGCATCTCTGTTTCCTCATCTATAAAGTGAGAATAAAAATAGTACTGACCTCAGTGCCAGGCATACTGTTGAACATCATCTCAGCGGTTGCTCTTGTCATGATAGTGACATAGAGTCTTAGTGCTGGGCACTGTGGGAGACAAGATGGAACTCGTCACTGAAGTTGTTTGGGGTCTTTGGAGCAGCCAGGCATTTCCAGAACGGTGAGTGACACTTGCTATCACAGAGGCACACACTAAGCCTGTAAGAGCACACTTGCTCCAACTTCCTAATAAGGATGGGCAGCATCCAGCAGACACATCTGCCATGTCAGTCAAAGATGGGAACAAGGGGCCAGGCGCGGTGGCTCAGGCCTGTAATCCCAGCACTTTGGGAGGCAGAGGTGGGCAGATCACAAGGTCAGGAGATCGAGACCATCCTGGCTAACGCAGTGAAACCCCGTCTCTACTAAAAATACAAAAAAAAAAAAAAATTAGCCTGGCGTGGCGGCAGGCGCTTGTAGTCCCGGCTACTCGGGAGGCTGAGGCAGGAGAATGGCGTGAACCCGGGAGGCGGAGCTTGCAGTGAGCCGAGATCACGCCACTGCACTCCAGCCTGGGCAACAGAGCAAGACTCCATCTAAAAAAAAAAAAAAAAAAAAAAGATGGGAACAAGGTTCTCAGAGCTGCTCTTGGTCCCTCTGGGGTTGATCGGGCAGGCAGAAGCCCACAGGCTGAGGGAAGACTGCCAGTCCCAGCCGCTGCCAGAGGTTTTAGTGCTCACGGGCCCGTGAGGAAGAGGTGAAGCCACAGGGGTGAGGCCCAAGGGCAGCAGCCCAAGCCATTTAAAAAAAAGGCCAGAAGGCAAAGAGTGACTTGGGAGAGGTGGGGATAAAGAACGCAGACTATCATTTCCCCTGATTACTATCATGGTTACGTTTGGTAGTGGTGGTGCGCTAGCTGTTATTTTTATTATGTGTTGCCAGATCTTTCTTTTGTTTTGTTTTATTTTGTTTGTGTATTTGCTTTTGTGTTTTTTTGTTTGTTCGTCTTTTGAGACAGAGTCTCACTCTGTCACCCAGGCTGGAGTGTAGTGGCGCGATCCCTGCTCACTGCAAGCTCCACCTCCCGGGTTCACGCCATTCTCCTGCCTCAGCCTCCCGAGTAGCGGGGAGTACAGGTGCCCGCCACCACGCCTGGCTAATTTTTTGTAATTTTTTTAAGTAGAGACGGGGTTTTACCGTGTTATCCCGGATGGTCTCGATCTCCTGGCCTCGTGATCCGCCCGCCTCGGCCTCCCAAAGTGCTGGGATTACAGGCATGAGCCACCGCGCCTGGCCTGTGTTTGTTTTGTTTTTGAGACCGAGTCTTGCTCTGTTGCCCAGGCTGGAGTGCAGTGGTGCAATCTTGGCTCACCACAACCTCTGCCTCCTGGGTTCAAGCAAATCTCCTGCCTCATCCTCCAGAGTAGCTGGGACTAAAAGCGTGCATCACCATACTCGGCGAATTTTTGTGTTTTTGTATTTTTAGTAAAGACGAGTTTCATCATGTTGGCCAGGCTGGTTTCCAACTCCTGACCTCAAGTGATCCACCCGCCTCAGCCTCCCAAAGTGCTGGGATTACAGGCGTGAGCCACTGCACCCAGTCTCAGTTCTTTCTTAAATATCTAATGGTAAAATTCTGGATTCATCCATCAAAATATAACTCTTTTTATTTCCTTTGTTCTTATTTGCATCACGACTTTGCTGGTGGGTCATGCATGTACTGAGTCAGTCTGGTAGACTTTAGCATGTAGAATGACTCACCTCCAGCCTCCTGTCTCCAAGTCAGGAGCTCTGACAAACACGTGGCCCTCCATCTCCTGTCCTGTCTCCCCAAGTTAAGATGCCTCCTGTGTAGTACATGTTCCCTTTTCCTGTGCATTGAGATCTCTCATAATAATGCTGTGTTTGGTGTTGGCCTCTCTGATATGTATGTTTTCTCCACCTCCTGTCTGGAATATGCAGTTATACCTTCCATGTGTCTCCTTCCATCTCATTCCACAGCACCCATTGCTCTTTGACTGGACCACACTGTGAATTTGCTCTACGCAGCAAGTGAGCACTCGGCTTGTTGGACCAACCTTTAGAACTGGTATATTTAATAGAAGGTCATGTTGGATTTGTGCACCCAAAGTCTCTATGCCATCCTCTTATACAACAGAAGAATTTCTAAATGTTTCTGCAGACATCTCCAAGTGAAACTGCTTTTAAAAGACATCATCGAAGAGACTGTCATTAAACCATGATTAGGCTTGGTTGGAAAGATTATAGTTTATTAGCCCATCTGATGGTTCTGACTCAGAGAGGGCTCCCTAAGTCCACCTGAATGTAGGAAACTTTGCCTGCCCTAGAGTGATACTACGGGTAGCATCATTTGATCTGTCGAGACTTGGCATCCTAAAATATTCATTTCATATCAGAAGTGATGTATTTTCAAGGGATGTGCGTGGTTAAGAACTGCCAGCATTGACTTTCAATTTAACTGCATAAAGAATGTCAGGTCCATGTGACACAGTCATCATCCTCTTCATTGTAATGCAACTTCGTGGCATAAATGACATCATTGGTATGTGAGTTTCCATGCAAATAATGTCATTTGAATCCTTTTAACAGAAGGTAATGACACAAGAACTCCCAGAGCCGAGGGAACAGTCTTGAAATGAAGACTTTCAAGTGACAACAATCAAGTTGTGACTTGCTTATTTTTCCTCTTCTAATTTCTCCTCTTTTTTCTGATGATGAGATGGCACTTAGGGGAAAAACCAGGTTGAGACTTGGGGCTATGGAAGCCCTTAGTCCTCTCTTAAACAGCTCCTATGCTGGTATAGAACTAGGACTTTTTGTGATCCAAGAACTAGGAAGTCCATTTTATCCCTTTTGATCCTTCCCCTGGGCTGCAAGGTAAGCAAGGACTTCTTTCTATCCAGATTTCATGGCGTGGAATGCCAAGGCTCAGGGCAATGATGTAATCATCATGTGGTGATGATACTGCTGAGAGTCACTGTTTGTTGTTAGTTGTGAACTCACCACGAGCCAATCATTGTTCTAGTGTATTAATTCATTAAATCCTCCTCCAATCCCAGAAACCCAAAGCAGTAGATTTTATTATTGCTCATAGAAGCAGACAGAGGCAATGTGACTTAACCAGGACCACCAGCCAGGAAAGCCAGGCATGTGGGAGATCTTGTCACCTGTACTTGAATCTCGTGGTACTTCATTACCATTCTTCTTTAGAGAAAAAAAATTTGCTGCCAAGTCATACACATGCCTTCCTGCATGTTTGGATCAATCAGCTATTGGCTCAAGTAGTTTGGACACCAAATCTCAAATTCCAGGGTAGGGCCCGGAGCCAAGCCGACTGTCCCCGGCCTCAAGATCTGATGCAGACATAAGCAATGGGAAAAGGTGTCCAGTTTGTCTACATTTGTTGATCCCAGAGTAAGTCCTCATTTCTGAGCTGAATCTGTGACCCCACGATGAAGAGCACAAAAAAAATTAAAATGTAAAAACATGGCTTTGGGAATGTACGTGATGGGTCCACAAACTTTGAACCATGTACTTTGCATACAAACCTTCTGAATAACACTTCTTTTGTGTCTGGCTCAGTGTAGACAGGTGGCTCCCCCATTTCCCCTCCCCCTTTGCTCTGGGGGTGGCAGAAGATATGTGGCCATGACCTTGGCTGTCTGAGAATTTTCTCAGAGGAAAGACAGAAGCAGATGGAGGGTCTTGATATTTAATAAGAGCCTGACATTACCATGGCTTGCCTTAGAATGGGACACAGGGACCAAGAAGGAAGTGATTCTCAAAACTAAACCACCACCATTGACAAAAAAAACAACCCAAGGCATAGAACTTAACCATCATGCCCTGAGTTCAATATCCCTTGGCATTAGGAAGGAGAAAGTGGCTTGGGTCTTTGGAAAAATGAGCAGTGACATGTTGCTCCTCCTAATGATCTTGTGTTCTTGAAAATGCCAACAGAGAAAGGGGAAGACAGAACCCTCTACATGTAGTGCAAGGATCCTCAGAGACACTCTGCTCCCCAATACACTTGACCTTTTGGCTGAAGTTATTGCAGCCCAGAAGAAAAACTGATGTGGTCCTGTTCCAAGGAGTATCGTGACATGATCTTCAATGCCACATCTTACAACTCTAGTCCTCTTTTTATGGGATAACTCCTTTCTGTTTTCACTTCATAAAGACAAAATATTAAGCTTCAAAAAAGTCCAGCAAAAGTATGAAATGTAAAGTGCAGGCAATACTCATGTGAGAAGTAAGACCACTTGCATCAAATGCTGTTGCAGGAGTCATTGCCAGGGGGTGCTGAGCGGGGGGAAAGAATCTTCAGGAGGCTGGCCTAGCTTGAATCCTGCAGCATGCAAGCCAGGGCCCTGGGCTCACCATTGAAATCTCAGAGCCGCAGTTTCTTCTTATCTGAAACAAGGTTGCTGATATGGATATGCATCTTCAATTTTGGTTGTGAGATCAAATGCATTTATGAACAATAGGACAGTATCTACTACATTGTTACATGCTCAGTAAGTGATGTCTACTTACATGAGACTGATTTCTTCGTAAACGTCCACTCCTGTCAAATGCAAAAGAATTCAATAGCCAGGAGATGCATTTTACATAAAATAGCTCCACATGCATTAACTCAAGTGTTTTGCAATGTTTGCCCCTAGAAAAGAAAAATAAGTCTTTTTTTCCCCAAGATACTAGCCCCTGTCAAAGACAGCTCAAGGCTGGTGCTTCCCTGTTTTATGGCATTTTATCTTTCTGTGCACTCACTAAACCCAAAAGCTAGCTTACTTACCTAACACCTGAGGATCTTAAAACATTTTAGATATTAGATTAATTATATTTCTGAATTTGTACTAGAAGGTATCAGGAAACATATAAGAGGCACAGGATTGGGGCTCCTTGGTTTGAGATGAACTTGGGGCCTGACACTTGGGGTGTCATATCTCACGGGATTGAATCTAGGTCTGTTTTAACTAACTCGGTAACTTACGTCAAACTCATTGAACTTTGTTCGCTCTCACTTACTTGGTCTATAAAATGGAAAGAGTTGGTTGTTGACATTTGAAGGGTCTTTTGTAGCTCTGATCTCAGTTTTTCTTGTGCCTCATCCCTTCCCCTTCTCTTCCTTTCCTGAATCTAGTTGCCCTCTCAGGCCCAGCTCAGGCCCTTACTGCCCTGCCCACCACCTCAGACGTCCTCCTGCCTCTTAGCTGCACCCCAAGATCTTTCTGCTTTGCTCCAGATTCTATTATAGACTCTTAGGACCAGTTCTGTTTTGTTTGACTTGTCTTGCACTGTTTATTGATTTCCTTTTTTGACTGTGAACTGATTTCCAGATCCTTGGCCCCAACTTCCAGCTGTGGCAACTGACAACTAACAACTGCGGGGTCTTCTGATCCCATCCTGATTCTCCTCCTCAGTTGCCACCTACTCAGAGGGCTGTGATGAGGGTCAGACAAGATGATGCCCCAGTATACTTGGTAACAAGTTAAGCTATGGGGCCCAACAACTTTCCTTACTAACACCTGGGACTTCTCAAGTCTGTGAGTGCATTCACACATCATGAGAACACCCTACAGGCTAATTGAATACCCAGGGCCTGCCTTTGCTGGTGTTAAAGCAGCAACTTGGTGTGGCCATGCAAATTATTCCAGGCTGTTCTGAAGCTCTGATTTATGGTTATATGTGTTTTTTATAAGTCCTCTAAATTGAGAAATATATTTATTATTATTTACTAAGTAAAGCTCTTTTTTATATACACATTTTTTTACCATGAAGACTCCTGTGGAAATTATGAAAATGGAGTATAATTATTATTTGATGTGAACACAGTCTTCTACCAGACCTAAAGTTAAAAAAAATGTAAAAATTCTTTGTCTCTGACGAAAGTGCCCATTTTCTTATGACTTGAGTCTGCATTAGAGATACATTTATTTGGATTTTTAAAATTCAATCTTTCTGGACTTCTGTGGCTGAAGTCCACTTGCAATTTGAAATGCCACCAGCACCTCTCTTTTTTTCATAATTGATCTGCTTCCAGATTCAAAATTTTGTTTCAGCCATACCAGCGTCTGGTGGGGGACACACACCCTAAATCATAGCATGCCTGTCATCTGACCCTTTCTCCGCCAGTCTGCTGGAAATCCCGTGCAAGCTTCTTTCCCTAACCTGGGATCAGACAGTGTTTCCCACCCAAATTTGATTAAACGTGCCCTCCCTTGCTGTTGTCCATATGGCACCAAAATGCGGGCTGCCTTTCTCATTTTTCCAGACTGTGGGGTCAGACGGTGCCCAGACAGGCAAATAATAGTCAAATTATACAGGAAGTTGTCAAAGGAGTCCGAACACAGACAGAGGAAATCTCTGACCCCACGACAGGTCAAAGGTCTGGTTCAAGTTTCTCCTTCTTAATCTGTCACCACAGCCAAATTAAAAGCAGCCCTTTGAATGAAACCATTTATGGAGTCTGCTTTTTTTTTTTTTTTTTTTGAAAGTTTTTCTTTTATTACAAGCTGAACTTTTTTTTTAATTGCACTAACAATTCTCATCTGAAAAAACATATTTATAATATTAAAAGAGTAAATATGTGTGTGTGAGTGTACGTATATGCACATATATATACACATACATATATAAAATATATATAGATGTGTATATATATGTTTTTGTTTCTCTCAGGAAACGGCCCAACTGAAGATATTTTCTTCCCACTAAATTTAGATGTAGACTTTTTTTTAGTCAGAAAAGGCACCAATAAATACAACTGTCTGCCTAACACACATCCATGCTTTGAACACCTCCCAGAGATCCTGAAAATATTTTAAGACCCATAGCAGGCTGTGAGAAAAAGAAAAACAAAAACAAAAAAGGTGGGATGTGGAGACATTGTTGCCCAAGAAAGACAGTAATGGCAAATGGCAATTCCCAAAAAATCATGTTTAAAAGCCAAAAGAATCTGTCATCATGCTCAAACAGTGAAGATGATCTTTAATGGTTCCTAAGCCTTTCCCTACAGTAACATGTCCCTGGTCTTTCTTTGCCCAGAGCAGAGAGGCATGAAGAAGGGAAACCTGTTCACTGTATTCCACAGCTTTTCTGTTTTCAGACTGACACCAGGAAAACCATCTTAGTAACTGAAAATGCAGAGGCCAAGGTGGGTGAATCACCTGAGGTCAGGAGTTCGAGACCAGCCTGACCAACATGGAGACGTCCTCTCTCTACTAAAAAAAAAAAACAAAAAATTAGCCAGGCGTGGTGGTGCCTGCCTTTAATCCCAGCTACTTGGGAGGCTGAGGCAGGGGAATCGCTTGAAACTGGGAGGTGGAGATTGTGGTGAGCCAAGATCGCGCCATTGCACTGCAGCCTGGGTGACAAGAATGAAACTCTGTCTCAAATAAGAAAAAAAAAAATGCAAAGCAAGCTTCAGTGTTTTCCCTTTTTCGTCTGATGTTTAAGTGGTAAGTGATGAAGGCTTTGGTGGTATTCCCTAGGAGGAGCTTTGTTGGAGGAAATGGGTGATGTCTTTGGGAGGGGCACTGTGAGAAGGAATAGCTCTTCAGGGTTCTTTCTTCCTCTGAGAAACAACTGAAAACCTTTGACATGAGACATGCACTCCATTAGAAGTACCAATGGTACCAATGAAATACTTAGAGGGGAGGGGTAGGTAGAATGGATACCCTACAAGGACAGGGATTGTGATCAGTTTTATTTCCTGATATGTCTCAAGCACCTAGGATAGTGACGGGCACATACCAGGTACTCAATAAATATTTGTTGATCATATATATATATGTGTGTGTGTGCATATATATATATATATGAACATTTTGTTTCCATCCAACAAATTTTACATATAGGTGTCAGTAAACTGCTAAGGGGCTATCAATATCCCTCTGGCATACACCAAAAGTAGACAGCAAGCTAAATTCTACTATACCAGATAAAAATACCTTGGGTTGCAAAGGATGGAAGACCAATAAGAAATCAATTGAACAGTTAGGAAATTCTTATTTTTACATTTAAAATTCTAGATCTAGTCAATGCAGGACTGGAACAGTAGCTCAATAATTCCATTGAAAACTCAGACTCTTTTTAATCTTTCTGTATTTTCCCTTCTAGCGTGGTAGCTACTACCACCTGATTATAAGAGTCCTGTCTTAGAACCCACCATCACATCTGCACACAAAGTGGAAAGAATGAAAAATGATTGGGAGTAACCACATCTTTCCCTTTTATTAGAAAACCTAACCCCTTCCCAGAAGTCCCTAGCAGATCCCTGCTTTTTGTCATTAATCTGAATATTTATATGGCAATCCGTATTGGCTTCCTGTGACTGCTGTAATAAAGTACCACAAACTAGGAGGCTTCAAACAAAAGTAATTTATTGTCTCACAGGTTTGGAGGCCAGAGGTCTGAAATCAAACATCAGTAGAGCTGCACTCCCTCCAAAGCCTCTAGGGGAGGATCCATCCTTACCTCTTCCAGCTTCTGGTAGCCCCAGACATTCTTGACTCATGGAAGCATCACTCCAATCTCTACAGCTTCTTCTTGTGACCATCTGTCTTCTGTGTCTTCACATCACCTCCTATCTGTATATCTCCATGTCCAAATTCCCATCTTCTTATAAGAACCCAGATCATTTTGAATTAAGGATCTATCCTATTCCAGTATGACTTCATCTTAACTGATACTATCCTCAACAGTCCTATTTCCAAATAAGGTGACATTCTCAGGTGCTGGGGGTTAGGACTTCAGCATATGTTTTTGGGTGACACAATTTAACACATAACATCACCCTTAGCCTCAAGGGAAGCTGTCAAAGTGAAATGTTATCTTCGTAAGCCTTTATAGTGGAATGTGTTAGGAGAAGGGGATTGAAAAAGATTTGGGGTTGGCCAATGAGCAGTATTTGTCTTGCCTCTTTCTCACCCACAGGAGACAGCATGGTGGATGGAAGGGAAATGAGCTTCACCATCACAAAGGTGACTTTCAATAAGCTTTAAACAAATGTTCATTTCAGACACCCACAGTGTACCTATTATTACATTACTCCTGACACGCCTCTGAAGACATCAATGTAGCCCATGTAGTTGAGATCTTTTTTATGTAAGAATGGGGCAGGATTCGGAAACTAGCCCCCTTGGTCCTACTTGGAAATATCTTTACCTAGCTGAAGGAAAAGGGTAAAATAAGAAGTGACTTCTTATCTGAAAAATCCAGGGTAAGTTCAAAGGAGAGTGGGGGGTTAACCCATAGTTATTGACATATTAAAATGACACAGTTCATTTGCAGAAATGAACATTCAAGCCTGAGACATTTAAGACACTGGAGATTTTATCCTTTGCCACAACCAACCTTCCCACCAAATAATGATCTCACTGTATTTCTTCTGCAGATAAAATTTATCATCAGCAATCTACTTCCATAAGCCAATAAGTGGATTATTTATAAATGAAAATATTCTCAAAATATTGTCATACTAAGCTATCATGCATAGAGCCGTGGAATTTTAGCACTTGTAGTAATCTATGATTTATTTTGCAACAGTTAGCTAATGTCACATAAATGCTGTGTGACAAACAACCTTAAAATCTCAGCAGCATATAATAAGCATGCGTTTAACTCATGAAAATGTCCATCAGCTGGGGGTAGGCTAGCTAATCTAGTTTGCACTTGTCTAGTTTGAATGGGGCTTATTCATTTGTCTGTGGCCAACTAGAGATCAACTGCCCTAGGTTAAGTACAGCTGCTTGTGACTGCTCCACAGGTCTCCATTCCCCTTCTGCAGCCAGCAAAGGAACCCAGGGATGTCTTCTCAATGCCACAGTAGAGATGAATGAAAGCAATCACTTTCTGTCTGCTGACATCACATCTACCAACATCTCATTGGTCAAACAAGTCCACTGTTCAAACCAAGAGTCAAGATGGAAAGGAAGGAGGGCTTCCCTACCCTCAGTAAGCAGGCCCCGCAAAATCACATAGCAAAAGACCTGGTTACAGGGAAGGATGACTAATTGGGACTATTAATGCTTTGGACTGCAGTCTTAGATACTTCCTCATATGCTATAAGAACACCATGAATGTTAAGTTAAGGAAATTACTAAAATTCATAGGTGAAGAAGTGAGCCCAATTCAGTTGATTGATGGATACCATATCATAGAACAAGTTAAGGAAAGTAATTTATACTTTTTTAACAAGATAATATGTATCTCATCTATACTTCCTCTGGCTTATTAAGCTGGTTGGACCAGGCAAACTTTAACACTGAAAGATAATCTTGAACATTGAAAGTAAATTAAAAATAATTTCAAAACTCATTTTGAAAGCATTTTAGATAGTGCTTCTTGTGATAAACAGCTACTTAAAAAAAAAACAACATAAAACCAGACTAGGAAATATTATTTTAATAATTATTAGCAATAATAATTGTTATAATATTATGATATAATAATATTAACAATAATAATTATTATTACTTATTTTCTTGGTATACACATACATGTGCTTGTCTTATGCCTTTAAAGCACTGTATATGAAGAGTCATGTGTGCATGTTATCAGGGGGCTGGGGGCTTGGGGTCGGGAAACTGAAGAAATACTGAGGACAGGGCTGGGCACAGTGGCTCACGCCTGTAATCCCAGCATTTTGGGAGGCTGAGGTGGGCGGATCACTTGTGGTCAGGAGTTTGTGACTAACCTGGCCAACATGATGAAACCCCATCTCTACTAAAAATACAAAAATTAGCCGGGCATGGTGGCACGTGCCTGTAATCCCAGCTACTCGGGAGGCTGAGACAGGAGAATGGCTTGAACCCGGGAGGTGGAGGTCACAGTGAGCCACAATGGCACCATTGCACTCCAGCCTGGGTGACAAAGCAAGACTCCATCTCAAAAAAAAAAAAAAAAAAAAAGAAAAGAGAAAAAAAATACTAAGGACAGAAGTCAAGACTTACTTCCCTACTAAGTCTTTGGCAGTCCCAATCTCTGCTATGCAATTTGGGTAGACCAGCAGAAGGTCTTACAAAAAGAAAAAAAAAAAGTAACTTGGAATACCAGATCGAGCAGCATTCCTGTGGTGTATTGCAGTCAGTAGTTGCTTGATCCATTTTCTGGCTCCTTGATTTGGTCACACACATTCACCATCTGTACCAGGCAATGTGAGTGAATGTCCAGTCCCCTCAGCTAATGTTTCCACAAGGAGTGGTAAATCATTTTGAGTGTATAAAAAAGCAGAAGTTATTGTGTGGGGTTATAGCTTGTACATTGTTTGCTTTGAAATGTGTCTTGAAATGAGTTTTCAAGATATGGGAGCCAGTCCCCTGTCCCCTTGATTTACAGATGAGAAAAATTAGGTCCAGAAGAGAAAAGACTTGCTGAAGCAGGTGAGTGTCTGAGCGGGGTCAGCAGCCCACCACTCTTTAATTCAGTTCTAGATTCCCTCACTGCACGTCAGCATCACCCCTGCCAGCTTCATCTCCTCCTGGGAAGGTTCGGAACAAACAGAGGCTTTAATGCCAGAGCCCCCCTGCAGAGCTGGGCATCTCCAGTGGCTGGCAGTGGCCTGCATGGGCATGAGATTTAGCATGCACCAAGCATGTCCACCTGCTCCTCAGCATTGAATCCCCATAACAGACTTGTGGCCAGTTGAGATTGCATCACTCCCACGTCACAGATGAAAACGCATAATGACCCAGAGAAGTTCCACCTCCCTCAGCTCGGACCAGCCCCAAAACACACAGGTAGTAAACAGCAGGGAAAACAATGTTCTGTGGCTTCAGACCCTTAATCTCTTGCTCTCTGAACATGTGTCTGTGTACCATTGTCTCTTCTATAAATTTTTTGATCTGTCTTCCATCTGCCTGTCTATCCACCCAGCCATTATTCATCCACTCAACTGGTATTTATTGAGTGCTTACTATATGCCCCTCGCTATTCAAAGATCTTGGGGTTTGAGTCTGGAATCAAGCAGTAACAATTGGGGTTTCACATCCTAAAGGATATTTTTAACCTAATATGTCCACAATATTATCATTTGGGGTAGAGCAGTTCATGAAATAGAGAACATTATCTACTATTCTAGGAATCACCTTCTAGTAGCGAGGAAGATTAACAAAAAAAAAAAATAAGTTATGTTACATGTTTGACAGTAGTAAGTACTAAGAAGGAAAAATAAAACAGATAAAAAGCAAAAGAATATCATGAATGGGAAGAGGTAGACTGTTAGACCAAGAGGCCAGAAAAAGCAGCACTTAAGACATTATGCTGAACCCATCCACCCACCCACTGACTCATTTATTCATTCACGTATTCCTTCCTCCATTGTCCTTCCAACCAAGTAACCAGCCGTTCTTTCAGCTACTCAATAAGTGGTACAGAAATGTATGTATTTGATATTTTATTCATCCAGTTATTCAAAAATTAATTGGTTCTTTTACTCACTCTTTGATGTATTCACCAACTTATTTACTCATTCATCCACTTTATTTCTTCATTTCCTTTTTCTTTTTTTCTTTCTTTCTTTATTTTTTTGAGACGGAGTCTTGCTCTGTTGCCAGGCTGGAGTGCAGTGGTGCGATCTCAGCTCACTGCAACCTCCACCTCCCGAGTTCAAGCAATTCTCCGCCTCAGCCTCCCGAGTAGCTAGGACTACAGGTGTGTGTCATCATGACCAGCTAATTTTTGTATTTTTAGTAGAGACGGGGTTTCACCATGTTGGCTAGGATGGTCTCAATCTCTTGACCTTTTAATCCATCTGCCTTGGCCTCCCAACATGCTGGTATTACAGGCTTGAGCCACCATGCCCAGCCTTCATTTCCTTTTTCAAAAATGTATTCATATACCAGATATTTACTAAACTCCTTCATTATCCTTTGGCACTAGGAAAAACAAAGAAGGTGTGAACAAGGCTTTCGGGGGGGGGGAAATTTCCCAGGCTGTCCCCTGATTGTAAATTTGTAACTGTGTTTTGTTTAAGTGCTTACGCTGAGTGCTTGCTGGGCTCAGTGCAAGCACTGAGCTCCTGGGACATCAGATAACACAGCCACAGTGCCAGGGGCTTTATCACAGCCTAATACTACTAAAAGGATGCTATCAGGCTTAACCCTGTCACCTTGAACCAGAAATGAATAATGAGCACCTTTCACAGTTAATATTAATCCAGACAGTCTCCATATATCATTTGCCAAAAGGCACAATGTCTTCTGGGTCCCGGAGCTCTGGGACAGCACACAGAGTCCATGGGCGACTTCAGGGCGAGACGGTAGGGTGAGTTCACACTTTGAAGCTGAGTTTGCCCATCCAACCTCAAAACACATAGCAAGACAGACATAGATAAAATAAGAGTAAAGCAGACATGGCAGTCAAAAGCAAGACAAACATCCACAGGGAACAGAAACCCAAGGCATAAATGAAGCTAAAGCCACGGGCTGCTGGGATTTGAGCTTGGAAATAAGCAGCAGCAGTTGGAGTTTCACATCGTAAGGATCATGTCTTTCCTGTACTGAATATGTCCACAATATTATCATTTAGATGTGTAATCAATGTAAAATGTTATTAATGAAATATTCATAATTTCTGTTCTTTTCTTTGTACTAAATCTTCAAACTCCATTATGTACACATTATATAAATTATATATACACATTATATACATTATGTGCACATTATATATACATAGGGTCCATGTCAATTTGGAACAGCCACATTCAAGCTCTTGACAGCTACATCTGGCCAGTGGCTACTGAACTGGACATGCAGTTCTCAAGGGTAGTGGTGATACTGGGGATAATGGGAGTAAAATGAGGGCAGTGAAGATGAAGACCCCATTTTCTCATTTGCCAGTAATGAGAACCACCACGCATGGACACGGAGCTAGTCAATTAATATCACAGTAAGCTTCTGGGGTAGGTATTCTCTTATCCCATTTGTAGCATGGGGAATCCCAAGCACAGGCAGATTCAGTGACTTGCCCACAACCAAGAACTAAGAAGCAGTCATATATGAACCAGACTATGGGATGCCACAAGTCAGGGGCTTTAGTGGGTACTGCTGTCTGTCACAATATGAACCTTTGGAAAGAAGTTGCACCCCATGTGACTCTCGGCCTAGAAGGTTTTCTTCTTTTCACAATGACTTCCTGGCTTGCATGGTGACAAAGGAGGGAGCTACTTCTTCCGTCTTAATGTCCTTTAGCAAAGGAATGCAGCACCGGCGCTGTCACCTCCTCCCTCCTTTCTCTCCCTGATTCCTGGGCTCCAGGAACCACGGGATCAGCATATCCGGTGCCCCACCCTCTTTGCTCTGTTCAGGCCCCTGGATAAGGAGTGCATCCCTTCTTCAGTATTTACTGCGCATGGCAGACAAATGGGTCCTTGGAGCTGCCTCCAGAGAACCAAGACCCAGACATTAAAGTGAATTACGAAAAAAGTACCCCGTCATTTTCCTTGTTTGCTTCATTCAGTCTCCAGTAAATAATCAGAAAGCACTTAGCAAGGACACAGGCCAGTAGTGTCAATAATAAGACCCCTTTGTCACTGACAAAGCTCTGGAAACAAAGCTGGAGACATCGCTGCCAAGTGAGGTGAGCATTAGGCAACCTGTGGAGCCTCCGAGTTAGCCTCCAATCCTGCCTTCTCCTCCCGCTCCTTCCTTGGGCAAATCGCAAGCCTGCTCTCCGCCAGAGTGTCCTCATCAGTAAATAGGGCTGATAGTCCCCTGGCAGTTTATATACAGAGGTAAGGTATTATTGATTCATCAAAATGAATTTTTTTATTCACGTTATTTTATTTATTTATTTAGCCATTCAAAAAGCATCTATTGAACACCTACAGTGTGCCAGCTGCTGTGCTCTGTATAGCCTGGGGATTCAACCATGTGGGCCCTCTATCTGTTTCGTCCTAGAGCACGTAAATTCTATGGAAGCAGGGAGGGGGCCTTGTGCATGTGGCTCTGCAGTGACTACAACAGTATCTGACTGTTGTTTATCAAAAGTTGTCAAAAGAACAAGGCCCCTGACTTCAAGTTGCTCACATTCCCCAAAGAGAGACAGCCAGATCAAAAAATAACAGAGAGCGAGACAGGTGGTGCTGGGGAGATACAGGATGCCATGGGAACCAAATTTAGGTTTTGGGTGTCAAGGCAGGGTTCCTGGAGGAAGATTTTTCTAAACTGAGATTAGAAGGGTAAATGGGAGTGAACTAGATGAGCAGGAGGTGTGCCTGGGTGCATAAGGTTGTTGGGAGGCTCCCAGGAGAAATGCAGACGTGATGGGTCAGCTGTCCTGCAGTGCTGAGGCTGGAGAGAGATGTGTTCAGACCCAGTACTGTGTGGTCAGCAGACTGGGGATGGAGAGTGGGAAGTAACAGATCAATCACAGGTGTGGGCACACACGCACCTATCCTGGCCCTTCCTCCCCTGGCTGTGGTCTGATGCTCTTGGGACAGTCATTGTCCCTTCTCTGAGCCTCAGTTTTTCTCTACAAAATAGGATTAACAATGCATACCATTGAAAGGTTATTTTGAGGCTGAAATGAGGTGAAATCACACAGTCCTGACTGCGGGGCCTGACCACTAACACCATGTCCCATAAGTATGCCAGTCACCTGGAGGGTGCCCTACAGAAAAGGGTCTGCTCTACTGAATATAATAGTAGCATCTCAGAGGGTGATTCGGAGTTTACATTCTTAACACCTGGCACCTATAGCACTTAACCAAGAGCTATAATTTATTACACAGCACTTTAGAGACATTGCAATTGTCTAAATAGAGCATAGTTCCAAGTACTGGAACCATTGAGAACTGATTTTTTTTTCCAACTCCAAACATCCAGGGGAAAGAGAGAAATCACCAGAAAGCTTCTATGTCAGCTAATGTCCCTGTTACCAAAGCTACATCTGCAGGAGGCTCCCCAGGGCTGCCTCTGACTCCACTCTACCTCAGCCATGCTAACAGACTCCAAAGGTCAAGACCTCGAGCTATATCAGAATATTCAGGTTTATTCACTGGGCGCTTCCTCCCAAGAAAGAAATTCTGACTCTGGCATAAACGTTGTCTAGAGTCAAACAAGAAGTTTCCCTTTGACCAGTGATTTGTATGGATTAATCAAAAGTGTCAATACTCAGCCTAGCCTGACCTCCACCCATCATGGTTAATCAGAAAATCACTTGCCTAAATGCCATAATGGAAGGAGCATAGAAATAAAGGAAGGGGAGAGAGTGAAGTGAGGAAGGGAGGGAAGGAGGAGGAGGATGGGGGAAAGAGGAAGAAAGAAAGACGAAAAAAAGAGAGAGAAAGAAAGAGAATACATAGAGTATGAGGTGATTATGAGAGAGTGAATGTAATAAAAATGAAAAAGGATGCACAGAGAAAGAGGAGTGAATAAGAGAAGGGATAAGACAGAGGTTGGAAAAGAAAGAAACAGGAAGAATGAATCCAGGGACACGGTGGGCTTATTCATTATTATCCAAAAGATTTCTCTTTTTTCCCCCTCTTCTTTAAATCCTAATTTAGATATCTTGTGATATTTCTGCCTTGCTGGATAGAATGGACAAATAACATTTATTTTATATATATTTATATATGTATATATATATATAAATATAGATATAGATATATATATTTCCAGGTTATTGTGAAATCATATACAGGTATAGAAGTTATTTAAAAAATATAACAAGACTAATTTGCCATTGTTTTCATCAGGGAAGCTGTCTCTGTCCATACCAAACATTTTTGTTTACACAGCCCCCTTTAGGCTTTCTGTGTACATGTGTGTGCATATGCATGTGTGTGTGTGTGTCTGTGTGTGTGCACAGAAAGGGGAAAATGGTCCCAGTCAGCATTTGTTGGATGTTTCCATTCTGTCAAACCAGGATGATCTAAATTTGAGATATACGCAGATCCAGCAGTATAATTAATCTACAACCCTAAACAAGTCCATATCCTAGTTATAGAGATCCTATATTGAGGCCTGCCTGAAATCTTAAGTTTACCAAACCTTATATTTGGACCTTAAAACTGGGCCGCAATCAGGAAAGCCATCTTCTCAGCTCTGAGATTTGCCAATTAAATTTTTTAATCTAAATTTGGAAGCAGGTCATTAGCATATCATTATTGATGCCACATGCAAGCTACTTTTTTCCCCTCCAAGAAAAAAATAAATCACAGCATTTCCAGCACACATTTGTTAATATAAAAATTACCATATCAATAAAACGCCATTATTTGATAGGAACTGCCCCTCTCAAAAGGTTCCAAACTATTGTTTGGTCCAGATACGCATGCTCTTGGTGCAAGCTTTTATTTATTTATTATTATTATTGCTGATTTTTTTTAGCTCCTGCTCTGACTGGTGAAGCTATCCATTCCCACCAGGGCTGACCACAATCCCCCTATTCCTCCTGAGGTCTCCACGGTCCCACGCTCCATAACAGTGACCTTTTGACAGGACCGCATACTCAGGCGGGGGCTGGGGGACAAAGGAATACATTTTCCAGTGAAGAGCTATCATGAAGTTGGGCAGATGGATGTGAGATGTAAGCTCTTAATTAGGGCCACACGGCTGGTTGACCTCTCAGGAGACACAAAGGTGTGTACGCAGAGCCCCCAGGCTCACCTGCTTCTATAGCCTCCGCGAGTTAGCTAGGCGCCTCTCAGAATTTACCCGAAGCGTGCAGATTTGCGGGGAGGGTGTGCCTTTATTCTGAGACAGAAATCAGCAGTTTAGCATGAATATTCTCAGCTGGCAGATGGGAGAGGGCGGGTTGTCACGTCAATAGAATCTGATCCGGTGGTTAGGTAAGACCTGGGGACAAAGATGGAATTGTTCCAACATCAACCAGGCAATACAGTAATGACAATCACCTCTTCCATTTGAGGGGGCAGGAGGAGAGCAGGGTGGGGGTGGGGAGTGAGGAAGTGAATGTTGCCAAAGTGCTTGTTCTTTCTAGAGCATTTGCATTTGTCACTATCTTGAAACCTCCAGCCACCCAGGCAGACACATCATATTGTCTCCATTTTCCAGATAAGAAAACCAAGACAGTGAATTAAGTAGTGAGCAAATCTCAGCTCTGTTTGAGGGAACTGAACCCATTTCGTTTGGCTCCAAAGTCTGCACCAACTGTGAACTGTTTTATTCTGCCTTACCTCGCAGAGACTCTCCCCATCCTCACACAGAGTCTTTCAGTTCAGATGCCATTCAGTGAGTGATTGTTGTGTGCAAGCGAGGCCCTGCGTCTGTACCCCCATTACACAGATGCAAATACTGAGGCTCAGAGAGGTGACATGATTTCCCAAAATGGTACAGCTGGCACCTGCTGAAGTCAGGGCACAAAGCCCAGGTCTCTTGGCTTCGGGTCTAATGCTGTCCCTCCATTCATGCTGTCTCTTTGTCTTATCTCACCCGGCATGGTAGCCTGGTGCATGAAGAATCTGCACCAGCCACCCTAAGTTATGCTGACTCCAAAGGAAGCTTGGTGACTCCACAAGGATTTGCACACTAGAGTCCAACCCTAGCTGTAGATGGGACTAGGAAACCCAAGATGCTGAGTTTTAGGGACTTTCTCTTCTTCACAGCAGGGTTGGAACCAGACTCCTGCTCTCCTAACTGCAAGCTGAAATCTTAGTCCTTGCACATTCTGCTAAGCTGAACACCCTGTGATTCAGGCTAAGGCCCCAGAGTCCTATTATAAAGTTATCCTTGCCAAGTCCAGTGTACGATGTCCTTCATGCTGGGAAGGAAGCCAAGTTATTATTCTTGTCCTCTTTCTTTCCTTTTTTTATTCCTTTCTTACATTTTTACCTTCCTCCCTTCCTTCTAAAAAAACTATTTCAAAAAACATTCAGGTTTACGGAAAAGTTGCAAAATAAGTCAGTAAATAAATTCCTAAATCTCCTTTACCCAAATTCCCTAAGTTAACATTTGCCACATTTGCTTTTTCTTTCTCTTAAGGGAGAGATGGATGGATGCTGGGTGGATGGGTGAACATATGGATAGATATAGATAGATATCAATACATACATATGTATATACACATCTACATACACTGTATATATATGTGTGTATGTATACACACATCTACATACACTGTTACTTGTTTTTCTGAGCTATTTAAGAGTGAGTTACAGATAGAAGCTCCTTTACCCAGAAATATGTCAATGTGCATTTCCTAAAAATAAAGACATTCTCTTATATCACCATGGTATAATGATCAAAATCAGAAAATAAACACTAATATAGCACTATGTTCTAATCCACAGACTTTATTCAAATGTCATAAATGGTCCCAACACTGTTCTTTAAAGCAAAGTAATTTTAATTTTTCGGTCCAGGATCAAATCTAGAATCTCACATTTCACTTACTTGTACTGTCTCTAGTCTCCATTGATCTGGAACTATTCCACATTCTTTCTCTGCCTTTCACGAACTTGACATTTATGAACAGTACAGGCCAGTTGTTTTGTCGAAAGTCCTTTAATTTGAGTTTGTCTGCTGTTTCCTGGTGATTAGATTCAGGTTATGTGTTTTTGGCGGGAATGTCACAGAAGTGACGTTATGTCCTCCTCGGCGCCTGGGGGGCATGTGATGGCAGTTAGTCCCATTACTATGGATGTTAACTTTGATCACTTGGTTAAGGTAGCATCTGCCAGATTTCTCTACTGCGAAGCTACTCGTTTTTTCCTGTTTAAATGAGTAAGTATCTTTTTGTGAGATGCATTGAGTGTATGCAAATGCCTGCTTTTCATTACACTTTGATATTTGATATTTTTTATCTGGATCAATTATTACTATGGTAGTTGTCAAATGGCGATTTTCTAATTCGTTCTTTCCATCTACCTTTATTAGCTGGCATTCCATGGTAAGAAAGAACCTCGTGGCCGGGTGCGGTGGCTCACGCCTGTAATCCTAGCACTTTGGGAGGCCGAGACGGGTGGATCACAAGGTCAGGAGATCGAGACCATCCTGGCTAACACGATGAAACCCTGTCTTCACTAAAAATACAAAAAATTAGCCGGGCGTGGTGGCGGGCGCCTGTAGTCGCAGCTACTCGGGAGGCTGAGGCAGGAGATTTGCTTGAACCCGGGAGGCAGAGCTTGCAGTGAGCTGAGATCATGCCACTGCAACAAAGCGAGATTCTGTTGAAAGAAGGACAGAAAGAAAGAAAGAAAGAAAGAAAGAAAGAAAGAAAGAAAGAAAGAGAAAGAAAGAAAGAAAGGAAGAAAGAGAAAAGAATGAGCCGTGTCTTCTTTTCTATTCACTTCTTTCATTTGTTCATTCATTTATGTTGGTACAGGCTTGTGGATTCGTATGTATTCACTGGGCTTCCTTCCCTCATTCTCTCTGTCTCTGTCTCTCTCTCTCTCTCACACACACACACACACACACACATTCAAAGAAAACAAACACTGGGAAAGTGGCACAGGGGGCAGGTTGGAAAGCTGCATGATGAGTTTGAAGTCTGACCTCTGGAAGGAGACCTGCAGGGAGGAGGGCGGGGCTGGCAGAAGCAGCAGAGGCCAGCTAACAGGCTCTGTGATAGGGTTCGCCAGTCTCTCCTGCCCTCAGCAGAGAGGCTTAAATATCTCCTTCTTGGACAAACAGATCAATACAAGCTTTTTAACATCTTCAATGAGAGCTCATTAATGCTCTCTGGGTGTCCTCCTGCGGCCGGGCTGACCTGGGAGGAGCAGGGGAGACTGAACTGCAGACAGATAATTATCCCAGAGATAACACTTCAGATCGGCTCCTGGCAGCATGTGAATCGTTTTCCTAATTATTCAGGACAGCAGCTAGTGAGAGTGCAAACTAATTGAAAATACGTGATGATTTATTTGCGTGGCCGAGGCTCAGCCCATGTACTGGGTTAAGTGCAGAGCGCCCCTCAGCCTCTCAGTCCGTCGCTGAGGCCTCTTAGGCCTGATGACACAGAGGATGGTGAGAATATTTCTGTATTAGCCATCTAAGCTTACGAGAGCTGGCAGTTATGAAGGACTTTTCAAAAGACATGTGGGCAATCTATTGTTTCACTTTTACCCCTCAAGTAAATAAAATTACTGAGAGTTGGTATTTGGTCCACGCTATTTTGCCCAACTCACAGAATTTCTTTCACTAAATGGCCTTTGATCTTTTGACCTCATCCTTCCCTTAGGACAGGGCAACACTCAGTGCTACCTGCACCATGAGGATACTGTTAAGGACACTATACTTGTCCCTTTATGAAATCCTGTGTGATGATAATTTACTCTAGACTGTTAGGCAGACAAGAGTTTGCCTGAAAAACTTTACTCCTTTTGGGCCATAAACATGCTAAACATCTTGCCCTTTTTGACCTAGCTACCAGGAAGATCAAGGCAAAATTTTAAATTTAGCTTGATTAGGTAGGAGCTTATACCCTGCACTTCTATAGTAAAGGCAATTTCAAAAGGTTACTGCTCTCATTCTGATGTAAATATCAATTCCCCAATTCAGAGACTGAAGGGACTTTAGCAGTTAGTGTCACAACTAACTCCAGAGTCCAAGCTCATGCCAGTTTACAACATATTCTTCCTAGATCGCCAAAGGTATTGTTTACCTGGGCATGCTCTAATGCAGAAGCCAGTAAACTTTCTCTGTAAAGAAACAATCAGGTCTGGGCACGATGGGTCACACCTGTAATCCCAGCACTTTGGGAGGCTGAGGCAGGCGGATCACGAGGTCAAGAGATCAAGACCATCCTGGCCAAGATGGTGAAACCCTGTCTGTACTAAAAATACAAAATATTAGCTGGCCGTGGTGGCATGCGCCTGTAGTCCCAGCTACTCAGAGGGCTGAGGGAAGAGAATTGCTTGAACCCAGAAGGTGGAGGTTGCAGTGAGCCAGGATTGCACCACTCCACTCCAGCCTAGTGGCAGAGGGAGATTATGTCTAAAAAAAAAAAAAAAAGCACCAGTCAGTAAATATGTAAATATTTCAGACTTTGTGGTGATCTCAACTCCACTAAATTCTATAGCTATAGCATAAAAACAGCCACAGACAGAAATTCAGAATAATTCAATGCATGAATGTGACTACGCTCCAAAAAATACATATGGACACCAAAATTTGAATTTTATAGGATTTCTGTATGTCACAAAATATTATTTCTCTTTGATTTTTGCATAAACTCTTAAAAAGAGTAAATACCATTCTTAGTTTGTGAGGCATCCAAAAATAGACAGTGGGCTGGATGTGGTTCATAGACCATCATTGCCCATCCCTGGTATACAGAAATATGTGGAGAAGGAAGAAGAAGAGATAAACGTTCTTGGGGATAATGTATTCTTCTGTAGATGGATACAAAAGATGATTAATATAACATTGTTAAGCTAAATGAACTTATAATTAAATCAAAATCTTTTCTCCTTAGAACATGTGATTTTGTAAGCACAAGCAAGACTGAGGCCAATCGCATTTACTAGGCTAGAGTAAGGATTTGCACACAGACTGACCCTTGTGAATCTTGTTTAGCAAATTTACTTTTTCGTAGTATTATTGTAATCTTAGTCAATTAAAGGAATCTTCATTCCAATAATGGTATTGTTGACAGAACATCATTAACAAAACTGAAATTTGACAGATTGGTGAGATGCCAAAGAAAGGAAGTTTTCTAGCAGTACCACTTACTGTCACATTTCCAATGAAAAAATATACATTACCACCATCAATACCATCAGCACCATCACTACAACCATCATTACCATCATCACTACCACCATCAACACCAGCACAGCCACATCTACCAGTATTATCATCGCCACCATTACTTCCATCACAAGCATCACCACTACTACCACATCATCACCTCCACAACCACCATCACAACTACTGCCATTACCATCATCACACTCACTGTCACCGTCAAAACAACTACCACTAACACAACCAAAACCACCACCACCACTGTCAACACAATCACAACCACATCTACCAGTACTATTATCACTACCACAACTGTCACCATCATCAACACTAATACCTCCACAACCACTACTCCCATCATCATCATGCCCACTGCCACCATCATTCACACCATTCAAACAACCACATCCCCTTCTACCACATTAATCACCATTATCACCACTGCCAAGACACCACAATCACTACATCATCCACTGCCATTTTCAATACCCTAACCATTATTGTCATCAATGCAACATCAAACACTATCACCACCATCATCACATAAAAACCACCACCATCATCTCTAAACCCTCACCACCATCTCCAAAACCACCACCACTACCAAAACAAGCACTACCTTCTCATCTTTTGCACTCAAGATTATACAGAGATGTGAGTCAGAACACTTTTGCTTAATGCCAATTTCCAAGTCGATGAGATTCTTCCTGACTTTCCTCTCCTTCTTCATTTATACCAAAGTCTAAAAGCATATATTCAATTGAGTTATTTCATTTTAACTTACCATTCTAAGGCAATAATCTAAATGTGAATAATTCTACAAAGGATGTTTTCCAACTAAATATTTATAAGAATGGAAATTTTACCAATATAAAAAGCAAATAATTTAGAAACGGTCAGGTAAATTATGAAATATCCATATGAGGAAAGAGATAAGGTGATTAAGAACGTTTGCCAAGATATTTAGATATTGAAAAATGCACATTATACAGTATTAATTAAAATACACAATACACATAATTGGCTTCAGTTATGAAAAAATTCAGAAAAAAACAAGACTGGAATAAAACACACACCAAAACGTTAATAATAGTGCTTCTCAACTGAATGATGCATTTATTTATGGAAAATTTTAATTTTGTGTTTATACTTGTCTTCATTATCCAACTGCTCACTAATGAAAAAGTATTAAACTTATAATTAGAAAAAATATTTTGAAAAAAGATAAGAGATCACCTTCCAGCTTTCAAAGCACAATAAAAAAAAGTCATCTCATCTGAGGAGTCTTTCCCTTCTGGATCTGTTTGGAATTAATCTCACCCCCATCCCACTTTGTTCCCCTAGGTTACTGTTTGCACCCCATTATAAACATTTTATTTATTTTATTCATTTTTATTTATTTTGAGACAGGATCTCACTCTGTCACCCAGGTTGGAGTGCAGTGGTGTGATCTCAGCTCACTGCAACTTGTACCTCCCAGGCTCACGTGATCCTCCCACCTCAGCCTCCCAAGAAGCTGGGAGCACAGGCGCATCTCACCACACCCAGTTAATTTTTTGTATTTTTTGGTAGAGAAAGGGTTTCACTATATTGCCCAGGCTGGTCTCAGACACCTGAGCTCAGGCCATCCACCCACCTCAGCCTCCCAAAGTGCTAGGATTACAGGCATGAGCCACCGCGCTGGGACATATTTTATATTGTAACATATACCTTAGATAGGTGTACACATCCTACAGCCACTCAGGTGAACTCTGGCCACTGAATACTAAAAACTTCAAGTTTCTGTCTTCCCTTCCTTCCTTCTTTCTTTCCTTCCTTCCTTCCTTCCTTCTTTCCTTCCTTCCTTCCTTCCTTCCTTTCTTCCTTCCTTCCCTTCTCCCTTCCTCCCTCCCTCCCTGTCTCTCTGCCTCCCTTCCTTCCTTCCTCCCTTCCTCCCTCCCTTCCTCTCCCTATCCTTTCTTTCCTACTTCCCTCCTTCCTTCCTTTTACAAAGACTTATTGAGCACCTATTATAACGATAGCCCTATTCTAAACCCTGAGGATGTACAGGTGAACTAGACAGGCAAATGTGCCCCTTTTGTAGAGCATATAGGTTCTACTTTACAGTCTGGTGGGGGAGACAGGCAACACACAAATGCAACAAGACAGATGGCCGCAGTGGCCATGCAGTTTGATTCTGCCTGTGACACCTCCTCGTCCCGACTAGTAGGCATCACACAGCCCCAGCTGGCAGGGTGGCCCACTGATGAGACCCGAGCCCTACTCCCCAGCACAGAGCTTGGGTTTCATGGGGGCACTCGCAAGAACACCTGATCCTCTTACCCTTTGACCTCCTCTGGGAGCAGGTGCAGGGTTGAGGCATGAACACCTGTCCAGCAGTAGCTGGGCTGGTTTCCCACCTCAGGGCCAAGGCAGGCCACTTCTCCACCTGGGGATGGCCCGGGAGGCTAGTGCTTCTCAAGTCCATTGACACTGTTTTGATCCACCTGCTTTCCAGGGCAGCCCTTTGGCTACTTTGGAAACTAGGGGAGTCCTCCAGCCATCTGGAGGAAAGCCTTTCAGGATATGTTTATTGCAAATTCACCTGCTTCCCTTCCAACTGCACAAAAACACACACACACAAACTTGCTTCTCTGCCTTGGACAAATAGAGTAAAAATAGAGTAGTCCACCTTAGCCAAAACATCGTCTCCGTTTTTAAACTTCAAAGGCCATCAAAATTTATTGGTGATTTTGTTTGACTATTTGCAGGTACTCAGCCTCACTCTCAAAGGACTTGAGAAAGGCTGCGGTAATGCACCTGGGTCAACAAAATAGAAATGAGTAAAAAATTTAGGAAAATTTGAAAGTATTATAAAAGAAAGAAATATCATCAAGCCAGGGTAAAGTTAATACCCAGCATGAGGCACTAGGTCTTTCGTAGAAGTCGGAGGCACACAGAACATCCCAAGATGGAGACAGAATTAGTCACATGAGTCCCTATGTCCATAAAATAAAACAAATTATTTCCTCTGGAGAAGTCCAGTTCTTTCAGTGAGGGCTGCTGCAATGCCAGTGCTGGCTCAGAGAAGTTCTAGGGAAGTTCTGAGAACTCTGCAGAGACACAACACCCACATGGGCTGACCTAACGTAAGCATGAATCTCAGAGTGTCTTGGAGAAATGGCCAAGCAGCGTGGGCCTGATAGGGCTGGCTGGGCAGTCATTCACTCCAGCTTGGTCATGGGTAGGGACCATGGGCAGGGACTTGGAGGACGTGCCCTTTGCTGAATTCTAGGTAGCTCTTTGAAGCGGCCAGTGGAGAACCCACCTGCTATGCTTCAGCTATATGTCAGAGGGTCAGTGGGAACTGTGCAGTCAGACCCAGAAAAGGCTTCTCCTCTGAAGTTGAACAGGTGGTGTTTTATACATCAACGACAAATGCCAGGGCTGTATCTGTGTGTGTGTGTGTGTGTGTGTGCACGCACGCATGTGTGTGTGTGTGTGTCAGGCTATTGAGCAGGTGGGGATGCTAGAGCCAGTCCCCTTCAACTCAATTCCAACTGAGCAACTTAGCAGCTCAGGCAAATCATGTCACTTTCTCAGATGTTTCCTCATCTGTCAAATTGAGTAAAAATAGGATCTTCCTTGTACTGTTGTAGGTTTCATGGCAAGCTCTCAGAACTGAGCCCAGAACACACTAGGAGTCTGGGTAAGTTTATATCCAAATCCTGTCCCTGTGTTTGTGTGGTGAGGATGAGCAAAAGGTTATTTTTAAAGATTCCTGTAGACATTTCTCTATTCCAGCTGTGTGTGTGTGGAGGGGGTCAGAGAATAGATAGAGTTTATCTTCATGAAACCCCATCTCTATGAAAAATACAAAAAATTAGCTGGGCATGGTGGTGGGCACCTGTAATCTCAGCTACTTCAGAGGCTGAAGTAGGAGAATCGCTTGAAGACAGGAGGTGGAGGTTGCAGTGATCCGAGATTGTGCCACTGCATTTCAGCCTGGGTGACAGTGCAAGACTTCGTCTTAAAAAAAAAAAAAATACTGTTTTCATGTTTGGGAAATTAGCTTACTTGGCTTATTGGCTATGAAGACTGAAAGCCTGGTCTTATAAGATGAATTTGAGACACTAGGGAGTTAAAATTTTCTGTATAATAAAAGTCATTTCCTTTCTTCTTTCCTTCCTTCCTTCTTTCCTTTCTTCCTTCCCTCCCTCGGTTCTTTTTTCCTTCCTTCTTTCCCTCCTCCCTCCCTCCCTCCCTTCCTTCTTTGCCTCCTCCCTCCCTCCCTTCCTTCCTTTCTTCCTTCCTTCCTTCCCTCCCTCTGTTCTTTTTTCCTTCCTTCTTTCCCTCCTCCCTCCCTCACTCCCTCCCTCCCTTCCTTTCTTCCTTCCTTCTTTTCTTCCTTTCTTCCTTCATTTCTTCTTTCATCCCTCCCTCACTCTCTTCTTCTCTCCCTTTCTTTCTTATTTATTCTTTCTTAGCATATATAAGCACATAAATATCATGCACATTCATGTTTTTTTTTTTTTTTTTGTATAGTGTGGAACTGCTTAGGGATCGTTTTCTGGAAATTCTTGGGCCATGAGAGAGAAGACTGTGGAAACTCTCTGATCTGAGGAAGAGACGGATGAACCTCTAGGGGTGGGCAAGTACTAAGTAGAGAGACTGTGAGCCCAGGACCTACCCACGCTGCAGGATAGTCCATTTACCTATGGATGCAGTGTCTGATATAGTGTCTAATATGTAACTGTGAGTGGTCCTTTCCTGTGTTGTAATTATCCTGGGGCACAGTCTGTGTTTCTATGGAAGTGGTTAACCACTGCTGTCTGGTATTTAACTAGCATTTCCTTGTCAAATGAATGAAGGACGAAGGATGGTATCTATTCTGCGAATGAACAGTGGGTAACAGGTGAAATGTTATGGGAGGTGATGAAGACTGAATGACCAGAGAAGGAAGAGGCTGAGGAGTGGGGAGTGACGGAGATGATGCGAAAGTTCTTTGGCAGGGGGAGCACTGAGTTTCCGCAGAAGGTATTCTTGATATCACAGGCCAGGTAGCCTGAGGACACTTCAAGCAAGGTTAGAGAACACATGGACAATTCCCAGAACACAGCACGGGATGAACCCACCCTCTGCTGGCAGAGGTAATGTGTGTCACATTGAAAGGAGTGGAGCATGCTGCTTTATCTCTAAGCAAACATATCTGTTCATGTGTCTTTGCCATTCGAATTAGCCCAAAGGTACCCAGAAAAAAATAGAACTTTTCCCATCAGTCCCACATGTGGTTGAATGTACTCACCTATTTTTTGAGCAGCTATTGTGTGTTGGCATTGTAGGGGACACAGGGATCCAGGGACACCAAGAGCCAAACAAATGGCACTAGTTGGTAAAGACACTCAGAGAAGGAGAAGTGACTTTGAGTCATAGACTATCTGACATAAATTTTAGAGACAATACACCTCAGGGCTTCACAGCAGGCAGAAGAAAGACTAGAAGCCCCTTCTAGTGACTTACAAGTGCCCCCAACCCAAAGGTCAAGGGTCTCTGCATGTGGAAGGGGAATGGCCATGTCTTGTCCTCCCACTTGGTGCCTGGAGCAGTTCTGAGCATTTGTAATACATCCACTCATCTCCTCCCGAGGACGAGCCTGGAGATGAGGCTCGGGAAGCTTCAGCACAGGCTCATATGATGGCATTTACAAATGGCGGGGCTGGTGTTCACTTCCAGCTGGTATTTAACACGTGTCGGTGTGTTAAGACGGAACCTCCCAGGATCCAGAGTTTTGTTTCATCGTATCCTTTGTCTTCCACGCCTTTTCTTTCTAGTGTCAATGGACTCAATAATCCAGATTGAGAATCAAGATGATGCTGGGCGAGTTGAGAAACAAGGTATGGGGAGTAGGCTGTGCTCAGAGGGACTGTCTCCTTCATCCCGCTGAGAACCCTTCTCCGGGGACTGAATTCTCCGGTTTCCTGAATCCAGGACTGCTGAATAATCACAGTCTCTTGAACTCTTTCTCTCTCTCTTTTTTTTTTGTCTCTTCCCCCCACCCCCCTCCATCATAGGCTCCCAGAAGTCCAGGCCCCCTCCTGGGTACACAGTGTTTCTTCCGTGCTGAAACCACTGTGCAACTGATTAGGTGTCCATCTTCTCAGGTTTAACTCATTCCGGTGTGGCTCCTCTAGGAGGGCTGTGCTGGAAATTCTTAAGCCCCCATTTGGAGTGCTCACCCTAGGCCAGAACTGGAGCTAAGATCTTAGCAGAGATTGGGTTCTTAGGAAGGAAGCAGATGCTGACATGGAGTTTGGAAACAAGATGCCTATCAGGGATCTGCACCAGAGAGAGGAGGCAGGGGAGACCCACAAGCAGGGCAGTAGGCCCAGCAGAGGTCGGCCAGCCCAGCTCTGGGATGAGCATTACCCCCAGGAGACCAGAAGGCATCTGGCTGATAGCTGGGCCCAGGCATTTCCACCCTGCTCAGTCCCCAGATGTGTGCTGTCTTTGGAAAGGCAAGCACGTGGGTTTGAGATCTGGGTGCTGTCTGCGGATCACTTCCTGGCAAGGGTCTCTGGGCAGCCTGTCTCTGTATCAACTACGGGTCTTTTCATAATTCTTTAATTTCCACCACAACCCCAGGAGGTAAGTAACATGGTTCCCATTTAATAGGTGAGAAAACTGAGTCCTAGTTGGTAACTCACCTACAGTCACACAGAGAGTGTGTGGCAACCAAGGTTTGAATCGAGGTCCATCTCCCATGCGCACACCTGACCAGGTGCCCCAGAACATCTCTGATCACTTTTACAGAAAGGATCTTGTCTCTGTTTTAAAGACTCTGGCCTCGTCTGCCGTGGGCTTATAAACACTTCCCTCTTAATGGGTCATCTTATTCCCAGTAAGAACTGCAACCCATCTGGCAGAGCCTCCCTTTCTCCTCTCTGGAGGTTAGAGTAGGGAATTGCCATTTATGGTGGTGAAGTGGAGACAGCAATCCCCAGAAAGAAATTTCCTAAAGCACCCGACTCCCTCCTCATAAACCAAAAAGCCTATCTCGTGACGCTCCATCTCCAGGGATAAGAAAAGGGTTTTCTCCTTTCTTTTCCTAGATGAGAAGATGCCTGTGCTCCTGGGTCTGAGTCCCTTGTTGGTCTCAGAAAGCCCCAAGTTCCTCCCTCTTGAGCACAAACAGGCAGTTCATCCCCAGGACTTTCTGGAGACAGAGGGGGATTGGGTCTGGAGGGACTCAGTCATGTTTTGGTTTCGGGGGTTGTAGGGGCGATGGAGCCGGGTGCATTCTTCCTTAAACCTAGGTTAATTTCCTCACCAACATTCAGGGTCATGCCCTCGGACATCTTTGTGTCACACTGGGAGCTAAAATAAAGAAATAAATAACTCCCTCTCTCGATGTTGTCCTACTGTAATTGTATATTTATTCAGGAGTTTGGCTTTCCCAAGCACCTGTCTTGAACAGCCTTATCACTGCGTGAGCTTGTATGGGAACCAACACGTCCAGCTGTCATAGCACACAGCCTGCGGCATCTTTGTATGAAAATAAGGCAGGCGGCACCTGATTGGGGGAGAATTTTTAATCTCGACAATTTGTGTCTAAATTTGGGGGTGACCAGCCTGTCAGCTCCAGTGACCCAATCGTTCTTTGAGGTCGACGCAGGCAGCAGCTGCCACAGCCTTCACACTTCTTTTTTTATTATTATTGTTTTTCGGGAGGGAAAGAGGAGGGAGGCCATTGGGGAGGGAGGGGGAAATAAGAAAAAAAAAAAAAGCCGCGCTGCTATTTTTGTCGCATTTTCGAATCCTGTTTTAGTGCAAGAATTTAATTATACATATTTTCATCATTTCTTATATTCTGACATATTAATTAAGGACGCTCTAATTCGGTTTCCGTAGCACCGTTGGCTTACTCTGTAAAAACATTTTACCGTTATTGTACAAATAGGAAACGAAAAGGTAAAGGTAGCAAGGCCCTGGGTTGTCAATACATGTGTGCCTCTCCCTCTGTCACCCTCCTCTGTGTCACAGAAGAGATGGGCCCTTCATCATTTTACAAATGAAAGGATGGAGCCGCCCTGGCTCTCCCTGCCCTGCCTGGGTTGGCCCTGCAGAGGAAGTGGACTCCCAAAAGCTGCCTTGCCGATGCGGCTATCAGGCCCTCCCGGGGGCCTGGGGGTGGGAGGTGAGGACAAAGGCATGGAAGGGTCTTACAGGAACCATCTAAGGAAGGTCTGCAGGGCCAGCTGGGGCTCACCAGGTGAGCTTTGCATTCTGCAACTGCTTCAGATCTTTTTATATCCTTTCTCTCTAAGTCTCAAAAATATTCAGGGTCAATATTATTATGTTCACTTTACTCGTGAGAAAATAAAACCAAATAATTATGAGCAGTTATTGATGTGCTTAACCTAATGCCACATATTGTCCAGCTCTGTCACTTAGAAATGTCCTCTGTCCCCCAGAGATCTACTCCTGGATGCGGGTACAGGACAGCATCCCCAGACTGTTTGTAAAGTCTCATGTGATACATGGAGGGCAGGCCTCCTCAGCTGAAGAGACCTGGCAAAATCACAATAAATCATGTGATGCAGGAGGAGGGCACACAGCTTGGTGTAAGGGATTGTCCAGCTCTGTCTTTAGATGCCCTATAATTTAGTTATCACTTGAGACCACATATACAGGAATGGGGAAGAGTGGTCTTGTGTCTGAGCTTCAGATTCCAAAGCCCCCCAAAAGGGTGTTTATATCCAAAGAGAGAAATGGCCACAGGGCATCCATGATTGTGGTAAGAGAAATAGGCTTGGTTCCCTCCCAACCTGCCTTGAAGGACAAACTAGTGAATTCCCAAAGAAAACCACTGTGACTTGTATCTAGTCAAGAATGGCCAGGAAAGGCATCCTGGGAATGTTCTATACTGGAATCTGAGGGTTAAGCAGAATCTGGGTGCAATAGAGGTAGCTCAGGCAGAAACTTTGGAGTGGGGGGCAGCAGTTTGAGAGGAGGAGAAAAAGGCCTCTTCAGTAGCCCTAGTGAAAGCTGAGATGGCAGACAGGGAACAGGGAGGCAGGAACCGGTGCAGGATGCGGCTGGAGAAGAAAATTGCTGCTAGAGCTCGCAGGGCACTGTGGGCCCCTCAAAGATGGGGGTCTCTCCAGATGACCAACAGAGAGCCACTGGATAGTTTAAAGTAGATGTAACATAGTCAATTGTGTGCCTAAAAAAATGGTTATTTTCTTCTTTTCTTTCCTTCCTTCTCCTCCCTCCCTCCCTGCTGCCCTCCCTCTCCACTCCCTTTCTTCCTTCCTTCTTTCCTCCCTCTCTCCCTCCTCACCTTCCTTCTCTCCAACCCTCCATCTCTCCTTCTCTTTCTCTCCCTTCCTCCTTTTCTTTCTCTCTGTCTCCCTCTTTTTTTCTTCCCTTCTTTCTTTGACTTACTTATCTTTGCCAAGATGATGTTTACCATCAATCTAAGAAACATGATGTTTACTGCCAAGCTAAGAAATGGTTCTTTTTTTTTTTCTGGGACATTTCAAGCCTTAGCTAGGAGTTTGAGAAGGTGGACATAAGCAGTGAATCCTAAGCATGCTGGGATTGCACCAGTGATATTGCCCAGTTTCCACAGGTTTGGGAAACTTCCCGAAGATGCCCTTGGTGTTTGAAGCTTAGTTTAAAAGCCTCTGCCTGAGGTCCTTGCTGGGCCTGGATACCTAAACAATTCATGCTCCCTCAACCACATCTCCCATCCATGCTCATGGACAGCCCGTTTCTTTGTGTTCCCATAATCCCCAGGTGACTCTAGGTCCATAACGTCACCTAGCCGACAATCTTCACTCTGTTTCCTTGCCTTGGTCTTTCCAACGCCAGGTTGTCAGGAGCCCACACATACTTACAGGTGGGAAGGGCCTGAAAAGGTTGCCAGGGCAGAAGACACTATTCCTACTCCCCACCTTGGCTGTTCTGGTTCTCTAGGCCTGGATCACCCTACCCTCAGCTGCAACCCAAAGTGTCCTCTCTCCCCCAAAGATCTGCTCCTGCATGGGGGTACAGGACTGCACCCCCAGATTGCACATGAAGTTTCATGTCGTACATGGAGAGCAGGCCTCCGCTGCTGGAGAGACCTGGCAAAATCACAATAAATTGTGTGATGCAGCAGTTTCCCAGGAGCGAGCACACATGGGTGTAAGGGATTGTCCAGCTCTCTCACTAAGGAAGGAAACAGACTGTCTTTCTGCTTGCCAGCTATTTCCTTAGGGCTCATGGAACCCCTAAAGGAAGCAATGAAGATCCAGGAAAAAAAAAATAAGTTCTTGCTCCCTCTTGCACCAGGCATGGTGTCAGGGAAGCTCCCTTGGGGAAGGTGACACTTATGCTGCAGAGAGAGAGAGAGACCATGTAAGAGATGAGGAGTAGCTTCAGACCCCTGACTGTGGGACATTGGGTTACAAAGCATAAGGACATTCACAATGATGTACAATTACCATGCCACAAAATCATTCACTTTGAAACGGCTGATTTTATGTTATGTGAATTTCCCCCCAATTTTTCTCAAATTTCAGAAAATACATTTTCTGGGTAAAGATATTTTTTAAAAGGGCACAAGAAATGTTGAGAAAAGGGCTCCTGTGGAGGTTAGTGAGAGACAGGGAGTACCTGGCCCTGGGGTTTCACCCACCTATGGGACACCTGCCTTTCAGAGAATCCCTCAAATGGCCCATGTTTCTGCCACACACATGTGGCTGCTGAATTCATGTGGCCTCTGAGCTCACTGCCACTGCATCTTCTTTGTTTGGCTCTAATCCCATTGCCCTGATGTGTGTGTTCAACAGAGCCTCCATGTTCATTGCTTTCCTCCTGTGGAGCCAACTAAGTGGGGATTTAGACCAGTTGGCTGCTTTGGGAGGCATGCTAGCATTTGTATGGGGGAATCCTTAAGAGTGTTCAAAGCCTGTGCCTTCAGCTAAGCTCCACGATCCAACTTGCCCTCCATGGCTGGACCTCGTCCTAGAATTCTGCCTGGCATTATCCCTTATGCCTCAACTATGTCCTCGCACTTCTCCTTGGGTATACATTACTGTGAATCACTTCTGGCCTCTCTTGTGTCCTACCAGCCTGAGGCAGCCTAGCCTCTGGGATCTTCCACATGGACCAGATTCAACCTCTGGTTTGCACTGATCTTATGAATCAACGCTTTGGACTTTGCAAGTGGGCAACTCCATTCCTTCCAATGCTGATATTGTCCTCTCTTAAAGGGGTTACTGGCTGGGTGCAGTGGCTCATGCCTATAATCCCAGCACTTTGGGGAGCTGAGGCAGGCAGATGACCTGAGGTCAGGAGTTTGAGGCCAGCCTGCCCAACATAGCAAAACCCCGTCTCTACTAAAAATACAAAAAAATTAGCCAAGCATGGTGGTGGGTGCCTGTAATCTCAGCTACTCAGGAGGCTGAGGCAGGAGAATCACTTGAACCTGGGAGGCAGAGGTTGCAGTGAGCCGAGATCGTGCCACTGCACTCCAGCCTGGGTGACAAGAGCAAAACTCCATCTCAAAAAAAAAAAATCGGGGGGGTGGGGGGCGGTGGTTACCTGGGGCACCAACTTGCATGCAAGAACTCATCCCAGGAAGCAACTAGAGACAGTGCTGTCATTGCAGTAATGTAAAGTAAAGAGAGCTGGCAGCTGAATTCAACTATACTGGAGAGGAACTGCTGATGCTCCGAGTGCCTACAGCATCCACAGCCCTCTTCTGAGACACTCTGTTGGCTTGAGCTTTCATGTTTCTCTGTCCAGTGTGGCCTCAGTCCTCTTTGCCAAACTGATTGAATGTTGGAAGTAAATCTGCACTAGAAGCTGTCACCCAGGGACTATCCAGCTATAAGGTGACCCCATGAGGTCACTGAAGACTGAGTGTCCCCCTCCTGGGTGGAGTCTGAATGAACCAACTGGGGTCCCTCTTCAGAGGATTTGATGTGGATGTCCAGAGAAAAGTAGATGGTGAGGCAGGAGCAGCAGAGACAGCCACAGAGGGTGACTGGAATGATAGGATAGCAGAGCCTCAGGTGAGGGGAGAAGTCTGATGCTCCAATGTCCTGCCACCAAGGCAGCGGGGTGGCAAGAACTGAGTGGTACATGGCTGCTTGAATGTCCTGATGCCTGGAAGGCTGTGGGTTCTGCTTGCCATGAGTTCGCTCTGCTTTCTCTTTCCTGGAAACCCCATGGGCTATAGAAAGAAACTTTTATTGACTGAATGTATTAGGTTGGTGCAAAAGTAATTGCATTTTTGCATTACTTTTTTTTTTTTTTTTTGAGACCAAGTTTCACTCTTGTCACCCAGGTTGGAGTGCAGTGGCATGATCTCAGCTCACTGCAACCTCCACCTCCCAGGTTCGAGTGATTCTCCTGCCTCAGCTTCCTGAGTAGCTGGGATTACAGGCGTGTGCCACCACACCCGGCTAGTTTTTGTATTGTTAGTAGAGACAGGGTTTCACCATGTTGGCCAGGCTGGTCTCAAACTCCTGACCTCAAGTGATCCACCTGCCTTGGCCTCCCAAAGTGCTGGGATTACAGCTGTGAGCCAATGTGCCTGGCCTGCATTACTTTCAATAGCAAAAACAGCAATTACTTTTGCACCAACCTGTGCTTGTATATGTCTGTACTTCCTGAAATCCCCCCAAAAAACCAAGCTGGACTTAGAATAAGCCCAGAATAAGAAGACAAAGAACCAGAAGTCAAGGTTTTACCCAGAGAGAAAGGGGAGAAATGGAAGGGAAGATGGAGCCAAGAAACAGAAACCAGGCTGAAAGTGAACAGACACAAACCCTGATATTTGACACGGACACCAGTGTACATTTGCTCCCCACCCTAGGGGGGCACAAAGCCTGTTGGCCTGTCTGACAGGCCTAGAGATCCAATGCCCAGACAGACACACAAGTGGCAAAATCCCGGGTGCCCTGAATTTGGAAAGAGCTTTTGGTTTACACACACACCTCAGGGAGAGACAGTCCTAAAAACCAGTTGCCTCACCCCTGGCCTGTTGGCAAAGCCACGATGAATGACTCCCTCTCTCCAGAATCTGTAGGCCTCTTGACTCTTTTAGACTTCCCTAATAGACTTTGATTCAAAGCCGAAATGAGGTTTAAGCTGCTGATAGCATGTCTCGGCCACTTCGGGAAAGCAATGCTGGGTGCTGATGCTGGAACGCCAGCAAAGGGGGATTAGAAGTCTCGGCTGAGTTCTGCCGCTGTGACTCTGTGTTACTATTAAGAGGGATGGATTAATATCAAGTTTCAGGGATCTGGTTGCTCACTGATACTGCTTAATTATCCAGATAAGTGATCGGCATCCAAGCATGAGTGGCAGCGTAAATCTCAAAGCCATCATCTTTGTTTTCCCCCCCTCCTCTTCTCTCTCTCTCTTTTTATTTATTTATTTTTTGGAAAGAAAGTATTCATTTAAGTATCACTGAGATACGTATTTTAAAATTCTCATTAAGCTTTAAACACAAACAGCAGTTGTGGCTGTGTTAATTTTTTGTTGTTACTCACATCACAGGAGGAAAAGGGATAGTGTTTGCAGTGGCCAAAGGTGGCCAGCAGCTTCTGCCCCCTCCCTCCTTCCAGCCATTTACTCCAGAAGGCTCCCCCGGCCTCACCCCGTCTCCGTCTCCCACCCTGCCCTTGTGCTCACTGCAGGGAGCGACCAGCCCCCCTCTGGGGCTCACACCACAGGCTGGGAGCATCTGCTCTTCCAGCCCGGGTGGAGGCTGGGGGTGGCCAGGGCTGCCTTCTGGGCGGGGGAGCCCGCCCCTCTGCCTCTTCGCCTTCTGTCTTGGCTGGTAATTTTATCCCGTGAAGAATCTTTTCCCCCTTCTCTCTTGCTCTCTCTGTCTTCTGGGCCCTGCTCCACTTGAACTCTTGTATTACCCCCGTCGCCCTGATTAGAGCTGTCTGGCTCAGGGTGCACCCACCTGAGGCTGGGATTAAGGATCAAAGGCAGGCCAAATGGAGCGGCCCAGGCTGCGCCTTCCGTGCCCGTAAACACCATTTAGGTCTCTGTCTTTGACCCATCTGCTGCTTCCTTACTTGAGTCAGATGCTCTGTCTCCTAATTAGGCACTGACTGTCCATCAGGCACCCAGCTAGGCACCAGCCAGGACTGATGTCTCCCAGGCACTCGGGAGAAGCCCCCCGGCCCCTCCTTGCCACTGCACTCAAGGACCCTGCTCTTCTCCTGTTGCCTGGATGGCCATAGCCTTCCATGGGACACTCCCGGGTACCAGCCAGTTCCCAGGACCCAACAAACCAGGCAGCTTCTCACCACTAGGCCTTCACTCAAGCTGAGACCTCTGTCTGAACTAGCCTTCCACTTCGCGAGGTCAGCTCTTACGCTTTAAGAACAGCTGGTGTTCTCAACCTTCACTGTGCATCAAACTCTCCTGGAAGGTATTTCAACATCCCATGCCCAGGCTTCACCTCAAAGGTTTCAATTCAGATGGTCCAGGGACATCTGGGCGGGGGTGTTTCTCTATAGAAACACCCAAGTATTTCAGACGGAAACCCCTATGCACAGCTTCCAACCTCCTCTGGCCTCAGCCATGCCACCCTGGCCCTCCCGCTTTATGCTCAGCCTCATCATTCTTCATGTGGCTGCAGGCCATTTGCTTACCCTGAACTTTCTGCCAGGAATATAACCCACACCCGTTTCTCCTAATTAGCTTCTTCTTATTCTTCAAATATTTGTTCTGCTTTTACAGGCCCAGGAAAGCCTTCAAGATCCCCCAAGGTGAGGTCAACCTCCCCATTAGAGACGCTGTGTTTTTACCCCTGTGCTTATGCTGGCTGTGATTAGAACTCTCCATGAAGTGCCTTTATGGGCCATTGCCTGTCTTTCTGTCTGTAAGCTCAGGAAGGCAGGAGTCATGTAGCTGTGTGCACCTTGGTATCCAGGCATCAAGTCCCGAGCCGAGCACATGGTGCACATACGGAGGTTAGTGAGTGAGATCAAGGAGGGCAGGGTTAGTCAGCAGAGAGGGGTCAGGTTAGCCAACTCTTCAGCACCCTCACACATTCATTCCTGGCTCATTTAACCCTGGCGTTAGCCTGACTAGCAGGCATTAATATATCCTTTCCCTGGCAAGAAAATGGAAACATCCAGAATGTAGTCACTTGGCTAAAGTCACAGGAAAGGAATGAGTGGTGGAGGAAGAGGAACTCCAGGTGGGCCATGGACACAGTTGTCAAGAAACAGAGAGCTGGCTCCGAATAAGGGCATTGCCCTAGTCTTATTCTGTGTGACAGTGATGGTTGGCATTGGGAGGAAGATCGCAAACACAGGGCAACAGAGGAATGGGGATGAGGAAGAATGAGCTGGAATCCTGGCTCTGTTATTCCAACCTCCATCAAGTCCTTTAGCTTTTACTAAGTGTTCATGTCTGGAAATGAGTATAATAACACCCACTCTTCTGATTGTGTAAGGAGTGGTTGCCAATCATCATAGACTGTGAGCTCATTGATGACACTGTCTCTTTCTTCACCATCTTGCTCCCAGAGCCTACCACGGTGCCTAGCATGTAGTATTGACTGAAAAATATCCTAAATACAATGATAGAATATAAAAAATAACAAGTACTGACTGGCCACAGTGTCTCACGCCTGTAATCCCAGCACTTTGGGAGGCTGAGGCAAGCAGATAACTTGAGCCCAAGAGTCTGAGACCAGCTCGTGCAACATGGTGAAACCCTGTCTCTACAAAAATTACAAACATTAGCCAGGTGTGGTGGTGTGTGCCTGTAGTCCCAGCTACTTAGGGAGGGGGCTGAGATGGGAGGATCATCTGAGCTCGGTGGTTGAGACTGCAGTGAGCTATGATTGCACCACTGCACTCCAGCCTGGGTGACAGGGTGAAACTCAAAACCCAAACCAAACAAACAAACAAAAAACAGAGGAAAACAATTATTAACATGGCATGGGGCTTCATCAGTTTATAAAGCATGTTTATACACACTGCTGCCTTTAGATCCGACTTAGATAGAGGAATTGAATTATGTAACCTGTCCTGATGAGAGACATGGCAACTTTGACCAGGGGTTAAGAGGCAAGAAGAGAGAGATTTAAGATGGACATCAACATGACTTAGTGGGAGACTGGCCTTAAGGGTGGAAGAGATGAAGGTGCATCGCTGTTACCTTTAGTGTTGCCAGCAGGGAAACCTGCTCAGGGAGACAAAACAGGAGACCGCAGCTCTCCCAATCAGTGTCAAAGATAAAATTCAAATGAAGACTTTAAAAAAAAAATGACTTAAAAGGTGGTGTCCAAACCAGAGAGCTTTGAGAGGGGAAGGAGGTAACACAGACAATTAAGCCAGGATAACAGATATAAACCAAGACTGTCCTGGGCACACCAGAGTGTATTACCAATCTATTTAAAACTGGCCGGCAGTGGTGACTCATGCCTGTAATCCCAGCACTTTGGGAGGCTGAGGTGGGCGGATCATGAGGTCAGGAATTTGAGACCAGCCTGGCCAATATGGTGAAACCCGGTCTCTACTAAAAATACAAAAATTAGCCAAGCATGGTGGCGCACCCCTCTAATCCCAGCTACTCAGGAGGCTGAGGCAGAAGAATCACTTGAACCCAGGAGGCGGAGGTTGCAGTGAGCTGAGATCGCGCCACTGCACTCCAGCCTGGGTGACAGAGCAAGACTTCGTCTCAAAAAAAAAAAAAAAAGAAACCAAAAAACCACAAAAGTTATACACAAGTACAATATTATGGCTATTATGATGACAATACAGTTAGGATGATTATTAGAGTAATTTTATGACTAAAAATTTTCTGCCTTTACATTACTTGTTTATCCTCACTTTACTAATTTATTTATTTTTATCATCCTGAGTCCAACTGAGGAACGATCTCTGAAAGTAGCTCATAGGCACGGGTGATGTAATCCGTGTCAAGTCACACTAATCTTTTCCATTTTCCTCTCTTCTGTTAGGCTACCAGCTTGGAATCGCTGCAGGGGGTTCTTCTCAGTTATGGAGATTCTAGACCAGAGCTCCCTTCTTCAGCAGCCCATGGCCACCGCTGGGGACAGTTCAGGCCCATGAGGCTGCTGTGTCCATCGCCCCGCATGTTAAGCTATGAGTGTATGTGTGTAGATGTATATTTGTGTCACACTTCCTTAAGTTGCATATGAATTTAGAAAAATCCTTTATTTAATCAGCTTCAGCTTAGAGAAAAGAAAAGAGTTCATTAAAACTTCACCTCTTGAAGAACTTGCCCTCAAATCTGAATCTACTCCATTCAGGCAACCACACAATCACAGTCGTAGTTATGGGATGCCCTACAAGTTAGTTATCACTTGAGGCAGATGAAATTAGAATTATCAAAATTAGTATCATGGAAAGGATTTTTAATAGACCTTTTTAGGAGAAAAAGAAGGATGCCTGGAGAGAGGTAAGACTGTTATTTCTGAGTCTTTTTTAAATTATAAAAAATATTCAGCATACAGAAAAAGATGGCACATCATAATAAACACAACTGTACCCAATCATCACAGGGCCTTCATTTGTTGAATCGTTAACATTATTTATTTAGGTATACAAATTCATCATTACTAATATAATTAAAGCCTCCCATTCACCCCTTTCTCAAACATTCCTTCCCTTTCTCTCCTCAAAGTCAACAAATTGCCACTTTAATGTATTTTATTCTTCTCATATAAACTGCATATTTGTCTTCATTATCCATAATCATTTATGCTATTTTGCTTAATATTAAACTTTATATTATGTACATCATGTGATATACAATATCTAACATACTGCCACGCTAAACACAGCCATTTTCAGATTTTTATGTTGTGACACGGATCTCTACTTCATTCATTTTAACTGCTATATGGTATTTGAAGGTATGAATATATCACAATTTTAATATATTCTCCTGTTGGTTATTTAGGTTTCTGTTTTTTGCCATTACAAACAATGCTAGAATGAAAATTCTTACCCTTGACTCCCTGTATGTACAGTTTCTCTAGGGTGTTCTGCTAGAAGTGGAATTGTTGGGTCACAGAATAACGAACGTCTCCAATCTAAACAGATACTGCCATTTATTTTCCAAAGTATTTTGTACCGATTTAAATTCTCCCAACTGTGTCTAAGAGGTCCTACTAATGCATATTCTTGTCAAGTCTTAGTACTATCAACTTGTTTTCCTTTTTAAATGTTCCATTCTTATGTTATTTGTCTCCCTGATATATACTGAGGTTGCGCATCTTTTGATGTCTTTGGTTGTCCAGATTCTCTCTTTGCTGAATTTCTTATTTATATCCTTCGTCAATTTTTTCTCTGTGGCTGCCTATGTTTTCCTTATTGTCTTATAGGTTTTTGTAGATATTTGTAGATATTCTGGACAGAGATGTCTTCTTGACTATATTCATTGTTTTAAATGTTCAATTTCTATAGTGTCATTAGTAAATTTAGTAAAAGATATTTGTGTCTTGTGTCCTTTTATTAATTTGAGATATATGTATCTGGTATTAAAAAAAAGAACTCTTGATTAACTTAGGAAGATAGAGATGTTTCTTCATTTTTTTCTGAGTTTTTGTTTTTACACTGAAATATTTAATCCACTTAGAGTACACTTTTGTAAATGATGCGAGGTGGATTTCTAATTCTCTCTTATTCTGGAAGCAAAAGCAATTTTCCTGCACTATTCATCAAACAGTCCATCATTTCCCAATTATGGCAGTGACTAATAAACTATTCATCAAAGCTGACTTCTATTCTTCCTGGAGCAAGCTGGACTTCTTCCCCCTAGTCACCCTCGGAGTGTGATGGTGCCATATGACTGAGTTCTAGACAGTAGAAAATGAGGGGCATGCCATGCACACTTCCAAGGCTGGCCGAGTAGGTGGCTTCTGCAAGGGGAACCCCATATTTCTCTTCCATTAGCTTGAGTTGGTCAAGGTGGGCAGAGACACCATATGTGGAAGACACTGGATCCACAAGGTTGAAAGGATGTGCTATGTTCTGAATCTTTGTATCCCCTTAAAATTCATAGGTTTAAATTCTAACCTCCAAGGTGATAGTGTTAGTAGGTGGGGACTTTGGGAGGTGATTACTTCACAGAGGTGGAGCCCTCATGAATGAGCTAAAAGCTTTTATAAAGGAGGCCCCAGAGAGCTGCCTCACCCCTTCCATCATATGAGGACACAGCAAGAGGGTGCTATCTATGAGGAACAGGCCTTCATCAGACACCAAATCTACTGGCACCTCCACCTTGAACTTTCCAGCCCCAAGAAGTGTGAGAAATTGATTTCTGTTATTTATGGTTTTTGTTGTAGCAGCCCAAACAGACTAAGTCAGCTTAGGTTCTGGAATTATAGCTTTTAGGAGAGGTACGTGCCAATCAGGGATTCTTATGAGGTAGAAATGAACTTCTATTATGCTAAAATATTGTGGTATTTACCTGGTACAGCAGCTGGCATTTTCTAAAATAATACACGTGCTAATCCCTATTGCTACCTCTTTCATAAATCAAATTTCTAGATATGCATAGGTCGAATTCTGGATTTTCTACTCTGGTTTTATTGGTCTCCCTATACTGATTACCACTCACTTATTGATATAATTTTACATTCAATATTCATGTCTGGAAGTCTAAGTCCCACCATATTGATCTTTAAAATTGTGTTGGCTTTTTTCTATCATGTAAATTTTGGAATGAGTTGTTACGCTCCAAAAAATTCCTATTGGGGTTTTGACTGAAATAACATTGAATTTACAAGCGAAATTAGGTAGAATCAAAAGCTCAACATCATGGTATCATTACAACATAAAAGGGTGTCTGTTTGTGTGCATACATATATGTGTGTGTTTGTATGTACACACACATACATACACAGAGTTAAGGTATGAAATCAATAAGTCTTGAAGAATTTTTGAAAAATTGTAGTAAGATTTCTTACATGATGTTTTCTATTTTTGTTGCCATTGAAAATGGTATATATTATTATTGTTTTTTATAGAGATGGAGTCTTACTGTGTTGCCCAGCCTAGTTTTAAATTCCTGGGCTCAAGTGATCCTTCTACCTCAGCCTCCCAATATGCTAGGATTACAGTAAATGGTATATTTTTAAAGAAACATTTTCTAATCATGGCTCTTTATAGAAATGTGATTGATTGAATAAAATGAACATGTATCTAGCAACCTTGCTGAAATCCTCTTATGCATTTTGTTAATAATGATAGTTTGGTCTGTTCTTTTACAACCTTATGCTTTTATTTATTGTTTGCTGTTCTAGCTAATCCAACTCAGTGTTGGACTAAGCAGTGACATGGGAGTCACATGGCTTTTATTTAACTATTATTGGAATATAAATGTTTCATTAGTGATTAAGCTGTTAGTTTTTGGAAATTAGCAGAGTTATTTTCTGTTTCCAGTTTGCTAGTTTTTTTTATTATAAATGGGTTTTGGATTTCATCAAGTGCCCTATATTAATTGATCAGATAGTTTTATTTCTTTATTCTGCGAATATGGTGAAAAGCATTAATTTATCTTCCAATGAAAATGACCCTTATATTTCTAAATTAATCCCAAATTGATCATTTTACATACTATTTAATTCTGTTTGTAGTATTTTATTTCAGATTATTTAGTTAATATTCATTTATATTTATAAATGAAATTGCCTGTAATTTTCTTTTCTCACAGTTTCTTTTCTAGTTTCGGCATCAAAGTTATTCCAGAATCACAAAATGAAATGTGAAATATTCTCTTACATTTTCTCTTCTGTTGGTCAGCTGGAAGAAAGCAGATATTAAATCTTTCCTATTTGTTTGAACTTGCAGGTAAAATCTACTCAGGTTTTAAAAATCTCTTTCTTTTTTAAACAATAATCATTAAATAGTGATTCAATGTATTTAGTTCTACTTGGGTTGTCCAACTGTTCATGAAGAGTGTTTTGTTAATTCAATATTCCCAGGATTCTTTTTCCATTTGTATGTTTTTTAAACATACAGCATAAAGTTGTTCATAGTTTCCTCTTACATTTTCAGTCTCTTCTCACTCTATCTACAATTATTTCATATTACTAATTTCTGCTTTTTATTTATTCATTCTCTATCTGCAGATCTTTCATATTACTAACTCCTACTTTTTTAAATTTTTAGTTGCTTTCTCTTCCCTTGAGCTATATCACTGGATATGACTCTATTATTTTTTGCAAACAGCTAAGTTTTGATTTTGTTCATTTTTTCTGTTAAGTGTATTATGTTATCTCTACTTCTACTATATCTATATTTCTTCATTTTAAGGTTTACTTTTATGTTCTTACTAAAAAAATCTTTATTTGTATCATTAGGTTATTGATTTTTTCTTTTTTAATAAGAGCAATTAAGACAATAAATTTCTCCTTAAAACTTGCTTTAACTGCATCTCATGCTTTTGATAATAATATATTCATTATAATTCCATTCTAGTTATTTTCAAGCTTTTATTGTGATTTATCCTTTTATGTTTAGGTTATGTTTACAGGTGCTTTACATTTACAGATGTACATGTACTACTCATGTTTTCATCAGGAGAACAGAAACACATTATATATTTCAAGAGGGAATTTAACGTGAGTAATCAATTACAAAGGTACGAGAAAATTAAAGTGCAAAAAGCAAACACTACTGTAACACTGAAATAGTAACTTTAGGAGTAGCTGCCTAATATAGCTTGGCTGTGTCCCCACCCAAATCTCATTTTGAATTCTCATGTGTAGGAGATACCCAGTGGGAGGTAACTGAATCATGAGGATGGGTCTTTTCCATGTTGTTCTCTTGATAGTGAATGTCTCATGAGATCTGATGGTTTTAAAAAGGGGAGTTTCCCTGCACAAGCTCTCTTTTCTTGTCTGTTGCCATGTGAGACATGCCTTTCACTTCCACCATGATTGTGAGGCCTCCCCAGGCATGTGGAACTGTAAGTCCAGTAAACCTCTTTCTTTTGTAAATTGGCCCATCTTGGAGACTGTAAGTCCAGTAAACCTCTTTCTTTTGCAGATTGTCCCATCTTTATCAGCAGCATGAAAATGGACTAATACACTGACAGTCCCAGGACTGGGAGTGAATGAAACAGGAAAAAGCTGGTGGTAAGATTTCTGTGGAGGGGCTGCTACCCTGCTCATACTGGTACTGGAGCAGGCACAGGGGAGTGGTTCTGGGAGTGCTCAAAGAAACTGGAGCCGAAAGTGCTGTTGCTTTCAGGGTGAGGTTGGCAGGAACAGGAAGACAGACAGGAAGTCCCACCTCCAGACCACATAGAGTGCCTCCTATTGGCCAAAACTTACAGGAAGCCAAATGAGAATTGGGAAATAAGTTTTGTAAAGTCTCAGTTCCTGAATCACAGAGCAGATTACAGTAGGGGTTTTTGAGCTGAAAATTAATAAATATTTAACCAACAAAATAGATGTCAAAATTAGTTATTGATATCTAACTGGAGTGCTCTTTTCCATTTAAAGTTGATGCTTGAACAACATGGGTTTAAACTGTGTGAGTGCACTTATGAGTGGATGTTTTTCAATAAAAGTTACACCAAGTGTGCCTGCCTCTCTTGCCTCCCCTTCCACCTCCTGCACCGCTTCCACCTCTGCCATTCCAGAGACAGCAAGACCAACTCCACTTTTTCTTCCTCCTCCTCAACGAATTCAACCTAAAGATAGGGATGAAGACCTTTAAGATTATCCACTTCCACTTAATGAATAGTAAAGGTATTTTCTCTTCCTTATGATGTTGTTAATAATGTTTTCCTTTTTTTTCTAGCTCACTTTATTGTAAGAGTACAGTATGTAATATACATAATATACATCATCTATGTTAATTGACTATGTTATCAGTAAGGCTTACAATCAATAGTAGGCTATTAATTGATAGGTTTTGGGGGAGTCAATTGTTATACCTGTATTTTCAACTGAGTAGGAGGTCATCCCCCCAAATCCCCACATTGTTCAAGAATCAACTGTACTTTGATGCCCCATACAACAGAATTTCCATGGAAGGAGTTAAAACTGAACCTGATCACTACTGTCTATCTGAGGAGCAGACAAGATCCTGTACTTGCCATGTGCTGATCTAGCAGAAACATAGTGCAAGCACACATGCAATTAAAAATTTCCTAGTACCCACAATGAATAAAATAAAACGTGTAAAATTCATTTTAATAACATATATTCCTTAATCTATCCAAAGATGCACCCTTCAACATGTAATTATCATAAAAATATTAATAAGATATTTTACTGTTTTTTAAATTTAGTACTAACTTTTCAAAATCCAGTGCCTATTTTATACTTTCAGCACACAGAAATTCAGGTGCTAATTTTTTGTTAGAAATATCTGATCTGTGTTTAGACCTAAAACTTACAGTTTAAAAAGTTGATTTATTTATATAAGTTATTTCAAACATAATTAAAGTTTTCCATTTACTAAATCAAGTATTTTTTAAATTAAAATTAATTACAATCAAATGAAATTAAAAGTTTATTTCCTTAGTCCCAGTAGCTGTATTTCAAGTTCTAAATAGTCACATGTAGATGGCAGTTTCCATATTGATGAGCATAAGTTTAGAAGATTCTAGAAAGGACAACTGGAGATGCACATAGTTTAGACTCTTCAGGTGGGGCAACTAGGAAAGTAAGATGTCTTCCTCCTGGGCTTTAGGGACTAAATACAACAAAATTCCCCGAATGGGAAGCCACAAGGCACTCATAAAGAATGTTTAATTCCTTCATGCACTTTTGCATGTGGAACAACATTTTCTTTCTTACCTTCTGAGGGATAACGTTTTCTTTCTTTCTTACCTTCAATTGTCTATTCATCTCTTCATCCATCCACTTTTGCATCCGCCTACTCATCCATCCATTCATTTTTTCCTTCCTGTTGAGGATCACTGAGCATCTCTTTACTAGAAACTATATAATAGACACTATGCTAGGCTCCAAGGACAAGGATGGATATGACATAGTCTCTACAATCTAGTAGGTGTAGCTATCTACATAAACAAGATTTTGCAATTTGAGGTGATAATGTGGCAGAAGTGTGAAAAGATTATATAGTGAGAATAAGCATGAAGAAGTGACAAATTCTGCTAGTAAGTGGAAAAGATGTTTCTGAGAGAGGGAACAGCAAGTGTGAATGTAGGCTGAAACACCAAGCTGTGCTTCAGTAATTAGGAGTAGTGTGGGTGGATTTGTGGGAGTGTAGAAGGGAGTGGAGGTGAAACCAGAAACATGAGCTGGAGCCTGAGTGCTGGAGCCTTGGGCAAGGTGTCTGAGTTCCCTCTCATGGGTGGTGTGGACCTGCTGAAGAGTGTAAAGCAAGATCAGACAGGTGTTTGGAAAAGATTATTCTCCAAAGTAGTAATGGAAAGCAGCAACAGTGAAACAGTGAATGCTTACATTGGCTACTCCACTTGCTTGGGGTGAAATGTGCTCCTATGAGCTTTTCTCTGATATTTTCTGTGAATATTTCATTTAATGGATTTATTGGTTTATCCCCAATATCTTGGATGCAGCTATTTTGGAATGTGTTGTTCCTTTGTATAACCTTTGAAAAATGATTTACTGTTGAGAACCACAATAGTCAGTAATTTACTCAAGGAGTAGAAGCTATTGACCAAATCTAAAAAGGACTTGGTATTGTTTCTTTTTATACTACCAGACACGTTTGATTTTTGGTCATTTTCCATAATCAAATTTGCTAAGAACATTCCATATAATATTCAGAAAACACTTTTAAGCATATACAATGTGCCAATCACTAGGAACAGTGATATGAATAAAGCAAGTGTAATTCTTGAAAGAAAACTTAAATGAAGTATATAGACAAACAGATAACCATGTAGAATGTTCTAAGATCCATGTCCATTCACACACTTAAATCATTGTCTTTGGTAGAAAAAAAAAATGAGTTGTTTTGTTTAGAAATCATTTTCACAATAAAATAAGTGTATTAATCTGGTTTCACACAATCTGAGATTGGATAATTTATAAAGGAAAGAGGTTTAATTGACTCACAGTTCTGCATGGCTGGGGAGGCCTCAGGAAACTTAAAATCATGGCATAAGGTAAAGAAGATGTAAGTACCTTCTTCAGAAGGTGACAGGAGAGGGAGAGAGTGAGGCGGGGGAGTGGGCATACACTTTTGAACCATCAGATCTCATGAGAACTCACTCACTATCATGAGAACAGCATGGGGAAAGCCATCCCCATGATCCAATTACCTCCCACCAGGTCCCTCCTTTGACATATGGGGAGGGATTTGGGTGGGGACACAGAGCCAAACCATATTATTCCACCACTGGCCCCTCTTAATTCTCATGTCCTTTTCACATTTCAAAACCAATTATGCCTTCCCAACAGTCTCCCAAAGCCTTAACTCATTCCAACATTAACTCAAAAGTCCAAGTCCAAAGTCTCATCTGAGGCAAAGCATGTCTCTTCCTCCTATGATCTTGTAAAATAAAAAGCAAGTTAGTTGCTTCCAAGATAAAATGTGGGTGCTGGCATTGAGTAAATGCTCCAAAATTGGCCAAAACAAAGGGGCCATAGGCCCCATGCAAGTACAAAACTCATCGGGGCACTCATTAAATCTTAATGCTCCAGAACAATCTCATTTGACTCCATGTCTCAAATCCAGGGTATGCTGATGCAAGGGATGGTCTCCCCGGGCCTTGGGCAGCTCTGCTCCTGTGCCTCTGCAGGATACAGCCCCTGCAGCTGCTTTCATGGGCTGGCATTGAGCCCCTGCACTTCTCCTGATGCACAGTGCAAGTTGTTGATGGAGCTACCATTCTGGGGGGTATGGAGGTCAGTGGCTCTTTTGTCACAGCTCCACTAGGCAGTGACCCAGTGGGGACTCTATGTGGGGGCTCCAACCCCACATTTCCTCTTTGCATTGCCCTAGTAGAGGTATTCCATGAAGGCTCTGCCCCTGCAGCAAACTTCTGCCTGGGCATCCAGGCATTTCCATATGTCCTCTGAAATCTAGGTGGAGGCTTCCAAAGTTTAACTCATGTCTTCTGTTTACCTGCAGGCCCAACACTGTGTGGAAGCTGCCAAGGCTTGGGGCATGCACCCTCTGAAGCAATGACCTGAGCTGTATCTTGGCCTCTTTTAGCTACAGCTGGAGCTGGAGCAGCTGAGACCCATGGTACTATGTCCTGAGGCTGTAGAGAGCAGTGGGGCCCTGGGCCTGGCCCAGGAATCCATTTTTCCCTCTTAGGCCTCTGAGGGGCTGTGATGGGAGGGGCTGTGATGGGAGGGGCTGCTATGAAGATCTCTGAAATGCCCTGGAGACATTTGTCCCATTGTCTTGGTTATTAATGTTGGAATCCTCATTAGTTATGCACATTTCTGCAGCTGGCTTGAATTTTTCCCGCAGAAAATGGGTTTTTCTTTTCCACCACATGGTCAGCTGCAAATTTTCCAAGTTTTTCATTCTGCTTCACTTTTAAGCATAAGGTCCAATTTCAAACCATCTCTTTGTGAATGCATATGACTGTACACTTTCAGAACAAACCAGGTCACCTCTTGAATGCTTTGCCACTTAGAAATTTCTTCATCCAGATACCGTAACTCATCTCTCTCAAATTCAAAGTTTCACAGATCTCTAGGGCAGGGGCAAAATGCCACCAGTCTCTTGGCTAAAGCATAGTAAGAATGATCTTTCCTCCAGTTCCCAGTAAGTTTCTCATCTCCATCTGAGACCACCGCAGCCTGGATTTCGTTGTTCATCTCATACCAGCATTTTGGTCAAAACCATTCAAGTCTCTAGGAAATTCTAAACTTTCTCACATCTTCCTGTCTTCTTCTGAGCCATCCAAACTGTTCCAACCTCTGCCTGTTATCCAGTTCCAAAGCTGCTTCCACATTTTCAGGTTATTTTTATAGCAGTGTCCCACTCCCAGTACCAATTTCCTGTATTAGTTCATTTTCACACTGCTGTAAAGAACTACCTGAGACTGGACAATTTATAAAGGAGAAAGGTTTAATTGACACAGTTCTGCATGGCTGTGAAGGCTTCAGGAAACTTACAATCATGGCAGAAGGTGAAGGAGAAGCAAGTACCTTCTTCACAAGGCAGCAGGAGGGAGAGACAGTGAGGGAGGAACTGTCAAACACTTTCAAACCATCAGATCTCATGAGAACTCATTCACTATCATAAGAATAGCATGAGGGAAGCTATCCCCATGATCCAATCACCTCCCACCAGGTCCCTTTTGGGTGGGGACACAGAGCCAAACCATATCCATAAGAAAAAAATTATTAATTGAACTGCATAAATATTTAGTAAGTGAATTAAATCTATGCTTACATATTTATGAATTTATTATTATAGATATTTGCTCCAAAAATCAATACCAAGTCTAGAATTTGGTAAAAAAACTAAAAGACCCAAGCTCAGGGAGACCAGTGGCCTGCGGGCTATGGAATGACTTTTATTGAAATGCCTGATTCTATAGATTAACGTTTGTGTGGCTCAGGTCAAGATGCTTCATCTCTCAGTGTCAATATGTTCTTTAAGATGGGAAATATACTAATGCCACCCATTAAACAGGCCTAATGTGGAGGCCTTTTTGACTACGTGGACTTCCTGATCCTGTGCCAGGCAGCTGGTAAGGGGGCTATCTGGCCTCTGTGTGCTCATGTCCTCTTGGCGTTTCTGAAGCACTCAAAGGTTAGTGCATCCAGGTTACCCTCAACCACAAGGCCCAAGGTTGAGAGAAATACCCCAGTTTCCTCTGTCCTCAGTAAGACAATTTCAAGTCAGGTCCACCCAGGTTTCTCACAGCCTCATCAGTAGGAAGAGTTGAGCTTTTGTTGCCCACAGTGATAATTCCCTCATTAACATGCTCTTTTTTGGCGCTTTTCCTTCCCTTGGCTCATGTCCACATGCCCACACATTGTTTCCTGGGTCACATCCTAAATAAATACATTTACAAATCCATGCCTCAAAGTCTGCTTTGCTAGGAACCAAACTTTGACAGCTAACCCACCTCAACTGAGTGCACATCCTGGCGCAGGCTCGAAGCCCAGAGAAGGCTGGTTGCCACTGGAACACCCAGGAGCCCCTCACACTGTGCTTCGCCTACGTTGTGTGACTTCCGAGCCATAGCATGTGAGAACCTCCCAAGAATTTATCTGGAAGCTTTCTCAATGAGTAAAAGTAAACAGATTTGGGGTGGGGTCTTGCATTTCCCAAAGCACACAGACAGAATTCATTGTATTAATATAGCTTTTTATTTTGAATTTACTCATACAGAGTGAAGAAATACCTTAGAAAGAGATATTTCTGGTAAAAGGGGTGTGCTCTGACCTACAGGCTAAAGTGCCTCAACTGGATTCACTTGTGTACAAATTAGAGTAACTTGTCTTAACTGTATTGAGGCGGGAAGAAGAAAAAGAAGACAAGAGGAAGGAAGGAAATAAGAAAAAGCTGAATTTAAATCATGGAGGCTGCAAATATTAACCTTGAATGAATACTTAGCTACATATCAAGTTTCTTCCTACAACTAAGCTGTTTAACAAATTTAGTTCCTGACTTAATTTTCATACGAATATCAAATCATCATATTATCAGCCTTTATGTCTTCAGTAAGAATTGAGGGTGCTTCGGGAAGCTGAGAACTCACATGAGAGGTCCCTCCTCTTCCTATAGGACAATCACCCTGTTTAAGGATAAGAATGCGGTGAATTCGCCCACTTTTTGATGGGGTTGTTTGTCTTTTTCTTGTAAATTTGTATGAGTTCTTTGTAGATTCGGTATATTAGCCCTTTGTCAGATGAGTAGATTGCAAAAATTTTCTGCCATTCTGTAGGCTGCCTGTTCACTCTGATGGTAGTTTATTTTGCTGTGCAGAAGCTCTTTAGTTTAATTAGATCCTATTTGTCAATTTTGGCTTTTGTTGTCCTTGCTTTTGGGGTTTTAGATATGAAGTCCATGCCTATGTCCTGAATGGTATTGCCTAGGTTTTCTTCTAGGGTTTTTATGGTTTTAGGTCTAACATTTAAGTCTTTAATCCATCTTGAATTAATTTTTGTATAAGGTGTAAGGAAGGGATCCAGTTTCAGCTTTCTACATATGGCTAGCCAGTTTTCCCAGCACCATTTGTTAAATAGGGAATCCTTTCCCCATTTCTTGTTTTTGTCAGATTTGTCAAAGATCAGATAGTTGTAGAAGTGTGGTATTATTTCTGAGGGCTCTGTTCTGTTCCATTGGTCTATATCTCTGTTTTGGTACCAGTACCATGCTGTTTTGGTTACTGTAGCCTTGTAGTATAGTTTGAAGTCAGGTAGCATGATGCTTCCACCTTTGTTCTTTTGGCTTAGGATTGACTTGGCAATGTGGGCTCCTTTTTGGTTCCATATGAACTTTAAAGTAGTTTTCTCCTCATCTCACACCAGTTAGAATGACGATCATTAAAAAGTCAGGAAACAACATGTGCTGGAGAGGATGTGGAGAAATAGGAACACTTTTACACTGTTGGTGGGACTGTAAACTAGTTCAACCATTGTGGAAGACAGTGTGGTGATTCCTCAGGGATTTAGAACTAGAAATACCATTTGACCCAGCCATCCCATTACTGGGTATATACCCAAAGGAATATAAATTATGCTGCTATAAAGACACATGCACACGTATGTTTATTGCGGCACTACTCACAATAGCAAAGACTTGGAATCAACCCAAATGTCCAACAATGATAGACTGGATTAAGAAAATGTGGCACATATACACCATGGAATACTATGCAGCCATAAAAAATGATGAGTTCATGTCCTTTTTAGGGACATGGATGAAGCTGGAAACCATCATTCTCAGCAAACTATTGCAAGGACAAAAAACCAAACACCACATGTTCTCACTCATAGGTGGGAATTGAACAATGAGAACACTTGGACACAGGAAAGGGAACATCACACACTGGGGCCTGTCGTGGGGTGGGGGGAGGGGGGAGGGATAGCATTAGAAGATATACCTAATGTAAATGATGAGTTAATGGGTACAGCACACCAGCATGGTGCATGTATACATATGTAACAAACCTGCACGTTGTGCACATGTACCCTAGAACTTAAAGTATAATAAAAAATGTATATATAGAGAGAGAAAGAGAAAATAAAAGAATGTGGGAATTCAGGGACCTTTTCCTGGACACCCTGTCCAATCATATGTTTTCTACCATGCAGACATACCCAAAGTGAATGCTCCCTAATATTAGTGATGAGCTAGGATGTGTGCAAACTCTCATTTGAAAACTTTCTCGAGGCATAGACCAAATCACCTTAATTTTTGTATTTTAGCACTTTGCTTTGAACATAGCTAGGAATACATACTGATGAAGTTGGGAAGTAAATTTTCGTGATGAATTACCTCAGAAATATTCTAATATGAATATCAAAAGTTTTTTCTGATAAATAATTTGACAAGTGTATACAGAACTACTTCTCTCTATAAATTGCCATCAAAGGGGGAACCAATACTAAAGAGAACCCACATGTTCTAACTCATTGGGGCCTGATCATTCTCCCTAATAGGTGGTTTCAGACATTTCCTTGGCAAAAGGTCTTCATTGGCTTCCCTGGTTAAATATATACTACCAGCCTGGTTTCCAAGGGCCTTCAGAAGAAAATCCATCACACTTTTCCACATTCATCCCTCTATGCTGTTGTCAGTCCGGTTTCTGCGAGTTTGCTGAACACACTGTTTTGGTTCTTCTAGTTGCAAGGAAGAGAGACAAGATTATACCTGTCTGAGTAAAATAAGGGGGATTTATGGAGAAAGTCTCATGTGATCTATGGAAGACCTGAGCATCTAGGAACCAAAGGAGGAAGAATCAGGCAATCAAACTTAGTGCAGATCGGAGACCACCTTTCATCTGACTCTGCTGTTGCCGGGACTTAGAATCTACTTCCCAGTGTCTAGAGATCCCAGGTCATGTCCTAGAAACTTGAGAGAGAGTCCAACTGATCAAGCTTTGTCTAATCAACTATTTTGATCCAATTAACTACTTTGATCTAATCAACTAGGACGATGCATGAGAATCATGAAACTCAAACATGACTCCTGAAGTCCTGCCCTGTGCATCTATAGCTGATCAAAGAAAAGATCAAATGGGCAAACAACCCTCAAAATTTGTTTTCTCAGACTATATTCACGTACTTTACCTTCTGCCTGCATGGTGTTCTTATTCCCTGGAAAAATCATTTGTATTCTTTAAGCCTAACCGCAAATGAAGACTTCACAGATTCTACAAACCAGATCATCTCTCTCCTGTAAGTTATCATTCTTTCTCATTTTTTTATTGAGAGATAATTCACATACAATAAAATTTACCTTTTAAAAACATGCAGTTAAGGCCGGGCATGGTGGCTCACCCCTGTAATCCCAGACTTTGGGAGGCCAAGCCAGGCAGATCACGAGGTCAGGAGATCGAGATCAAGACCATCCTGGCTAACACAGTGAAACCCTGTCTCTACTAAAAATACAAAAACTTAGCCAAGCGTAGTGGCACGTGCCTGTAGTCCCAGCTCCTCAGGAGGCTGAGGTAGGAGAATCATTTGAAACCAGGAGGCTGAGGTTGCAGTGAGCCGAGATCACACCACTACACTCCAGCCTGGGCGACAGAGCAAGACTCCATCTCAAAAAAGAAAAAAAAAAAATATGCAGCTAAGTGGCTTTAGTATATTTTCAGTGTTGTACAACCATCACCACTATCTAATGCCAGAATATTTTCATTACCCATAAAAGGAACCCTACCCATGAATAGTCACTCCTATGCCCAGGGCCCCTGGCAACCACAAATCTCTTTCTTTCTCTATGATCTTTGCTTGCTCTGGATTTTTATATTAATATAATGGAATCATACAATATGTGTCCTTTTCTGTCTGGGTTTATTCACTTAACATAATATTTTCATGGTTTCTCTTGCAACATGGATCAGAACTTTATATCTTTTTTGGCCAAATATCATTCCATTATATGGAAAGACCACACTGTGTTTATCCAATCATCATTTGATGGACATTTGGATTATTTCCACTTTTTAGCTATTACGAATAATGCTATTATAATTATTCCTGAACAAGTTATTGTGTAGACATACATCTTTAAGTCTCTTGAGTATACACTTAGGAATAAAATTATTGGGTCATATGATAACTCTCTGTTTAACTTTCTGAGCAACTGCCAAAATATTTTCCAAAGTAGTCACACCATTTTATGTCCCCCCGAATAATAAGCAAGGTGTTAATTTTATCCAAATTCTCATCAAAATATTATTTCATATATATCTATATATACTTATCTATCCATCTATATCAATATATCAGATTAGTATTATTCTCATAGCCATCCTAGTGGGTTTGAAGTGCTCTCTTACCACGATTTTTATTTGTTTCTCTAATGGCTAATGATGGTGCATATCTATCTGCCCTAGTGGTTTTCATAATGTTGCTACTTAAGAATTTGACTTTTTTCTTCATTTCCTCAACTAAAACTATCCCCTATTGCTTGCAGCTGAATTTTAATTCCCTTCATATTGTCTGCAGATCTGAGTATGATGCCTGTTATTGTTTAAATTATCATCAGTGGCTGGGTACAGTATCTCATCCTTGTAATCCCAGCTCTTTGGGAGGCCAAGGTGGGCGGATCACTTGAGCCCAGGAGTTTGAAACCTGGCTGGGCAATATAGTGAGACTTCATCTCTAAAAAAATTTAAAAAATAAAATAGCGGGGCCTAGTGGTGTACACTTTGTAGTCCCAGCTACTCAAGAGGCTGACGCAGGAGGATCACTCGAGCCCGGAAGGCAGAGATTGCAATAAGCCAAGATCATGACACTGCACGCTAACCTGGGAGACAGAATGAGACCTTGTTCAATAAATAAATAAATAACTTAATTAATTAATTAATTAACATTTTTGAAATAATTTGTTCTTTAAATGTTAAAAATAATATTGCATAATAACTTTTACTGAGTTTTATGAAATCAGGGTTGTCATTATCATCTAATGTTTCTCTAAGAGCCCAAATTCATTGATCTACTTCTACAAGTTGAACCACACTAGGGCAGTCTTACTGTTGCAACATTAATGCCTTTATTTTACTCAGCAACTAGCAGATGCCTTAAAGACTTTATCATTAATTTTCCTAGTGACTTTTTGTGTAGAGATTGTTATCCTCATTTTAAAGAATTGGGAACCAAGGCATAGAGACCATGACATGTACCAAAAATTCCATCAGTTCTGCCATGTCTACCAGCCCCTTTGTGGTCAGGGACAATGGAATGCAGGCAAGGGTGACTTGTATCACATCCAGGTCCAAGCAGCGAATAAATAGCACACAATCCCTCATGTATCCCCTCTTTTAGGGCAACAACCAGGGAAGCTGTGTCTCTGGCTGGTGCAGCTACAAGATGCTGGAGCCTCTGTGAAGCCACTTTCCAAAGTGATGATATGGTGTATATCCCAGACAGCCATGTAGTATGACAAGAAATAAACCTGCCTTGTATTAAGCCCTGGGGTTTTGGACTTATTCGTTACTGAAGCACAGTCTAGCATATCTTTATTAATACATAGACATGAATTTATTTGCCCAAAGCCACCTAATTAAGATGTAGAAGAGCTAAGATTCAAACCATGAGTGTGTCTCCAAAATCCTCTCCCACCTCACTCCGAAAATGGCAAGATTAAGCTTTGTGTGGCGTAATTTACAAAGTGATTCCACATCTATTTCCTCTAGTAGACATTCATGATAGAGTTGACCTAAATCTGATCTGATGTAGACTCATATTCCTATTACCCACCTACACCTTCAAATTTCTCCATACTTAATCGGAATATTTAAGCTTTCCAGCAGCTTTTCAAAATTGGTAAACAGGCCATACATCTCAGAAGGTTAAACTGAGTCCACTAAGATCCCATTCAGAAGTAAATAGGTAAAGGTGAAATTCTAATCCTCCTCACTCACCTATAATACCACATCTCTGCCTTGAAAAATGAAGGTTTTTTTGAAGTTTTTTCTCTCATCAGAAAGTTGGTGCTGTAGCTTTAAGGACTGCCGCCTTCCACTGGAAAACTAAGCCATTTCTTTCCATCCTCTTAGACCGATGTTGCAATTTGCAATTATTTTCATATCCAAAGAGTGAAATATCTAGGACAATCAAGGACTCTAGAAAGAAACTATGGCCATGCACATGGTTAGTGTATGCTGCACAATAAAATAAAATAAGTCAAAGGAAATGATGGGAAAACTTGAAGAGACTCAACCTTCTGGTTTCCTTGCTTATATTATATTTTATATCCAGACCCTGCCTTTGGGCCATAATATATGCTTGTGAACATTTATTTTGAAATTTTTTAATAGTGAGCAAATCTGTGAATGCTTTTTTTTATATTTTAAAAAAGATGAGTATAAAGAGGACATCTTTCTGTGTTATACAATAAAGAATTTCCAAAGCTTGTACAAAATTAATTGTTCACGACCTTCATAAGCCAGTAAAATAGAATGACTAGGGTGAAATTGAATTGAGTCCAAATTGGGTGAAGCTGGAATTCTAGAAGCAACATGAATCCACCAGGCCTCACTGCTTCAAGCTTAACTCACCAAATCCATTCTTTAGCTTGAAGGCACACCTAGATAGACACATGGATTTGAATATACACAACCCTTACAGGTAGGCATTCAATTCTACATTTCTTTGATTTGAATATCAAGATTTTGGAAAATGACAAGTTGGGTAAGGATCACTTTCTGGGTTAAGAATAAAATAAAAAGTTTCATCAGTTGTCCTCTGAGCCTCGACAGGGTAAATTCATCTTCAAATTTATCTTCGTTGCTTTAAATGTCGAATTTGAGTGTTCAGCCTCTACAATCAATTTCCGATGTCTCTGGGGAGCTAGAACAAATAGCTCGCCTGCACTGTATTAAGTTTGAGCTGGGGAGGGAAAAAGACTTTGCTTTTCACACATTATCAGTAAGATGAGTATGACAGCAAGAAGAGAAAGAAACCTGACATGTTTTTGGGAACATTAGCATCCTTTAACTATTAATATTATTTAGCATTCATTATTCACAGAACAGGACAACCCGACTTTGACCTCACTTTTGAAAAAACATATTGATTGGTATGAAGATGGCATTGCAATTAGCCTGATGCAGGTTGGAATCACCCACTGGAACCCAGAGATTTGGTTCCCAACACCCCTTCAACTAAGACTTAGGCCAGTCAGCCGAGGACTAGACACAGACTCCAGGAACCAGAAAATTCCAGCTGAGTGAATCTGAAGAGGCCCTCTCCTGTGGAATAACTTGGTTGACCTCATAAAAAAAGGTCCTATTACTTCTAGGGAAAGTGGCAAAGAGATGACTTCCCTGGTCCTGGGAGCTATTAACTATCTTGGAATAAAAGTGTTTACTGATCATTGTCAGCAAGGATAATTTGCACCAACAGAACACAGAGTTTGCTATTAAAAAACCCCAACTTGGGCAAAATGAAAACAACAACAAACAACAACAACAACAACAAAAACAGCTCTCATACCAAGGGAACGTTTCTTATTTTGCAAACTGGAATGCTTCAACCACAGGGAGACTTTACTCCAGAAAACAAAAACAAAAACAAACAAACAAAAAACAACAAAAAATCTGCTTTTGTAATAAGACAGCTCCAATGGAAAGTGGTGAGAAGAGCCTAGGATCAGAGCTTAGGAAGTTTATATTTCAAACTTCTCCTTTCCATTTCTGAGCCTGTAGCCATCTGTTGGTGGCATCTCACAGGCAGAGTCCACGTTTGATAAAATATAGGTTAACATTCTTAGCATCCACCAATTATTAGAGATAATACAATTAGAGGTATTTATTTTGGTAGGCTCAAAGATAGTGCCCCAAATATATCTACATCCTAATCCTTGGAGCCAATGAATATGGTACGATATATGGCAAAAAAAAAAAAAAGTTTTTGCCAATGTGCAGATGTGATTCAGTTAGGGATCTTGAGATGGAGAGATTATCTTGGTTATAGGGTGGCTCTAAAGACAAACGCAAGTGTCCTTATAAAAGGGAGGCAGAATATTTGACTACACATGGGTACATGGGTAGAGGCGAGGATGATGTGAGACAGAGCAGAGAGAAATTTGAAGACGCTGACCCTGAAGATTGGAGTGGTGTGGCACAAGCTAAGGAATGCCATCAACCACCAGAAGCTGGCAGAGTCAAGGAGTGGATCCTCCCCAAGAGCCTCTGGAGGGAGCACGGCTCTGCCAACACCTTGATTTCAATCCAGTGATCTTGATTTCAGACCTCTGGCCCCCAGAACTATGAGAGGGTAAACCTGGTGGTAATCTCTTACAGGGGCCACGGGAAACTAATACATTTGCATACATTGTAATTTAACATTATAAGTGTCATGTTTAAAATTATATTTTTAATGATCCTTTCCAGGATCAATTAATTAGACTTTATAGGAAAGTCTTATCAATAGATCTGGCTTCACATCTCACTTTTCTTCATACAAACTCTACCACCCAGGACATAGTACTTTTCTGCTCTGATTTTCTCTCTTTGAAAGTGTAAATTGGATACGACAATTCCTGCCCTGTCTGCCTCAAAATGATCTCAGTAAAGGAGGCTGAGGTCATCTTGGAAGTTTTCCTTGAGGACGCAACACACTTGAGCTTGGCTATAAAATACAGGCGGGCAGAAAAGGGAGCGTGTTTTTTACGTCTCTAGCTCATTCTCCTCATTATTTCCATTTTTGCAGGATACTTAGTCTCATCTTCATAGTACATAAACTTTGTGATTGATATTTGGTTGTTTATGTACTATCTGTTCCCTTTGAGAAAACAAGTACCTTGAAAGCAACTAACCATCTGTTTCATTCCCCAATGTAGTTGCAGCACCTAGTACGTGGGCAGTGCTCAAAAACATTTGTTGAATAATTGAATGAATGAATGAATGAGTGATTCATCTTTAATTTTCATCACAGCCATTAATATCCATACTTCCTCATTTCCTATGATTTGTCTTCCTTTCTTAAATATTATTGAATGCTGTTTAGTAACAAGATTTGTTATGGGATCTGGGGTTACAGCAATGAGCGCCTGCCTGAGACCTCATCATTGAGTGAGAACAAAAGATGAAATGATAACAAACAACAACAAAAAGATAGTGAGACCTTAAGGAAGAAACAGGAATATTAAGAAAGGCTTCCCAGAGAGGTGTGGACAAAATGGAGTTTTGAAAATTGAAAAGTTTGAAAGGGAGTTTGGGAAAGAAGAGAGAGAGAGGGTGTAGGCAGAAGAATGTGTAAAAGAAGAGAATCTCACCAGCAATTCAAGTCAGGAGAAATGCAAGGGCCCAAGCCAAACATGGCGGCCATGGAAACAGTGATGTGGGAACTGGTGAGAGCTCCTGAGGCTGGACCATTTGGCAGAAAGAAGGCTTCCACACAGCTGGGGAGGGGATAGGTGAGCAGCATGGGTTCTGGATGAGAAAGCCCTGAACCTACATCTCAGGTATTTCATTTCTAAGTTACAATGACAATACTTCCTAAAAAGTCCTGACTTATGCCTACAGTCCCAACAAATTTATCAAAGCACCCTACTTTCACTATCAAAACTTCCCAGGTGGGGCCAGGTGTGGTGGCACACGCCTATAATACCAGTACTTTGGGAGGCTGAGGTGGGCGGATAACAAGGTCAAGAGATTGAGACCATTCTGGCAAACATGGTGAAACCCCGTCTCTACTGAAAATACAAAAATTAGCTGGGTGTGCTGGCATGCTCTTGTAGTCCCAGCTACTCCAGAGGCTGAGGCAGGAGAATCGCTTGAACCCAGGAGGCAGAGGTTGCAGTGAGCTAAGATCGCGCCACTGCACTCCAGCCTGGCAACAGAGAGAGACTCTGTCTCAACAAAATAAATAAATAAATAAATAAATAAATAAATAAATACATAAAAGAAAAACCTCCCAGGTAGGATAATAAATTATGTGGTCTTTGATTCTCAGGTGTGTGTTCAAGTTACTTACCTTCCATGACCTTCAGTTTCCTTATCTGTGAAATTAGCAAAATAATAGTAATCCTCTTTAGTGTGGATTAAATGAGATAATTTATGTGGGACACACTTTATTTGTTGCAACATGTAGTATATGAATGATAAATTGTAGTATTATTATTATATACTATTTGGAGGAATTTAAAAAAAATTATTAAACAATGTGGAATCATTTAAAAATGTTCAAAAAGAAGCGGCACATGACCAGATCACACCTTAGTGGTTCTTGGCCACCACGGATAGCTGATAGTTTATCTACCCAAGCCTTGTCAGGGACATGGTTGTTCAGTGAATTCTGTCATTCATAGTCTAATGAATAGGACGTGCATCCACTCACCCACGCATTCAGAAAGCAATTTTCCTTCATAGATTTTCATTAACCTGTTGACCTTAAAAGAGCCATTTACCCACTCCGTGCCTCACTTTTTTCATCTGTAACATCATCAAACTTCCTTCTTCACAGCATTGCTCGGAAGATTAGATGAATTAATAATGATACTCTAAAATGCACTTATAAAAGTATTTGGCATATGTTTGAGATTATTGCTAACTTTTTAGAATAAGGACCTAGGTTTGCTACTTGCTAGCTGCACAAACTTGAAAAATTTGCCAACTCTTTAAGCCCCAACTAACTCATTTGCAAAAATGGAGGTGATGTCACTTCAGGGGAAGGTTTGCAGGATTCCATGGAAGAGAGACTGGCACAGAGGAGGCATGGAACAAATGTTTATTCTTTTTCATAAATAATTGTTTTGCCATATAATACATTTGCAGATTTTTTTCACCCTTCTCTAAATTTTTCAGGTTTGCCTTTAGAGACAGTTTTATTATTATTTTTACTACAATTAGTATTCATATAGAAGTGTTCCCAGAAGCCCCCCAGCCCAGTTCCTAATTTTAAATGTACTTACACGTGTAACAGGGGATGACTTCACTGTCCTCAAGTTACACAGAAAGTTGATGGGATGAGTCTAGAACCCAGGCCCCCTGATCTGCAGCCTGCAATGTTTTTTATTTTTTTTTCCTACCTAAAAGAATATCACCTAAGTCGAGTCAGACTAGGACCCCTTCCAGAAATAACATGTCCTTATAATAAAATGGATCATAAGATGCATTCAAAACATAGCCATTTGTGAGTATTCATTGCTCAAGGTATGGGGCAACTAACCATGCTGTCTCAAAGCTTGGCAGGGAGCCTTCAGATCTGCTTACAACAAGTCAAGGCTGAGAGAGGCGCAGAAGGACCCTTCCTGGCACTCAGGAATGTCCAACTCCATGTGAACAGAGTGTCTAGTTTTTTGTGTGTGGGTTTTCTTGGCTGCAGGAGACTTGCTGGCTTCCCGCACTGTCAATCACCTCCCTCCTGGATTTCTAGCTTACTTGGTCAATACAAATAGAACAATCGCCTAAGCGACATGGAAACTTTGATGTTTTCCATCATTGTTGGCACACAAAAGCTCTCGGATTGACCTACTTACGTGCGCCTTTCCTCCTCTGCTCCCCAATAGGACTCTGGCTGTATTTACAGACTCTGAAGAAAACCTGGATTTAGATAGCGCTTCCCTGGGGAGAAATTATTAGCGCTAATCCTTGTCTTGGAACAAAGCAGCCAGGCCCTGGGATAATGGAGCTCTGATACCCCCCTGCACCAGCTCTGCCTTATAGCCCTGGGTCCCAGCACAACACCCACATATAAATCCACGCTGCTCACCTGGCAAGGGTCATGGTATTAATATGCTAATTGTAGGACAGTTTGCCAATTATGCTGTTTTTATAGATCTGCAATTAATTACAGAGAGATTAAGTGTAATTTTGATCATGTCATTTGCCTGACTCAGAGCCCATGATGGCTCAGGGCTGACATCCCCAGCATCTCCAGATGCCTTAAAGGCTCAGCATTGATTAGCCCTCACTTAATTTCTTCCTTATTCTTTAGCTGAGACCCCCACGGTCCACATGATTGGGAGGGATTCATCCTGGAAATCAGGCCTAAACCAACAAGAAGTGAGAACTGCAATTCCCACTGAAGTCTCCATGTCCTGCCCCTTAGCCTTTGCAAGGACCTGTTCAACCCAGCAAGATGCATATCAGAGGAGTGGGAGTTAATTCCATGTTCCACTGGTGGGACAATAAAAAATGGCATGGCCTGCATGAAGAACAGTCCTCCAGTGCATCCCAATTGCCTAAAAATCCTATGAACAGTCTTTGAAGCATTCCAACTTAAAAATTGAAGTTGAGAAAATTATTAGAGAAATGTATGAAGATGGGTGTATGGAAAGTTCACACAGCATTAGTAACAAAAGTAAGTCCAGAAACGATCTAACTAGCCATCTAACTAACTGGAGAAATTGTTCAATGCGGACTTCTATATCTGTTAATATGACTTATCCTCTAGTTCAAGCAACAAGCATACGGTGCATTTAGTTTTCTTTTTATAAATATGAACTACTTTTTTTTCTATATTTTTGTTCCTTTAGAATAACAATTTCATTGATATGGAATTCACACAGCATAACACTCACACTTTGAAGGTGTGCAATTCATTGTTTTTTAATATAGTCACAAAATTATGCAACCATCTCCTATATCAAATTCAGGAATATTTTTATCACTCAGAAAAGAAATCCTATACTTGTTGGCAATCGCTCTTCATTCTTCACTCCCACCAGCTCCTAGCAACCACTAATTTACTTTCTGTTGTTATGGATTTGCCTAACTGGAACATTTCATGTAATGGAATCTTATAATATGAGGTATTTTGTATCTGACTTCTTTAACCTAGCATAATATTTTCAAGAGTCAATTCCCTTATAGTATGTATCAGTATTTCATTCCTTTTCATGACTGGAAAATGTTCCATTTTATGGATATACCATATTTTGTTTATCTATATATCTGTTGATGGGTATTTGGGTTGTTTCTACTTTTTGGTGATTATGAATAATGTTGCTACATTCATGTATATCATTTAATGTGGATATGTTTTCTTTTCTTTTTTTTTTTTTTTTTGAGTATACACCTTAGTGTGGAATTGCCAGATCATACGGTAGCTCTATGTTTAGACTTTTGATGTACTGAAAACTGTTTTCCAAAGCAGTTCTACCATTTTACATTCCCACCAGCTATGCATGAGGGCTCCCATTTCTTTTTGAGACAGAGTCTCACTCTGTCGTCCAGGCTGGAGTGTAATGGTGCAAACTCAGCTCACTGCAACCTCCACCTCCCAGGCTCAAGAGATTCTCATGACTCGTCCTCCTAAGCACCTGGGATTACAGGCGTGCATCAGCATGTCCAGCTAATTTTTGTATTTCTAGTAGAGATGGGGTTTTGCTTTGTTGGCCAGGCTGGTCTCGAACTTCTGACTTCAAGTCGTCAACCTACCTTGGCCTCTCAAGGTACTGAGATTACAGATGTGAGCCACCAAACCCAGCCAAGGACTCCAATTTCTATACATTCTCTCCAACACTTGTTATGGTTTACCTTTTTGGTTATAGCCATACCTGTAAGTGTGAAATGCTATCCATTGTAGTTTTGATTCAAACTTCCTTAAGGACTCAGGATGTTGAGCACATTTTTGTGTGCTTGTTGCCATTTGTACACTTTCTTTTAAAAAATGTCAATGCAAATCATTTTTTCATATTCAGTTGGGTTCCGGTTGAATTGTCAAGTTATCTATACAGTTTGAATACAAGTCCCTTAACAGATATATAGTTTGCAAATAAATTTTCCCATTTTGGGGCCTGTCTTTACTTTCCTGAGGACATCCTTTGAAGGACAAAATGTTTATTTTTGATGAAGCCCATTTTTTCTATTTTTTTCTTTTATTTCTTTTGCTTTTGATGTCATATCTAAGAAACCATTGCTGAATCCAAGGTTATGAAGATACACTTCTCTCTTGCCTTCTACGAATTTTGTAGTTTTAGTCTTACATTCACACTTATGGTGAATTTTGAGTTAATTTTCAAACATGCTGCGAAATAGGGGCCTGGCTTTATTTCTTTGCATATTCAGTGTGGATATCCAGTTTTCCCAACACCACTTGTTGGAACCATGATTCTTTCCCCCAGTTGAATTATTTTGGCACATAAGCTACTTTTATATTGAAAATGTGTTTTTCATTTTTAAATGAGTAAAAGTCTGAAAACTGGAACACTCTCGTGTGTATGTTGGCTACCAGGCCGTGTAACTCATTTGGGTTACTGCGTGACCACATGTTTTGACCCATTTCTGCCATTCACCTTTCATGTTTCTCTCATCCCAGTTTCCTGCTTTCTGCTTTCTGAACCATAACTGCTGACAGGTGCCTCAGCTCTCCCTGCCTCTCTTACTGTCTCATGGGCAGACTTCCCCACTGTGAACTCAATCAAAGCCCATGGGCCTGATTCCTCTCACTCAATCTCATTCACCCAATCAGAAGAGTATGGAGAGGACTGGACATTTGGAAGCCCAGAGCATCATGTTTGGAAGGGAACAAGAGAGGCCAACCTCAAGCTGTCTTTGGATGCTTCCAAAGATAACTTTCTTCTCTTACAGCATTGCTCAATAGATGGTCCCCAGCCTTTACCTGAACACCTTCACTGATGATGAAACTCATCATTTGCAAAAGCATAGGCTTACATTTTCAGACAATTAAATTAGTTCTTTTTTTTGTTTTTGTTTTGCAGACAAGGTATTCCTCTGTCGCCCAATTTGGAGAGCACTGGCATGATCATGTCTTATTGCAGCCTCAACCTCCAGGTCAGGCAGTTCTCCTGCCTCAGCCTCCCAAGTAGCTGGGACCACAGGCACACATCACCACATCTGGCTAATTTTTTTATTAGTATAATTTGTAGAGACAGAGTCTCTCTATGTTGCCCAGGCTGGCCTTGAACTCTTGAGCTCAAGCAATCCTCCCGCCTTGGCCTCTTGGTGTTGGAATTATATATGTGAGACACTGAACTCAGCTACAGTAGTTCTATTTTAAGAATAAAACAATCAGTCCCTTTGCAGCTTCATTCATTGTCCCTTAATCTTATCACCACCATGCAGGACCATTGAACTTCTTGTACTAGTAACAGCCCTTCAAGTGTTTGAGAACAGTGACCTTGGGTATCTTAACCTTCTTCTCCAGGCTCCCCACCCCTAGTGCTATCTACCATTCTCTCTTCTCATGGTTTTGGGAGCCCTCACTGGCCTCCTGCATTTGTCCTCAAAGACTGCCGTCAAGACCCTCATGCCTTACACAGCCTGAGAGCACACACCCCATCCTTTCCTCTGTGGAAAGCAGGAGAATCCCCATCTCTCTGCTGGACATCGTCCTTCTGCAAACCCAGTCTTAGGGCCCTCAATTCCTCCATCCTATCAAGGAAGCTTTACCTGGCTTCTCTGCTCCACACCTATCTGCACAAAGACATTGAGTGTGTGTGTGAAGGGCTCCTGAGAAAGGGCGGTAGTGCAAACTGAGCCCAACTCAAGTCCGCTCCACATTCCTGTTCCCTGGCACCTGGGCTGGGTGTGCCTTAGACAAGGAGTTTTGTGCGTGTGTGTGTGTGTGTGTGTGTGCATGCTCTATTTTTCTGATTCTCATAAGAAGCTGCATTCAGTGTCATCAGCTGTGTCTCCATACCACATCCACATCACTGCGGGCCCCTGCCCACCCTCCCCCCAGGCCTCCCTGCCTGACACTGCCACCTGTTCTCCACTGACCTGCCAGCGAAACTAGAAAGAAAGACAGTCCTCCTCTACCTAAAACCCTCCAGGGGCTTCCCAGAACCCAAGCCAAAGGTAAGTTCCTTGTTATTGCCTGTGACACCCTAAAGGAACTGACCAGCTGGCCTCCCCAAGGGTTCTTGACTATTTCCCCTCCGCCCCCACACCCTCACTCCTGAGACCCCTTAGTCCTGGAATGCACCAGGCTGTTTATCAGCCCAGAGTCTCATTCACTCTTTCTTTCATTCTCTAGTCCTGTGCTTTCCTGGACATGTCTTACTCATTCTTAAATTATCAAGGGTCATTTCCTCAGAAAGGTCTTTCCTGAACCCCCCTCCCTGACTCACTAAACACACACATCTTAACAATAACAGCCAACATTTACTTTTGCAAACAGGCTTAAACATTTCCACAGAAACAAACTAGTTTAATCCTAAATTGTCCAGTGAAGAAACTCAGGCACAGCGATAAGAAACTCACCTGTGTCCACACAGCAAATGTGAGATGGAGTTGGGATTCATGCCCTCTGACTCCAGAGTCCTCACTTCTAATTGCTGCAATATTCACATTCTCATTGTACGTCTTCTTACAGCTCCCTTCTTCTTTCTTTTTATAGTATATATCATAATGTAAAGTAGCTGGGACCTACTATTTACCCATCCATCCATCCATCATTCCAACCATCTATCCAACCATCCACTCACCCATCCATCCTTTTATCTTTCTATCTGACTATTTTCTGACTTATTCCACACACTCTGAGCTCTGTCCAAGGAAGGCTTCTGCTGATTCTTTTACCACTATATACTTGAAGTTGCCACAGTGCCTAGCTCTGTGGAGGCCTCCATAAGTGAGGGCATGTTGCACACTCCAATGAATGAATGGATGCCTAGTACAGTGTTGGGCACAGGATACAAAACGTAGGTTTAGAGAAGGTCCTTCTACTTGAGGAGGTCACAGAGTTCTGGGAAAGTGCTCCACCTTGCAGCATGGTGGCAGTTAGCCTACTGTGGGAGTCAGTGGGAGCCTTGTATCTGATGGGGTCATCTGGAGGACTTCCCAAGGAGGAGACCCCTTCCCAGTTGAGCTATGTCAGCCAGCCCACACCGCTGGCTGATAATGACTAAAGCACCCCAGTATTTTTGTGCATCTGTCTGGGAAAGGACAAGTGACTTGCATTCTGCATTGGAAGGGCTGTCATGTGTATAAGGGAGCTGATGTGCACTGTGTGGCCCCAGGAGACAGAAACCTCAGATTCCAGCTTGGTGGAAGCTCCAGTGAATCCAAGGAGAACAGCAGTAAGAGATACTCTATTATGAATGGGGACTCCCTGTCCCTGGGAGTGTTCAGGAGAAGGCAGGTGTCCTTTGTCAGAGTCGCTGACTGGGGTACCAGGGAGGAGGTGATGGCCAGGACTTCCCTCCAACTTCCCACAACTTCTGTTCCTCTGTGCTTTACAGAGGGTTTACAGAAAGTCACGGACAGTATCCAACACTGTCTTTGCACATAGCTATTAAAAGAGGGATAAGTCTTTTATGTGGGAGGCATCAAATGCCCAAGGGGTCCAGTGTGTTTGGGGAAATAGAGTCTACCTTTCCTAAAGTCGCTATAAAGTAGACCCACCATAGAGAACCCAGCATGATCTACCTATTTCCTGTCCTCAAGGGAGTAAGAGACCTTTTGACACATTTAAAAGTTGACATGGCATTTTTTGGGTATAATCTATCTATCTATCTATCTATCTATCTATCTATCTATCTATCTATCTATTTATCTACCTATCTATCTATCATTTAGAAGATACCAGAAAACAAAATGCCAGAAATAAAATTATCCATAATTCTCTCACCTTGAGATCAGCTCTATGCACATTTTTTGTGTATTTTATTCTGGTCTTATTTTCTATTGCCATATATGCCTATTTTATTGTGATCCTGCTTTTTCTCCTCCAAAACACTGTGAACATGTTCCACATCATTAAGTGGCCTTCTAAAACATTATTTTTAATAGCTGCTTAGTATTCCATTTTACAGCTGCTCCATAAAGCAGTTAACCCCTCAAGTACTGGTGGGTATTTGTGTTTCCAGAATTTCAGCAGCTTATATATAGATATTTTTATACATATAATTATTTCTTTAAAAAACATCCCTAGATTTCAACTTGCAGAGTCAAAAGGAAAGTCTGTCTATAAAATGTTTGATATGTGTTACCCAGTTGTCCTCAGGAAAAATAGTACCAGTTCACAGTCCTGCCAGCAGCATTGGAGGGGCCTTACTTAAGGTGACACTTGGAAACTTTTGCTGAGAGGGAGGGAGCTCATCTCTATTGCCCTGTGACCAGGACGGCTGCATTCACACAGGGATTCTCTGAGCTTCCAGACACCAATGCTCTGAAGAAAATGCCAAGACTTGGTGGCAGAAGGTCTGGGATCAAGTTGCAGTTCTGCTGCCTCCGAAGCCACTCCACACCATCATCCAGAAATGACCATAAAGTCCAGTCAAGACCTTCACAGGCAACAAATAAAAGGCTTGCTCTTCCCAGTAGGACTTTGAACATGGAAGATGGTCAAAAAGAGACTTCCTGCCTCCAGGGGGCCACAGGGGGCCAATGGTAAACGATGAGTGAATCAAACAGGTGGAATTGACTAGAAGTGAGGTGAAAACACGAGAGTCCAACTGCCTGGGCTTGTACCCGGGGCCAACCTGTAGCAGATGAGGCCCTGGGCCTGGTGCCTAGCCTTCCTGGGATCTGTTTCCTCATCTGTAAAATGGGGCTACAATAGGGATTAAATTAGTATCTTTAAAGTCTCCAGCATAGTTCCTAGTGTATAATAAGCACAGCACATGACAAGTCACCTTGTCATGGAAGTATCATTATCCTTAGGAAGAAATTAAAAGATAGGTTCAAAGAGGTTAAATATCATGACCCAAGACACAGAACTAGTGACAAAAAATGAGCTGAAATTCAGTCAAAGGTCAATCTGATTTCTCTGTTACTGAGGAGAAGGGAAAGGATTCCTGAAAACCGTATCCCGAAATTTGGGTCCGTCAAAACATAGTAATTTTAAAATACATATTATTATTAACTATAGCCACCGTGCTATGCCATAGATCACCAAAATTTACTCCTGTTAACTAAACTTTGTACTTTTCAACTAACCCGTACCCTACCCCTGCCCTCCAGCCTCTGGTAACCATCATCTACTCTCTACTTCTATAAGCCTGACTTTTTTTTAGATGCCACATATAAGTGAGATCACGAGGTATTTGTCTTTCTGCACCTGGAGTATCTCACTTAGCATAAGCTCATCTAGATTTTAAATGATAAGTATGTGAGGCGATGAGTATGTCAGCTAGTCAGATTTAGTAATTTTACAACGTACACATTTATAATAACATCACATTGTACTCCATAAATATATTGTACCTATAATGATCATGTGTCAATTAAAAATAAAATAAAAATAAAGAAAAAAGAGTCATTTCAGTGAAAGCAATGCTGGGTTGCTATGTCGTTGGTGGACATTGGTGTCCACAGACAGATGAAAGGGTAAACAGTTTATCCATACAATGAAATATTACTCAGCCTGTAAAAAAAGGAAATTTCAGGCCGGGCACAGTGGCTCACGCCTGTAATCCCAGCACTTTGGGAGGCCAAGGCGGGCGGATCACAAGGTCAGGAGATCAAGACCATCCTGGCTAACACGGTGAAATCCTGTCTCTACTAAAAATACAAAAAAATTAGCCGGGCGTAGTGGCGGGCGCCTGTAGTCCCAGCTACTCCGGAGACTGAGGTAGGAGAATGGCGTGAACCCGGGAGGCGGAGCTAGCAGTGAGCCTAGATTGCACCACTGCACTCCAGCCTGGGCGACAGAGCAAGACTCCATATCAGAAAAAAAAAAAAAAAAAAAAAAAGGAAGTTTCAGCACACACTACAATGTTCATTGAGTTCTGCCTTGTACGAGGCACCCACACCTGGGGCTAGAGGGAAGGGGCTGGAGGTATAAATTCCAATAGAGTGGTCTCTGTTGTTGGGAATTCATATTTGCCAGGACATGGGTTATCACACAAAGAAAGTCATGGCAGAGAGGGATGCGGTTGTAGCATCATGAAACAAATGCAGCGGAGCACAATGGGGAGAAGATTCTGTTTAGAAGCGCTCTGGACACCTTTGAGAAAAAGCTAGCTTTGAGAGTCCCTTAAACTTTTGAGGATATGTTTTTGACAAGTCATGGAGCAGCCCAAAGGGGAATCCAGCCTAGGATAGGGCAACAGCCTTGGCAAAGGTTTGGAGGTGGGAGGGGAGGCAGAGCCTGCTCCTTAACAGCTCGGGTTCTCTTAGTGAGAGCTGGGATGGATGAGCCTGCACAGTGGCCTCAAACCGCCGCTTTGGGTCCCCACACAAGATGCTGCCTGTGGGCCCTGAGAAGCTGGTGCAGGAGGCTGTGGGAGGAGGTTGGGGTCTGGAATGAAAGACTGCCACGTTAGAGATACACAGAAGGCAGAGAACAAAGAGAGAGACGCTTGAAGCCAAGCAAAGATAAAACAGCTGATAGAAGACAAAGCCCTAGAAAGGCAGTATTGGGGCCTCTTCACCATGCAGCAGGACTGACAGGTGGGCATCAAAGGCGGACGAGGCAGGCTGCAGAGTGGCTCAGGTGCTAGGCAGCTCGGGGCGCGGGGCTTTGTTCAGTCTGACTGAGCAGTCAGTCTGCTTATACTGAAAATGCACTATGCTAAGCAGAAGGCAGTCCTATATTTAGATTTTTCTTTTAATCTTGAAAGAGAAGAAAACAGTAACAAAGGACTTCCTTGTCAAATCCTAATGCAAGTTGAACTTCTAAAGACTTGGAGGAGGTGTTCATGACACCAAAGATTTTACAAGCACTGACACAGAAAACTGAAGTAGGGGGGAAAAAAAGAGGCTTCTCCCCTTTGTGTTTTTGCTTGCCACCAGAGCCATGAGATATCAGCTCAGTCTCATGGGGAGTTTTTGTGTTTAAAATTTTGCACAATATTCGCAGCTGCATTTGATCCTATGGTGCACTCCAGGGTGGGGGTTGAAAGGTCTTTCCTTTCACAGGTCTGAGCCTTGGAGAGGTCCAGGGTGTTCCTCAGGGTTAATCAGCTACTGAGTGGTAGACTCAGACATGAAGCCCAGGTCAACCCATCCTGGTCCCGAGGAAGTAGAGATGCTCGCCTCTGATGAAACAAGGCCACAAGCTTTGAAATCCTACTTAAATTGAAGCCCAATGTCATCCTTTAGGAGCCAAGTAATCTTGAACAAGTCTCCTATCCTCTCGGAGCCTCCATCTCCTGAGGGACAAAACCAGCATCTATTTGAAGATTCAATGAGGTAACCCACATGCCCAACATGGCGCCTGGCACCTTGTGATGGCAGCAGCTATCCGCATGAACTGATAGGACCCAGATGACAGAGTGGGTGGTTCTGAACAGAGAACTTCTCCGGGAGTGTGGAGCCCTGGCTGGGTTCTCGTTCCTTGCAGAAGGGCTCTCTCAACACTTCTGTTGCACCGGGATCCTAATAGTCTGTGAAAACTGTGGTAGGAAGAGATATTGGGGCTGAGGTCTCTGAGGTTTCTGCTCTACAAACAGGAATATTTTGCCCTACTTTGATTTAGAACAAGTGGAAAAAGGAGACAAGAAATCAAATCGTTCAAAGCCAACATATCTCTTATTGTTACCAGGTTCAGGGAGAGGGCAGAGCTCAGAGTGAGAGGCAGATAGACCTGCTAACGGAACTCCAGGAAGAGGCCCATTTTGCCTCCAACCATAGGCTCTGCTGGACTGAGGCTCACCTGTCCATGAGGGCAGGCTAGGGAGACCCTGCTTCTTGGAGCAGGGAGAATGTTTTGTTCTATGCATACTGCCATGCATATTCAGGAAAGCAGCAGAAGGAAGCCAGGAGAGGGATGCTAAGATGCTTTATTCACCTAGAAGGAAAAGTAAGAAAGGAGAAGTAGCATTGTCCTGACTTAAACCAGATTAGCATGCTCCTAACACAGTGGGCTTGAAAATTCTGTGTGTGACGCCACTGTGCCCAGAAAGAAGGTGAACAGATCAGCAATCTATCTGGTTGATCCGTCCCACATTCATAGGCTCCTTGCCTGATACCAACCCCATTCTCCTGTCTGGGCCCCTGGGGCTACTGGGGTGCAGTTTAGATTTTGCCACTAGAAGGCTCTGAGGTGGGTTAACAGCAAGGAGGCTTCATCTGTCGAGGCTGAACTTGACTCATTTCTCTCTTCCTGCTCTGAAAGATCTCCAGCTGCGTTGCCAAACCAGCACAGACCCTACAGGGAGATGAATGACCCAGGAAGACAGGAAGGTAACAAGCACACAAGGTCACTCCACTGAGCAAACGGCAACATTTGAGCCTCCCCAAATTTGAATATAAACCTCTCCTATTATCAAGGTCCCACTGAGAAGGTACAATTTGAAGATTACATCCCCTTGCAAGTTGGATCCCAAAGAAATTAAGGACTGATATCGTGGGATTGTTGGTCCTTTCAAGTTCAAAGTTCAAATCTCACAATTCTTAGGTGAAAGCGCCAGAATTCTCTTCCCTGATTTAATTTGCCCCTCAGCCTTGGCTTGGGATTCCTTGAGCAGCAACAGCCTAGGTCATTTTCTGCTGAAATGAGTGTGGTTACTTTAGGACTGAGAGGAAGGCTTGGTGCCACGCCAATTCACTTAGGAGCCTCTCTCTACTTAAAGAGTTGAAAGAGTTAGTAGGACACATAGGACTGAGAAGGCTAACACTGTTTTCCTCACCACAAAATGCCAAAAACATTCCAACCCCCAACTCTAAGGCACTTTCTCTTAGTTATCCCAGAAAAATGAAGTTTCCCAAGCCCAGCTCTTAATATCCAAGACTCTACAGCAACTCTGTGGAGAGGGCAGTGGAGAAAAGCTTCCCGGTTTTGCCCCATTGGGTTGCAGTTCATTCATGTCAGTCATCTGGATCCCAAAAGGTGGCACCTTAAATTCAAATGGGGAAAATCTTTCTTTGACAATTTAATTTGCACAAGGTGCACTTACCACCATGGAGAGGAAGACCTATTTTGACATCTTGTCTGCATTCTCAGAAAGGGTCGGCTGCCTTTCCTTTCCATTGGAGAATTCTAAACCTCAGAATTCTCACTTTCCCTCTTGGCCAGTGTTCCTCCTCCCACTATATTCAACTGAGGTGGGCTCTGTCTAGTGGGATTCTCCCATGCAAACAGGAATTTTCTGTCCTGGGGCCCAGTGGTGGATTGCACTCTCCTGCTATAAAATGACTTAGCAGGGAGACACATGTCACCAGTCCACATGTTGGCTCTCACTGGAGAATGATGCACAGGACATCACTACCCTTCTGTTTCTATACCCACCCTATGAACCTTTGGGCCCACTGATGCCTAAGTCTCTGCCTGAGCCGTGATTTCTCAGCCTTGGCATGTCCCAGACATGAGTAGCATCTCTGCCATTTCTTTCTCCCCAGTAGTGAGTTAAACCTCTATCCTCCCTTTAATCATTTCAGAGAAACCAGCTAGTTGTAGAGCTCTGGATGAGCACACCTGGCCTTGACCTGCACCTGAGCTTGAACATTTCTCTTCCCGGAGGGCACACAGTAGCCAACCACTCTGCAGACAAATAGCAGTACATGAGCCTTCCCCTCATGTGTGCAGAAAGGCCTTATCTCTACTAGTCCAATCTTTGCTTCTATCATGCTTGTTTAGGAAGAGCCATGCCTGCCCCTGGAGCTGCTACGCCTGTGGAGGGCCTCTACCCTCGCTGAGGCCTTTGTCTCCTGCACATGTATTGTTCAAGGTCAAGGTGCACCTACTGCTGCCTGTGACCACTCAGTGCCCACGCCTTTGCTGCAGCCAGCATGGCTGGCATTTGCTTGCAGGTCCCATGTGGACTGTATCTGCTAAGGTCACCTACAATGGCCACAAGCCCTTTCAGAGGTTCTCATGTGCCTGGTTTCTTTTTGCTAAAAGCCATTCATGTGGCCCCTGGGCCATTTTGCAGTGAAAGATGTGCAACTTGAATGTAAAGATAGTCGCTGCACCATGGACAAGGTCCTCACGGCTGTGGTCATCCACCAAAGTCAAATTACCACTTACCCTGAGACCTGCAGCCCCTACTGGGGCCCTAGCAGTTAAAAGCCAATGGCACAGCTGTTAAGGCCCACCTGGCCCTTCTGAGGTATTGCTGACGGCCAAGGTCAAAACACTCCACATATAAAATGTAAGGCCCACCCACCTGGCCCCACTGAAGCTACAGTCACTCCAGATCTATATTGTGTCATGAAATATTTCAGCAATCCAGACAATTGCACCCAATCATAGAGTCTTTAATATCATCCTTCTTGTCTGCCTGAGATCTGAACAGATGGAGAAAATGAGTAAAAAGAGAAATGGATAGAGGCTGAAATTTGCCTTCATTCCTGGTAACAGCAAAGTTAGAGGAAAATGGAGTTGATAGGAGAGAGAATGGGCTGCTAAGTGAGCACCAGCATTAGGCAGACACATCACCCAGCCACGGGAGCCTGGTCTACCTCCCTACAATGCCAGCATGGTGGGAGCAAGGAAGGGAGGGATGGAAGCAGCAAGTTGTCCCTGAACACCTGCTTAAAAAAGGAAAAACCAGTGGCTGGACCAAACTTACCTTGTTTGTTTTTCCAGAGATTACCAGTCAGTGACTCTTCACCCGAGAAGCAGTATAAATAAAAAGGCTAGCTGCCTGGAAGAAAACATCAAGAATGGGGAAGAAGTGTTGAATTTCCACCTTTTACAGGTTACCAGATAAAAATTCTACCATCAGTTGGTCAGTCTTTCACAGCAACTTCAGGCAGGTGTGTTAATGGTGAAAGTATAGCAGATGCCCCCGTAATGTCATCTCCAGAGAAGTGTAGTGGAGAGAAGTGGCATATATTCTGATGGGGAATATTGACGCACTGATTAAAATAAACCCCCAAACCTGCAGGAAGATACCTAGGTCCATCGTAAATGTCCCTTACTTTCCAGGCTGGCTTCCAAGTAAATATTGCTACATAAAAGTGCAAAAACTGGATTAAAAGTATTCCATTTAATAATCTCTAATTGACCATCTATTTGATGGTAGAGCTCGCATAAGATATTTGGGCCTGAGAGATAATTAATACTTGGGGCTTGCGTAGAGGAGCTTCCAATGAAGTAGAGGACATTGGCATTGTCCTGTGTGTCATTTGTTATAAGGAGCGAATGAGTAAGTGCCTAGAGTGGCATCTAGGGAATGGAAGTCATAGAAATCCAATGCTTGTGTATGGAGAAGAGATGAGCACAATGGTGACGAGGGCCTCAGATTTGGGAGTCCTCAGGGGTGGAACTAAGGAGCTTCACCTTTGTCCTGGAAGCTGCAGGGATCCATTTACAGAAGGTGCTTATGCAAATGAGAGGCCTGTTTATATTTGCATTTTGGGAATCTCCCCTTTATGGCTAAATTATGTCCCCCATAATCGTATGTTGAAGACCTAACCCTCAGGACCCCAGAATATGACTGTTTGGAGATAGGGCCTTTAAGTAAGTGATTAAGGTAAAATGAGGTCATTAAGTTACCCCCTCATCCGATAGGACTGGTGTCCCTATAAGGAGTGGAGGTTAGGACACAGACAACATACAGAACACGGGACAACTGCCAGTCATAAAGAGGCCTCAGAAGAAATTAAAGCTGCTGAAGCCTTGATCTTGGACCTCTGGTTCCCGGAAAACTATGAGAAAATAAATGTCTGTTGTTCCAGCCTCCTGATCTGTGGTGTTCTGCTATGGCAGCCTGAGCAATGAATACATTCCCTCTGACTGTGGTTTTCAGAACTGGTAGAAAGGAGAGAACTAGCACAGGGAGAAGAGTTAGGGTCATGAATGTATTAATCTAGGTGAGAAATTGTGATGAGGCCCATCCCTAAAAAAGGGGGAATGTGGCAGATTGGAAACCTTTGCAGAATGCATAAAGTTTGGGGACCTGTTGAAAATGAGAAGTAGGAGAGAAGAGGTTTCATGGGTAATTCCCAGATTTCTCATTTGACTGTCAGGATGGAGAATGGTTATTTTCATCAAGACAAATATATAATATTGGGCTACCACCATGCCCTAACCAACTGTGCTAACTGGCCAGAGTTGAGGACAAGTATATAATAAACAGAATAGCTTTCTCTAGAAACCTATGACTCTGCTATGAAAGCTGGTTTGGGAAACACTATCCAGTATCAGGGCTGCCTGCCTAGATTGTTAGATTTTGAGAGAGAAAATTGGATGATTCCCCACCCTTATTCAGTATTCTGGATTGAGATGGGTCTCTATCTCAGAGTTTGTCAGACTTGGTTTGTTGTAAGACTCCTTTCCCCAAAACGACAGAATTACCTCAAAAAAAAATGTTTTTTTCTTCTGAGTAGTCTGTGGCATGCATTGGTGCAGAGAAGGGAGCAGGGGGTTAATGCTGAATGGCAATAGCATTTATTTTCATTAGCTAATAGCCAAGTGTCTCTGATTCAAACCAACTGAACTAATTGAAGGAAAAAGAATGTTAACAGTCCCGGCTACTAGACTATATTTAAAAGCAATTGTTCTCAATCAATAAATCCTGCTGGATTGTTTGATTTCATTAAAGATGTATTTGTTACCAAGCAGCTGGTACCCAAACAGCTGCTTTTGATGGAGATTTCTGCCGCTCCATTGGATCATGGACAGTATTGCATTTGCACATTTCCAGCCTCAAGTGACTGTGTGGCAGCTCATGGAACAGCAACGGGCTCTTGCCAACTTGCAGCATTGGTTAGCCCCGGGGCTGAGAAAGAGCAAGAAGGCCTGGGAGCCTGCTTTTCCTGTTTTCCAGGAAATTTTTGTCTAATGGGGCACAAGAATATTTTTAAAATATTCTTTTTTTTTTTTTTTTGAGACAGTTTTGCTCTTGTTACCCAGGCTGGAGTGCAATGGCGTGATCTCGGCTCACTGCAACCTCCGCCTCACGGGTTCAAGCGATTCTCCTGCCTCAGCCTCCCGAGTAGCTGGGATTACAGGCATGTGCCACCACACCCAGCTAATTCTGTATTTTTAGTAGAGACAGGGTTTCTCTATGTTGGTCAGCCTGGTCTTGAACTCCCGACCGCAGAAGATCCACCCGCCTCGGCCTTCCAGAGTGCTGGGATTACAGGAGTGAGCCACTGCACCTTGCCAAAACATTATTAAATATAATATACCAAAGTCACCTGAGATGGAGCACCCTACAGCTCTAGCTTACGATCCATCAATTATTCTGCAAACATTTCCTGATGTCCTGCTCTCCGAGAGGGTAGCAGAGATAAAATGGAACAACCATCTCTGGCATATGTTGATTGGGACCTTGCTAGGTGCAGGTACTATTATTCCAGGTGTATCATACAGACGGTGTTATTTGATCCTTACATCAGATGATGAAGAATATACTCTTGTTATTCCCCTTTTACAGATGAAAAAAAGCAAGACAGAGAGGTTTAATTTCCCTGCTTTTCATCACGCAATTCATAGTGACGTTTATTTTGTTTTGTGCTTCGCATTCTCCTCTCCCACTAGACTGATGTATTAATAGAAGGTTGGGCTGTGACCACATCTATTACCCTCCTCAGAGGTGAGACAACACAAGGCGGGGTGGCAAGACTTCCACCCTGTGTCCAGATTACCTAAATTCAAACCCCAGTCGCAGCTCACCAAACAGACTGCTAGATTTTTTTATGTCTTCATTTCTTCATCTGAAAAAAGGAGACAATAATATAATACACCTCGTAGGATTATTGCAAAGATTAGAAGAAGTCAGTGCTTGGATCATAGTAAATGCTCAAGAAATCTCAGTTGTTACCACTACTGTATCGAGTGCTTCATAAAAATTTGTTAAATGAATGAACAAATTAAATGCAAGGGCAGAGGAACCCATGGTGTATTACAAGAAAACAGAATGGATACACAGTCCAAATTGAGGAGCTTAGGGTTTGTGTCAAAAGATTTGACCTGGCCGGGCACAGTGGCTCATGCCTGTAATCCCAGCCCTTTGGGAGGCCAAGGCAGACGGATGCCCTGAGGTCAGGAGTTCGAGACTAGCCTGGCCAACATGGCAAAACCCTGTCTCTACTAAAAATACAAAAAATTAGCCAGGCGTGGTGGCAGGCGCCAGTAATCCCAGCTATTCAGGAGGCTGAGGCAGGAGAATTGCTTGAACCCGAGAGACAGAGGTTGCAGTGAGCCGAGACCATGCCACAGCACTCCAGCCTGGGCAACAGAGTGAGACTTGGTCTCAAAAAAAAAAAAAAAAAAAAAAAAAGATTTGACCTGACTTAACTCTTGTGAAGAGTGGACAAAGTGTTGCAAGATGAAGTGGGGAATGTTTGCTCTAGGAATAGGAAGGGTATGTGCAAAAGCATGTCAAGATTAGGAGAATCCAGGGTGTTTGGACGGGAGGGGCACAGAGTCAGAGGCTGACAGCATTTAGTGAGCCTGATCCAGGGTCCACAGGTGCCACTGAAGACCTGAGATATTTTGCTACAGGCGCTGTAGAGAATTTGTATCAGCTCTTCATTCTATCAAAACAGCAAAAACAGGGACAGTTTCCCCAGCCTCCAGAGAGAATGTTTTGTCTCTTTTCCTCCTCGAAGCTATTTTCCAATGGCCTCCTGCAGTAAGTCTTTGCTGATGCCCCTGCTAATGGTCCCATTTCTCTCTCCCAGTGCCCTGCTTGCCCTGTGCTTCTGGCAGCAGCACAGATGGCCTTGCAGGTCATGGACATGTCTGCCTCTCTTACTGGACACAGAGCCTCTTACGGGCTATGACATCCTGAATTTTCTTGTGCATAAACAATGCACAGGAAGCATACGCCGAATTGAATCACTGATTCTTAAGCCAGTGGTAGCATACACTGCCAAAATGTCCAAAGCCCTCTGATGGAGAGCTGTCTCTACAAGGAAGTTTTTCAGAGCCCTGGTAGGTGGTAAAAGTTGTGACTCTTTAGTCCAGCAGATTGGAGCTCAAATGCAAACTGTGGCATCTCTCTGCTACCTCCTTCTTCTGAGTCCCAATTTACCTGTTTCTTTCTGCCTGCTCCCCTAACCCAAAGCAGGTGGTAATGGTTCCCTTGTCCACCTCCATCCTATGGGACAGGCAGGAATTGCTCCTTCCAACTCATGAGAGCTGATTTTACTCTCTTTCCAACTTTGGGTACCCTGGTGGGAGTATTTACACCACATAAATTGGCAAAATATACATATCATGACTTGCTTTCCCCGGAGAGGTGGTTGTTGGACATTAACCAGCACTGCCTGTTGATCATGTGGCTCTGTTAATGCCCTCATGACAAACAATGAGATTGATCCGTTATAAAAATGACAATAATAATAATCTTGATTATACCTTACGTTTACATCATTTACACCATGCTTTAGAATTTGCAAAAAATTTTTACGTAAGTTTTACATAACCCCCATGAAACCAGGAAATGCATTTATCATGTTTATTTCTGGGGTACCATTTTTAGCACAGTCTCAGGCAGGCTGACTAGGTACAGTGTGGCAGGTTGTATAACCACACAAAGGTGTCCAGACAAGGAAGCAAGAAGGGAGTAAAATCTAGCTTGTCAAACCATACTGTACGGGGCAGTGTCTGCTCCGAGGTCTCATCTTTGTCTATGCTACCAAGGGCTAGGTGATCTACATGCCCCCTGGCACATGGAAGGTACTCATTAAACATTTATTGAGAGAAGGAATGGATACATTTGGGCTACACAAGTAGCCTGTGAATCTAGTTTTGTAAACTCCATTATACAGCAAAGGTATCTAGTTTACCCAAGATCACGTTCTAGTGTAAGAATTAGGAGCACGAACCCTGAAGCCAGAGGACACCCTACTCCCTGCCTCATTACTATGTGAAGAGGTAAGTATCTTAACCGCTCTCTGCCTCAGTTTCCTCATTTGTAAAGCAGGGATAGTAATCATATCAACTTCTTGGTGTCATTATGAAGATTACATGGCTTAATATATGTAGAATACATATAACCATGCTCTTATTGAGAAGTTATGTGTTAACTGGCAATTATTTATATGTAAGATGGTTCTAAACGCTAAGACGTGAGGGGTTACTGTGATTGTTTGAGTACCAATCAAGGAGGCACATTTTTCTGGGAACTTTATACATGAGAATGTCTAATCAAAAATGGTAGCATCAATTAGACATTCTTATGTCTTATGAGTAAGAAATCAGAGAGATATGTAAGTTGCTAAATATTGCAGAGCAAGTGAATATTTAAGCCTAAGCCTTTATCTGCCAGCATTCAGAGCCTATGCATAGTTTTTCTCTATTTTGGTGTTCCTGTTCCTACTCTACTGAAAAATAAGTCACTCTAGACAGCCTTACTTTCCAAGCAGCTAAGTATTTAACTCTTTGAGCACCAAAGTTTCTTATTTTTAGCCTTCATATATATATATATATAATAAAATATATATAAATAAATGTATATATTTATAAAATATATATAAATAAAATATATATTTATAAAATATATAAATAATATATATATATTTATAAATATATATAAATAAAATATATATATTTATAAATATATAAATAAAATATATATATTTATAAATATATAAATAAAATATATATATTTATAAATATATAAATAAAATATATATATTTATAAATATATAAATAAATATATATATTTATAAAATATATATAAATAAAATATATGTATTTATAAAATATATAAATAAAATATATGTATTTATAAAATATATAAATAAAATATATATATTTATAAAATATATATAAATAAAATATATATATTTATAAAATATATATAAATAAAATATATATATTTATAAAAAATATACATAAATAAAATATATATATTTATAAAAAATATACATAAATAAAATATATATTTTATAAAATATATACATAAAATATATATTTTATAAAATATATACATAAAATATATATTTTATAAAATATATACATAAAATATATATTTTATAAAATATATACATAAAATATATATTTTATAAAATATATACATAAAATATATATTTTATAAAATATATATAAATAAAATATATATTTTATAAAATATATATAAATAAAATATATATATATATTTTATAAAATATATATAAATAAAATATATATATATATTTTATTACACTTTAAGTTCTAGGGTACATGTGCACAACGTGAAGGTTTGTTACATATGTATACATGTGCCATTGTGGAAAACAGTGTGGCAATTCTTCAGGGATCTAGAACTAGAAATACCATTTGACCCAGCCATCCCATTATTGGGTATATACCCAAAGGAATATAAATCATGCTGCTATAAAGACACACGTATGTTTATTGTGGTACTACTCACAATAGCAAAGACTTGGAACCAACCCAAATGTCCAATAATGATAGACTGGATTAAGAAACTGTGGCACATATACACCATGGAATACTATTTTCAGCCTTCTTAAAAGTATATCTCTCTTAAAATACAGGCATACTTGAAGACATTGTGTATTCAGTTCCAGATCACTGCAATAACATGAATATCATGTTAAAGCCAGTCACCCAAGGTTTTTGGCCTCCCAGTGCCTGTAAAAGTTATGTTTACTCTATGCTGTAGTCTATTAAATGTGTACTAGCATTATGTCTAACAAGTATACATACCTTAATTAAAAATTACTTTGTTGCTAAACAAGTGCCAAGGATCATCTGAGCCTTCAGAAAATCACAATCTTTTTGCTGGTGGAGAGTCTGGCCTTCATGTTGATGGGTGCTGACTAATTAAGGTGTTGGTTGCTGAAGGATGGGGTGGCTGTGGCAACTACTTAAAATAACACAAAAATGTAATTTGCCACATTGATCAAGTCTTCCTTTTATAAAAGATTTTACTGTAACATGAGATGCTGTTTGACAGCATTTCACCCACAGTAGAACTTCTTTCAAAATCAAAGTTAATCTTCTCAAACCCTGCTGCTGCTTTATAAACTAGGTTAATATGATATTATCAATTATTTGTTGTCATCCAACAATGTTCACAGCATCCTCACCGGGAGTCAATTCCATCTCAAGAAACCACTTTCTTTGCATATCCGTAAGAAGCAATTCTTCATCCATTCAAGTCCTACCGTGAGATTGCAACAATCAAGTCACATCTTCAGGTTCCACTTCTAATTCCAGTTCTCTTGCTATTTTCACCACATCTGCAGTTACTTTCTCCACTAAAGTCTGGAACCCTTCAAAACCACCCATGAAGTTTGATATCAGCTTCTTTCAAGCTCCTGTTAATATTGCTTTTTGACCTTCTAGGAGATGTGAATGTTCTTAATGACATCTAGAATGGTGTATTCTTCCCAGAAGGTTTCCAATTGACTTTGCTCAGATGCATCAGAAGAATCACTATCTACGGCAGCTATAGCCTTAAAAATGCGTTTTTTTAAAAGTAATAAGACTTGAAAGTCTAAATTACTTCTTGATCCATGGGCTGTAGAATGAATATTGTATTAGTAGGCATGAAAGCAGCATTAATCTCTGTATACGTCTATATCAGTGTTCTTGGGTAACTAGGTGCATTATCAATGAGCAGTAACATTTTGAAAGGAATTTTTTTTAATATTAATAATAGGTTTCAACAGTGGGCTTAAACCATTCAGTGAACCATGCTGTCAACAGATTTACTTTCTGGGCTTTGTTGTTCCATTTATGATGCATAGGTAGAGTAGATTTAGCCTAATTCTTAAGGTCCGTAGGATTTTCAGAATGGCAAATGAGCGTTAGGCTTTAGTTTAAAGTCACCAACTTCGTTAGATCACAACAAGAGTTAGCCTGTCCGCTGAAGCTTTAAAACTAGGCATTGACTTCTCCCTAGCAATGAGAGTCATAGATGGCATCTTATTTCAATGTAAGACTATTTTATCCTCACTGAAAATATGTTCTTCAGCATAGCCACCTTCATCAATGATCTTAGCTGGATCTTTTTCAGAACTTCCTGTAGCTTCTGCATCAGCACTTACTGCTTCACCTTGCACCTCCATGTTATGGAGAAGGCTTCTTCCCTTAAACCTCATGAACCCACCTCTGCAAGCTTCCAACTTTTCTACTACAACTTCCTCACCTCTCTCAGCTTTCATAAAATTAAAGAGAGTTAGTGCCTTGCTCTGGATTAGGTTTAAGGGACTCTTGTGGCTGCTTTGAACTTCTACCATGACCACTAAAGCTTTCTCCACATCAGCAATAAGGCTGTTTCACTTTCTTATCATTTGTGTGTTTACTGGAGCACTTGAATTTCCTCCAATAACTTTCCCTTTGTATTCACAATATGTCTATTTGGTGCAAGAGGCCCAGCTTTCAGCCTGTCTTGACTTTTGGTGTGCCTTCCTCACTAAGCGAAATCATTTCTAGCTTTTGATTTAAAGTGGGAGATATGTGACTCTTCCTTTCACTTGAACTTTGATGCCATTGTAGGGTTGTTAATTGGCCTAATTTTAATATTGTTGTGTCTTGGGGAATAGTGAGGCCCAAAGAGAGGGAAAGAGACAGGGGAATGGCTGGTCAGTAGAGCAGTCAGAACCCACATAACACTTAATTAAGTTTGCCATCTCATGGCACATACAGCCCCAAAACAATTACAATAGTAACATCGAAGATCAATGATCAAAGATCACCGTAACATATATAATAATAATTTTGAAATATTGTGAGAATTACCAAAATGTGACACAGAAACATGATGTGAGATCATGTAGTTAGAAAAATGGCAGAGATAGACGCTCAACACAGGGTTATCACAAACCTTTGATTTAAACAAAAAATCAAAACAAAACATGTCTGTGAAACAAAGTAAAATCAAACATAAAACAATGAGCATGGCTGTAATAGGTTCTTCAAAAGCAATGACACCACAGCAGCCATGAGCACACCTAGTGCCCAGGTCTTGGTTTCTAATTCCAATTCCCAATAAAAGGAGCCCACGTTCCTTGAAGAATGGCTGATTTTAGGCCTGAGGCAAGAAATATACAAGATGAGCCTGGCATATGACAGTGCCAGAAAGCAAAGCAGTGTTCAAAAGACAAAATAATGGGGTATGTCAGAAGAAAACAGAAGACAAACGAAAGAGCTCCAAATGCTCAGAGCTACAACAATTTGAGCAATACAACAAATAACATCGTATTGAATTATAATCTGAAATATAACATAGCCATGATTTTATCCTAATAATAATGAATGACTGAATAAAGACATAAATGGGAGATAATGAATAAATCTCTCATGCAGAAGAATTCCAAATAATTTATTTAGATACTCTGCCCTCAAGGAGGTGAAGCATAACTCACCACCCCTTAAGTGTGGGCAGTACATAGCAACTTCCTTACAAAGAGTTCAATGTGCAAAGGAAGAGAATAAAGAGTCACTTGGCAGTGGAGAAACCTGACAAACCCTCCTCAGAGAGGTGACGGAGGTCAACATCAACAGGGATAAGTCACGTTGACAGTATGTGCCCATGATCTGATGGGATGAGCATGGTGGTTTATCTCTGTGATCTTCCTTTTCAAGATCTGTACCACCAATCGTACCATAAGAAAAACATCGGTTGAACAAAACTGAGAGAAATTCTACAAAATACCTGGCAACATCATCAGAAACAAGGAAAGTCTGAGAAACTCACAGTCTACAGCTAACAGACCACAGGGATGTGATGGCTAAATATAACATAGTATACTGGGTGGAATCCAGGAAGAGGAAAAGGACACTACATAAAAAATAAGGGCATCAGAATAATGTATGGACTTGAGTTAATCTCAGTGTATCAGTATTGGTTTATTAGTTGTGGCAAATGCACCAAACTAAAGTCAGATGTTAACAACAGGAAAAAATGAGTGTGGGGCACAGGGGAACTCTTTGTACTCTCCGCAATGTTTTTTTGTTTTGGTTTTTGTTTCTTTTTTGTAAATCTAAAACTATTTCCAAAGAAAAAGATTATTTTAAAAAGTGCAAACGTAGAATGGTCCTGTCTTTTATTTTCTATTTTTTTCCTTCTTTCTGTTTTGGATTCACTTTTGTGAAAGACACATTTCACTGGACTATAAATTAGTGATGACGACTGTGGCTACCGTAGTGGGCAGGGCTGTTTGCCCTAAAATACCTGGCTCCAGTTCCTTGTGTCGATTATGTTGCTGTTATCATTGTTGTTATTCTCTAGTGAGGAGCTTCAGAGAGCTTTCTGTCTAGTTCTCATCTGTCATGTTTTACTCGTTCACTGTCTGTGGTGGCCTCTTGCTTATTTCTGGGCTGTATTTTTAGAGTCTGAGAGTATAATCCAGTAGAAGTGCGTATGAGTATACGTCAGTTTATGAAAACGTGGGGCAAAAGCAAGTGGGTAGCTTTGGAGCGTGGTCCTCAGTCCTCTTTGTAATGCATCTTCAGTCTATTTGCAGTTCTTCCTAGATTTTCTTTCTAGTTATCAGCTATGTTCTTGACAGGAAGAGTGACAGAAAATTTTCATTCTGGATAAGGCCATTTCTAGGCAATTACACCTTCTGACCACCCTCTAAAATTGAAAAAAAGTTTTATGAAATAACATTGTAGAGCTCCTTTTCAAATCCTCTGACCTGAGAGTAATGTGGGAGAACCTGAAGAGCCCCTTGAAGCCATCAAGTGTACTTTCTTAAAGGACAGGCTTTCCAAAGCACATGGGCCTGTATTTCCCTCCTCCACGTGTCAGCTGAAATCCAGCACCAAGGATAAATTGGGTTGGACAGCACAAGCCCCAGCGCCAACACTCTAGTCAAACCAAAGCCCCGGAGACCGCTGAAAACATTAACTTCAAAGAACGGATTGTGTTTGCCCAGCTCTCTGCTTCCTGGTTTTGACCAAGACTAGGATGAGAAAAGCAAGCGTTTTTCCTTTGTGAGGTGTCAACTAGTTCATATCTGCAGCTCTGGAAGAGTGTCTGACTTATCAAACACCCTTTGAAGCCAAAAGGGATTGAGAATATACAGAAGTCGAATCCGTGGGTGTGTCTTCTCTCTCTCTCAATCTCTCTCCTTCCCCCTCCTTCTCTCCCCTATTTTCCCCATTTACTCTCTGTATCCACAGTTCTCTTTTTCAGTTTGTCCTTCTGTTGCACCTTTGCGAGCAGCTTAGTAGAGAGGAAAGCATGTACAGCACTGGCTGTGGAGCAACTTTTCCCAGTACTTGAATCCTGGCCCCCCTAGTTTTTACGTTTGGCTTAAGTTTCCTGAGCTCTCTGAATCTCAGTTATCAGCTTAAAGAAAGATGACGATACTTTCCTGGCCGAGTCTTTATGGGGATCAATGACACATAATGCCCAGCCGGGCAGGGGGAGCTCAGTTGATATGAGCTTCTTCCTCTTCTCCCTTTGGATCTTGGTGTATTTTACAATCTAGTCACATCACTTTCTGTATGTCCAGCCACCTCTCCATGCAGGGCTGCCACTTGGTTCACTCTACTACTTTTGTATTGAAAAATATGTGTCTCCCCCAAAGGACAAATTAATAAAAATATAAATAAGCCAAAAAAATTCTGCCTTCTGTTCCATTTGATTCTTAACATAAAAAGCAGGGAAACTGTTTATTTTCCACTCTATTTTAGCTTGACGATGATTCCGCAGAGAAGTGTTTTCATTTCATGCCCTGTTCCCAGCAAGGAGTGAGGGAGGCGAAGAGACTTACCCAAGGCCATGCTGGGAGCTATCTTCAGAATCTGGATTCCAGTTCCAGCCAGTCTGTCCTCTGACTCATGTTCTTCCAGCCTCGTCTGGAGGTGTCCAGGTTGTCTATCGTGCCTCCTTCATGTTTGTTTGTTTGATTGCTTTGTTTGATCCTTCATGTTTGTTTGTTTGTTTGTTTGATTGCTTTCCCTGTGCCCAGTGCTGCTGACTATATAGAAAATGAGCAAGATGTGATGGGGTCCAAGGAGTCCAGGTCGTCGAGTCAGTAGCCTGCCATTGGGCCATTGCAGTACAGCATGGGGAGGGCTGTCACGAGGGAGTTTAGGGGATGATGCCCCCAGGTGAACCCAGCCCTTACTCTGGTAGGCCCACACCATTCCTCCTCAGCCTGGGGTGCTGCTAGCTTTCTGGCTTTGCGAGTCCCTGCATTGCCCTCTGGCCCCCAATTGAATCCCAACAGTTTCTGTTGTCACCATGTAACTCTGTCTCTGTGTTAAGTCTCTTCTATTATGAAGATTCAAAGTGTTTTCTGCTTTCCTGTTTGGACTCAGAATGGTAGACTCCAATTATTATTGAGACACAAAGCAATCATAACTGATTAATATCACTGTTTTAAAAAGAGCAATGTCTTTATTGTCTAAGGAGGCCATATAAATTCATAGGAAAAAGCCCAACCCACTAATAGGGCCCCATATGTACTGAGAGTGATTGGCATTCGCTGAGTATTGATTACATTCCAGGAAGCTCAGGGCCTTAGAGTCCTCAGCTCATTCAATCTTCACAACAGCCCTATTGTGACTTATATTCATTTTACAGAAGAAATAACTGAGGCCCTACATGTTAAGTAAATTGCACTAGGGGTCAGCTTAAAAAAGTAATTTGATTTTTTTTTCTTTCTAATTTTGAAAAGACAATAATTGCATTTCTCTAATTGCCCAGAATGAACATGCACTTCTTTTAAAATTAGAAAATAAAATAATAAAAAGTTATATGTGAACAAACCAAAAAGAAAAAAAAAGCACAGAAGTCTATCTTCTTTTTCAGTAAATGTTTAAATAGTAAATGTGTCTATAGTTGTTAGTCATACAGTCTCTGTCACAATGATTTAACTCTGTTATTATAGTGTAAAAGCAGCCACAGGCCATTTGTTAACAAATAAGTGTGGCTGTGTTCCAATAAAACTTTATTTAAATAAACAGGCAGTGGGCCAGATTTAGCTTGCAGTCCTTAGTTGCCTCACCCCTAGCTAGATCACGACAAGCACTCGATAAGCATGCATCGTTGCTAATGTTTAGAATAGTGATTTCAAATCTTACTTGGTCAAACTCTTGTCTGATTTTGCTTTCCTTCCTTCGGGTACAAAATACTCTTAGTTTGCTACCTGCACCGCCTAGGAGCACTCAGCACTGCTGTCTCTGTTGACCAAAGCCTTGTGATTACCCCACATTCCTCCTGCCGTTTATTCCCCTGGAATGAGTTCCCCCAAGCATGCTTTGGTCCCAGTACTCCATTGCACAGTCATTTTGGAAAATGTCAGCTGTTGCCCCCCATAACAGACCTTGATGGGCACAGCACGAGGCTTGTCACTGTATGTGAAGTGCTGTGAGGAAATTATAAAAACATGATTAAAGGAGAGAATCACAGAGAGCGAGCGAGACAGTGGTTTCGGGGAGAGATGTCAGCTCGCATATTGTTTTAACTAGAAATACTCCCACAGTGTCATCAACTCCACAAAATACACAGTTGAAAGTAACAGCTTCTTAATGCCAAAAGGCTTGATTTGAAACTTCATGAAGGTTCAGAACTTCAACTTGAAGGGAATGAATGTTTAGGAGGCATATTGTGTGTGGCAGACTCTCTAACCCACATTTCAATGGCCTGTTCAATGAGGCTTTTCCACTCTCATACCCTTTCGGTGAGAGAGTAATTTGCCCCAATCTTCCTTAAAGACAATTTAGTCATTTTTAATCACAAGTCTTTAAAATTGGCATATCCTCGGACCTAACAAGTTTACCCTTAGGACTATATCTGAAAGAAATAGTTGGATGAACTCTGTGTGTAGAAGAGTGTTCACCATAGCAGTATGTATTCTGGGTAGCATCCTGAAGCAACTAGAATTCCTGATAATTAGCGACTGTTTAAAAAGATATATTGCATCCCTCTAACGGAAGAGTTTATAGCTGTTAAGTATCAGGTTTTAGAAGACTATTGAGTGAACAAAGAAAGCACTCACAAAAACAGGCTATAATATAACATAGCCTATATGATTCCAATTTTGAGAAAATAAACATGTTGTGTCCCTGTCAGTAGCTGGAGTTGCATGAAAATGTAATAGCGATTATTTCTGCTGCCATTCAAAACACGCTTCATTTTGTAATTTACATTTTTATATTTGTTTTTCAAATTTTGCCCATGAGTATATTTTTCTCTTAAATGTCAGCGAGAAAAAGATAATAAATTTTGAAAAGAGAAAATAAATGTTCTCTAAAACATGCTAAATTTAAAACAAACTGGGAAATAATGTTTGCGACATAAAGACAAGATTTTAATATCTTTAATCTAGAAAGATATTTTATAAATTAAGAAAAAATAACTCCAGTATGAATTCACAGAAAGAAAGCAAACAGAAAACATATTCACACACAAAAATTCACAACTGAAACCATGTTCAAGTACCTAATAAATATGTAAAAAGTATTTATCTTTGCTAGTGATCCAATAGACACAGATGAAACAAAATATAAGGTAGTATTTTTTAGCCATTAAATTATCAATCTTTGAATGATACTAATCAGAGTTGCTGATGACAGATGACTCAGCTCCTCACACCGAGGTGGTTAGCGTCTAAATTTGTTCATTCTTTTTATAGAAAGCAATTTGTATTTGCCGTGACACATGACATCACCAGTACCGAAACTTTGCCCTAATAACTCCATCTCTACAAATGTTTCCTAAGGAAATAAGAGTACTTAAAGATGTTTACAAGGATGCTTATTTCAGCTTTATTTAAAATATTTGTTTGTAAATGTGGAAACAATATGTGTTTAGCAAACGAGAAGTGGGAAAATAAGTTGTGATGTGCAGATAGAATTAGGGTAGAAGATTATATATAGTCATAGGTTAGAAGATTATATAGACATCAAATTATATTTTGAAACATTTTTAATGATATATAAACATGCTTTATGAGCAAGTGAGAATAGCATGATGCCAACTGTCTCTCTACGTTCCAATTTAGTAAAGTGTCAACGCACACACATAAAATCACTGGAGGGAGATCGGCAGTGGGTGATACCGGTTGCTGATGTTATGAGTAGCTTATTCCTATGTCCCCTAGATGGCCGATAATCCAAAAGAAGCAAATCAATATTGAAAACCACAGACCAAAAAACAAAACAAAACAAAATGGCGGGGAAGAGGAGGCAGAAGAGAAGAAGAAAGAGAAGGAAGAGGAAGAAGAAAAAGAAATCCCAGGACTCTACCTGGTCCTCACTGAAGAACTTTTTTGCATGTATTTGAAGAACACACATGCAGTATTGCATTACATCTGGTACCTGCCATCAGGCTCTGGCCTCATTTCTTTCCATTCACCTGTAAGTACCAGTTGACTCAGTTCTGCATGTCATGGTAAATATTCCAAGTTAACACTTGACATTCTGAAGTGCTGTACGAATCTAGGCCCTGTTGCTATCTCCTCTCAGTAGCACTTTTGTCAAACATTGTCACTGAAGGTGACTCTGGGGAATAGATTTTTCTTGCTCCTTTATCACTAAACTTGCTTCCTCCTTTTGGGAACATGAAACAGGTGGAATTTATAGTGTAACCATTATAGTTCTTAAAAGAGATTCTGAGAGCTTCTCAGAATCTCAGCTCAGCATTGGAGGCACCTGAGGAATTTTAGGACCTACTGATGCCGAGTTAAACCCCAGATCTCTTGCTGTGAGGCCGAGGCATTGGCAGTCAAAGGTGCCCAAGTGATTCTCATGTGCAGAGAAGGCTGAGAACTGCTCTGTTTTTTACCGGCACGTGTTTTCTTTCAAAAGAATGTCTGTTGCAAGGGAAGGGACCTACCACAAACCCAACACTCTACATGCTCACACCGACTATTCATTGTCATATTTGATTTGTATAATCACCCCTTAAGGTAAAAGCTCTGAACTTCCTTTCCAGTTGAGGGAATACACTCAGAGAAATTAGGGTTTCCTGAACTCAGGCAGCATGAGGCATGAAAAGGAAAGACAAGAATAACAAAATGTCCTGGGTTTGACTCTTGTCAAAGCTGTGGAGTGGTGGGCAAGTCCTCTTAGCATCATGCTCAGTGATCTCTGATGTTCTTTACTGATAGCCCAGTGACTCTCCACTGGGGGCAATCGTGCCCCAGGAGACATTTTGATTGGCGCTACTGGAGGAGGAAAGTGCAACTGACATCTAGTGGGTAGAGGCAAGAGATGTTGCTGGGCATCCTATAATACATGGGACAGTCCCCACGGCAAAGGATTATCCAACCCAAAAAGTCGACAGAGCCAAGGCTGAGAAGCTGGCTTTAGCTGCAAGTTATGAAGATGAATTGAGATGCATTTCCTTAATGTGTTTAGACCGGACGAGTCCCTCGCTTGGCAAAGACCTGAGAAATGCAATGATCTCTAGTCCCCTTTTCTGTCTCTTCTCAGGGCACTCGAGTCTAAGCCAGGAAGGAAAATCTTCCCAGCCTAAATTTGACAATGTGGAGGCCAATCTGGCATGAGACAGTTTATTTCTACACCCCCAGAGAGCAGTAAAGTCCCTCTCAAAAGCCAACCCAGACAAAACCAGTCCTTTCTGGCTCTTCTTTTTATCTGCCACACTTATCTAGGGCTCAGCTCAGGGAAACCTCCCCCAGCTGGAGACTAACTTTAAGGGCAGGTCCCGGCTCCCACAGCCTTGCAGGCACCGTGAGAACCTCAGTCTCCCCAGAGGAAGAAGCCATGGGCTGAAGAGACAGCTGCACTTATCACTTCCTCCCATCGCTCAGTCCGTTGGGCTGTTCTCCAAAGTAGGCCAAACTGCTCTGGGTCTTGTTAGGGAAGAGACCCAGAAACCAGCAGGACAGGAAAAGGCAGCTCTGCTGGTCTCTGAGAGCTGAGAGTGAGACAGCCCCAGGACAGCCCACAGCCCTGGAGAAGAGAGCCCTGTGGCTGGCAGTGTGGCTGGAGAAATGTCCAGGGGCCTGGATTCTGAGTCACTGAAATAAAAAGAGGGCTTTAGATGTCAGAGGACTGTACTAGGTGTCCTAGCAGTTGGTGGACCCATTCAAGCTTTTACTGAGCCTTTGAGGAGGGAAGTAATTTCAGATATCTGAAATTACCCAGTCCCCTGTGTGATCCTGCTTCAACTGTGAGGTGTTTAAAAAAAAAAAAGATTCAATGACACTCGTGAAAGCACAGTAGGTGGCCCATGCTTAGGACCATCACAATAAGCACGAGGACCCCTGCAATGAGATTTTTAGTCAGGGACAGAGATTGGGCTCAGCTCTAAATACAGCATGAGCCAATGAGAATTTATGGCCAAGGAGCAGGGCAGGGTCAGTGGATGCAGAGGTACTAAGATAAAACGTCAGCGGGGAGGATTCTGGCCAAAGCAACCCACTCATGTAGATGTCCATTCACCCCGTAGACTCTCATGCCTCATGCGTTTTTCAAATGTTGATGATCAATGTGATGTATGCAGGATTCTCACTAAAGACAAGCCAGGGTGATCAGGCAACACCCAGGGGATGATGGAAGATGAGGAACTTGATCAGAGGTTGAGGATGATCAGATATCAAGGGTGATGGGTTCTTGCTAACCTGACTTAGCAGGGTTCTTTGATAAAACTGGATTTTACAAGGAAGTACAGAGATGGGCTTAAGAGAAGGTCCAAAAGCTTGACTGAAGTTTGGACTAGCAGAACATATTTGTCAGAGGCCACCCTTGCCATGGGGCCCATGGTGATACTTTCTCCCTCAGGGTTTCCAGGAGTTGCCCAAGAGATGGAGCAGGAGGACAAGAGCCCTTCCCCACTCCTCCGCTCTTCCACTCAAAAGCCCCATCTGGCTGAGGGATGGCACTTTCCATTCCAGTCCTAGGAAGCCATGAGGAGTTAGGAATAAGTCCCCAAATGATGCTTTTGCATTCTCTTTCCCACCAAAATATGATCGACTGTTGAGACCTGCCTCAGACCTGAACCTGGCATCTCTACCATGCATCCCTGGAAAATAGCACATCCTCAGCAAAACCTGGGATACCAGCTCACCTCACCCCACCAGGATCCTCTGGGATCCTTGCAAGCCCCTTGCACTGTGATCCTTTATGGTCCCTGCCTTCTGGATACTCCTGTCACTGGGCAGTGTTGCTCAGAACCCTCCCTCCCCTGTATCTGTCTCTCCAGTTCAGCCTAAGTTCCTTGAGGGCAGGAGATATGCATGGTTTTAATTAGCACCACCATCCCTGGGGTCATGCCCGGTAAGTACAGTAATCCCCCCATCTGTATTTTCACAGTTTCAATTACTCACGATCCACCACAGCCTGAAAATATTAAATGGAAAATTCCAGAAACAGTTAATCAGTTTTAAATGTTGCATTGCTCTGAGTAGCATGCTAAAATATCATGCTGTCCTGTTGCATCTCACTGGGGCATGGATCATCACTTTCCACCATATTCCATGCTGTCTACGCTACCTGCCCATTAGTCACTTCATGGCTGTCTTCGCTATACTGACTGTCATGACATCGCAGTGTCTGTGCTCAAGTCACTCTTATTTTACTTCGTAATGGCCCCTCTGAGCAACGATAGTGGTGCTGGCAATTCGGATAAGCCAAAGAGAAGCTGTAAAGTGTTTCCTTTTTTAATTTTTTTGAGTTGGAGTCTCACACTTGTCAGCCAGACTGGAGTGCAATGGCACAATCTTGGCTCATTGCGACCTCAGCCTCCTAGATTCAAGTGATACTCTTGCCTCCGCCTCTCAAGTAGCTGGGACTGCAGGCATACACCACCACGCCCAGCTAATTTTTGTATTTTTAGTAGAGACAGGGTTTCACCATGTTGGCCAGGCTGGTCTTGAACTCCTGACCTCAGGTGATCCGCCTGCCTTGGCCTCCCAAAGTGCTGGAATTACAGGCGTGAGCCACCGTGCCCAGCCTGTAAAATGCTTCCTTTAAGTAAAAGGTGAAAGTTCTTGACTTTTAAGGAAAAAAAAAATTATATGTTGAGGTTGCTAAGATCTATTGTAAGAATAAATCTTCTATCTGTGAAATTGTGAAGAAGGAAAAAGAAATTCATGCTAGTTTTGCTGTCATATCTTAAACTGCAAAAGTTATGGCCCCAGTGCGTGATAAGTGCTTAGTTAAGATGGAAAAAGGCATTAAATTTGTGGGTGGAAATTATGAACTGAAATGTGTTCCAAATGATGGAAATAGGGTTAGGTACTACCCAGGGTTTTAGGCATCTGCTGGGAATCTTGGAACACATGCCTGGCGGATAAGAGAGGTCTACTATAGTTCAGTTAACATTCTTGTAAAAAAAGACTTTACCTCCAAATTCTCATAGATATACTCACTACCCAGGACAGTTTTCTAACTTTTCAAGAAGGCCTGAACTGTCAAAGCTCCTTCTGTGAGTGTGGAAAAGGGAGGCTATCCACCAGGTTTCTCGGCAGACATTCCAACCTTTGCCAACATGTAAGTGGGTATGCGAGAGAGGACGGAGGTTTTGAGGTTTTGATGCAAGACCAATGGACTGTTGTGCAAGCCAAGGTGGTGAATTAGTGACACCCAAAAGGTCACGCTGCCCTGAGTTCACGGTCTGGCCTCCATGCCCCCAAGTCCTGTCTCAGTCTGTGTGTTTAGGCTGGCTGGAGCCTCCCAGCTGTGCACCTGCCCCTCCTTAGACTTAACTGTACCAACGGGATGCTGGTGGCTGGACTGATTGTCTATCACTGTCTCATCCTTAGGCTTCTCAAATCTGGAGATGTAGATCATCAGAGGATGTTTATTACAAATATTAAAATCAAATGTGCAAAGCAATGAAGCTGCCCTGATATGCAAATATGCAATCTTTTCTCCTCTGCCCCCATGAGAAATCTAATAGGGTAGTGGACTTACAATTGGGTTTTGGACCCCACTTTGTCACTTATTAAGCTTGCAACTTTGATGAAGCACAAAATAATGGTGTCCTCTGCTCACGTCATCCCATCAGTCCTGGCTCATGATAGCTAGTCAATGTTGACAGTTTCCACTAGCGAGTTCTTCCATGGGCCTCAAAGAAAACAGATAAGTAAAAAATGAATACATATTTCATATGCACACATGCATGACTCATGTACGCGAACATTCAGCCCTGTATGCTCGAATGCCTAAAGTATTTTTCAAATGTTGATGATCAATGTGATGTATACAGTGGTGATTAAAAGCCTGGTCTGCCTTCAACCTCCCTGAGTTTAAATCTCAGCGCCCCCACCCCACCATGTACCAGCCATATGACCTGTGTGTGTCACATTATCACATTCCTTACAAGAGTGATGTGTCATCTACCCCTTGGATGATGCTTCCAGTTGCTAAGGACGTTGACCACTGAGCCAGATTTCTCTGAGCCAAATCTCAGCTTTGCACACTGAGACCTTGGCAGAACACTGACCCTGTCTCGAGCTCAGTTTCCGAATCTGTGGAACACAGGTAGCCGTCATGACTAACTCCTAGGGTTGCTGTGAGAATGAGATGAGTCAATACTTGCACCACTTTTAGAGCAGTGCCCAGCACCTCAGACTTTCTCTAAGGGTTGGCTGTGTGGATTAGGTGGGATTCATGGGGATGAGAGAGATAAAGCACTTAGAACAGCAGGATCACAGACAGGATCCAAAAAGTGTTGGCCTTTGTCCTTGTTGTAGTGCTGGTTTTGGTGTTGTTATTTCTGTTTTACAGATGCGTGGAGGCTCCACTGGATCATTCATGAGCATGTGGCTTGCAAATGACACAGGGTGGTTCAAACGGCTGATACTGTCTGCAGCAAAGCAGGGGTACCTGGGCAACACGAGACACAGTGGCATGTTTTTCTTAGAAGTCCTGGCTGCTGGTTCTGCCATGTGAACTAGATTTAAACATGGGCTAGAAGGCATCTTTTCAAAATCTTTTCTTAGTTTTCCATAGCTGTATAGGGAAAGAAATAAGAATATTTTGAACGACCTACAAGGCTCCTATGATCTGTCCCCTGCCCACCTCTCCTGCCTCAGCTTCTAGGATGTTCTTCTCATACTCAGCTGCAATCATATTTGATTTCAGTTCCTTGAACATGTTAGGAGCCTTCTTGCTCTAGGGTATTTGTGCATGCCAGCCCCTCTTTCTGGAGTAAACAAACACATGAAACATGTTTGATGCACCTTTTCTTCTCTATTCTTCTCTCTTATAAATTTGATACCTTCACGTGTGTCTCAATGTAAAGTTTCCCACTTTGAAAGCACAACTGATGCCAACAAATCGTGGCCAAGGGTTATTCATTGAGAAAATTGCAATACACCCACCAGCTCATAGGATTCAGATTGGCTTTGTTTGGACCTGGTCACCGCCTTTGTTGAGTATTAGCCTGGCACAGTCCTAGGGGAGCTACATGCTTCATCTCATTTGGCCCTCCCAGTAATGATACAGCAATTTTTAGCCTTGCTTTATAGATGAGGAACCCAAGACCCAGAGATGTCACATAGTATAAATGAAAGTTACAAAGCAATGCTGGAAGAGGTGGGGCTCAGAACCAGATCTGCTTGATTTCTTCAATCAGCCATTGATTGATTTGATGAGTATTTTTTGAATATTTACTACCTGTCATGATCTATGGCAGATGATGGGTTTCAACTGTGACCAACAGACATATGGCACCTGCACTGGTGGAGCTTACAGTCTAATTGGAGAGACCAACAAGTAAACAGAGGACCATAGCAAGTGTGGTAGGGCATAGAAAAGAAACAAAAATCCCAGCCTGGCAGCCATTGGAAGCTCCATAGACTAAGTGTATCAGTTAGAAGTGCTATGTAACAAACCGACTCGGATCTTGTTGCCCTAAACAGTAGCAATTTAACTCACAAGTCTTCACTTTGGCAGTTTGGGCTGGCTTAGCTGGGCACTTCTTCCAGGTAAGGCTGGACTTGCCCATTCATGAATATGTGATCAGCTAGTGTGCTGGCTGCACTTGGCTGGATTCGGATGTCCTTGTTTAGGGAGCCTAGAGTCTCTCTTCGTGTTTGTCTCTATCCCTCCAGCAGGTTAGTTGAGCCTGTTTACCTGCATACCAGTCAGAACTCCTGAGGGCAAACCTACTGCCAGGCATTTTTTAGGTCTTATATATTCCGGTATTTGCATCATCAATCACATAGGCTGTTGTTTCATTCACCAAACAAGCCACAGTCCTGAGTCAGCGTGGGAGGCACCCAAGGGCTTGGACACAGAGAGGCTTTGACAAATCAGGTCTGTTACTACAATCAAGCAATAGTGCCAACTGGACTGAGACAGGAAGGTTGAGAACACTTCTAAGCAGAGAGAAAGGACAGGGTAGATCGTGTGGTAGCTCTGAACGTAAAATGAGCACTGACACACTAGATGATGGTAGCTTTGTGTTATTCCTGCTTTCCCTGATTGTCTCTCCAGATCCACATGTAAGCCACTGGGCTCCCAGAAGAAAAGGGATGATTCACCCAGATCTGAGCCAAGCACAATTTGGGCAGCCCTTTGACAAACCCAACTGTTGCCAGTAAATGGGGATCCAGAAGACGTGAGCCCCACCTTCTGAGGCCAGCATCTTGTCTCAGGGTTCCAGGCCAAGCTGTGCCCTGGTTCGAGCTTGAAGCCAAATGACACTCAGCATGACAGCCATGGGTTAGGTTTTCTATATATCACAAATAAAAATTCAATTAAACATAGAGGCGGGTGGGGACGGTGTTTGGGGAAAGGAGTATTGGTGGGGGGGAAGGGATCTAAGGTTGGTTTTCTTCCTAACTTGGCAAGTGTGAACCTAAAATGTTTCTTTTAAGTCGGAATGACCATGTCATTCCACCTTCTGCACCCCCTCCCCAAGCCTGGTTCTGATTATTAGCTGAAGTTCAGTGCAAGTCAAGGCAATTCTGGTTCGGCAGCCAGGGAAAAATGACCCCTTTATTCAGTGAGGAAAAGCTGAGTCTGGTGGCTGAACGACCGCTGGGCTCATGGACATGGGGCTAAGGCCACATCAAAAAGTATTCTTTCTCCAAGCCCAGAGACCCATGGTTCCCACTCTGTGTGAGGTTCCCAAGTCATGGAAAACCCCAGGAACATCCCAGGAGCCTGGAGTGAGATCTGGGGTCTTGGGCCGCAGCTCGCAGTGTAAACGCAGCAGCCTTCCTCAGAAACTGGCTGTGTCTTGTCAGTCAGGATTGGACTAACTGAGCGGAAGGTGGCAGCTGAAAGGCCTGGGAGAAGAGGCATCTTGCAGAAGTGCAGCTGAGCGAGGGCTCCAGATCTGGGACTAGACACCCACAGACTCCTGGCTTGCTGTGTGACTCCAGGCTTTTTGCTTCCCCTCTCTGAATCTCATAGATAAGAGAGATGTACTCTGAGGATCAATGGGCCATCAGTGAATGTCCACTGCTATACTCTTACAGAGAAACAAGGGGAGATGCCTCTGTGGGCAGAAACAGCACTGAGAATAACTCCTGCACAGTTATTGCCTTTGTGGTTCAAAGCTCTCTCGCATAAGCACTGTCCTTCTGAGTCCACCAAAGACCACGCGAAGGCAGGAATTGTAACCTCCATTGTGGCAGGTAGGGACACTGAGGCTCAGAGACGTGTGCTCGCCTGAGTTACAGCTTGTAAGGGGCACATGAGCACCAAGTCTTGTCTTTGGATGCCAGTCACATGTTCTGCTAGAGTAGAGGGGGCATAGATGACAGGGCAGACAGAGCTGACAGGGAGTCTGAGGTTGGACAAGTTTCTAGAACTTTCTGTGTCCTTTCTAACTAGAAAAACTGCTTTGTATTTATTGATACAATTAGGGAAAATTTATTTAAAGTGTCGAGGCTGGGTCTGGTCTGAGGAGGGCACTTGACTAGCCCCTGCGGATGGTATGATGACTGCCCTGCCCCCTTGGCCTCCAGCCCATCTTCATCTCAACCACCTAGGCTGGCTATGGCCAAGGGAGGCCCCTGGCTGCTCTGACGATCAGAGCAGTTGTCTGGTGTGATGGTGAAGTTCAGGTGTCAACTTGACTGGATTGTGGGAGGCCCAGACAACTGGCAGAGCAGTTTCTGGGCGTGTCTATATGGGTGTTGCCAGGAGACGCCTCCTTTTGAGTCAGTGGACTGAGTAAAGATTTGCGCTCAACGGGGGTGGGCACCAACTAATTCTCTGAGGGCCCAGATAGAACAAAACAGAGGAAAGGTGAATTATCTCTTTCTTTCTCCTGGACCTGAGACGCCCTTCTTCTCCTGCTCTTGAACATCAGAACCCAGGTTCTCTGGACTTTGGCTCCCAGGAGTTGCCGAGTGGCCCATCAGTTTTTCTGACCTTTGGCCTCCCACTGAGGGCTACACCATCAGCTTCTTTGGCTCTGAGGCTTCCGGACTCAGACTGAGCCACATTCCCAGCCTCCTTGGCCTCCAGCTTGCAGATAGCCTGTTGCAGGACTTCTCAGCCTCCATTATAATAAATCTGTCCCCCGCTTCTCCCCCGCCCCATAAATCCTATTGTTCTGTCTGCCTGGAGAACTCTCATGAATACACCTGATCCTCCCAGCCTGAGCAGAGGGCTGACAGTGATGGACAGCATGTCCCGGGACCCCCACCTCCACACAGCTCACCCAAAGCAAGCCCTCGGATAGATGTCGTCCTCGAAGTTCCCTGATGTGCGAGTTTCATGGCTCTTGTAGCAAAATACCACAAAATACATAAGCCATGAGGATGTAAGGGCATAAGAATGACACAATAGACTTTGGGAACTTGGGGGAACGGGTGGAAAGGGGGTGAGGGATAAAAGACTACTAATGAGATTCAGTGTACACTGCTCGGTTGGTGGGTAGGCCAAAATCTGACAAATCACCACTAAGGAACCTACTCATGTAACCAAATACCACCTGTTCCCCAAAAAACCTGTAGAAATAAAACAAAATTAATGTTGGCTTAAAATAACACAAATGCATTCTCTTGTAGATCTGGAGGTCAGAAGTCTGAAATCAAAGAGTCAGCCGACTCGTGTTCCTTCTGGGGGCTGTAAGAAAGACTCAGTTTCTTCCTTTCTTCCTTCCTTTCACTTATTTTCTTTCTTTTTCTTTTTTTTTTCTCTTTGCCTTTCCCTGCTTCTGGTTGGACGATGATATTCCTTGGTTCCTGGCCCCTTCCTCAGCTTCAAAGATCATCACTTCAACCTCAGCGTCTGTTCCCACACCTCCTTCCTCCTTTCACCCCTTTCCTCCCTCTTACAAGGATGCTTATGACTACAGTTAGGGCCGAGCCAAATAATCCAGAAGCATCCCCCCATCTCAAAACCCTGCACCTAATCACACCTTCAAGGCCCCTTTGCCATGTAAATGAACATGTATAGAGACTGGGGATTACTAGGGGGATATTTTGGGGGTCATTCCTCAGCCTACCTCACCCAGCATCCTCCAGTGGCCCACATGGCCATCCTTCAGCCAGTCCCTGTCAGGGCACGCATGGCCTCTGCTAACTCCATCTCCAGCTACGGTGATGCCTGCTGGAATCAGCAGGACCTGCCCCAGGCCCTGGCCCAGGGCACTTGTCAACAGCCAACATGACCTTTCCCTCAAGGTCGTCATCACAGAGTGCTGAAGGCAGCACTGGCTTTGGCGGTGAGCCACCCAGGGTATGTTGCTGGCCACCGTCTAAGGGAGGCAGCAGCCTGTGCCCCACAGTTTGGGCTGCCCAAGCAAGGCACAGGCGTGTGAGGGAGAAGAAGCCTCTGCAGCAGCAGGCCGTTGAGAAAATCAGCAGCAATGAAGGTGCTCTACTTATTCAGGAATTACATAAAAAAGAAGAAAAAGAAACAAAACACTGGAGGAAGGCAGAGGAACTTGACAGAAAAAAAAACAGACTTTTATCCCATTAATATGTTAACCGGGTGACAATGACTTCTCTTCTGTCCACCACTCTTGCCTCCCTGATGCCTAGATAGGGTCAACAGATGTAGCAAATGTACATGGTGGACACCCTGATCTGTTTAGATATCAGATGAATAAGAACTTCTTTAGTATAAGTACATCCCATGAAATACTTGGGACATACTTATACTAAAAATAATTTATTGAGTATCTAAAATTCAAATTTAACTGGGTGTCTGTATTTCATCTGGCAACCTTAAGCTAGCAGAAAGCTTGGCACAATAATCACTGCTGAAGGAAGAAAGAAAAGCAGCATTGTCACAAACCTGCATCAGAATCTGGGCTAAGTGCTTAGCTTACTGATAAGGAAAGGGGGCAGAGAAGTGCTGGGTAGAGGAAGGCGGGTCCCTGGGTAGGGTTCCTTCCTCAGGCCTGTGCCCATGGACCTAGGTGAGGACAGGCACTCCTGCCTTCGTGCCCAAATGTTGCATTTTCCAAGACCACCCTGGGCTGCCACACCCCCAACCTGTCTATGAAAACCCCAAGACCCAGCCGGGCGCAGTGGCTCATGCCTGTAATCCCAACACTTTGGGAGGCTGAGGCGGGTGGATCATCTGAGGGCAGGAGTTTGAGATCACCCTGGCCAACATGGTGAAACCCCGTCTCTACTAAATATACAAAAATTAGCTGGGCATGATGGCACATGCCTGTAATCCTAGCTACTTGGAGGCTGAGGCAGGAGAATCACTTGAACTCGGGAGGCAGTGGTTGCAGTGAGCTGTGATTGCGTCATTGTACTCCAGCCTAGGCGACAAGAGCAAAACTCCATCTGGGAAAAAAAAAAAAAAAACCCTGAGACCCTAGCAGACAGGGACACAAGCTGGCTGGAGGCCATGAGGAACACATCAGCGGAAGAACACACAAGCAGATGGACATCAAGAGGAAGTCGAGAGGAGCACACCGGCAGCCCCGGCAGGCCAGCAGGCCATCAACTGGTGGAAAAACGTGGAGTTTGGCTGGGGTGGTCAGAGAGCCCAGGCCACTGAGCGGCTCAACTCCAGGGGAAAAGCATCTCCCTTCTGGCTCCCCCATCTGCTGAGAGCTACTTCCACTCAATAAAACCTTCACTCATTCTCCAAGCCCACGTGTGATCTGATTCTTGCAGTGCACCAAGGCAAGAACCCGGGATACAGAAAGTCCTCTGTCTTTGTGACAAGGTAGAGGGTGTAGTTGAGTTGGACAACACAAGCCATCCGTAGACAGCAAAACTAAAAGAGTGCATGGTAGCACACACTCACTGAGGCTTCAGAAGCTGTAAACATCCAGCCCTAGACGCTACCATGGTCAGAGCCCCACCACCTGCCCATCTGTATGCTCCCCTAGAGGTTTGAGCAGCCGGGCACTGAAGAAGCAAGCCATTTCTGCATTGCACACCCTGCGAGGGAAACAAGGGAACCTTTTTTGTTTCAATATGTTCTTCAATTTAATTCTGAAAATGACATTCTGAGGCTACCATAACTGTGCCTAATTTACAGATCCAGCCACTTAATGTTAGAGAGACATTGTTCAAGGACACCCAGTCATTGTCTGATTCATTTCTGTGGGACTTCCACAAGTTCGAGAAGGGAAATAACTATTCCTGAAGAGAATTCCCACTGACTCTGACAACACGTTGGCTTTGGCATTGGTGGAACACATCTGAGGTTCCCCAACCTGTGAGGCTCTCTATGCTTGTGGTGCCCCTTCCTGCTCCCCCAATATAAGAGAGGAGCCTTCTAAGCCTGCACTGCTTGATCTCAGCCCTTCCCAGGGGGCCTTCAAAACATGAAACCTGGGAGAGCAGGTGAGACCCCAGATCCGAGATCAGCCTCTGGCATTAAAAATTTGTTCCAGGCAGAAACTAGTGCTGCCCCAGACACCCTCCACTACTTCGTCCAAGCTGCCGGTAGCCACAGTTACATGGGGTTGGAGGACTGGCCTGTATCTGACCCTCAGCAGAGCTTCCTCTTTCTCTGGATTGACAGAAGAAGCCAGGAAATTGTGAGACCCCTGCACACACTCACCAGGAGGGTTTGGGAGGCGGATGGAGCTGGATTCATCAGGGCACCATGATTTACTACTGGAATGATGTTCAGCAAGTTACTTTATTTGCTTCAGAGACTCAGGCTTGCCTCTGGTAAATGGGGAAGGTATCTTTTGAGTTTATATAAGAAATTACTGAAAAGATAACTGTAAATTACCTGGCACAAAATAGGTCTTTAGCACGTGTTAGCAAACCAACACCGTGTTTAAGCTTGAAAGATGAAATGTTCATTTATCTATCTTAAAAAGGAAAAAGGAGGAGAGAAGGGGAGAAGAGTGGAGGAGGGAGGAGAGGGAAGTGGAAGGAGAAAAGAAAGAAAATGAGCTTCTGAAGAGTCTGAGGTTGTAATGGGCATAGACAGAGGAAGGAAAGCAGAAATGCCAGGCTATTTTAGTTTCGAGGATACCTAAATTTGTAGCATCTGCATTCTTCTCCAACTCCTGATGCCTTTCCCTGGTCTCTTTCTGATTATTTCCAGAGAGGAGCAGAGCAGACCCCAAGTCTAGCTCTGGGGGTGGCCAACCCAGTCTTCCCAGGACTCCTCTCTGCTTCTCTGTGCCCCATTGGGAAGGAAATCCCAGCTTTCAACTTCCCAAGGTCAGAGTAATTGAAATTCTCTGTCTGTATCCCAATTTTCCAGCTGAGGACTCTTACAGTTGTCAAGACATAAAGAACCAAAATGGGCACTTTTCAAGATGACCATGAGTGTATAATTAGTCGATTAAAATTGTCAAGATGTTACTATTGGTTAGTTAAATGATGTATCAAAATCATTCTGTTGTTTAAGGGTAGGCTCTGTGTGTGTGTGCACTCAAACACACTAAAAAGTGGATTCAGCAGGGATGGGTGACTGACATAGCAACTTGGTCACAAAGAAACATCTTTACTAGAGACCCAACTGGCAGAACAGCGACGCTGGGCATAGCCTGGAATGATAGAAGGTGGACAAAGCTGCCCACTGGACCCTGAGGGCCCCTGGCCCTCTCCTAATCCATCTGAGGGCCCTGCCTCCTGCAGGAAACCCATTCTGCATGGGTCTGAGCTGTGCACCAGCCTCTTCCTTCTATCCTAAATTCAGACAAGTCCCTCCATTTATCTACTGGGGAAACTGGGTGTTTGATTTAGCCTGGGTTTGCCCATCCAGGAGTTACAAATCATACTGACTACCACATGGATTTGTTCTGAAAATTAATAGGCTCCAGCGGAAAAGAAACTATCACTTTAGTGAGGGCATGAACCACGGGACATATAGGTCATGCCTCTTTCTTGCTTCCTTCTCAGCCCTTTTTTGTGAAATGATGTTGAGAGAGTAGAAGAAGCTACATCTTGGATCTTGGGACATTTACTGCAAAGCACACAGAATTCAGCAACCTTACTATTGTTACCACACATCATAGGAGAGGGGAATAGAAATGACAAAGAAGGCTTGGTGGCCAACTGGACCTGAGTTTTAGTTTTATCTCAGCCTTAATAGATGTAAGACATGGGGTAGGTTGCTCTCTGAGCCTCAGTTTTCTCTTTTGTAAAATTGAACTAATAATACAAACATGAAAGACTATTGTGAGACTTAGGTGCCAAAAGGGATTCACTCTTGGAGCCTGCAGAGGGAACCAACCCAATGACAACTTGATTTAGCCCCCAGAGTCTCATTTAGGAATTCTGACTTCTAGGTCGGAATTATTAAGAGAATACATTTGTGATGTTTTAAGCCACTAAGGTTGTGGTTAAGTTGTTAACAGCAGACATAGGAAACTAATACCCTTTAGAAAACTACAGAAGGCCTCCTTCTCACTGTGGATTTCCATCATGCTTACTTGGTGACTGGTGATTTTGTTGAGAGCACCCAAGCGCCCATAAACATCTTCTTAGGACCATGGTTCCCACTCAATGCCATTTGGGCAGCAGGGAGGTTGACCTTGATACATTGAATCACCTGGGTCAGAGTTAACTGCAATGATCTCTTGTCAGCTGTCATGTGAATAAAAGTGGGTTACAGCCCTGTCAGCATTGGGGTGGTTACACAATGGCTCAGAGATGCACAGAGAGGACTGGAGACCCTCACACAGCCTACAGCTTCTCTGCTCAGGGAGGGGGCTCAAGGTAAGTGACTGGGCATGAAATTGCAGGGTTTTCATCCTAATCTGGTACCATAAAGTTATTCCTGCAAATTAACAACTGCTGATGGGTCTATGATGGGCATCCATTGAGATGTTGAACCTCCTTAGAGCCCACTAGCATTTCTGTTTTTCTAAGGAAGAAAGCAAGTGTTAGAGAACTTTCCTAACACACAGAGAACAAGTCTCAGTGACTTACCTAAAGGCATATAGGTGAGATTTGTACCAAAGCCCTCTGATAATAATCCACCCCTTTCTGTGCAGGTGACATAATATTGTCTCTAGATGCAGACTCCCAGGGTTAGAATTCCTGTTCACCTTCTGTACAAGGCATTTTTGTTATTCAAGCCTCAATTGTGTCTCCTCTAAAACAGAGGATGGCCAGAGTGAGCCCCAAATCGACTAGTCCATGTCACAGTCAAGCATGGCATGGAGCTTGTATTAAGTGCCAGATAAACATTAGCTTTTATGAGAAAGTTACTTATTTAGGGATTAATATATATATTCCATCTCACTCCAAATACTGGTTTTAGGGAATTTTTGGAAATTGTTACCCATGATAAATTGTTTTGAAGACCCTGCAAGAACTCATGTTAGTTCGTCTCTCTCAGTAGAATCCACACTACCTTTCAATCAAATCAAGCCTTATGCTTGATTTATCTAGCATCTAGAAATCTAGATTTCTAGATCTTCTAGAAATCGTCTTTTCCCTGTCCTGTTCTATCGCACCTGGCTCATGCCTCTGTTTAACACTCCCATCAACCCTTCTACACTCCATTGGGATTTAGGTCCATCCTTTCCATTTGGTTTCAAACACCTTTAGATGACCAAGTGGATCTTGTTCAGATTTCTGTGTTTATTTGGGAGTTGTATCATTCAACAAATGTATCATTCAGGGTTCAGAAAAGAAAACGAAAACCACACTGCGTATTTCAAATAGACAGGATTTAACATGAGAATTTGACAAACTAAAAGAGCAAACAGGAAATCAATATTACCCAGAGATAATAACCAAATCATTCACACAACAAGCAGTCACTACTGGGAGATCAGAGAACAAGAGAGAAGTGAGGATACCAGAGCTGAGACTCAAAAGAGGGCAGAGCCCTGCAAAGAAGGTCTTATCAGCTGCTGTTTGTGGGTCTAAGAAGCTGTGAGAAGTCTGGTTCTGGGAATGGAGAAAGAAGGTAGAGATAGAGTCAATTGCTGCTGCTGCTGGAGCAACACTGAAAAGGAATAAGAAACACCAAGAATAAAGTTCTTTTTACTCCTCCTAACTTCCTGTCTCCTTCCTGTGACTTCCATTGGCACAACGCAACAGGAAGCCAAGGATACCGCAGCCTGGGAAATGGATTTCATAAAGGGCAACTCCAGCAACAGATAACAGAGCAGAGAAGTGTTTCCTTGGGGCTGGGAACCCGTAAGTATGAAACCACCATAATACGATTTTACTGAACTTTTACTCTGGGCTGAGTTCTCTGCTCAACATCATGTTCATTGCCACAGGTCCTTTACCCAATATTTTCATCGATTTTATTTTTTAAAGAAGGGAGTGTATCTTCCTTTTCATATTGAAAACCTGGTAGTATGTAGGGGTAGCACAGTATACTAAATGGTCAGTTTGGGCCTCCATTATCCTCGGTTCTGATTACATCTCTGCTACGTATTAGTTGGCCAACCAAATCTAGTAATGAGACATCTCTGAGCTGCTGTCTCCTCTTGTACAAATAAAGCATGATATTCCCTCCATCACAAGTTCTCTGTGAGGAATAAATGAGCTAACCTATTGGATTTGATAAATGGCAGTGTTTTACATAGTTTTAGCTCAAGAGACTAGACAACCAGGCCCCAAAAATGATTTTAAATGACATTCAAGTTCCATTTGGAGTGAATGATCTGGCTAGAAACATCTAGCAGGTGGCAAAAAAAAATAAGACTTAAGCATCTGCTGGTACCGTGTGTGGGCTTGTGGACTATCAAGGAGCCCAGGGCATCAAAGTAAAACATAACACTCTCCACTCTGAGAACAATTGCCAATAGTGTGTTTCTCCCCTGAAAGGAGAACACCAAGAGAAATATACAAAAGCATGTTTTCCAGGTTGGCTGAGTTAGACTTGCTTTACTGGCCACACAGAGCTAAGGACTCTGAGGCAGAAACATTTACTCTGATAATCCAGAAACCACAAGATTGCAATGAAACCTACTGCCTTCTGAGAGGACCCCAGTCTACAAACTGCCATATTTCAGATTTCCCATGTTGCCCCCAGACAGGCATTCTGCTTTTGGTTCCCAAGGTTGCTGAAGATAAAATGTCATACAACAGCAATAGATAATTCCTGTTGAATAAAAGAGAACGCAAAGAGACAACCAGGTTTTTGTTGCTGTTGTTGTTGTTATTGTTTGTTGTTTTGTTTTGTTTTGTTTTGATGGAGTCTCGCTCTGTCACCCAGGCTGGAGTGCAGTGGCGCAGTCTCAGCTCACTGCAACCTCCGCCTCCCAGGTTCAAGTGATTCTCCTGCCTCAGCCTACCAAGTGGCTGGGACTATAGGCACGTGAAACCATGCCTGGCTAATTTTTTGTGTTTTTAGTAAAGACGGGGTTTCACCATGTTAGCCAGGATCGTCTCGATCTTCTGACCTCATGATCCGCCCTCCTTGGCCTCCCAAAGTGCTGGGATTACAGGGGTGAGCCACCGCGCCTGGCTGACAACCAGATATTTTTATGGTCTACACAGTCACCTGAAATCTGTCGTAACCATGTCATTTTGTGCCCCTGCATAAAATTTTATGCTACCTGCAGCAGATAAATGAAAATAAGGAAGTTAAAATAAAACAAACAGGCATATGGAACAGTGCCAACCAGAGTATACCAGCACCCTTACATATATTATTTTAATTAGTTCTTACAACAACGCTGTGAGGTCAATACTACCATCCCCATTTCCCAGAAGAGAAAACAGAAGTCTAGAGATGTGAAATTTTCTCCCTAAGATTCCATCTCCCTTTCAGTACCCGGATCCAGCTGAGAACTACAAGACAGATAACATTTTGTTCTAGTCTTGTCCTATACAGAAAGCAACATGTGACCCCATAGAAGTCCCTAACTTATTGGACCCTCAGTTATCTCTTTTGGGAAGTGATGACCTCTAAGGGCATTGCCATGTCAACAAGCCATCAAATCTGTGCTGATCATTGAAAATACAGGGGACCAAAAAAAATGCAGAAATGTAAATGGCATGAACACTGCTAGTGTAACCAACATGCAAAGCTTGCAAGCAGAAACATGTTTTATTTTGTCTCTTTTCCCAAGTTATAGAAACCCTTGCATATGGTTGTCTTTACTTTAATGTGCATGAATAAAATATATTCTTGTGAACTGATGTAGTCCACAGGCTTTTGAGATCAAACAGTTTTCTACTCCAGGTGAAATGTGGGAATGACAGATAATGTTGTCAATATGCTATATTTTTGTTAGGTTGAACAAACATGGCCATAGCCATTATTTTCATCATATATATGCATGTGCATTTGTGTGTGTGTATGGGAGGTGTCTTTAAAGAATAAGATTTAAGGAAAAAAATCAATAAATGCAAAATTTTCCATAAAACCTTCAGTGAGAAATATCCCTCCCTCCTCCTCATGTATATTAAAGTGAGCAGAATTTGCTGACTTGCATAATGCAATACACAGTGATTACTGGGAGGTATCAGAGGTGATTAAATAACCACAGAATTTGAGAGACCTGGAAATAAATATCCTCATTCAAAAGCCCAGGCAGAGTCAGTAACACGCCATGGAGGGGGTCTTTGGGTATTGGAAACTCCATCTCATTCCTTCCTAGTAGCAGAGATTTGTGGGTTGTTAACAATGGGTTACACATTGTATGTGAATAACATACGAAATACAAAATGTATTTATGTATAATGAGGTAGCATTAGTGGAGTCAGTGCGAACACTGGAGTCAGACAGATGTTGCATTTGAATTTGGTCTCGGCTTTAGGTAAATAACCCAACTCTTATAAGCTTAAATATTCTTATCTATGTAATGGGAGTAAGCATTGTCAGCAGACTGAATACTCTTTAAATTATGGCTATTATTAATAAGTTAGTGTGACAATAACAATGTGTCCTTTATTGAGTAACCATAATAGAAAATCTTCTAAATTCATCAATTACTTTAATTCTCAGAACAACTCGGTGTTAGCAATTTTTCCATTTTGCAGAGACTGAAACCAAAATTCAGAAAGGCAAGATTCTGGATGTTATCAAGTTTAAGGTGAAATCCTTTGTAAGATGCATCCTTACCTTACGTACCACAAAGAGAAAAAAGTATGCTGACAATTCTAATTGTAGGATGTCATCAATTGTAAGATGCATTTCATTTCAGAGGTTAAAATATTTCTTACAATATCACCTTAGGGTCAATAAACTGTGGTAAATTGCCTAACATCACACATCTGCTAACTGGTAGAACTTGGGTGCAAACATAGGATTTTACAACAAAAAGCTGGGGGATTGTTCCCAAGCTAGGACAGCACCTAGCATAGAATGGAAGTCCTGTAAATATATACTAAGCATCAGAATATGTGTCCTATACATATACATTTTGTATTGCATATTATAGCATATGATGTCCCAAACCACACACCACATATATGCGTGTGTATGTATAATTTGCTTTCCAGGTCAATTTCTATTTTGGGACTTCTCTAAAATAATCCTGAAGCAAGAAATAGTTATTTACATATTTTTGACAAAATAAATTCTAGGAATAATTTTGTTAATGAAAGGTAGAGATAAAAGCAAATTAAGTTGTGGTAGTTGCTGTTCCTGGAAAGATTATTTTCAGCACCGAGGCTGTGAAATGTACCAGTCCTCGCATCCTGGAGGTGACCAAGCCTGATCAATGTCACCCATGCCAAGGGACTCCATTGCCTAGATTGTTATGGGCTAATATTTCCGTTCTTTAAAACGCGTACAGGAATAACTTCAAGCAAAATAAAAATATCAGTTTGTAATGGCCAAATTCTCTGAGGTTTATAAAATGTTGGGACTGATTTGCTGAGTTATAGTAAAACTAAAGTAGACCTTGAAAGGCACTCAAGTTGACATAAAACTTGAACAGTTTAACTAGTAAGAGAAAGACTAACAAATTAGGTTGACCAGATAATTTATATTTGGAACAAATAGCATTTTTAAAAGAACTGTTTTTGCGAGAACCCACTGTGTGTGCTGGTAATGAGGAAAGTGCCGGCCCTGCCTTCAAATATTCTCAAAGCCCCTGTGCCAGGCAGGAGCCCCAAAGATGCTGTGCTAATTCCCTGGTTGTTAAATCTGTGCCCACGTTACTCGTCGTCACTGATACTCACTTTACCTACATTGTAGAGAGCTTTAGGGATTACCAAACACTCCCACACTGAGTCATCTTGGAGCATCCTAGAAACTTCTAGGTGGATGGCATTTGATCTTCCTATTATAGATGGAAAAAAGGCACCTGAGAGAGGTCAGCGGCTCCTCCAAAGACCCAGAAACACTGGGGAAGCAGTTAATTATTTTTCAGCCAAATTTCAGAAAATCAAGATAAAGAAAATGCCCATTTTGGTGCTTTCAAAATTACCAAAGTTATCAATAACTATACTAATTATATCCCGGAAGCACACAGAGATGAGAATGACGGCTGTACAGTTTGCAAACTGCATTCACATGCATGGGTTTATTTTACCTTTCACACCGCACTCAGAGGTCAGTAGACAGGGATGCCTCTCCCCCTTCTCATTTTAGCATAATGGGAACTGAGGCCCAGCGGTGTAATCAACATATTAGGAGGCGCAAGGCCAGGAGACCAACTCTCCTTTGCAGGCCAGGTGTCTTTCCCCACCTCCTCACACACACTCCCACTCTCAGATGCGAGAGCATGTTACCATAGCCTCGGTAATCCTCAAATCCGGCTTTGTTTGATAGGGATGAGAATAAGGATTCGGGAGATTTGACCAGCTATCTTTCACTTTAGTACCACTTGAGCTAAGAGGGAGACTTTGGGGATGACAGAAAATATGATCTCAAGTGGAATTTAACCAGAGCACATGAACTGAGAGCTCCTTAGGAGAGGAGGGGACTGTAAGGAATGTTTGTGGGAAGCCGCTCTGCACCAGGACCCTTTATAAATGCCTCATGCCGCATCACCGGGAAGCAGCTGTGGTTACAGCTTAAATGCCTGACCCAAAGTTATCAGCCATGCAGGGCTGAGCTACTGCTTTCAAGTTGAAGTGCTGGCCGTTTACCGCTCTTTATTTCATGTCAGGCTGTTCCCAAGGAGCCACCTCTCTCTAGCTGCACTTCTGGGATCCAGGGGGAGGCAGAAGGCTCTGGCTTTCTCCCCCACACTCTAATGGAGCCTCCAAGGAAGGATCTGACGGGATCTGTTCCCCAGGCCACCTGGATTTAGGCCCCAGTGTCGCTAAAGACACCCTTGAAATGTTTCAGCTTCCCTGGCCTCTCACTAAATCTTAGGTAGGAGTTTAAGGGAAAGAGAGACTTCTGGATGTGCTTGGCAGAGACAATTGGCAAAACCAGCCTAAGCCAGTGAAGGGACTTCAGCCTCTGCCTCCCCATCACTAGAAAGCTTTATTTTAAAAATAACATGTTAAGTCTGTAAAGTCTGTAAAAATGGCATTTCTCTCTCTCTCTTTTTTCTATTCTAAAAGTGATGCTCAACAAATAAAACAGGGAGCATAAATAAAAGGAAGAGGGAAAGAAATTGGTTCCACCGCCCAGTCATACTCAGAACACACCAGGAACAGCAACAGTAGTAAACATCCCGTTTCTACCCCAATCCAGGAGACCAGGAGCCCCGGGAAAGACCGCTTGGACTGCCCAGCTCCTGGTGCCCTGAAATTCTATCCTCATGAGCCCAAGTAGACATATTCTCTGGAAGAAAAGACGAGGCAGGCCCGATCTGCCAGTGGTCAGCTGCATTCTTCCCCTGTCCTTTCTCTCCCTCTTTTCTTTGCCTTTCTCTCTCTCTCATTCTCTATTTCTGAAAACTCCCTATTAAGTGGAGACCTGATTTCAGGGGCACAGCAAATATCAGGGAGCCCTTTCCAGAGGTCCCGTTCATTAAGCCTGGGCAGAATTTCGACACAGCTCCTGGGTCCCACTCGTTCCTCCGTGATAACAGAATGCCAATTCAGATGCTGCCTGAAATCGGCAGTACATGGTTATACCACCCAATCTGAAACCAGACCACAAACGCTCAGTTGAAATCATTTTGATTCCATTATGGAAGTGGTCATTGTCTCAAGGTCTCTTTCCTAATGCGTAAAAAAGAAAAAAACTCTTTCATTTTGTGACATGGCCCCATTTGGCTTTTGTCCCTCAAATATAGAGAGAAATGTTTGCCTTGCTGTCATCACAGAGAAATAAAATTAAGATAGGCCTGTAAATGTGGTCAGTTCTCTTCTTATTTCCTAGTCTAAAAGTTGTGCTTAACAAAATGTGGCACAGAAATAAGAAATAGAAAATAACTAGGTCTCACAACTCAATAACCCCACATTTTACTCTGTGGTTGCATTTGTCCATATTTTTTCTGAACATCAAGTCATTTGTTTATAATTCATGAATAAGTTTGTTTGTTTAAGCTGCAAGGTTTCGTCATGAATTCATTTTTTATTCCTGATGTTAAAGGCAATGCATGCTTGATGCAGAAATTGGTGAAAACAAAAGAAAACATAACGAAGAAAACTCCCAAATCACTGCCATTTTTACCACATAGTTAACCCTTGCAAAGTAATGTTCTGATACTCATTCTTCCCTTTATAAAATTCTCGAGTATAAATTAATTTGCATCAATGAACTAACTCATTGAAAGCATGAGTTTTGGAGGAAGACGAGAATGTGAATCTCACCTCTGTAGCTGTGTGTCCAGGAGTGACAGACTTCCCTCTCTGAGCCTCTGTGTTTTCATGCATCAAACGGGGATATGATCACCTACTTCCTAGATTTGGTTGAGAACTAAATGAAATTAATTCATGAAAGACTATATTCAATGAGAGCTATTATTGTTGTTGTTATTATTTTTATTTCTATAATGTTATATATAATGCCACTGGGATTATATAGTTATGTACAATTTTCCATGTATGATTACGTGGAGAGAATTTCCATGTGACTAAAACATCTTTGTAATAAAAAAGTCTTTGAAAAAATAATGTTAAATTCTGCATACTCTTCCAAGAACTGGCTACACTAACAATATATTCAGCTGCTTCTATGTTCAGCTAAGTGGTTGCTGATCTTTTCCACCCTTAAATAAAAATGTGATAGGCCTGTGTATGCCCTTTCCCCTCCTCTCAGATATTTACATGGTCTCTAGACTACATCGATTCGTAGAGCAGAGGTGGGATCTTTATGTCAGACAGTATGGAGAATTTCAAGTTAGGAATATGTATTGCCGTTTCACCTTCATGAACGTATTCCACCCCTACAACAGTGAGCGAGGGATTTGTTTCTCTGTAGAGCCCCCATCCATAGCTGTCCCTCTCAACCTGGAGATTGTATTCACTTTGAATCCAGAAGCTGGTCTCTCTGGGGCATCTGGAGTGACTGATTTTACCCAGTTACAGCCAATCTCTTTGTTTAGCTTAACTGGTCACATTAATCAAAATAGCAGCTCTGGTTCCATAGGCAGTCCTCCTCTGAAAGGCTCTTCCTCTCTTACATCCATAACAATCAGTGGGTCCACAATGGTAAGTTAATGCAAAAGTCAACATTGCCTAAAAACACAGTCTGCCAAGAACAGCACATCTCTGAAGGGCTCGACCATAAGCCTGCAAATGCACTATTTGCAATTGTTCTGTTTGTTAATTTTTCTTTGAATTCTCAGCCTCTCGACAATGGAAAAGCATGGTAAAACTAACACTATGTGTTCACCAGACCATTCCATTTTCTGCCCTGGGCATGCAGGAAGGCCATGCTTCTCAACCTTCTTTCTGATTACATCGGGGCTGTGTATCGAGAGTCTCACCATTCGGAATGTGAACAGAAGTGACCTTGCCTCTTATGGTCTGAGGAAGTTAGGAGCAAGTATCCATTCTTCACCTCTCTATCTCTTTCTCTCCCACATACAGAACCAAAGAATTGAGATTGGTGATTTGTCTCTTGCAGCATCTAGAGTGACTTGCCCCACCATAAACGAAATGAGAAAAAGGAGACACAAAGTCATGAAAGGAGCACAGACTCCATAGGCATCTTATAGTGAAAATATTTGTGCTTTTCAGTTTATTATTTTTTATTTTTAATTTTTGTGGGCACATTGTAAGTTTGTATATTTATGAATATTTGTATTTAAAACAGGAGTTTCTGGCTGACCCTAAAATGCAGCCAAAGACAGTTTCTCAAAAAAACTAAAAATAGAATTACCGTATAATTCAGCAATTCTATTTCTGGGTATATACCCAAAAGAATTAAAATCAGGGTCTGGAAGAGGTGTCTGTATAACCATGTCCATAGCAGCGTTATTCACAACAACTAAAGCATGGAAACCACCCAAGGGTTCATTGATACATGAACGGATAAGCAAAATGTGATACATACATATAATACAATTCTACTTAGCCTTTAAAAGGAAAGAAATTTTGACAAGTGCTGCAACGTGGGTAAAACTTGAGGACGTTATGCTAAGTTAAATAAGCCAGAAAAGGCAAATACTGTATGATACCACTTACATGTGGTACTTAGAGAGGTCAAATTCATACAGCTACAAAGTAGGATGGTGGTTACTGGGGTCTGGGGAGAGAGGGAAATGAGGAGTTTCTGTTCACGGGGACACACTTTCAGTTTTATAAGATTAAAAGACTTCTGTGGATGGATGGTGGTGATGGTCGCACAACAGCATGAATGTATTTAATACCCCCGATCTGCATGCTTATGAATGATTAAGATGGCAGGGCATGCTGGCTCACGCCTGTAATCCCAACACTTTGGGAGGCCAAGTTGGTTGGATCACCTGAGGTCAGGTGTTCAAGACCAGCCTGGCCAACATGGCAAAACCTGTCTCTACTAAAAATACAAAAATTAGTCAGGCATGGTGGCACATGCCTGTAGTCCCAGCTTCTTGAGAGGCTGAGGTGCTGAGGCAGGAGAATTGCTTATAAACCGGGAAGTGGAGGTTGCAGTGAGCCGAGATAGCACCATTGCACTCCAGCCTGGGGGATAGTGTGAGACTCTGTCTCAAAAAAAAAAAAAAAAAAAAAAAAAGATTAAGATGATAAATGTTATGTGCACTTTAACACAATTTAAAAAATGGGAAAGAGAACAGCCAAAGAGAGACACACATGGGCTCATTCTCCCACACCCTCCCAACCCACCCCTCCTGCCACAGGCATGGACATGAGTACTTACTTACTTAGGGTAAGGAATGAGGGTCTCCTCGTCTCATCTCACCCACACAATGTCCTCTGTGAAGAAAGACCTCGGTTCTATTGAGGGACTATTCTGAGAAGGCACATGGATTCCATCTGCCATTTTTCTTGTGGGTCCATTGAGAGTCATCAAGGAAGAATGACAGTCCTCAGCTATGGGCTTTCTGCTGTTGAGATTGAAGCCTTCCACTGACTCCTAATTTAAAGCTCAAAAAAGTGAAAGGGGGGAACACCACAACATCACCCACTTTATTTACCTAGACTTGGCCAGAGGTCTAGGTAAGGATAGACTGAAATGCAATGAGTATACTGAGGAACTTCCCACCGCTCCTCTCCTTCACAAGAGCAGGGTGCAAGTTCTTCTGTGGCTTCAATGCAGGAGCTAAAGAGAAGGATCCTGCTCACATGGCACACAGTGAGATGTGGCCATGGGCTGGCCCCGCTGCTCTTCTCCACTGGCCCAAGGTGTTTCTGGAAATGCAGCAGGAGTGGGAGCCTCACAGAACAGTGACCACATTCATAGCACGTGGTCTCAGCAGCTGTGCATGGTCTGTGATTTGAACTGTCCCTCAGTGGACCAGAGCAGCTCCGGGCATGTTTTCTGCCCGAGAGATGATTAGGCATTAGTGAAGTGGAATATAAAAGCCAGTGGTTCTCAGACCTGAGCATGTGTATAATAATCTCGAGGGCTTATTTAAACACGGGTAACTGGACCCCACTTCAGAGTTTCTGATTCACTAGGTCTGGAAGGGGCCCAATAATTTTCATCTCTAAAAGTTCCCAGGTGCTGCTGGTCCTGCTGGCTCTGGGACATTACTTTCAGAACCATTGATATGGGGGACCTGACCATAAGAAGCAGTATGTCTATAAATGGCTGTGGGATTTGACCAGGTAACTTCTTCCTGTCTAGTTTAACATTTCTTTAGTATTACATATAATTACAAAGTTGCATGGATCAGATCAGTTCTGGTTTTTTTTTTTTTTTCCATCTGTATCTGCCAGAGTCATGCACAAGTGCAGGAGGTGGCTTTGGGATCAACGAGCAAACGAGTGAGGCTCTGGCTTCAACCCTGCTCTAGTGGAAGCATCACCTTCTGTATTTCATACATTGAAATAATGTAAGAATTGATGTGAAGGAAAATTCCATCCACATATAAACAAATGAACAAACCAAAACACTTTGGAAATTGTTAGTGCAAATAATAACTAAGAGAATTTTAGCTTCAAAGATGCATGATCCATTGTTCAATAGGATGAATATCTTTCTTACCACCTTCAAAAAAGTCTAAGTGCCGAGGAGCTGCAATCTGTGAGGTGGTCCTTGTGATGTGGTTCTGAGGGTCATGGAGCAGACAGGTGAGGGATTGGGTGCCTCTGGACACAGCCAGCCTTATGGGCACATGACCTGGGCTGTCCCACAGGGTCCTGTGCTCCGACGGGCCTGCATTTGGGCACTTGGTTTAATGCTCTCTTGTCATTGTCTTCAGAGTCACAGCAATTTGATCTTTGAACTTGTGTTTTGCAGGTGAAATCTGATGGCACACTGGAGCGTGTCCGTGAGCGGAGGAGGGAAGTGCAATGGGTGTGTTCACCTTTCCTTGCTGCCCATTAATGCAGCATGCTCATGATGCCCCAGATGCCCCATGAATGTGGAATTGTGAGGGACCCGCCAGCATGGGAGTTCAGAGAGGCTCAAAGTGAGTCCAAGGTAAGTCATATTTTCTATCCAAACCAGGATTTGCATCAAATGAAGAAAGAAGGCACCAGGATTCTAACAGACACCAGGGCAAGGGACCCCCTCACATCCTTCCTTACTCGTGTTGCTTCCCTGCATTGGCCAACTATGCCCATTGAAATTGGTGTTTAGGAGGAAAGGGGAGGGCAGGGCCCAGATTTCCCGTTCCTCTCAGTCCCCCTCATTCCCTGTGAGAGGAAGGTAAAGAGTGCGGATGAAACGTGCACGTATCAAGAAGTGAAAGGAAAACAGGTGAGCTTGTTTCGTGCAGCATTTCCAGTGTCCTGGTAAGAACTAAATTCATGGACACATAGGAACTGCAACATATGAACTGTGAAATTTGGGTAATTTTATGTAAGAGTTAATTGCTACTATAGCCAAATTTAAAATTGTCATGGCACAACATAAACAGTAAAATCCACGCTAATAATTTAAAGCTTATTTTTTAGTTAGAAAAACATGAAAAATACAAATAAAAAACACTACAAAATGAGAGAATCTGCTGAAAAAAATGAAAACGGCTTATGCTTTAGTCCCTTTAATAATACTTTTTTCCTGCTTTTCAAGTAAGGGGTTCACAGTTTTATTTTGCACCAGGAACTAAATTATACAGTTGGTTCTGCCATTGGGTTTACAAAGGTAGCTACACACCTTCAAGAGCTGCAAAGATAAGAAATGTTTGCTATTCATCCCTCAAACATCCCTTCGAGAAGTCAATTCTCCATCATGACCTCAGCCCTCAGCCTTCTCCAGTTCCTGAGATCAGCCTTGGAGAATGTAGAATTGGGACCGGCCTGTCACTGGGATTAGCAAGTCATCATTCCTACCAATAAGTAGGGACCAGAATTGTGGTAGCGTGAATTCCAAGGAGGATCATCATATACAGTTGTGCAGGTTATGCACTGCACCACGCCAAGCACAACATGAACATTCTTATCCCTGGAATTATGCACTCACACAGCTGTACATACTGGCCCTGGAAGTTGGCTTTCCTGAATGGACCCCTAGGACTGGCCTGCTCACCAAATCCCTTCCCTCCTTCATGCCACCTTATCTGAAGTTAGGAGACTGGGCCTCAGTTTCCCTGCACAACACGCTGGTTCTATGCTAGGACTATATTCCATCCTTTTCCCTTAGGTTGATCAGACAGGTCCAAAAGAGCAGAGTTTCTACTATGAATGAACTACTTAGAACCAGCGTCTAAGGTCAGCAGAGACTAGAATGCACTCTTCATCCAGTAGCCTCCATAACCTGGGTCTGTCACCACCACCCCCATCAGTACATAACCTGGGAAGTGGATCTCATCTCCATGAGACCTTGAAACCTCTGCCTTCTGAGCAGTCCCTGTCCCCGGGCTTCTCCACTGCAGCTTACTCATCGTCACCCACAGGAGCTGTTAGCTCCAGAATCTTTACTAAAGGCCCGCATCCTGAACACAGCCTACTACACGAGGCTGCGGCTGAGCACTCAGGACAATCGCTCAGGACAAATAACCCTCCCATTGCCCTTAAACATCCCTGGTTCCCTTTGTTCCAATCCCATCCTTGTGGGATTCTGACCTCTTGGCTCTCTCATCCAACGGGTTACCCTCCCCTTGACTCCTTTGATTTTACTTTTTGTGGGCTCTCTTCTAACTATGTGAACTCAGATCCCTCTGTGAGAGTGAGTTGCACATCTGATTCACCTGTGGGGTTGTTAAAGGTCCATGTGCCTGGCTCTCACCCTAGACTATTCTAACTCAGAGTGCCCCCCAGGGAAACAATGTAAGGTAGCAATTAAGGACATTGACTCTGGCATCACAAGTTTGAGTCTATCCTGTCTCTGCCACTCGTAATCTATGTGATCTTTGGGGATGCTTTCCCTTTCTCTGAATCAGTTTCTTTGTCTCTAAAATGGGAATGAGAGTGTTAGTACATACCCCCCAGGATGGGCAGAAAAATTGAATAAGCTAATGCATGCAGAGGATTCAAATACGGCCTGGCACATGGCATGTGTTCAATAACAAGTTAACTGCATTGCTATTATTGTTATCCAAAAAGTGACAGATTTTACTTTGCCCTCCGTGTTTGGTTCTCGGTGCCTGGTTTTGCTTACTTAAGAGTCCCTTTACCTTGGTCTCGGCCAAGCAAGACCAGCCCCGCCCCTGACTCATGGGTTTGAACATCTAGATCAGATCTAGCCACTCATCACCACCCTGGGCACCCATGGCTTTAGTTTTCTACTGCCTCCTCTCCTACCAGTGCCAGGCAAACCTTTGCTTGTGATTCAAAACCCAACTGGAATGCTTGGTCTTTTCCTAAGTCTTCCTCAATGTTCCTCTGTATTCATGTGCTCCTAGAATTCTTTATTCAGCACATTTTATCCTAATTACTGGTTACTTGTCTGGCTCTTGCTTAGGCACAAAACCTGCAATTTAACTTTCCTCTAACATGGGACCTTAACATGATGCATATAATAGGTGTTCAATAAATGATGTTTCTTCCAATAAATATCTATTTCATCCCTTGGAGTCTGATTTCAACCTTACAGGGAAAATTCTGATTTGGCTTTGTTCACCAGGGACATGATTCTAACCCCTTTTTACCACAATCCCCATTTGTTCTCCTGCCCCTGGTTTTCATGTGAAATGAAAAGTGAGTGTAAAATGTGGCATGGAATGAAAGCCAAGCCAGAACTTGAGCCCCATGGATGAACTTCAAACAGGGACTTTAAACATGCAAAATAAGAAGCAGCTTCTCCAGGACAGAGTAGAAGCAGCTAGGCACTTGGTGACTCTCTCAGATGTTCTGGAAATACATTTTGATTTCATATATTTTGAATTAAATTGATTGAAATTCAAAGCTAAAGCCAGCATACCACATTTCCTTTGGTCAGAAGTGAAGTGTGAAAATAATGTTTTGAATTCTCGGTTGGATGCACAGCCCCGGGTTTGAAGTGTGACAGACTGTGGCGGTTTTGGGTTACTGGAAATTTCAACATTCCATTGGCCCAGTCTTCCAAAGGAATTGGAGAAATTGAAAACAAGGAATTGTAGGGTACAGAAGTATCAGTAGAGCATCGATGAGGATTCCCCTAAGCTCTGCAAATTGTGGTAGAGTCAGAGTCATTCCCATTGTGGTTGCCACGGAATGTTGGTAAAGTTGCCCATGAAACAGACAGCACAGTCTTTGTAACTCTTGTGCTATAAGACTTCCAGTCAGCAGAGACTAGAATGCACTCTTTTCTCACCACTGATAGAAATAAAATTAGGAATCCATGCAGGTTTATACTAACAACGTACTTAGAGTTGGATGTGATTGATAAAATGGATACCCCCTAGAGCAAGAAAATGTATCTGCTTTTTAAGGGTCCACTTTTGAAATGTATTATATCACAAAATTTCTGAATTTTTATGTTTGTAAGTATATAGCCATTAATTCTTATATTCAATATCTGCTTTGTTCTTAACAATACACTTGGAGCCTTATTTCATACAAAGGTAAGAAGCCACCTCCCTCCTCCTACTAAGAAATCACAAACACAAGATCGAGCATAACAAATAAAAGGTAAAAGTGCATAGCTTAGTTCGAAGGAAGAGAATGTTCTAGGTTTTAGAAATGAAGTGGGAACATATAGCCAATTATAAGGTGGAGCTGAAGTTTTGGTGACTTACAAGGGCTGAACCTGCCTATAGGCCTTAGAGGCTGGACGTTAAATGCCCACATTGGGGCAAGATGTAAAGCCATAGCCTTATAAGAGATGTCAAAACATTCTTAAAATAAGGGTGTTTGAAAATATTAGAGTCACGGAAAAACTAAAGCTATGAGAAAACAATGGAGTCTTGCAATAAAACAATAATATTAGAAGGTAACCATATAGGACTTACAGAAATAAAAATTTTAGTTTCTGAAGCTAGAAATCAAAACAGCTATGTTTTGGCTTTCAGTAATGGTAGAATAGCCTGATTGAGCTCTCACAATAACAATGATAAAATCTGTAAGAGAAAGAATAAGTAACCCATTTGAAGCCACTGGAGAGCAACCAATAGCAAGCAAAAACTAGAAAGACGTCTCTTCTTGAAAGATAGAAACCGAATTGGGTGAGATTAGTATGCTTGTGGCTTTTTGCCTGGGAAAATTCTCCAGTCTGTGAAGCACAGTCCAGGAGAAATCCATTGTCTTGCTGGCTTCATGTGTAAGAGTAAAGGCTTTAGGACTGCCAGCATGGCTTATAAATAATAAGGGGGAAAATCCTGAAAAGCAGGGAGACTGCTCAATCCTTGGCCAACTCCTGAACTGTTTATGCACATTTGAGAGTGATTCCAGGAGGTCTGGCTAAAGCAGCAGTTGAAATACAAAAGAATTGAAGGGGACATTTGAGATGCTAATCACTACGGGAAAAAAGGATTGAGAGTTTTATTCCAGCCAAATTAACTACCTGCTAGAAATGAAACTACTGCTTCTTATAAGAACATAATTAAATCTAGTGTCTCTACAATGCATCACTAAAATATCTAGGATACAATCAAAGATTACTAGATACACCAAGAGATAGGATAATGTAATTGTACTCAAGAAAAAATAAAGCAGTAAATATAAGCTGCCTCAGAAATGACCCAGATTATCGAATTGACGAATAAGCACTTTAAACATTGATACAAAATTTGGGTCTATTAGGTGACATTTTACTTTTTAAATTTCTATTCTGAAAAGTTGTATCAGTTTGGAAAAACTGATATCATATGGCTTTTATTATCTTAGAAACCCTCTATAAAACAAAGCATTCTGAAATATTTTCATCCAATAAAACCCACTCTATCTTGCAATTAGCACAAGAGTTCATTGAAATCATTTATAAATTTAAAATATATGACAGAATATTAGAGGTTCTATTTTTTATATATCTAAAGTATTTGGCTCTTCCATGGTCCTGATGGTTATTTTGTCATTATTTATCAATTATTTCCAACTATACCAATAAAGCCTAAAAAATAAGAAAATGGAAAAAAATGAGGGACTAGTATGGAAGAATAGTGAAAATAATTATCGCCATTCCAGACCCCTTTAGTATCAATAATTGCATTAAATAGAAATATGCTAAATACTCTGCATAAAAGAGATATCTAGACTGGACCTAAAAGCATAACTAAACTATGTGATGGCTACAAGAGATGAACTTTGAATACAAAGATAATTAGGTTGAAAGTAAAAGAACAAAAAAAGAAACACCATGTAAACTCTAGCCATAAGAAAGAAGAAATGGTTATGCTAATAACAAACAAAATACACTTCAAAACAATGAACGTTATCTGAGAAAAGATGAGCATTTTATATTAACAGTCAATTTATTAGGAAAACCCAAAATGCATAGGGACTTTATGAGAGAAATGCAAAATTTAAGAACTTACAAAATAACTAGATAAAAATAACAGTAAGATATAGGAGATTTTAACAAACAAATCAACCACATTGAGCTTATTGAATTTATAAAATATAAAACTCCCAAACTGCAGAAATCATGTATTTTAAGTTCAAGGGAACCATTCACCAAAATAGATCATATACTAGGGCATTATTTCCTGAGTATAGTGAAGCTCAATTGGAGATTAATTATTATAAGATATCCAGAAAAGTCCCTAATATTTGGAAATTAAGTAACACATTTCTAAATACCTGACCAAGTAAAAAAGAAATTATAAGGAAAATTTAAAAATATTTGGAACTGAGTGATAATGAAATCATAATTTAACAAAATCTGTAGACTGCAACTTGAGCAGTGCACAGAAAGGAATGTCTAGCTATACATGCTTATATCACAGAAGAAGAAAGGTCTAAAAATTATCTGAATTTTTATTATAAGAAGTTTAAAAAAGAAGAGCAAACTAAAGTCAAAATAAGCAAAAAATGAAATAAAGAGCAGTAATTGATAAAGTATAAGACAAACATCAAATAAGGTGAACAAATACAAAAATACTTTCTTTAAAATTATTAGTGAAATCACCTTTTTATGGCTGCATAGTATTCCATGGTGTATATATGCCACATTATCTTTATCCAGTCTATCATTGATGGACATTTGGGTTGGTTCCAAGTCTTTGCTGTTGTGAATAGTGCCGCAATAAACATATAAGTGCCTGTGTCTTTATAGTAGACACAGGCACTTATATGTTTTATAATCCTTTGGGTATATGCCCAGAAATGGGATTGCTGGGTCAAATGGTATTTCTGGTTCTAGATCCTTGAGGAATCTCCACACAGTCTTCCACAGTGGTTGAACTAATTTACACTCCTACCAACTGTGTAAAAATGTTCCTATTTCTCCACATCCTCTCCAGCATCTGTTGTTTACTAACTTTTTAATGGTCGCAATTCTAATTGGCGTGAAATGGTATCTCATTGTGGTTTTGATTTGCATGTCTCTAATGACCAGTGATGATGAGCTTTTTTTCATGTTTGTTGGATGCACACATGTCTTCTTTTGAGAAGTGTCTGTTCATATCCTTTGCCCTCTTTTTGATGGAGTTGTTTTTTTCTTCTAAATTTGTTTAAGTTCCTTGTGGATTCTGGATATTAGCCCTTTGTGAGATGGATCGATTGCAGAAATGTTCTCCCATTCTGTAGGTTGCCTGTTCACTCTGGTGATAGTTTCTTTTGCTGTGCAGAAGCTTTTTAGTATAATTAGACCCCATTTGTCAATTTTGGCTTTTGTTGCCATTGCTTTTAGTGTTTTCATCAGGAAGTCTTTGCCCATGCTTATGTCCTGAATGATATTGCCTAGGTTTTCTTTTGGGGTTTTTATGGTTTTAGGTCTTATATTTAAATCTTTAGTCCATCTTGAGTTAATTTTTGTATAAGGTGTAATGAAGGGGTTCAGTTTCAGTTTTCCGCATATGGCTAGTCAGTTTTCTCAACAACATTCATTAAATAGAGAATATTTTGCTCATTGCTTGTTTTTCTCAGGTTTGTCAGTAAAGTCTTAGGAAAGTTAATTTAAAAACTAAAAAAAGAGGAAAACAAAACCAAGAACGAGTGATAGGATAGCCTTAGAGATCATACAGACTTTGAAAGGATAATAAGAGAATATTATGGACAATCTAAATAAAATGAACAAAGTACTTAGAAAACTGACATAAGACAAAATTAAAAACCTAAATATTTATGGTGTTGACCCTTGGACAACATGAGTTTGAACTGCAGAGGTACACTTATATGGGAATTTTTTCCAATAAATATATTGGGAAATTTTTTAAGATTTGCAACAATTTGGAAAAACTGGCATAACCACACAGCCTAGGAATATCAAAAAGAAAAGAAAAGAAAAAGGTATGCCATGAATGCATAAAATTTATGGAGATACTAGTCTAATTTATCATTTATTACCATGAAATACACACAAATCTATTACAAAAAGTTAAAATTTATCAAAACCTATGTACACAAACACTTAGAGACCTTACATGGTGCCATTTGCAGTCAAGAGAAATGTAAAGAAATGTAAAGATGCAGTATTAAATCATAGCTGCATAAAATTAACTGTAGTACACACTGTATCACTGTAATATTTTTTAGCCACCTCCTGTTGCTATTGAGGTGAGCTCAAGTGTTCTGAGCATCCGCTTACAATATCATGTAATGCTAATCATCTCCGCTTGAGCAGTTCATCTCTACAATAAATTGCAGATAGCAGTAAAAAGTGATCTCTCTCAGTTCTCGCATATTGTTCATCTTGTTTCATGCAATACCGTAAACCTTGAATAACACGACGGGACCCATACAAAGTTCCACTAGTGATTTTGGATATTCTCCCAAGAAGCAGAGAAAAGTCATGACATTACAAGAAAGTTGAATTGCTTGATGTGTACTTTGAGGTCTGCAGCTGTGGTTGCCCACAATTTCAAATATTGGATTCATCTTGTAAGCAGACAACATAACTTATGGTGTCAATAAATACAGTACAGTATTTTAAATGTATTTTCTTTTCCTTATAATTTTCTTAATAACATTTTCTTTTCTTTTCTTACTTACAATATTTATTGTAAAAATATAGAGTATCATACATCAAACATACAAAATATGTGTTAATAGACTGTTTTTGTTATCCATAAAGCTTCTGGTCAACAGTAGGCTATTAGTAGTTAAGTTTTGGGGGAGTCAAAAGTTATACACACATTTTTGATTGCATATGGAGCTAGCACTCCTAACTACCACATCATTCAAAGGTCAAATATATATATATATATATATATATATATATATATATATATATTTATATTTATATATATGTGTGTGTGTATATATATGCACATATACACACACACACATATATGTGTGTGTGTGTGTATGTATGTATGTGTGTGTATGTATATATTCTTTGTCTTTCTTATATATAGCAAACACAAGAAGTCCAAGCCCAGATGGTTTCGCTATTGAATTATATAAAATATTTGATGACTAAATAATGTCAGACTTACACTGACACTTTCAGAAAATAGAGGAAATCCAATCCACTTCCTGGCTTGTTTTATGAGACCAGAAAACCCTGTTACCTAAACTTTATAACAATATTAAACTATTTATAAAGTAATATTCTTTATTAATATGAATTTTAAGATTATTAACAAAAGACCAACATTTTTAATCCAGTTATATATAAAAAATTATAAATATTATTACCAAATGAGCTTTGTCTGAGGAACAAAATGTTTAAGATCTAAAAATCAACCATAGATAGAGAAAATGCATCTGACAAAACTGTGCATCTATTCATGATTTTTAAAATACATAAATAAAACTTTTAGCAAGATAAAAATAGAATAAAACTTCTCCCATCTGATACAGGGATTGTATGAAAAACCTACTGCTGACATCATGGAGATATCAGCAATATGGAGAAACACTAAATTATTGTTTCTCTTTAACATTATAAAGAAGACAAAGATGATCCTGGTCAAAAAAAAACCAAAGCAAGAAAAATGAATACAAACATAAATATTGAAAAGAAATAAGTAACACAGTCCCTTTTTTTTTCAGACAACAAGATTTTCTATTTAGAAAATACTCTGTGACCCACCAAACAAACAAATAAATAAACCAACACTTAGAACTAATATTCTCAGGATGCAAGATGAGTATACAAGATTAAACTTTATATATACTGGAAAATAAAATTCTTGAAATTTATTTAAAATAACAAAATGCTTTATGCATTTAACAAAAGCTGTATGAGAGATATACACTAATAGCTACTATAATTGCTAAACTATAATAATTTAGGTTATTCATTAGGAAGACTTAAACGAATAGAGAGATATACCATGTTCATAGATTGAAGTCTCAGTATTATTAAGATATCAATTCTACTCAAACTGATTTATAGATTCAATGATTTCAGTTATAATTCTAGCTGGCTTTTAAAAAAGATATTGACAAATTAATTACATGGAAATGCAAAGAACCTAAAATAGCCAAAGCAATCTTGACTAATAAAACTATGTTGAAGAAATTACCAAGTCTTACTATACAGTTACATTTAATAAGGCAATGTGGCATTTACATAAGGCTGGAGAAATAAATCAATAAAAATGAACAGAAAATATGGAAGACCCACATTTATATGGTTAACAGCTTTTCAACAAATATATCAAAGCAATTACATGAAAAAAGCAAAGTATTTTCAGTGAACTAGGTATTCTTCTGGGAACAAAATGAACCTCAACCTTTATCTGACACCATACACAAAATTCAAGTTTAATTTAAATAAAAGCTAAAACTATAAAGCTTTTAGAAAAAAATAAGGTAATTTGCATGACTTGGGGGTAAAATTTTCTTGAACAAGACACAGAAAACAATAACCACAAAAGAAAAAATAATGTTAGAATTTCCTAAATGTATTTAAAAACCTGCTTATCCAAAAACACATTCAAGAAAATAATTGAGAAAGTCTCAAACTGGGAGAAATATGTGTAAAATATATATCTAACTAAAGACTTTTATTCAGAGTATATAACAAATTCTTACACCTCAATCTAAAAAAGAAAAAAAAAAAGCAAGATAATTTGAAAAATAAGCAAAATAGGGCCAAGGCCAAGATGGCTGACTAGAAACAGCAGCAATCAGAGGCTCCCATCAAAAAAGAACCATAATTAGCATGCTAATCCTTCACTGGCAACCAAGGTATCCAGGTTCTGTCATCAGAACTGACTAGGCAACTGACATAATCCATGGAGAGGAAGGAGAAGCAGTGTGGTTCAGTGGCCCACCTGAAAGCCACATAGGGCGGGGGAGCCCCCACCCTCCAGCAAAGGGAGGTGGTGAATGAGCATGCTACCCAGCCGAGGAAACCATGCTTTGTCCACGGAACTGTGCAACCCACAGGTCAGAAGTTCTCACTCACAAAACCATACCACCGGGGCCTAGGGTCCCAACTCTAGAGCCGCACAGATTCTCAACAGCCTCTCAGCTGGAATCTGCCTAAGCCTGCCAAGCTACTGAAGAGAGGTGCAACCAGCACCACAGCTGGGGGTGCCTGCTCTCTAAGCCGTTTGAGCTCCTTGAGAGAGAGCCAGCAGGCAGCATGGGGACTCATAGCTGCCTAATACATTAAGCTCCCTGGGCAGGAGGAGGGTGACATCCAACTCTATAGCTCCAGCTCATGCTTTTCCCCTGCTGGAGCCAGGGAGGCTGGACGGCTTGGTCCCAGGAGGTGTCCCCACAGCTCAACACACCAGCTGTGGCAGACTGTGGTCGAAATGAAAGAAAAAATGTTAACGGCAGCCAGAGAGGAACGCCAGGTCACCTACAAAGGGAAGCCCATCAGACTAATAACAGACCTCTCAGAAGAAACTCTACAAGCCAGAAGAGATTGGGCGCCAATATTCAACATTCTTAAAGAAAAGAATTTTCAATCCAGAATTTCATATCCAGCTAAACTAGGTTTCATAAGTGATGGGGAAATAAAATCCTTTCCAGAGAATCAAATGCTGAGGGATTTCATTACCACCAGGCCTGCCTTGTAAGAGCTCCTGAGAGAAGCACTAAATATGGAAAGGAAAAACGGGTATCAGCCAATGCAAAAACACACCAAAATGTAAAGACCACTGATACTATGAAGAAACTGCATCAACTAGTGTGCAAAATAACCAGCTAGCATCATGATGACAGGATTAAATTTACACATAACAATACTAACCTTAAATGTAAATGGGCTAAACGCCCCAGTTAAAAGACACAGACTGGCAAATTGGATAAAGAGTCAAGACCCATTGGTGTGCTTTATTCAGGAGACCGATTTCACGTGCAAAGACACACATAGGCTCAAAATAAAGGGAAGGAGGAAAATTTACCAAGCAAATCGAAAGCAAAAAAAGAAAAAAGGAGAGGTTGCAATCCTAGTCTCTGACAAAACACACTTTAAACGAACAAAGATCAGAAAAGACTAAGAAGGGCATTACATAATTGTCAAGGCAACAATTCAACTAGAAGATCTAACTATTCTAAATATATATATGCACCCAATACAGGAGCACCCAGACTCATAAAGCAAGTTCCTAAAGACCTACAAAGAGACTTAGACTCCCACACAATAATAGTAGGAGACTTTAACACCCCACTGTCAATATTAGACAGATCAATGAGACAGAAAATTAACAAGGATATTCAGGACTTGAACTCAGCTCTGGATCAAATGGAACTAATAGACATCTGCACAACTCTCCACCCCAAATCAACAGAATATACATTCTTCTCAGTGCCACATCACACTTATTCTAAAATTGACCACATAATTGGAAGTAAAACATTCCTCAGCAAATGCAAAAGAATGGAAATCATAACAGTCTCTCAGACCACAATGCAATCAAATTAGAACTCAGGATTAAGAAACTCACTCAAAACCACACAACTACATGGAAACTGAACAATCTGCTCCTGAATGACTCCTGGGTAAGTAATGAAATCAAGGCGGAAATCAAGAAGTTCTTTGAAACCCATGAGAACATAGAGACAATATACAAAATCTCGGGGACACAGCTAAAACAGTGTTAAGACAGAAATACATAGCACTAAATACCCACATCAGAAAATTAGAAAGATCTCAAATCAATACCCTAACATCACAATTAAAAGCACTAGAAAAGCAAGAGAAAACTAATCCAAAAACTAGCAGAAGACAAGAAATAACTAAGATTAGAACAAAATTGAAGGAGATAGAGACAAAGAAAACTCTCCAAAAAATCAATGAATCCAGGAGCTGGTTTCTTGAAAAAATTAACAAAAGAGATAAACTGCTAGCTAGACTAATAAAGAAGAAAAGAGAGAAGAATCAAATAGACACAATAAAAAAATGATAAAGGGCATATTACCACTGACCCCACAGAAATACAAACTACCATCAGAAAATACTATAAACACTTCCACACAAATAAACCAGAAAATCTGGAAGAAATTGATAAATTCCTGGACACATACACCGTCCCAAGACTAAACCAGGAAGAACTCAAATCCCTGAGTAGACCAATAACAAGTTCTGAAATTGAGGCAGTGATTAATAGCCTACCAACCAAAAAAAGCATAGGACCAGATAGATTCACGGCCAAATTATACCAGAGATACAAAGAGGAGCTGATACCATTCATTCTGAAACTATTTCAAACAATTGAAAAGGAGAGATGCCTCCCTAACTCATTTCATGAAGACAGCATCATTCTGGTACCAAAATGGGGCAGAGACACAACAAAAAAAGAAAACTGCAGGCCAATATTCATGGTGAACATCAATTTGAAAATCTTCAATAAAATACTGGTAAACAGACTCCAGCACCACATCAAAAAGTTTATCCAACACGATGAAGTCAGCTTCATCCTTGGGATGCAAGGCTGGTTCAACATACACAAATCAATAAATGTAATCCATCACATAAACAGAACCAAAGACAAAAACCACATGATTATCTCAATCAATGCAGAAAAGGCCTTTGATATAATTTAACAACCTTCATGTTAAAAACTCTCAATAAACTAGGTATTGATGGAACATACCTCAAAATAATAAGAGCTATTTATGACAAACTCGCAGCCCATATCATATTGAATGGGCAAAAGCTGGAAGCATTCCCTTTGAAAGCTGTTACAAGACAAGGATGTCCTCTCTCACCACTCCTATTCAACATAGTATTGGAAGTTCTGGCTAGGCCAATCAGGGAAGAGAAAGAAATAAAGCGTATTCAAATAGGAAGAGAGTAAGTCAAATTGTCTCTTTTTGTGGACAACTTCATTTCATATTTAGAAAACCCCATCATCTCAGCCCAAAAACTCCTTAAGCTAATAAGCAACTTCAGCAAAGTCTCAGGATAAAAAATCACTGTGCAAATATCACAAGCATTCCTTTAAACCAACAATAGACAAGCAGAGAGTCAAATAATGAATGATCTCCCATTGACAATCACTAGAAAGGGAAAAAAATACCTAGGAATAGAGTTAACAAGGGATGTGAAGGACCTTTTCAAGTAGAACTACAAACCACTGCTCAAGAAAGTAAGAGAGGACACAAACAAATAGAAAAACATTCCATCCTCATGGATAGGAAGAATCAATATCATGAAAATGGCCATACTGCCCAAAGTAATGTATAGATTCAGTGCTATTCCCATCAAACTACCATTGACATTGTTTATTGAATTAGAAAAAAACTACTTTAAATTTCAAATGGAATCAAAGAAGACTCCGTATAGCCAAGACAATCCTAAGCAAAAGAACAAAGCTGGAGGCATCACACTACCTGACTTCAAACTGTGCTACAGGGCTACAGTAACCAAAACAACGTGGTAGTGATATCAAAACAGACAACCCAAACATCATGGTACTGGTACCAAAACAGATACATAGACCAACGTAACAGAAAAGAGACCTCAGAAATAACACAACACATCTACAATCATCTGATCTTCAACAAATCTGACATAAACAGGCAATGGGGAAAGGATCTCCTAGTCAATAAATGGTGCTAGGAAAACTGGCTAGCCATATGCAGAAAATTAATACTGGAACCCTTCCTTACACCTTATACAAAAATTAACTCAAGATGGATTAAAGACTTAAATGTAAAACCCAAAACCATACAAACCCTAGAAGAAAACCTAGGCAATACCATTCAGGATATAGACGCGGGCAAAGACTTAATGACAAAAATGCCAAAAGAAATTGCAACAAAAGCCAAAATTGACAAATGGGATCTAATTAAACTAAAGAGCTTCTGCATAGCAAAAGAAACTATCATTAGAGTGAACAGGCAAAATACAGTATGGGAGAAAATTTTTGCAATCTACGCATCTGACAAAGGTCTAATATCCAGAATTTACAAGTAACTTAAACAGATTTACAAGAAAACAAACAACCCCATCAAAAAGTGAGTAAAGGATATGAACAGGCTCTTCTCAAAAGAAGACATTTATGCAACCAACAAACAAGTAAAAAAAAGTTCAACATCACTGATCATTAGAGGAATGAAAATCAAAACCACAATGAGATACTATCTCATGCCAGTCCGAATGGCAATTATTAAAAAGTCAAGAAACAATAGATGCTGATGAGGCTCTGGAGAAATAGGAATACTTTTACACATTGGTGGGAATATAAATTAGTTCAACCACTATGAAAGACAGCATGGCAATTTCTCAAGGATCTAGAACCAGAAATACAATTTGACCCAGCAATCTCATTACTGGGTATATACCCAAAGGAATATAAATCATTCTACAATAAAGACACATGCACATGTATGTTTATTGCAGCACTATTTACAACAACAAAGTCTTGGAACCAACCCAAATGCCCATCAATGATGGACTGGGTAAAGAAAATGTGGTATATACACACCATGGAATACCAAGAAGCCATAAGAATGAATGAGATTATGTCATTTGCAGGGACATGGATGAAGCTGGAAGCCATCATCCTCAGCAAACTAATACAGGAACAGAAAACCAAACACCACATGTTGTCACTCATAAGTGGAGCTTGAAAAATGAGAACACATGGACACTGGGAGGGGAACAACACACACCAGGGCCTGTTGGAATGTGGGGGATGAGGGAAGGGAACATAGAGGAAGGGTCAACAGCTGCAGCAAACCACCATGACACACGAATATCTATGTAACAAACCTGCACGTTCTGCACATATATCCCAGAACCTAAAGTAAAATTTTTTTAAAAAAGCAAAAACTAAGCAAAATATATGAACAAATATTTCACAAAGGAAGACATGAAAATGGCCAATAAGTACCTGAAAATTTCTCTGCATCATTGGTCATCAGAGAAACACAATTAAAACCACGATGAAATGCCACTACATACACACTAGAAAGGATAAAGTATCTGTTAAAGTAAAATGGTGTGATGATGTGGAACATATATCTCTCTTATATTGCTAGTGGGAAAGAAAAATGGCATAACTTCTTTGAGAAAGTTTGGCAGTTTGTATTTTTAATTATAGACCTATCTTTGACCTCATAATTCCAATTCAAGGAATTTGCTCAGTGGAAATAAAAACATATATCTTTACACAAATTTGTACCAAAATGTTTATGACAACTTTACTTATAACAGCTAAAACCTGAAACAACTCAAATGTCCATCAACAGGAAAACAGATACGAAAAGTATAATATAATAAAATATTACTTAGCAATAAAATTGAGTGAAATATTGATACATGCAACTGCATAAATCACACAAACATGCTAAGAAGCTGTACAAAAAGCAATGCAGATTATTTTATTTATGTGAAATTCTAAAACAGACAAAACAATGGTGAAAAATTAGAACAGTGGATGCCTCCAGTTGGAAGCAAGGAAGGGAGTTAACTGGGGACGACTGCAAGGAACTTTCTGGGGCGATGGGTACATTCTGTACCTCAACAGCGGTGTGGTTTACAGGGGTTTGCTCATTTGTCAAAACTCATTGGATTGTACACTAAAGATTCTCCATTTCCAAGTATGTAAATTGCATGTAAAGAATTGTAAATAAATATCAAACTTTAGTTAGTAGATTTGATTTTTCCAGTGGTATGGGTTAGCAATTCTGAAATTGCTTTCTATGTATTCTAGACTAGAGTAAATGAGTAAATATATTAAGGATAATAGAATACAGATTTCTCTCACTATTGTGAAGGGAGTTTCAAATATGAAAAGGAAGAAACAAGATTCTAACCTGTAGTGTTGTGCTTGGTTGGAATCAGAGAATTAAATCAGTGATTTTTTAAATAAAGATAAATAAAAAGAAATACATATTTTTATACATGTCATAGGTGAATATACATATCACTATAATACATACATGTATACACCAAAATCCCTCTAAATATATAATTCAAAACACAGATTAGACATAGCTGAAAAAGAATGGATAAAAGGAGTGACTGTTGGGAGGCCATGGAGGGTGGATCACAAGGTCAGGAGATCAAGACCATCCTGGCCAACATGGTGAAACCTCGTCTCTACCAAAACACAAAAAATTAGCAGGGCATGGTGGTGTGCTCCTGTAGTCCCAGCTACTAGGGAGGGAGGCTGAGGCAGGGGAATCGCTGGAACCCAGGAGGCAGAGAGTGCAGTGAGCTGAGATCATGCCACTGCGCTCCAGCCTGGTGACAGAGCGAGACTCCATCTAAAAAAAAAAACAGGAAAGACTGACCAGAGGGTATTACCATATTACTGTAAATGCATCACAGTGTGAAAAAATAAATATTATGAAAGAAGTAGAATTAGAATGTCCAACATATATTTAACAAAATTTCCAGAGGAAGAAAACAGAATTACCAAAAAGATAATAGATGAAAATAACTGCAAATTAATAAAATATCCTGTTTGATGGAACACATGGAATTTGTTACGATGAGTAACAAATCTATACCGAGACAACTTTGCAAGAGAATAATATATGGATTCTGTATGAGGAATACCAATTAGTTTGGACTGGAAGAAGGAGGAGGAAGAAGGAGAAGAATCCTTCAAAGTTGTGAGAAAATGAAACTGTCTAACAGAATTCTATATTCAACCAAATTATTTTTCAGTATTGTTAAATTAATAATGATAATTCCAACAGACTAAACTAGTATTCTGTTCATAGATCATTTTTTGAAAGAAGCTAGAAAAAAATTAATAAATGTAAGTATACTGAAAATAAAGACTTCGGTGATTTAAAAAATACTGTAGACAAACTTACAAGATGAACTATAGATTGATAAATGTATTTGCAAAGCATATAACCAAAAGGATTGTATAGGTAGACAGACAGATAGATAGATCTTAGCGATTAGATAAAATATATAATTTCATCAAGAATATAGAAGTAGAAATACATAATACAAAATTGGCAATTAATTTAAAAGACAATTCATAAAGAAGAAAACTCAAAGGCTAATAAGTATGGGAAAGATATTTCCACTAACTAGTCATCAGGGAAATGCAAATTAAAACAATGTAATACCTTTAAAGAATGTGTTGCTACAACATTAAGAAGCTTTAATTTAAAAAAAATCTAATAATATCAAGTGTTAGTGAGAAAATAAAGAAAAGAGAAATCTCCTATACACTAATAGATATGTAAGCTGTTATGACCACTTTGAAGAACAATTTTGCAAAATCTGGTAACTTTGAGATGTGTTTACTCAGTGACCTACCATTCCCCTTTGGATGTATTCACACCCGAATTAAATACTGACAGAAATATGCAAGAAGACATGTATAAGGATGTTTGTTATAGTGTTGTTTGTAATAGGAAAAATAAAATAAGACAACTATGTACGTGTCCGTCACAATAAGAATGAACAAATAAATGATATGTTAAATCAAAGTTAAGATGAATAAAGTGTCATCTATCAACATGGACGATTCTAAAAGTTAATTTAAACAAAAAGGCAACTAAGGAATAGATTGATACAGAGCTAGAGGTAAGAATACCAGGTATATAAATCTTAAAGAACACATCACACACTATTCTGTATAACTTAAGGCTACTTTAATATGGTACAAGTATAAAACAGAAAAGAATCAGTTATTCTTGTGTTAATCTTAGAAAAGATTCTCTTAGAAAAAGGAAAAAGGAATAAAATTGTATGGGGAGTAGGAGGTGGTATGCTAGGTGATGGTCCATTAGCCAAATCTGTAATGTTTGTTTGTGTTTTTGTTTCTGTTTTGAAATGGAGTCTTGTTCTGTTGCCCAGGCTGGAGTGCAGTGGCACAATCTCGGCTCACTTCATCCTCCACCTCCCAGGTTCAAGTGATTCTCCTGCCTCAGCCTCCCAAGTAGCTGGGATTACAGGCACCCACTACCACTCCTGGCTAATTTTTTTTGTTTTTAGTAGAGATGGGGTTTCACCATGTTGGCCAGGCTTGTCTCGAACTCCTGACCTCAGGTGATCTGCCCACCTTGGCCTCCCAAAGTGTTGGGATTAGTGGTTTTTTTTTAAGAAAAAATATCTGAAGAAAGTAAAAGAGTATTTGCACATGTCAACTTTGTGTTACTTAAATATGTGTGTCTATTATACTATATGTACATTTTTATATCTGACAAATTTTTAAATATAGATACTTTAAAAGTTTTTTTGGAAATTAGTATCATGCCAGTTAATTCTACAGCTAGGCTACAAAGTGTTGTAGACAAATGCCTGCATAACAAAAGTATAAAATATAAAAGAGAAGGGTGCAGATCAATTATAAAATCCTGGAGATTTCTGGAGATGGAAAAAGAGAAACAGGGTCACAAAAGAATATAAGGGATTTTGACTCCCTCCAGAGTGATTAATTTAAAAAATCAAAGTGAAAAGTAGCAAAAGGTTTACATTTGTGAATTCTAGCTATTGGGTAAATATGGTAATTATGTTTTGTCATAACATTTTTGTGTCTGTTAGTTTGACTTACAATTTATTAAAATTATTTTTAAGTGAATCAGAAAAAAACTTCCCAAAAGTTTCCCAAAATTTTAGCACACATTTTTCATTCCTGGTAACTTGGGTTCCTTGCTTTGCAAACTTTTTGTTTAACTAGATGTGTAGTGAAAAAAGAGGGGGAATTCAACATCTCCATAGGAGCATAATGGCATGCACACACATAGCAACACAGAGTTGTAGCAGAAAGGAATTGAGAGTGTATAAGCACAGAACCTGTTAAAAAGAACTCACTATATATTAAGTTTAATTAAACACACACACACATAGACATATATATATACATATATATATACATATATATACATATATATACATATATATATACATATATATACATATATATATACATATATATACATATATATATAAAATTTGAGCTTCAGTTTGCTCAACTCTAAAATGAATGGATGATGTTGATCATGACAACGATGACGATAGAGTTGTATGATGTTAATGTCTGACTTTAGCTCAAGAGCTGAGAGTATGGTGTGGTACCCAGTAATCATTTATGAATACTTGTACTTTACTTGTATCTATTTCTTTCATTAAGCAACAGTGCCTATGCTGTACAATGTCAAATCATTTCTTCTGGTGGCCATTTTAAACACCCTAAAATGTATAATATATTGGAATTATATAGTCAAGGCACTTGGCTATGGCTGCCCTGGCTGCCCCTGGTCCCCAGGTATCACCCAGGAGTACCACACACCAGATTGTGGTTGCCATGACTACTCCTAGCTCAGCCACTCACTTTTTGTACAGCCTTGAGTGAGTCTTGTCTTCTTCCTAAGTCTCAGCTTTCTCTACTGTAAAAGGAAGACGGTACAGTTAACTACTAAACAACAAGGGTTTGAACTGTGCAGGTGCACTTATACGCAAATTTTTTTTCAGTAAACACATTGGAACATTTCTTTAGAGATTTGAGACAGTTTGAAAAACCTCAGACAAACACATGGCCTAGAAATATTTTTAAAAGGAGGAAACAGGTATGTCATGGATGCATAAAATATACCTAAATATCAGTCTATCTATGTGTTAATCAACTGTTTATGTTACCAGTAAGGCTTCTGGTTAGCAGTAGCCTGTTAGTGTTTTCGGTTTTGGAGAGTCAAAAGTCGTATGTGGAATTTTGACAACACAACGAATTGGGGCCCCTAACCTCCACATTGTTTAAGGATCAACTGTAATTCCTACCTGATTGTGTGAAGTTTAGGGACACCCAAATAAGAAGAGCCATATGAATGTTCCTAATGATCTCCTGAGAACTGCATACCTATTCCTCATCAGTATTATGGAGTAAGGCAGATCTCTAAAGAAGGATGCCACATTTGTGTCCAAGTTTTGAGAATTTTGTAAACCTTGCAGCAAGCCTGTGGTTCAGTTCTAAGACCCTGAGCTACGGGGCCTCCAGCATTTTTCAATAGAATTACTGCCTTGTTTAGGAAGAATCTAATTCTTATTATTTAAAGTGCTGTTGGCAGCTGACACATTGAGAATATTATCAAAATATAATTTAACTGCCATTTTGGTAGGGAAAAAACACTTCCTCTTCATAAGAGTAACCCACAAAGAAACGTTTTTCATCTGAAAAAAAAAAACACTGAGAAATTGTGCTTTATCTCAAGACCTTTACTCTGTGAATATGTGTAATGCTTCCTAATTATCAATTTACATTAGGTGAAAAATGACAAGAGTACAAGAATTCCTAACAAAGTATCACCCTGATAAGGTCCTCACCAAATATGAGAAGGTTCTGGTTTGATCTGTTTGGAGGGCAGACAGGAGCACACCAATCTCACATTCCCCTACCTCCTGGACAGTTCCCCTAGGATGTCACCTCAGGCTTCACCTATCACTGCTCCACCTGCATGTCACCTGCCCTCCCCAAACAAACCCTCCCTCTTGACTTCTCAACTCCTCGCCCATCTCAGAGGCACTACACTTGAAACAGTATTGTTTCTCACTACTTCCTCTCAGGCTGAACCGGAGGCACGCAGATGAATGGACCAGAATCCATAAAGGGCCGGCTGCCTCTAGCTGTGCTACCTTGGGAGAGTCACTTGACAGAGCCTTCAACCCAACCAAACACTGCAGACCTTGTAGTTGCCTCTTGCTTTACTGAAATGTGGGCCTCAGGTCCACTGTGATAGAAAGGAGGTTTTTGACCAAAAGTTGTGGACTGCATGCTGAAAATGACAGTAGCCAGGTGGACTTTGCAGATGCCTGCCAGAAGCCTGGGGGAGGGGATGATATTAAGCTGGTGTTATGAGTTAAACTGTGTTCCTCGCAAACTCATATGTTGAAGTCCTAATCCTGAGTACCTCACAATGTAACCTTGTTTGGAAATGTGGTCACTGCAGATGTAATTAGTGAAGATGAGGTTATTAGGGTGGACCCTAATTCAATACTAGTGTCCTTATGAAAAGGGAATTTGAACACAGAGACAAGCACACACAGAGGACACCCCATGAGTAGAAAGACAGAGGTCAGGGTGATGCTTCTACAAGCCAAGGAATGCTAGAGATTTCAGCAACCCCAGAAGCCAGGAGAGAGGCATGGAACAGATCCTCTCAAATCCCTCAAAGGAACCAGTCCTACGGACTCCTTCATCTTGGACTTCTAGCCTTCTGAACTGTGACACAATACATTTCTACTGTTTAAGCCACCAGTATGTGGTACTCTGTTATGAAAGCCCTAACAGACCAATCCAACTAGAGGGTGGGATAAGAGACACCCAGCTTCAGCTAATGGTCACTGCTGGACAGCTGGCTGTTGGACTTTCAGACTTTTCAAGAGATGTTAAAAGTTTCCCACTATGTGAAGTATTCCAGTTCAAAATGGGCAAGTAAGTCAAAAATTTGAAACAATGCTACCAACCCTCCACAACACAAATGTAAACAAAAAAACTTAATTTATGGACTAAATGACCTTAAATTCTTCTTGATAACATACTAGGAAACTGCGACTTTCAAACTTCTTACCTGGGAAAATTCTTAAATCAATAAATCCCAAATCATATGGACGACAGTGTGGCAATTCCTCAAGGATCTAGAACTAGAAATACCATTTGACCCAGCAATCCCATTACTGGGTATATACGCAAAGGATTATAAATCATTCTACTATAAAGACACATGCACACGTATATTTATTGCAGCACTGTTCACAATAGCAAAGCCTTGGAACCAACCCAAATGCCCATCAACGATAGACTGGATAAATAAAATGTGGCACATATACACCATGGAATACTATGCAGCCATAAAAAAGGATGAGTTCATGTCCTTTTCAGGGACATGGATGGAACTGGAAGCCATCATTCTCAGCAAAGTAATACAAGAAGAGAAAACCAAACACTGCATGTTCTCACTCATAAGTGGGAGTTGAATAATGAGAACACATGGATACAGGGAGGGGAATGTCACATACCAGGGCCTGTCGTGGGGTGGAGGGCTGGGGGAGGGATAGCATTAGGATAAATACCTAATGTAAATGATGAGTTGATGGGTGCAGCAAACCAACATGGCATATGTATTACTTATGTAACAAACCTGCACATTGTGCACATATACCACAGAACTTAAAGATTATACTTATAATAAAAAATAAAAATTTTTTAAAAAAATCTCAAATCAGGCCGGGCGCGGTGGCTCACGCCTGTAATCCCAGCACTTTGGGAGGCCGAGGCGGGCAGATCACGAGGTCAGGAGATCGAGACCATCCTGGCTAACACAGTGAAACCCCGTCTCTACTAAAAAACACAAAAAAATTAGCCGGGCGTGGTGGCGGGCGCCTGTAGTCCCAGCTACTTGGGAGGCTGAGGCAGGAGAATGGCGTGAACCCGGGAGGCGGAGCTTGCAGTGAGCCGAGATCCCGCCACTGCACTCCAGCCTGGGCGACAGAGCGAGACTCCGTCTCAAAAAAAAAAAAAAAAAAAAAAAAAAAAAAAAAATCTCAAATCAAAGAGGTTTAGCCAGAGGTCCAGGTTACATACAAAGGAAAAATATAGGTGAATAAATATGTATGAACACTTTGTATTGCCATAAATGATTATATGCATTTAACACATAAATTCTCACATAATCTTTATAATAATGCTAAATGGTAGCCATTGTTTATCTCTTTGTAGAGATGAGAAACTGTGATTCCAAAAAGGGAATTACAACAAAAAAATCAACATCACCTTGCTGTTTCCTAGAAAACCAGCTTGTCTGGCTCCAAAACTTCTGCCTGTGTTACGCTACCAGGTGCCTCCAAGGCTGTGTGGAGGGGGCAACTGAAATCACTGATGGCACCCAGGTCTTCGCAGCTTTTTGGGAAGATTGTTAGAGCTCACAGCTGACAAGCAGCAGGGACTGCTGGAGCCCTGTGCACTCTTCCTGCAGGAAGTCCTGGGAGCAACTCATAAATGTGCACACCTTCCTTTCTGCTTTTCTGGACACAAGCTCCTTACCTCCTCCCTCAGCACAAGCTCCTTAAGTCATTCCTCTGCTGCTTGGTGTGGTCATTGCCTGGACGACCCTCTGCCCATCAGTGACCTCTGGATAGGCCTTCCTGTATGTGGTTCTTTTCTCTTTCCATTTTCTCCATCCACCATTGCTACTTGCATTCCTCAAATCCCACCAATTCCTCAAAAGACCACCAATGTGCAGGAGCTAAAATCCAAAGCTCTTTTCTGGATGTCCAAGGCCTGCCCACCACTAGGCTCCCCACCCCTACCTTGGGGTCTTCCTGCCAGGCCTCATTCTGTGCTTTTCCTTGCATCTCATCTGCTGACTCCTGCTCCTGGATTTTTTTTCTCAGATATTCTACCTACATTTTAACCTCCTTGCTTTCTATTCAGATCTTCTCTACATCAAAAATATCATCTTAGAAAATCTGCTTGGAAAATCCTCGATCTAAAGTAACTAACTGATTTAGCACTTTTGGTGTATGCTGATGCATTTGCTTTTCATTGTCAAAAGAAGAAAAAGGGCCACTGCTGTTAGGAAGCTGGACTCCCGGACCAGTTCTTGCATGTACTCAGGGTGTGATCTTGGGTGCATGACTTGGCTTTGTTGGACACAGATTCACTGTCTATGGAATAAGCATAGTGAATTCGAATCAATCTCTCCAATATTTTACAGCCTCTAAGATGCCTTGACTCTACATACTTATTTTAAGCTCTCCCCATACTCAGCCCATTCCATCATTCACAAAGGCATTAATTCAGCAAATAGCCCCAGTGGGCTACACCACGTTCCAGATGCAATTTCATTTTAACAGGAACAGAGACTTAAACCAAAAAAAAAGTGCATCATTTCCACTAGTGTAGAGTGAAGCTTATTTAAGGAAAGTAAACTAAAGAGTAAGCAAGTAGGGGGCTGGGCACGGTAGCTCACGCCTGTAATCCCAGCACTCTGGAAGGCTGAGACGGGCGGATCACGAGGTCAAGAGATCGAGACCATCCTGGCCAACATGGTGAAGCCTCGTCTCTACTAAAAATACAAAAATTAGCTGGGTGTGGTGGCATGTGCCTGTAGTCCCAGCTACTCAGGAGGCTGAGACCAAGAGAATCGCTTGAACCCAGGAGGCAGAGGTTGCAGTGGGCCGACATCGCGCCACTGCACTCCAGCCTGGCAACAGAGGGAGGCTCCGTCAAAAAAAAAAAAAAAAAAGTAAGCAAGTGGGTAAATACGGTAATTTTCTTCTTGAAAGGGGCTATGAAATGATACAGTGACTCAGACAGTGGCTGAGGGGAAAAGAAACATATTAGATAGAAAGCTCCAGAAATCCTGGTTGATTTGACACAAAGACCTACAGAACAGGTAGGAGCTAGCCCTGCATAGATCTGGGAAAAGAGCAGTCCAGGAAGAGGGAACAGCAGTTGCAAAGCCTCTAAGTCAGGACAAGTTTGCAGAAGTTCACGGAGTAAAGCAAATGCCAGTTTGACTGGGGAAGAGAGAGTGAGTGGACAGAACTGTAAGATAAGCTGGGGCCAAGTGCACAGGCCGCAACATATCCGGCTCTGCTGGTAAGAAGGAGGAGTTTAAATCTTATTTCAGATGTAATGGGGAACTATTGGAGAATCACCTTTATGTCAAGAATGCAGCAGCTCCCCTACAACTTCCTGGCAAGGATTTTAGGGTAGAGTGTCAACTACACTGAAAACCATTTGAAAACAAAATCCAGCCCCTGATTCCATAGTAGAAGTGCCATCTGTGTAGACCTGACTTAGCTCCAGGGCACAACTTTACCCAAAGACTACAGAAGCCGTGTTCTTTCCATGACTGACTATACAAACTCAGAATGTCTGCCCATGGAAGAAAAGACTTCAGGGACACACAGTAATGCTCACAGATTCCAGAAGGCCACTTTTGGGAAGGGAAGACCAGAGAAGGGCTTTTGAGACCACTTAGGTTCAGAGGGGCCTAGAGGGGTTCCAGAGAAAGACACTTATCTATGAGAGACAATTTTCCAACAGCCAGAGTGTGTCAGGTTCTAAGAGAAAGGAATTCCCAAGAGCAGAGGCTTCTGTGTCTTGGGAGACAGAGTGAGATGACCCAGGGAATGTGGCAGGGTTGCAGGCCAGGTGGGGAGTTGGGCTGGAGGCTCTTCCAACCCCAGCATTTCATTATTCTTTTGTTTTCTGTCACTGGGAACTGAAAATTTGTGCCAGGGTTTTACCTACAGAGAAATTTTGAATTATAGTTAAAAATTAACTTTTCAAATAAAATCATACAAATCTTCTTAAATAAAGCCTATCAGATTTTAAGAAGAGTTTGTCTTCATCAGATTTCAATTGATGAAGGAAGAAAGAAAAAAGGAAAACTTCAGTGAAAGTAAAAATGTAGAATGTGCCCTTTGACTGATTGATCTGATCAACAGCAATGTGTCATTTAGAGTTCCTCAGAGAATTATTAGCACTGGCTAGAGTCAGCCTGACCAATCACACACACACACACACACACACAACACACACACACACATGCATACACACACACACACGCTGATGGAAAGCAGTGGGGCTGGAGGGAACACTTACCAAAAGCATAAAGTTAAGCCTTTCCATCAGCAATATCTCCACTGGCTTTTTTATATACTGCCTGCAACTCAAGATTGAAGAACTGGAGATTTTCATTCCTGTTCTTCCTCTTTCAACGGGCAATGTTGAAGCCCATGGGTTTTGGAAGAAATCTGGCTTTATTTCCCAGCTCCTCCAGGTAGCATCTAATCATGCTGGGCAAGAATTCAATTTCTCTGAACTTTAATTTTCATCAGGCAAAGAAAAAGATATAGAAGTAGCAATTGTTTTCCAGGGAAAATGTAAAGATTAAATGGAATGACATACATAAACTGCTTAGTTAGAGCACATAGTGCTCTGACATTTTAGCTGGAAATAATATGCAGCATTTATTGAGTGCATGTATTGTATTTGCCATGCACACTCTTTAAGTGTTTTGCAGTGGTTTTCTTTTGTATTTAAAATTCATGTCGGCCAGGTGCAGTGGCTTACGCCTGTAATCCCAGCACTTCAGGAGGCCGAGGTGGGCAGGTCAGGGGTTCAAGACCAGCCTGGCCAACATGGGGAAACCTCGTCTCTACTAAAAATACAAAAATTAGCTGGGCGTCGTGGTGGGCGCCTGTAATCCCAGCTACTCAGGAGGTTGAGGCAGGAGAATCGCTTGAACCCAGGAGGCGGGGTTGCAGTGAGTCAAGATCGCACCAGTGCACTCCAGCCTGGACAACAGAGCAAGATTCCGTCTCAAAAAAAAAAAATAATAGTTCATGTAATCCTCACAGTATCTATATTGGCAATAAACATTATTGCCATCCACATTTTATAAATAGGGTCACTGAGGCACAGCGAGTGTAACTGCCTTGTTCCAGATTCCACAGTTGGTCCATGACAGAGCTGAGATCAGAACCCAGAGTCCTAACTCTTGACCATTGCAGGCAGTGTCCTTTGCTGCCGCAGTGAATTCAGTAATGCATGCACAGTACTGAGAAGCATTACCTGCCCTTATGCTTTCTAACTTCTTTTCTTCTTCCCACCATTGCAGTGGATCCATCCTGCTGCAAATGGTCATTTTTTTTTCCAGGGCACAATCTAAACATACATCGTTCTCTACTTAGAATCCTAAAGCTCTCCCACGGCCGGCAAAAGGAAACTTAAACTCCTCAGAGTGGCTCACAACCTGACCTCTTGTTCTGCCAGCTTCATTTCCTGTTGCTCTATCTCTGAACTAAACACCCAGTCACTTCAGACTTCTCCCCCAAGCAATGCTGTTTCCTCATGCCTGTGTGCTGGGGTGCCCACCGCCCTCCCGGCTAGAATACTCCTCTCAATTCCCTCTCCTTGGCAAAACTGCACTTTCTACTCTCTTCTGGGCATGCTCCGTCCTGCTGACCTGGTCCTAATCTGTTTACTCTCACACCAGTTCTGTAGGGCAGACGCTGTTGGTTTTCAAACGGGGAAGCCAATTCGGAGAAAATTGTGTTCAAATCATACCGCAGGAAAGTGACTAAGCTAAGATTTAAGTCCACATTTTTTAGTTTCAAGACTCTTTCACCTCCCTTGCACCATCTCCCAAGAAGAACTGGGGGCATTATTTTCTAGCTTCAGCGAGACCTGGGAAGGCTGGTGTTTCTCTTGATGGGGCATAACGTATCTCTGGGAGTGCCTGAAATTCCCTCTGGCTGGTCATCCTCACTCCTGGACTGTGTCTCCTTCCGCCACATTCAATGACCTCTGGGCCCATGGAGTCCAGGACACCCACAGGCAGATGTAGCCACAGCTCGAGGAAGGTCTCTCTGTCTCTCTCCGTCTCTCTGTCTCCCTCTGTCTTGCTGACTAGGAGAGGCACAGGCCAATGTAAGAAGCAAGCCTGGCTTGGGATGCAAAATAAAATGGAATAACGGGGCATGTGCATTTTATCAGAACCAAACAAATTGTGGCTATAAACATTCCGTCGCCAGTGAAATTGCAGCCTTCTTTGAAGATCAGTGTCTGTTTTTTAATGTATCTATATTAAAAAAAAAAAAAAACTGGACCAAATTTCCATTCAACCAGTATGGGGAGGGAGCAGGGGGTGGGAATGGGGACTGAGCCCTGGGAAATGAAACAAGGGAGGGAGAGAAAGGAGACCTTATGTCCTGGATTAGCACATTGATTAAAAGCAAGTTTCTTTCTCTTGAGCAACCCGCCCCCCACAGCCCATCCGCAGCCCCGCAAGCCACTAACCACAATTATTCCACGGGGTCTCTCTTTGCCTTACTTATTTGATATCCTCAGACTCAACTGTTATGGTTCAGACAGTTTGTCTTAGGGGTCCTGGGAGAAGGAGAAAAAAGGCAGCCTCCTAATTGTCTGCAATCGACTGTTGACATCTGCAAAGTACTCTAGCTTCTAACCCTCTCTGTGGATGGTGCATGAGTGCCCCCCACCCACTGCCCACCTCATCCACCTGGGCTTGGCAAGCGGGGCAGCTGCCACCACCATGCACAGCTGGGACTCCTGCCCTGAGCTCTGGCACCCTCCAACACACTGGGGTCACCTTGCTCCCTGTCCATTCCCCAGACCATTTTGTCCGACCTGTGGCTTCAATTACTCTCTGAAAACAGACAATACCCAAAGCCCTGCTTCCAGCTTTGATCAATCTTTGTTGCTCCAGAACCGCATTTGCAACAGTATAACAGACACTCTAGTTACTTCCATTTCTTTCTGGGTAAAATAAAAGAAAAAGACAAATCCCGGACATCTCATTCTAAGTAACTGCTCCTAAAGCAAGAACCTCAACTCTGACATGATTAAATGTAGCCCCACAGCAGAACTCACACATGTCTCCTGGAGCCAAGATCCCTCCTTTGATTTTTCACCCATGCATTCTTCTGTCCTTTTGTTCTTCCAGACATTTCCACTTCTGTATGAGTTTTGAGTAAACACTCGAAACTTAAAATTTCTAAAACTGAACTCTTTCTTGTACAGTCTAGAATTACTTCTATTTATTTATCAGTAATACTCCAAGACTTGATATCTCCAAGTCTTCTCTGATTACGTTCCTCTAATGCAGTACAAATTATAGTCAGCATAACACATAACAATAGCAGTCACCGATGTTTTCTAGTAACACTGTTACTATCACAATTACAGCCCCACTACTTCTTGCCAAGTGTATTCACTCATAGAATGAGTTTTTCTTCCCAGCTTACTTCCAGGAATTCAATGTCACTTTCAATCAGAAAACTAGATGCAGTTAAAATAGAAAATTAGGGGAAAAAAATGAACCCCTTCCCAAAGAAACTGGATGATATGTTTTCTTAAATTTTTATAGATTTGTATTTTTATAAATTGTGCACTTTTCTATAGGTATGCTGAACTTCAATGCAAAGTTTACTTAAAACAAAAATGGAATAAAAATGCCAAGATCCCCCATAAGGCTCTGGGTGCTCCCTCTGTTGGGAACCTCACTTCCCCTGCAATTTCCCCACTATGCCTGGCTCTGATTTCTGGATGTATTGAAGGCCTGGTTCAAATCCTGCCTCCTAAATGTAGCCTTCTCATATTTTCCTCAATCAAGGTTTGTCTCTGCACTATTGAACACCCCTCCCCATCCTAATTGGCTCGATTTATTGTCTTTCCCACAAACGTGGTCTGGTTCTGGCTTCAACAGCACCACAGTCCATCCAGAGCTCCAGCCATAAACCTGGAAGATGCCTGTGATGCCACACTGCTCATATGAAATCAATCACCAGCTCCTATGGCCTTTATATCTCTACATCACTCAAGTCATCTATTTTTCTCCCTTTCTTCAGCTAATATCCTAGTTCAAGCTGCCATCATGTCTGGATTAATGTGAGGTGCTCGCAGTGAGTCTCCCACACACCGTGGCCCTCTTTCAATCAATTCTCCACATGGCAGCAAGGTGATATTGTTAAAATGGATGTTCCCTGACAGTCCTGTTGTCTGTTCCATTCTGCCCCTTCTTAAACCTCTCAGTGTCTTCCCTTCATCCTTACAATAAAGGCCAAAACCCTCACCATGGCCATGCCTCCTCACTAGCGTCAACTTGTGCAGTATCTTCCTGGATTTTTTCACTCCAGCCACACTGACTGGCCTTCATTTTTTCCTTCAAGAGTCTTCACCCTAGCATTTCCTGCTGCCTTAAACTGCTCCTTCTGCTTAATCTTCACTCACCCTCAGAAAGCAAAGGATTGGCTTTTCAAAGAAGTTTTTCTGACTCTTTCATATTAACACAGGCTCTTCCTCTGCAATGGACCGAATGTTTCTGTCCCCATCCCCCAAAGTTCATATGTTGAGATCCTAGACTCCAAAGTAATGATTTTAGGAAGTGGGTCCTTTGGGAGCATGTGGATCTCAGACTTCCAGCCTCCAGAAATATTAGGTTTCAGCTCTGAGGGAAAAAAAAGTTGAAAACATTTTACTTGTTGATTTAAAATTATATTACAAAGCTATACTAAACAAAAAAGTATGGTACTGGCATAGAAACAAACCCATAGACCAAAGGAATAGAATACAGAGCCCAGAAATACACCCGAACATATATAGTCAACTAATTTTTGACAAAGGCACCAAGAGGACATAATGAGAAAATAATAGTCTCTTCAATAAATTGTGCTGGGAAAAACTGTATTTTCATATTCAAAAGAATAAAATTAGACCCTTAGTTTACACCATGGATGAAAGGCCCAAAAGTAAGATCAGAAACTATAAAATTTCTAGAATAGAACATAAAGGGAAAGCTCCTAGACATTGGCCTTGGCAATGATTTTTTGGATATCACACCAAAAGCTCAGGCCGTAAAAGCAAAAATAAATAAATGAGACTATAACAGACTAAAAGCTTCTGCACAGAAAAAAAAAATGAAATGGCAAACTACATGTCAAAAAATAATATTTGCAAACCATATATCTGATAAGAGGTTAATATCATACAACTCAATAATAGAAAGCCAAATAACCCAATTTTAAAAAAAAAATGGGCAAAAGACCTAAATAGACATTTCTCTAAAGAAGGTATAAAAATGAACAATAGATAAATTAAGAAGTGCTAAACATCATTAATCATCAGGGAAATGTAAATAAAAGCCACTATGAGATACAACTTCATGTGCGTTAGGATTATTGACTGTTATCAAGATTTCAAAAGATAACAAATGTTGGAAAAAGTGTAAGAGAAAAGGAAACAAATTCTTGTAGACTGTTGGTGAAAGTGTAGATAAGTTTAGCCATTATGGAAAACAGTATGGAGGTTTCTAATGAAATTAAAAATCGAACTGCCATATGATCCAGCTACTACTCTTCGAGGCATAAAGCAAAATGTTACAAAATGATCACCTTCCAAAGGTAAAGAGACCTGCACTCCCATGTTTATTGTAGCTTTATTAACAATAGCCAAGCTATGGAAACAACCTAAGTGTTTGTCAACAGATGAATGGATAAAGAAACTATATATATACACACACATTTATATGTGTGTGTGCACATATAAAATGGAATACTATTCAGCCTTAAAAACAAATAAATAACAGAAATGAGATCTTGCCATTTTCCCCAACATACATCAGCCTGGAGGACATTATTCTAAATGAAATAAGACAGACATTGGAAAAAAAAAAAAACAGAAGAAGAATGCATGATCTCACTTATATGTGAAATCTAAAAAAAAAAAAATCAAAGATACAGAGACGGAGAACAAAACAGTGGTTACCAGGAGTGGGGGTGGGAGGGGATGATGGGGAGGAAATGGAGAGATGTAGATCAGAAGATACAAAGTAGCAGATGTGTAAGATGAACATATGTAGATATCTAATGTACAACATAAGGACTACAGGTAATAAAATTGTGCTTTTTTGCGAATTCATGCTAAATTAGTAGATTTTAACTGCTTTTGCCACTAAAACAAAAGAAAATGGTAATGGTGAGATGATGGATATATTAACTTGTTTCACTATAGTAACCTTTTTACTATCCATGTGTATTCTATAACATCATGTTGTATACCTTAAATACACACAATAAAATTTATTTTAAAATAAGTTTTTAAAAAAAGATTTCATGGAGCTTTACTTACTAGGTTTTAGATTTCTTTGAAACCCACCACTTTTTTTTTTTTTCTATTTTTCCCTTTTGGAATGAAAATGTCTGTCTACACCTGTTTACCATCGTATTTTGCAAGCACATAACTTGTTTAATTTCACTGGTTCACAGATGGAGATAAATTTTACCTCAGGATAAATTGTACCTGGAGTCTCACCCATATCTTTTTTAGACAATATTTTGATGAGACTGGACTTCAGACTTTGAGTTGATAAGAGAACGAATTAAGAATTTTAGGGCTATTAGGATGGAATAAAAGTATTTTACCTATGAGAGGAATATGAAGTTGGGGGACCCAGGGGCAGAATGCAATGGACTGAATATTTTCATGTCTCTAAAATCCGTATATTGAAATCTCAACCTCCACTGTGAAGTATGAGAAGGTGGGGCTTTTGGTAGAGAATTAGGACTTGAGGTTGAAGCCCTAATGAGTAGGATAAATGCCCTTATGAAACAGAATGCAGAGAGCTCTCTTCTGCCATGTGAAGATACAGTGAGAAGCTGGCTGTCTGCAACCTGGAGGAGCTCCCTCAACCAGAACCCAATCCTGCTGGCACTCTGACCTCAGACTTCTAATTTCCAAATTGTGAGACATAAATGTCTGTTGTTTATAAGCCATCCAGTCTCTGATACTTTGTTTCAGCAAAGTCTCTTCTAAGAATTCAGATTTGTCACAGTAAAATGCTAGCTTTGAAGTTCCAAGATTAAACAGGAAGAAAAACTGCAGAGAAACTATCCAAGAGGTAAGTAAACCCAATGTGTTTGTCTTGTCTCCATTCAAGATCATTGACTCAGAGAAATCTTGGATTAGCCTCCACCCCACCAGGCATGCATTAAGCCACCCTGTTCTCTGCCCCTTAGTGTCCTGTACTTCCCAATAACATTGTGTCTCATGCTTCTATTTCTAGTTCAACTCTAACCTCTGTGAAGACATGGCTTGTGCTTACTCTGCATCTATAGTGTGTAGCATTCAAATATATTTGTAGAAGAAAGAAAGGAGAGGAGAAAAAGTGAGATCTCCTGGCCTCTCCTCAGGTGGGTGGGATGGGAGTCAACTGATAGTGAAAGACAGAAAAAGGCAATATCCGAGAGAAAAGAGAAAGTGTGAAAGCAGTTCAGGGGCCCATCAGCAGAGAGGGAAAGGGCACTCCCTGGCCATATGTGAATATTTTCATAGGCTTTTGAATTGGAGATCATGACCCTAGAGATTACAAAGTGTGTAAGATTTGGGAAAATGTGAAATGCATATATGCAATCATTTTGCAACTCTCGCAGATGGTCTACCTGTTTGTGTTCACATTGCTACTTATTAGAGATAACTCAGTGTATTAAAATCTGTCTAGACACTGTATATCATGATGTTATCATTCATAGTGTCCCTTTTTGATGTCTAAAATTTGATTTTCATGTTTATATGTCTTTAATCAAGTCCTCCAACAAGGGAACAAGGGGGATGCAGTTGGATGGAACAAAATAGATGGTTGTCTTCCTGCGTTAGTATTATTTCTTTAACCAATATTTTTTGGATAGGAAAATTCAATCATCTGAAATCCACTTATCTTTATTGTATATTTCACAACTTCGATGATAAAGAGAAAAATCAAATTATTACAAAAGGAAAATATGAAATGTATTACCTATCAAAAAATAAAATTTGACAACCATGAATAGAAATGACAGAGAACCGGGAAACAAGGTCTTCCAAGTGTTTTGTAGAAATAACTCAAGTGTGAAGATATAATAATGCTTTTTTACCTTTGGTTTATTTATTTTTTTTTTACTTTCAAAGGCACAAAATTTTACCTCCCAAATCCCCCATCTCAGAAAGTTTCTGGAAAACACACTGTAACCAAATAAGTGAATCATGGAGAAAAAAAAAAGAGAAAATGTAGAAGAGAAAAAGGATCCGCTCCAGGGTACCATTGTACAAAAATACAAATCAAGATGGTAACTCTATAGCATGTCCAACTGAGTCTAGGAGGAAATCAGAGAGCCTGAAGAATATATGTAAGGAGATGTTTTATAACAAAGTAAGTATATAAGTATATGTATTGGTTTTAACTTGTAAAGTCAACCAAAAAAAAAAAAAAGCAAGAAAGAGATATGTGAGGTGGAAGAACAGAAAGCCAGTGGGATCCACCTGATAAAATTATAGGGATATTACAAACAACAGAAAAGTGGAGGCAAGAGTAGGGGTAGATGGGGGAAGATGACAGGAAAGCACTGCTAAATTTATAAAATAGAAATACATGATAAATATTTCATTAAAATGACACTGGTACTCCTAGAATTAATAAGTAATTACAGCAAAGTTGTAGGATATCAAGTTAATTTACAAAAATCAATTACTTCCCTATATGCCAGCAATGAACAGTTGAAATTTGAAATTTAAAGCATAATAACATTTACATTAGCACTTCCCAAATGAAATACTTAGATAGCTAACAAAATATGTACAAGATCTATGAGAAAAATATATAAAATCTAATGAAAGAAATCAAATAACTGAATAAATGGAGAGAGAGTTCATGTTCGTAGGTAAGAAGACTCAATATTGTCAAGATGTCAATTTTTCACAACTTGATCTATACTTTTAAAAAATATCTATAAAAATCTCAGCAAGTTGGTTGGGGACAGTGGCTCACGCCTGTAATCCCAGCACTTTGGGAGGCCGAGGTGGGCAGATCACCTGAGGTCTGCCTGACCAGATTTCAAGACGAGCCTGACCAATATGGTGAAACCCCGTTTCTACGAAAAATACAAAAAATTAGCTGGGCATGGTGGTGTGTGCCTGTAATCCCAGCTAGTCAGGAGGCTGAGGCAGGAGAATCACTTGAACCCGGGAGGCAGATGTTGCAGTGAGCCAAGATCGCGCCATTGCACTCTAGCGCTGGCAACAAGAGCAAAACTCCACCTCAAAAAAAAACAGCAAGTTATTTTGTGAATGTTGACAAACTGATTCTGAAGTGTATATAGTGAGGCAAAAGACACAGTAGAGTAAACACAGTATTGAAGAAAAATAAATTTGCAAGACTGACATTACCTAACTTCAAGACAGGCTGTAATGATACAGTAATCAAACCAGTGTGGTATTAGTGGAAGAATAGACAAATAGATTGATGAAACAGAATAGAAAGCCCAAAACTAGACCTGTACAATTATAGTCAACTGATCTATAACAGCGAAGCAAAGGAAATGCAATGGAGAGGAGATAGTTTTTCAACACATGGTCCTGGAAAAACTGAACATCTATTTGCCAAAAATATGTACATATATATGAGACATAGTTCTTGCACTCTTCACAAAAATCAACTCAAAATGCACCTAAAATATTTATCTAAATATAAAACATGAAATTGTGGAACTACTAGAGGAAAACATAGGAGAAAATGTGGATTACCTCCAGTTTGAAGATGACTCTACAGATACAACATCAAAGGCATAATCCATAAAAAGAATAACTGATACGTTGATCTTTATTACATTAAAAACTTGTTATCTGCAAAAGATATTATCAACATAATGAGAAGACAAGCCATAGATTAGAAGAAAATATTTAGAAAATACTTATCTGATAAAATATATTGTCCAAAATATCCAAAGAGCTCTTAAAAGTCAACAATCAGAAAATGAACAACCACATTAGAAGACAGGCAAAAGACCTAAAGAGGTACTTTATCCAAAAAAAATTCAAATAGCAAATAAGCATATGAAAAGATTTTTCGCATGTTATGTCATCGGGAAAACGCATATTAAAACAACAAGGAGATACCATAGCACACCTATTAAAATGGCCAAAATCCATAACACACTAACAACACTGAATGCTGGTGAGGATGTGAAGCAACAGGAACTCTCATTCATTGCTGATAGAATTGCAAAGAAGTGCAACCACTTTGGAAGACAGTTTGGCAGTTTCTGACAAAACAAAACATACTCCTAACATATTAATAATATCCAACAGTTGTATTCTTAGATATTTACCCAAATGAGTTGAAAACTAAAAGCCACACAAAAATGTACACATGAATATTTTTAGTAGCTTTATTTATAAGTTGGAAACAACCCAGATGTCTTTCAATAGAAAAAGGCAAACAAGTAACTAAATTGTAGTATATCCAGGCAATGGAATATGACTCAGTACTGAAAAGAAATGAGAGATGAAACTTTGCAAAGACATTAAGGATTTAAGTGCATTTTACTTAAAAAGCCAATTTGAGACAATATGTACTGTATAATTCTAACTATATGACATTCTGGAAAAGGCAAAACTACATAAATAATAAAAAGATTGGTTGCCATCAGGAGTTAGAGAAAGAGAAGGATGACTAGGCAGAGTCAAGGATTTTTTCTTTTTTTTTTTTTTTTTTTAGACGGAGTCTTGGTCTGTTGCCCATGCTGGAGTGCAGTGGTGTGATCCCAGCTCACTGCAACTTCCGCCTCCCTGGTTCAAGCGATTCTCCTGCCTCAGCCTCCTGAGTAGTTGAGATTACAGGCATGTGCCACCATGCCCGGCTAATTTTTGTATTTTTAATAGAGACCGGGTTTCACCATGTTGGCCAGGCTGGTCTCGAACACCTGACCTTGTGATCCACCCACCTCAGTCTCCCAAAGTGCTGTGATTACAGGTGGTGAGCAACCACACCCGGCCAAGCAGAGGATTTTTAGGACAGTGAAACTATTATGTATAACACTGTAATGGTGGGTCAATGTCATTCTTTATACATTTGTCAAAATTCATTGAATTTACAACACAAAGAAGGAACCCTAATGTTCACTCCTATGAACTTTGGGTGATAATGATATGTCATTCAGGTTCATTGGTTGTTAATGGATGTACCATTCTGTGGGGATGTTGATAGTGGGGCAGACAGTGCATGTGTTGGGACAGGGGCTATGAAGGAGCGCCCTGTATTTTTTGCACATATTTGTTGTGAACCTAAAACTTCTCTAAAAAAAAAACAGAGTCCACTTTAAAAAATTACAATGGGAAACAATAGATAAGCTAAAATAGTAAAATAAAATTAACCAATAAAATTAACTGAGTTAAAATCATTGAGTTTTAAAACAATGTAATGTAATATGTAATGTAATGTAAGTACATTGGAACTAATGTAAGTGACCTAAATTGTGTTTTATCGTGGTATGAAATCAATAAATATCTGATATTGGTAAAGTGAGAAATAAGAGTATAATAATCCCATTACTTTAACAATTCAACAATAAAAAGCAGTAAAAGTGATTTATTTAGAGGATTAGGGTATGAGTAGAGCCTGGAGACTGATGATTTGTATCATAAATTCTTATATTCTTTGACTTTTTAAGCACATGTAAGGAATAGTTTTACTTGACACATTTTAAGGGAAAAAGCTATTATAAATATCTGAGCCTATTAGAGAGCTACTTATGCAGCTTTCTTGTTTCTCTCTCTCTCTCTCTCTCCCTCTCTCTCTCTGTCTCTCTCTCCCTTGCTCTCTCTTTCTCCCTCTTTCTTCTTTCTGATAGGACCTCACTCTGTCACCTAGCCTAAAGTGCAGTGGCATGATCATGGCTCACTGCAGCCTTGACCTCCTGGGCTCAGGTGATCCTCCCACCTCAGCCTCCTGAGTAGTTGAGACTACAGGTGTGCAGCACCATGCCTGGCTAATTTTTGTATTTTGTTTTTGTAAAGACGGGGTTTAATCGTATTGCCCAGGCTGTTCTCAAACTCCTGGGCTCAAGCGATTCACCCACTTCAGCCCCCAAAAGTGCTGGGATTACAGGCTTGAGCCAACATGCCCAGCCATTTCTTGTTTCTTTAAACACTGATCAACTTTATTTTTTGTTGCAATTATCTGTAATTGAGTAGCCAGATTTCTATTTTTTTAGACCACAGCTTTACGCTTATTCTTTTCTGCCTAGGAGTTGAAAATGAAATTATACACATTCTTTTTATGGAATTGTTTGAAATCGTTAAATTTCAAAAATGTATTTTAAAATGCAGAAAAATTTTACGCTGATCCCTAGAAGCATTCTGGCAGCATTGTGGATCATGCTTTTTCTTCACTTACTCAGAGTCAGCACCTCCTGGCCCATCTATCTTGAACTTGCATTGCTGAAGTTACTTTGAGCTTTATAGGGATTGGATATTCCAGACATAGCAATCATGATAGTAGCAACAATACTAAATAATTGTTTATGTTAATCAAATGACTCTATGGGCAATATATTGTTCTAAGAAGTTTTAAGCATCATATTATTTTAGCCAGACGCCAGTCCTGTGGGGGCAGCTACTAAAAACAATGGTGCAGTTGAATGTAGACTACAAGACCTATTACGGGGATTTCAAACCAAGCTCAGACACATTCTATTTTTTACCTGTAGGACACTTACTTTTAATGTCGATTGTGACTCAGCTTCCTTATGTGTAAAATGGGAATAATCACACTATGTACTTCCTAGAGTTTTGGTGAGGAGTAAATGAGTCAGAACACGTAAGCACTTAGAACAGCGCCTGACGCATGACAGGCAATGCAGCGTAATGGTGATGTCATCCCAATTTTATAGATAGGAACTGAGTCACAGAGAGAGTAAATGGTGGAGCTAGGATCCAACCTGGAGGTATGACTCATTCGTTAGTCTTTTTACCACTGGGTCCCAACTTTGAGCTAAGAGTCCCACCTTATGTTTGCTTTATTAACCTATTGGGGGAAGACACAGGCTTTGAAGACAGACACACTTGAATTCTAAGCCCAGCTATATCCCCTTCCTTAGCTCCATGGCTTTGGTCAAGTTTGAAACTTTTCTGATTTTGTTTTCTCCTTAATTGGGGGTATGAAAACCTCCCTTGCTGAGTGGTTCAGAGGGTGAACTAAGTTAATGTGTAGAAAGTACCCAGAATCTCATTAGAACACAGCTGTGATGAAAGAACTCTATCATCTTCCTTTCCTGATAAATCATGTCCAGAAATGTCTCTGCCCTCCAGAACCTTGTAATCTGAAGGGACATTTAGATTAATAAATGTTCAGATTCAACTTTCCTTGCTATTTCTTAAGCACCCACTATTCCCCCAACATTGCTCAGCAATTCCACATAAATTACATCACTTAAATTACAAAGGATACTGTTTCCTTTTAACAGGTAAAAGAGATGAAAGTTTTGAGCCATGATGAAGCTTAAGTATGAATGATACTAGCACATAATACAAAGCCCTTTGACTGAAAAGTAAAAAGAAAAAAATGCATGGAAACAGGCTGATAGTTGCTTCTCCATTGTCTACTGACTTCCCTTTGCTTGTGAATTACTAAATTCCTTATGAGAAGGTGAACTTACACTTCAAGAGAGTGCTCTGTGGTCTCAGCCTTTACCAATCACGTTTGCCAATTATTTGGTTTGAAAATAGTGAGTATAGAGTTGTGTGATTAGAAAAAGGGTCCTCACAGCCCAGCCTGATGGCACTGAGGCCCCACAAAAAGACAGCGAAGAGGGTCATATGGTGGATGTTAGCAGACCAGGAGACTATGGCTCCGCAGAGACGAAGATGCTTCCCACACCCTATTCTGCCTGTCTGCAGAGTCTATTTCTGGAACCCTAGGGTTACCTGCCACAGATGCTGTTGGAGCCCAGGTCAGGACACACATGTGCCCAGTGTGTGTCACAGCCACTCACATGACATGATGAAAGAACCATCACTCTGCTCCTTATATAAGGGGCTTCTGATAATAAGCAGCCTCAGAGATCTAATTATTTATCTGGAGGGAAAAAGCGATTGTGTTGGTTTTGCCTAAATGCTCAAAGTTTCATGAGGAAAATATTAACAAGGACCTGCTTCCGGGTTGCGGCATCTCACGGGGGTTGACAACCCTTCCCCCAAACTGCGGAGGGGAGGCAACAGGAAGGACCTGGGCATCCACAGGGAATAATCACATTTTGGGCCACTGTTTATGCATGTTGTCAGCAGAGAGAAGAGAAAAGCAACAAAATCTGCTTTTCATGGGCAGAAAGCAAATCTAATGTTCCGGTATTTACAACTTCAATATTGATAGAGTCTCTTGCCTCTGTAGAACTGAATCACAGGAAAACATGTAATCTTTCCTGGCCCTTGTTTGGATAGGGCAGAGATAAATTAAAAAGTTACTTTTTCCTCCCTTTACATCAAGCAGTACAACTTATTTCTGTAATCAACATCAGTGAGATTCACCTTTCGGGAAATCAGAATTTTCTCTTCAGCCACAAATCCATTTTAGGTAAACATCATTGACCACCCACATGTAGAGACGCTTTGTTGGGAAAATCACTTTCCCTTTTTTCCTTTTCTTTGTGATTTTGTAGCAATGTATGGGAGGGTGCATTCCACTAAGAAAGTCTATTGTTCTCTAGACTTATTCCACGTAGGACAATGGAATCGAGGTTTGTTTTGCTGAACATACATTATAATTTCCATAAATACAATTACATTCCAGTGGAAAATATTCTGCAATAGAAGTTCAGTCGCCTGCATAACTGTAGTGTTGGACATAGAAAATGAAGACCGTGTCATTCCCTGAGACGATCAAACGATTACTAAATTTTTTCAAGTTTTCATATTGAGGGGATACTCAGTCATTTGTTTAATAACTGCTCACCAAGTGGCTGTTACACGACAGTCATCGTTCTAAGTTCAAAAGGTACAAAGGAGACATCACTCCTGCCTGCGTAAGGTTTTCTGTCTGCAGAAAGAAATCAGATTTGGACTCAGCTCTCACACCTGATTAGCACTATGAATATCATGTAGGTGGGATTTGGAATGCATAGGGATCAAAGGAATGTGATTTAATCTTTACAATCACCTGGAGAGGGTTGCAATATTACTCACATTTTATAGTTTTATGGCTGAGAAAGGAAATGCTTAGAGAGGTCAAGCAGCAGCCCAAGGCTACAGCTAGAAAGTAGCAGATTCTGAACCTATATATGTGTGGCTTAGAGCCTAGGTACTCTCTTCCTTCAGGAGGACAAAAACAAGGATTGCTATGGTGTTTGCAGCTGTCCCTAAAATTGTCTTCATATAATACAATTTTGATGTTGGTGATACCAGGACTGGGTTTGAGTGTTTGTAAATGTACTGGGGTAGGTTAACCACAATCTCCTGTTATTCTTAATGGTATGAACATGTGTCTATTCAAAATCATTACCATTTGGAAACAACAGAAATATCCAATGCAAAGAGTAGGTAAATCATGTATCATCCATATAAAATCATAATATGCAGATATCTGACATATTATTACAAAAGTATACAAAGTTTTTAAATGAATATCAAACAATGAAATGGAATTGAAAGGTACAAAATTGTGTGTGTGTGTGTGCATTCACAATCCTTTGTAAAATGACTGTATGAAAAGAAATGAGAAGAAAAATACCTAAAATATTAACATGAGAAGTACATTTTAAAATTCATTTTATTTTTCCAAATGTTATCCAATATATATTCATTGAAGTAATAAACTAAAATACAAGTCATTTTATCAAAGCCATCTGTACTCACTAAGAATAGTCAATAAATCACAGCATTTTTAGACTTAATATCAGTCAAGAAGAGTCACTGTCAGCTTTTCTCCTTCTTGGTTTCCCCCTCAGGTGGTCTACAACTGATATTTCATGTCATATAAACACACTGAATTTTGCAATGAAAGAAATGTGTAGAATTGCAGTTGCATTGGAATATGATGGAGAGATGTATTTTTAAATATATCAATGTTTATCTCTCTCTCTCTAGCTATCTCTGTCCTATCTATCTATCTATCAATCATTTCTCTTTTTCTTAATTTTAAGGAACAAATAATTTACACTTCCTGAGCACTAACAGTGTCCCCGGCACTGAACTTGAATTATTGCACTGAATCCTCCTGACAGCCCTATGAGGAAATTATTATAGACACCCCCATCTAATGTGACATATGCAAGCCCACATTGTCAGCAAGGGGCAGAGCCAGGATGTGCATCCGGGCAGCCTCTCTCCACCCCTCCCCTCGCAGTCCCCATCAGTTGGTTTTGTTACTGTGCCTTTCTCTTGAACACAGCCCTTGGCGCTGTCCCTGGCTCATGGCGGACACTCAACACTCAGCCACGGTTGTTGCTGCTACTATTACTATTCACTTCTTATTTATTCTTACATCACCTTTTGTGGGTTGTTATACCCAGTGCTTTTTCTCCTGTTTATACCTGTTTGAAAAAATATAAAGAATCCTTCAATTTGAAGATTTTTGGTTTATCAAATGCAGAAGAAGGAAGAGGATATTTATATAAGTTTTTCAAGATGAATCTTTTAGAAAACCTACAAATCAAATATTCATTCCAGCTAGGGCAATAGAAAATATCTATACTGTTCTACAGTGAACTTCCCTTTTCTCCAGGAATGTCTGCTATGGAACGCGACCATCACTGGCAACTTCTACAGGAGGGCCTGCTTAACAAGCTTTACCAAGGTCCAGCCCACACTCTTTAAACTGGCCTAGAAGGTCCTTCCTACTCTGCCCCTAACTTCCCTTCCAGCCTCTCTTCCTGCCCTAACCCGTTCTTAATCCATCAATTCCCCCATACAGCCAAACCAAGCCATGCTCACTGACTCATGCCTTCCTATTTCGCACCTCTGGGTCTGCACAGATTCTTTGAGCTGACAGTGGACACATCCTCTAAGACGCAGTGGAAGCATGAGGTCTGGGAGGGGCCTCCAGACTCTGGCCCAGCTCAAGATTCACTCTTCTCTTCCTAGAGGTCTTCCAGTAGAGTATCCTTTCCCCATATGCTAACTAATATCCCTGAACAGCATCACCTTCTCTAGACTAGGAAGCTTTGGGAGCAGGATCTGAGTTCTGGGCATTCTCAGTGCCCAGCATGCCAGTGGCATATGGGTGGGGATTAATGAGGACTTGTTAGGGTACAACTTTGGTGGTCAGGTCAATGAAGCAGCATTGATAACTCCACTTAGATAAATGAAGCAAAAAGGGAAGTTTATCCTGAAGATAATGAGACGTCACAGGGAGCTTAAGAAAGGAACACTGGTAGTCTTCACGAATGGATAGAAAAAAGATCCTCATGTCAGGTGCTTTCAGGCCCTCTCAGCTTTTGTCCATGTCCCTTATTTCCTCTCCCTCTCTCTCTCTCTCCTTCCCTCCCACCATCCTTTCATGCCCCCTCCCCTCTCTCCTTTTGTTTTTCATATCTACTTGATAAGAAATGTGGTAGCCAACACTTCAGCCAAAGTCTTCACATATCCCTTCTCTCTTCCAGACTTTCTCAACAAAACTGTACCCCATTTCCCAGTTTCTGTCTCAAAATTTCCTAGATAAGCCTTAGATTGGCTTATTTGGGGTTGGATGACCAACACGAGACCAATAAAACAGCCAGGGGACAGAGTAACATTCTACCACTAAAGTGGATTTTAAAATAACAGTAAAGATATGGACAGTCAAGCTGGGCAGTTACTAGAAAAAACATGATGAGAAGCAAATTATAAAGATGTCCTGTGCAGGTGTGCATGCGCACACACACACACACACACACACACTACCCAAAACATAGTAGGCCTGCCAAAATATTTGTTGAATTACTAATTCAATTATTAATACAGGTTTCATTATTGAGGAATACGTATTCATAATGGTGGCTTTAGTCCTGGAAAAATTCTCTGCTTCCTGTACCCTCAGAGAAGGAAAATGAATTTTCACTGCAGTTCAAATGCTTGCTGGGGTCAAAACACTCTGTTATCTTGAACATATGTCTAATGATATTTGCTTTAATGAAGAGCCACAGCTTACCTCCTTCTCCACAGCACTTGATCTTGCATTTGGGGTGTGGAAGGTCACCCAGCGTGTTCTTGCCCTCGGCTTTGGCTCACCCTGCTGGTGACGAGACCACAGAAGGATAATAAAGAATGGGACCCAGCCTTCCATTAATAGTTTGGCTGGGTTTCCATTGCTGCCCTCTCTCAGCTTGTGGTCCTGCAATGAGTTTCAGTCAAAAGCAAAAGGGAAGTGGTTAGTTTTAAAAGGAGTATCTGCACTTTAACAGCCACTGGAGTCTCTGCAGTTTGCCCATTGAGTTGCAGTGGGGTAGAAACACGGAGCACAGACAGGCACCAGGGCATCGCAGTTACAACGACAAGCTGCAGAGCCAACCCAACTGGGTTCATTTCTGCCTTTTTTCACTTATTAACTTGGTCCATTTTCTTCATCTCTCTGTGTCTCTGTTTACTGTAAAATAGGCATAACAATAGTACCATGCCTACAGGCTCATTCTAGGGCATAAATGAATGACTGAGAGGGTTGACATTGTGCCTGGAACATAGCAGGATGCTCAGGTCTCAGAAGCATGGAGTCATAAACTCACTCCCGAGCTGTCCTTGCGCCATCTTCCGTCATATCCCCGTGTTAATAACCTAAATCTTCATGCCACAGGATTCACTGAAACCCATCCTTCTGCCTTCTCAGACACTCTGGTTGTTTGCCTCTCTCATACCTTGACCTCGAGGATGGAGAGGCTTGACCTTCTCCATCCTTCTTCCCTGATTCTCTTGTGACTTCTCTGTACTACCATGGCCATCTCCCACTCACTTCAATGTTCACACACATGCACACATGCACAGACTGGGCTCTGCTCCTTCCCTCATGGGTCTGCTGTGGTTGCAGATCCCACTGAGGGAGTGGGAAGGGCAGAATGAATTTACAACCCAAAGAGGAAGCACCTCAACCTCAATAGTGACTTAGCACTGTTCTTTCTACCCGGAAACCTCCTGCCCTCACAAAGGTCCCTATGCTCCTCCTCCTTCATTCTCAGCCTACCATGGCCTGGGCAGCTGTGGTCATCTCCCTGTGAAGAGCCAGCTATGCCCTGATGCCAAGCCTCAGCCAGACCCCACGTGGTCCTTAGAGACCTAGGAAGGCAGACTTTCACTTCACTCAGTAGATGTTAAACATCCTAGTGGGAACATTAAGCACTCGAATAATTTCATAGATTCTGGATTTTTCCCAAGGTTACATGTCTTCCCCCATACACAACTTTGGTAGATATTGACCTTATGCAATGCATGTTTAACTGGATCTCCAGTGTGACTTCACCTGGAACAAACACTCTCCACCCAAAAGAAATATATGCTTCCATGTTTCAGATCCCCGAATTTCAGAAATATTGGGGCCCTGCCTCAGAGCACCCCACTACAGCAATATGCTATATATGGAATGTCCTTAGAAAAAGGAGGCTAGGATCAGTTGAGCTCACAGCACTGGTCATAAGCTTCATATAAGCCACTCAATTTATTTAATTCTTCCAACATTGCTGCTGAGCAGACATTTCATTTATTAGGGACTGAGACTGAGCAGGAAGTGATGACCTGAACAGTGAAGCCAGCCTCTGAGGGTTAGAATCCACTTCTGTGGCATTCCAGCCTCCCTGCTTTTTCCCAGACACCTCCCTGCTTTTTCCCAGACACCTCACCTGTCTTCACAACTCCAGGGTTAATGGTTGCTCCATCGTGCCTGGTGTTTGCCCAACCCAATCTCCTCCTAGACCACAGACATGAGTGGAAAGTCCTACTGTACAGGAACTCAATTCTGTCTGAGAGCTCTGGGCTGGTGACAGGAGGCTCATTCTGCTGTACACTGGGCTGTGCACTCTTGGTTAGGGTTTCAACACCAGTGTTTTCACACTATGGTCATGACCTGCTGGAGGTTCATGAAATCAGCTGAGTACAACTGGCGTTTCAAAACAACAAAACAGAATATTATAAAATAGAAAATATCAGATTTAAACACCCACATTTGGAAGGAATGTTGTTTTGGGCAACTTTTGTTTAGTTTATCTGTCACATAGCTAGCTAGCTGTAAATATGTTTGGTAAAACTTCTGTTTCTCATTTTGCCTATATATGTATCTGGCTATTTCTCTATCTGTTTATGTGTCTGTATCTAGTTTGTCTGTCTGTCTATCGTTCCATGCATATATTTGGACTGGATTGTAGTTAAATGCATATCTTACTATGCATTGAGGTTGAAAAAGTTTAAATTCACTTCTCTGAATCTCTCTGAAAGTTTAGGTTTCTTTCTTTCTTTTCTTTCTATAAAAAAGGTTATATAAAGATATAACCTAATGGGTTGTTGTGAGGTTCAAGTGAGATGTATATTAAAGGACTTTGTAAAGTCTGATTTCTCACAAACAGGCTGTTTACTACCAAGAAAAGATTGGCATCGCATGCCACTCAGAGTTCCAGATTTGAACCCCTACTTCTCTGTTCCTCAGAGAAGGCCTCCATTTCCTCATGACTGTCTAATAAACATGGAGCTGCTCTGGGGAGATGCAATTGTGAGGAAATGGATACAAGGCAGAAAACAAATTCCAAGGCTGTTGGAGACCCCAGTGCTAAGGACTGGAGTGAGATCCACTCAATGGGGTAACACTGAGACCCAGGACTGTGGAAATGTAATAAGATGACTCAGCAGAATTCAGGCTGACATCTCCACGGACAAATCATACATTTTCTTATAAGTTGGGCCTTCAGAAGTAATATTCTTTTCAAAAAGTTAATAATAAGCGAGGCTCTTCTATTCTAGCCAGAATCCAGTGTGAATATTTGAAACAAATGACTTTCACAGATATATAGAGGGAAAAAAGAATTCAAAGCTAGCATCTTATCTTGGAGATGAAAAAAGTGGGGGTGGGAGGAGAGAGCCACAGTCACACAATGCCTCTGTGAGAGCAGTTAGATTATAATCCAGGTCTATCCCAGGACTGGAAAAAATACACACTCAGTGGTTCTCACTGGTGATGGATTTATGGGTAACTGATTTTCTTCTTTGTTGTTTCAAATTTCAAAAGGGAATGTAAATTATTTTTACAGTCTGATTTTTTTTAATTTTTCAATAAGTCATTAAAAAATAGAATGCATCAGAGGAGAGTAACCAGGATGAAAGGGGAATTCCAAACTGTTTTACACAAGAAATAGTTAAGAAAATTAGAATGTTTATTATGGAGATGTAAACTCTTACCAGAGTGTAAACAGGAAGAGGCATTCACAATCACTCACTGTCTGCAAAAGGAAAAGATCTCTGAAGGCAAAGGGGCTGGGTTTTTCTTCTTTGTGGCTCCAGGGACAGAATGAAAGAGCCTAAGCAGGTTTCAGAGAGATCTTTTCCATATCTAGAAAGAATTTCTTACAGGTAAAGCTGAACTTAGGAAACCTGGGGATTGTCATCACTGGAGGAGCTTGGCAGAGACTGAAGAACAAATGGCGGTGGAGTTTTCAGAGGGATTTTCATGGGTTAGTGCTTGAAGGAAAAGATCTGAGTGTGTTCTAATTTAGGACACCCTATGAGGATGCAGGAAGCTCTTACAGTGCCCTGTGGCTCCACATCTCTCTTAGATGTGGCTTAAATTATTGTAGCAAACATGTTTCATGTTCCACCATCATCTTCTTAGCCATGGCTTTAGGACATGCTTTTATGGAGGCATCTTCTGGACCTTCCTTCGTAATAGACTCAGTAATGACCCCCAAAGATGCTCCCATTCTAATGACTGGAACCTGTGAATACGTCACCTTACCTGGCAAAAGATAATTTTGCATATGTTATTAGATTAAGGGTCTTGGGATGGGAGATTATCCTGGATTATCTGAATGAGCCCAATGTAATCACAAGGGTCCTTATAAGAGGAAAGCAGGAGGGTCAGAGTCAGAGAAGAAGACGTGACCACAGAAGCAGAGGATGAAGTGATGTACTTTGAAGATAAAGGAAGTGGCCATGAGCCAAGGAATGCAAGCAGCCTCTAGAAGGTAGAAAAGAGAAGGAAACAATCTCTCCTCTAGAGCTTCCAGAAGGAACGCCAGCCTGTTGGCATCCTGATTTGGGGCTTCTAACTTCCAGACTGCAAGATCATAAATTTGTGTTATTTTAAGCTTCTAAGTTCATGCTAACTTGTTACGGCAGCAATGGGAAACAAATCATGGAGCCAATTAAATAAACACAGGGAGGGAAAGAAAGATGATCTAACTTATTGTGAGGACTGATACACCTGGGGCAGACTACACACTTTGCTTTATGTGCTTATCACTTGAACCTTAGATGTGGGTATCAGAAACCCTATTTTATAGGTGAGGAATCTAAAGCTTTATAGACATTAAGTCAGTTGCATAAGAGAATTTTTACAGTCTGAGAAATCAAGCTGGAATCTAGACCAAGAGCTGCCTAGCTTTTCCCACTGAACTTTGCTGCTTCCTAGCAGGTCTGCCAGGCACCAGATCTAATCACTGCTGCCCTGTGCCTTCCCTTTCTATCCACCGTCCGAACTCTAAGCCCTGCAGTTCCAGGAGGCCTGGGCATGGGGAGGTCCTCTCCCCACAGGAGCATGCGCATGGTTGGCTGTGAATATTCAACACCCTGATATTCGGTAAGGCTCCCACTGTGGTCAGAGCCCAGGTGGTAGGGGAGGGGATAACTAATGTGGTTTCAGATGCCGGAGATGTGTTGAAACAAGGCTGGACCAAGAGAGGTCACCTGAACAACCCGATAAAGGGTTGTTGATCTCCGGTCTGAAACCAGAGCTGAGATCGGCTGCTTTTTCTCGTGGGTAAATTTTTAGAAAGATCACTTCCCTTCTGAGATGGAAACTCGACCCATTTCTGCAAATGCCTGTAACTCTATCTTTGCAGCATCATAGAGTGCCCATACTGGGCATGCCGCACAGGTAGTCCTTTCAGTTGTTTTCGTTTTTTAAGTTAGTACTTTCTTGTTCCTGTAAGTTACTTCACTAAACCTCGGTTTTTTTTTTTTTTAATGTGTTAGACTAGAATAACAATACAGAATTCAGGAGGCTGCTTTGAGGGTCACAGGAAAGAAAATTATGCCTGCACAAGCACCTTGAAACTGCAATATGCTGTGCAAATTTCATATACTAATTAATTAATTGATAAGTTCATAGCCTGCATTATTTACAAAAACAACTTGATTTAAAATGAAAATAACAAATTGTAAGTAAGCATACACACACATCTGTTGAAAGGAACAATGATAAAAAAAATAGATAAGATAGAACAAGGAAGAATTAAATGATAAAAGGGCTTACCATGAGGGGAGGTATCTAAATTTGTCATCTATTTACCCCCTGTATCTGAATCACCTGCTGTCTGGCCAAAACGTAGATTCTTAGCCCGTTTCTAGACCTGCTAAATGGCCATAGTTGAGGGCAGATATGCAAACAGCATATTTTAATGTTTCAATTTCCAGACAATTTACACTATGGTTTGAGAAACATTGTCCAAAGTTTTAGAAAATTACTAAAAGAAAACTGCAAATTTAACTTGTGGCCTTCTCAGGGGCCCAAACAATCATAATCAGTTAAATACTCTAAGAGTTTACCAGCTAAGAACAGACTAAATCAGGAAAAGCAGATACTTTTTTTCTCTTTTTGAGACCTGAGAGAAATCCCTCTTAGGAGCAACCTCTGAAAATCAGTTAGACATCAACAAAGTTACTGGCCTGCAGATGGATGCATAGCCAGGGCCACAGCAAATGGCCGGGCAGGCTGGATGCTCTGCATCTTCAGGGGCCTGACTTTGCAGGACTGTGATGAAACTGAGCCACTCAAGTTGCACAGTGTGCAACCTGCGTGCAGATTCACAACAGCCTGTTCGAGATCTGCCAGGAATCTCTCTGTAACGTGATTAAGAAGAAAAGTTACTCAGGAGACCTGGTCACACAGTATGGATCATATGAAGACTTTGGCCACTGTGAGTCATCCCAGAAGCAGCAAATAATCTATGGCAAGCCTTCTGGTCTATGTACCTGGCACCATCAACCTTCAGATGTCCTTAAGTGAGACCTGGGCACCTCTGCAAATATTTCCTTTTCCTTTTTCTCAACACCCCTTTTATATTTAGGTAGGCATTGCCATTGCTTCTGCTACAGTTTCTCTAATATGTCTTAATTTAGTGATGAGTAATTTTTTAAAAGATTTATTAACATATAATTTATTTACCACATAACTCATCTTATTTAAAGCACACAATTCAGTGATTTTTAGTATGTTCACAAGTTTGTGTAATCATTGCCACAATCTAATTTTAGAATGTTTTCCCCTACTAAAAGTAGTACTCCCAAATGTATTAGCCATCAATTCTCATTTCCCCCATTTCTCCACCCTCACCCCAGCCCTACACACCACTGATCTACCTTCTAGCTCTATAAATTTGCCAATTCTGATCATTTCATATAAACAGAATCATGAGATATGTAGCTTCTTTTACTTAGCGTGATGTTTTCAAAGTTCATCCATATCATATCATATTTCATTCCTTTTTATTGCCAAATAATATTCCACTTGGTTGACTATATAACATTTAATATATCCATTTATTAGTTAATGGTTATTTGTGTTGTTTCCATTTGGGGGCTATTATGGGTAATGCTGCTATGAACATTCTCATATAAGCTTTTCTGTGGACATTTGTTTTTACTTTTCTTGGGAATACCTAGGAGTGGAGTTGCAGACTCTTGGTAACTCTATGTTTACCTTTTTGAGGAACTGCCAAACTATGTCCGAAAGTAGCCGTGACATTTTGCATTCACACCAGCAATGTCTGCATACTCTTACCAACAGAGGTTACTGTCTTTTTTATTCTAGCCATCCTAATGGGTGCGAAGTGATACTTATGGTCTTAATTTGCGTTTTCCCAAAGACTAGTAGTGTTGAACAGCTTTTCTGTGCTTATTGGCTATTGATCGATCTCCTTAGGAGAAATTTCTATTTAAATATTCTGCCCACTTTTTTAAACTGGAGTATTAGTCTGCCTTTCTATTGCTGACTTGTAAGAGTTCTTTATATATTGTGGATGTAAGACCCTTGTCAATATTTTCAAGTATCTCTTAGCAAATAGTTTCTCTCATTCTGTGGGTTAATCTTTCACTTTTTTCAATCTTCACTTAGTGGCACAAAAGTTTTCCATTTGAATGAGACCAGTTTATCTTTTTTTTCTTTGCTCACTTGTGCTTTCCATACCATATTGACGGCACTGTTGCCCTGTGTATGGTCATGAAGAACTATGCTTATGTTTTCTTCTAAGCGTTTTATAGTGTTACTCTTGCATTTATGTTTATTTCCATTTTGAGTTAATGTTTGTGTAAAACATGTGACTGAGTCCAACTTCATTCTTTTGCATGCAGATGGCCCATTGTACCAGCACTGTTTGTTAAAAAGAGTATTCTTTCCCCATTGGCTGGTCTTGATGCCAATAATCAATTGACCACAAATGCAAGGGTCCATTTCTGGATTTTCATCTCAGTTCTATGGATCTCTATGCCTACCTTCATGCTGGTGCTTAATAAATTCTTCACATGCCTACTAACTCTGTTTAGACCAAGGGTTGGTGAATTGCAGCCCTGGGAATCCAGAGGCAGATGAGTTCTCTGGGTCTACTTAGGCAAGTAGTAGTCTTTTTCACACCAACAGAAGAGTACCCAGGGAGCAACTTCCAAATTGTGTACATCTTGATGTCTTTCATTTCTTGTTAAAAATACTTAACAAATTTTCCCTTTATCCTGAAGGAAAATCCAAACTTTAGTAGACTTCATAAATCTTCTCATAATATGGTTGTGGATTGCTTCTCCAGGCTTACACCCCAAAGAAGATTGCATAAAGATGGCCGTTCTGCATGGAATGGAATTCTCTGCAGAAGACACACAGAAAACACGGGCACACAGCCAATATATTCTACTTGGAATCCGGGATACTTGCTTTGCCCAGTACAATGTAGCAAAACTTGGTGCTGGACAGATTCTGAGTTCAGACCTCAAAAAAAACATATAGGCTCTGATTTCTCTTTTACAACCCTGATAAGTCAGAAAATAAGAAAGCCTGAGATAAACTGCTGGATGATTGGTTGCCATGTTGAGAAGATAAGAGGCACTGCATCTGACAGCAGCCAGTTTCCAGAAAACCTAGCACCTGTCTTCAGATGCATGAGTGAGGCCCAGCCAAGATCAGCTAAGTCTGGCTTAAATTAGCAGAACTACCCATTCCAAATCTGAGCTCATCTCAGGTTGCTGACCAGCAAAACTGTGATCCAAGTAAGTGGTTTTTGTTTTTTACGTCATTAAGTATCAGGGTGACTTGTTACTCAGCAAAAGCTAACTGATACAATCCTCTTAACCTCACACCATTTTTTTCTCACTGTTAAACTTTTGCACATAGTGTCTTCTTTTCTTAGAAGACCTTTTCCAATCTCCTTATCTTTCTACTCATCTTTTAAGCCTCTTCTCTGAGGAGTCTTTCGTGGTGCCCATACCTGGGTAAATAACCCTTTCCCTGAGCTCCCAAAGCTCCCTAGGTTCCTTCTAGCACTGCCTTGTTACCCTGTGTTTGACCTTCTCATTTACTGGTCATAACTCCTCCCCTGCAGACAGTAGAAAGTACCAGCATGCATAGCTGAACTTCATTACTGCAGGCCAAGTGTCAAGATTCATACTTGAATATCATAGGAAGGTAGATGTAGACATATCACTGAAGCTTGAGAGGTCAGGATAAACAGCCTGGAGGATATTACCTCTGGAGAAATGTCGAAGTTGGTACAACCAAGTGTTTTCCAGGTAAAAAGGCCCATGTGAAGAGCTTCAGGAAGGAGAGAGAGAATGCCATATTTGAGGACTGGAATGCGTTCAGGTTTTTGTCTGATGGGGTAGAGCACAGGTAAAGGCCAGGAGTCATCAGGAGTCACCGGCAGACTAGGATCAGCCACCTGGATCAAGTCAGCCAAACCTCTCCTTCCTTTCAGTTCTGTCTATTTTCTTTATGCTCGTTCTTTGGACAGAATACAGTTGTTTTGAAAACCTCAGTCTGATTCCACTAGGCTAGGAAGAACTAAAAAGTGGATTCAGTTTTCAAGTGGCTTCAGCAAGTTCTTCCTTTCCTGGTATCCAGGCCAGTGGCAAAGATTTTCTTCCCAGATTAACAGCAGGGAGAGGAGAGGTGTGGCCCAGAAGTGTGTAAATAGAGCACTAAGGCTAACAAAACCTGGGGAGCTGACTCTCTGCATTTGCTCCGGTGTCTGGTGGGGCGCAGGCTCCTCTCCAGGTGGTACTAATAAAATGAGGCTGGGATAATGGGATAAAAGCCCAGAAACATAAAAGCTGCCTGGAGGGGAAAGGGAAGAAGCAGTGGGGGGATACTTTCCTCCCAATGTTAACTGTTCCCACATTAATCAGATTCAGGTATCACAAATTGGTCTTGTCTGCTCTTCCAGGAACATTAAGGGAAGCCGCAACTCCAGAGTCATGGGTCTTTAAAGCAGGAACAACCCCTTTAATCAAGTGGCCTAGCCTCTCCTGAGAGAGGCAGAAAATGTAAGGCTCAGAGAGGGGCAGTGCCTTGGGACAGTTTGCACAGTGAACAGATGCCCTTTGCTTTCCTTAACTAGACTATAAGACGGCTGAGGGCAGGGACCTGATCTCTGGACTAGCTTCATATCACCATGCCTCACACACTAGTGGTGTAGATGGAAATACAATCCAACAAAATGGCAAATGACAAGGTCATCTCATGGGAAGGTAAGGGTTGTAAATGAAAAGAGTGAGAGCACTGTGAAGGTGACTGGACAGGGAAGCACACTGTGTGGTGTTTAGAATGGGAAGGACAGGGTAGGGTCAAGCTTAAAGGATGAATGGGAGCTCAGGGAATTCTTAGGTCTTACCAGCAGGAAAGGAGAACCCTAATACCACATCAGAGGAGCCAGTGTTAAGCTCTGGGGAGTGGGGGTTGGAGCCAAAACAAGAAGAGAAACCAGGAGGAAATGGCTGCTCAGAAGTGTGACGAGCTAGTAGACCAGACGGACCACACATCTCAGCTGGGAAAGCCCCAAAGATGAATTCAGCATCAATACTAGGATGGTGTGAGTTTAAGATTAGGAAAGGTTTTGGACTGAGGGGACTCAGCCCTCACACCACTTTTACAAGAGCCAAGGTCCAATGGCACCAGGACAATTAGTTGAGACTGAAGAGGACCTTTGGGGGACAGAAGCCACCACCAGCACAAACAAGGAGCAAGCAAGGAAGAGAGGAGTGGATGCAGATGGAGCCCTGATGGATTCCCAGGAATGACTTTTGTTTGCATAGATGCCTCTTTGGAAGAAGAGAGCTCCACGTGCCCGCGCCTCTTGAGGCCTATAGGAAGGTGAGTAGGAGCCCATCTGGACCTACTCCTGGGCGCACTTCCCAGGTCATGGAGCCTTTCCATACCTTAGAGTCCTAATTCACATCAGGTAGATGATGGCAGGACCTTTCTCATAGGGCCATTGTTGTAGCTAAAGCAGGTAGAATAGGACCCAGCCCAAGCATGGGTGATGTGTGTGCTGATCATCTGACACTCGACAGTGTATAATTCTGAGAACTAAACTTCACTCACATCTTACTTTGCATTATTGCCAAGCACTTAAAACATATTCTCATTCAATCTCTATTACAGCCAATGAAATTTGAGACATTTCCTTTTGTCTATTTGTCAGCTGAGTGCCAAGGTCAAGAAAAACAGTGACCTGTGCCCTCATATTCTAAAGTAGCCATACCTGGTTCTGCCCTCATCAGCCCATCAAATACTCTTGGCAGCCTAGGAATTTTTTGGAAAGAAGGCTGAAGAATGAAAGCCTCTTTGGAAACAGTCACTGGCATGCAGCTCTCTGGTAACCCTTAGCAACTGAAGAAGCCTCAAGAGAATAATTAGGGGGAGTTGACGTGTGTTCCCCACCTTTGGGGGTGATAGGGACCATCATATGACTTTTACCTATAGGAGTCTAAAGGTGGTAGACTGGCTGAAGTAGTGTAGTGTGGCACAGCAAATCCAGGTAGCAGCCATCAGAGCCACCTCTTCTTCTAGAAACTCTTGGTATCAGCCAGAATAGCCAATATGAAGATTCTGGCTTTGGGATGCTCAAGGGAATGTCCTACAAGGGTGAGAGGATTTCAGCATGGTGAGTATGGAGAGACCTCTTAGAAATTAAGGGCTGACTAGACTCATATAAGGCCCATTAGAGAGGCCATCATCCTACCATGGGACTACCAAGGGGGTCCCCAGTAAGATCTCTGAGGAACACACAAAAGCATCTCAAGAAGAAAGAATTACCTTTGAATACAAATACCAATGTTTGGCTGCAACTGTACCAGATATACCAGGCTCTATGGGTACTACCATCTCTTCTGTACCCACCCTTCAATGTGGCCCCTTTCTTAAAGGACCACACATCCCAGGGAGAGGGAGGAAGACATGGAGCAGAAGGGGTTAGAGAGAGGAGAACTCATGCCTTCTCCACTGCTGGCATTTCCATTCATCCAACCCAAATTTTAAACAGGATGAGGATTTTATTCAACTGGACTACACATCTTAACAATTCCAAGACAGGAATAGAGAAGAGGGATCCGACATAACACAGAGGCAAGAAAATTACATGAAAGAATAAAGTTGCTTCCTGCCTGCTCCCAACCTAATAGAACCCATTCATGAATTTTGGTATACAAATCAAGTAGGCTGTGCTAGCGCCACGGTCCAGAGAAGAAAGCCAAGGCTTGGACAGGTCAGGTGATTTGCCCAAGATTGCACAGCTCAGAGTTGCAGCTCCGTATGCAGATCTATCTGCCTCCAGGAACTGTGCTGGTAATGCCCAGATGTATACCTACAGCAGTTAATGTGGAGTTAGCAAGAATGGAAGGGTTGAAGCTACAAAAGGCAGTGTGTACACAGCAGAGCAGCTTCAGTTTTGTAACGCAGAGCACAGCCTGTTTATTGATGATCCTCTTCCTAAGTACTTCCCTCATGTTTATGAAATGATGTGTGGGTCCTGCCCCATTTTTAATGACTCCTTATTTACATGGAGCACATTATTTATGGAAGCAGAGATAGCGCCATTGCAAACCCATTAGAAAGCAGAGATAGGAGGAAGGCATTGTTCACTCCCCAGCTAGGACAGGATTCTAATTACTCAGGAGCTCACCCTCCTCGCTGTGGTACCAGGCTCAATAAATAACACCCCGTATGGAAATAGTGCTTGATGTAAATTGTGACTCAGTCCACATAAATTGATAGTTGGCTGGTGGAGAGCTTCCAGCATTTGGCAAGAAAGTGAGTAGCAGCCTGGGAATTTGAAGACCCGGTTCCTCAGAGATGGCAGCCCCCATTCCTCACTGCACACTTCTCAGAAACAATTAACATTTTTTATTTAAGTAATAAGCTCCAAAGAAGAGATGTAGCTGGAAGATAATAGCCCTTGTGAAATCACAAGGTGTTTGGAGGTGAATCTATGGGCACTTCGCATAATGAGACGACCATCCATGGATGCCAATTTTCATAGAGCTTTTCAGTGCTAATCGTTTTTCCAAGAAATAATTCTGAGAGTCCAAGGTGGAAGCTGAGCTTCAAAGGCTAAATTGCTCAAATAACTTTGGAATTCATGAACTCTCAGGAAATGCTAGTTGTGGGACCAAAGAGGCTGTCATTTGGGTTTGTTAAGAAAATACGATTTGCTTTCTTCAAGGAGAGATGGGTGGTCCTTCTGATGTGGGACTCAGGGCTACAGGACCATTCTGTGCTTCTGGGAAAATCAGCAGCAAAGGTGATGATTCAACAGCCCATTCCCCTTACTCAGAAGGCAGCAACTGGTCCTGTCGAAACCAGTAGCAGAATAATTTCGGGAAGAGGTGAAAATTTGTAAGACTCGGTATTATGAGGAAAAGGGAAGTCCTCTAAAAAAACAACAACATGTAAGTGAAAACCCAGAAATGGACCCCACACACCCCGAGTACAGGCTATGGGGACTGCCCCAAGTGTTGCTGTCTGCTGCTCTTCCCAGAGGAGGCAAGGGAAGCAGAAGAAAGACTTCAAGTTTTACAGTCCACAGAAAACTGGACTTGACTTCTGTTTCTGCTACTCATATGCTCTGTGACCATGAGCATGTGATATAGCTTGTTGTTGTTGTTTTTTGAGATGGAGTTTCCCCCTTGTTGCCTAGGCTGAAATGCAATGGTGCGGTCTCCGCTCACAGCAACCTCCACCTCCTGGGTTCAAGCGATTCTCCTGCCTCAACCTCCCAGATACCCAGGATTTCAGGCACCTGCCACCATGCCTGGCTAGTTTTTGTATTTTTAGTAGAGATGGGGTTTCACCATGTTGGCCAGGCTGGTCTCGAACTCCTTACCACAGGTGATCTGCCCGCCTCGGCCTCTCAAAGTGCTGGGATTACAGGGGTGAGCCACCTGGCCCAGCCAGCCTTCATCACATTATTTGATTCCTTTCAATGAGCCAATTTTGATGCCAGCACTGGAGATACAGGTGTCCTGGGCTCAAGAAGTTCAGTGTGTGTCCTAAGGTCTCACTCAAGTCACAGACCCTTTCCTATTTGATCTCCTGCCCAAGAGGCTTGGACTTTTCTCCAGAGGCTTGGTGCAACTCATACATATTGTGCTAGTCTAGGGCTAGGGGGCTTCACCCTGTTTTCTCATGTATATTTTAGGACAAGGCTTTGAGGGAAGTATTATTAATTCAATTTAATTAAGCCCACTAATCAAAGCTGTGGAGTAGCTTGAACAAGGCCCATGCTAGTTGGCAGTAGAGTAGGTCTCTGGCTTCCCATTGAGTGCTCTTTCCTTGATACCCCATGAGTCCTGGGCAGAGCACCAAGCAGCAGCAGCTACTCACACATGCTTGGGCCAAAGCCCCTCATCACCCTGTGAGCAGAGCAGGGATGGTAGTGCAGAGGCTGAGAGCCAAGGTTCATCGTGCTGTCCACTTGGTGCTACCCACTTGGTGGCTAAGGCAGTTCCTAGCTGGGCCTCAGTTTCCTGCTCTTTAAATTGGGCTTGGGGAGACCAATGGCTGCTGTGTTCAGTTGTACACATGAACCCCTGGCCAAAGGGAAAGTGGTGGACAGAATCTAGCCCACTTTCTGCTTGCAATGCTGGGCATCCTCACGTGGAACCGAGCCTGTCCAGAGGAAGGAGCAGTCTTTCTGTAATTACTCAAAAGCTCTATATGTGCTACTGGGTTCCCTTGAGAGGCAAAAGCATCTCCACATTTCCTCCCAACACCTTTCGATATCTCCAGTGTGCACAATCCTGAGAGAGAGAGAGAGAGAGAAACACAAAAGCAGGAGTCCCTCCCCACCCCCCGCCAGGGTTAAACTGAATTTCGCCATGATGTGCATTTATGTGCCTGTTGAGGCAAAGCTGCTCTGTAGAAAGAGCACAGGCTTCAGGATCAGTGAGCTCCAGCTTCACTCCCAGGACCCCACCTCCTAGCCACTGGAACTCAGACATCAGAATGAATGCTGTCCTCTGTCACAGCTATGTGCCAGAGTCTACTATGTGCCAGACCTGCAGGATGTTGGTGCACATAGTGACACTCCAGCATCACCAACCCTCTTCTCCCCTCATCTTGCAGAGCAATGAAGGTACTTAGCTACCATGATAGAGTTGGGAAGGAGTTGCTTGCACCTGGATGAGGATTCAGGTGTCTCCAACCCAAAAGGACTTGCTTTTGGTTGCCTTGCTCTGCCTCACCCAAGTGAGAATAACCCTGCTTTTCCCCATTGGTTTCTTGTAATGGTCACAGTGTTTCATCATCTCAGGTCAGACCTGGGTTTAAATCCTGGCTTCTTTAAGTTCTAACCTTTTGACCTTAAGAAATCACTAAGCCTCAACTTCCTCACCTTTGAAATGAAGACTACAATGAAGGTCCCTAACTGAAAAGCTTATTGTGAGTATTAAATAAAAATTATGTAGATATACACAGGTCATAGGCGCATGGTAAGAGCTCAATAAGTGTGAGATATTATTTAGCAGGGGTTGAAGTGATGCCGGTATTATGTAAGTTCCCAGTCCAGCTCCTCACGTAATGTGGGTGCTCCATGATTGATTATCAGCTTTCTTTCATTGTAGAAGAGTAGAGAGGGATAGAACAATGTTCCAGTGGAAAGTGGAGAAGAGAGATGGCACTTGGGAGCCAGCAGGTTATGTCTTCAGGAACTCAGTGTTGACCTCCACTGTCATTTAAACTTTCTTATTTGTCCTTAAAGAATGTCAATGCCTAGATTATGAAGTGTTAACAAAGTGTTCCAAAGTGTGTCTCCCCAAGTTCCGTGAATTACAGGTTAGAGAACACTCTTCTAGCAAGCTCCCCATTCCCTTACTCAGGCTCAAGATCTATCACCTGTACCTGGGAACCTGGGTGAAGAAGCCTGTCCAGGTGGTTCTTTGTACCTGGGGGTATCTGACCCTCCCTGATTCCTTTCCACCTTCCATATGCTCCCCTCTGACTCACTTCTGTTGTAGCCAAGAGGGCAATTGTGGAGAGGTTGTTTAAAACAACCTCTCACACACACCAAACCCTATAATCATCCAAAGTGGTCATTTGATCTACGTGGGAAGGCATGCACTCCCGTCGGCTTCCAGGCACCAGGAAGTGACACCAGCAAGCAAGGAAGCCACACCACTAATAGGAATAACTGCCATCTGTCACAGGATGCCTGCTGGTCACCAGGCATTTCACATGCACCGTATCATTAGTCTTCACAGCAAACCCTGAGGGAGGCCTTACAGGCTGTGTGTTATAGATGAAGGAACGAGGGTCAGCAAGGTGAAGGAACTTGCCCACATCCTCCACAGCTACTAGGTGGCAGCGCTGGGATTCTAGCCAGGTATGTCTGACTTGGGAGCCTGGGCCCTGGCCATTCAGCCAGGCTGACACCCAATTTGATATAGTCATTTGAAGAACACAGAAAGTAACAACAGTGAATTTTGAGTCATAAAGACTGAAGGACCCCCATTCAATAGAGACTTTGTTCAGGGCCTCAGAAGCCCTGTAGATGTTTTTGAATAGTAGGTTATTCTCTTTTCTCTGGCAAAATTCAGCAAGTGTTTACTGCGGACCTGCTATGTGCTAGGAAATGTGCTGGGTTCCTAAAACACACAATAATATTCAATATTGTTCTTCAGAACTCCAAGTCTGACTACCACTTATAACGTTGACTGTGTGACCCTGGGAAAGTTAGTTACCAGTCTTGTACCCTCACTTTCTTATCTGTGTTCTGTATGTCATAAATAGCTGAGATAAATGTATCAAACAACTAGCCCAGCGCATGACCTAGGATAGGTGTGTGATCTCTGGTATTAGAAGCAGTTGCAATTACCATGATTGTTTTCCTTGCTTGGTCCACACAATCCCTTCCCCATGGTCTTTCCTTTATCCCCATCAGCCTAAGGATCCAGCCCACTTGCTTCTCCTCTCCCCAGTAAGCCACCTGAGGTTCCCTGGGCTTCCTTTCATCCCCCATGGTATGTGAAAAACAGGATGTAGAATTCCTTTCTTTCTCCTGTTTTGGTGTCCCCACAGATAAACCTAAATACTTTCTCACTTCAAGGATTTTACTAACAATTTATCCCAGGGTACAGGAAGGTGCCACAAATGGTCCCAGGCAGAGGCACATCATCTGTGTGTGGCTCCTGAATCCTTCTCTGAGATAGGCCCAGGACATTCTCCTCCACTGTGCCTCTAACTGACTAACTGCTCTTGTTTTTGTTATCTAACCCTAATCAAAGCAATCATCTCTTTCTGATACTTTTTCAATTTATTCATTTTTATTTTTATTTTTATTTTCATTTTGAGACAGTGTCTCGCTCTATCATCCAGGCTGGAGTGCAGTGGCGCAATCTTGACTCACTGCAACCTCCGCCTCCCAGGTTCAAGTGATTCTCATGTCTCAGTCTCCTAAGTAGCTGAGATTGCAAGTGTGCCTCACCACATCTGGCTAATTTTTATATTTCTAGTAAAGACAGGGTTTCACCATGTTGGCCAGGCTGGTCTTGAACTCCTGGACTCAAGTGATCCACTTGTCTTGGCGTCCAAAAGTGCTGGGATTACAGGCGTGAGCCACCATGACTGGCCAATTTTTAAATTTAAATTTAAACAGAGGTACACAGATTTTTCTATCATGCTGGAACGTACGCATGCTTTATGTAACCATGGTTAACATACTAACATTGTGGGGTTCTGGGATCTGGAGTGACTTCTAGGAGGATATGGTCTGAGCCCTTATCCTTGAAGAATGAGCCTAGACTTGTGAGGTAGATAGACAGAGTGATTAAGGATACTCCAGACAGGGGAAGCAGAGCAAAGGGGCAAAGAGGGTGACAATGTGTTCAAAATGGAGCAAGGCTGTGCAACTGGTGTGCCAGGTTCATGGTTGAGGGTGGGAGGCGAGTGATAGGAAATGGAGCTGGAAAAATCACTTTGGCCTATTGCAATGGTCTTTATAAGCTTCCAATTTATTAGATATTGCTATGTGGTGAAGCGTGTCCTCCCAAGAAAGATATCCACAAATGATAACCCCTAGTACCTCAAAATGTGACCTAACTTGTAAACAGGGTCCTAAAAGAGGTAATCAAGTTAAAATGAGGTTATTTGGTTGGACCCTAATCCAGTATGTTGGGTGTCCTTATAAAAAGGGAGAATGTGGACACAGGAATAGACACACACAGAGAGAGCACAATGAAAAGGCATGGGATTGGAGTGACACAATGACAAGCAAAGACATGTCTGAGGCTACCAGAAGCTAGGAGAAAGGCCTGGAACAGGTCCTTTTCTAAAACCGTCAAAGGAAGCAACACCCTGCTGACAACACCTTGATCTTGGACTCTGGCCTCCACAACTGTAAGACAATGAATTTCTGGGGGGTTTTTGTTTCGTTTTGAGACGGAGTCTCACTCTGTCATCAGGCTGGAGTGCAATGGCGTAATCTCAGCTCACTGCAATCTCCGCCTGCCAAGTTCAAGAGATTCTCCTGTCTCAGCCTCCCGAGTAGCTGGGATTACAGGCCTGCAAAACCACACCCAGCTAATTTTTGTATTTTTAGTAGACATGGGGTTTCACCATGTTGGCCAGGATGGCCTCGATCTTCTGACCTCATGATTCGCTCACCTTGGCCTCCCAAAGTGCTGGGATTACAGGTGTGAGCCACCACGCCTGGCCATTTCTGCTTTTTTTAAGCCACCCAGTTTGTGAAACTCTGTATGACATCCCTAGCAAAGTGATATAGTCATATACTGAATGATTAACTGCTAACAGGGAAGGCCTTCATTGGGTTGGGAATCCCCAACATTAACAGGACAGGTAGTAAAAGCTCCCTCTTTAAAAGGACCAGGGGAGAGTAGAGTTTATTGATCAGGAGCTGAGCTTTTGAAACCAGACTGCCTGCTTTGTCTTCCTTCTCTGCCTCTTTCTTTCTATGTGTCTGGTGCCTCAGTTTCCTGATCTATTCAATGGGGGACATGCTAATATCTAAAGGGTTGCAGGGAAGAGTAAATTATGTCTCACAAGTACCCGCATAATGCGTGGCACTAGTAAGCGGTCAATAAATGCTAGCTCTCATTACCAAGCTTGTCTTCCTTTGAGTTTTTGCAGTGAAAACTGTTCTCTGCTTGGTAGAATTTGCCCGCAGGCCCCCATGTGACAGAGGCTCTTACAAAAGAGTTTGTTTACATGCATCAAGTTACCAACATTTTCCAAGAAAAGCATTCTCTTTCACTTGGGTATTTACTTACAGAATCTAGTCCTAGCCCAGAGAAAAGTGATGCTTGTGGCTGGTGAGCTGCTTCTTGACCCTAAACCCCTCCCTCGTGGTTCTGCTCAGCATTTCTAGAATATATCCCAAAGTAATCAAAAGCACAGGCAAGCATGTAAAGAGAGACATGCGGTTTCATAGGAAAAATTAAAGAGTTTAGGCTGGGACCAGGATTTGAATTCCTTCTTGGCTACCAAATAGCAGTATGAACTTTGACCTGTGACCCAGGTCTTTGAGTCTCAATTTCCTCACATGCAAAAAGGAACTACTGCTTTCTTGGGAAAAAATGCCTGGAAATTTAATGAGGCAAAGCCCGTGGTGTACCTAGCACATTGCTGACGCATGCCAGGCCTTAGTGCGGACCGTTCTCTGCACCCTTGCCCCACCTGGCAAGGTCAAGGCTATGGCAATGAGGGAGCCAGCGCAATAAAACAAGATCAGTTGCTCCACGAGATTTGGAAGCGTTCATGTCTCCAAATGTCAGGCTGCGAATATTTAGATGCCACAAATATTTGCTCAACTCCCATAAGCTAAAGAATGCACTCCTCACGAATCTCATTTTAGCATTATTTTTATTAAAATCACATTTCAACCTTGAACCATCAGGACCTTTCCCACTAGCCGGAAATGATTGGTGAGCCAGATGCTGGGTATAGAGTGTCACGAGGTTTCAAATTTGATGAGAGTGACTCCTCTCTGGAAGAATCGATGGTGACTCACAGGCTGGGAGGACTGCGGGAGCTGGGGAAGTGGGGGTCATGCTACCAGGCTGGGTCCCAAGAGCAGCAGAACCCTAGCACCGAGGAAACACAAAGGGCCAATCTCAGCATTACTGTTGTTAAGAGACATAATTCAAGTATTTTACACAAATCCAAAACAACTTTTTGAAACTTAGACTTTTTAATCTCACAGTGATTCAGTTTAGGACATGTAGCCTCATTGCAGAATCTTTTGGACCACAGGGGACATTATGACACAGGCTCATGTGTCCATAAGGGAGTGTGGTGTGCTGATCAACATGAGGAGTGACAGTCTTGTGGCAGTGATGCAATCTTGGGCATGGTGGCTCATGTCTGTAATCCTAGCATGTGGAGAGGCTGAGGTGGGAGGATTGCTTGAAACCAGGAGTTCAAGACCAACCTAGGCAACCTAGGCAACAAAGAAGACCTCTGTCTCTACAAAAATTATACAACAATAATTAGCTGGTCATGGTGGTGCATGCCTGTGTCCCAGCTACTCAGGAGATCTAGGTGGGAGGACTACTTAAGCCCAGAAGTTTGAGGCTGCATTCAGCTATGATCATGCCACTTCACTCCAGTCTGAGCCATAGAATGAGACTCCATCTCTTAAAAACAAAAACCAAACAAAACATGTGAGTAGTGTGGGCGCTGCTAACTCTTTCTACACAGGTGACCTCTTCACTAACAATGTACTTATCCCCAAGTGAAATTAGGGTGATTTTGAGACGGAGTCTCACTCTGTCATCAGGCTGGAGTGCAGTGGTGCAACCTTGGCTCACTGCAATCTCCGCCTCCCAAGTTCAAGCGATTCTCCTGTCTCAGCCTCCCGAGTAGCTGGGATTACAGGCCTGCAACACCACACCCAGCTAATTTTTGTATTTTTAGTGGAGATGGGGTTTCACCATGTTGGCCAGGATGGCCTCGATCTTCTGACCTCATGATTCGCCCACCTTGGCCTCCCAAAGTGCTGGGATTACAGGTGTGAGCCACCACGCCCGGCCTTTCCGGTTTTTTTAACGCCACCCAGTTTGTGAAACTCTGTATGACATCCTTAGCAAAGGGATATAGGCATATACTGAATGATTAACTGCTAACAGGGAAGGCCTTCATTGGGTTGGGAATCCCCAACATTAACATGACAGGTAGTAAAAGCTCCCTCTTTAAAAGGACCAGGGGAGAGTAGAGCTTATTGATCAGGAGCTGAGCTTTTGAAACCAGACTGCCTGCTTTGTCTTCCTTCTCTGCCTCTTTCTTTCTATGTGTCTGGTGCCTCAGTTTCCTGATCTATTCAATGGGGGACATGCTAATATCTAAAGGGTTGCAGGGAAGAGTAAATTATGTTTCACAAGTACCCGCATAATGCGTGGCACTAGTAAGCGGTCAATAAATGCTAGCTCTCATTACCAAGCTTGTCTTCCTTTGAGTTTTTGCAGTGAAAACTGTTCTCTGCTTGGTAGAATTTGCCCGCAGGCCCCCATGTGACAGAGGCTCTTACAAAAGAGTTTGTTTACATGCATCAAGTTACCAACATTTTCCAAGAAATTAGGGTGTTGACCAATACAATCTCATTGAGATGGGGTTATGAGAGTGGTCCCTAATTCAGTATGACTGTATTCTTATAGAAAGAAGGGAATTTGAAGGCAGACACACACAGGAAGGGGAACACATTTAGAAGATAGAGATACAGATTAGATTTGTGCAATGGCAAGCCAAGAAATACCAACGGTTGATGACGCTATGGTGTGAAGATTTGTCTCCTCCAAAACTCATGTTGAAATGTAATCCCCAAGGTAGCAGTATGGAGAGGTAGAGCCTTGAAGAGGTGATTGGTCTGCCCTCATGAATGGATTAATCCATTGATGGATCAATGGGTTAATGGATTATCATAGGAGGGGAACGGGTGGCTTTATATTAGGAGGAAGAGATACCTGGGCTAACATGCTCCACTTCCTCATCATGTGATGTCCTGTGCTACCATGAGACTCTACAGAGTTCCCAGCAGCAAGAAGGCCCTGAGCAGATATGGCCCTCTGACCTTGGACTTCTCAGCCTCCGTGACTGTAAGAAATACATGCCTTTTCTTTTTAAATTACCCAGTTTCAGGTATCCTGTTGCAAGCAACAGAAAAACGACTAAGATATCTGGTAACAACTGGAAGTAAAGAGAGAAAGCATGGCCCTGCCAAGACCTTGCCTTCTGACTTCCACCCTCTAGAACTATGGGAGAGGAAATTGCTGTTGTTTTGAGCCACCCAGTTTATGACCTACTTTGTTATGGCTGCCCTAGGAAGCTAATGCATTCTCAAACTTCTGTCTCCTTTGACAAGCAGGTAAACCAAATTCCTAACAAAAGGCCACGGGGAAGCCTGCATCTAGCAGTTTTATAAGAACAATAGGGGCAGGATCCAAACTGGAAGGTAACAAAGGGGTAGCTGAGGAGGAAGTGGCTACAGAGTAGACTTTTGTTTTAAGGTCCTTAGGAAAAATATTTAATTTCTCTAAGTCTCAGTTTTCTCATCCCTAGCATGGAGATAACAACAGCACATAGGTTTGTGGTTAAGCAAAATGAATGAGTGATTGCCTGTTAAGTGCTAAGCACCAGGCAGGAAAACAAATAAGCAGTCTCACATTAAATAAATGGAAACAATATTTTAAAGATGTAAATGCTTAATATACGTTGCAGATTTAAATGGCTTCTATTAATATGTTCAGTAGTTCACCCTTTCTTAGTCAGCACTAGGGGTGTGTTCTGGAAGAAAAGGACACCATTCCTGCTATTCAGAAGTTAATAGATGAATGCAGTCACTGCTTCTGCTACTAATAACAATCCTACCTCCCTAAGTATGGAAAAGGCAACCCAGAGAGCTGACTTAGGATGAGAACATCAATTGGCCACCTATCAAAAAGGCGGACAGCCCAACTTCTGAGCTGTGAATCTGACTATTCTGTGATGAAAACAGAATAGAAATAGACAATAAGAACCTAAAATTAAGATATTTTTCAAATCAAAAGTGAAAAAAGAGATAAGGAAAGTATTTTTTAATTGGAAAGCATTATTATTTAAAAGCATTGTCAGAAAGAATTAGGGAGTGGAGAAGCTGTTCAGCCAAGATCAAGGGTTTGCATACATGACTCTTTAATCACACAGGTTTTGAGAGAGTCATAAAATATTTACAGTGCAGAAGCCACTGGACAATGCCTAAGACAAAATCTAATTGTATCCTCAAGCCAAAGAGTCACCACTTGATGATGGGACCCCGCAGGGCCCAGAAACAGGGCTCCGATGCCCACGTTAGTGTGTGCCCATTGTGTCCTGTTGCCCCTAGGTCCAGGGCTCACCAAATTCCTCAAGAAAGGTCCAGGTTCAGGGATTCCACTTTCCCCATGGCATCCAACTCTCCCACCTTCCAGCTGGCCCTAGAATCTGCCATCTTTCTTGTCTATATACTACATCATGATTTTTCAGAGTTGCTTGCAAAGTGTATATAAATATCACATAGCACACAGTTCAGAGGGTTTGGCTGGTGACTGAGCTGTACCTGAAGAGACCCAGAATCTGGGGAGGTAGGACATGCCCCTCTCACGTTGTGCTCTCAGGCTTTGTGACCTCACCCATCTCCCCACTGATACTCTGAGCCCTTTAAAGGATAGCCTCTCACCTCTATATCCAGCACTTTCTGCGGGTCTGGTTCAATGAATATTCATAAATGAATGCACAGAATTTGAATGAATATGTAAGTGGTGGGGGTAAAAAATACCTAGAGAGGAAAGACTAGTTTGGGATATAGAAGACGTCATTCATAGGGTGACACATGAGTGGATCCTGAGGATGCTGAAGAGTTCCCTAAGCAAGGGAAGTGGGGCAGCCTTGGAGACGGAAAAGCATTGTATGCAGGGCTGCTCCTCGCTCTGCTGAGGAAGGGTGAGAAGTTCAGGCTCCTGAGGAGTAAGGGGCAGGCATGGATTTGCCTGAGACAAGCCCGGATATTAGATCTGCCTGGACCAGGAATGAAAGGGCCTCCCTGTTGGAGAACCTGGGATCTCTCTGGAGGGAGGCTGAGCATGAAGGATGGATCTGGGGAACAGGATGACAGTAACTGATTTGAGGTATAGAAAAACCACAAGTGGGTTACCAGTAGATGGAGGACAGCAGGCCAGGAAATCAAGAGACTAGGTGAAAAATGAGAGTCTTGACCCAAGAGGGTGAACTTTGGACAGAAGGGGGAAGGGGTCTAAAAGGCATTTTCCAGACACAATTTTTGACTCACATGGGAAGTGAGGAAAAGGTTTTAACCTCACAGTCTGGGCAGATAATGATGCTCATTTTTGAGACAGGTGGTACTAAAGACGACAAAGCAGAGAGGGGAGCTGAGGATTCATTCTGGATTTGTCAAGTTCAAGTCACCAGAGGGACATCCCAGTGAGAATATCCTACTCAAGGGCTTTAAATTATAAAGTTAGAGCTTTAGGATTCAACAATACCTGTAAAGAAGATCTGCAGGTCATCATGGAACCATGACTATATTTCAGTATTGCTTTGAATAAAGGGATGCTGACGTTGTGCACTGGAGCTTACCATGTGAAAATCAATTTTCCACACTTTGGAGTTCACAACGCACATTCACAACCTTCCCCTCATTAACATCCCTACCGCCACCACCATCCCTGCTTATGGCATAGACGACCAAGATTAGAAATATGTTTTAGCCAATCTGAGAATGACCAAAGTAGGCAGGTTGTTCTAGGATCACGTAACTAAAAGCAGTGCCTCTTGGACTGATGGATGGTCTCAAGTCCAGTTTCAATCTCTTCCCATCCTAGTGTTTTGACCATTTAATCTACTATATGCTAAGCTTTAAAACTCCCATGAGATGTGTTGGTGGAGTCCCTAATGCAAAGGGCATTGGATACCTTACCTGAGCACAGCTCAGAAGAGAAGCTGGAGATTGTAGGTGTGGGGCTGTCAAAGCCATCTCTGCAGACAGAGGGAAGGCTGAGTGAGAGTATCTTCAGGGGCAACACAAGATCTCTGTGCATCTGAATAGGGTGAAGCAGGGACTGGAGGCATCTGAAAGCTGAATGCATGTGCATTAGAACTAGACTTGAGTTCAAGTCCTGGCTTCAGCACTTATTTATTTATTTATTTATTTATTTATTTTATTTTATTTTATTTTATTTTTCTTTTTTTGAGACGGAGTTTTGCTCTTGTTGCCAGGCTGGAGGGCAATGGCGCCATCTCTGCTCACTGCACCTCTGCCTTCCAGGTTCAAGCAATTCTTCTGCCTCAGCCTCCTGAGTAGCTGGGGTTACGGGCACCTGCCACCACACCCGGCTAATTTTTGTATTGTTGGCCAGGCTGGTCTCAAACTCCTGACCTCAGGTGATCCACCCACCTCGGTCTTGGTTAAATGGGAGGATTGGTGGATCTTGACTGCTGGGCTGTTACACAAACAAAGTGTGATTCTGCACATGGACACTGCACCATACTGACTGGTATTGGTAAGTGTTTAGTAAATTCATGTGGTCAGATGGGGAAAGCCAGTTTGTCCATATTCTTTGTCATAGAATTGCTTTCTCAAGGGTCTTGCCCTTTCTTGTGCCCTTGAAGACACAGGGCTTTGCACCAGATGCCTGACAGCTAGTAAATGTTCAAGAAAAGAAAAACAATCCCAGGCAGTAAATCAAAGGATAGTTTCTAATAAGAGAAACAACAGAACAAAGAATACAGGAAACATTTGAAAGATCCGGAACCATAACATAAAATAACAGTGTGTCTGGACCTATAAATAATAACGTGTGCTATGGGGGAGAAATGGTTCCCTTTTGATAGGTTTGTAAAACCAGATGAAGGAAGCAGAGGAACACGTGAACTTCCATCTCTTGAAACTGGCACTCACCAAAGGAATGCAGATGAGCTCAGTTACCCAGCTATAACGTGCATTGAGAAACAGCCTAAATGTAATAAAATTGATGGTGCCTAATTGTCCAGGGGTTTAGTCCACAGGGTACAAAGTGGGAAGGGTGTGGTCTGATTCTGCAGGACCATTAATTAATTGAGAGCAGGTTAATGAGGTTTGCCAAGAATATCCTAAATCATAATGGCCTGGGAGCACGATCAAAGTGAAAAGCATAATACAGGGAACTCATCAAAACTAGAATTATGAGTTAAAAATGAGATGCAGCTTGGAAATAATGCAAACAAAAGTATCTGGAGAAAAATGATCAGAAACAACCAGAGAATGCAGTAGGGGGCTCCAGCAAGAAAAGCAATGGAAATGCAAAGACAGTAACAGATTAAATATAGGAAGAAAAGAATGGACTGCATAAGCTGGAAAAGGTTAAAGGAATGAGCAGTCTGCTGCCAAGTATAACTGTTATGAACCCAGGAAGGTGTGGCTCTGCCTTTCTAGCTGGTTGCATCTCAGAGGAAGATGGAGGTGATGGTTGTGGATATGAAGAGGTCCTAATACATAGGATCTGCGTTAGCTCCAGTAACCTTGAACTTGCTACTTGCACTCCTCATGCCTCAGTGTCTTTCCCTGCAAAGCTCAAATAAAAATAACAACCACCTCCATCCTACAGGGTTCTTGTGAGGAATAGATGACTAAAGATGGGAAAAAATTGAAAATTGTAATTGAAAATTGTAAAGGTTTTGCAAACAACAGTCATGGGTTCAAACAAACCAAACTAATAAAAAAAGTTCTATAGATGCATTGACTTCATTGATTTACCTGTCAAAGTGAGATTTTTTTAGTCTTCTGGAGTCTTCCTGTGGAGTGAGAATTAAATTTGTTGATACCTGTGAAATATGTATAATATATCATACATACATATGTATACAAGAAATATACAAAATGACATTTCACATATATACATGAAATAATAACATATATTTCACATGACATGTATAGAAAAGTATCTGGCAATAGAAAATGTTTGAGACATGTTATTGACTTTTCCACAATGTGTCAGTTCTTCTTTGTAAATCAGTTTCTCTCACTAGAATGCACTAGAATGTGCACTCCTTGAGGGTCAAAGCCACCTTATCTATGCTTTATATTTCAGCACAAAACACTGTGTTTGACACCCAGAGATATCTGTGATTGAAAGGGCAACAATGATAATGACACTTAATATTTATTAATGCTGACTTTGCATGAGGGATTATGTTAGCTGCTTTACCTTTCTTAATTATCATGAAATCATTTGAATTAGGTATTATCATGTGTCTTATTTTACTTATGAAGAAGCAGGTACAGAGAAGTGACATGAAATTCCTAAATTACACAGTAAGAGGTGGAGCAGAGATGGAGTCCATGCCAGGCTTTGTACCACACCAGTCTGGTCTTCTCACACTAAAAAGGAAGGAATAGAAGCATGGATGAACAAGTGAATGAAGGAATGGAAGCATGAGTGAATGAGTGAGTGGCAGGACAATTATCTAACATATTGTAGCGATGGATAATGTTGACATATGCACAGAACTCAACTCCCAGGAAGCTAGCTGGGAAAGTGTGCTCCTTGGATCCTCTCACAGTTTTCTTGGGCCTCATTTGAATTTCTTTCTATATATATATATTTTAAGTTCTGGGATACATGTGCAGAACACATAGGTTTGTTACATAGGTATAGATGTGCCATGGTGGTTTGATGCACCCATCAACCTGTCATCTTCATTAGGTATTTCTCCTAATGTTATCCCTTCCCTAGCCCCCTACTCCCTGACAGGCCCCAATGTGTGATGTTCCCCTCCCTGTGTCCATGTGTTCTCATTGTTCAACTCCCACTTATGAGTGAGAACATGTGGTGTTTGGTCTTTTGTTCCTGTGTTAGTTTGTTGAGAATGATCATTTCCACTTTCACCCATGTCCCTGCAAAGGACAGAAGCTCATCCTTTTTATGGCTGCATAGTGTTCCATAGTGTATATGTGCCACATTTTCTTTACCTCGTCTATCATCGATAGGCATTTGGGTTGTTTCCTAGTCTTTGCTATTGTGAATAGTGCTGCAATAGACATATGTGTGCATGTGTCTTTATAGTAGAATGATTTGTAAATCTTTGGGTATATACCCAGTAATGGGATTGCTGGGTCAAATGGTATTTCTGGTTCTAGACCCTTGAGGATTTGCCACACTGTCTTCAATAATGGTTGAACTAATTTACACTCTCACCAACAGTGTAAGTGTCCCTATTTCTCCACATCCTCTCCAGCATCTGTTGTTTCCTGACATTTTAATGATCACCATTATAACTGGCATGAGTTGGTATCTCATTGTGGTTTTGATTTGCATTTCTCTAGTGACCAGTGATGATGAGCTTTTTTTCATATGTTTGTTGGCTGCACAAATATTTTCTTTTGAGAAGTGTCTGTTCATATCCTTTGCCCCCTTTTTGATGGGGTTGTTTTTTTTCTTGTCAATTTGTTTAAGTTCCTTATAGATTCTGGATATTAGCCCTTTGTCAAATGGATAGATTGCAAAACTTTTCTCCCATTCTGTATGTTGCCTGTTCACTCTGATGATAGTTTCCTTTGCTGTGCAGAAGCTCTTTAATTTAATTAGATCCCATTTGTCAATTTTGGCTTTTATTGCCATTGCTTTTGGTGTTTTAGTCAGGAAGTCTTTGCCCATGCCTATGTCCTGAATGGTATTGCCTAGGTTTTCTTCTAGGGTTTTTATGTTTTTAGGTTTTACATTTAAGTCTTTAATCCATCTTGAGTTAATTTTTGTAAAAGATGTAAGGAAGGGGTCCAGTTTCGGTTTTCTGCATATGGCTAGCCAGTTTTCTCAACACTATGTATTAAATAGGGAATCCTTTCTGCATTGCTTGTTTTTGTCAGGTTTGTCAAAGATCAGATGGTTGTAGATGTGTGGCATTATTTCTGAGGCCTCTGTTCTATTTCTTTGGTCTATATATCTCTTTTGGTACCAGTACCATGCTGCTTTGGTTACTGTAGCCTCGTAGCATAGTTTGAAGACAGGTAGCGTGATGCCTCCAGCTTTGTTCTTTTTGCTTAGGATTGTCTTGGCTATGCAGGCTCTTTTTTATTTCCATATGAAATTTAAAGTAGTTTTTTTCCAATTCTGTGAAGAAAGTCAATGGTAGCTTGATGGGGATAGCATTAAATCTATAAATTACTTTGGGCAGTATGACAATTTTCACAATATTGATTCTTCCTATCCATGAGGATGGAATGTTTGTCTATTTGTTTGTGTCCTCTCTTATTGAGCAGTGGTTTGTAGTTCTCCTTCAAGAGGTTCTTCATGTCCCTTTTAAGTTGTATTCCTAGGTATTTTATTCTCTTTGCAGCAATTGTGAATGGGAGTTCACTCATAATTTGGATCTCTATTATTGGTGTATAGGAATGCTTGTGATTTTTGCACATTGATTTTGTATCCTGAGACTGCTGAAGTTGCTTATCAGCTTAAGGAGATTTTAGGCTGAGATGATGGGGTTTTCTAAATATACAATCATCTCATCTGCAAACAGAGACAATTTGACTTGCTCTCTTCCTGTCTGAATACCCTTTATTTCTTTCTCTTTCCTGATTTCCCTGGCCAATACTGTGTTGAATAAGAATGGTGAGAGAAGGCATCCTTGTCTTGTGCTGGTTTTCAAAGGGAATGCTTCTCAGCTTTTGACCATTCAGTATGATATTGCCTGTGGGTTTGTCATAAATAGCTCTTATTATTTTGAGATACATTTTATCAATACCTAGTTTATTGAGAATTTTTATCATGAAGTGGTGTTGACTTTTACCGAAGGCCCTTTCTGCATCTATTAAGATAATCATTTGGTTTTTATCATTGGTTCTGTTTATGTGCTGAATTACGTTTATTGATTCATGTAAGTTGAGCCAGCCTTGCATCCCAGGGATGAAGCTGACTTGATCATGGTGGATAAGCTTTTTGATATGCTGCTGGATTCAGTTTGCCAGTATTTTATTGAGGATTTTCACATCGACGTTCATCAGGGATATTGGCCTGAAATTATCTTTTTTTGTTGTGCCTCTGCTGTGAATCTGTCTGGTCCTGGGCTTTTGTTGGTTGGTAGGCTATTAATTACTGCCTCAATTTCAGAACTTGTTATTGGTCTATTCAGGGATTCAACTTTTTCCTGGTTTAGTCTTGGGAGAGTGTATGTGTCCAGGAGTTTTGGTATCAGGATGATGCTTGCCTCATAAAACGAGTTATGGAGGAGTCCCTCTTTTTCTATTGTTTGGAATAGTTTCAGAAGGAATGGTACCAGCTCCTCTTTGTACCTCTGGTAGAATTCGGCTGTGAATCTGTCTAGTCCTGGGCTTTTGTTGGTTGGTCAGCTATTAATTACTGCCTTAATTTCAGAACTTGTTATTGGTCTATTCAGGGATTCAAGTTCTTCCTGGTTTAGTCTTGGGAGGGTGTATGTGTCCAGGAGTTTATCCATTTCTTCTAGATTTTCTAGCTTATTTGCATATAGGTGTTCATAGTATTCTCTGATGGTAGTTTGTATTTCTGTAGGATCAGTGGTGATATCCCCTTTATCACTTTTTATTGTGTCTATTTGATTCTTCTTTCTTTTCTTCTTCATTAGTCTGGCTACCAGTCTATCTATCTTGTTTATCTTTTCAAAAAACCAGCTTCTGGATTCATTGATTTTTTTGGAGGGTTTTTTGTGTCTATCTCCTTCATTTCTGCTCTGATCTTAGTTATTTCTTGCCTTCTGCTATCTTTTGAATTTGTTTGCTCTTGCTTGTCTAGTTCTTTTAATTGTGATGTTAGAGTGTCGATTTTAGATCTTTCCTGCTTTCTCCTGTGGGCATTTAGTGCTATAAATTTCCCTCTAAACACTGCTTTAGCTGTGCCCCAGAGATTCTGGTACGTTGTGTCTTTGTTCTCATTGGTTTCAAAGAACTTACTTATTTCTGCCATAATTTCATTATTTACCCAGTAGTCGTTCAGGAGCAGATTGTTCAGTTTCCATGTAGTTGTGTGGTTTTGAGTGAGTTTCTTAATCCTGAGTTCTAATTTGATTGCACTGTGGTCTGAGAGACTGTTTTTTATTATTTCCATTCTTTTGCATTTGCTGAGGACTGTTTTACTTCCAATTATGTGGTCAATTTTAGAATAAGTGCAATGTGGCACTGAGAAGAATGTATGCTCTGTTGATCTGGGGTGGAGAGTTCTGCAGATGTCTATTAGTTCCATTTGATCCAGAGCTGAGTTCAAGTCCTGAATATCCTTGTTAATTTTCTGTCTCATTGATCTGTCTAATATTGACAGTGGGGTGTTAAAGTCTCCCATTAGTATTGTGTGGGAGTCTAAGTCCCTTTGTAGGTCTCTAAGAACTTGCTTTATGAATCTGAGTGCTCCTGTATTGGGTGCATATATATTTAGGATAGTTATCTCTTCTTGTTGCATTGATTCCTTTATGATTATATGATGCCCTTGTTTGTCTTTTTTGATCTTTGTTAGTTTAAAGTCTGTTTTGTCAGAGACTAGGATTGCAACTCCTGATTTCTTTTCTTTTTCTTTCTTTTTTTTTTGTTTGCTTTCCATTTGCTTAGTAAAATTTCCTCTGTCTCTTTATTTTGAGTCTATGTGTGTCTTTGCATGTGAGATGGGTCTCCTGAATACAGCACACCAATGGGTCTTGATTCTTTATCCAATTTGCCAGTCTGTGTCTTTTAATTGGGGAAATTAGCCCATTTAGATTTAAGGTTAATATTGTTATATATGAATCTGATCCTGTCATTATGATGCTAGCTGGTTATTTTGCCTGTTCGTTGATGTAGTTTCTTCATAGTATTGATAGTCTTTAGAATTTGGTATATTTTTGCAGTGGCTGGTACCAGTTTTTACTTTCTATATTTAGTGCTTCCTTCAAGAGCTTGTAAGACAGGCCTGGTGGTGACAAAATCTCTCAGCATTTTGCTTGTCTGTAAATGATTTTATTTCTCCTTCACTTATGAAGCTTAGTTTGACTGGATCTGAAATTCTGGGTTGAAAATTCTTTTCTTTAAGAATGTTGAATATTGGCCCCCACTCTCTTCTGGCTTATAGGGTTTCTGCAGAGAGATCTGCTGTTAGTCTGATGGGCTTCCCTTTGTGGGTAACCAGACCTTTCTTTCTGGCTGCCCTTAACATTTTTTCCTTCATTTCAACCTTGGTGAATCTGATGATTATGTGTATTGGGGTTGCTCTTCTTGAGGAGTGTCTTTGTGGTGTTCTCTGTATTTCCTGAATTTGAATGTTGGCCTGTCTTGCTAGGCTGGGAAAGTTCTGGATAATATCCTGAAGAGTGTTTTCCAACTTGGTTCCGTTCTCTCCGTCACTTTCAGGTACACCAATCGTAGGTAGATTTGGTCTTATCACACAGTCCCATATTTCTTGGAGGCTTTGTTCATTCCTTTTCATTCTTCTTTCTGTAATCTTGTCTTCATGCTTTATTTCATTAAGTTGATCTTCAGTCTCTGATGTCCTTTCTTCCACTTGATTCATTTGGCTATTGATACCTGTGTATGCTTCACAAAGTTCTCATGCTGTGTTTTTCAGCTCCATCAGGTCATTTATGTTCTCTAAACTGGTTATTCTAGTTATCAATTCGTCTAACCTTTTTTCAAGGTTCTTAGCTTCCTTGCATTGGGTTAGAACACGCTCCTTTAGCTTAGAGGAGTTTGCTATTACCCACCTTCTGAAGCCTACTTCTGTCAATTCATCAAACTCATTCTCTGTCCATTTTTGTTCCCTTGCTGGCAAGGAGTTGTGATCCATTGGAGAAGAAGAGGCATTCTGGATTTTGGAATTTTCAGCCTTTTGGCACTGTTTTTTTTTCTCATCTTGAGTGGATGTCCTTTTTGTTGATGTTGATGCTATTCCTTTATGTTTGTTAGTTTTCCTTCTAACAGTCAGGCCCCTCTGCTGCACATCTGCTGGAGTTTGCTAGAAACCTGTTTGCCTGGGTATCATCAGCGGAGGCTGCAGAACAGCTAAGATTGCTGCCTGTTCCTTTCTCTGGAAGCTTCGTCCTAGAGGGGCCTTCACAAGTTGCCAGCCAGAGCTCTCCTGTATGAGGTGTCTGTTGACCCCTGCTGGGAGGTGTCTCCCAGTCAGGAGGCATGGGGGTCAGGGACCCACTTGAGGAGGCAGTCTGTCCCTTAGCAGAGCTCGAGCACTGTGCTGTGAGATCCTCTGCTGTCTTCAGAGCCGGCAGGCAGGAATGTTTAAGTCTGCTGAACCTGTGCCCACAGCCGCCCCTTCCCCAAGGTGCTCTGCCCCAGGGAGATGGGGGTTTTATCTATAAGCTCCTGACTGGGGCTGCTGCCTTTCTTTCAGAGATGCTCTGCCCAGAGAGGAGGAATCTAGAGAGGAAGTCTGGCCTCAGCAGCTTTGCAGAGATACAGTGGGCTCTGCCCATTTCAAACTTCCCTGTGGCTTTTTTTACACTGTGAGGGGAAAACGCCTACTCAAGCCTCAGTAATGGTGGATCCCCCTCCACCCCTCGACCCCACCAAGCTCGAACATCCCAGGTCGACTTCAGACAGCTGTGCTGGCAGAGAGAATTTCAAGCCAGTGTATCATAGCTTGCTGGGCTCTGTGGGGGTGAGATCCATGGAGCAAGACTGCTTGGTCCCATGGCTTCAGACCCCTTTCCAAGGGATTGAATGGTTCTGTCTCACTGACGTTCCAGGGACCACTAGATTATGAAAAAATAAACTCCTGCAGCTAGCTCGGTGTCTGCTTAAATGGCCGCCCAGTTTTGTGCTTGAAACCCAGGCCCTGGTGATGTAGGCACCTGAGGAAATCTCCTGGTCTGCGGGTTGCGAAGACCATGGGAAAAGCATAGTATCTGGGCTGGAGTGCACTGTTCCTCATGGCACAGTCCCTCATGGTGTCCCTTGGCTAGGGGAGGGAGTTCCTCTACCCCTTGTGCTTCCCTGGTGAGGTGACACCCCACCCACCTTTGGCTCACCCTCTGTGGGCTGCACCCACTGTCTGACCAGTCCCAATGAGCTGGATACCTCAGTTGGAAATGCAGAAATCACCTGCCTTCTGCATTGATCTTGCTGACAGCTACAGACCAAAGCTGTTCCTTTTTGGACATCTTGCCATCCACTCCTTCATTTGAATTTCTGACACATCAAAACCCTTTTTCCTTCTTCCTTAGAAATCAGCCCCCTGGATGCATTCCAGAAATGATACTGAAATCTCTTTAATGTAGGGGTGATTTCATTAGAACGATCTGAGTCAGGCTTATTTTACTGTGAGCTGTTCCACGGTTGAGTTTGGTGAAATCAAATTATTACAGAAAGTTTAATGAATGCGATAGCAAGAATCACTTTGCACAGTACAGAACACAGCCCCTCTGAGCCTTCCTGGTTTCAGAAACTACTTAATGCTAGCAAAAATGTGATAACACTCACTCTGATGCCCAGTCTATGCAGCTACCATCAGTACCCACCATGGCCCAGCACTGAGCTCATTGTTTCTATTTATTATTTCCATCTGGCCACAAAACTACATTTTAAGGCTAAGAAGCCTAAGCCAAGCATTTTATTAGCTCATATCCCAGCCTAGCATCCAGATCTAATTTCTCCTTTTCTCGGACATCCCTGCAGTCAGAGCCTTGCTCTAAGCAAGCAACCTTTGTCCATCATTTATTGTCTGTTTCAGATTATAAGTTTGGGGCTACTGCTGTTTCTGGTTGTCAAATGTTAACACCTCTGAAACTGCGCCTCATTAAACTTTTAATATCCTGCCATGGCCTCCCCTTTGGGGCTGATCTTTAACTCTCAGAGGCTTATAGAAATGTATACATTTAATAGTCCTATCACTTTCAAAATGCAAAGGAGTTAATGCAACTTATTTTCTCTGTTATTTATGTCTGGGTTTTTTGTTTGTTTGTTTGTTTGTTTGTTTTATTACACCGTATGGTTTAATGCACCATATGGTTGCCTTTTACAATGGGTCAATCATGACTCTTTACAATGTCTTTCAGAAGCCACTGAGACAGTGGTGGGGCAGCCACCTTCTCGTTCTTCTTCTTCTTCCTGCTTTCCCTCAGAGATGGACTCTTAATAAGATATCTCAGAAGCTGGACTGGCCTAACTGGGTGAGTGCCTCTGCTCTGCTGTGCCCTAAACTCTGCCCATTTGACTTTCATTTGCCCCCATTAGATCCTGCTGCTGATCTAGAATGATTTGAAATTCTGGGCAGAGTCTCTGGAGATCAAGCCCAAGGCTAACCTTGATGGTGGCTGCCTCATGTGCTTCTGAAGGCTTCCTTTTGCATCTTCCCAAGTTGTCGCCCTTTTCCCAAATCCTACACTGCAATCTTATAACTTCGCTCAAGCCCTGTATGGTAGCCCTTGAACTTCTTTTACTGTAGCGGGTTCCCATTGTAAGCAGGGGGTGGTCTCTTGGGTCTTGGCATCTAGGCAGGGCCTGGGGCTGCCAGAGGGAGAGCCATGTCACCTGAGAGTCTTTTTACTTATTGCCCATCTCCTTCCTGCCCCACATTCTATCATCTAACTGGAGGCCACCCACCCAGAAGCAGCTCTCCCCTCCTGAATGCCCGTCCATTTGCCTGGGTCCTCTTCATGGACTACCCACAGGTGTCCCATCCTCAGGGTCTTCCTGCCAACCAAGTCCTACTCAAGACCCAACCCCTAGTCATGGCTATCTTCTTGTCACTGGCCTGTGCCACCTGTCACCACTTCCAGACACACAGCTGCCCACCTGGTAGAAGACTCTTCCTGATCTCCAGCTGGCTCTGCCTCCAAACACCAGCCTGCTTCTGGTGGCTATTTTTCCTCAGCCCCTCTCTGTCCTGCCTCTCTCACAGCCTTCCCAGCTCCTCTTCTGACAGCTGTTTGAGAAGGATACCCTCTCAAACCCTGAAGGGCACAAGCGCTCTCTTTGTGTGCCCTAAAGTCCTAAAAGAAAGACCCCTCCTATATCTCAATTGGGGGGAATGTACACTATTTGGAACCTGCCCCATCATTACATCTGATCTAGAAGCCCTGACTGCTAACAGACCTTAGGAAAAGGGAGTTACCTCAAGACTACAAGATAACAGAGTGCTGTATTTCCCTATTCCACCTCTGACCATCATCACCATCTTAGAGGTTCTTTATGGCATCTTGCAAATACACTCATGATTAAAACAGAATGGAGAAACCACATCAATGTCTAATGCATGATCATTAGACCTTTGATTTTAGACTGCCGTGTCAGGTATGGAAAGGAAGGGTCGTCGTGTTTCCTCTGTGGTGTCAGAAGGGGCCTGCATTATGATAAACATTTCCAGACACCAGATTTACTTCCACCGCACCTGGTCCTGTGCTTGACACATCATAAGGGCTTTTGGATGTTGGCTGAAATGGGTTTCAAGTAACGGGAGGCAGGGTAAACATATTCAGAGAGAGACACACAAAGAAAGGCAGAGTGAGATGAGTTGTCCAGGCTTTGGCTAAGAGGGAGGGAATGTTGCCTCAGTGTCTTCAGGAGTTTAGAAGCAAGTCATTGAGCAGTGCTGACCTCCTAGGAAGAGGTGAACCTGGAAAGTAGTAAGAATGCCACTCAGAGACCAAAGGCCATCACTGTTAGTTGGTAAGAAGGCGCATTCATTTCCTAGGATTGCTGTAACCAACAGCTACAAACTGGGTGCCTGAAAACAATCAGAATTCATTGTCTGGCAGCTGGGGAGAGAAGTCTGAAATCAAGGTGTCCACAGGATTGGTACTATTGGAGGCTGAGGGATCTGCCCCACCCCTCTCTGCTAGTAGCTGCTGGTTTTCTGGCTGTCTGTAGCATTTCCACCTTGTGGACTCATCTCCCATCTTCACACAGCATTCCCTGCATCTGTCTTTATATCGCCTGCCCTCTGAACGAGCATGTCTCTGTGTCCAAATGTCCCTCTCCTTATGAGAACACCAGCCAGTGGATTAGAGCCTACCTATGCTAATCCAATAAGTCTTATCTTCATTTGTTTACACCTCAAAGATTCTATTTCCAAATCAACTCACATTCTGCAGTTCTGGTTGGACATAAACATTTGAGGAAACACTATTCAATTCAGTACAGAAGAGGGCCAAGTTTGAGTGGAGTCTTAAGGACACCTTAAGTTTCTTTTTTTTTAGAGGAAGTCTCGCTCTGTCACCCAGGCTGGAGTGCAGTGGCCTGATCTCCGCTCACTGCAAGCTCCTCCTCCTGGGTTCATGCCATTCTCCTGCCTCAGCCTCCCGAGTAGCTGAGACTACAGGCGCCCGCCACCACGCCTGGCTCATTATTTTTGTATTTTTAGTAAAGACGCCGTTTCACTGTGTTAGCCAGGATGGTCTCAATCTCCTGACCTCTTGATCTGCCCGCCTTGGCCTCCCAAAGTGCTGGGATTACAGGCGTGAGCCACCGCTCCTGGCCAGGACATCTTCAGTTTCTAAAGGAACATCAAGGACAAGACACAGCATCAAATCCCATAGCCGACAGAGAGGATGAAAGAGGGTGTTGTCTCAAGCCCTGGGGCAGAAGAACAGGCCAGGCCGAACAGATGGGACACGTTTGAATCTAAAGTTGCAAATTCCTCAATAAGTTATACAGATCACACTAATTTACCTCCATATGCAACGAAGTCGGAATCAACATTTCAGGTCCTGAGGGAATCTTTGCTAACATGACGACTTTAATGAGCCGGGAGTCAGGGGTTATTTTAATGAGAATATAAAAAAAAATACGTTCGCCAATGTTTCAATGTTTTGTTCTCTAACCAAAAGCAAACAAGCACACAAGCAAAACTGAATGGAAGGTGGGAAGGTGTTACCTTAAACTGTGGGGAAGGCTGTCATAGCTGTGTTTTCCCCACCATCCACGTCCACGCTCAGCTGTCAGCCCTGCCTCAAAAGTGGAGAGTCCAGGTTCCATTACTTCTCAGCTAGTGTCCAAAAAAGAATGTTAATTGTGAAATGAATATAATTGTTCTAAGTCACTATTCTGAGACTAACAAAAGAAATCAGGAATGGTGAGTGTGACACCAGGCTTTCCTGGAGGGATGCTGACAGATTCTAGAGACTTCTCTCTCCTCTCCCTGCAGCACACAGCACATGCGCAGAGCCAATCCCTGTGCATCGACTGCACATCCTGCTTGGCAAGAGAAGTGGAGGAGGGTGGGGCCACGTGTCTGCAGAAATGGGAGGGCTGACAGAATCAGTGTTCTAGAGGGTCCTCAGAGCTCATCCCCTGTGCATTAATAAACACTCTCCCATCACTGAGGGCAATCCCCATCCTTCTCCCTGACCTCCACCAAGATCCTGCATGTCCAGTTCCTTCCTATTACCACTTAAGGAACTGCAGGTCATTTCTCCCAGCCGATTAGCAGTCAAGAGTGTGGATTTGATTCTGGAATCAAAACACAGCACAGGCCAGGCACTGTGGCTTACTCCTGTAACCCCAGCACTTTGAAAGGCCAAGGTTGGAGGATCACTTGAGCCCATGAGACAAGCCTGGACAACTCATAGCAAGACTCCATCTCTATAAGACATAGAACTAAAAAAAAAAGAAAAATTAGCTGAGCATGGTGACAACATACCTGTTGTCCCAGCTACTGGAGAGGCTGAGGCAAGAGGATCACTTGAACCCTGGAAGTAAAGGCTGTAGTGAGCCATGTTTGCACCACTACACTCCTGCCTGGGTGGCAATGAGAACTTGTCTCAAAAAAAGAAAAAAAAAAAAGCACACAGCACAGGTGCTCTGACATTTAGCAGCTAAGTGACCTGGGCCTATTCACTCATACTGTTGCCTCAGTTTTCTCATGTGTAAAGTGCAAGAATAATGATAGTTTATGCCCAAATTCTGATGATAACATATTTCAGAACAAGGAAAATACTGTAATTTCAATTTTTCAGTCTAGAAAACTGAAACACAAAGAGGTTGGATAGGTGGGCCACTGGCCTTCTGAGGACTGATCCTTCTCACAGGACCATTTTCCTCATCCTTTAACTAGAATGGCCTCGTGTCTGCAAATGTCTTTTGTATGAACATTCAAAATTAATTCTAAAAACATTGCCTCTGGCGCTGCCTTTGTGTGCTAAATTACAGCCCATCATTACTCTGCAAATAAGAACACAACACCCGCCAGCTTGAGCTTCCTATAGGAACAGTTCTACAACATGACAGAAATAGTCCAAAGACTCTCTCCATATGCACAGAGGTAACACGTGGCAGAGCTGGGATTTGAACCTACAAAGTCTGAGTCCAGGGCCCTGGCTCTAATTATTACCTCTTTGGGACTGTCAGCAGCCTGGGGATCAGAGTCACTGCATCACTCTCTCATATCTCTAATGCCTATCCTTTAAGAAGCATGGATACACACTTATTGAATGAGTGAATGCAATTGTCATAATATATCATCTCATATCATCTTACATCAGTTTTATCAGGACAGGACCATGCACAAACATGGACAATAATTTTCCTTTAGGAAAAAGAAATCTTACATAATTTATCTTTTCTGCCCAGAGCCTAGCCTACCAAGGTCATAAGTATATTTGGAAGGTGGTCAGTATATATTTGTTGAATGGCTGAATGACTGCACAGTTTGTGTTAGTTTATGTTGATGGGTAGATTAGTTTGTTAGGGCTTCCATAACAAAATACTATACACTGGGCAACTTAAACAACAGAAATTTATTTTCTCACATTTCTGGAGGCTAGAAGTCCAAGATTAAGGTATTGGCAGGGTTGGGAAAGCTTTCATCTTCATAAGATAGTCAAGTTTTAAACTTGGGAGGTAGGCATGTTATTCTCATTTGCTGGACATGAACACTGAGGCTCAGAGAGACGGGGGCGCTGACTTGAAGTCAGGCATCTGGGACATCAACATGAGTCTTCAGACCTTGCAGTGCGACCCTCCTCTCTCTCCAGGGACACCTATGTTCATCTTTTCCTTGGGATGCTTAATCAATAAATATTTATTGAGTACCTTGTTCATGCGATACATAGTTTTAGGCTCCTATGATTCCGCAGTGAACAAAGAAAATTCCCTGTGCCGTGGAAGGAAAGTTTGTCTGGCTAAGGCTCAGGCCCAACTATGGGTCTGACTAAGATTTGTAGGCTAAGATGCGGGAGAAAAAGAAACTGGAAATAAGTGGTGCACTTTTTCAGTTTTGCTGAAATTGCTTCATCAGATGCTTCAAACATCATTTCTTCTCTATGGGGAGGATGAAGAGGGAATTTTAGCATCAGTTGGGAAGTAATGAGTTCAAGAAGCTGGAATTTAGGTAAGGCGCTTTCAGGTACTTCTTCCTCTGCCTTACTTTTTATCTTTGGCAATGTCAAACTCATTAGAATCCCAATACCTGCTGCACTAGTTAGAATAGACTATACTAGGCTCCAGTCATAACGTAAACCTCAGCATCTCAATGGCTTAACCCAACTCTTATGCACATTGGGAGACTCTCCAAGGAAAATGTCCTCCATGCAGTGACTCAGTGATCCAGGCTGCTGTGATCTCCATATGTGGCCTCCATGAGTGGAGTAGCAGGGGGTAGAGGGTTGAGATTTTCACATCAGCTTGTAAATGCTGGAGCCTGGAAGTGAAACACAACACTTCTACTTGCAACCTATTGGCTAGAAATAGTCCCATGGCCCTGCCTACCTACAAAGGGAAGCATCTGACTTTTCAGTGACTAGTAAATACTTCTGCCATCACCCCAACCTCTGCTTCTCCCCAGTGCCTTCTCTCTTCAGTTTCCTCTCTCTGGCATATTCCCTGCATTCCTGGGCTAAATCCTAGTCATCCTGCGAGATTCAGCCTATGCAACAAGTCTTCAAAGAAGTTTTCAATGAACCTCCAGTTTTGCTGGGAAGCTCTTTAGGTGCCCATAATAGCCCATGTTTGTCTCTATCAACTCCAAAACACTGCTTTGCAATGCTCTATTCACATATATATCTTCCCTATCAGATTGCAACTGTTAACACTGAAATGTAACAGTATCCCGCATCAAGTAGGTATTCACTAAATGCTTGTTGAATGAATACATGAATGCTATTGACTGCTTAGAATTGCTTATACAAGAACAAATTAAATAAGTTCCAAACTTAAGGCTGGATTGTGGATTCAATTGAGAAAGCAGTCACCTTACTGGTAGTTTCACATCCTAATCACATTTCCAGGTAAAAAAATCATCATTGCTCTTTATTAAAAATACAGAAAAACACGTGCTGCTTAACTGGTGCATAATTTTTCCAGGACTAGGTTGCAACTTAATTTTCTAAAACTTACTCATGCCATACAAACATGTACACACATGTACTTGGACAAGCATACCTACACACATGCAGAGACATCCTAACACCGTGCATACATGCAACACTCTAGCTAAACAGGTAATGTGCTCACCTCCAAAATAGACCAAGAGAGCTCTACCCCTATACCTTGGTCTGTTTTGCCACCTCTGCCAGGAAGGCCATTCTATCTGTCCCTTTTGGGTTCAAATCTGTCTGTCTGTCCCTTGGGTTCAAATACTTTGAAACCAAGGTTTTTTTCTGATTCATTTTGCAGAGTTCTTTTCTTTCATGGAGAGATGGAAATAGCCTGATGTGAAACAAAGGACACAGGATTGGAATTAGGCAACTCGTGGTGTATGTCTAAGTTCCACACCCAATTATGACCTTACTATGACCTTCTAAAACAAGTCACTGCATCCTCTAAATGTCCTCAATGTATAAGCCTCATTGTCCTCATACATAAAATGGAATCTCATGGCCTGCCAGGCAATGTTATTGGCTAAGTACCTGATGCTTAGTGGACATGCAATAAAGTGTGGGGTGCTTGCTACACATCGGCTTAGCAGGTGCATGTTTTGTACTGGTGGATGCATGACACAGTGGTGTTTAACAGATTCTGAAACCTTAGAAGCAGGACGAAGAGACAGCTTTAAGGTCAGCAACTAAAGGGAACTTACATACCTTATACAAATTCCTTTAGGACTAGCTTTCTTGCTGGCTTGAATGGGGAGTCAGCAATGCAGAAAGAAACCTAAATTTTCTCTCTCCTGTATTAGTCAGGGTTCTCTAGAGGGAAAGACCTAATAAGATAGATGTATAATATATATGAAAGAGAGTTTATTAGGGAGTATTGACTCACACGATCACAAGGTGAAATTCTACAATAGACTATCTGCAAGCTGAGGAGGAAGGAAGCCAGCCCAAGTTCCAAAACCTCAAAAGTAAGGAAGCTGACAGTGCAGCCTTCAGTCTGTGTCCAAAGGCCTGAGAGCCCGTGGTAAATCACTGGTGTCAGTCCAAGAGTCCAAAAGCTGAAGAACTTGGAGTCCAATGTTCGAGGGCAGGAAGCATCCAGCATGGGAGAAACATGAAGGCCAGAAAACTCAACGAGTCTGCTCACTCTACTTTCTTCTGCATGCTTCATCCTAGCCACGCTGGCAGCTGATTAGATGGTGCCCACCCAGATGGTGAGTGGGTCTGCCTTTCCCAGTCCACTGACTCAAATGTTAATCTCTTTTGGTAACACCCTCACAGACACACCTAAGAAGAATAGTTTGCATCCTTCAATCCAATTAAGTTGCCACTCCGTATTAACCATCACATCTCCTGAACTGAAATAAGCAAATAGGCCCGAAATAAACTACTTTTCTCAAAACTGGAAAGGTAGGTGTAGGTTTTACCATGAGTCAGGGTGTAGTTAGTAACCAGAATCAGGCTGATGTCCATAGGCTTCAAATTGCCTTTAGTGGCACTTACGGAGGAGGAAGAGTGTTAACAACAACCAAAGCAAAAATAGTAAGAAAGACTAAAGAAATAAACCAGCATCATATGAACGAACCCACTTGGTCCTGGTTTCTAGCTGTCTCAGAAAGGGCCAAAGTAAGCATCGACAGAGTGTAAGAAAAGTGAATAAACTCTGGAATCCAGATAATGCTGGTTCTAGCATGGACTGAGTATGTGGCCTTGTGAAAAAATGACTTAAGTCCTGTTTCTTCATCTGCAAGGTAAAGAGCTCTCCTTTCCGTGGGCTGTTGCACCTGGAAGTGTTTTGTGGATGCTTCACACACACTAGGGTGTCAGTGTGCATGCGTACTCCCCAGTTCAGTGAGTGCTGGTGCACAGGACAGTGGAAGTGGCCTTAGGATGACTTCGGGAGTTTTTTCTAACTGAAAGGTTCTACTTTAGTCCACAGTGCATTAGGAAAAAGCTCCTTCTGTCATACTGGTGGGTGCCTTGGCAGTGACAATATTCTCCTACAAATAGGGTGGCCATTAAATGTATTGTTCATACAGGGACAGTTTAGATAATAAAAGTGAGGAGGAGGACAGGTTACTAATGATCGCACTGACACAAAAAGCAAATGGCTGTGTGGTCATCCTCACTAAAGAGATGTAAAATGATCAATGCAGAGTCTTCCCCCAAACTCACACTGCCACCGCATCTCCTGCCCCAAGAACCTTCTCTATTGCAGCTGATTCACCTCATCAAAGCCACAGTAGGTACCCCTGAGCCAAGCCTGCCAGCACCCACCATGACCTTCATTAGAGTCCTTTCCCATTCTGTTATGACTGGCTGTTCCTCTGCCTTGCCCACTAGGCTCTAAGCTCCGTAAGGTCACTTCTTGTGTCCCTGAACACTCTTGTCCTTAGCACAGGGTTTAGGAGCTGGTACACAGGGATATTCCCAAATTGGGAGGATTTGCCATTTATGCTTTTTACCCTGCCTTTACCAAACACGTATGAGAAAGGACTGAAGGTAAATTGAAATTTTTTATGACTTTCAAATAGTCTCAAAGGTGCACAAGCAGTCATGTATCCAAGCAGTTGTGATCAGTGCTGGGGACACTATGATGACTGTGTCACCATTCCTGCTGCTAAGGAATCCAGAGTCCTATAAAGGAAATACCTACAGGAAGTCGATAAGAGCAGATAGAAGCCTGGGATAGGGTGGTAGAGTAGGGTGGTGACACATAAACAGATTGGGGTGTGCTTTGAAGGTAAAACCAGCAGGACTCACTGATGGACCAGATGAGGGAGTTTACGGGAAGAGAAGAGACAAGTTTAACTTCCAGATTTGGGGCCTGATCAAACAGGCACACGGTGGAGCCATGGGCCAAGATGGGGAAGAACTGACATGAGACAGGCTTGGGAGAAGAAGTATGGTCACGGGAGGGAATCAAGAGTTTTGTTTTGGCCACGTTAGGTTGGAGATGGTCCATCAGCCAACCAAATGCAGATGCGAGGCATGCCCATGGGATGTGTCTGGAGCTCAGAGAAGAGATCCTTCTATATGCCAGGCCCTAGCAACATGCCTACAATGTCATCTGCTCTAGTTTAAGCCACACCTAGCTAATTTTAGTTCCCCACCATTTCATGTTATCATCTTCAGGCCTTTATACAGTCCTTGCTTTCTGAAGGCTTTTAAGTCTCAGAGGAGGCATTGCCTTTTCCAGGCAGCCTTCTCTGAGGCCCTAGGTTTAGTCATATGCCCTTACTTGGTGGCCTCACAAGACGCCACGCTTGGCTTCTCTGGCATTTATCAAACTAAAATGTAATTGTCTGCTTCTCTATTTTTTTCATTCCATGTCAAGTGTCTTGGGAGTAGAACTGTCTTCTCTCCCTGCCTCTCTATAAACAAATGTAAGACATGGCAATGTGGAGATGGTCTGAGAATGTCTGCTGAATGAATGAGCATGACCAGCACAGGGGTGAGGGATGTAGAGACAAGTCGCCACCACGTGGAATCTCTTTAACTTAAATCACATGTGTCAAGAACCGCTCTTGTCATGAAAAGCAGGCCTGTGTCAACCAAATTTCCAATACATATGGATTACGACTTTTCCAGTCAAAGTAATTCAGAGACCATGATAAATTAGAGGTTGATAAAAGGCTCCAGTTCAAGATTTATGGCTCTTCCAGAATTCTTTCAAGTTTTCCCAAACATATAGAGACTGGCCTCTCTCCTGTAGCTGAAACATCTGACTCTGGTTAGGACACTGTCCTCTGGGAGTGAGCCATATCGTGCAGTGCACAGTCCTGGCCCTGGGAAGCTGGCGGTGGCCCTGGAAGGGGGATGTTCTTAAACATTGGTCCTGCTTGTCCCCTGTGCCCTGGATTCTTGACCAGCTGGGCCTATAGCCCAGAAAGTTAGGACCTTGGCTGTGACATTTCTGGGGACTTTCTGAGATCCCCAGGAGTTTTGCCTAGCAGAAAAACAAATATGTGTGCGTGTGTGTGTGTGTGCGTGTGTGTATGTTTTGAGGTTGCTAATCCATAAGCTGCAGCTAATGTCATCTATCTTACAGAAGCAACACAAGAATTTGCAATAAAGTTTATAAAGAACCAAGGCCAGGATGATCTCTCTTCTCTGCAAGTAGTAACTATGTGAGGTTGATAAAGTTGCTTTGGGTCTGAACTTGACCTGTGATTCTAAATTCTATCAGTAGTTTATAAATCCTATCAATAGTTCTTGAGTACCTGCCATGTGTTAGGCACTGTCCTCATTTCTGGACAAACAGAAGTCAACAGGATCACCATACTTGTTGCTTTGGTGTGGTTGATATACCATTGAGGGATGGGGAAACAGACAGTAAATATCAAGCACATACCACTTACGTGAATTCCTTAAGAGAGGTGAGTGCTGTGGAACATGAGCCAAGGTGTGGTGGTAGACAATGGCAAGTGATGAGGTCACAGATGTAGGAGGCAGCTTCCTGAGGGCAACTAAACATCTGAGCTGAAGCCAAATGATGAGAGGGGGCCATCCAATTGCAGACCTCAGAAAGGAGCAGCTCGGGGAGAGGGAAGAGCTGGTAGGACTGTGATGATGATGACAATGAGAGGGAGGAAGCCTGTTTATGAGCACATACACAAATTCATCCATTCATCTATCTGTCAATCCAATCATTCCTTGAATGAGCTCATACCAATCCTGTAACTCTCGTCCTCTGTCCCAGGCTTTCTGACTCAGACCCGTTTCTTGCTCTTAAAAACTTTGTAACCTCATGAAGAAACCACAGCCAGGTAAATATTCTTCTATTTTGTTCCATTTTGCTCTTCTGTGGTCATTGGTCTGATTTTTGGCCTTAAGTGACACTCTTTTACCTCCAGCTGCTGCTGTCTTTCACATGTATGTTCCTCTCACTTCAATAGCATGCTAAGTAGCAAAACCCAAAACCCTCCTCAATCAATCTTCAATCCCTATGCAGGGACTGCTGACAAAGACACTTGTACATAACAGCCTCTAAGTATAACGTCTACATCCACTTCCATTCCAGGTCATAATTATGTGGTTCCAAGTACCTGGTTCAGCTGCACGTTTCATCTGGGCTCAGGTTCCTTCTTTATTTACCCCACACATAGGCACTGGGTTTGAAGAGGGCTGAGGTTTAGACGGTGGGCTTTGTCCTTAGGAACATTTAGGCAGTGACCTTGTTACATGTTTCTGACTTAGTAGGTGCAAGTCCCTTTTGCACACTTCGCCAAGCCAAACATCTTCTAGGTCTTCCCAGGGCTTAGAACCATATATCAAATCTTGTTGGTAAGGCCCTCAAATTCTTCCTGGGTCATGGGAAAGATGGAATCACATCTCAAATTATCCCCTTTTTTTTATAAAGTGCTCTCACATACAGCATGTCATCTGACCTTCACTGCATTCTTGAAGATAGATCAATGCATCCCCATTTTATTCCGAAGACCACTAAATTTCCAGGAGGCAGAAGTCGGAGTGGGAAGTGGACAGAGATCTAAAACACTTGAGATAACTTGAGTACCTGTGCTCATCTGGCTGGGTGCCACAGGATTTCATCCAGAGACTTTGTAAAACAGTGATCATGAAGCCCATTTTCCAAGTATTTATTAATTGTCCAAGATTTCAAGGAGTAGAGTCAAGACATTAAACAAAGACTTTAGGCTTTAGTCGACGGCATTTTCTGCTACAAGATGTGGCTCGTGTCCTTCTAAGGTAAGCCCGATGGGCCATTCCAGATGTGGTGGTGGGTGGGAGGCCAGCAGGGGATGGTGAGGAATGTTTCCCCACCCCTTAGTGGAATATCAACCACACCAAAGCAGCTTCCCTTCTGTGGCCCGGGCACTCACGGACACTCTTGCAGATGTACTAAAGAGAGAAAAGCCCTCAGTTTATTTTAGAATCATAGATCAAATTCAGACCAAAAGCATAAATGCTTCATGAAGATTCCAGGAAAACGTACCTTTGCCCCACATGTCAGAACTAAGGAAACTTATAGATCAAATGATCTCAAGCACTTTACCAACAGTAATACACAGAAATCAACTCAAGAAGGTTCTTCCCAAGTCCCTTCCATCACCTGGCTATCTCCCACTCATCTTTTAGGACTCAGCTTACCCATAGCCTCCTCTATGAAACCCTGCCCCATATGAGTCAAATGTCCTCTGCTGGATGACTTCAAAACATTATCACACTGCATTTTTAAAAATTGCTTATATGTTGGTCTCTTCCATTAGACCTGAAACTCTTCTGAAACAGAATGTATGTGAATATCTTTGGAGCCCAACTCAGTGCCTGGCATCAAGCAGATTCAACAGAGGCCGAAATACCGTGAAATGAGTGTTTAAATAAAGTAGCATTTGCCACAGTAGGTTCTGTGACTTGTTAGAAGGTGTCAAGTGACAAACGCGGTTCCATATTCCAAGATCTTTGGAAAAGCTCAGATGAAACCCAGGTTCTTTGAGAACTTCTCAGAGCCTCTATTTTGCAAACGGGTATGAGAATATCGGAGAGGAGCAAGTCAGTGGTATTGCCCACTTAAATGCAAGTTACTTTTCATTTAAAGAACAAGTTTAATAGAACAAATTTTGGAAAATGCTGCAATAGATTAATTTATCTGGAATCCAGGATTCCTGAATCTCAGCATTGCATGGTGTTTCTCATTGACATCAGCACCTGTGCCCAACAGTAAATCAGCAGCTTCACTCATTCTCACCCCTGTCCCAAGGTAAATGGCTAGGAGCTTCAGGAAGAGTCCTAGGCCATCCTTCCAAGTACAAAATGGGCTGCTGCCTTTGAGTCTTGATCTCTTTATCAGGAGAGCTCTTTAAAGAGAGCTTGGGGCCAGTGGAGCAGAGAATACAAATTTCAGGTGGACAGGCCTCCAGGCCAGCAGCTTTCACTTAAAGCAGCTTCTTTTCAACTGTGTGCCTTTGAACAAATCACTTACCCTCTCTGAGCTTTAGTTCTCATGGGAATCATCTGATGAAGGAAATGCAGAGAAAAGTGCATGCCACAGATCTTAGGGAGCCCAGGCTAAATGTAGTTCCAGAAAATAGCACTCGGTGAAGACTCATCAGGTTCCAGGTTCTGTTAGACTTTTTCCTATCCCTTTTCTCCTTTAATTCTCAGGATTATCAACTGGGCCAAGTGTTGATATCCCCATTTTACAGACAAAGAAATCAATATGCCCATAGGCTAATTTCTCCCATTCTAAGCTAATAAATGACTGAGCAAAGAAACTGAAATAGAAGGCTGATTTTGTAAGATGGTCAAACTACCCCCAACTGCAAGTCACATGTCAGTCTGTATCCTGCCTGACCTTTCACCTCTTCCCACCTGTTTAGCCTCCCTACAACTCACTCCATCTTCCCATATCTGAGGCAAGTTTTCCAAGCAAGTCTTTTTTTTTCTTTTCTTTTCTTTCCTTTTTTTTTTTTTGAGACGGAGTCTCGCTCTATCACCCAGGCTGGAGTGCAGTGGCACGATCTCGGCTCACTGCAAGCTCCACCTTCCAGGTTCATGCCATTTTCCTGCCTCAGCCTCCCAAGTAGCTGGGACTACAGGCGACGGCCACCACGCCCAGCTAATTTTTTGTATATTTAGTAGAGACAGTGTTTCACTGTGTTAGCCAGGATGGTCTCGATCTCCTGACCTCCTGATCTGCCCGCCTCGGCCTCCCAAAGTGCAGGGATTACAGGCGTGAGCCACCGCACCTGGCCCAAGACTTTTTCTTTTAGATAGAGTCTGGTTCTATTGCCCAGGTTGGAGTGAAGTGGTGTGATCTAGGCTCATTGCAAACCTCTGCCTCCCAGGCTCAAGCCATCCTCACACCTCCGCCTCCTCAGTAGCTGGGACTACAGGCACGTGCCACCACACCTAGCTATTTTTTTGTATTTTTTTCTAAGAGACTGGGTTTCTCCATGTTGCCCAGGCTGGTCTCAGACTCCTGTGCTCAAAGGATCCACCTGCCTCTGCCGCACAAAATGCTGGGATTACAGATGTGAGCCACTGCACTCAGCCACAAATCCACTCTTCAGAAAGCTTCTACAATGCCTTGTCTTGATAAAAAATGAACTGGCTGTGCGAGTGACAGATCACAGGTTTCATGCTCACTTCCTCACACAGCCTCGGCCCAGTTCCAGTGGAGGCTGTAGAAGTCATTTCTCCTCCTCCAGGGAGGTCCCGGATACATGACAAGTATTGCTGAACCCGTTTGGTGCCAGAGCAGTGAGCTCCTCTTTCTTTTACCACCATCTCCCTGCATCTCTGACTCCAACATTCAAGTCTTTCTTTAGAAGGGAAGAACACATCTGACTGCCTTTAGAATAAGAAGCTCCCTTTGCTGGCTGTTAAGGGAATAACATTTTCATGGCAATTCCTTAGTCCCTGACATATACAGAAGCAGGAAACTTCTCTCGGGGAGGCAATCTGAGAATCTTGATCCCATTAGCAACCCAATATCCACCTCAATCGTCTCCTATGTAAATCAGGAAGCACCTTGCATCTCTCTGTTGAAGGGGTGTTCATCACTGGTAGACAGCCTCTTTGATCTTGATACGAAATCCAGATTATGGGAAAATCTTGCCTTCCCAGCCCTTTAATCCTCCCAGTGTGCTCAGTTCTGCCACTCTTGGCTGCTTACCATAAGGCGAATCTTCCAGAAAGAGGCTGTTTAGGAGGCTTTGCCCTCCATCCTCCCTTCCCTTCCGTCTCACAGGACATGGCCTGATGCATCCTCTCTGATTGTAGACAGGCTCCTCTGAGGTCTTCTCATATTTTGCTTCTACTCCTGTTCAAGGGCATAGCCCTGAAGCAAAGATAAACCTCAGAGCTGTTTAACCAGCACTGCTCAGGGATCCACCTGTCTTGGCTTTGACCTCATTTTTTTATTAACGCAAACTACAGCCACTCTGGAGTTTTTAGTGAGTCACGTCTCACCTTCCCAATTGGGAAGAGAATGTTAAATAATATTATATCAGTTCATGATAACAACATCATGCAGTTTGTAAATAGCAACCATCAGGACCAAGCCTCAATCTAGGGCTTGGTCGCTCCACAACCTCCCTTTTCTTCTTTGCTTTCAACAGTAAGCCTGTGTCCTTCTCCTGTTAGATATGCTTCCTCAAGGGCCTTTCTCTGATCTCAGGACAACTCAGGCCTTTGTAACAACAGTTTCTCTTTGATCCGTTTTCCATCCCAAGGGAAGGCCTTTCAGCTTGAAGGATTTCACTGCTGAACATGAGGAAATCTTTCAGGCCACCAGGTGACAAAGGAGAAGGGCAAATACCATGACCTCTTGCCCCCTCATCCTCTGCACTGGATCCTACCCAAATTTCCCTGCACACTTGCAGGGGAGCAAACACTGTTCTAAGCTATGTGCCTGCCTCATTAGCATATTTGTCCTTGGTACGGCTCCATGAGTGTAACTACTGTTTTTTTTGGCTCTGTGTTTGCAAAAACTCAGACCCAAGTAAACAGCCTTGTTCATGGTCCCACATCTGGGAAATGAAATTGCCTGATTTGAACCCATGCAGTCTAGATCCTGAACTAGTGTTCTTTCTTTGAAAAGACAAACTTCTAGAAGCTTCTGAAGTCCACAAGCCCTCATCACTGAGTCCTGGCACTCTCACTGGGTGGTACCCTGAAGGCCTGTCACTCCCCGTCTTTGCCCTCCTAAGGACTTAGCCCAGTAAACCCCTTCCCTTCCAGTGCCTTCCAAGGTTGTGCAGACCCCTTCTTCCCCTACTGTTAGCAAGGCTGTTCTCCTGGTCTAGCCTGACCTGGACCCCAAAATCCTGTCTATAGATAAGGTAGGATGGATCAGGCCAGGGAGCATGAACTCGTTAACTCAGGACTTGATGACAATGACAGAGGTTATATGCTGAGAAACTAAGACCGCCCTCAGGAAGGAAAACTCAGTGCAGTCATTGTACATCAAAGCCCTTGAGGATGCCCTGGGCCCTGAATTCTGTCTTTGGGGGTCCATGTCTAAGATTATAAGCCAGGGTCCATTAAGGTGTTACTCACTTCTGGGACATCCATCCCTGTGTCTGTCTCCTGCTCTGAAAGCCGTCCTTCCTTCTTCTGACTTAGCCACTCCTCCCAATAAAGGCAAAATACTCCCTTAGAGCCTAATCTCAGCAACATGAAGCCACACAAAAAATAACCATTTAAACTTGTCTAGGACTCCTGTAGGAAGCAGCTCCCAGCCTCTTGAAATTTGGATTCAAGCTGCTATCATTTCCAACATGTATGCTCATGTTGGAACAAGAAAGGTGGACATGATTGAAATTTGCATTTAAATGGAAATGGTTAAAGGTAAAGGCCCAATGTTTAGAGAAATGAGAGTATCCATTTTTCTAAGAGGGACGCCGAGTGTTATTGTATACCATTAAGGTGTCACTGAGCCGAAATATGTTTAGAAATATTAGATGCTGGTACTGCACACAGAGTGGAGACTGGCATTTGGAAATGACTCCATGCCACAAATGAATCTAAGTGAACCCTGCATCAAGCACAATTGCTTATAATGTGCCTGCCACCATTACCTAATTCCAGCCCTGTTCACTAAACAATAGAAGTTTTATTAGACAGCTTTCTGCTACTTTTCAATTGTAATAAATGCCAGTACTGGTTCATCAGCATACAACTTGGCAACACAGGCCATCTTCCATAGGATACACACAGAGAGACCTGAAAATGTTTGGCTGAGGTTTTACCAAAAATGTCACATGGATTTCATCCACAGTACGTGAACAGTTAATGTGTCGTTATAATGAGCCAAAAGGAAATAGAGCTTAAGGATGTAGAAAATGTTGTCGGCCCTTAGCAGTCTGGACAATTGTATCCACTCTGCAGCAGTATTAGGAAACTCCCAGATATTAATCACTAATAGCATCTGATCATTATTCCTTTCTCATGCCCCAAGTCCATCATGAGGTCAACGGGGTTCTATTCCTTGACTTCTCACTCCAAAACTCAGCGTGATGACTATTCTTATCACCAGGTCAGAAGGCTACAGAGAACTGAAGGGTCTTCACATGCAAACAAATGCTTTACCTGGAAGTGAGCCATATTTCCTTAGTTCACAACACATTGGCCAAAGCTGTTACAGAGTTCCTGAAACAGACTTACCCTGTGCCCAGAAGTTGGAGACTAGGAAATAATAGGTGAGCAGCACCTGCAGCTACACATCACCTTTCTGCAGCTGCTGTCAGGTGAGGAGAAACTGGGGAGGTTGCCTATGAGGGAAGGCAAATGTTATCTAGAAAGTTATGCTTGGGATTGTCTTAGTCCATTCAGGCTGCTATAACAGAATACCATAGACTGGGAGGTCTATAATCGGAGGTCTATAAAGGACAGCAATCTATTGCTCACAGTTCTGCAGCCTGAGAAGTTCAAGATCAAAGTACTGGCACTTTCAGTGTCTGATGGGGGCCTGTTTCCTGGTTCATAGATGGCCGTCTTCTAACTGTATCCTCACATGGCAAATTGGGCAAACAAGCTCTCTGAGGTCTCTTTGATAATCTCATTCTTGAAGGCTCTGCCCTCATGACTTAATCTCCTCCCAAAGTCCCCCCTCCCTCCGAATATTCTCTCATTGGGGGTTAGGATTTCAACATATGAACTTGCAGGAACACAAACATTTGGTTTATAGCAAGGAAGAAGGGCTGAGATAGAGAAACAAAAACACAACCAAAAAAGAAATTGAGCCTATGTCAGCTTGGAAGTATTGAGAAAGAGTACAGGCTGGAGACAAGGTTCATAGCTGAGACAACTCGGAGAGCAGAGGGAGAGTAGTGAACAGCTGAAGTTGAAACATTTGGAATCTAACTCCGGCAGACTCCATGTGGAGACTTTTAACATTACAAAGAGGCATGATCCCTGATGAGTCAGAGATAGCCCCTTAGGGGAGTTAAGTTGAACCAGACAGCAGTCTACAAGACCATGCTATCAGGTGTGGTGGTTGTAATTTTAGGAAAGTATTTATTGGTTTAAACAAATAAACATTATGCAAAATACACAAAACATGACAGAGATCACGTGCAGAGTTCATGCATCCCAAGTGCTTGGTGTGTTTTCTGGCTATCACACCACTATTTGTAAAGTGAATAATTATTAGCTCATTCATTCCACATATATTTTTAAGAGCTTTATTATTAGAGCTTAGAACAATTGCTAATGTGTACTAGGTGTTTAGCAAATGTTTGTGGATGGGCTTAATGAACGACTCTGTCCTTTGAGCCAAATGCCGTACTCTCTGCAGAGAAAGAAATGAAGCTGACAGCAGGCATCATTTCAGCCTCCAGGAGCTTACATGCAGACCCACATCACAATGAACCAAATTACAGTGGGATCAAGGCTGACACTGTGGCGTGATAATGGTCAAATCTGCTTACTTTATGCTAGATACTCTTCTAAGTGCCTTACCCATATTAATGCATTTAATCCTTAAAATAGTTATCTGAGATGAGAATGAGATATAGATCCACAATATAAATGAAGATACTGAGGCTCGGTGTACCTAATTATCTTGCCTAAGGCCACAGAAGTAGCAAAAGGATGTGCCAGGATTTAAACCAAGGTGCCTGGCTCCAGTGCCCACGACTATAATAAAAACATTATAGAGGTGCCAAGGAAGAAGTTGTTATTTCTGCAGAGAATGAGAGATGATGCACTATCTGGGAAAATATCTCTTTGGAGATGTTATTTAACCTGGGTCTTGAAGGATAAGTAAATGTGCATCAATACGGAAGGGATAGTCCAAGGAAATCATACCTAGAGGACCTGGGGGCTGATATCATTTTAGCAGATTCTGAGTCCTTACAGCAAGGGCTATCTCTGTTCTTCGGTGTCTCTGATCCCAGTATGGTCTGTGATTAGCACACAACCATATTTTATTGAATCTAAGATATCATCAATTGTAAGATGAAACAATATCTTCAGTACTACCAATAAAAAAGAAAAAAATAACATTGATAATAAAACCACAGCACAATTCTTTATTATTACTTAGAAATTGTATTTTACACTTACAAAAGAAATCCTTTAGATTTAAGTAGACGTAGAGCTTCATTATATATAATTCTTGTGATCAAAAGGAAGGTACGGTCTTAATAGTCTTAAAACTCGTTCACAGGTTGCAACTTTCTTGAGTCACTTTGGCAGTTGGAGTCTGTGTTGGTTCCATAGAGTGTTTGTTTTTCTGCCATCAAGAATGATGATGATGCAGTGTTGCTTAAAAGAATGCACCAAAGAACAAAGGTTATTGAAGCCAGACAATTAAGTTGGCTTTGCAATTATGGACAGCGGGCCTATTTTTGACTCCTATTTGGGAATGTTGATAAACCCAACTGGTTCACCACTTCCCACAACTGTTTGAGTCCAGGGGGTTAAAAAACATTCTGTGCCCTTAAATCTTGGTTACCATTATGTCCAGGTTACCATTATCTCTGAGAATCTGCAAGTTGCAATGTAGGTCCTCTGATGTACACATGCATGCAGGCTGTGTCCACTGTGTCATCAGTGCTCCTTGGCATACAGTGTTGAGAATGTGTCCTGGAAGTATGCCATTGATTTTAAGGTACATCCCAATTTCAGAGATGCTAGATCCTGTGCTTTGTAAAAGTATTGAAAGATAGAAATAAAAACTGATAAATTTCTGTTGTATAAATAGAAGAATGAGAGTTTGAAAGATCCTGAACGTCAGGGGAAAAAAAAACAGTTTGAGATTTGAACTTGTTCTAAAGATCATGAAATCTCCAGAAATTATTAGGATGTGAGCACTTGGAATATGGGATCGTAGGATCTGATCTTGATTTTAAAATCAAGAACTACTGGAAAGAAAAGAAAATCCTCAAAATTTGAAAATCCCATTGTCTAAAATAATTAGGGATGTTCATAAAACAAGATGGAGTCTGCTGAGCTGATCATATGGGTCTTCCTCAGGATGAGACACCTGAGGGACTGGCTGTGTACGCACCCAGAATGCTGGTGGGAGTGATTTGCATGTCGCCCTCCTCGAAGGCAGGGGTCAGGTGAGATTCGCCTCCAGGTCCCTTGGAGCCCATCGAATCTGCATTCAATCAGCAGTGCCGTTGTTGCTTATGTTTCCAGACCCAACAGAGTCTGGGACAACATGCGCACTCCTGGGGCTTTTCCAGGGGCTGTCTAAAAACGTCCTCAGGACTTTTCCCTGCTGTTTACAATATCATAATATTTATGAATTTATAAATGGAGGGACTATGGCCTCATTTGCCAAATCCTGATACAAAGAACAGATTCAGAGGAATCAAAGTCAGACTGAGGGAATTTCGAAGCAAAGAATATACTGTACTAATAGCTCCACATTCAAATGTGTTTGAAAAGACTTAGGACAATTTATAGTTAATGGTAGTATTAACCAATATTTATTGGTCACTAGTTATGAGCCATAAGTTTGATTATTTCTCAATCTCACGTTAGAAAGTAGATTCAATGATTGTTCTGTCTCACAGAGGAGGAACGTGAGGCTCAGAGTTTAGGAAGCTGGTTCCTGGAGCTGGCAAGGGGTGAAGGCCCGATAGGAGCTCAGACAATTTGACCCCTGAGTTCCAGGTCTGTACTTCTACATGGCATTTTCCAAATTCCCAGCTCTAGTGTTTTCTGGATCTATCACTTATCAGCTCTGTGCCCTCTCACAAGTTAGTTTACTCCCCTGACCTCAGTTTCCCCATTTGCAGTGTTGTGGTAGAAAAAACACCTATATCTTTCCATTGACGTAAAGCTTAAAGAATTGGAAGGATGTGTAGAACAGTGCCTGGCTTTGGGTAAGTGCTCAGTAAATGTTGGCTCAGTAAGATAACATACTACGTTATTATTGTTAGCCCATCACTCCCTCTGATAACATTTCTAGCTAACAAATGAGCCACAGCCTCTCTCCTCCCCCATGCAGCCTAATTGTCCCAACAGTAGTCCTGCTGATGCTTTCTCTTGGAACTCCAGTACTTAAGGTGCTCTCACAATTCACACCTTGCACTATCTAAATCACTTCTTCAGTAGTGAACCTGACCACCTTATGGTGGTATTGAGGTATCATCTTGATCAGTGTTTGGCTGATCTATCACCAAGAGGCTAAATCTGGCCACTGTCTCTCTGTGTATCATCTGTGAGTTAAGAGTGGTTTTTATATGTTTTAATGATTGGGAAAAACGAATAATATTTTCTGACATGTAAAAAATTCAAATCTCAATGTCCATAAAGAAAATTTTATTGGAATGCAGTCATGCCCATTCATTTACATATTGTCCACGGTGGCTTTCATACTACAGCAGCAGACTTGAGTAGTTGCAAGAGGCACCATATGGTCTGCAAAGCCTGAAATATTTACTATCTAGTCCTTCACAGAAAAAGTTTACTGACCTTTGTCTTGGTCATTTGTAGCAAAGCTAGCAATAGAACCTACACCTCCTCCCTTCACTCTGGAACATACTCTTTATATTAGTTCGTTTTCATACTGCTATAAAGAAATACCTGAGACTGGGTAATTTATAAAGAAAAGGGGCTTAATTGACTCACAGTTCCACATGGCTTGGGAGGCCTCAGGAAACTTACAATCATGGCAGAAGGTGAAGGGGTAGCAAGGCACATCTTACATGGTGGCAGGGCAGAGAATGAGGGCAGGGGATGCATAAGACATTTATCAACCACCAGATCTCATGAGAACTCACTCACTATCACAAGAACAGCAAGGGGGAAATCTGCCCCCATGATCCAATCACTTCCCACCAGGTCCCTCCCTAGACATGTGGGAATTACAGTTCAAGATGAGATTTGGGTGGGAACACAGAGACAAGCCATATCACTCCTTTATCACATCTCCATCCTTACCCCCCAAGGATTATACAGCACAATGCTGTGGACATACAAATTACTCAATAGTGTTTCCTTGATGGCTGACATAAATCTCACTTTTTACAATTGCCTTATTTTTACTTTGGAACCTAGTTTATATTTTTTTTTTTGCATTTAATTGTATTGATTGATTGGTTGATTGGTCTATTTATTATTTGATTCCCGATTTAGTCTATAATTTGGCATGAAGCACTAGGTCTTATTCATTGGGTTCTACTAAGCTGTTTCAATAAGAGTTACTCACATGGGTAGCAGGGTCTAATCTGAATACTGGCTTCTTTCTTTTTGCCTGCTTTGTTGTGATAATCCCAGTCCTGAACTCGGTGCCTCAAAAGGATTTTGATAACGAGATATTCAGACAGTTCCTAACTCCCTTTCCTGGATCTCCTTCCCCAACCTCTTTAGCTATAATTTCTTAAGTATTGGGGGTGGGTTAGCAGATATTCAAATGGGGTTCAGTGAATAAAAAGACCCTGTGAGAAAGAATTCACCAGGGTAATGCATCCATTGCCCTTCTGACTTTTATAAATTTCATCTCTTTCAAAATATTGTTCATGTCATTTCTCCCCCACATGAAAAGTAGCCCATATCACATGTAGAACATACCCATTAAAGATTTCTTTAACGTCCACCTACTGAAATGGCATTTTTTTTTTTTTTAACTTGGAAAGACTTCAACGGATTGCACTGCCGGGGACCAAAAATAAGATTTTAATTGAAATACAGATAAGATAGGAGCCTTTAATTTACCTTCTCCCTAAGCAACAGGACTTTTCTGGCTGCATCTGATAGATGGCTTTTCCCCCTTCTTTCTTTTTCAGCCTAAGCTAGAGCAAAATTATCTTACCTTCAGATGAAATATTTTAGGGATTTGGGGATTTTGTGTGCCTCAGGACAAAGGACAGTGTTTGTGAAAAGATCACTGTCCTCTTTTGGAGGCAAATTTCATCCTTATTGAAATTCTGATGTTAGAAAAAGTCTGCCATCTCATTACCATCCTGCATACCACACATTTTATGTGCTCTTATAGATGGGCGCAAGAATATTAGGGGCAAGGGAGAGAAAGAACACAAGGAGAGTTCCCCTGCAATCATGTCAGATGAGACGTTTTTCTTCACCAACAAAATAGTTTGTATAAAATGTGATGCTATAAAAGTGAATTATGTTATTCTTACTGGGGGCTCCAAGGGACAATGCATTCTGGACCACGAGATCATTGTCATCACTTTCAGAGTAAATAACACAGATTCTTCTTCTTAGCCTCCTGTCCATGTACACACCAGTGCTCTCCCTCCTCCATCCAGCCCAGGGCCACCACCCTCAGGTCTGACGGAACAACAGGGACTGATAGAGAAAGGCACAAAAACCACATGACACAGACTTCCAAGGCCAAAGATAATTGAATTACCTGGTTGTCTGCGGTGATGAATATAAGTCGTAGAAACAGGATGCATAGTCTCTTTTTACTGCATTCCTGGCTGCAGTTCCAGCTTTTAGTTGCCATGCCGGCACCAAATGGCCACAACTCCACTATATTGGCCATTTCTGGCCCCAAATGATCTCTCAAAGGCCCCTTGAAATACAGCTTTCAAATCACCCTTGCACTTCATAGATACTAGATGATAGGTCATCACTTCCATATGTGATGCAATTTTGCAAAATGTTTCATTTTATGATTGTATGAATTATGCAAACTTTATTAGTTCTGAATTGGGCTTGAAGTCAAATAATATCTGTTAACAATCTACATACTTGTATTTGTCTTTTGCCCTCCCTGGTCAGGCAAATCCTGCCTACTTTTATTTGGTAGTTCCAACTCCCACTTTCCTGGCTAATATGTGAACACCATGCAAAGAACCGTCAGCATCAAAAACATATTTGGTCCTTAATTCAACAGAGTAGACACTGGGTAAGGCAGAAAGCACACTGGGGAAAATCATGATATATTGGAAAATACGTAAGAATTAGTGTCAGAGCTCAATGGGATTTGAGCCCTAGGTCTTCAGAAGATGCTAAAACTCCCCAGTCCCTCACTTCCAAAATGAAAGATGTAAAGCTCACCCCAGGGCTTGTAGCTGGGCTGAATGGACCTAATGGTTATATAAACACCTGGCACAGGCACTGGTGCAAGTGACCCACCAACATGAATTCTCTCCTTTTTCTCTGTTTTCAGTGGTTGGATTAGCTGAGCCAGAAATTACACCATTTCATTGTCATCCTCCTTTGTTTGTCTATTTGTTCTTCTTCCTAGGAGAATTGAGAGGTTGGGAGGACTATAATCTGTAAGCTCTGGAAACACAAGAACTACTTGTGTTTACTCATCATTGAGTTTCCAGCACAGGCCAAGCCTGGTGCAAGGTTCTTTTCTATTGAGAGAATGTGAAGATGTACCTTAATGACAAACACTCCCCTATCTCATCAACAAGCCAAAGGAAGAGGCAAGTTCTACAGTCAGTTCTGCCACACTGTGACATCTGTGTTCCTAAAAATCACTCACAATCCCAGGGATTAGAGAGGAAATCAGGCTAGGGCACAACATTTAAAAACTTCATCAGGGACACATTTTTAAAAATATATGACCTAATAGAAGAGATACTGCCGTTTTGCACCAGTTAAGTAGTTAATAAATATATGCATGCTACAATAAATGCAACACTAACTTTGAGAAAGGGCTGAAGCTTGCTTGCGGAAGGGGGCCTGGGAAGTAGGGAGGCTTGTGAGTTATTGTGAAGTGATGGAGGAAGGGTGACCTGAGATGGGAGGGTAAGTTGTCTCACATTTCTATGTGGCTCCATCTAGCTAGGTGTAGTTTTGTAATGTTGCATTGTTCCTTACGACATCAATCACATTAAACAAAAGTGCACTTTCAAAACAAAGGTTATGGAGGAACTGGCTATATTTTCAATTATTTAAGGGGATTTTCTATAGGAAAACAAGCAGGCTCTTGGTTCTCAGAGGGTGGAGCCCTGGTGAATGGCTAGGCATTAGAGAAGGCAGCTCTGATCTTGTCATGAAGCCCACATTGTAACACTTAGAGCTGTCTTGGCCAGGAATTTTCATGGGAGACAGTGGGCACCATATCAGAGGAGAGGTTCAAGCAGTGGGTGGTCAACTGCAAGACAGCTATAAAAGGGAAATTGTCAATTGGCCTCTGAAGGTCTCTCCAAGTATAAATTTTTGAATTCTCGATACTATCAAGAATTTTAAAAATTCCATAAAACATTCACTGTATCCACAAAAATGTTAAATTTCTGGTGTGTGTGTGTGTGTGTGTGTCTGTGTGTCTGTGTGTGTGTGTCTGTGTGTGTGCACACGTTGCTGTGTATGTAAATGTGTGAGCTATTTCTAAGTGAATGAACCACGTTGCATGGGTAAGTACTGGATAAGGTAACACTAGCCACTATAACAGGTAAACTCCCAACTATCAGTGATTGGCCAGATCTGAAGTTTATTGCTTGCTGAAGTTCATTCTTAATGTGTGTTCCTGAAGGAAAAGAACCATCCTTTTAAATTCACCATCATTTTCTTCATCATATTCAGAGCCACACAGCAATGCCTAACTGCAAAGGAGGCCAGTTAATGTGGTCTGCCATGTTCTCAGGAAGAAGGAGAGTCAGGTTTGCTGACCTCCTGCAACCTCTGCTTCACCAGACCTCACATTTTCCATATATGCCTATCAACGTCAATGTGTTCAAGCAAAGTGAACTCATTCCAGAGAAGGGAGAAATTGGGATAGCACTTATTAAGCATCTATTATATGCTTAACTCTGATCCTCATACGTTTGCACGCATTGTTTTATTTAATACTTATAATCATGCTACTAGGTGGATATTGTTCTTCCTTTCTACAGATGGGAAAATTAGGGTCAAAAAGAAGTAGCAATTTGGACAAGATCACATGGTTAATGCATGTCAGGGGAAGGACCTGAATTTCAAATAGGAGATGCCCACTCTGCTTTCTTGCACCGTGGCCCTTTGGAAACACTCAACTGGTCACTTTGGACTGAGGCTTGGAATGACGTAGTCAATTCTCAAAATCTGGGCATACCTTCCTGGGGCTTTAAAGATGGGGAGGACTGAGAAGAGAGGGGACCTAGGTATTGGGACAGGGCTATCTTCAATTTGGTTGTTCAGTACGTACAATTTAGACCCCATCTTTCTAATCACAGGAAAGTGCACAGCCTTGGTTCCTTCCTCAGTTTTCAGACCTGCCTCAACCACTTGTAGCCACCTGAGCTTGATTAAGCCAGCCCACCTCCCTGAGCTTCAATTCATTCAACTGAAAAACAGTTTGTCAATAAAACTCCTTTCTTCTCAGGAGTGAGCTAAGAGCATGTTCATAGACAGCCTGAGAGTGAGTGTGTTTTTAAGCCCTTAGGTGCTATATAATTATCGTCATCATGGAAAATCGCCATTTGTTTTGCAGGAAAAAAGAACAGGAAAATCAGATTCTGAATGTTTATGGGGAAAATACAAAACCTTGGTTCTGAATGCAGAGGGAGACAAGAGACAGTCTATTTTTTCTCCTGCTGATTCAATGATAGTTATTAATGTTTTTAAGTCTTACAGATTAGTCTTAAAAATTCATTTTTCTGAGGTTTTGTTGCAGTTGAAAAGCCCGTGGGAGCGATTTCTAGTAATCTAAGTTGATAAACTGTAAATTAACTTTATTTTCAAAGATTAATTAAAAAAAAACTACAAAAAACCCCTATGACCTTTGACAAAATAATTGTACCAGTTGTAAAACAGCTAAATGCTGATTAACAGACATATCCAGAAATTAGTGTACAAAATAAAAAGATACATAGAATGAGAGAACTTATTTTGTAACTACTTCTTTCCTTTTATGTAATTTTCTTTCTCTGAATTATAATTCCTTTCTAAACCATAAAATGTTTGACCAGTGTCTGATGATGCTTATCCATAGAGATAAAACTTGAATTAAAAGAAGAGGCAAGAACTGGTGCTTCATTCATCTCTCCCATCAACTCTCTCTTTGTGGTCCTGATTTGTCAGTGAGAATGTACTGGAGTTTGCAAAGGAGAAAAAAAAACCACAGAGCTTTTCTCCCAATTGTCTGCTTTCAGAATGAAGAAGGAGAAGTCAACATTTGGGAAGTGTTTACCATGGACCAGGAGGTAATATAACACATCATTTAACTCTCCCAACTAGCCTGGAGCACAGATTCCACTACCTCCCCATAACAATGAGAAAAGCAAGGCTCAGAGAGGCTTAGACACTCATGCTGTATGTATTAGTCAATTTTCACACTGATATAAAGAAATACCCGAGATTGGGTATTTTATAAAGAAAGGAGGTTTAATTGACTCACAGTTTTACATGGCCAGGGAGGCCTCAGAAAACTTATATCATGGCAGAAGTGATGGAGAAGCAAGGACCTTCTTCACAACTCATCAATGACATGTTCTTCTTCCCTTATGAATGGCATTTCCTTTGAACAAGTAAATCCATAACTTAGAGGCCATACAAACTATTGACCTGCTGCAAAGTGGAACCTCTGCATTGTTGCCATCTTCTCATCATAGGACTAGCAAATATTTCCTGACCTCTCATTGTGGGCCACATCATGGGGGGCTTCTACCTGTCCTACTACAGTTACCTGCACAACTCTCCCTATCAATCTCACAGTTCTTATCCTCCCAATTTGGTATTGTCATTGGTGATTTGCAGTTGGGGAAACTGAGCCTCAAAGAGATGAGATGCATTTTCTAGGGACTCACAGGTTGTGGATGCCAGCTCCAGGTTTTGGATTTGTCTCTGTGCTAACGCCTATGCTCATGACCACTGCCTCTTTCATAATCTTATTATTTTATTTTATTTTGACACAGGGTGTCACCCTGTCACCCAGGCTGGAATGCAGCGGAGTGATCATAGCTCCCTGCAGCCTCAAACTCCTGGGATCAAGGATCTTCCTGCCTCAGCCTCCTGAGTAGCTGGGACTATAGGTGTGTGCAACCACTGGCTGATAATCTTTTTAGAATTTATTTTTCTTTTGGTCTCTGTAATTTTATTTTCCTTTGTTTATTTATAAGGTACACTGCTTTGAGGTTTAAAACAATTCACTGGCACAGTGGCTCACGCCCGTAATCCCAGCACCTTGGAAGGCCAAGGCAGGTGGATCACGAGGTCAGGAGTTCAAGACCATCCTGGCTAACACAGTGAAACCCCGTCTCTACTAAAAATACAAAAAAATTAGCCGGGCGTGGTGGTGGGCGCCTGTAGTCCCAGCTACTCGGGAGGCTGAGGCAGGAGAACAGCGTGAACCCGGAAGGCAAGGCTTGCAGTGAGCCGAGATGGCGCCACTGCACTCCAGCCTGGGTGACAGAGCCAGACTCCGTCTCACAAAAAATAATAATAATAATAAAATAAACAAAGTGTCCACATTTGGGTTACTGAATATCCTGTGTCTTGATCTAGTTGGTGGTCACATAAGTGTGCTTATATATAAAAATTCACCAACCTGTATGCTGAAGGTTAATGAGCTTTATGAAGGTATATCCTACATGAATACAATAATTTAAAACTACAGAAATGGAAATTTAAAAATAAGCAACCAAAGACAAAACAAAGCAAAAGAACAAAACAATGAAATCAGAATCACAGGATCATAGAACACCTGCACAGAAACAGACCCACAGAAACTTGTTTTGTTTGTTCTGACACTTTTTTCACACTGCACTGTCATGGCTTGTCTATGAGTGCTCTGGTCATCTCGCCAGACCATGAGCTCACCACAGGCAGAACCTGGCACATTTTGTCCTTTGACACAGGCTTGCAGGGTGATTAAAAGATTTTTCTCCTGTGATACATTTTATTTGCACAAGTTATCTGGTTTGAGTCAAAAAACCTAATTGTATTGACAAACAGGCCCTTGGCAAAGATGTTTATTGCATACCTTAAATTTGCAAGGTTATCTCTTCTCATCTTACTGAGCTCTCACCTTAATCTTCCTGATCATCTCCTTCTTACCCCGTTAAGTGCCCACTCACCTAAAACACACTGGATAATGATGTTTATTACCCAACAATGAAAATATTGTTATTTATGGTTATAATCAGGATGTCATCAAATATGAATGCTCACATTTGGTGAGGGCCTTTCAACTGATTGTTTATGTAAATGAAAGTGTTCGCTCATCATCACATCCATTTTGGGAAGAAACAATCAGCCAGGCGGGTTGTTTCTCTCTATAATATCTTTTTAGTATTCAGTTCACTGAAAACCAATCTGCAACAAAAGAAAAAAAAACTACAAATTTAAGGTTAGATGTAAACCTATAGCAAATGTTAGCATGCCCTGGAATGACACAGGCAGAAGCTCAATTGCAATTCCTCTTCACTGGGAAACTTAGAATGGGCCTCCAATCTGGATGCAGTTTCCAATAGAGAACTAGCCTTTCCATCCCAGTTTCTCCCACTTAGCATGAAGTGGACAAGGCCATTATGCAGTGGATGTAACCACCCCAGCCCTGGAATTGGGCCATCTATATGATCTCAAGTTTGTCACATTTACAAGCAAGTCTTAGTTAACTTATCTGTTGTATTAGTCTGTTCTCACACTGCTAATAAAGACATACCTGAGACTGGTTTATGAATAAAAGAGGTTTAATGGACTCACATTTCCACATGGCTGGGGAGGCCTCACAATCATGGTGGAAAGCAAGGAGGAGCAAGTCATATCTTACATGGATGGCAGCAGCCAAAGAGAAAGAGAGTGTGTAGGGGAACTCTCCTTTATGAAACCATCAGATCCTGTGAGACTAATTCACCATGACAAGAACAGTGTGGGAAGGACCCATCCCATGATTCAATTACCTCCCACTGGGTCCCTCCCATGAAACATGGGAATTGTGGGAGCTACAATTCAGGATGAGATTTGGGTGGGGACATAGACAAACCATATCATCTGTGAATGGATGCTTAGATGGACTGTAAGTGAAAACTCTAAGCATGTGTCCATAACAACCATCTCAGTGGATAGACTCCATTGTACTGTTAGGAAGGAGGGAAAATGTTCTGTCTCCAACATTTATGGTAACTAATGCTGAGGCTCTAAGTTACAATATAAAGTACAAGGAGCCCATAGTACTATTCTCTAAAGGGGATACACACTTCTTTTCTAAAGAACCAGATAGTAAATATTGACTCTGTGGGCCACTTAGTCTCTGCGTTCCAAATGTGTCTGTGCAGCAATAAAACTTTATTTGCAAGACATATTTGATCTGTGGACCATAATTTGTTGACCAGTGGTCTAAAGCATCCTTACTTGAAGTATTATCCACAGATCGTTAGTACTGCAAGATATTCTTTGCAAAAAAAAAAAAAAAAAAAAGTCTCTACACAAATAAGTTGGGAAATAATTCATAGCTTGTCCCTCTAGGGTATTCACATAGGGCACATGATCCTTCTAAATCTGCTGCAAAGAAACGATTGAAAACAGAATTTTTCCAAACTTCTTTGACCTTCCTTTGCACCCAGCCTGTGTGCCTGCCCACATGACTCTTGCTTTGGGGAATGCAGCTCTGAGCATGTTTTTGTCATCCGACCCTGAGATGCTGAAAAAAGAAAGACTCTTTAAGCCATTTTGCTAACCTTCTGTGATCCATCTTATGGGGGGTAGGATTGAGGTCTGTGGAGGCTAACAGATCCGGCAGGTAAGGCAGTAAACCCCTGATTGGTGAGTTACTTTGTCCTAATGTTCTGAAGATCGCCAAGTAGCAGCCTCGCGACACAATGGAAAGATCACTTTGAGAAGAATAAAGAGACCTGAGTCTTCGTCTTCATGTTGCCCTCGGTTCGCTTTGTGGTTCTGGAAAGCTGCTTCATCTTTCTGAGTTTCACCTGCAAAATCGTTTTCCCCATCTGAAAAAGAAAGACATTTATTTAGAAAATTCCTGAAAGTTTTGCAGTGTTGTTGTTATTGTTTCAAGCCTTCTTTTTTTTCTTGTCTTTAAGGGCAGATTGAATGAATGTAGAGGTAAAATCCCAGGATGAGGAAACTCAGAAATGAGGGTTAGCACTTCTTTTCTTTCTTTCTTCTTTTTTTTTTTGAGACAAAGTCTCAGTCTGTCATCCAGGCTGTAGCACAGTGGCGTGATCTAGGCTCACTGCAAACTCCACCTCCTGGATTCAAGGGATTCTCCCACCCCAGCCTCCCAAGTCGCTGGGAGGATTACAAGCCCATGCCACCACGCCCGGCTAATTTTTGTATTTTTAGTACAGATGGGGTTTCACCATATGTTGGCCAGACCTCAAGTGATCCACCCACCTCAGTCTCACAAAGTGCAGAGATTGCAGGCATGAGCCACTGCACCCGACCGGATTAGCACTTCTTTAACCACGCACTTGACTTTCTGACTTTTAATTTTGTGTTAACAAAGCTGACCAGATTTTGGCTTCCCAAGTCAGAATCACGAGGGTCAAAGCCCCCAGGGAAAGACAAACACAGCAGCAGCAGCAGCAGCACACACTCACAAAGACAGACGGTGGACTTGCCATCAGGAGCACAAGTCCTGAGCTGAACTAGGGTTCCTTATTCATTCCTCATGTGAACTTGCACAAATTACCCACTTTTTTTCTTCTGACCTCAGTCCCCCAATGTATCACTAGAGAGTGGTACTTTATAAACTGTTGTAATAAGCAAAGAATAGTTTTATTAATACCATAACTGCTACCATCACTATGGCTACTCTACACCAAGTATAAGAGGTGAAAGACAATTGTGTGATGAATATTAAAACACCTCATAGAGCTGGAAGGGCCATTGAGAAATCAGCGATCCACTTCCTAGCACTTCCTATTGTTGTACAGCCTCCTCCCTTGCAAAATGGGAAGGCTTTAAAGCCCCTTTAACTCAGAGACATTTAGAGAGAGTGATTTGTAATGTCTCAGACACTGTTAAATGTGTTTGACATATCATTATATTTATTCTACTAAGATGATGATGGTACTAATGGGACAAGCCTCACTTAGGAACAGGGAGACAACCTCGATTTCTGTAGGAAAAAAAAAATATGTTACAAATGGCAGGGCAATCTCTCTCATGGAGGGATAGGAAGAAATTGGCCTTGAATCCAAAAGTTTGTATGGATGTTTAAAAGGAAATACATGACTTTGCTTTCTTGAAAATTTATCCAATTGAATTTCCTTTCAAATGAGAACTGAATGAATCCTTCTTTTTAGCTTAGACCTGGGCTTCATAAATACCATCTCTGCACAGTATATTACGCACATCATTTATTCAGCAGATATCATAATATATTCAGGGCTGCTCTTAGGAAGAGAAATTTCAATATTAGATAAAAATAGTGAGATGGCGACGGTAACAGTGTTTGTCTGGTACACAGGGTAAATAGGATTGTTAGCGATTGCTAAAGGCTTCAGGAAAAGATAGGGAAACAAAGATAGCTCGTGCCAGATTCTGAGCCGAGCAGTTGCAGAGGTTCAAGGAAGCTTGATTACCTTCTGCCACCACGTACTTCTAAGCAGGCCCAGAGATGAGTTCCTCCTTTCTTATATTTTCTTGTAAGAATCGCTGAATGTTATCCTAATTAGAAATCTGCTCAGATTTGGAAACAGGCTGGCGTTGTCTTCTCTCCCTAACCCTCCATCCTCCCACCTCTCTGTATGTCTCTCTCTCTCTCTCTCTCTCTCTCTCTCTCTCTCTCTCTCACACACACACACACACACACACACACATGATAATGTCCACTGTCCACAAAGAGTCAGAGTCTTCTCTGAGCCTGTCACCAAACTGGCTTTACACAGGCTCTGGGCCTCTCTGAACTTGAGTTCCTGGACCTGCATGGGCAGCAATTGGACTGATGAATCTCTCCAAGCCTCTCTGCCCATGTCTTCTAAATCCAAAGTGCTGGCCTGTAATAAACACTAACAATGCTTGGGCCTGGTTCTGTGTTTTATATGTATCAACTCACTTAACCCTCACAACACCCAGGGAGATATGTAGCGTTAGTCTCTTCATTTGGTGAGGAATCTCTCCACTTGACAGGTGAGGAAACAGGTGGGGTACCAAGAATTTAAGGAATTCATCCAAGGTCACAACCAGGAAGTGGCCGAGCCAGAATTCCAACCTAAGCCACGTGGTTTCAAAAGCACAAAGCAGAAAGCCTAGCACAGAGCCCAGCCTCAAAGGCACAGAGCTGCAGTGAATGCCCCTCTGGTAGACACTCCAGAGCAGTGGCTCCTGTATGTCCACTCATGTGTGCGTGAACATTCATGAATGTACCCGACACTCTGCTTGGCACACGCAGAACTGAGACTTGCAGAAGTGTGCTAGTGTCATCAGAACCAACCCAGGGTTGGTCCGGGGGAGACTGTCCCGGGGAAGAAAGAACTGCAATTTAGAAGAAGAAGTCAGTGCAGCAGAGGAGGCCCTGCAGATCCCAGGCAGCGGGGAGGCAGCCTAGGGCTAAAGGAGTCCAGGGGCTCCCGGTGAAAGATACATTCACAATGTGAAGGATGGGTCAGACATGGAAATGGGAAAGGCAAGCCAGGGGGATACACAGGACAGAGAAGTGCAAAGTGAGAGGTGGGCAGGCTCTCACAACCATGGGGCTGGGCTCAGGGCTATTTTGTGTGAGGGAAGGGAGGCAAGAAGGCTGTAATAGCAAACTTGAACTACTTTTTTGATTGTTTTGTTTTCAACAAAGCTGAATGCCAGTGAGGCATCTGCAGGGGCTTTGGAAAGTCTGGTTGAGTTTTTGCACAAGGGTTCTTGGGCAACCTTGTCGATACCTGGCAAGGTTGCAGCAGAGCCTGTAATTCTCACACTTCCCAAATCCTCCCAGAAGCCTATACAACAGTAGACCATGCATTTCTTTATTATTTTCTACACAGGGACCACCTGGATCCTTATTGAAGAACATAGACTTGAAGTTACTACAGTTAACCGACCTCCTATTCATTCTTCTCATTTTTTTTTTCTGAGGCTACGGATAAAATGCTTACATAGATACACTATGCATTTCATGGTTCTATTTCTTTCCTTTTTGCTTTTACACGTGAGGCCCAGGGGGCCCACTGCACAGCAGGAGCCTGGGAATGCGTGGGGACCATTAGTGCTCTGTGGGACCAGAGCTTGCTCTAGCAGTCATTGTTTTTGCCTCATTAAGAACTTTCTCGTTTCTTCACCCACCAGTAATAGTTGTTTGTTGTTGTTTTCTCAAGCATTCTGACAGTTTCAAAACCAGGAAGCATGACTCAATCCTAGTGAGGGCTCAGTTTAATTCTCTGAATGAACAGAATGAAATTACATATGTAGGAAGATTTTGTAATCTTTCTTTATCTACTCTGTTCACCCACCTTAAGAACCAAGCTCCAAATGGAAGTACAGCAGGTGATGTGTGTCTTTCTCTCACTTTCACCTCCTGGAGAGTCAACTCCTCTAGTGAGGGCTTCTATGTACACGCTCCCACTTAGCCCCCATTATTTCTTCAGGGTCAGCTTCCTTATTTCCTTTGACAGCTGAGAAAGTTGAAGTTTAGCGTCATTACTAGTGCTGAGAAACACAGAAAGTGGTTTAAAAAAAAAAAACAAAAATGTACCTGATTCTAAAGTTTGTGTTCTTTCCACCACACTCAGTTTGCTTCCCCTAAATGAAAAAAAAAGGTACACATGTAGGAAGCTTCAAGTTCAGTCTCACTGTCTGTAAAATGAGATAGTGAAAATTACTCAAAAACTAATTGGAAGTATTGAATTGTTCCTGGCTTATACATTGTAGGGGATAAGGTAGGTAAATCCAGTGCTAGTTGAATTTTGTGTTAGGCTATTCTTGTACTGCTATAAAGAGATACCTAAGACTGGGTAATTTATAAAGAAAAGAGGTTTAATTGGCTCATGATTCCCCAGGGTGTACAGGAAGCATGGCTGGAGAAGCCTCAGGAAACTTACAATCATGGTGGAAGGTGAAGAAGCAGGCATATTTTACATGGCTGAAGCAGGAGAAAGAGAGAGAAGGGGGAAGGTGCTACACATTTTTAAACAAACAGATCTCCTGAGAACTCACTCACTATCACAACAACAGCAAGGGGGAAGTCCACCCCCGTGATCCAAGCACCTCCCACCAGGCCCCTCCTCCAACACTGGCGATTACAATTCAACACGAGATTTGGTGGGGGCACAAATCCAAACAATATCAAATTTCAAACTGGATCTTTTAAAGGAAGAATCAAAAGAATGCTCTAATGTGTTGCTGGGTGGATAAGGGATGTGGAAGTGGGAGAATTCAAATGGCTTGTTCAATTTCATATGGCTCATTACTTGGTCCTTTAATTCTAAATCCAGCAAGTGGGGTTTAGCCAATGGATTGCTTGGAAAGAACAATTGGACTAGATCCTCTGATTTCTCTTCTTCCGTCTCATCTCCTGATTTAATTTCTTCTTCTTTCCCTTTCCATTTCTATTAGTATAGAATGGAGAAAACAAACAAACAAACATCAAGAAACATAGGTTTGGATTTTTCTCCTCTTTTTTGCTCTGTGAGTCTGCGAAAGTTCTCTTGAACTCTCTGAGACTGATTTCTTCCTACATAAAAGGAAGGAATTGGTCTAAACTATTTTAAGATTTTAAATCTTAATGTCTCCCTTCCTCTCCCTTGCCACATTCACCTCCTCTTCTTGTGATCTAGTCTCCGGAAACTCGAAGATTACAAGCAGAAAACTAGCCTGATACACTTAGCATATGCAAATGCTGTGCCAGAGAGACCACCAAAGCTTGGATTCCTCCTTCTGACTCTCCAGAGATATATAGGGGCAAGCCTTTCAACCAGGGCAGAAGGATTGTAAGTATCTCAGCATCTCGAGTACATAAAACCTAACTAGCATTCTGCTCCAAGCCAGTTCGACCTCATCAAAACACCCCTGGGGTGAGCTGTGATTCCTGGGAGCCCGTCCTCCCTCAAGACAACAGAAAGTGCTTCCTCCTGTGCCTCTCAGGAGTGCCATGTCCATTGCTCCGCCTTACCAAGAACAAGCAAAGCCTGAGAACAGGATTTGCAAATAAGGGAGGGGGAATGGAGGCCTAAGGAAAGTGGAAAGAGAGTTAAGAAAGGAAGATGGAAGATTCAGGGGCTGGAGGATAGGAACTGAAGACTGAGCAGCAAACAGGAAGAAAGAGAAGGGAGGCAGGGAACCCAGCAGAGGGACAGGCAGACAATAAGCCCGAGGCAGGAGGAAAAGGGAAAAGCCCATGGTGCTAGTTTGAGGCACTGCACCTTGTTTGAATTCCTAAATTTATCATTTCTACTAAATGTAACTGGAACTTACTATACATTTACCAGACAAGCCACTGTACTTTGCAGTATCCTTGAGAGATGGAGGTGGACGGAGGGACTGTTACTTTTTGCCATCATGAGGAGGACACGGACTCTCGGACAAGATAATCCTCCTGAAGCTACTTGAGAGTGAAGTGCAGACCTAGGGCCCTGGATTCTAGAGCCCAGAACCACCAGCTGGCCTGGACTTCCAACCTCCAAATTCAGGCCTGTTCTCACCCAGCTCAGGCACATAGTCAAACTCAAAGGCGTGAAAATCAATTAGAACACGTGAGGGAAGATGGTTCTCAGTCTGAACCAGACACACCAATGAATGGACTTGGAGGCCAGGCCAGGTCCCAAATGCCTCCGCACCCCGCCGATATTTCTTTTGTATATTACAAGCCAGCAAAATTAACGTCTGCTTGGAAATCACACAGAGGAGGCTGGTGTGACTGCAACTCTAGCAATGAATGCACTTAGCAATTCTGTAATTTATCATTTGACCACTAATATATGGCTAGCAGGAGGAAACAAGTGCTGGGGACTAGACACAGTTAAATCAGAACAAGCGTCCATCCTTCAGAAGCTTACCACGTGGTAAAAGACTTAACGTATGTGTTCAAGTATCTTTTTTTTTTTTTTTTTTTTTTTTCTGAGACATGGTCTCACTCTCTCACCCAGACTGGACTGTAGTGGCTTGATCTCCGCTCACCGCAACCTCAGCTTCCCAGGCTCAAGTGAATCTCCTGCCTCAGCCTCCTGAGTAGCTGGGATTACAGGCACACACCACCACTCCTGGCAAATTTTTATATTTTTAGTAGAGATGAGGTTTCACCATGTTTGCCAGGCTGATCTCGAACTCCTGACTTCAAATGATCCACCTGCCTTGGCCTCCCAAAATGCTGGAATTACAGGCATGAGCCACTACTCCCAGCTAGTTCAAATATCTCTTTTAAAAGATTTTTAAAAAGGAATGAGAAAGGAAAGTCTGTGTGGTTTTTGTTAATGAAGCATAAGCTTCAGTGCTGGCCTGGCATCTTTAACAGATCAGCTTTGAAGTCGAATCAACCTTGTAGATCCTCAGTTTTCTCATCTATAAAATGGAGCAAGCAAGAGTCATGACACTCAGATGCTGCGCAGACTCCAGGTGATCCTGCGGTATACTCGATATGCCTGGCATATCATCAGGGGTCCCACACATGCACAAGTTTCCCTTTCATTCCAAACAGGGAATGTTCTTTCCAGTTTTAAGTTAATGCTATTTCCTCATCTGCATTTTTTTTCTCTTCCATTCTTAATAAGTTGAGTAAGAGGGACAGTGAACTGGAAAGGGAAAACGTGAAAATGCCGAGAATTCTGAAAATACATCTTTCCAAATTGTGCAGCTTGGTGTTGGCAAGATGACAAGGGCCCCGGAAACCGGGTGCAAACACAGCACAGCAAAATCACGCAGCTTGCGTGTGCAATATATGTATGTTACATGCCAACTGCTGAACAAGTGCTTTTAAACAAATGACAAATATGATACGATGCTCTGAGGATCAGGCCAAGTGAACGCAAGGGTTTTCAAGATTCAGATGTGGACACGAGGTTCCTCTCGTTCCCGCCCACCAGCCCTTGCCAAGCCCGAGACCCCAACATAACACTCCTTTTGCCTCAACCTTTCTATCTGCGGCACCACACACATGCACACACCATCAAGCAATCACAACTCCACCCCTCATGTTAAGCCTGTAGGCTGTAGAATATCGGCCAGCACATTATTTTCCCAATCAATTTACAAACTTAACTAATAATTTAATTCGCCGCATGACAAATCCACTAGCTCATGCCGAAAGCAACTCAAATGGAACGGCCATAAAATTCCCTTCTACGCCTTTGCTTGATGCCATCGTTAAAAAAGAGAAGGGATGACAAAGTGAAAGGGAAAGTGCAGTGATTCTTTTATGTGAAGATTACATTTAAAAATAACCGACTAACCGTCTGCACTTTTCGGGGGCCTGACGTCTCGAAACGCATTTAGATTGATGCAGGCTGGGGCTGACGTTCTCGTGCTGAGTAAACAGTCAAGTGTTCTTAATAGGAATTGCAGTTTCTCGACATCTGTTAGGGAAAAGGGAATGGCGAAACAACAATTTAGAGTGAGATTGGTTTTGTTAAATGCATTTAAATTCCAAGATTAGTGGTGTTCTTTCTTTTTCAATTAGCATTTACTTGTAGAAAGGTTACAGATGAAAGGGCTGGGGAAGAGATCGGGTGGATTTTTTTCCTTACTGAGAGGACACTCCAAAGCATAGTAAAGCTAAAATAGGAAGAGAACGTAAGACTTAAAGGAACTTAAAACTGATGCCAAATTGAGATTGCAAATCTTGAAGGGAAAGCATTTAAAATAAAATAAAATAAAAATAAAGTGAAGTTGAGTCTGGATTTGATGATCCTGTCCTCTGGACAGAAAAATCATAAATTGCTTTGAGAAAATACAGGGATTTCTATTTTCCAAGCCAGTTACTAAGCAAAATTTGTGTTATTTCTCAAATATATGCCATGGTTCTGTGTGAGTGTGTAAAGAGCTGTAACTAGCTCACTTTTTTTTTTTTTGATAGAAACATAAACAGAGACGAAAAATGTAGGGAATGTTTCACCTGTTTTACTGCCATTAAATAAACCTCATCTGCTACCAAGCTGTTTTGGGTGACATTTGCTAAATAAATACATTTTGTGGGAGACTTGAACACTGAAGCACAGAGACATGCAACCGATGTTCTCAGATGAATCCTGTTTGCTTCTCAGTGCCTATACCCCTACCCCAGGGGGAGAGTGAAGTGGTAAATTCAGGTTTATGTTTTCACATTGGTAGTTTATTTTCAAACGTACACAGCTACAACAAAAAGTACATGCTTTTATTACCAGCGTTTCTTGTAATTCTCTCTCTCTTTCTGCCCCCTAACCCAATTTTCCCCTCTCCCTCACTACCTTCCTCCCTCCCTCCACAAATACCTTTATTGCTTTTTTTTTAACTGGGGAGTATTCACTATTTCTTTACACTTCTATATGGATTTCACTTTTAAAAAATCTATCAGCATGCATATTTCGTGCATGTCTGAAACCTTTAAAATATTGTTTGATCTTCATGATTATTTAAAAATATGTATATTGAGTATTTGCTTAAGGTAAAGCCATTGCTGCCATTTCCAATTAAAAAACTAATAAATGTATTTTAAAAGAATGTCTGCCAAGACTGTTCTCTGACAAAGTATCTCTGTGGATATTTAAATGGCACCAAGATGGATTACTGTTTCTGATTATTTCTCATGTAGGGTCTCAGTGATTTTGCAGAAATCGTAATTGAAGAAAATGATGGAAAGGAAGCTTTGAATATGGAGTGTTGTTATTGCACTGACTGGACAACCAGATGGAGCTATTCCCAGTCCCCAGCACACAGATAGAGAATCTATTCGACAATAACTAAAGAGGTGTACAGTTCTAGAACATTCTGCAACCAGACTTCAGGCACCAGGAGGCCTCCGTAGGCAGGGTTCCTCGGGCTTCTCAGCTGGCTTCCTTGGAGAAATTTCATATGCTGATTCCTTTCAATTATCTGTCAATTTTCAAAATGCAAATAGAAACATGCAGTCATCACTTTGGTACTCACCAGCTGATTTCTTCCAAGCACCCAGACCATAAGTGAATGCAGTTCAATATGTTCTCTTCCTTTTTTTAAGTGGAGTTAATATTACTGAGCAGATTTTGGTTAGCTTCCAGGAACCCAGTGTGTGGAGAGGCAGAATTTTATTTTAGAAGCACAAGTTGGTTTGAAAAATGTGAACTTACCCCAACTCTTTCTTTGTTTCATCTTTCTTACTAGACATGTTTTATTTTCCTAAAGAAAACATAAATAAAAACAAAAAAAAATTCTTCATTGATACACACACACACACACACACACACACACATACACAATTTAGGTCAAATTATTTTTACTACTTAGGATGTCTTTAGTTATTTTACATATTTATAACACAGAAAAAAAGTAAGAAGAAAAGGAAAAATGGTGTATAATCTTAAGACCAGGAGATAACCAATAATAAATATTTTGCTATAATTTCTTTTCATATTCTATGCATATACATTTTATGGAATTGAGTTCACACTGTTCACATAATTTTGCTTTCTCTATTTTGCCTTTACCTTTATCAATAAGCATTTTCTTTATATCCTTAAAATTTCTTTATTAACGTAACCTAATACATATGCACAAAATGTTACCTAATCATTCGCCTGTTTAAGGGCATTTGGTAATTTCCAATATTTTTTCCTTCACGATTTCGGGTAATGTTTAAATAAACCAATTTATGGAAAAGAGCTACCTATGTTGGATTACTTGCTTAGAATGAATTCCTGGAAATAGAATTACTGGGTCAAAGGGTACCAACATATTTAATGTCCCCAAAGGCATATTGGCAAATTGCCTTCCATACAAATTATACCAATTCCCCCTCTGTAACTAGTATATAAAAGTGCCTGTTTCACAGTATCTCCCCTGCTCCAAGATCTTGTAAAATCTCTGCAAATTTGAAAAATGAAAAAAATGATAACTGTTGCCTGGAACAATTTGTTAAAAGATGCACTGAGCAATACATTTATTTTTAAAATTTTTCATCTCACAAAGAAATATAAAAGCTTATACACAGGATGTTTTCTGACCAATAAATGCTAAAAAGCCATAATGTTTCATCATACATAGTAGATTATTTTGTTCGAAAACCTATTACATTTTGCATGCTGCTATAGCAGTCTTTCTAGTCCAGAAAACACTTCACTAAAACAGCAACAATATCAGTTTACTGCATAAGATTGCCGGCAGCTCACACTAGATTCTAAACACGATTGAATAGGCATCTTTAAGAGTGGAATATCCATGACTTATCTTGCCAGGCTTGGTACTATGCCAGTGGAGAAGGTGGATGGTGCCATTGTTATTTGGGCAGCCATGCCGATCTCAAGGAGGAAAGCTGAAATTGTTTGAAAACCTGGTTTAAGACAGTCTTTTTGAGATTTAGCCCTAGAGAACACTCAACTAAACAACCAAGAGAGGCAGAGCAAAGACTGTTAAAAGGTGCAGAAAAACTCGACAACAAAATGAAAAGACATAGGAAGAACCTTGTCATGCAAATAAACTTACCATGGAGAACCCAGAGGTCACTGAAAAGCACCTTTGTGCTCTAAGAGTACAAGGTTCAGAAAGGGAAGATTCAGTCAATAATTGCTGTGTTTGTCTAAATCTGTATTCCCCCAAGCTATTGTGTTTTCCAAGTTAGTAAAGTCAATCCTGTTCCTTGAAGTTTTCTGCTAGGCATTCGAGTTTCCCTCTAAGGTTCAACCTACAGCAAACCCTAAAAGATCCCAAAATAGCCCTAATAACTAGGGGTGGATTTTGAGGGTAAAAGGAAAGATCAATTACTCTTTGAATATACTCAATATGTGAATTAGCACCAAAAGTATCTCTATTTGTATGACCCTAATCATGTATTCTTCATCAGAAGTTGCCAGCAATAGTGAGTAGACACTTTAACACCACTGATTATTCAAAACCAAAAAAAAAAAACCCAAGAAAGAAAAGGAAAGAAATTAAAAATCCACCAAATTAAAGAAGCATGCTCTACCTCCCCAAATCCTCAATTCTCTTAACTGTCAGATTTTTTTTTTTTAACTGAGCCAGTCTTCGGAGATGATGGCATTTTTTATTGTAAGAATATTCCTTCTAGTAATCAATTCCCGCTTAATGAAGTGTTCCCTAAATTAAATCTACCCTTTCTGAAAGGTTACTCCCCAAACAAAATGAACAGGAAAATGCCTCCAGTCCATATAAATGTCATCCTGCCCTCCAGTAAGTCTGTTTTAATCACTATTTTTAAGGAAGCAGCCCGATTGAATAGGAGAGAAACTCAATTACCTTGTATACCAAGACAACTGTCACAGGGGGTCACAAACAGTGCCTTTCAGAGGAGCCTTCCTCCGGAGAGATGTAAGACACACTTTGTCCTGCAAATGATTTGTCCTTTTCCCTTTTTAAAAAAAAAAAAAAAAAAAAAAACAGAGAACCATGTCCCACTGGTGAAAAGAAGAGAAGAAAACTGGTATCAATTGAGGACGTACTATGCTAAGGCTCTTTCACTAATTCCTTACCACAAGATTATTAAAGAACTATTTTTCTTTCTTTCTATGGAAATAAAAATGATGTCCCAGTGGGGTAAGTTCACCCTTAAGGGGTGTGGCCACAGGGCTGGAGAGAGGAGAGGTGACACTTGTGCTCTATTCTGTGCAATTACAAGGGTACCTCTGCTAATAAACCAGTTGCTGACCCCAAATCAGCATTGAAAAGTCAACCAAGTAAGGACACTCCAGAGAACATTGGGTGGAAAATGACAAGCAGCAGGTACCTCCTGACACGTATTCCAAACAGCCGTGTGCCTTGGATTGGGTTTCTGCAAAGGCATTCATATGCTTTGCAAAGCTAATGTACGGAGGCAGCCTTCAGTGCTTATGTTTTTTGGAATTAAGTTGCATGACTGTGCCTTGCTCTCTAAAATGTGTAAATGTGTAAATTATGCTGAAACAGATTGCCAATGCAAGTTGAAGAAATGAAAAATATGGTGTACTCTCACGGCAAGGGTGCAAGGGCACAGGGGTGTGGCTTGCCACCTGATGTTAAAGGCAGCCTCCAAACTCTCCACGCTTGGGGCTTCTAGAGAGGATGATGGTGAAAAAAGGGATAGTGAAATGTAAAGAAGCTAGATGTCTTTTCCAAGAGCCCAGTTACACCTAAACACAATCTCTTACTGGCACAAAAGAGGCTATGTAAATTATCATGTTACCTAAGTCCTATTTTCAATTCATATTTCATTTCCCCAATTCACCACATCCTAATAGAAATGCCACAGTAACATGCCAAATTTTGATCCCAAAAATACTGAAAAAGAAAAAGATAGGAAAAATGCCCCCCACCAAATACCTCACCATATCTCCCTAACTCCATAGCTGCCAAATTTCCAGTGGAGTGTGTGTGTGTGTGTGTGTCTGTGTGTGTGTGTACTCACACGCATGTGTTAGTGCCTTCCTGTTATTTTAATGTTGCTTCAGTTTACTGTGATGAGGAGACTAATTTCATGTATAAAAACATCACAAAGAAAAAAGACAGCTCCTGTCTTCAAGGAAATACTTAGAGACACCAGTATTTGATAAGTTGAAAAGGAAGAGTGAATGCCAATCATTTCTGTAGCCTTAAATGCTCTCATAAAATGAAGAAATGATAAAAAAATTATACTGGGTCAATGATGACTTACTTTATGAGACATCAGGGTCAAAATGTTGTCTGTAATTGCTGAGTAAATTGCTGAAAGATATCTAGGGTTCAATCCACTCATTCTGTGTACAAGGAAACTAAAAATGTCTGGTAACTTCCTTGGATCACACAGCCAGAGTCATTTAGGATACAACCTACGTCCCTGCTAACTCCTTGCCCTATGTTCTTCTCAGCACAGGTCATCAACTGAAAATTAAACAAAATCATTTTGAAAATTTAGCCAGACTATATTTCTCCAGTGCCCAAAAATGTTTCAAGGATGAGATAAGACTGGTTTGAAAATAAATGGATAATGAACATTGTGAATTTTCCTAAAGGTCACAAGTTGGACAATGAAAAGAAAGAAATTTAGATACTACATATTGAGGTAGGTCTTGCAAGGTGGCAGAACCACCTTTCTGTAGAAACTCATTGACACGGGCAGACCAATTAAATTGGGAGGGAGGACTGGGCTAGGAATGCTAAAAATAGTGATATCTAATTGCAGACAAAGGTTTTAGTAGGTGTGAGGGAGCCTTCCATATTTGCAATTGTTATTCTCTTGTTCCTCTTCCCTTTCCTTTTCTATTGTTCCCTCTCATTTCTTTTTATTGGCTACCATGAGAAAGAGATAAGATGCTGGAGGTGACAGCTCTGATTTGGCAGTGCCCTGAAGATTTTGTTTTCCTCTAGTCTTAATACAGAGCACTGTCTATATTGCAAAGTATAATAATGAATTTAAAAAATTGGCCGGGAGCGGTGGCTCACGCCTGTAATCCTAACACTTTGGGAGGCCGAGGCAGGTGGATCACCTGAGGTCAGGAGTTCAAGACCAGCCTGGCCAACATGGCGAAACCTCGTCTCTACTAAAACTACAAAAGAAAAAAAAATTAGCCGGGAATGGTGGCACGTTCCTGTAGTCCCAGCTACATGGGAGGGGGGGTGGGTGCTGAGGAAGGAGAATCACTTGAACCCAGAAGGTTGCAGTGAGCTGAGATCCCGTCATTGCACTCCAGCCTGGGCGACAGAGCAAGACTCCATCTCAAAAAAAAAAAAAAAAAAATTAATGAACGTTTCTGATTGAATTAATAAAAGTTAGGTCTTACAAAAGAAGGGGAACAAGTTCGTTTGCATCCGCTACTCTGGCCTCGCATGGTATTGATGACTTGATGCCAGATGTCCCATTTGTTTCTCAGAGACATCTTGTGAAATGAGACCTGGAATCAAAATATTTATATATTAGAAAACAGCATTGCCCTTTTTTTTATTAGTTTTTTTTATTTTTTATTTTTTGAGACGGAGTCTCGCTCTGTCGCCCAGGCTGGAGTGCAGTGGCGCGATCTCAGCATTGCCCTTTTATATACAAGAATCCTGCTAGCCAACATAAAGGGGCCCCAGATGGAGGCAAGAAGGAAGACCTATGACATCTGAGTGGACCAGATCCACCACCAAGTACCATCTTTCCCCTTTACAGCAAACGATTCATAACCGAAGATTCGTGATGCTTCCAAACACTAGAGATTATTGAGAAACCATAAAGGAGTCTCCAAGTGAATTTGATCTTAAGTTACCATCACTGCTAAATAAATACAATTATTATATGAAAATGACTTGTCTCCACATCTGATTAGCAGCTATTCTGTGACTCTCTTGAGATTAAAAAAAAAACACACTTTTTATCTTCATTTCTCTTTTGAAGTTTTACATTCTCATCAGCTAACACATTGCCTGTTATTTAATAGGCATTTAACAAATATTAGGTAAATAAATAAATATAGCCAAAAATCAATCAAATCGAAAAATACTAGTTTTTATGGCACTCAAGGGCCTTGGGCTTCTGATAATCTGAAACAGTTCTCTGCTATGTTCCTGTTTCTGTGATTTTTGTATCTGCAATTCTAAATTTGGTTGAGTTCATTCAACGTTTGAGTTTAAATATCCAAATTAAATATCAAGAGACTATCATGAAAATTAATATATTTATTAAGAAGTATGTCCTCTAAATTCCTTTAGTATTTTATTTTGATTGAAGGTAGGTAACTATAAATAACTTCTGGAAATGACTTTTTAAAGCTTCGGAGCACATACTTTGTGTCAGATGTCATCCTGAGCATTTTCATATATATCATTTAATCATCCACAACCATGCATATGATGTCAATCTTATTCCACCTTCTGACGACTCACTCCAGAATGAAGGACCACATCCAAGGTCATTCAAATAGTGGTGGAACTGAAATTTGAATCCATGTGTGTCATTAGTGGCAACCGAATATAAATATAAAAATGAAATATTCTTTTAAAAATAACTCAAGATTCTTGAGGATCAATCATGAGTGCACCATATTTACCCAGACGCTCTGTCAAAGAATGCCATTTATCAGGAAACTACTTCTCAAGAACTTTAACAATTTAGTTTCTCAAGTGATTGATTTCGGAGTTGACTCTCATTAGATTCTTGCAGGCTATGTTTAGCAAAATGGATTATGTAATCCATTTTTTTGAACTGAATTTTTATTATCAAATATATTTTCTAGTCAACTAGTCACGATTGAACTTTTTGATGGCTTCAACTTCAAAACTACTTCTTACATAATTTTAAAATCCAGCACTAAAAAATATGTTGAGAAACATAAATTAGCATTTCTAGAGGGGAAGAATGAATGTGCATTATTCAAATTTTCTCTGGTAAAGTGGTGAAGTGGAAGGACTAATGCAGTGTAATCACTCTAACCCTTGCCAGTATATTACTGTAAACAAGTCAGTTCATCTCTTTAAGCCTTGGTTTTCTCATCTGCAAATTGGGAATCATAAAAACACACATCTTTTCAAATTGCTTTTCAAATTGCCATGAGAGCACAGAGGAAATGTCTGTAAACAGAGTTTGTAAAACTCTAAAACAAATGCAATTTCTAGAAAGAGTTTGCGGTGCTACAGGCCAGTCTTGCTTTCTATGTTGACAAGAGCAGGCTCAATTTTCGCCAGCGGAACAGTCATCAGCACTTACTCAAGAATGAATCCATACCAGCCAGTTATGTTGAAGCAGTAAATCAAGGTGGCGCTATGACTGATAGACCATTTGTTTATTATTGAGTCTATTGTTTTCAATTGTTGTGTCCACCACTTTTCACTCTTAATCCTGGAAAGTTAAAGAAGCTTCATTGAAAAATATCATAGTTATTAACATCATCATAATTACCTTATAGTGATTAAGTGGATCATAATGATATGTTCATTCTGTCTTCTGTTTAAAACACAGTCTATGTGGGAGAGAGCCCTGATGCCTTTGCAACAGTCGGGTGTGTACCATCATAACCTGGCATATTTCCAGCTGGGGTAATTGCATTCTGTTCACCAAAAATTCCCTGTAGTTTTCCCTGGAGAAGGTCTCCCTCATTTCCTGCTCAAAACCAGCTGTGCTGTGGGGCTGGAAACAGCTGCCACATCGCTACCCTGAGGTAGCTGTGTTTCAACACGGGTTCAAACGAGGCTTGAGAGAACACCAATGAGTATCCAGACATGTCTTTAGCTGTGAAAAACAGCAAAGCCTTCCCAATCACACATATGAGTAGATGCTATAATTGGGGAGGGGGATATAGCTTTATTTTTGCATGTATTTTAAAACAGAAAAAGCTCATCCGTTACATAAGATCATGTACGTCCTGCTGCCACAGCTCTAATCGGTGAACTAACAGTCTATTTTATTTTAATTGTTCATAGTGAAAGATGACCTTGTGCACCTCCTAATTAATTACTGAGTTTCTTGCAGGACTCTCCAGTTGGAGCTAAAATTGATAGAAAACCTAGACCTCTTTCTGAACTATAATGTTGCAGATGTATTTTTGAATGAGAACATGATTCTGTTTACATGATGCTTAGTGAAAGGGACAATGTAGATGTTTGTGGCTTCGTGTGGGCCTCCCATAAAACCCCATGCAGAAGATGAAACATGACACCTGCTTTGTAAGCCATCCAAGACTCCTACCCCCAGTCCATACGTTTCATATGTATGTAATCAACTTTTATTGGTTCTTGAATTACATTCTGTGAGCACAGAACTCCCCTTTGCCAATTTGAGCACAATCACAGAGCTTGGAAGTGTCATTAATAAAAGGCCTTGTGGTTTGAGCTCAGTGAAATGTTTATAAGAACTCTCGCTTCTACCAATACTGATTTTGGTGGGAGAAAAGATTTAGAGAAGATATTTCACAAAAAGAAAAATAGATGGCATCAAAATAGAACCTTTATAAGCTAAAGGTGAACAAACTTTCATTCATTTGTTCTCTACTGAGTGCCTCCTGTATAAAAGATATAAAGTAAGTATACATGATCTAGATGGGTCCATCCAGGAACTCACACAGAGGTGACCTATTCCTAATCAATCAAGTGTTCACAGAGTGTTATCATCTGAAAGGGAAGCATGTAATCACAGAAGAATATTTATAGAAACAGCAAGTCATAAATACACCATGGTCCAAACCAGAACTTTCTGTTCATCTTTGCACATTCAGGAACTCAGTCAGGTTGGCAGAATGGTCTCATGTCTAGACTGACAGTAACCAAGCTCATTAAAGTCAGATGTACAGCTTCCAAAATGTTATTTGACTCAGTTTGACAAAATGCTCAAAATACTAATGTGGAACAAAATATTTACTCTTTGTAGGTAGATACACCGAGAAAGACACTGAGGCTTAAAGTTGCTTAGTGAGCAGAGCATCAGGGCCCAGAAAGTGGAGACGTGGTTCTGACACCTGGCTAGGATAACTCCACACCTGCATCACCACCAGAAAGACTCTGTGTGAGGGACTAATTTTACTTGGACACTTTTTGGGCACTGTCAGGTCTAGATGGCTGGATGTCCCGTTTTTGTGGCCTTGGCTGCTCATAAAGGGTTTTCTCCTGATAAGCATAACAAAGGTATCTATTTCTTACATGATATCCTCATTCCGATTCTAATTCTCAGACATTATTGTTGAGCCCCCGGATTGGGATTTAAGCTGTACCCACACTTCAATGCACAGTGAGAAATCGTTTGCTAGGTTGGAGCCCACAGAGGGCTAACACACCCATTATGTGTGGATTTGATTATTTTAAATCTCAGAGAACAATATTGATTCCAGCGTTAGCAACCACCTATTGTCACCTCCAGGAGGAATCAGATTGTGTGCAATGCAAACTTCATCCACCATGCACAACCCACAAGCATGTACCTTTGTACATAAGGTCCTATTTTGGTCTGGGTCCCATTTGGGACCTATGTCTTTCCTATGTCCCATTTGGTCTGGCTCTTCATCTTCTGCATGTAATTCTAAGCCATTCGCATCTCCCAGGCTTCCCTTTTGCCTTTGATAACTTCTTTGCATGTACCTTCCTTCAAATATTTCTTACATCTACCTCTTTCTGATTATTCTCATTGCTGTTATTGCGAATCAGATCCTGGCTACTTCCAAACTGACCTACCATGAACATTTTATTGCCTCTGAACCAAGCTTTCACATTCATCAAGTCACTTCCCAGCACAAAACTCTTCACTGGACTCTCTACCCTATAGCCAAGATTCCATACTCCTTAGCCTGGATTCTGAGACTCTCCACAATGTAACCACAAGCTATATATAGTCAACAAAGTACATCTTTCAGCATCTGAAGACCTGGACTCTAGGTCCACTTCTACTGGTTATAAGCTTAATAAAACCATTTCAATACTGTGAATCTTAGGGGTATTTTTTACCTAGGGAAACACAATACTTGTCTACTGCAGTGGTGGAAAGGATCTCAAGAATAATCTTCTGTAGAATATCCATGCCTCTGAACTCCTTTAGTCATACTTCCAACATTCCCCTTCCAACTTGCTCTTCATTTCTATGTCACCCTAGGATCAGTTGCCTATCTCCCTGGCTGTAGGACAATTTTAGAGTCCACTCTGATCATTAATTCTTCTCACCATCTCCTCTGCATTTAGGCAAATTGGGGTAGATTCCAGATCTTTAAATAGTTTTAGAGAGAGCAAAATCATGTTAGGCAGATTAACAACAAATAACGAAAGCCCTGAAATACTAGAGAAATCTGTTCTTTATTCTATAGACAGTGGAGACTCCATAAAACTCAAATGATGGCCAATATCAATATAATATGCTACTTTCTGAGGAATATTTAATCCCTTAACACTGAAGACAAAAAAAAAGAAGGAATGAATTCAAAGAACACATGCAGCTCTGGAAATTTTATTGGACTTACTAAAGAGAATTTTGGTCTGAGAACTGCCAATTGCCATCAAATCCTTCTAGTTAGATCTCTGCTCTAAATGGGATTAAAATCAGTAAAACTTAAGTTCTTTCTCCCCTGCTTCTTCTCCCGCTCCTCTTTTTCTTGTCTTTCTCCTCTCTTCTTTCTCCTTCTTCATAATTGTCAATGTGTTGCTATTTACAGAGAAAATACATTCATATTTGTTTTTCATTCATGAAGTAAGTTGGATGACTGTGATGCTCCCTGTGTACAGACTATGCAATCAAAGTTCACACAGAACTAGTAACTTGCCTGAGGTCACACAGCTAGTAAATGGAAAGCTATGACCTGAACTTTTTTCTTATAAATCTAAGATTTGTGTTTTGTCTTTAAAAGCAGTAGTGCTTTTATCATCATGCACTCAACTATTAACAAGTGTTCCAAATTTTAAGCATTCTTGCAACTGACAGGTTTAGAATGAAACTCCAAAACAATGAAAGAAAATAAAGCAATCTTTTACATAATAGATATAACAGATAAAATAATGTATTAATGAACAACTCATGAATTTATTTTGCTTTTATTTTCAAAGGAAGGGGTCAAAGCTCTTTTATTCTGGAACAATTATTGTATTTCTGTCTTTCTGCCTATGCCTTCCATGTATTTATCAGGGCAGTGGGGAAATACAGGCATACTCTCCTAAATCATGTGTCTTCTGGCTTAAAAAGTGAGTATCTTCTTTTCAAGATGACACTTCAACTGAATATGGATATGAAGTTGCTGGCAGAGTTATCTACCCACATTAATTGTCTTCTTCAGAGTAATTATTGTCCACTTACTACATTAAGGGTAAATTTATCATTTTCTCCCATTGTTGATCAAATTTTGGATTTCATTCTGAAGAAAGACTTCACAACTGTGCTAAGAATACTTCACCAAGAATGCATGATGGATCTCATTAGTTCTCATGCTTTGATTTTCTTGAACTTCCATGGGAGTCCCTGATTGGGGTCCAAAGAGGACTCATGATAGCTTTCTAATCTGGGTGGAAAATAGGATTGGGGTAACAAGAAAGAAGAAAGATGATGAAGTCTCTGGGGCAAGCTTTACATGGAATCAGGATTTTAAGTCAATGTAACCCTAAAATATTTTTTTCAGTTTATTTATCCTCTTATTTTTCAAGATTGGGAAGCAATTTCAAGGACAAGGGACTTGCCCAAAATGATGAGGCTGGTCAGTGGCAGCTGGGGTTGTCCATTTATTCATGCATTTGCTTGAACTCAGAGGTCCCCAGATGACACTCCCTCACTGGGTGTCATGCTGTCTTCCAATGGGCCACTGTCATGTCCTTTAAAATGCTGGTACCTTGTCATTCCTTCTTCATAGAATGACCTTTCTTTTGTTTTTTTTGTTTTTTTTTTTTTTTTTTTACATGCTTTATTCTCTTTGGTCATTGCTAAAATGTCACCTCTACAGAGACATCTTCACTGACCATATTTTCTGTAGTAGATCTTCTCCTCACTTTCTCTCCCTGTGTTACATTTCTCTACATCACCTTTCAACTTGTCTGTTACTTGTTGCTTTAAACTTGTTTGTTACTCATTGTCTCCATCTCATATTGGCATGTAAGCTCCACTGCAGGCAGGATCTTTATATAAAGCAGGGATTCAATTAATATTTGACCAATGAAGGTTGGAGGTTTGGATGGGTGGATAGATGGCTTCATGTTGTGGAGTCACAAGAATTGCAAGAGCCAATTCGACTTATGAAAGGCCCTTAAAAATACAGTCTTTTATTTAGTTTTGTTTGATTTACTTTTGTTTCCCCATAAAAATTCTGCAAATCAGAAACTTAAAAAAAATTATCTGTGTCTAGGAGGGTAGCTTGAGGTCTCCAGCCATGTATCTTGCCAAGTGTCTCCAAGATGCTGCCCCTTCCAGGCCTTGAGGATTTGCTCTGGCCTCTGTGTATGGGCAGGGGAATATGACTTCGCTCGTAATAGCAAGGGCTAGTGAATGTGATCTGGAGCCAGGAATAAAATTCGTAGTAAGACTCTGGAACAAGAATAGTGAGCATGAGGTGAGAGGAATGCTCCTCAAAAAGCCTGTGGTGTGGCAGGTTTTGCAGAAAGAGAGAATGAAAGACAACAGGGGATGGCTAGCCAATGAGATGGCACAGGCTTCATCTCTTCTCTGTTTTGGCTAAAATCCTCATATCTATATACTGACATGTAAATCACCATAAAATGTTGGAGAGTCTTCTTTTGTGGCAAAATAATTGCAGCAGATATCAGAAGACCTATATTCTGATCCCACGTCTGCCTTGAGAAGTCATGCCTACTTTCTGTGCCTCAATTTCCTTATCTGTAAAATGGCCTTATTTCTAAAATCCTTGCCCCATCTGAGTCAGAAGGTTGGGGAGCTGATGAGCTAATTTTCTAATTACTTTGCTTAGTTGTGAAGTCGTACACAAATGAGCAGTCTCACTTATCCATCATAAAATCTTACTAAATGGTGTCTTGCTTTGTTTGGTTCAGAAAGAAATGTTTATCCTGATCGTGCATTCTGAGAGTTCACAGGAATTTTAAATCTAATTTGATTTGTCTGATTTTGACTTTCCCTCGACTTCCTATTTCAAAAGTGAAACTAAAGGAGGATCTATTTCTCTTTGGTTTCAGGTTCTAACAGTGGGGCTTTTTTTTTTTTTTTTTTTTTTTTTTTTTTTTTTTTTTTGCATTCTGATTGCAAGCACTGCCTAACAAAGCCATATTTAAACGCAGGGAAATGTCACTTACATGTTACAAAGCTCACAGAAGCAAGTCTGTCTCTGCTGAATCTTTGAAGATGCTGCTTAATAAAACCGAGAGATCTTTCTGTCCAACAAAACCTCTGTGCATATTTTTGATGAAAGGGGTAAAAAGGGAAAAAAGAGCAAGGTGATCACAACAATGGTTTTTCATTACAGTTAGATACCTCCAAGGTTTAGCGTGGCAAAGCCTATCAGAAAAGATTGGGTATTAATTATGAAGGTACACTTCAATTTATCAGCAAAGGATATCAAACAGGCCAAACGCCACAGTCTCTCATATAATTTATCTCTTCCTTGTAGGGAGGCAGATAGCAACGATTTGCAAATTGCCTCCTCTGCAAAAAGAAGGGAGAAAAACATACACACACAACACACAATTAAAAGCAGATAAGCATCAGGCAATGTGTCACATTTTCAGCAGAAAGCCAAAAGTGGAGGTCTTAATCTCTGGGGTTGGTTTGCTGCAAATGCACTCCCTGATACTTCCCTTGACGTGACTATTTAACTCCTATTAAAATTAATAGGGGTCAGGCCTGATCATCAAGGGAGAAAGGGCCTCCTGGCGCAGATAGGCTTCAAGTAATAAGGATTTGGTGATTACTATATTATTTGTCCGTTCATTTTCAGATTATCTTGTAAGTGTGTGCTCCTTGTGCTCTTTGGTCCAATTATGAAGAATAACATGTCGCATAGAATCTATTTTTATTAAAGCAAACTTCTTTTCTTAAGAAGCATATAATTTGAGAGGGCATATTGGCAGGATCCTAATGCAGAGAGCTCAAAACTTTTTCCCCCAAATAAATACTGTCACTTTTTCTAAACTAGGTGTACTTTTATGAATCAACTGGGACCTCTGACCCAAAGATTGGGACAGCATCAATCCATAGAGAAATCCCACTCAAACATGACTTGGGTAATAGGAGAGTGTAATTTTTCTGAAAAAAAAAAAAAAAAAAGTGATCTGAACTTAGAGTCAAATGATAAGCAAAAATCTAAAATATCAGTGCTTAACAAAATTATCTGGACTCAGTTTACTCTTCTGTTAAATGGGGAGAATAAAAACACAGGCCTCAAGATCATTACAAAGACCATGAAGAGTGATGTGAGCTTGTACAAGGTGCACCAGTCACCTAACACCAGACTCTCATCTCTGCACTGAGGTGATTCAGGAAGAACAAAAGAGTCAACATCTATTTGCAATTTTTCTAAGTACTGCAGACTCCGAATCTTGCCAATTAAAGAAATTAGAACAACAACAATAATAAACATAGTAACATCAGCAGCATAATTTTATACAAGAAAGGACATTTTAAAGGCACAGGGACAAAAGCATTTCTTTGAAACAAAGAAAGTTATTGTCATGAAAATCATGCTGCATCTCTTATTTTTCTCATTTCACTGCAGACTGGTGAAAACAACCTCTCAAACCACCTCTGTTCTACAGGTAGGCATTTAGAAGCCTCTGAAATGGACCATCAGGACAGCCACAGATAAGTTCAGTAGCTCACAGAGAAAGTGATGATTAAGCAAGAAGAAGGCAGTTGAGCTTTTTCTTACTTTCTCATCTGCAGATCAAAATGCCATAATATACATACACCTAAACAAGGGTACTTCTGTCTCAATTTTTTGTCAACCTTTACTCTCCTTTTCCACACATGTCATTGGATCAAGCTTGCTACTTTTACTGCTTGAATCATCCTTCATAAATTTTGGTTTGATTAAAGCTTTTTGGTTTCAAAGTCTATTTTGTCAGATATTGATATTGTATTCCAGCTTTCTTTTGGATTGTACTTTTACAGTCTTTTTCAAAAAACTTTTTATCCTAAACATTTCTGTGTCATTTGTATGTGTCCCCCTTATAAATAGATTACAGATGAGAATTGTTTGCTTGTTTGTTTAATTAACTTTTTATTTTAAGATAATTCTAGATTCACAGGAAGTTGTGAGAAATTGTAAAGAGTACCGTCATAACTCTAGTGTGCTATCACAGCCAGGATATTGACAGAGGTGTGGTCAAGACACTGAACACTTCCATTAACATGAGGTTCCCACTGGTTACCCTTTAATAGCCATGTCCACCTCCCTCTGCCCTCACCCGTCCTAAACCCATGGTAACCACTGCTCTCTTCTCCCTTTCTACAATTTTCTTATTTCAAGAATGGTATATAAATGGAATCACGCTGGCCAACATTTTGAGATTGACTCTTCTCTCTCAACATAATTCTTTTGAAATCCATCCTGATCATTGTATAAATCAAATTAGTTCCCTTTTATTGCTGAGTAGTATTCCATAGTATGGATGCATTGAAGTTTAACAATTTACTCATAAAATGATATCTAGGCTATTTCAATTTTTTTGCTACTATAAATAAAACTGCTATATTTGTGTACAGATTTTTGTGTAAACTTAAGTCTCCATTTCTGTGGTATAAATTGCTCATGTCTCTGATATAAATTGCTCACTAAACATTGCAATTGCTGGATCATCTGGTAATTACATATTTAATTTTTGAGAAACTGACAAACTGTTTTCCACGGTTGCTATACCATCTTCCATTCCCACCAACAATGTATGAGTGATCTGATTTCTCTGTATTCTCATCAGCATTTGATATTGTCACTATCTTTTATTTTAGCCATCCTGATAGATATGTAGTCCTGTCTTGTGGTTTTAATTTGCATTTCACTCGTGGCTAAGACATTGAACATCTATCTTTTCATGTGCCTATTTGCTATAACCTATCCTCTTTAGTAAAATGTTTTGTTATTTTTTGACCATTTTCCAATTGGATTGTTTGAGCTTTTTGTTTGTTTATTATTGAGTTTTGAGAATTCTTTATATAGTCAGGATAATTGTTCTTTACCAGATATGTGGCTTGTAAATATTTTCTTTTATTCTGAAGCTTGTATTTTCATCTTCCTGACAGTGGTTTTAACAACGCAAAAGCTTTTAATTTTGATGAAATCTAACTTATCCATTTTTCCTTTGATGGATTGTGTTGATGTCAAGTCTTTGCCTATTTCTAGATACTAAAAATGTTCTCTTATGTTTTTCTCTAAAACATTTATGGTTTTACATTTAAGTCCCTCATCTCTTTTAGATTTATTTTTTGTGTAACATGTGAGATGTAGATCATTTAAGTTTTTTTTTCTTTTTCCCCTGGATGTCCAGTTGCTCCAGCACCATTTGTTGAAAAGGTTATCCTCCTCCACTGAAGTGTTTTTGCATTTTTGTCAAAAATCATTTGGTATATTTGATTTGGTATATCTGTTTCTGGGTTCTCAATTCTTTTCCATTGATCTACGTGTCTATTTCTATTCCAACACCACAGTTTTGATTACTGTAGCTATATAAAAACGTCTTAAAACTGTGTAAACAGGGTCTTCCCACTTTATTCTTCCTTTTAAACATTGTTTTAGTTTTTCTATTCCTTCTGCTTTTTTATATAAATTTTATAATAATCTAGTCTATATGTACAAAAAAAACTTGCTGGGATTTTTATAAAAATCACATTAAACCTGTCTACCAATCTGTGGATTGCTGACATCTCTACTATGTTAACGCTTCCGATACATAAACATGATATGTTTTTCAATTTTTTAAGAATTCTTTTTATTTATTTTTTATACACATTGTGCACATGTTTATCTGTTTTATACTTAAGTATTTTTATTTTTGAAATCTTTATAAGTGGTATTGTATGTTTAAATATTAGTGCCCATATATTCATTGCTACCATACAGAAATGTAATTAATTTTTTTTGTCTTATATCCTATGATTTTGTTGAACTCAATTATTATTTCCAGGATTATTTTGTAAATTTCTTGGGATTTTCTACTTAAACTGTTTACTTTTTCTGTCCTTTTATAAAACATCTTTAGGCCAGTCACAGTGGCTCACACCTGTAATCCCAACCCTTTAGGAGGCCAAGTGGGATGAATTGCTTGAGCCTGGGAGTTCAAGAACAGCCTGTGCAACATGGCAAAATCCTGTCTTTACAAAAGCAATACAAAAAAAAAATTAGCTAAGCGTGGTGGTACACTCCTATAGTCCCGGCTACTTGGAGGCTAAGGTGGGAGTCCTCCCAAGAGTCCAGGAAGTCAAGGTTGCAGTGAGCCACAATCACTCCAGCCTGGGTGACAGAGCAAGAACCTGTCTCAATAAAAAAATAAAATAAAATAAACAGAACTCTTTAGTCTCAACGTTTATGTTTCATTGTTTTATGTATACCTCTTGCAAATAGAATATAGTTGGAAACTATTTTGTTTTTGCTTCAATGTAAATACCTTTCTTATAACTAGCAAGTTTCACTTATTTACATTAATTGTGACTAATAATAAATTTAAATTTATTCAATAATTTTATTTTTCTATTTTTCATGTTTCCTTTGATATTTTTACCTTAGAATCTCCCTTCTTTTGAGTTAATTGAATTGTCTTTATTATTTTATTTTATCTCCTCTTGTATCTGTGTTTTCCTTTATATTATATGTAAACAACATATTTGACATTGCTGGAACTTGTATATACCACCCAGGGGCCCACAAAATAGGGGCTCATGAACTAGCCCACTCAGAACCCACCACCATCACCACTGGCACCAGTGTATACCATTTAGGGGCTTGAGAATTGGCCTACCCTGAACCCACTGCTGCTACTGCCAGAATTTGTCTCCTCCAGTGGTGGGGTCACTACATGGCCATGTGTGCTCCTTAGGGACCTGAGGACCTGCCCTGCCCCCAGTAAAACCACCTCACAACCTTTACAAACAACCACAGTCTAAGCCACTGAGGAATTTGCAGACAGTGCTGCTTTTCTTACATCCAAAGAAAGCATATAGAGACTACGCTACTGTGCCCACCGAGAACCAAAGTTAAAGCATGCTGCCCAACCAACACTATCAATACATCTACAGGAAAAAGTCTTTCCCTATGAAAATTACTCTATAAAATTGGAAGAAGTGACTGTTATACCAGATATGAAGATATCAATGTGGGGACACAAGAAACATGAAAAAAAAAAAAAGGAAACATGATAACTCCAAAAGAAAACAATAGTTCTCCTGTAACAGCTCCTGAAGAAAAAAATATATAAAATGCCTGAACAAAATAAAAGTAATGATTTTTAAGGAAACTCAGCAACACACAAGAAAACAGAGATAGAAAATGTGAAGAAATAAAAAAAAGAACAATTCATGATCTGAATGAGAAATTAAGCAGAGATAGATAAAATTAAAAATAGAAATCTTAGAACTAAATAATTCAATGAATAAAAAATGCAATAAAATACTTAAACTTGATTAGATCAAGCAGAGGAAAAAATATCCGCACTAGAAGACAGGTCTTTTGAAATAATTCAGTCAGACAAAAAAAAAAGTAAAAGATTTTTTAAGAAGCCCATGTGATATATGTGACACCAGTAAGTGAAAAATATTTACATTTTGGGAGTTCCAGAAGGAGAAAAGAGGGGGAGAGTCACAGAAAAGAAATTTAATAAAATAATAGCTGAAAACCTCCCAAATTGTAGGAGAGATATAGACATTCAAATACAAGAAACTTAAATATTCTCAAATAGATTTGACTCAAAATGGTCCTCTCTAAGGCACATTTTAATTAAACTGTCAAAAGTCAAAGACAAAGAGAGAATTCTAAAACCAGCAAGAGTGTCAAGTCACATGTAAGAGAATCCTCATTAGACTAAAAGCCGATTTCCCCCCAGAAACCATACAGGCCAGGAAAGAATGGGATAATATATTCAAAGTACTGAAAGAAAGAAAAAAAACAGAGAGAGAAGAAAAAAAACTATCAGCCAAGAATATTATACCCAGCAAAACTATCCTTAAAAAGTAAAGAAGACTGGGAGGCTGAGGTGGGTGGATCACGAGGTCAGGAGATCGAGACCATCCTGGCTAACACAGTGAAACCCTGTCTCTACTAAAAAATACAAAAAATTAGCCAGGCATTGTGGTGGGAGCCTGTAGTCCCAGCTACTCAGGAGGCTGAGGCAGGAGAATGGCATGAACCTAGGAGGTGGAGCTTGCAGTGAGCCAACATGGCACCACTACACTCCCGCCTGGGTGACAGAGAGAGACTCCGTCAAAAAAAAAAAGAAGAAGAAGCAAAGTATTTCCCAGACAATTAAAAACTAAGGCAATTTATGACCTCTAGACCTACCCTACAAGAAATGCTTAAAGAAGTCTTCCATCTAGAAATGAAAGAACAGTATCTGCCATCATGAAAACACACAAAAGTATACAACTCACTGGTAGAGCAAAAACACAAATGAGAAAGGAATAAAACATAATCACTACAGAAGGCCACCAAGACCTCAAAGGCAAACAATAAGAGAGCAAGAATGGAGCAAAATGTATACAACACAATCAGAAAACAATACACATAAAATCACAGAAGTATGTGCTCATCTATCAATAACAGCCTTCAATGTAAAAGGTTTAACTTATCTTATTAAAAGATACAGCCTGGGGGAATGGATTAAAAACAACAACAACAACAAACAAGAAGAATCAACAGTATGCTGCCTACAAGAAACTCATTTCACCTTCATCTGTAAAGACACTATAGACTGAAAGTGAGGGGATCAAAAAAGATAGTCCAGCCAAACAAAAACCAAAAGCATGCAGAAGTAGCTAAACTTACATCAAACAAAATAGACTTTAAATGAGAAAAACATAAAAAGAGACAAGGTCATTATGAAATGATAAAGGGGTCCATTCAGCAAGAGAATATAATAATTATAAATAGATATGCACCCAACACCAGAGTACTCAGGTATATAAACCAAATATTATTAGAGCTAAAGAGATATATCTCAACATAATAATAGTTTTGGACTTCAAAAACCTACTTTCAGCATTGAAAATATCATCTAAAGAGAAAATCAATAAATAGATGTCAGATTTAAACTGCAGTGTGGACTCAATGGACCTATCAGATATTTACAGAAAATTTTATCCAACAGATACAAAATACACATTTTTCTCATGAGCATATGGAACACTCTCAGGGATAAGCCATATGTTGGGCCACAAAACAAGTCTCAACAAATTTTCAAGAAATTGAAATCTTATTAAGTATATTTTCATACCACAATGGAACAAAATTAGAAATCAATATCAAGAGAAACTTTGAAAACTGTACAAATACCTGTAAATCAAATGATGTGCTCTTGAATGGCCAATGGCTCTTTGAAAAATTAAGAAGGGAATTAAAATTTATCTTGAAACAAATGAAAATAGACACACAACATATCAAAATCTATGGGCTACAACAAAAGTAGTACTAAAGAAGTTTACAGCAAAAAATTGCCTACATCTAAAAAGTAGAAAGATGCCAAATAAACAACCTAACAATGTGTTTCAAAGAAGTAGAAAATCAAGAACAAACCAAGCCCAAAATCAGTAGAGGAATAGCAATAGTAAAGATGATAATAGAACTAAATGAAATGGAGAAAAAAAATACAAAAAATCAACAAAACAAAAGGTTGTTTTCTGAAAAAATAAAAGAAATGCCTAGCTTGACTAAGAAAAAAATAGAGAAGACCCAAATGAATAAAATCAGAAAGAAAAAGGAGACGTTTAACTGATAACACATAAATATAAATAATCATTAGAGACAATTATAAACAACCATATGCCAACTAATCGGAAATTCTAGAGAAAACGAATAAATTTCTGGACACACATAACATACTAAGATTGAACCAAGAATAAATAGAAAACCTAAAAAGTCTAATAATGAATAACAAGATTAAATCAGTAATAAAAAGTATCCCAATGAAGAAAAGCCCAGGAGCAGATGGCTTTACTGCTGAATTCTACTAAACTTTTAAAGAATTAACATCAGTTATCTGTAAACTATTCAAAAAAGTTAAAGAGAAGGTCATTCTTCCTTATTCATTCTAAGAAGCCACCTTTACCCTAATCCTAAAACCAGACAAGGATACTACAAATTCTAGGCAAATACCCTTTATGCCTACAGATGCAAAAATCCTCAACAAAATACTAGCAAACTAAATTTAACAGCGTATCAAAAATACAACACACCATGATCAAATGAAATGTATCTAAGAGTTGCAAAGAGGGTTCGACATACTCAAATCAATAAACATGACACATCACATCAACAGGATGAAGAAAAAAAACATATGATCATCTCAACAGATACAGAAAAAGCATTTGATAAAATTCAACATCCTTTCATAGTAAATCTCTCAATACCTTAGACATAGAAGGAATATACCCCAACACAATAAAAGTGAGATATGAAAAACTCACAGCTAATATCATACTAAATGGAGAGAAGCTAAAATCTTTTCCTCCAAAAACTAAAACAAAAAGGGATGTCCATTTTTACTGTTCTTGTTCAACATAGTACTGGAAGTCCTAGCTAAAGTAATTGGCAATAGAACATTAAAAAAAAATCCAAATTGGAAAAGAAGGTGTCAAACTGTCCTTCTTTTTATATGAAAGAAATCTTATGTATAGAAAATCTAAAGACTTCACAAGAAAACTCTTAGAACTGATAAACAAATTCAGTAAAGTGGCAGAATACAAAATCAACATAAAAAAATCAGTGATGTCTTTATACACCATCAACAAACATGCTGAAAAAGAAATAAAGATAGAAATTTCACTTTCCATAGCAACAAAAAATAATAAAATATTTTAAAACAAATTGAACCAAGGAGACGAAATATCTCTACAAGGAAAATTATTAATCATCAATGAAAGAAATTGAAGAGGACAAAAAAATGTTCATGGATTGGAAGAATTAATGTTGGTAAAATGACCATACTGCCCAAAGCAATCTACAGCTTCAAAGCAATTTCTATAAAATACTCATGGCCTTCTTCAAAGAAATATAAAAAAAATTCTAAAATTCATGTGGAATCATGAAAGACTCCAAATAGCCAAAGCAATACTGGACAAAAATAACAAAGCTAGAGGCAGCATACTACTGACTTCAAAATATAGTACAAAACTATAATAACAAAAAGTGTATGGTATTGATATGATAACAGGCACATGAACCAATGGGACATAATAGAGAAACCATAAATAAATCTACATATTCATAGCCAATTGATTTTGTTTTTTGAGACACAGTCTCACTCTGTCACCCAGGCTAGAGTGAGGTGGTGGGAACATGGCTCACTGCAGCCTCAGTCTTCTTGGCTCAAGCAATTCTCCCACATCAGATTCCTGAGTGGCTAGGCCCTTGGGCACATATAAACACACAAGACTAGTTTTTTTTTTTCTTTTTTGCTTTTTGCTTTTTTGGAGAGACAAGCTCTCACCATCTTTCTCAAGCCTGTCTTGAACTCTGAAGCTTAAGTGCTCCTCCTTTCTTGGACTCCCAAAGTGACAGGATTACAGACATGAGTGACTGTGCCTGGTCCCAACTAATTTTTGACAAAGACTCCAAGAGCATACACTGGGGAAAGGGAAGGACACAATTTGCAATAAATAGCTCAAGAAACCAAATATCCACATTCAGAAGAATAAAACTTGACCCCTATCTCTCATCATATACAGAAAGTAACTCAAAATGGATTAAAGATTTAAATGTAAGACCCAAACCATAAGACTGCTAGAAGAAAACATAGACGAAATGCTTCACAACATTGATCTAGACAAAGGTTTTATAGTTAGGACTTCAAAAGCACAGGCAACAAAAACAAAAGCTGATAAATGGGACCACATTGAACTAAAATGTTCCTACACAACCAAAAAAAAAAAAAATTAACAGAGTGAAGAGACAACCTGTAGAATGAGAGAAAATTCTGCAAACTATTCACCTGACAAGAAGCTAATATCCAGAATACACAAAGAACTAAAACAACTCAACAGCAAAATAATAATAATAATAATACATCTTTAAAATGGGTCATTTCTCAAAAAGAAAGGCATACAACGTGTACATAAAATAAATCTTCAACATCAATCACTAATTAGGGAAAGGCAAATCAAAACCATAATGAGATATCATCTCACTCCAGTTAGAATGGCTATTATCAAAAAGACAAAAATTAACAAATGCCAGCAAAGATGCAGAGAAAAGGTAACTCATAAACTGTTGATGGGAATGTAAATCAGTATAGCCATTATTGAAAACAGAATAGAGGTTTCTCAAAAATCGAACAATAAAACTACCATATGATCCAGCAATCCCACTACTAAGTGTTTATCTAAAGAAAATGAAATCAGTATGTCAAAGAGACACAAGCCCTCCCATGTTTATCACAGCACTATTAATAATCATGACATGGTATCATCCTAAATGACCATCAACATAAAAATGGATAAAGAAAATATGGTATATATACATAGCTGAATACTACTCAGCCATAAAAATAGAATGACATCCTGTCATTTGCTACAAGGTGGATGAGCCTGGAGGACATTGTGTTAAGTGAAATAAGTCAAGCACAGAAAGGTAAATACAGCATGTTCTCACTCATGTGAAAGCTAAATATGTTGTGCTCATAGAAGTAGCAAGTGTAATTTTCATTACCAGAGAATGGGAAGAGTAGTGGGGAGGAAAGGATAGGGGGACGCTGGTTAATGGACACAAAATTGTAGCTAGATTTGAGGAACAATTTCTAGTGTTCTATAGCGCTATAGGATAAATATAGTTCATAATAATTTAAAAAGCTAGAAGAGAAGATTTTGAATGTTCCCAACACAAAGAAATGATAAATGTTTGAAGCAGTGAATATGCTAATTACCCTGATTTGAGTATTACACAGTGTATACATGCATCAAAATATTACTCTGTATCCAGTAAATATGTAAAGTGATTATGTGTCAACTGAAAATAAAAGGAGAATATACACATTTGACTTAGCAAAGTCTAGTCAACATGATTGTTCCCTTGAATATTACAAGGACTACAGAGAATTTAATTCCCTCTTCTCTCTTTCACGGTATTACTGTCTAATATTTCAGTATTCTCTTGTTTTTAAACCTATTCAAAGGCATACTTATGATAATTACTGTTTGTTATAAATCTCTCTGTATGGTCAGACAGTTTATTTGCCTAGCATTGTATTTTTGCATTTCTCCCCTTCTTGTGTTTGAGTGTCCTTCCACTTGAATGTCCTCTGACAGTTCTTTCAGCAGAAGTCCCTGAGTGATAACCTGTCTTAGATGTCCTTTTTGCCTGAAACGCCTTACTTCAGTCTTGAATCAGCATTTAACTGGGTATAGAACTAGGATGAGACTTATATTTACTCAGTGCTTTGAGGATATTATTCTGCTGTCTTTCAGACATTGGGATTGAAGACAAGAAGTCTGTTGTCAGCCTAATTGTTAATCCTTTGCAAGTAATCTGACTTTTCTCACTGATTGCTTTTGAAATTGTCTCAGTCCTTACCATTTTCCAGTTCCACCATGAGTGTCTAGGTGTGAATTTATTTTTATTTTAATTTTCCTCCCCAGACTCAATATGCTGTGGCCCAAGATTGGCAACTACTAGAACTTAATCTTCTTCTCTCCGTACCGTTAGTTTGATGCTTCAGCAAATTAACAGTGTGAAGGACTCTCTTTGAATTTGCCTAAATGAAGCACACTTGCAGCTCAAACCAAGCAACTCGGGACTAAAAATGCAACAATAACTGTAGGGAGGACTTATAAGTAGAAGTAAAATATATTCTCAGCTTACAGAAGAAGAGAGAGTTCCTAGGCAAAATATACCCTGATATTTCAATAGGAGCATCTTTCTTTACTGGAGGACACTTGACTTAGCCTTTTGCCCCGACGCTACCTCTTTCTTTGATCATGAGTTAGTCCCTTTTCTTAGTTTTACCACCTATAATAGGAAAGACACACACAAACACACACACACACACACACACAAAAAGAGATAATCTTCAAACTCCTTTGCACTGCTAACATTCGGTGGCTTATATGTGACTCCGTTTTATTTTTTCCAGGGCTGGATGGATCATTCTGTCTCCCAAGTAGTTAAACAAGAGAGCCATGAGTGCAATTACCCACTTGGTGTGGAGAGCATGTGAGACATCCCTGTGTCTGTCTTGTCATCGAATGCTTGGGTTCTGGCACACCAACTGCCATGCCTCCTCCCCCTGACTTCCATCTAAAGTGATGCTAAGGGTCCGCATCTCATTTCCTTGACAAAAATGTCAACAGCATTATCTTATGCATGTGTTGTGCAGATAAGGGAAAGTCACGTTAAACAATCTGCTCCATTCACTTTGTGTTTACCGGCTTACGTCTTTATTTTTAATTCAGCAAAGCTGTGGTCTTTGTAGTGGAGGTGGCAAAGCCAATCTAAGTCACCAGCCCCAGAGGTGAGAGGGTCACCTTCCGCAGTGCCATCTTCTGCTTTGTTATTCTCTCAAGGAATTTTGCCATCGATTAGAAGGAATGGGAAGTTCTTTCTTTTTCCAGAGAAAACACATCCTATCGATTTTTGTATAAAAATCTCCTGGAAAATAATGAGCTTTCAGCACCCAACCTAGTTGGCCCTTTGTAGGGTGGAGAACAAGATGTATTTTCATGTGTGGAGTGTTCATGTATTTGAGCATTGAGCCTCAAGAAAGATTTCCCATCTTAAGTGAATAACAGTACTTTTTTGTCTAAATATTTCAGTAACAGGAATAAAAACAGCTACCATTCACTGACTGCTTACCTGCCAGGCACTCTACATAGCACCTGTTTTTCAGCCTTCATGACTACCTTGCAAGATAGGTACTGCTATATTTTCTACTTACGGACCAGGAAGCTGAAGATTACTAAGGTGCCTAAGATCATCTACCTTAAAAGCTTCCAGGTGGAATTTTGACCCCAGGTCTGTCTAAATCCATAACTTAGCTTTCAAGCTCTATCTTTTACTTCTCAGCTACAAACATATCAACAATCACAATGTTTGCTGTCCTGCATGCTCAACATATGTGACCAATGTACTCCTTAGAAAACAACAGCCTTACAGATGGCAAAGCCGAGGCGCAAAGACTGAGTGGCTCATCCAGGATCTCCTAAGGAAGGGAGGCCCAGCCCATTGGACTCCTAAATTCCTGATCATAACTACTGCACTACACAGCCTAGAGGGCAATTCTTCCATGAAAATGTGGCAGAAACATTGACTTCTGTTCACTTTCACAAATTTGTTAAAGAAGGACAATCCCTCTAAATGAATAGGAATTAGCATTCCTACCAATTTAACCCAGAATAAAGTGAAATGGAAATTGTCAACTTTTTTCCTTGAAGAAGATGTACATGGCCAGCAGAGGTAACTAGAGTTTAGAAAGACAGTTTGTTTATAGCAATAGAGGCATGCAGTTGAAAACAGGCTTTGTAAATAAATTATACATCACCATGGGGGGCTCATCTGAGAATTTTTTTTTTTTTTTGAGACAGTGTCTTGCTCTCTCATCTAGGCTAGAGTGCAGTGGTGCAATCTCAGCTCACTGCAGCCTCCACTTCCTGGGCTCAAGTGATCCTCCCTTCTCAGCTTCCTGACTAGCTGGAACTACAGGCATGCACCACTATACTGCGCTATTTTTTGTAGTTTTTGTGGAGATGGGTTTCTCCATGTTGCCCAGACTGGTCTCTAACTCCTGGCCTCAAGCAATCCACCCACCTCAGCCTCCCAAAGTGCTGGAATTACAGGCATGAACCCCTTCCCCCAGCATCATGCGAGAATTGTACACAGCATTGCTGTGGAGTGTTCAGGGACTACTGGCCCAAGTAAACTGAATAATTGTAGCAAACTTCCTATTTGTTTGTGTGGCAAAATAAATAAAAATGTGCATTATACAGGCAGGACAAAGTACCTAGGAATTCTACTTTTAGGAATCTATCCTATATATTATGATATATGTACAACGTTGTTTTGTGGCAAATTTGCGGGTATAGGTGTAACAGTGAACAGGTCAACAATTGCTATCAAGCTAAATAAACTTCATTAAATGTATTACAGTATACATATAATATAGAATACCAGACAGCTTAGAAAACATAGATCTCTCATGAAAAGCTTTCCAAACTCTATTGGTTAAAGTTAATTGTGATACAAAATAGATAGTTGAATTCCTATTGTGTAAAAAAATAAAATACTTGTGCAGACAAAAACATATAACAAAAAGCCTGAAGACACAAGATTGGTCACTGGTTACCTCCAGAGGGAAGATTCCTATAGCACAGAGAAGCTTTCTGCTTTTATGCTTATGCATTATTTGCCTTTTATTTCACAACCAGCCTTTCCAAGTGTTATTGTGTATTTAAACATTTACTCATTCACATTTTTTAAAATTAGAGATCAAACATCTAGTCCTAAAGATTCGCTTTACATTTGCAGTCCATTATAATAAAAAATGTGCTTTTGATAAATCAATGAAGCATTAGAAATTTGGAATTCCATGAATCGCACTTACATTGAACAGGTGGTAAACAATGAATACTTCTAGCACCAATTGTCCATTGGAGACTGGTCCCCTTCTCTTTACTGTAAGGATTGTTGAAAAACTTCAGCTGAAAACTATTTTACATCTCAATTACTCATGATTAATGTAATCAGATGGAATCAATTAATAAAGTCAAAATATACAGGGAGAATTAAAATAGCACAACCAACACATACAGTTATGCAGATATAAACAGAAGGGGGGGTAACTGCACACACCTAGCAATGAACACTCATGAGCGATTTGAAAAGTAACTTTGCAAGGTTAATTACTGGTGCATTATGCAGAATACAATCATTTCGTTAGGAGTGCAATATTTTATTTTAATAGGCATGTGGGACAACACCATCAAGCGGATAAGGTGAAACTGCCAGGGATTTGGTAAACCCTAGTCAGGGAGACTGGCAGTCACGGAGAGAAGTAAACACGCATTCATTCAACAAGTCAGCTGCTGCTGCATTTCTGCAGCCTTTCCAAAAGTCAGGGTTGTCTGTGCGACTGGTAATGTACCCTATTTATTGAGAGTTCTCTATATTTGTTTGGCCCAAGAGTGTAATGGGGAGCACATGTTAGCCACGGTGACTGCCTTCACGGGGCATAAAGCCTTGCTGGGTTAATGGTAATCAAACAGGCACACAGGTGTGCATTGTAATCACAAGCTGCAACAAATATCACAAAGGAATTTGCTCTGAATGTGGGCAGTTGGAGATGAGAGATAGCTTTGTTCCAAAAATGATGTTTGAATCTGGGTTCAAGAATAGAGAGAAATCTGAAATAAAGAATAGATAGGAATGAATTAGGTGCAGGAGAGGTGGGAAAGTGGAAAGCAAGGCTGAGGAACAAATACTCCAGGCACAGGGGACAGAATGTTCAGAGTCGGTGAGACCTTGGAAAACATGTTCTCCACTCAGGTGGTTCTCACTACTCTCTGAGGTAGGAAGATAACTTAATTTTCTCATTACAGGTGAGGAAACTGAGGCACAGAGAGTTTTTTTTTTTTTTTTTCAAGATCCACAGAATGATCCTGACAGTTCCTTGGTTGGAACTGAGCTCTGCCTCCTGCTGACCAAATGACCTTGGCAAGTCACCTACCTGCCCTCTCAGCCCCGCCTCTCACCTCTAGGAGGGGGATAATGAGAGGCAATCAGCACATCCGAAATCACGCAGCTGGTGTTAGCTGGACTAGAACTCCAAGTCAAACCTGAGAAGCCCTGCAACCTGCTGTGGTGACCACGACCCCTTACGCAGCATTGGCCAACACAGGGCCCCCGACCTCAACTTTGGCCTCAACACTGTCTCTACACAGAGTGGTGTTCAAGATGAGCAGAGCCCTGCTACCTCCTGTTTCTCAGTGAAACCACACTAAGGGCCCAACTCATTGCTGCAGCAAGACCAGTTTTTCCCCAAGACTCACTGTACTAGGGTGAAAAGCAGAGACTCCCCTTGGACTTACCTTGGCCAACTTTTTCCTTCTGCATGTATGTGAGGTGCTTCTTGAAAACAAGCCAATGACATTCATTCTCCTCACTTCATCACAAGAGGGTGGCACAGCCTAGGAGTTCCAAGTTCTGGGGAGACCCTATAGCTATGGTAGGGAAATGAGTATAGGGACTCTGAGCTGTAGAGGGACCTATGTGCTCAGAATTCTCACTCCTGATGCAGTGTTATTATCCACTGTGCCAATGTCCCATGCTTTGTCCAGTGGCAGCCCCTTCCCAGGAGCAAAGGGAGGAGGCCACTGCAATGATACCAGTGCTCAGACAGAAACTTACACATATTCCAGGTTGGTTATTCTCTGGATGATGAGATAAAAGAAGAGGAATCAGAACTTCTGCACCAAAAGAGGCTCTGGCCAGACTTTAGGGCCAAAATTTTAAAATCTTTTTCTCACTTGCCTCGCCATGTGACCCTGCAAGTCACTTCAGCTCTACAAGCCTCAGTTTCCTAAATCTTAAAAGAGATTCCTAGTGACTACTTTATAGAATTGTTCTTTCGATTTAACTATTTAGATGGAGTGGTTACAACACCTCTCATATCCGTTTAGCTTGTTACCCACCATTGTTAATAGCTCTTGCCACACCCAATGGTATGCGCTTCCCCTAACCCAAGTGAAATTAATGATTGCTGGCCAGAGCTCTGCTATTTCCAATCCAACTGACATTACAAATGCCTCTGGCAGAACATCCTTCTTCCTCTTTCCTGTTGCTAAATCCAGATTATTCCCTTTATGGACCAACATCCATGCCCCCTCTTCCAGGAAGCCTTTTCTGAATACCCCAGCCTGGGCTAAGGGAGGCTACTCTGGAATCCCTTAACAACTCCGTTGCAGCACTTTTTACATTGTGTCCCATCTAGTAGCTAACTTATCTGCTCTTACTTGACTACGACCATTTTACAGACAGGGATTACAGTGTATTAAGTGCTGCATCTTGAGCATCCAGCGCCATGCATGAATGTAGTAGGCACTCTACAAATACTTAGCGAGTTAGTGAATTAATAAACGAATGAGTGAGATGCTAAGATGATGCATTCTTGGAGTGAGAGGAAAAGGGGCCAGCTGAGCAAACTCTCTGAGCTCCAAATCTTGGGCAATTCATTTGGCTACTGCATCTAGATGAGCTTATCTGTAAAGGAGAAAATGATGCTGACCTAATTTGTATTGCCACAGTCCTTTAGAACAACTAGTAATTGATCTGAAAGATTGAAGTCCCTTGCACTGTCCTTTCAGCCCTGTAGTCGGGCAGGTCCCTGTAGGGTGGGACTGGGTGCCACTATCACTACTCTCGGTTGCGGCACAGATGACATCAGCCTCCACTAGTAGAAAGCCAGCACCTTCTGCTCTATCCATACCCCCTCATCATTTTTATCTGTATCTTTAAGTCAACCTTTGGGGAGCTGATTGCAAAGTTGGAAGTAGGTTTCAGGGTCACTAGATATTCATGGCAATGGATACTCATAAAGCAAAAAGAAAGAAATAGTTAGAGACCCTTTTAATCTGCCTCTCACTGACATTTCTTTGCTGAAAAGTTCTGCAGGTATAGGCTAGGGCACTAGAATTTAGGTCAATGACATTCATGCTGCCTCTTAGAAAAAAATCTTTCTGCAGCAAGTGCACGATTTCCTGTTATGACTGCAGATCCCGCCGGCAGCACCAGTGTAGTGACTGTAGAGGCGTCCATCCTGTTTGTTTATAATTCTTAACAATGGGCTTTTGGGGAAGGAGGGCCCGAAGCAGCAAGCTCTGATGAGCTGCACAGAGGATGTGATGCCACCTGAATAATGCATGCCCACTTTGTGTGTGTACCCGACATGGGCCCGAATGCAGGGGAAAGCCAAAGGCTTTGAAGCACCTGCTCTGAGCAGCTCCGATGACAGCCCAAGAGTCCAGATAAGATCTGAGCTCTCCTTCCTCCCCACCACCCCACCCCCTATGCCGCTCCCATTTCCCTTTTGGCATTTAAAATAAGCTCTGAGACTAAGCCACCCCCGAGAGATCCTGTCAGAGATGCCGCTTTTGTGTTGCTCATATTCCTTCCTGGCCCCACCCTAGTGTAGGACCTTCTCATAACTTGTGCAGGGATAGCAGTGGCAGCCTTCCACATGACTGTCTGATCAGTCCCCATCTGGCCCCCTCCAAGCCACTCTCCACAAGGAGGCAGCCAGAAGGATCTTTCTAACAATAAAATGGTCACTTGGGCGGATGCAGCCCCAAAGGCACACGGCTTAGATTTCAGATCATACTCATTCCCCACATGAGAGTGCTACTCTCCTGCCGAATACCCTTCAGGTATTGCCTTCATCATTTGCAAATCATGTTCAAGATTTCTGGCATGGCACAGAAAGCCTTCCGCGATCTGACTCCTACTCCCCCCTCTCATCCTCTTCTCATCCCCTGTCTTTTCAGGTCCACAGTGCTCCAGTTGGCCGAGGCTCTGGTTCCCAAAACAAGATGTCCCTCCTGTCTCACTTGGATCCTCACACCTGTGTATCCTGGCATTTCTTGTCCTTTCTATCTGTCATTCCTAGTAGGAACCTCAACCACATCATAAAACAGTGGTCAACATTCAGTGTCGATCAGTCTATTCAAGGTACATTATATGCATTCCTTGATTTAACCCTCAAAGCAACACTGTGGGGTATGCATAGTTCTTATCTCCATCATGTGGAAGAAGTCACTGAGGCTCAAGGTAATAAAATGACTCCTCCAAGGTCAAACAGCTACAAAGTTGGCAGAGGGCTCAAACTCAAGGTCACTATTAACCACAGTATCACATGGAGACTTACATGACATGGCGTACCATCTATTGCTTACCTATTCTTAGACTGGCCGAACTCCAATTACTCTGAAATGCCATTTTTAAGGTACTAATGTATTCAAAGTCCACCCTCCCTACTTTAAAAGCTGCACTTTCTGCTCCCTTGCCAAAGCTGGAATTTCATCCTCACCATGGATGAAATTCACCTCAACAAAACTTGGACCTCTTTTAAACCTTCATTTCTCCATGAAGTCTTTCAAAATGCCTAAGATCCAAGTGATCTCTCTTACCCACATTGACAGCATATTCATCAACGTTGGAATAATTCCCATCATCAGCTACACATATGTCTGCTTTTTAACTATATTATAAATATACATAAAATTCTTTTTTATAAATGATTGAATTCATACACAAATTCTTCTAAAATATATATAAGGCACAAAAATTAAAAATACAAGAAAACACCTGTGTAACCCAATTTAAGAATTAGAACCTTATGCTCCTCCCTCCCCCATCCTGGCTCCTTCCCTCGTCGTGTTTCCCACACTCTCATTTTCTTTATAGCTTCTCCATTTGTTTGTATTCCTGAAAATTATTGTTTGCAGTGTTGCATGTTTCTAAACCTTATATAAATGGAATCATGCTGAACGAATTCTCTTGACAATGTGCGCTATTTTGCAGTTGTTGTTGCCTGTTTGTTTTGGATTTGGGGCTCCATATTATGTTTCTGAGATTTGCCTGTGTTGTTATATGTACCTGTGCTTCATTTATTTTCATAGCTGAACAATATTCTTTTGTGTGACTATGTCAGAATGTACCTAAATATTCTATTACTCGTGTACATTTGGGCTGTTTCCAGTGTTTTACTACAACAAACTTCTCTGGACTCATTCTTCTCCCTGTCTCCAGATGTACATGTAGAGGAGATTCTCTAGGGGTGTACACCTAAGCAGGGAAATGCTGAGACAGAAGATCTGTGCATTTTCAATGTTATTAGATAATGGCATATTGTTATCCAAAGTGATTGCACCAATTTACACTCTCTTAAGAAATGTCACAGTCTCATTGCTATTATCGCCATAAGTTCTTACTGTTAGATATAATTTTTGGCCATCTGGTGAGTGTAATATAGTAACTCATCATGGTTTTAGTTTGCATTTTCCTGTTTATCAATGGGATCACACACCTCTTCCTCTGTCATTGGCCATTTGAGTTCCCTGTTTTGTGAAGTGCCTGTTCAAGCCTTTTGCCCATGTTTCTATTAGGTCACTTGAAATTATCTGATAGGTTTATAGAAGTTCTTTATTTATCTTGTATACTAACCAATATATATAACTTCAATTATATGTATTATGAATACTTTTTGCATTTTTTAGTCTATGTTTTCCTTTATTTTGCTGTCTTTTGAATGTATCAATTGTTTTAATGGATTTTGCTTTTCATGCCTTAAGAAACCTTTGTTCACAGAAATTCATGAATATATTACACTATATTATATTTTATTACTTAACCATTTTGTTTTTCACATGTAAGTCTTTTTAATCTCAAATTCATTTTTGTATATACTGTGAGGTAGAACTCTATTTTTTTATATGAATAACAAATTGTTCTGTATCATGTATTTAAAAGTCCATTATTTTGCCACTGATCTATAAAGCCACATCTGCTCATACATTAAACACACACACAGACACACACACACAATTTGTGACTCAATCAATTTTGTTGGTTGGGTTGTCTAGCCCAGGAACAATATAAAACTGTCTTAATTGCTATCATTCAAATAAACATTCATATCTGTCAAAGTCAGACAACCAACCTTATTCTTCTCATTCAGAAGAATCTCTATTTTTCTGTCATTTGCAAGCCCATAAACTCATCAATTTCCACACACATACCCACATGCTCACAAAGCCTGTTGGGGTAATATTTGAATTACAATGAATCTATAAATCAATTTGGAGAGAATTGCCGTATGTATGACACTGAATCTTCCAATCCATACATCCATGATATCTCAATTTCTACAGGTCTTTAAATTCTCAAAGCAGTTTTTCTTTTCTAATTTTCTTTATAAGAGCCTTGAAGATGTTTTGTTAGATATATTTCTAAGTTTCTTACATTTTTGATGTTATTACCAATTATTTGTTTATTTAAATTACATTATCTATCTGTTCATTGGCTGTATATACAATGATGACCAATTTTTGTAGATTGATTTTAGACCTAGAAAACTTAAACTCTCCTAATCCAAATGATTTACCTCTAGCTTCTTTTAGAATTTCTATATAGGCAATCATTTTACTCACAAAATGTGCTAGAGGTGTTACTTCCTTTTGAAACCTTGTAACTTTTCTTTCTCAATTGGACTGTCTGGGATGGGACTGCTGATACCATGATGACTGCACTGGTAATAGCATAGGTACTCTTGTCTCTGACCTCCAGAGAATGTGTCCGTGTATCAGCCTTAAGGATAATGTGTATTAAAGGCTTTGTGATTGAGTTTTCATCTCTTCCTAGTTTATTAAGAGATTTTTCTCCTAAGTAGGTACAATTGTCATCAAGCGTTTTCAAATGTTTTTTTCTGCCAACTACTGAGATGATCATCTAATTTTCCTATATTATATGAATAAGGTATATAAGATTTATTATTTTCCCAATGTTAAGCCCAACATTCATTTCTATAAGTGACCCAATTTGTACATGATGGATGATCCCTTTTTATACAGGGCTGCTTTCTGCATGCTAATAGTTTTTAAAGATTTTTGCATCTATATGCACAGGAAAATTGTCCCGTAATCACGAAGTTCTTGTGAGATTTGGATATCAAGTTTACTCTGGCCACCAAATTTGTTGAGCTGTGTTCTATTCTGTAATCTGTAAAATCTGTGTAAAATTAAGTTATTTATTACTTGACTCTCAGGTAAAGCCTACTAGTGAGGTCACTGGGCCTGGACTGTTTTGTAGGAAGTTTTTAAAAAAAGATTTTTAAAGTTTTCTTACTTGTGGTAGGGCTATTATAGTTTGTTTTATTCTTATTGAGTCAGTTGGGTACAATATATTTTTCCTAAGAAGGTTTTCATTATACCTAATATTTAAAACTTATCAATATAAAGTTGTTCATAATATCTTGTTATCATTTTCATATCTTCTACTTGGTAGTTATAGTTCCTTTCTCTTTTATTTCTTCCTTGTACCTTCTTTTCTTTCTATATTCCATGTTTTTTATTACTTTCATTAATTTTACTTATTTAAAATAATCATTTCCTACTTGTGTAATTTCTTGGGTTTATGCGTTTTTTAACCTCATAAGTTGGAGAATAAGCTAATCATTTTTTAACCTTTCCTCTTTTATAGAATAATCTCTCAAGGACATGATTTTTTTCTCTAAATATTGCTTTAGCTGTATCACATCCATTTTGAATGGTTTATTTTTCTTATCGTTCAGCACTATTTATAATTTTCATTATGATTACTCGTTTAATATATGAATTGTTTAGAGTTGTGTCTCTAAGTGTCCAAAAATGTAGATTTTCTTGATATGTGGTCAGTTTTTCTATGTGATCTACGTATGTTCGGAAAATAATAATTATCAAAAATATAGCTATGCCTGCTTCCTTCTGACTAGAATTGCCTGTTATATCTTTTTCCCATCCGTTTGCTTCCAAGGTATCTGTACCTCTGTGTTGCAGGTATTTCTCTTTTATATAGTTTGTACTGAGCTTTATTTTTTATTGAGTTTGAAATTTTATATCTTTCAGCTGAAGCATCTGATAACACACATTTATTGTAATCATTTATATATTTGGATTTATTTTGTATGAATTTATTTTGTAGGTTCTAGTAACCTGTATTTTTAAATGTGCTTTGTCTAATTCTTGTCTACTTTTTAATTAATTGTGCCATTTTTATCCTTTCTGTCTCCTAGCTTAAACATTGTTTTAAACAATGTTTTCTTTTCATTAACATTCAAAAATGCTGAGAGTCATATTTAATTTGTCATAGACTAGAGCTTATTGATATCTTTTCCTCTTTCCTAAATAACACAAAGAGTTTGAAACAGGAATTCAAGATATTTCTTCTTGACTTTTGTGTATTGTTATTGAGTATTTTGATATATTTTTAATCTTTGCAAATCTTTGGTATTTTTTATATATAAAGCCAATATTTGATTAGAAATCTTCACATGATACCACTTCATTTGGTTATTTTACCTGCTTTGAATTTCAAGGCTTTCTTCTGGACTTATTTGCCTAAATAACAACTTTTAGAGTTTTTTTAGAGGTTTTTTTGGTGGTTAAACAATCTCTGTGTTTGTTTTCTAAACTGTCTTACTTTCACCATCATTCTTGAAATACATTGTCACTGATGTACACAATTCTTAGCTGACTGTTATTTTTTTCCAGTATTGTGGTATATATTATTTGCTGTTTTCTAGCTTTTATTGTTGTTCCTAATAATAAAACTTGCCTTCAAATGTCAAAGGTAAACTCTCTTTTTTTCCCCTCCTACTGCTTTTAAGGTTTTCTCTTTGTCTTTGGTGTTGCACCTTTAACTGTGACATGTCTAACTATGGATTTATTTAATTCAAACTGTTTGGGATTTATTTTCCTTGCTGAATTTGCATATGCATGTCTTTTATCAGTTGTGGGGAAATTTCAGCCTTCATCTCTTAAATATCACCTCTGCACATTCTCTCACTGTGTTCTTTTGGAACACTGATGAGACATGTTAGACCTTCTTACTCTGTGTTTAATATTTACTGACCACTCTTACATCCTTTTTGTCTTTCTAAGGTACATTTAGAACCATTTCTTCTAATCTATTTTCTAGTTCATTAAACTTTTAATTGCCTGTGCCTTACCAACTGTTAAACAGCCATTGAATCTTTAATTCTAACTATTATTATTTTTTAAATGTCTTATTTTTCTACTTGGGTCTTTTCCTAATACAACTGATCACTCATTTTTACCATGCCCTAATTTTATCTCATACTTTCCCATGTTTTCTCTTTTTTATTGTTGCTAGAAATCTTTTATGTTTGTGATTAAAATTATAGTTAATTTCCTATATAACTAAAGCACTAAAATTACATTATTTTCTTTTTATTATTATATTGTAAATAAGGTCTTTTTTATTTAAAACACATTAAAATATTTATTTTAACCAACTTTATTGAGTTATAACTAATATACAATAAATTACCCATATTTAAAGGGTATGATTTGATGTTTTAATATATGCTAACACTCACAAAACCGTCACGACAATCTAGAGAGGATATGTCCATCAAATGCTCAGGTTTTCTCGTTTAAGCTTTCCCTCCTGTCCCCTCCTGTATCCCCTTTTCCAGGCAATCATTAATCTGTTTTGTTTTGTTTTGTCACTACAGATTAATTTGCAAAAAATACTTATTCTCTGGGTCAGATAATTTCAATATCTATTTTTTACTTTTGATTCTTCTGTTTATTGTTTTTGCCAAGTCTTATTAATTGTGTTTTGTCTGTTTGCATTTTGTAATATTTTAAAATTATGAGTTTATCTTTAAAGAAAATGTTATCTATAGGTATTCCTTAAAGTTGTTGTAAAAATGGTTTCCTCCAAAAAGGATGTGTGTTTTCTCTTGCCAGGTACCTGAGTGTATAACCAGCCCGGAGCCATTTTAAATTATATTCCATGAGATTTTTTAGTTTTACTCCCAATTTCCATCAGGGTTTAAGACAGGCAATTTTCACAGAAGTCCCTAGAAAAGCACATTTGTGTCTGGTGTCTAGTTCATTCTTACGCTGAGGATGTTTTGGATCCCAGCTTGCTATATACACATATGGACACACTGAAAGCCTTGGCCTTTGTCTCTAGTCTGCTGGGATCCTATGGGCCTTGAGAGCTGGGCTCACCTTCTGGTTTGGAAAGAGCACTCAAGACAAAATGAGGCTCTGGTGTTCTGTTGCTCTCTCTGAGTTCCCACTTTCACTGAAGTTTCAGCATCTGGATAGTCTTGACACTGTAGTCAGTTTGCTAAACAACCTAGCAGCATTTCTGTTTGTACCAGTATATATTTCCTCCCCAGGCAACTAGAAGTGGAAACTGCCTCCGCCCGGTTCATCTTGTCAGTCTTTTTTCATCCACTCACTAAAGTAGATAATGGGGTACCTCTTACATACAACTCTCTATAATATCTTCCTGTCAATGAACTTTCTGAAATTGTAAAATCCGAAAGAGCTTTAACATAAGGAGACACTAATTCTATTTATGTCTAAAAATCTTTGCCTCAGCATTTCTGTTCTTTACTTTCTTTTCACTAATCCACGTGCTAAAATTTCATCCAAGTTTGCTTTGTTTGGATTTTAATCTTACTGTTAAATTTGCGTATGTATATATGTGTGTGTATACATATATATATGTATATCAAGTGTTCAAATATTTAAAAATAAGAAAATCAGCATTCTGCTTTGGGTAGCACCCTGTGCATCCCCATTCTTGGGATTGAACCTGCTAGTGATATCTTAGTGCATTCTATACTCTATCATTGTTATCTGTGAGTACAAAAGTATGATCAAAATTTTTATTGGCGATGGGATTATGCAGCTTGGATATCTATGCTAAAATCTGGCTTGATTTTATTGTGACATCGAAAGGGGTCTTTCTCTCAAATTCTGTTAATCATAATAACAATAAAGGTGGTTCGTGTTTAAAGGTTTATTCTAAGGGCCAAGCACTACTCTAAGAGGTAAAAATGCACAATACATTAAATCACCAGAGCAACCCTATCATTATCTTCAATTACAGGTGATAAAACTGAGGCACAGAGAGAATATTTACTTAAACTTATAAAATCTAGTAAATGACAGATCCAGAATTTACACCTAGGACATCTAGCCTTAATACCTATGATTTTAACTGCCCTACAATTTTTACCATATTTTTCTATCTGGTTTCTGGAGTCTGATATTCATTTAAATGTTCAGCTTGATGTGAGTAGACCACTTCTGTGGTTCTGAAAACACCTTAATACTGGCAGTTCTACTTGCATCAACTACGCTTGATATTTGCCAAACATTTTTATTTTACATAATGTAATTGAAACCTTGCTACCGTCATCAAAATAATGTAACAACATTTTCTATTTGTAACAACATTTTCTATTTACAAAGAAAAAGACTGAGATTTGAAGAGGTCCAGTAACTTGTTCAAGTTTCAGAACTGTAATTTGGTAACAGCTCTACAAACTTTCACTGCGGGTCTCCCCTCTGTCAGGCACTGAGGACACTTAGTCAATCAATATCATGATAAAGAAAAGCTCAAGGTGCTGTAAAAGCACAAATAAAAAGGCACAGAGATCTGTTGGGGAAGAGAAAGGGCATCCAAGAAGTCTCCTTGGACTCCAGAGTGGAGTCTTGCAGAAAGAGGGGAAGTTACTCAATAGAAGCTGTGGCTGGATGTGCATTGGTAAAAAGTGATGAGGGCTGGGAGGAAATTGCAGAATAAAGGAACAACATAAGCAAAGGTGCAGAGACATTAAATAGCATGATATGTGGTGAAAAGTGCAAATTGTTCTACCTTTTCAGGGATAAGATGTGAGGCAGAGAGTGAAGATGAGATGGATAAGCCAAGCAAGGACCAGGTCCCACCAAGGGGCTTGGCCTTCCTCTCAGACATAACCCAGAACCAAAGAAAGATTGTAAGCAGCATGTGTGGCTTCACTTTTTGAGAAAAATGATACAGAATCATGAACATGCAATTGAATACAAAAGTAAATATTTATTTTAAATGAGAAAGACATGCTGGAAAGAGCTCCACAAGTGAACACCTATAAACTTGAACATCCTCAGTTTCACATTAGTTTCATGGTCAATGGTCCTAACATGAGAGAAGCAGAGAGGCTTCAGGGGCTCATGTAGAATTTTTCTATCTTTCTGTTATTTTGTCATTTTAGCAGCAATGTGTGGAGTGGACTGAGGAGGGCAAGATGGGAAAATTGTCTAGAAAAATGTTTTAATAGTCCCTTGGAATGAATGTAAACCTAATTGAGATAGTGGTAGTCATCATGGGCTGGAATAGGGGAGGAGTGTGGGCTTGATAATTATTTCAGAGATAAACACTAACAGGATTAGTGAATTAGTGTTTCAAGAAGAAGGAATGTCAAGGGCATCTGCCACATTCTGACCTATGTGGCTGGTCGGAGGGTTGAGGAGTGGTGGCTGTAGGCATCACTCTTTGTGGTAGTGAATCGAAGAGTAAGATTGAGTTTGAGCTTTCCCAAGGACATCCAAAAGAAGAAGCCCAGTTGGTCTTTTGAGTCAGGAACGCAGGGGAGAGCTCAAGGCACAGACGTGGATCTAAGGCTGATCAGCATTCATGTTGCACTGAATGCCTTGAGCGCATCTGAGGAAAGAGAAGCAGAGCTGGTGGTGCATCCTCAGGGACTGCGCATATGCCAGAGATTGGCAGAGGAAGCACGTCCCCAAAGATGTGAGGAATAGTCAGAAGTAGTAAGAAAACCAGTGATGAGTGTCATGGAAGAGAAGGGAGAAGGTATTCCAACAGAAGGTTGTTAAATGGCACTAAATGCCCCCAGAGGGCATTCGTTGACTAGTGAAATGTGTCCAGTGGACTTTGGTGACTTTGATGAAAGCAATTTCACTCCAAGTCTACAACCCTCCCCATAAGATCATTATGCTATCCAATGAGGTATACATTCCATGATGTGCTTTTGAAAGATCTTGTATTAGTTATTTATCGCTCTGTAACAAATTGCCACACATTTACCAGCCTAAAACAACACATATTTATTATCTCAGTTTCTGTAGGTCAGAAGTCCAAGCATAGCTTAGCTGCTTCAGGGTCTCACAAGGGTCTGCAGAGCTGTGGTCTCATCTGGGGCTTGAGTGGAGAAAGATCTGCCTGCAAGCTCACATGGTTGTTGATGGCATTCAGTTCCTTGAAGACTGTCAGACTATGGGCCTCAGTTTCTTGTTGGATATTTGCTGGAGGCTGCCCCCAGCTCATTGCCATGTGGCCTCCTCTGCAAGGCAGCTTGCAACATGGCAGCTTGCTTCTTCAAAGCCAGCAAGGGCGGGAGTGTCTCTCAGCAAAACAGATACCATGGTCTTATAATATAACCACAGAATTGACACCCCACCCCCATTGTTGTTTTCTTTTGGTTAAAAGCAGGTCAAATTCTATGACTTGCTTCTAAACAAATTACTCCCTTTGAGTGTGGATCTCCTCTCATCCACACTCCAGGGGAGGAAATAACTGAAGAACGTGAACATCAAGCAGTGGGAATGATGGAGCCTGCCTTACAATCTGTTTGCCACAAATCTCCTTTTCTATTTCCGTGCCTTCTTCTTATCTATGCCCCTGTCAGTTGTTGGTCTTTCACAGCCAGTCACTGCCATGGTTAGTTTGTTTGTAACCAGAAGAACTGAGTCACTGTCTAACTTTGCCTGTAATGCAAAATTCAAATTTAATCTGGATTTTAAAATGGCTTCCATTATCCACACGTGACTACAACCAGGATATAGTTCTGCTTCTCACTTGAATACCTCTCGAGACATTTCTTCACTTTTCTGAACTTCAATTTCCTCCTCTCAAACAGGTAATAATAGTTCCTACATCCCAGGGATGTTGTCAGATTACGGAATTAACTACAGTAATTAATGTAAATTACCTAGCACAGTGCCTGGCCCGCAGAACATGCTCCATGTTATCTTTCACACTAATAAGAGAATAAAAATGAATGAAAGGCAAAATGAGTGCCACATTTATCCCTGTTAAGTACTGTTTCGGAAAGAAAACATCTATGAGAAAGGAAGATTAATGGTGAGTACCCATAGCCGTGTGACTTAGGGGGGAAAAGTGCCATGCAATCTAAGAATTTAAATATTGATAAATATTGCAGGCTTAACAAAGATTTTCAGCTGGATTTTTCCCTTCAAGTATGTGTATTATTAAATACTTTGCTAAAGTTGTCTTCCTCTGGGCTGACATACAAGTGGGAGGTTTTGGCCATTTCTAAATGTAAACTCTGCTTTTTATAACAAAATTCATGGTGGAGATGCTTAGGTTGTATCTATCTCTGAATAGAGAAAAAAAAAGCTGTTTGGATGAGAAACACACAGGACTGTGATTTTATTCTGACGTGGGGAATTTATGGATCTAGTGTTACTTGCATTCCTGTAAGTAAGTAGATAAAGAGTGGGCCTGGAAAGTGTGCCTCCAGATGAGATGAAAGCCAAACTTTGAATATGCTTATAATATTGTCTGGATAATTGCAGACCTTTAAATTTGAAATCAAAATTGAATTTTGCATTAGAGGCAAGGTTCAGTGATCCCATCTTCATATACCCATAGTCTGTCTTCGGAATATAGACAGATCTATCTTTATTTTTTAATTGGTGGTGTAAGATTAATGTTAACAAAAAATATTATGTCCAGGTTTCTCAATTGGTGATAGATTTAATGCCCAAACATTAGAGAGAAAAAAAACTTTACAATGAGGTCCTCAAATCCATGTACACAAAACTTCTTGTCATTTTTATTTTTATTTAGTTATAAGAAAACTATGCACAAAAGATCATTCTTTGGTAGCTACTACAACTAGGCACCGATTCATTACTTCCCGTGTATCAGGCCCTAGGACATGTATTTATATCCATGGCCTCATTCAATGTTCACAGTGGTCCAGAGAGGTAGCTGATTATATTATTCCCATTTTATAGATGAGCAAACTAAAACTGTGAAAGCTTAAGCAGCTGGCACATGTCACCCACTTAGAAGAGACAAAGCTGGCATCCAAAGCCAGCTCGCTCCAGTTCCCAAGCACTAAGGATTCCCAGTAAATTCAAATTTAACTACATTACCAAAGAAGTACTAAACATATAATTACTATTATGTGGGAATCCATAAATCTTTTTATATGATATAGAGGTGAAAATTATAAAAAACAATTGTAAAACATTAATGGAGGACATTTTTCTACTACTTCTGTACCCTAAGTTTAAAACATAGCCTGTATTCTTCATAAATCGCTCCTCCAGGAGTTCTCCCGTTTCAGCTACAATTTCACATATTTCCATTTTACTATCTATCACAGATAATCAAGAGCTTCTAAGTGAATATGAGATAATTTAAGATATAAAGATTAGGAAACATTTGGCTCTTTCTTTAGAAGACTTAGAAGGAGAAATACAGGCTGACTTAGGACAGTCTAATATTGGAAAACTCAAAAACATTGAGTTAGTGAAATTGACAGAAGACTCATATTTCCTATGGATGTAGATGTTATTCTCCTTCCTACACAAGCCTGGGTAGGAGGGGTGGTGAATAGTAATGTCATCATCTGCTAAACTTTTCCTTCCTCCTTCCCACTCTTCCTAGATCCAACTGGTCAGTAAGTCCTATCCAATTCCTGCCCATGCATAAGCATTGATGCAGCCTTCTATGACGGCTTTCACCCAGCTCCTCATCTTCCCACCTGTGATCACTGCCATCGCCCTCAATCTGCACTCCATCCCTCCCATCTGTTTCTACCCCCACTCTGTTGTCAGGGCCACCCTTCCAAACTATCTATAAAGTCAGCCTTACTTAAATTAAAGACGTCACTCTCTAGCAGTTCCGAGTAGTTTACAGCAATTAGATCCTCACTTCGGTCTATTGAGAACATGCAAATGGTGTTAGTAGGTGACCTTAAGAGGAAAGGCTGGTGATATAGTTTGAATGTTTTCCCCTCCAAATCGTATATTGAAGTGTGATTCCTAATGTTGGAAGTGGGGTCTGGTGGGAGGTAATTTGTTCGTGGGAGCGAATCCTTCATGAATGGTTTAGCACAAACCCATCAGTGATAAATGTGTTCTGGTTCAGTTAATTCATGTGAGATTTTGATGTTTAGAAGTTAGGAACCTCCCCTACTCCTCTCTCTTGCTCACTCTCTTACTATTTGATATGCAGTCTTCCCCTTTTGCTTCTGCCATGATTGTAAGCTTCCTAAGACTCTCACCAGAAGCTGAGCAGATGTTGCTGCCATGCTTGTACAGCCTGTAGACATGTGAGCCAATTAAACCTCTATTCTTTATAAATCACCCAGTCAGGCATTTTTTATAGCAACACAAGAGTGGCCTAACACAGAAAATTGGTACTGAGGAGGGGGTATTGCCATAAAGATACCTGAAGATATAATAGCAGCTTTGAAACTGAGTAATGGACAGAGTTTGAGGGGCTCAGAAGATGAGAGGACATTCAGAACTTCTTAGAGACTTGTTAAGTGGTTATGGCCAAAATGCTGGTAGAGATATGGACAGTGAAGGCCAGGTTGATGGGCTTTCAAATGAAAATGAGAAAATTATTGGGAATTGGAGTAAAAGTCACCCGTGTTTCACCGTAGCAAAGAGCTTGGATGAATTATATCCATGGTCTCAGGGTCTGTGAAGTGAAAGTTTGAACTTAAGAATGATAACAGGGTATCTGGCAGAAGAAATTTCTAAGCAGCAAAGCATTCAAGATGTAAACTAGCTGCTTCTAACAGCCTGCAGTTAGATACAGAAACAGAGAAATGACTTGAAGTTGGAACTTATATTTAAAAGGGAAGCAGAGTGTAAAAGTTTGGAAAGTTTGCAGCCCAGCCTTGTGGTAGAGAAAAAATGCAAGTAGGCGGTGAAACAACCACTGGCTAAGGAGATTCACATAACTAAAAGAGAGCCAGTGCTAATATCAAGACAATGAGAAAAGGTCTCAAAGGCATTTCAGAGATCTTCTAGGTGGCCCCTCCTATCACAGACCTAGAAGCCTAAGAGGAAATAATGGTTTCAGGAGCCAGACCTGCTGCCCTGCTTAACCTCAGAATACTTCTCCCTGCATGTTAGGTGCTTCAGCTATAGCCTCAGCTCAAAGGGCTCCAGGTACAGCTTGGGCCACCACTCGAGGGCACAAGCCATAAGCTCTGGTGGTTTCCATGCTGTGGTAAGCTTGCAGGTGCCCAGACAGAAGTCTGTTGCAGGAGCAGAGCCATGAGAAGGGGACCACTGCCCTCCAGACCCCAGAATGTTAGATTCACTGGAAGCTTGAATCTTCTGCCTGAAAAAGCTGCAGGCACTCAACTCCAACCCGTAAGAGAAGCTAGAGGGGCTGCAACGTGAAAAGCCACAGAGGCAGAGTTTCCCTTGCACGCGTGTTCCCTGGATGCCAGACAAAGAATCAAAGGAGAATACTTTGTAGCTTTAAGATTCAATGACTGCCTTGCTGGGCTTAGGACTTGTGTAGGGCCTGTTATTTCTTTCTGATGGCCAATTTCTACCTTTTTCAACAGGAATGTTTACCCAATACTTGTACTACCATTTTACCTTGGGAGTAAATAACTTGTTTTGATTTTATAGGCTCATAGTGGAACAAGATGAGTCTCGGATGAGAATCAGGACTTTGGACTAGACACTGGAATGAATTAAAACTTCGTGGGACTATTGGGAGGGTATTTTGCAATGTGAGAAGATTTTGATTGTATTTTGCAGTATGAGAAGAACATGAGATTTGGGGTGGTGCCAGGGTTTGATTGATATAGTTTGCATGTTTTCTCCTCTAAATTTCATGTTGAGTTATAATCCCCAATGTTAGAGGTGGAGCCTGGTGGGAGGTGTTTGGGTCATAGGAGCAGATCCTTCATGAATGACTTGGTGCCATCCCCTTGGTGATGAGTGACTTCTTACTCAGTTCATGTGAAGTCTGGTTGTGTAAAAGTCTAGAACCTCCCCTTCCCCTTTCTACTGCTTCCTGTCTCACCATATGATGCGCGGTCTCCCCCTTCACCTTCTGCCATTACTAAAAGCTTCCTGAGGCCTCACCAGAAGCTGAGCAGATGCTGGTGCCATGCTTATATAGCCTGTAGAACCATGAGCCAATTAAACCTCATTTCTTTATCAGTTACCCAGCCTCAGGTATTCCTTTTTAATAATACACAAGGACTAATACAGGTGGCTATGTGAAAAATTCCAAATACTTAAAATGATTCCTCCTTTTATGCCTGCTGCATTTATAAAACAACATGGCACCAATATCTTGTACTTGCTCAAAGTCTCTAACAGCTAACAGCTCCCCAGCAGCCCTAGCAGCCAAAAGCCAAAAATAAAAAAATAAAAAATAAAAATCTAAACTAAATATTGGTTCCGTGGTGTCAAAAATGGTCCCTCCTCTCTTTTTTATACCCAATGATCTACTGTAGTTGCCACCCATGGCCTGTCTAGATTGCACCATAACCTACACTGGGTCAGTGCTTTATAGGGGATTTTCTCCACATTCTGACTCCACTTACAATTTGTGAAAATGCTTTGGAGTTATCCAGTCATATTACACTAGGGCTTGATAGGTCTGAAGGAACCTAAGTTAGCAAAGTCTATTTGGGTCCCCCCAAAATTAAGAAATGCATATTTGAAAAAAAAAGAGAGAGAAAGAAAAAATATTCTCTAGAAGTGAGAATTTTGGCTTAGAGCCCACATTGCAGTGTGAGGAGGGGAGGGGCAGCAAAGTCAGCCTCCTTCTTAAAAATTTGCAAGGTTTTGGGTTTTTCCCCGCTAGCACTCTCTCCAAATATGCAGGTACCTAGATTTTTTTTTTTCAACTAATTCCTGATTTCTGTGTGGATTATGTCCTGGTATTTATAAGTCTTGATGTCTGTCCATGATTCCACTTTCCTAAAGCTAAGCATCCAGCAGGGTCTCTCATACTTGAAAGTAAGTGTTGGCTTCCTTGATAGGGGCTGGGGATGGGGATGCAGGTGCAGTCAGGATGATTCCAAACTCATTGTAAAATTCTTCCCATTTGATAGACACTGTCCAAAGCTTCTCACAAAACCAGAAGTGCAGTCCCGGTGTCACCATCACAAAAATCTTTAAGGTACCTCTTAGATCCTAGCTCCCAAGCTGGGAGCTACTTTCCAGATCTTTTTGTCTTCTTAGGAGAAAATTGGTGAATCTGGGGTGGCTTTTTTGATGAGCTCCTGTGAGAAGCATACTGGAAGGTGAAAAATTAACATCATTCATACCTCCATCTAATAGGAACAATTTTTTACAACACATTTTTATTATTACTCCAAATCACTCACCTTAGTCAGCATGGCATTCTGGTTTTTATATTTGGCTCAGTCATTTGATGAGGGAGGAAGGAACCAGTTGGGATAGTCACACAAGGATAGCCTGATTCAGTCCCATATTTCATTATATGTAAAAAGGAATTCTCCAACCTCTCTGGAGTATCCAGGAGGCTCTCCCATCCATCCTAAATATATTCACCCGCTCTCACTAACTGATTCACGTATTCACTTGTTTTCTTGATTGCTGTGCTCAACTTCTCATGTGTTGATTCATTCATTTGTTCCATATTTATTTACTTTTTCGTCTACTCATTTCATTCATTAGTTGACTGCCTCACTTAGGCATTCATTGATTCATACACTCATTCATTCTTTCCTCCAGTAAACATTTACTGAGGACCTGCAAGGTGGCAAACATGACAATGGGTTCTGGCTCTCAAGCTACTCACAAACTGGTGAGTAAGGCAGGCATATATCATACAATAAAGTACTCTCATTGTCATGTCCCAAATATTAAAAGTGAGCGTAAATATTAAGATGAGCTTTTGGACCTTGGTCTAATGGATTTGCCAGATGGGGATGGTGAATAAGGGCACATGAAGCTACAAGAAGAACATCACAAAGTCTCAAATTCTGCAAGTTCTCAGCATGTTCAAGGAATGATAAATATCTTCATGTGGCTCAAGTGAGAATGAAATAGTGAAGAGAGATAGAAGATGAAGCTCAAAGTCAGGGCTATGTTATGACTTTGAGAATTCATGATGCCATGTGAAAATGCTCAGACTATCATTTGAAGAAAATCATCTAGAATGCCATGTTATATGCTATTTACTGAGTCCAGATCTCAGACAAGTTTGTGTGTTTCCATCATTAGCAATTGAGTAATGGCCTCTACTTGCCTTTCTAGTCATATTTCCCATGGCTGTCTTATATCGATAGTCAGTGTAGACATGAGGACATGAGGACTTAGAAGAAGGATATTTATTTAAGCTCTACATGTTAGAAATACTTTATGCAGATAGAAGTATGTCCTTAGAACATCTTATGACCAAAATTCCTATCCCCTACCCCAGTAATCAGAGGCATTAAAAAGATAGACTAAGCCAGGCAACTAGTTAAAAGGCCCTCAAGAAAGTAAATGTGTACAGTTAATCCTTCATCCCCCAGGAAGAGAAGACCACATTCAACTACAGAGATGGAAATGAGAAGCAGAACATGATGAAGATATTCCTATATAAGGTTGGAACACCTAGAAACAAGGAATTGGTGAATGAAGTTGCAGGGTGAGGACATGTCAGTGGCCATGAGCAGAACTGTGGAGTAGACTCCACTAGGCTGTGTTATACGACACTCGAGTCTTTTACTGCTTGATGGAGCTTGGCTGGGTTCACCAAACCTACCAAATCCTGTTGGGCATTTAAAAGACCACTTGGGAATGAAATGCAAGTGGATGCTTTTGTAAATAATTTTTGGACTTTTCATTCATGCCCAGGGAGTGAACTGATTTAACCATGTCAGCCTTCTCAAGATCTCATACCCTAAGCATCTGGTTCCTTTCAGTTTACATGTTGCTTGTGGGTTCCCACCCTCTGCCATAAACCCCTTCTCTCTCCGTCCCTGCACTCTGAAGTTGTTTTTACTTATAACAGCCCAGCTCTGATGCCATCACTTCTAAGATGTGACTCCACGGCCACTCCAGAGTCTACTCTAGTGGTTTCTCCTCTCTCTAATCTCCCATCACTTTTTCCAACAAAGGTGCTCCTGCACGCTCAGAAGAATCAGCATAGTTGGAAATGACATCTTGTCACCATTATCCCACAGTCAGCTAAAATAGCACCTTCTGGTCAGCTAGAGATGAGTTAACACAGAGATTACTCTCCAGTTGTCTGTAGCCTACAACAAGGTCAATGAGAGTCTAAGGTCAGTGAGAGTCTAAGGCAGCTTAGAATCAAAAGAGAGCTACAAGAAAGAGTTCCACTGGAAGTAAGAGGAGAAAGAGATCATTCAGGTGGCAGCCAATCTAGAGAGTGGGTAAGTTCATGTTGAGTGCCTCCCAGGAGTCACCATCCAGGGTTCCCTGTGTATCAGTGCCATGTCCTGCCTTGCCATAGGAGGTCACTGTCAACTCAGAAGTGCAGAGTGGTCTGAAAGGTTCCATTAGAATTGCATGGCAATTTATGCCCCGCCCCCTCAATAACATCTCCCTCAAGAACACCCCTAAATACACAGATCGCAGGTTCCATTTGCTTTCCTGACAGATAAACAAGAGACTGTAGCTGAATGAGTTCAGATACCATGCTTGAATTCTCTGCCCTGCTGTATTAGTAATTTACCCAAGTGTCTATCAGAAGCCAGGAGTTTGTCTCAAATTTTATAATCTCCCTCAAAACTGTACTACCAAGACAGCCCTACTGACACAAATGCAAGACCCCTCCTTCCTACAGGTTCTGAGTTAAAGTTGATGCAATAAATGTAATTAATAGATCTTCTTGACCAAGATGTGCTTGCTAGTTGATATGGTTTGGCTGTGTCCCCACCTGAATCTCGAATTTTAGCTCCCATAATTCCCAAGTGTCATGGGAGAGACCTGGTTGGAGGTAATTGAGTCATGGGGGCAGGTTTTTTCCATGCTGTTCTCATGATAGTAAATAAGTCTCACGAGATCTGATGGTTTTATAAAGGGAAGTTCCCCTGCACCTGCCCTCTTGCCTCCACCATGTAAGACATGACTTTGTTTCTCCTTTGCCTTCTGCCATGACTGTGAGTCCTTCCCAGCCATGTAGAACTATGAGTCCATTAAACCTTTTTCCTTTATAAATTACCCAGTCTCAAATATATCTTTATTAGTAGTGTGAGAACAGAAGAAAAGTTGTTGACAAAGACTAATTGTAATTGGGGCTTAAAGGTCACCTACTCTTTTATGTTCCCCCTCACCTTCTGGCACCCACCCGTTGACCCATCTACTTCTTCATTCACCCATATATCCATTTATGTATAATTGGTTGACTCATTTATTTATTCACCACATTTTTTCATCCATCATTCATTCACTCACCCATTTTTGAATGGGTGACCTGGTTAAAGCATGTGCTGGGTACAACGTTACAATGGGTTTGCCATCTAGGGATTGAGGGCACAGAGTGAAGAGAGGGCAGGAAGTAGACTGCAACATATAAGCAAGTGACTTAAGCCAATATACAAGGGGCATGCTAGAAATTAGCACCAAATGCCCAGGGAACCCGTCAGCCTTGTCTGCATTTAATGTAGTACTTTCAGAGAGTTCTAAAAAATTTAATACTTATAAACTCAAGGTCCTCAGGGGAGGAAAAGAAAGATCAGAGGAGGAAAATAAATGTTAGCAAATGAAAGGTTCTAGAGGAAATCTCTTTCTTCCCACTGACTGGCTGAAAAGAGAAGGGAGAGCTCCAGCCGCCGGCACACGCTCCCCAGGGCCAGTGTGTGGGGTCAGGCTGTAGAGCCTTTAAGCAGGCACAGCAAAGGAACAATCATTAGCTCTCACCGGAGGGCCCAGGCCCCTGGTCTCCTCACCCTGGACTTGGTACACAGGGGTCTCAATGCATAGTTGTCATAGTGATTTATTTTCTTACTCTAGCTCCCAGGACTTAGATTTGGTCTTTGCTCACCTAGGTTTGCTCTCTCAACATTCAAGACAGTAATCTGCCTTCCTAAATAGGGCCAGCTTGTATATTTAGAATGCGTACCCTGCCTTTATTGGATCTTTAGAATCTATCCTCCAGTGCCCAACGGTCCATAGGTTTCTATCAAAATGAATGGAATTTGGACAATATGATTTCAAATCATGTTTCTTCACTTGACACTGTGTAATCCTAGACAAGTTACTTAACGTCTACCTCAATTGGATCATCCATCACGTAAAGAGAATTCTTACTAATAACAAATTATCTTGCTTCATTGATCCCTCACTGTGTCCTAACCTTTTATTAAGTACCTTATATCATTCTTTAGATGCAATTCTCAAAACAACTCTGGGGGAAAGATAGCTTAGTAGATTATATTATTGCTCAGAAATATATACTCTTTCCCCCACTTTGTGTCTAGGAAGCAGAGTCTACTTCTCCACTAAATGACTCTAAGTTTGGTCATGTGACTCAGTTTGACCAATGGGCCACCACTATTGTAATGTCATCAGAGACTTCAAAAGCACTTTTGAGATGGAGCCTGCTCTCTTGCATTTCTGCCATTGCCATAGGTAGAATATGCCTTAGCAAGCCCACTTGCCCCACAAAAACACAGAACACGTGGAGCAGAGCCACCCACCCGATTCAGAGACCTGCAGTGAGAATAAGACCCAAGGCAGCTGCCCCTGGAATCAGAACCCTCAGCAGAGTCCAGCCTAGATCAGACATGCCCCAGCTGAATCACAGATGCATGCATGATAATAAGTGGCTGTGGCCTAAACTGCTGGATTTTGTGATGGTTGGTTATGCACCAAAACTAACGAATACAATAGCATTATTATAATCCATAAATCATAGACAAGCACAGTGGGGAATAATACAATTAAGTAAAGTGACCAAGGTCATTCAACTAGTAAGAGGCTGAACCAGGCCTTGATCTATTAATCACTCTGCAGTATTGCCTTCCTCTGTTTTGCCTCCTTTATAATGTGATCTCATCTGATATTGTTATGAGAATAAGAAACACTAGTGCAAAACACCTTACCCTGTGCCTATTAATTTATTGGGGATGCTGCTATATGACAGTCACTACCAGCAGAGCTTTGCATTAATTATAGCAATAAAATATTGTCCACTCTGGTGACTTATGGAATGATGGGGCAGTTCTGTGCAGATCTATATAATTGTCCCCAGTGGACCATGGGGCAGCAGAAATATGTCCTGTGCATCTTGGAGTGGCCTGGGCTACTACTGTGCCTAGCACAGGGTAAGCTCCAGAGATACTTGCTAGAAAAAATGTTTTAAGAATTAGCTGAGTATTTGGGTGCCTCTTTACAGACAAACAGCTTCCAAGAAGACCTGTGACAACAGTGAAACTTAACAGCTTTCTAATCTAAATTTCTTGTCTCTCTGTTATTGCATTCACTTCCCTAAAAAGTACATATCATTTTTTCTCTTTTTGCTTGCCTCCTTTATACTCACAGACACAACCACACATACATACTATTTTGTCAAAACAGTAGTTCAACAATAACATACTGCACCTTGGCACACTTGCGTCCTTGCTAAAATTACACCAAGCAAAGTTTGTTGTTGGTTACATTTTTAAAAAAGACACAATATCCCATCTCATCAGCTTCAAGTTAAAAATCACTCTGAAACTTGGGCTGCAGCATATAGCACCGAGTGTGCACACACACACACACACACACACACAGCCTGTATTTTGCACCTCATGAAGTTCTGTCATATCAGTTGCCAACACAGAAGGGGCACATGTCTGAGTTTCTTCGCTGCTCCTAATTGCACTGCAACAGGAATGCTTGCATCTTCTGCCTGGGAGGGCTGTGTTATTCCCCAAGGTCCAGAGAGAGTGCCGCTGCCTTTGTTCTTTGGCTTGGCTGAGCGTGGTGGTTAGACATGCCCCTTACTTCCTGCAATGTGCCAGACAGGAGCTTGAGAGATCCATGTCCTTGGCAGTGCTGCAGCTTTGTCTGTAACACAAAGAGGAGAGGCTGGGATGATGGGTGAGTAATTCCTGCCTTGTGGACCCGCAGCCTGAGAGTATCAGCTAAAGCAGAGGTCACACCCCTGCTGTCCCTGGTGCTGAATTTAGCCTGTGACTATGACTTGTTCAACCTTATTATTTTTTCATTTGATCTAATATTTCAAATGGGAATTTTACATCTACAGCCTCAGCTTCTCTTGAAAAGTTGGAAAATGAGGCAACAGTGGGCTCCATTTCTGCTTGTAGCCACAGCGGCTGGAGCTGTCAGGGGCAGAATCCTTCACACCTCATGGACGCTCACTCGCCATCAGGCACGACCCTAAACACCTGTCATCTCCCTTCAGTAGGGCCTTGTTTATTCTTTTGTTTTCTTACAATAGAATACAATTTCCTTTGTCTGCTGTGTCGCTATCTATGGTAGAAAACATAAAAGATAAACTAGAAATACCATGTTTTATGAAACTGTGAATGAACACATTTCTTTGTGAGAGTGGAGATGCTCCTAAGTATTTAATATGAAAACCAGTGCCACCCATGTGTGGGAATACCTCCTTGTGTACTTGTTCCTCAGAGCTCTTTGTGGCCTTCTGATGGTGAATGCCTTTCCTACTCCCATTGGCAGACAGGTGGCCCCAGTGAATAGGGGGCAAACTTCAGTCCAAATTATGTGTTTGCAATTTCTCAGCCCTGGGACTTGAGGAAAGTTACTTCACTTTTGTGAGCCTCAGTGCTTTTATCTATGAAAGAAGAGTGACAGAATCTAACTCACGAAGTTATTGGGAAGAGTCAATGAAATGATATGTATGGCTTACTAAGCAAAATTTAGGAACACAGTAAATCCTCAAATATATATTTTCCTTCCCCTTCCAGGAATAAACAAATAAATAGAGAAAAAGACAAAAGCAGCAGCAACTATGAGATCTTGTGAAACTTGAGTAAATTAAATAATTATCATCAAAGTAATTTTTAAACTGTATTCGCCCTTTTTGCAATATTGAATTAAATCTATGTTGAAAAAATTTTATACCACACACAGACATGCATATGTATGCACATGCACACTGTCGGGGCAGAGACAGGTCTTCCCCAGAAATCAGCTTCCTTCTCTTCCTCTGCACATACTGCACACAGCTCTTCCATGTTTTTAAGTTTCCTTGGCCACAGGGCTACTTCTTGCCAATGGGATGGACCCAAGTGATTAGTGTCACTTCTGCCAAGTCTTCTAAGAAGCAGTGGGTCTACTTCATATTCTTGTTCCCGTTCTCGCAGCTCAATGCAGTTGAGGAAAGCAAGATATTAGGGGAGTTCAGAGCCACAAAATAGAACGTTATTGGGTTCCTGCATCATAACATGAAGACAAACTGCCTGATGGCCAAATATAACTATCTTGGATTTTATTATTATAGGTGAGCCTTTAAATATGTTGGGATCTTTTTGTTTCAGTAGTTTAACTAGTCTTAATGAATGCTTATGGCATCCACACAGCACATGGTTTATGAGACTTGAGGTCTCCTATAGAACATTGTGACCACCCATCGAAGAACATTTGCAGTTTGCAAAGGTCTTTGGATCACATATGAAATTGCCAGTGAGAAGATTTTTCAACTTTCAGTTATAGCTATCATTGAATGGAAGTTTCCCATTAGTCAGCCAGACAGTCAACAAATATTGATTGAACACTTATTTTAGGAGATTGGGAGTCAGGTTAGAGGAATGAATAAGAAAGAGAATCATTGCACTCAGGGGATTTACATTGTAGTGATAATTGCCTGACCAGTTTTGATCATTCCATCTGGCCCTCATTGACTTTGGCCTCATCTGCCTTAGTATATGATTAACATCACAGGCCCTCTAGTGTAAACCTGCATTAAAATACCTCTGTGGGAAAGAGAGTCATAAAAAATAGTGTGCCATAGATTTGCATCCTGGCTCTCAGTTTCATGTTTTTCTTTCTATATCCTCTTCTTTGTTAGAGAGGGTTGAACCTATAAACTACATTTCTCAGTCTCTAGTTACTTGACTTTAGCCCTGCTCTGCCAATAAGAAGCACTAACATAAGGTTAGAAGGCAAGTGGGAGACTGGGGCTGACAGCAGATCTCAGCAATACTGTCAGTAAGTCCAGCAGGTCTGTGTGACAGCAGGCACCTGGGATACTGTAGCTTTGATGGAAATTACTGGGCCCTCTTGGGGATCTGGGCAGCAGGAACTCACAGACTGTCTCCAAGCACTTCTGCCAGGATCAACCAGTCCCAGCCATTTTCTTTAAAAAGACTTCACTCTAGTTAAGATGCAAAATCCATGGACAAGACTGATTGGCTTAGATCTAGCTAAGACCCACACCTTGGCTAGAGAAGGTCTAGCTACTCTCAAGTACAGACCCACCGGACCAGATCTACTGGAGGAAAGGTATTGTCTGCAAATGCAAGACAGGATGTTAATAATAGAAGAAAAACAAGAACATTGATGGTGACTTAAGACATAAGTCAAGCCATGTTACTACTCTGCTCAAAATTCTGCCATGGCTCCCCAACCTGTTCAAGGTTAAGTCTAACCCTAGCATGGCCTACAATAAGTCATGACTGGCTTCCTCTCTCCTTGCACTTACAGCTGCTTCCCACGTCCTGCATTTAAGATCCAGAAACACTTGTAGTTTGCTAAACATACTCTGCTGTGCCCCAGTCCTGTGCCTTTGTCTGTGCTGTCATCTCTGCCTGGAGCACACTCACCCTCCTCTCAGCCTTCCGCACTCCAACTTTTGGTTTTCGCTATTCATGATTTAACCCCTAGTTCAAGTATCTTCTTCTCCAGAAGTTGTTTCTTTATTTTCTCTTGAGGTGATTTCAGTGCTCTATTTTTTTTCTGCATAGATGGTCTTATGCTTGTTTATATCATAATATTTATTAAACTATATTATAAAATCACCTCGGGACCCATGACGGACAACAATTTCAACAATAACAGTGGTCAACGTTAATTTATTCATTCCTTCAATAAATACTTATTGAACACTTTATTTATGTCAAATACCATTCCAGGCAGTGAACCAATGCATGTTCATTCAGTACCAGCCACTGTGAAAAGATTGTGTGTATATCATCCTTAGAAGTATCTATTAACATCAAGGGCAATCCTACAAGGGTGATGCCAGTATTAGGCCCAACATAGAGATGCAGAAACTGAGGCTTGGAGAAGATAAGTAAACAATTCAGCAAATAAATATGAGAGTAAATAAATATGGCTGTGTCTCCAACTATACTATAGGCTCTCTGAGAGCAGAACTTGAATCTCTTACTCGCTCTATTTCTCAAGTGCTTAATATGGTATATGGCTAGGGTGATCCCACATCTTAGTTTCCCTAGTATAGTCATTTAATTTAACCTGTTTTTACAACATAATTATGAGTGGTACCACCTTTTATTCTCAAATGTGTCCAGATTTCCCAATGTTTGGCTCCTAGTTATCACCATATTAATGTTTGTTAAGCTGAACAGAATTGACCCCAGGTATAGGAAGAAGTTGAAATTAAGAAGTAGACCTCATCCCAATATCAGAACTCTTTTCAATTAATTTCTGAAGGGAATTAATCAGTTATGAGTAGACTTCATTTTCAAGCCATCAAAGAAAAGCAAGCCATAGATAATCTGACTCACTTGGCTGGGAAGAGACCCTTCCCTTATCTACTTCATCACGGTCATTTTAGAGATAAAGAATCTGCACCCAGAAAGGTCAACTGAATTGTGATGAACGGGGGAAAAATCCATGGCTGGAATCCTGTCTTCCACACAGAGCCTAAAGCTCATCCTGGCACTCATGGACCTCAGCTTGCCACCCTCCTTCATGCCTCCTGGTCTTCGTTCATATTTCTTCTTTCAGGAGCATTTTTGCATATACTGCAAGTGTTTGATGACCTAGAGAAATCCCACTCATTCTTTAAACTTCCACTCCTGTGGCCCAAAGGCTCAATCCTGTGTCTTCTCTCCTCCTATTTCTAAGATTCACCTCTTCCTTCAGGTTGCTCAATGACAACAGAAAAAGTAACTCTCAGGGGCTGCTTTGTCTCTAGAGGGAAGCTCCCTCAGGGCAGAACTCATACCCCAGATATTTCTGCAACACAGCCCAAACCCTGCCACCACCCTGGTACTTGGCCTGAGCTATTATTGTGCTGAATAAAATAAAATATAACTCTTAATTTCATTATTATTTCTAAATTGCATATTTCAAAATAAAACTTTTGCTCTCTGTTAACATCATGACTTTTTTCTCGTTACAGATTTAAGATTCATATTCAATATATTTATGATTCATAGGCTGTTTAATTTCCATGGTTCTGCTTACAGATGTTCACTGAATACCATCTTGGTGTCAGGCAAAGTCCTGGGTCCTGCAGGGCCTCCATCTTTCCACTGGGAGAGTCAAGGAGGGAAGACAAACCAGTCCCTAAATGATTTCATTGTGCTGTGATACTTTTCTGCCAGAAAATCTGCAAATATGTTACATGTTTTTCATTACCATAGAAGACGTTTTTCATCACTGTAGAAGATAGGCAGTAACCTATGTTGGAGAACTTAAGGAAGGCTTCATTGAAGAAGTGACTTTGAACCTGTTTGCTGAAGGATGAGCAAAAGATTTCTGTGAAAGGTGAATCCCTGCAGGAACTATTTAGTCAGTCCATGCCAGAAAATACTTGGGACCTTTTAGTTCATTTTTGAGTGTTGCTCATTTTATTAATCACTAGGGTCTAGTGACTAATTTCTACCAGTCTACATGACTTACTAGGTGACTTTGTACACAATTGGCCAATAATTTCAGTTACCTTCTAGATTATAAAGTGAAGATGCTCTTCTGGGATTTTACTCCCATCATGGATGTTTGGTAATTTCCTGTCTTTCACGTGGTAAAATGAAAGACCCTCCCCAACTCTCCAGCCAAGGCCCAGCACTATCCCAGCCAATTGCAGAGTCTCTTACTGGTTGTATGACCCAGGACAATTCATTGACCTTTCTTGAACATCAAGGTTTTCATCGTTAAAGTGGGGATAAAAAGGATGCCTACTCATTAAAGTTGAGCATTAAATGAGACAAAGCACAGAAAGATCCAGGGTACTGTCCAGCACACGTTTCAGTGTTGTGCATGTGTTAGTTATCAAGCAAATAACTATGTCCATCCTCACCATCACCATCCTCATCATCATCATTGTTATCACCATCATCATCATCAGTCGTTACCTTCATCATTGTCATCATCACCACCATCATTGTTATCATTATTGCCAACATCCTCATGTCACTATCATCATCATCGTCATCATCATTGTCATCACTTTCATCATCATCTTCTTCATCATCATGGTCATCATCACCATCATCACTGCCATCATCATCATTATCATCATTGTCATCATTATCACCATCATTGCTGTCATCGCCATCACCATCGTCATCAAACATTATCATCACCGTTGTCAACAGCAACAACAACATCATGACAACTGCAAACTGAGCACTTATTAACTTCAGGAGTCATGCCAACAATGTATACACTTTATTAATACAGCTGTCTCCAGTATTACCCATTTGAGAAACAAGGACGCTGAAGCTTGAAAAAGTTAAGTCATGTTTGAAAAATTAAGTCATGTTCTAAAGTAGTAAATGACACAGAAAAGGCAAATGTGTCACCTATGTCTACATAAGTCTAGTCCCTTATGCACAAGGTCTTTGGTCATCCCAGATGCTCCATGAATCCCACTGAAATGGAAATGCCTGAACCACATCGCTCACCTCCAGTTTCACTGAGGTTCTTCCCACAGACCCCAAACTGTTAAATTGAGTGAATTTTGCCATTTCCTGGTGACATGGTTTGGCTTTGTGTCCCCACCCAAATTTTATCTTGAATTATAATCTCCATGTGTCAAGGGAGAGAACAGGTGGAGGTAACTGAATCATGGGGGCAGTTTCCCCCATGCTGTTCTCCTGATATTGAGTGAGTTCTCATGAGATCTGATGGTTTTATAAGTGTTTGGTAGTTCATCCTGTGATCAATCTCCTTCCTGCTGCCTTGCTTCCCCTTCACCTTCCACTGTGATTATAAGCCTCCCCAGCCATGCTGAACTGTGAGTCAATTAAACCTCTTTCCTTTATAAATTACCTAGTCTCGGCCAGTTAGTTATAGCAGTGTGAAATGGATGAATACCCCTGGTGTTAGTGGGTGTCCGACTGAGTTGTCACAGAGCCCTCAGCCAGCCTTCTGGCTTCTGGGTTGGGGAAGGAGGAGATTCAGCATCAGGACTCAGATTACAGAGAAAATTCACCAGTTCCCACAAAACTCTGGAGATAAATCCCCTACAGATTCATGGCTGAGACCAAAGTTGGACAAAGTTCACATGCCCAGACTCACTGGGTTACCCATGGCAGTGCTGCCTGACAGGTGGAAACACCCACCATGTGCCCACCCCTCAGCAATTGTAATTATCCTTTATAATCTACACGATCCTCCAGCTTAGATGAGGAGCTATCACGTCCCCTTATCTCATTCAGTCCCCATTCAGTTTAGGCATCAACAGAAATGCTACCACCTCTACAGGAGAGGAAACCAATGCGCAGAGGGTTAAGCAACTTGCCTTGGGTCACTCAGCTACCAGTCCAAGTGCTGAGGCATGCCATGGCTCTTCTCCCACTACAGCTGTCCCATCAGGGAAAAAGGATTGTCAGAGGCCACCTTCCCCACCTTCCTCACAAGGGCCTTCTCCTTGGTGCCAGGGGCCAGCTGACTGAGACAAATCTGCATAGCTTCCAGCCCTAAGAATAAGCTTTTCCTTAGGGACACTGCAGGACTGCCTTGGCATCAGGTCCCACTCTCAGATTCTGCTGCCTGAATCCAGAAAAACAAAGATGGAAGAAATTGCTGCATCATTCTTATGGACTCATTTGTGTCTCCCCAAAATTAATACTTTGAAGTCCTAAGCCCTAGTTGCTCAGAGTGTAACTTTATTTGGAGGAATGACCTGTAAGAAGGCAAGTAAAGTTAAATGTGTTCATGAGGCTGAGGCTGTAACCCAATTGGACTGGTGCCCTTATAAGAAGAGAAAGAGATGAGAAGAGTGTGCGTGCACAGAAGAAGGGCCCGTGAGGACACAGCAAGGAGAAAGCCATTTGTAAGCCAAGGACTGAGGCCTCCAGAGAAACCAACCCTACCAGAACCTTGATCTTGGACTTTCAGCCTCCATAATTGCGAGAATATACATTTCTCTTGTTGCAGCCATCCAGTGTGTGGTATTTTGCTTTGGCATCCCAAGCAGACTGATACAGCAGTAAACGGCAATGTGGCTGGGAAGGCATCAACTTATGGAAGCACCAAGGGTGTATTTCCAGGAAGGGAGTCATACACACAGACCCACTTGAGGAAGCCTTACATTCATAAGGCAGAGAGCCCCCCTCGAGGCTGAGGGGCTCTTGGCTTAGTCTTTCTTTCCCCTTCCCCATCTATCCTAGACACAAGAACACATGCCCGACCAGAATCTGGGGACCTTGAGCCTATCCAGGCCAGGCCTCCCGACTGCTTGTGTGTCTGTCAAACCAGCCTTCTTTCCCTGAAAAGGACATGTCAAAGCCATCTTTCAGGAGTTTTCTTCCCCTGACAGAAATCAGCAGGGTTAGAATAACCCTGCATAAGTTATCAGCTCCTAAGGAAAGAACATGAAAAAGGCCCTTCTATCACTTAATGAAAAATAGCTTCTTTTTTGGACAGAACTTCATAGGCCTGCAATCAAGCCATGGCTCCCCTCTCCCTTCCCTGACGTGCCGTGCAGGCAAAGCAAGTCGGCATCTATTAATAATATTTTCTCCAGCTTCTTTCATTTTTCTGCATGTCCTACCACTGTCAGGCCCCGTGATGCAGCGGAGCCTTTATCTCGTCCGAGTCTGGCCTGTCAGGGTGATAAACAATTCTAACAAGAATCAGAATAAAGATCTTCCCAGTAGACTCTGCCGAGAGATAGAGGCTTTTCTCATTTTCTCGACGGAAAAAAAAATTTAATCTAGCGGCTCCGGCTTTTTTCAAGCGTCACATTCAAAGAGATGCAAATTTGTCAGAGCGGAGACCCCAGCTGACTCAGAGCACTGCATGAATGTCAAAGGGGGAGGCAGTGTCTTTGACATGGCTGCCGGTTTTTTGTGGGGTTGGGGGCGAGGAGCTCTCTGCTGAATGTTAAAAAAAAAATAAGGTTTTGCTTTGTAGTGAATGTTTCAACAATTTTTGTAAGTTTTCTTCTGAAATTAAAAAAAAAAAACTGCCATTGGGAGGGAAAGGAGAGGAGGAAAGGAACAAATAGGGGTTGGGGTGAAAGAGGAAAGACAACAGAAAAACAACTCCATTGAGATGTCAGGCTGGACTGCAATGCTCAGTAAGGGAGCACGTGTGTGAGAGGGGGGTGAGGCTGAAGAGATGAGTGAGTTGGGATAAATGAATGAATGAGCGATTGCATTGTAGAATGCACAGAGCTCAGTCTTTTGTTAGGTTTGGTTATTTTTCTAAGTTCATGGAAACTATTCAGATCTTCCTCTGGATACTTCTTCCCCCATTTGCCATTAACACGAAAGCTAATGCTCTGCTCTGTTGGTTGCCTGGGTTCAGAGCCCAGGACAACCAATTCAGCTTGAAGGGTTAAGTAAATGAGGCAGGAGACCAAGCAGAAGACACTGGAAGGTTGGGGTACTGATGGGCTAGAGAGAGGCTGGGAGGTGGCCAGCACTGGCCTCCTGGGAGACTTGGAAGCTTGACGGCGGCCCAGGGTATACCACAAGCACCTGCCCCCTGCTTGGCTCCCAAGGCCTTTGTGGAGTCTGTAGCCCTGCTGAGCTGGGCTGGGCCTTGTGTCCAGTTTCTTGCAGATGGATTGCACAGCTTCCTCAGCCCCCTCCCTTCAGCCTACATCTCAACCTTGGGACCCCAGAGCTCTGTGGAGCACTGGAATCTTCTCCAAGACTTTTATGGTTTTCTGAGTCAAGAGCATCGGATGCCCAGGCTCTCACAGCCTCTTCTTCCTCTTTATTTTTGATCTTGCTGGTTTCTCCATCCCCCAGCTTGCCTCAGAATCATGTACCTTAGTCTTTCCTCACCACCACCGCAGGGATCTACTTCCTCATAGCACAGCTAGCACACACCATTGCATGTAGCTGGCCTGAATTCAAGGCCAAGGTTAAACGAGGGTTTTGATGATGGAAGGAGGATGCAGTCACACTAGCAGAGGAGGCAGTGATGTAAACTCAAATCTCAGCCATCTCTTGGGTGCCCATAACTCACTGGTCACAGGTCTGACCTTCTCCAGAGTCCACCTGATGCCTCTCTGCTGGCGAGTTCTCTGAGAACCTGGCGTGCTAATGCCCAGCCTTTTTTAGTAGACAAGAGAAAGAGCCGGATCTTCTGTTAGACAAGGAAATTCAATTCTTCTCAGCCTCTCAAAGCCTGCGCCCTGTTATCTTTCTGGAATTGATCTATTAGATAGTTACATTTATATTAGCGGGCCCTGAATGTCCTTGCCCTCTCTAGTCCTTGCTCTTGCCATCAGGAAGTTTAGTGGGAAGTGGGTGTGTGTACATAGGTATGAGGTGGTTGGGTGGTTTGAGTGAGGATTAGAATAATACATGGGACAGAATGTGTATATTGAGGAGGGGCGGGCTCTTGAGGTTCTTTGATTAAGACAGTTCTATGAAACGGGGATCTGTCTCATCTTCACAGAAGCACTTGGCATCCACCTTATCGTTATGCTTTCTCGCCTAGTGCCAGCCTCCTCCTAGCGCCAGCACAATATGTTGCAACAAAAAGCATTAGTTCCAGATCCAAGTGATGGCCTCCTTCAATACTAGGTGCTTGCAATAATGAGCAGCCTTAGATGTTATCCTTGCTCCCACCTCTCCTCTCTGAGACCCTGGGCACTGCATTAGATGGCTGTCATCTTGCCAACATTTGGTTACCAGCCAGTTAGGAGAGAGAAGCCTTCAACAGCCTTAAATGATTCCATTCCAGAGAAAGGGTTCTGGCAGCGTACAGAGCACTCTGGAAGGGAAGGTGAGCAGAAGCCCATGGCTTTGTGAAATAACCAGTTACTGCAGAGTCCACACTACATTGTGTAAGCTGAGCGGGCCCAGCATGTAGGAGTTGTAGACATTTTCTCTGATTTTGAGAATGTTTAAAAAGTTAAAACTTTGCCCCTTAAAGTTTGGGAAATTTGTTGACAGGTGACACTATTGGCTATTTGGGACCCACATTCTGCGAGGAAATCAATCATCACAGAGTGTTTCTCAGACTGGTGGGAGGGAGTAGAAAAGTGAAGGGGGATCTGAAGCCACCCGTTTAATTCAACATCTGCATGGGACAGGCTAGCACAGAGCTAGGTTCAGAAGCCTAGATCCACAAGCCGTGATTGAAGACCTCTCACTGCTAGGAGTCGAGTGTCCTTAGGAAAACTCACTGATCCTCTGATTTTTAATTCCCTTGGTAAAAACAAGTAAACAGACAACAACAAAAATCACAAAACATTAGAAATCCCTGTACTATTGGCCCACAGGATTATGGAGTTGGAAAAGATATGGAACATGCTTCTCAATCTGTGACGTAGATGCCAGTGCATCCGGCTTCTTTTGGTTTCCCTTCTCCCCTTTTCTCATCCTGATATTATTTCATCCCCATGACACAACAAAAATGCCATTACTGTCCCTCTTTTCCTAGGGGAAAATTCAATCTCTTTTTTCTGTGTTATCAAAACATATATATGTTTCCATATCTGTACCAAAGACTGCTACATTCTTATCATCTCCCTTGAGTTAGGTCTGAAATCGTCGTGGTCCCTTTCTGCAGGTTGGATGCTCCTCCAAGACTCATATATTCAACTTTTGCCCGTGGAATCTCGCACAGAGGAGGGACTGATAAAGGATCACCGACTAAGATTAAATCACATTTGCATGGGCAAATGATAAATGTCATTACATGCAATCTCAGAAACCATATAAAGTAGCTCCCTAAACATCTCTTCATGTGACACCCTGGTCTGGAAGAGAGACAATATTAACACTTATTGACTGTATGCTTAGATGAAGACTTTTCTGTAATTATTTCATGACTATTAAAAATGTCACTGAGCCCAGTTATTATTTATGTTTTCCTCAGAAAAAAATCAATAAGTTGCCTTAGATATTTGATGAAATTTAAGCAAAATCTCAGTTGTTAGTCTTTCATGTGGCAAAATAATCGTTTATTCAATCAAGAAGTGTTTATTGTGGGCCTGCTACATATCAGGCATTGGATTAATCACTAGGCATAAAACCGATGAACAAGATAACACAAAGTCTACCTGTAATGGGCTTATATTTTAGTAGAAAAAGATATTTTTAAAAACCTAAACCACAAATATCAGTAAAATGATCATGAGTTGTGCTAAATTCTATAAAGAATAAAGTATTGGAACAGAAAAAAAAAAGAACAATCAAAGAAGCCCTCTCTGAGGAGATCATTAAGCTCAGCTCAAAAGTTGAAAAAGAAGCAAGCAACAAACAGAAGAAAAAGGGATATTCCAGGCAGAGGGAATGGTGTATGGGAAGACTCTGAAATGTGAAAGAGCATTGGTGTATTCAAGGACCAGTATGCATACTAATGTGACTAGGGGGTGGTAGATGATGAAGGAATTATGTGAGATGAGTTTGGAGATGCGCCCAGGGGTCAGATTGCCCAGAAGACATATGGGAAGGCCATGCTAACAGTTTGAATTGTTTCCCAAATACAAAGAAAAGGCATCAGTGGTTTTCATCAGGGAATGGTGTGGTCCAGTGACATACTTCAAGGTCACTCTTCCTGTGGTGTGCAAAAGGGACAGAAGCACCAAGACAGGAAGTCAGGAGACTATTGCAGTCATCTGGATAAGAGACGATGGTGATCTTCGTGGACTAGTTGTAGTTGCAACAGACATGGAGAGAAGGGGAAGAACTTGAGAGTAATGTTAAGATTAGGACTGACAGAACTTGTTGATGGACTGGATTTGAGAAGTCAAAGAAATGAAAGAATTGTGGCAACTCCCAGGCTTTCATCTAGAACACTGGATGAATGGCACTTCATTTATTAAGTTAAGACAAACCAGAGAACAGGTTTCACAGATGAAAAATGAAGTTCCACTTTAATAAGTTATGGATGGATAAGTTACCTTAAGTCTTTTCCTTGCTGTATTCTCAATGCCTGGAAGAGTACCAAATATGTAGTAAGTAATGAGTGCATACTTACTGAATGAAATAAGAAGGTCTGTGAGATTCCAAGTAAGCATTTGGATATGACGGACTAAAGTTCATACTAGAGATAAAAATTGAGACTCCATGGGCTTAACAATGTAAATAAGCCAAGAGAGTTGGATGAAATGGAATAGGGAAAGGGCATAGAGAAGGGGCTGAAGATCAAGACCTAAGCAGGACCACCTTTTAGATAAAAAAGAGAAGGATTCACAGAAGAATCCTGAAGTGCAGAAACCACGGTGACAAAGGAGTATGACAGTAGCCTGTGATAAGCAGGAAGTCAAGAGGGGAGGGTGTTAATATGATCAGCCATGCCTATTGGCTCTGAAATTCCAACGAAATGAACATCATCACTCACCAAACATAAATTCTCAAATCAAACATTAGAATCAAGTGAAGTCATTTTGTCTGAACATTCTTTTGCTTTTACCATATGCTAATTATCACAAATAGTAAAAAGACTAATAATCCATGAATTGCAACTCAGGAAAAAAGATTAATAATCCATGAAAAATATTCAGTTATAGTAATAATAATACTCAACTCTAATTCCTCAGGTGATATAGGGGAATCTGTGTAGAATCAAAAGCCAGGCAGATCAGAGATCAAGTCCAAACCTGGCCTCTTCCAGGTCTCTGCATTTAGGCTGGTGAAAGCTGAATTTCATTATAAAAATGATACCTCACTTTCTTATTCACAGAATATGTACAAGAATAAAACATGCTAGAGTATGTGATAAGATTCTGAAACTTGGAAAATATACTGCAAATATTAAGGGTCATTTACGATCATAGGAAGGATTCCATCCTCACTTCTTCATTCACTTGTCTGATACCTTGAAGCTCTGAGTTTAGTCCAGGAACAGGACAAGGAGTAAGGCACAGTAACTGCCTTGAAATAGTCCACAGTCTGGCTGTATTATCTTCATTCTGTTAATTTTACAACCTAAAGGGAGCATTCTAGATTTCTGGAAAATGCGTACGGTAAGGGAAGTGGCAATATGACACAAAGCTAACATTAAATGCTATCTAAAATGATGTCTCATGCAATTGGGATCACAACTCACTAAGAACCCTCTCTTGATAAAATAAATGCCTCATCTGTTTTCCTGCAATGTTTTGCTTATTCTTCTAGGCTAGCTCATGGTTTCAGAGATTTTGCCCATTCTCAGTTAGAACATGATTGCTCTTGTGACAAGATCTGTGTCTTAATAAGAGTCTGGCATGGTATTCTCTAAATATTTTCTGTATTGAACGGAATTTCAAAAAGCAGAAGATCTGGAGGCTAATCTTGAGGTTTTAAGTTGAAGGGGGAGAAAAAGACATTTCCAAAGGCCCTAATAAGCTTGATAAAGCCCACAAGGTGGAGGTCAGAAAAAGACCTAGGAGTGATTAGGACATTAAAAACTGTTAAAGAATCTTGATTGATGGGAAAGATTAATTTTCCCAAAGGGGAAGTTCAGTGGAAAAACCAGACCAAGCTTGCCTTTTTAAGTTCACTGTCTACTTGTGGAGGCCAATGACTCTCAGCTGCCACCCTGGATGCAGTGAGCACACCATGCCTCAGGCAGCCACAGTGAGCCAGCCTGTGACTAGAATCACCTCCACATCCACCTCTCACTGCTGGGAAAGAGGCAGAGCCCACAAAGACTTCTCTCTGAAGGTGCTGGAGGATGTGCCAGATGTGAGATATGGAGGCACCACTTTCAAAGACGAGAAGCCTGGGAGGGCTTCAGACCAGACCCTCAGCATTGGCTCTTGCCTAGAAAGTTGTTTCCAGACCACATATGACTTAAATAGAGGACAGTCCAGAAGATTGTAGTCATCTGAGCCTCTGCCACCTAGAACTGGGGCATCACCAGATTCCTGGGTTAGGAATCAGGGAAGTCTTTACTGTTGGCAAAGAAGCTCTTACCTGGAGCTCCCAGCCCATCCTCCTGCCCATGACATAAAGAGCTGCACTGTTCTCTTCCCTGGCTTCAAGGAAACCTCTCTTCCCTGGCTGTAAGACGTGTCCAGGTCGATGATTCCCCTTATCCTGGGCTCTCAAGAGGTAAGGCCGTGGCTCCAAATCTTTGGTGAGAATACGATTCACTTGTTCCTCTAACATTAAAAACTTAGATGCTTGGGTCTCAGCTCCAACAGGTCTGCAAAGAGTCCATGGAATACACAGCTTAAGCAATTCTGACCCTGAGCCTTTGGGTGGTACCTTGAGCAGCACAGGGGTGGCATGGGGGCCAGTGGTTAAGAACTCAAACTCTCATGTTAGAATGCCTGAGGCTGAGATCCTGTTCTTTGTGATACTTGATGCATGACTTTGACCAGCCATTTAAACTCTCCACATTTTGATGTCCACGTCTGTAACAATGGAAACAATTGCAGTATCTGCTTCCTAAATTTTTGGTGGGATTGAAATACAATAACCCATGCAAAGCATATACCCCAGTGTGTAGTATATAGTAGGTAGTAAATAAATGGTCATTATTAATATTGCATCTTCAAACAAATAAAGCAGAAGCAACTGAAACAGCATCTTGTCTTGAAAGTCTGCTCCTGCTACTTGATTCAGAGAGTATTTTTATTTTTATGTTTTTCATAACTGACTTCATTAGAAATAGGCTATAAATAGGCTGTTGTCCCACAGGATCTATTAACTGGGATAGTGCTTGGTGGTGCTGCTGTGTGTTTGGTGGTACTGTAGTATCTGCAGTTGCAATATCACCAGCATCCTTAGATTAGCTGCAGGATCAATGCTGAGTTCCAACATTCAATCACCAATACAATCCCAATTCACTAGTACAAAGGGGAGCAAGAGACTTTCCCTATCACCAACACCAACTCACATTCAGGGCTCGATAACAAATTCCTATAGTCACTCATTCAACAAGGATGAATTGGACCTCTCCCATATACCAGGTTCTGTGTATCAACAGCCACAAACTAAAGAAAGTGGTCCTGAACTGCAGAAAGAAAGAGTGAGAGTAGCTTTCTGTCTTTGTTACTGTGGAATTTCCTGGGGAGAGAAGGACAAGGAAAGTCAATGGACAGTTAGATATTTTTTGTAGTTTTTGTGAAATGTCACCTCACTACATTGAAAGGAAAAAAACAAACTGGTATTGTCTTAATTGTATGTTAGGTGAAGACTTTTATCCTTTTTAGGAAAATGTGATGTGAGGGAGAAAAGTAGAATGGTGATTCCAAGCTATTTAAAGAACTTTTGTTATGAGTTCAGGATGGCAGGCTGAACAGGTGACTAGTCTACTGCTCATGAAAAATATTAAAAATCACTGGGAATATATTTCAAACAAGGCAAGAAAACAGAATGAGTTTGTGAAAACAATCAAGAGTGCCATTAGCAGACTAGAAATGTTGAAGAATCTCTGTGTTTTTTACTCCCTGTATCTGCTTTCAATCATATCAGGAAGCAAAAGGCATTCACACACACACACACACACACACACACACACACACACACACGGATGTTCATGGAGGCAGAAGCACTTCAGGAGAACTCCACGCATGGAATACGTGGAATACTCCATGCATGGAATACGCAGATGATACAGAAATGGGTGGAAATTCATGAGCAGAAATACAAGAATACTGTTCCAGGCAGAGGAGATGAGGAAGACTGAAGCCCTGAAACAGGCAAGGCCAGGCATGTTTGGGAAAATAATGGGGGATCTGAATTGATTAGTGTGTAGGACACTCCAAAGTTCAGTCTGTCTTCCTGCACTCATAAAATCATATTCTGAATTTCTGATGTGGCACTCATAGCCCTCCACACTCTGTCCCCAAGATCCCCTTCAAGTGTGGTTCATCAATGTATTTCCCCAAATACTTTTAAGGTTCCAAATGTACTATACCACTGGTCATTCTCCAAAAACAGTCCATGTACTCTGGACTCATACTCTGTCCCTTTGAAAGTTCCACTGATCTTACCTCTGTCTTTGAATGGCTCCTCCTTCAAGTCCCATCCAAACACCACCCCCTCCCAGAATCTGTCTTCCATATCCTGTGAATGAAAAACTCATCCTTTCCTTCTGCCAACCTGACACTTTTCACCTCTATATGCACTGTGGACATCTTGAGAAAGAAGGAATGCATCTCTCTCAGCATGGTGCACATAGTAGAAGCAAATAAAACAGCATCTGTAATGCAATAGCTACTTGGTATGTATTGTGGGATAAATGACTAAATGTTTGCTAATAGACAGTGTGTGAGATGCTTTTGTGAAAGGTACAGGCTAGAGTCTTGTCAAGAAAGGCCTTGAGCGCCATGATGAGAAGTGTTTGATTAATGAAACGGCAAGGGGGAACTATGGCAAATCTGAGTGACAGTTGAAAAATTCAAGAGCAGTCAGAATAGAAACAGCAGAGCCCCTAAAATAGGTGCTATGCAAAAATCTACCCACGTGGTGAATTTCTGATGAGAATGAGATTTCAGAAGGTGGACCTGGGTTAAGTATTTGTTCCCATATAAAAGTTGAAAGAGAAAAAGAAAAAAAAACTCTGCAAGTGCAAATACAAAATCTAGCAAAGCTGGCAGGGAATACAACTTGAAACATGGCTGTTTTGATGGCTGCATAGAAAGCCAAGTGCAAGAACAAACTCCTTGAACAATATGGCCCTTGTTAGGTACACAGTTTTAATTAAATAGGGAGACAAAGTATAACACCAACATGTTAAAGGTAGGCACACCATGTGAGAGGCATCTGATCAGGATCTGGGCTTGTTTATGGTATTCTCGTCAATATAATTGTCATTTCAGTGCTGTGTTTATTTTTAAACCCAAGCTTTGTTTTGCATTATGGGCAAGTGAAATATTTGTTTTCAGCCAGGTTTCTGTGTGAAATGTTCATTCAAAATTCTAAATATAATGAGTAAATTTCTCTCCTTGAGAATTGGCACCATTTGGGACTTGGAGGCATAGTTTGTAAGTAAAGGAATAGGCCAAAAGGGATGTTTGGAATGACCCATTTACATATAGGATGTCTTATAAATTAAAACCCAGGGTGGGGAGGGATTGGAATTGCCTTCACAGGATGAGTTTTGCAGAGGCAACATCATATAAAGAAGGCAGAAGATGTGAGTCTTGGCCCTGGCTCTGTTCTTCTGAGTGTGCTCTTGGGAAACTCACTTCTCCAGTTGAGTCTCAGTGACACACACTGACGACATCACCACCATAGGTATAATGAGCCCTCACCAGCCAAAACCCCAGAGCTGTTCTAAGGAGCAGCATGGAAATGTGTATGTAAAGGCCCTGGAAACTGTGGAGAGAGGTAATACCCTTCCTTCTGGCTCTCAGGAATAGTCTCGTCCAGGATTCTGCACTTCATCACCAAGGGCACTGAGGTCCCTTTGTATTAATCTATTTTGCATTGTCATAAAGAAATGCCTGGGGCTGGGTAATTTATAAAGAAAAGAGGTTTATTTGGCTCACAGTTCTGCAGGCTGTACAAGCATAGCACCAGCATCTGCTTAACTTCTGGTGAGGCCTCAGGAAGCTTATAATCATGGTGGAAGGTGATGGGGAGCTGGCATGTCACATGGTGACAGGGGATGCAGGAGAGATGGGAGAGGTACCACACTCTTTTACACAAACGGATCTCTCATGAACTGGTAGAGCAAGACCTCACTCATTACTGCAAAAATGGATCCAAGCCATTCATGAGGGATCCGTCCCCAAGATCCAAACACCTCCTGCCAGGTCTTGCCTCTAACATTGGGGATAACATTTAAAGATGAGATTTAGAGCAGATAAATATCCAAACTGTATCACCCTCTTATACAGATGATGTGCTTGAACCTCTAAGAGGTCTGCTGTCAGGTCTTGCTCAGGGAAGGATGCACGGATGGTAGAGATCAGAAAAGAGAGCCCAGATAGCTTTCTCCTGATGCTCACCTCACTCCACCACGCTGTCTCTGTTGCTGCCTTCTCCCTCTCCAGCAAACCCAGGGGACATGGAACTAAGAATCAGATAAATGACTTGAATGACTGCAGGCACATGCTACCCTACCCTTTTTCTGATGGAATTTTGTGTCACTTGTCTCAAAAAACAAACACACAAAAAAAACCTTTAGTTTTCCTAGGAAATCAGATTTATAGTCAATGATGAGCTTCATGTCTCTGAAAATTTCTACTCTCACCTGAGTATAAACATGAGGCACAAGATTACCACCTTTTGCTTTCTTTCGTTCTTCCATCCTTTCCTCCCTTCATTCTTTATTCTCTCTGTCCCTTCCTCCTTCCTTCCTCCCTCTTTCCTCCTTCCTTCCTCCCTCTTTCATTCCTTTCCTTTTTCCTTCCTTTTCTCCCTTCTTCCATCTCTTCCTTCTAGTCTACAGCTCTTCACTGAACACTCTTTGGGACCCTCCAAGTTTCATGGTGCTGTACATCTCTGCGTTCCTTCTCCATGGGTTTCCCAGGGCCCCTCACCTCCAGAGCTTGGCTTTCCTCTCATGTTCCCCTGTGCTTCACACCTGCCCTGCTCCATGTCTTGTGACCTGTGTACCTGTTATATGTTCTTACCACAGAACCTTGCTTGCTCTTTCCTCTCCCCATCTGGTCCAAATCCTGCATCTCCAGAAAAATGGTACCTAAATTTGTACCATTTGTACAAATGGGATGGGTCCTTGCTTTATAAAGTCACAAACCAAAGCTACCTCTCTTTCAGTACATGAAAGTGTGTAGCTTACAAGTAAGAGAACGATCTCAGGATTCAGACCAAATTCTGGTTTGGTCGTTTACTAGCTCTGTGATACAAGCCAGGAGCATTATCCTTCTGCACTTCAGGGTGGTCTTCGTAAAGTTGTTCTGATGATTAAAGATTGTTACACCCCTCAGAGTTCCCAGCAAATAGAAACAGACAGCTAGTTACATTACTAGGAAGAGAGCAGAGGAGATGTGAGCAATGCCATAGGGTGGTAGCCAAGGCAGGCGCTGCACAAGCCACTGAGGGAGGAAGCCTCCGAGCAGGGGAGTGGAGGGAGGAATGATGGGAATATGAGTGCAATGGGGATTGGCTGCCTGTACAGTGAAGACCTTGAATTGCAAGCTCAGACCTTTCAAGGAGTAAATGGGTGGCTTACAGCAAGTCATGTAACTCCCGCAGTCTTGTATCTTCCTTCCTCATCCCAGCCCTTCAGGCCACATGGGGTGGGGAGGAGCTGGCTGGGAGTGGAGGGTGGGAAGGACCTTGCAAGTTCTGAAGTGCTGTGCCCATTCCTGCCTCACTATGCACTTCCTTAGGTTACCAGTTCCGATTGCCCTTGTATCCTTTAGTTCTTCTCTCTTTCTTTAAGGAATTTGTCTTTTGTTCTTCTCTCTTTCTTCTAAGGACTTTCCTCTTCTGTACAAGCCTCTGCTAGAACCTGGCTTCCAGCTTCCTCCAGGAGAGTTTGCTCAGGCATAACCGGCTAACGCAAAGTGCAAGAGAGTGAGGTCCAGGGTGCAACATGGTCTTCCTAAAAACAGAGTGGCCTGGAATTGGGTGAATGGGAGTGATGGGAGAAATGCGGGGAAAAGGGAATTAAGAATATTTGTTTATCATAAATATGTTACCCTTACAGCCCACTTGAGAAGGGCAAAGTGAGGGCTTCTGGCACCAAGCCTTTCCGAAGCTGGAGATGAACTTGGCCACACCCACCCTTTCTGCAGGCAGGAGAAACAGAATCTGCAAATGCTCCGATGAGGTGTTTCTCTGCTGGAGCAAGGAGAATAAATACTTTACCTTCAAATGCTTCAAGCAATTGTGTTTTCCTAGTATCATCAGCCACGGTTATGAGCAGTATTAACTTTTATTTTAAAACTCGGCATGCATTAGAGAATTGCTCTTACTTGGAAACGGCTCTGCCTCACTCGGCAGTGAATTGCAATTAAACTTCAAGAGAAGTTTTATTTGGACACAGCATCCCCCTTCCAAGTGCCCCCTGTAAATGAATTTTGAAACCTGCAGTCGGTGCCCATTAACTGGGAGTGTGGGGAAGAGCTGTCTATGATTAATGAAAATAACAGCTTGCCTAACAGCATACATTAATGTGGGCTGCATTTTACAATATTTCAATTAATTATAGATTAGTAGATTTAAAAGGGTCAGGGACCTCACAGATCACCTACATGACTGTTTTCTACCCACTCGGGAATCAGGAAACCAGCACCCAGAGAGGGTGGGGAATAAGTGCCTAAAGGATTAGGACATAAATCGTCAGCAACAGAGACCAGAAGGAACCAAAGCTGAGATGCAGGAAGATCAAGAATGTGCCCGTGGAAACTTTCCCACGCCCTCTCACTTGGAGTCTCCTTCAGCCTCAAAGTTCTTCCTTGCTCAAAACTCAATCCAGTCCTGATGAAAGCAGGACAAATATCACCCCTTGGGCCCCTGTGACTGATGTTCAAAGCCTGCACTGCACAAGTCCCCAGTCTGAGTTGGTTGGAATTATCAGTGGATACTTACTGAAGTAAGATTCCGCCTTTCAGGACAAATGAGCTCCAGGCTTCATCTCCATGTCCTGCTCTCTGATTCCTTAGTGATCCTGGAACTGTTTGGCTTGCTCTAGAGTTTTGCTACATCAGGATCAATTGGTAAGAATTACAATTCTTATTTTGAGCTTAATTGTGGCCTAGACTGCTGGGCTCTACTGACGACTTTCCCTGGAAAAAGTTTCCAACACTCCTGTAGACTATGTTGGACCTGTGTGCAAAGCCTCTAGAGCTAGGACAGTTCTACCAGCTTCTGTCCTGTCTGGTATCTTGCTCATCTCTCCCCACAAGAGCAGAAATGCACAGCACCCGTCACACCTCAAGGCATACCAACCTGAGCTATGACATCAACACTTACTTCTTGTGCTTGAATAGAGGCTTACAATTCATACTGAATTTGGGAATCCACCTGAGTTGGAGATGAAGACGATGCTATGTGTTCAATTATCGTGTCATGTCTTCTTCCTGCACCCACAATCCTTCCCAGCCTCTCCTTTATGGTCAGGGCATGGCCTGCACTTACTGCAGCTAATGGAACATCAGCACAAGTGATATGTATCTCTTTGAAATAAAGCAGTTAAGAGTCTGTGTATATGCTCTTTCCCTCTCTTGGGGCTCTGGAAGCCAATTATTAAGAGGATTGCATCCCAAGATGGAGAGAGACGGAGAAGAGCCCCCACCAATCATCATTACATTTTGCACAGGAAGAAATAAGAGTCTATTGTGCCAGTCCACTCAGATATTGTGCTTTGTTTGTTACCTCAGCACAGCCTAACCCATCCTGACTAATGTACAGCATAGCCTCTGCTCATCCTTTAACTGACCTTTTTCCTTATATTCTATTCTCAGTTCCCTTCTTTTCACATTCTCCCTAGACACACCTATGTAGTTCCACATCCCCAACCACTGTCAATAGAAGCACACAAATCCAGATCACTAATTTGCTTTCTGTTTTTGGGCTTCATACATCTACATTCAACTGCAACCTGGTCAGTTTCATCTGGGTATCTATTAAGAACCTAATGTCAATTTATCCAAAATTTAACTGGCCATCTTCCTCTGACCATTCTTTTTTCTGTGTGATGAATCTATTGGTTTTACCCACCATCCCTTAAACAAAGACCTGGACGTTATTGTCCCTTCTTCCCTGTCTCCTTCATGGCATTAAATCCTCCAAGTTCTATCTCCAACATAATTCTTGGAACCATTCACTTCTTTCCAACTTCATTGTCATTCTTTCATATTTACTTCATCTCTTACCTAAATTCCAATAAGAGCCCTATAATTAGTTCTCATTCTTACTCTTTCTTCAAGTCATAAGCTACAGCAGACAGATCTTGGACAGACAATCTCACCCACTCCCTACTTAAAGTTTCTTTAGTTCTCCCTTTTACCCTTAAACTCCTTGGCAGTCATTAAGGCACTTGGGATGGGACCTCAGTTCCCAGCAAAGAACCTCAGACTGTAGCCTCCGAAATCAGATTCCCCGGAACCGAGGCAGACCTCACCTGGGAAAATCGCTGGACGTGTGGGAGCCTCATTGTTCTATCTATCAAGGACAATAAATAATGCTTATTTTATTGCATTGATGTGAAGATTGAATCAGATAATTTATGGTCACATAATTGACAATATTGCTAAAAACATTAGAGCTGTCATAAATAATGATTAATAATGAAAAGGATTACTAGATATTAGCCGCTCCCCATGTGTCAGCAACTGTGCTAAACAGTTAACACCCATGACATCTTATTTAATTTTTGCAACACCCTATCTTTCCTGAGATATAGACAGATTAAGGTGCTTCTCTAAGAAAACACCAGTAGTAAGTTGCAGAGTTGGGATCCAAACCCAGGTCTATCTGATGAGATATTTAGTGCTCTTTTAACTCTACCAAAAGTGTGATTGGAAGAACAAATAAACAATAACACTTGATGTCCAGAAATAAAGAAATGACTTTAAAAGATATTAGGTCATTTATATAATGTTATAGTACAGGGTTTCCACCTTACACACCTCCCTAAGGCATATTTGCATAGAATGAAATATAGATACATGGTAAATGGAGCCTCCTGGTATACTATACAATCACTAAAAATCACATATAAACATATAAAGTGACTTTATGATAATGTTTAAAAAGCATATGTTATAGCATAGCATAGTGATTTAGAGCATAGCTTTTAGGGATAAGATTGCCTTGATCTGAGTCACTGTTTTCCAACATTCTGATTATGTGACCTTGGACAAATTGCTTAACACTTAAAAATAAGGAAAATAATAAAAACCCATCCTGTAGGGTTGTTTTGATGACAAAGCAAGGCAATTTGTGCATAGAGCTTAAAAATTTCCTCATCAATTGTGCTTGGATGTTACCGTCTTCATTCTAATTAATTATCACCATCGTTATTGCAAGAGATGAAAAGATCAGGAAACAAAGTTGTATTTGCTTTCTATGCTTACCTGTATCAAAAAACACAAAGACACAGATAAGACTGGAAAAAATATGCTTATGTGTTAAAATAAGCATAAGAATGAATCTCTGATTTGTTTAAGAGTGATTTTTTCTTCTTTTTATTTCTGAATTTTTCAAATTTTTGATGATCAATATGGGCCACTTTTAAAAGAAAAAAAAAGAACACTTTTCTGTGGCTTTAGATAAGGAATTTTGTCTTCTAACCTCAGTGATTTCTTTTTTTAAAGGAAACATCTTTGGTCATTAAATTCACTTAAAAGCCCTGATCCATTTTTGATGATCTGAAATATAGTGACAGGAACTAAAATCAATCCCTACATTCGAGGTTTGCAAAAAGCGTAAATTATTTTAGAAGTCGTGTCAGGTAGAGTTTATTCCAAGGTTTGCTTGCAAATTTTAATCAGAAAACACAGAAGGTATATGCAGCTTAGATTGAAATATCCCTTCACCTCGTATTCAGAGCCAGGTTGACTTACTGTTTGCTGGCTGATAGGACTGGCAGAAGTTACAGCTTGTATGATAGAGTCAGCCTGGGCAGGAACTGAGGGAAACACATAAAGAAACATTTATTTTAAAAAAGTAAATCAACCATAAAGATCCTCCCAGCAGACCTGAGAGATGGAAGCCTCTCTCTCATTTTCTCCTTGGCAAAATTTAATCTATCGCTGGGGTTTTTCAAGCGTCATATTCAAAGAGATGCAAATTCGTCAGAGCTGAGACCCCAGCTGACTTTTAGCACCTTGTGAATGTCAAAGGGGCTTAAAGGTTGAAGTGACTTACCTCCTTCCATCCTGACTAATTCAAATACAAATGTGTGTATATGTGTGTATGTGTGTGTGTCTCTCTCTATATATATACATATATAATTTTTTTAAGGAGAAAGTCTAAAACAGAGCACACATCTACCTATGTGTTCAGTGCCTCCTTTGTGTGGATGTATTTGCAGCAAATCTGAAATTTAAACAGAAAATATCATACCGAGACACAAAAGTTCAATTGAGAAATCCACAGTCTATCACTAAATTGCAAGGCTAGCAAGAGAATGTTTTGTGTGTGCGTGTGTGTGTGTATGTGTGTGTGTGTTTGCTTTGTTTTGATTTTTTTTTAATAGCAATCATTTTTATCTATGGACTTTTTCACAATCTGTTTCGATTAACTGGTTTAGGGGTGACTATTAACTCATGAGTGATCTCTGTCCTCCACGTGGTTCGTTGCACACAATTCTCCTAAGTAATATGAGTAAAATATTTACACTAAAAATAAGAGGTTTTAATTAACGTTTTGTACACAGACTTGGTTTATAGGATAGTTCTGCGAGGAGATTGGTAATATTGTTCTAAAGTGGGGTTCCCCTCTATCCTCACACAAACGAAGGCTCAATCTATCAGTGGAAATTCTGTAACTTGGAGTCCAAAGAGAAAAATGATGTTGAGTTTCCCACGTCATAACAAAAGCTCCAGATTAAGTATTATAGAGCTGCTATCATGTATATAGAATTTGAAAATCATTTTGCTTTTAATTCAACAAACATTGATTGAGTTCCTAACTAAGTGTTGGGACCTGAGGACACAAATATGACTTAAATTCAATGTCCGTTCTTTAGGAGAATGTAGGTTTATAGGGGAGTGTATTGGTCACCTACAGCCATAATAATGCTGTTTAATAAACAATAATAGCTCAGTTATATAAAACAGGAAGAAAATGATTGTTACTGGACCTTGGGGGGCTGGCTTGTTAGCTCTGCTCATCTCACCTGGCCTTATCAAGTGTCTAAAAGTCCACAAAGTTGTTGGGGGGGGGTGGAAATGGGATGAGTGGGCTCTAGTCTCATTTTTCAGGGAGCTGGCCTGGACATGCTCTCATGGCAAGAGCAGAGATGCAAGAGACAGGGCAAGCCCAGTAGCATCAGGGCTTTGCAAACTTCTGCTTGCATCACATCTGCTAACATCTTATTGGCCAAGGATGACATTGCCGAGTCTAAGTTAGAGTGGAAAGGTGTTTCAAAGTTATGTAGCAAAGGGTGTGGGCGCAGGCAGGGGTGAGAATGGGAGCTGTTTTTGCAATTTGCCTTTCAGGGACAGATAAGATATATACCATCATTTCATAAATATGTATAATGGAAGAGCAGGCAAGGCCCCCTGAGATGTTGAGGACAAAGCCATGCACCCTGGGAGATGCAAAAAGGACTTTCTAGGGAGGATAATGTCTCCACAGAGTTTGGAGGCTGGTCAGGGAGCTCATCAGAAAGATCAGGGGAGGCAGGTGTTATAGGCCATGGGAAGACAGCCAAAACAGGAAGGCATAAAATAATGCCCACTAATATTGCAGGAGTGCACAGAGTGAGGTGATGGGGGAGATGGAAGGTGCTGGATGAGACTGAGAGGTTAGGTGCTTTCTGATGTTCGAAGATGGAAGACATCGTGTGCCACTTCTGCAAGCCTTAGGCTTCATGTGGGAGATAATGAATACATGAGACCCCACTGATAAAACCTCCTTTATCAATGTGTATATGTGTAGGCCCGCAAGACGGCAGGAGAAACAGCCCATGTGTCTTCCTGTTGTAGCAAGAGATTTCCATAACTGATCTAGTAGAAATGCAGGCAAGCCAAATGATAGATACTAGAGCCTGGGAAGGGTACATGGGTGGGGCAGTGGGGGAGATGAAGAGGTTGGTTAATGGGTACAAACATACAGTTAGATAGAAGGAATATGTTCTAATATTTGATAACAGTGTAGGGTAACTATAGTCAATGATAATGTATTGTATATTTCAAAATAGCTAGAAGACAGGACTTAAAATGTTCCCATTGCACATAAATGATAAACACTCCAAGTGATGGATACCGTAAATACCCTGATTTGATCATCACACATTCTATGCATGTAACGAAATACCACATTTACCCCATAAATATGTACACATATTATGTACCAATAAAAAAAATCCCAGTTTCCTCTTCCTTTATACCACTCTGAAAGCATCCACTAATAAGAAGCCCTTCTGTGAATGTGATAAAAAGATTTCAATGAAAAGGGATTGTCTCTTTAAGAAAGTGGTTGGGGCAGTGCTTTTGGGTTTGAAAGTCTGGAGACAGTGGCGTTAGATTGATTAGGTGTGTACATGTTGGCTGAGAAGGCTGTAGAAAGGCGCATGGAAGTGTTTGACAAGATGAAAGACTATTCAACATATTAGACAGCTGCTTGAGTGAAGAGATCTATAATGGTGCAGTAAAATATACTCACCAGTAAATGATACCTTCATGGCAAAAGCTACTATAAGCTAGGTCACACAATTTTTGTCTGGCATGACAGGCTCAACGAAATGAAGTTTGAAAGCAGAGTTTCATGCATATGCCTCGTAACAGATGGGTAGCGACCTAAGGCAGAGACCCACATTTGGTGGTCACTAGTGTAAGGGTCTTTCTGTGGGACTGTAGAAAAATGAGGCTTTCCAGGAAAGATGCGTGGGGTTCCAAGAAACAGGAAAGGCTTTCGAGTCAGACAGCCACAGGTAGCAACACTGGCCCCAGGTTACCCTCTCACTAGCCTTGGACAAAGTACTCAGCCTTCCCGACTCCCAATTTTTACTCATCTGTAAAGTGAGATAATAGCAAGTACTTCAAGGGAAATGGATTGCACAGTGCCTAACACAGGACAGACATCATCACCTGCTCTCATTGTGAGCACTGTACGTGGGAAGCCCTTGGTCCTGGTGTTCTAATGGCGAGTCTCTCACTTGTCTCCCTCCCTGGATAGAGTGGGTCTTCCCAGAGCTAGGTGGTTATCAGCAGACAACACTGGCACAGGGCTGACACATTAGCAGCACCCAAGTCAGTCGGTTGATAGAAGAAAGAAAAGCTGCCAGGGTATATGCCCCATCCATCTGTGGGTCTCCATCTCTGCTGCTACCAAACCTGTCCAAACCCCATCATCTGTCTTATAGGCTCTGGCATCAGATGTCTACTTGGTGTATAGCTTCCCATCCCACCTCTTTAGAACCTGCCCTCCATACCCTATCTAAAGAGCTCCTTGAAAAAAAAAAAATCCCTCCAAGTACATTATTGCCCTACTAAAGCCAGGGCATGATTTCCCAGTGTGGATGGACTAAAATCCAAACTCCTCACTGTGGTCTAGAGGGCCTGACACACCCTGGTCCTCCCCTATGTCTCTGATCTTATTTCACACTCTTCTCTTCCTCACTTACTCTCTCCCCACTAAATTTCTTTGTTCCTTAAACACAACCCATTCGTTTCTTCCTCGGGGTCTTTGCACCTCTCTTCCTTCTGCTTGGAATGCTCATCTTCCTGAGTTTCCCATGTTTGCACCCTTCTCATTTGACAGCTCTCAGCTTCACTGTCACCTCTTCCAAGACAGAGGCTTTCCCTGAGCATCCTACAGGTCCAGCATCCCCATAGCCAGGTTCTCTCTATGTTTTCACAGCATTTGTCACTTTTTGAAGTAACCTCATTTGGCCCTTGCCTACTTGCTTCTTTGCCGCCCCCCGGGCTGGATTGATGGGTTCATTGCCACCAGTATCCTCTAGCACCGCATGGGCGTGGTCCACTAACCAGCAATATCTGCCTGGGCCCTGGAGTTTGATAAGAATGTTGCATATTGTAATCCCCACCCTACCAAATCAGAATCTGTATCTTCTTATCCCTGGGAGCTCACATGCACTTCATAGTTTGCAAATCAATGTCCTAACCTGGCACCTTGAAAACAGGTGATCAATAAACACATACTGAATGAATGAATGGTGTCACTTTGCATTTGAGACAAAGATACGAATGTTAAATATCCCATGTCAGTAAATTTTATGGTGAGACTTCTGGGCCTACAGAAATTTAGTTCACATAATGAATAAAAAGAATTCTCCCAGTAATATAAATGCATCGGTCATTGATCATTGACTATGTTGAAAAACCAAACCAAAGACCCTCTGAAGTGTCTAGAAGTCTGTGGTTTCATAACAGACATGTGCAGTGTCCTATTATCATGGAAAGGCTTATCATTGCTCCTGGAAGACTTATTCCTTCTTCTGATGCAATTTTAAATATTATGTACACTGCTCTAATTGGTAATTATTGGAAGCTGAACAGTATTCAGTTATGACCATACCAGCAACGTAACTAGGGGTTTTGATCTTTTTTTAACAAACACATTAGAGCAAAGGCTTCAGAATGTATGAAGTCCTTCAAATTACCTACCTTGGTTTAATATTAAGTCAAAAAAGCTGAATTAAACATGTGTCTTTCCTATGATTACTACTATGTAAAAGTGCTGCATGTGTATACGAAGGCTCTGGGAAGGACCATAGACCAAAAAAGACAACAGTTTGATTTTTAGAAGAGACTGTAGCTCAGTTGTTAATTCTTGTTCTTTTGCTTGCCACTGCTATTAAAAAATGCTTTTCAATAAATAAAGGTAAGAAGAAGTATATTACTAGAAATTACAGTGGTGATAAAACCGATGCATTAAACAGTTATACAAATGTTTGTCTGTTGGCGCAAGAGAAGCCAAAGCTTTTGAAGTTGCCTCACTGGGTTCAAATCCCAGTCCACCCCTTCCAGCTGGGTGACTGGAGCTACTTTTTATTAACCCTCCAAGACCTTGAAGCCTTACAGAATAAGGATAAAACACCCTCACTTGCAGACTTGTTTTTATATAAAGTTCTAAGCACGTAGTTGGGATTCAAAGCGTTGGTGCTCTTTTCTCTTTGCATGTAAAAGAACGCATAAGGTTCCTGCAAAATGTCTCAAAGACTTGCAACAAACAAGCCCTGCTCTGCTGGTATCTGCATATGCACTAGTGGCAGGCAGCAAGGAGGTATGAATAAAACTGTAGAAGTTGGAAGCCATTTCAAAGTTGTATTGAAGACCAATAAATATCTAAAAATAGTTTATGCATTCAAACACACTAAAGTAGTTGAAAGAACATACACTCCTTATAGTAGTGCCTATTTCCAGCCTTAATAATGCATTTTATTTTATATCACTTTATTTTATCTTATCTGTTTTTACTTATTTTGTTTTACTTCATTTTATTTTACTTTGTTTTCTTTTACAACTACGTCTGTATGTCCTACTCTGCCTTGGATGCTGTTCTCAGCACTTTACAAACACTAGCTCATCTATCCTCACAACAATCTCATAAGGTGCCACAATTATTGGCTCCATTTTACAAATAAAGAAACTAAAGGACAAAGAAGTAAGGTTGTCTGCAGAGTGCATTTGCTGTTGGCCCAAGATGGTTTTAGGCATTGTAATCATACAGTCTAATTTACTAGTTAGCTCAGAACAATGTAGAACACTTTTTAGAAGCTTAATCCACTCTGCAAGAAGATGGCACGTGCCACACAGGCTGTTCTTACAACAGCATCAGAGATTGCAGCAATTTTTTTTTTTTTTTTGAGACAGAATATTGTTGTTTCTCCCAGTTTGGTTTACAACGGCGCCATCTCAGCTCACTGCAACCTCCGCCTCCTGAGTTCAAGGAATTATCCTGCCTCAGCCTCCCTAGTAGCTGGGATTACAGGCACATGCCACCACGCCCAGCTAATTTTTGTATTGTTGGTAGGGACAGGGTTTCACCATGTTGGCCAGGCTGGTCTCAAACTCCTGACGTCAAGTGATCCGCCTGCCTCGGCCTCCCAAAGTGCTGGGATTACAGGCACGAGCCACTGTGCCCAGCCACTGCAGCAATTTTAAAGTGGAATTGAGCGTCTTTTTTGTCTTGTAGAAAAAGGACAACTAGCTGAAGAGATTAAAAAAAAAAAAAAGATGTTTGCCGTCTGATATACCACTTAACAATTTGCACCACTGGGCAAGCGGCTTCAATGCAGGAAAAAAGCACCAAGCCCAGAGACTGAAGAATAGTTGTGTGACTTAAATCATTTACACTGTCCGACTTTCAATTTCCTCATAATTAAACTGAAGGGTATGACCTTTACCTCCTGGGGGCTAAAGGAAATTAAGCTTATAACAGCTCCTGACACACAGTAGGGACACACCAAAAATGCTGGTTGGATTCAAAATTAAAGCTGAAATGATCAATGCATGCACAATGGATATATGGAACAGAGATTTGTTTTCCTGGAATGGGACTCTGCCAACAAATTGAAAAACACACCACCAATCTGAGACATGCACGATATTCATGTTCTTGTGCTGTTTGGTCCTGAATTTTTTATCTCCCAAGAATAATGACCTCAGCCCTGGGCATTTCCAGGGGATTAATGACCAGCGGAATTTAATGACCCCAGCTCCAGCCTAGAGTCATCCCACATTCCCTGGGTACTCATTAATCCCAGGTAGGCCAGCAGGCTTTCTTCTCACTGCAAAAATCATGCCCAAGTTCAGCCCTGCTGCAAGTAGAGGCACCACTGGGACTCCACACCTCTGCTTCCGTCCCCAGCCTCCTCCAAGCTCCAGCCACTGGCTCATTTATTTACAGGGGCAGCCAGACAGTAATTAAAATATGCTAAGGAATGCTCCTGTTCTAGGCAGCTGTATCCAATGATGAGCTGCTTCAAATACATGTGTCCCTCCCGCCCGCAACCCCTCACCTTGAACACACACATATTAACTTTTAGGGCGGCCATTCGGCATTTCTTCACATTTTGTGTAGAAGGATTTCATGAGATTTTAATGAGTTTCTACCACTGCAAAAGAAAGCTCACAAAGGATCCATGCAAATTGCTTTGTCTTCTGCAGCAATCCTAGAATGGTGACATGCTTCAATATTTGGTTTCTGTAAGGATATATAGATATATGCTGATGTATGCACACTGGCCCCTAAGCATTTCTGCTTGCAAGATGCAAGGTGAAACTGTGCTGCCAGCACACTGTGATACGTGGGATAAAACCCTGGAATAGATTTCCCCAATAGACATCTTCTGCTGGCTGGACTATAGACTGGTCTCTGTCACCAGCACTTTTACGCACCACCTACTTTGATACTTCGTTTTTTCATCTGTCCCGTGGGTGAAGGATAGTAACTATAATGTCTCTAAGATTACTCTCTGAAAATAGAAAATTGAAACAAACTTAATTCCTATTAATGAGCTTATAGGGAGTTTAAAAGTCACTGTCCTTCTTCCCAGCCATCAAATCAGAGAAAAAGGAAGTGATGTTTATAAAGTGACCAACCTATATCAAGGGCTCTCATTCCCCTAACAGTCTTTGAGATTGTCTTCATTCTTCGTATTTTGCTGATAAGGAGACTAAAGTGCATGAAGGATAAACAAGTGAACTAATCAACAAGTGGTATGTGGAGAGAGGAACCCCAGAGACCGCTCTCCCCTTCCTCTGTACGGCCTGGGAGGACTTGCATGCTGAAATCAGAGGCCTGGTGGTTAAAGTCTGGGGTCCTGAGCCAGGCCTGCCTAGTCCTGTCATTTGCTCTTCAATGTGGAGGATCAAGGGCAGTTGGATGAAGGAGGGCCAGAGTGAGAACACCAAGACATCCCATCCAGGGGTAGAAGAGATGGCCAGGAGGAAGAAATCAAAGCACAGGAATCCCACCAAGTGGCCTCAGCTGAAGATGTGCTGTTTCACAAATGCCTCTATATTGATAGGTGTGGGCATGTGTGTGTATACGCACAGCTGTGCATGTACACAGTGTACCCACATATGTGCAAATCTAGCTTCCAGATCTATCTATCTATCTATCTATCTATCTATCTATCTATCTATGTATCTATCTTCTATCACTTATCTAATCTATCTACCTACCTACCTATCTGATCTGTCTATTGGTAGACAGATAGATAAACTTTTCTACTAAAACAAATTACACATTCCATTTATCATTTAAAGCCTCTCTAATTCAAAACCTGTATATCAAAGACGGCCAACTTCCCTTTCAAACTATTTTTGTTATAAGTCTTTTTTTCATTTCACAGTGAAAGCAGTTTTTTCATCTTATATATAACACATTTTTGTTCAAAAAAGTTCATATATTTCACAAAGGGTTAAATAAAAGGGTTAAAATTAAAAGTAAAAATCACCCAATATTCCACCAGCCAGGACACAACCCTCCCTCCAGGGGAGATGAAGGGAGGAAACACGGCTTCAGTATACATCCAATCAAAACCCTGTACTTAGAGTTAGCTGGAACTAACTGTGGGGGCAGGGACCATGTCCTGCCTTTCTCTGAATCTCCAGTGCCTGCCTAGGACTGAGCATGGCTGAGCAGCATATGTGTTGCTGGGCAAAGGAAAGGCCACGACTCAGGAAAGAAGCCAAGGAGCACGCATTGCATGATGTATGATTGGTGGCTCCTCAGGGGTGTCCATTTTCAAGCTACGAACTACAACCCTTTGGGTTGGGTGGTATTAACAACATAGCAGGTAGCTTCTGGGTGACTTTATAATGTCAGTTCAATTAAGAAAAGAAAATAAGTCTTCATCATAATGATAAAAACATAAGCATCCATTTATAGATGTTAGCATGTTTCATACTTATGATCTCCTTTGAGTTTCATGAGAACCTCGTGTGACAGATATCACTGGTCTCATTTTTCAGGTGGGTTGCTTTGGACCCAATGTTTGTGTCACCCCAAAATTCATATGTTGAAATTTAATCCCCAATGTGATAGTACTAAAAGGTGGGGCCTTTAGGAGGTGATTAAGTCATGAAGCCTATCTTCATTAACGGGATCCATGCTCATAAAAGAGGCTTGATGGAGCTTCCTTGTCTCTTCCACCATGTGAGGACACACAGAAGGCACCCTCTATGAGAAACAGGTCCTCACCAGACACCCAGTCTGCCAGTGCTTTGACCTTGGACTCCCTGGCCTTCAGCACTGAGATCGATAAATGACTGCTGTGTATAAATGTCTTAGTCTAAGGTATCTTCTTACAGCAGCCCAAAAGGACTAAGACACGGGTAGGCAAAAGTTTAGAAAGGGTGGGTTACTTCCTCCGTGTCAAATACCTAGCAAGTTCTCAATGTTTGAGTTCAAGTCTACATGTCCTGGAGTCTCTTTCCTCCATGATGCACATCAATTTGTCACCACACAATAGACACAGTTTTTGGTCTCTTGCCTCCCAATTTCTTCTTCTCTTGTTATCTCCAAATTCAAAAAAAATCAGGAGTTAATACTACAGCAAGTTTCTCTGAATGTATTAAAACAACCCCTTTTAACTATTGACTTTAGAATGAAGGTGAAGGGGAACCGTTCGGGAATCAGAGCGTAGAAAGAGGGAGAAACACCTCCAAGGTCAAGCCGGGCACAGGCCTTTGTTCTTTCCAGTTCTTCCCGGCACCTCTCTCTACTCCTCCCATGTGCGCTTGCTGAGACCTTCTAGTTTCGTCCATCCCAAAGGCCTCCACTGCCACAAATTATAGATATTGTTTCACCGAGTCCTTGGATATATTTAAGTCATTGTTTGAAACACACACCGTCTCCTGTTGTTTCTGCAAAAATGTTCGGTCGATTAAGCAACAATAACGTGAATTATTCTATGAGTATCTCGGGATGGTTGCCTGGAATACTGTATATAAATTCCATTGTACTGGAGTCAATTAAACCTCATTGTCTATAAAAGTCACCTGTCTGACTTAGGGAAAAGTGGGCATGAATGTAAAAGACCCAACAACGTGTTGAAACTGAAATCTAACCAAGTTAATTTATGCTGCTCGGCTTGGAAGGAGAAAGAGCAGGCAGTTTTTGGGGGGCCTGGAAGCTGTGTGGGGATTTTCTGAGACCATTCTGATTACTCAGGGTTGCTGATGGGGGACGATGACACCTGAAGTTTAACCACCCCTGAAAACTAAGACAAGGAAGACAAAGAACACTTTTTTGACATTCTTGGCGCAAATGAAAGAAACTTGTCATTCCAACTTCACAAGACAGTGCTCAAAGATGAAATGTTCAACTCCACTGGGACAGCCATTTTTTTTTTGCTGTTATTACAGAAGAAAATTATAACCATAAAAATGTCCAATTTAGAAAAAAAGGTGCCACTTTAGTGTCATTTGCATAAAAGCTGTTACACACAAATTGTTATAAAGACAAATGTGTAGTACTCTCGTTGAAAATTGCTTATATCTCGGGTGCTTCGGCTCCAACGACATAAAGGCCTCTTCAGACTGAAATTCATTCTCAGGTAAATAAAGCTGAAAGTGAAATTTCACCTATTTGAAAGTACGTGAGTGGTTTTTCATGTTGTCTTAAACAGGTTTTGAGAGGCTGGGCCCTCTCCTCCTTTCACGGCTCACCCCCACCGCCTGGCGGGGCCTGGTGGCCCTCACAATACGGAGCACCTCCGAGGGCTTAGGCATTTTGTGCTGGAGCGAGTCAGAGTCCGGCTCCGTGGAGAACCAATAGGCCTTGCAGATACAGGCAGGGCAGGGGGCTTGCAGAGAGGAAAGCACTAACGACGCTCTTCTCTGAAAATTAACGTGCTGGTATACACCGTATCCTTCCATCACGGCCCACCTGCCTCATCAGAGCTCCCTGCCAGCAACTGCCCCGGTAGAATATCGCTCTCTCCATCACACGCTGACCATTGCCATGGGCAGCCGTATTAGGTTGGTGCAAACATAATTACCATTTTTGCCATTGAAAGTAATGGCAAAAACCGCAATGACGTTTGTACCAACCTATATGATTCCTTGAACTTAATGTCCCTTTCCCTTTTCCGGGGCTGCCCCCTCCTGCCGGGAATGATCTTCTGACTTATCCGGAAGAGCTGCAGTGTATTCCTCAGGAGTGTACACTCCAGTGACTGATTTTTTTTTTTTTTCCTTACAGCTCTTTGTCAGTTGCTTGCTCCTTCCCCTGCCCCCTCTACACAGATATTAATATTACTATCAATGAAATAAGTGAATAAGTAATGTTAATTGATGTTACTTATCACGCTTATTACTATGACTCATCCCCTGCCATCTCTCCTACGACCCTTTGCTATCTAAAGGCAGGACCTGTGTCTCGTGCATTTCCATATTCCAATTCCAGGGCCAAAACTCCCCAGAGTAGCCACTGGAAGGAGTTATGTTGAATGAATGGTGAACAGTTACATACTCAAATAATGGGTTGCAGGGTGAAAGAATACCCCATCTGGACTAACTAATTTGAGTCAGGGAACTTCAGAACAGTGGTCCCCAACCTCCAGGCCACCTACTGGTACTGGTGGCCTATTAGGGACTGAGCTGCACAGCAGTTGGTCCCCATCACTCTCATTACCACCTGAGCTCCGCCTCCTGTCAGATCAGCAGTGGCATTACATTCTCATAGAAGCACAAACTCCACTGTGAACTGCACATGTGAGGGGTCTAGGTTGTGCACTCCTTATGAGAATCTAATGCCTGACGATCTGTCACTGTCTCTTATCACCCCCAGATGGAACCATCTACTTGCAGGAAAACAAGCTCACGTCTCTCAGTGATTCTACATAATGGTGAGTTATATAATTATTTCATTATATTTTTACAATGTAATAATAATAGAAATAAAGTGCACAACAAATGTAATGAGCTTGAATCATCCTTAAGTCCTCCCCCACCTCCCCTGGTTCATGGAAAAATTGTCTTCCACAAAACCGGCTCCTGGTGCCAAAAAGGTTGGGGGCTGCTGCTTTAGAACATTATGAAAATCATTGTTGGTGTTTTGCTTTTGTTTTTGGAGGTTTTAGATTTCTTTTTAAATGAGAAGGTATTAAAAAAACGCTACTCATAAAGACTTCCTGATTCAAGCTCACATCAGTCCCTGTTATCATTGAGTTCCCATAAACAATGAAACTGACTTTTAATGAGCATCTACTATATGCCAGTGACTCCAATACAGACTTTATAATAAATATCAACCCTACAGGTACACATAAATACTAATTAATGATAGATAAGGTAACTGAACTTCAGAAGGGACATTTGGCAGATGACATGGACCTTGGAAGTAGAAAATCTAGGCTTTAAGCTTTTCAAGCATTCATGATAACATGCCTTATATTTATAGCAACTTACTGCAAGTAAGATGGGCTTTTTGCATCTCTCATTTCATTTACTCTTTATTCTCATCGCATGAGATAGGTCTAATTACACCCATTTTAGAGATGATGTGGAGAGTGTGGTATAAAAAGAGAAATGCTGGACTTAGAGAATCTGGTTTTGAAACTCAAATATGAAATTTACCAGCTGCTGAGAGGTCATTTCATTCTCACTTTGACTCAACTTCCTCTTCTATAAAATACCACTGGGAAGTCTCCTTCCGTGCCTGGTGACCAGGTCAGGACTTATGTTGAGAAGCTTCCGTATGCGCATGTTGGTAGAGAATTTAAAGTTTCCCAGAGTGAATGTATTAAAATAATTATTAATAGTAATAATAATTTCAACTTGCTTTCCAAATGACTCACTTCAGTTTCAGCTGAGAGAGGCAGAAGGAAGGCAAAGTTGGGAACTTGGAGGTCCCAGGAGGTTGCTGAGTTTCCGTTAGGAGTGGGAGTTGGATTCTGAATTCATGAGAAGTTTCCAGAGAAGCAGTGGCCAGGCCTCTGCACAGATGGTGGGGTACAAATGAGACAGTGGGGAGAGAGAACCTTCCTGATGTCCAAGCAGAAGGAGACAAAGAGGCCGGGCACAGTGGCTCATGCCTGTAATCCCAGCACTATGAGATGCTATGCCATGGCAAAAGAACCACTTGGGCCCAGGAGTCGGAGACCAGCCCTGTCAACATAGTGAGACCCCATCTCTACAGAAAAGAAAAACATTAGCCAGGCTTGGTGGCACACGCCTGTAGTCTCAGCTACTTGGGAAGCTAAGATGGGAGGCCAGCTTGAGCCTGGGAGGTCAAAGCTGCAGTGAGCTCTGATTGCACTACTGCACTCCAGCCTGGGTAGCAGAGCAAGACCCTGTCTCAAACAAACAAACAAACAAAATACAGAAGGAGACTAAAAAAAAAAAAAAAAAGGGATGTTAGTTCTCTGGTTCTCTGAACCACAGCAAGTGGTTTCCTGAATTACAATGTTTGCCTCTGTGTGTAAATCATTTAGATAAGGGCAAGCCATTTTTCCTTCTAATAGAAGGATAGTTCTCTTAATATATATATTCCTCTAACTGGTACTAGAAGTCAAAATATTCGATTAAACAATTGTTGGGGGAAAGGAAACTGGAAACTTAGATTTTTTTAAGTGGAAAGCTACAGGGAAGAAAAAACGTACTTTTTAACTAATGAAGATATTCTATACCTACCTGTTTTCAAAATGGCAGTTAAAAAAATAAATATTTTGTATGGTGTTTTGGGGTAGGTGAAACTTGTATCATTTCAAAAAAGGTGTTGATGAAAAGGACTTTTGAGTTTATGGAGTATGAACAAGAACTCAGACTTCATACTCTCAAAATGAAAAATAAAAGCTGAAGTTTTCAGCTTGGGTATGCATGCAAATTTTTTGACTTTTGGTGCTTTCTGACGAAGTACCGCATGGAAAAAAACATAGCTCCAGCCAGTTGGACAAGAGAGATGTAGAGGAGGTTTTAGATCTCTTTAAGGAAGGAGCACTACAGTCCCAGGGCTGGCCTGTCCCCATGTATTAGGGAAGTACTTAAAGATGCATAGAGAGGACAATGTGATTATTTTAAAGGTCACGGGTCTCGCTGAGATAAGGCTAAAGTGGTCGCCATCTAGCCATGCTGAATTGGATTATGGGGAGATTCTGTTCAGGTCAATTCATCAAGGATTGTCTAGATTAGACATTCATGAAAGTACTGCTGGTAAGTTTGAAAAGGAAACTTAAAATGAAGACAATTATGTAGCTCTTTCAGAATGTTTTATGCAGTCTAAAGATACTATTTTTTGAAAATTGTATATCTGTGACTATGCATAGTCTGAGAACACGTGTATAAAAAAACCATCCAACTGCAGAAATATCAGGGTTCCCATTGAACCATCACATGCAGGTTTGGGGGCCTTAAGGGGAACATTATAAAGAGCACTCCTTCCCCCCATGTGATTTGGAAACCATCAGTCACAATGACACCTTGCTTCTCCAGCAGCTCGAGGAGAAGGAGGCTTCTATCTGCAAGTGGGTGGACTCCCTAGCACGTATCTCCCAGAGTGGGTTACTGCAATCACCGTTTCCCGAGGAACCTAAGACAAAACTGACCACATTCAGGAACACACAGAACTCACATTCTCTGGCACAGGTAGCTTTCTATGACTTTTCCATTTATTTTTAAATAAATGAATAGAAGGAGACCTGAGCCAAGCATCCCAGGGTATTCGTTCCAAAATTCCCAAACAGTTTACCCTTAAAGTAAGGCAAATGAGGGGACAGAGAGAGGCCAGTAGTGCTATGCTAGTGAAATCCCCGCCACCTGGGATAAAACTCCAGGAGAAGAGAAAAAGTACCCCTCCTCCAGCAGCAGTTTGAAATTGGGGCACTGGCTTTCTCTAGAATACAGAGGCAAGACAAGTCCCAAAGTTCAATTTCAAATGGGCCTCCAGCCCTGAAGAGGCAGGCAACCGGGGGTCACAGGGTTTAGAGACCAGGTCCTGGGGAAAGTGGGTGGGAGAATCGGACACAATTACCCTGAAGAAAATATTCAAGAACAACCAACGTGTTTCAAATCTTTTTTTTTTCTTTCTTCTTTGCAGGGGTGAGGGAGCTGATTTGATTTGTTCTCTGGAATTCCAGATGGAAAACCAGGAACAGCGGTGGAAGCTACAGGGAGACAGACTTCAGCTCAATGTCAGGACAAACTTTTCAGCAGTTGGGTGCACCCGAACAAGCTGCCTTGTGAGGGAGTGAGGACCTCTTTCTGGAAGTGTGTTAGCAGAAGCTGGAGGGCCCTCTTTCTGGGATGCTGTGAAGGGGTTTCCTGCTTTGGGTGGGAGGGAGAACCAGATGGTTTTGAGATTCCTCTGGGAGGCTGCATTTCTATGTTTATGCCCTTTCCTGAGACAGACTTGGAGTATTTTGGTGCCTCCTGTGCTTTGGGTATGAAATTCAAAGATGATGCCTGCCCAACTCTTAGTAAGCGCATAAGGTCCAGAAAATGCAGAGTCACTGTCTACAGAGAAAACGCCCGCAGTGCTCAGTGTAATCCAATCACCCTTTAAATCTCATTACCTGACACTTTTGACGCAGTGGCCAAAATGGCGGATAATATTTAAGAGTGCGTGCCATTTACTGATCTAAGTAGCTTTGTACTTATGAACTATTTCAATCTTCCCAACAGCCTCATGAGGCATGACTAGCCCCTTTTCCCAGGGCACTACTCTAGCACGAGAGGTTAGAAACACATGCACGTCTACACACTAGGAAGTAGTGGAATTAGGACCCAGAACTAGGCAGCTTAGCTCTGGAGCCTGTGCTCTTAGCTGCTGTGGTGAACCGTGTCAGCCTCAAGCCATGTTCTTTTATCGACCTGAGCTCACAAGATGCTTTTCCCCATGCAAAGAAACACATACTCCTCTTTTTTCTTGTCAAACTACTCCTGCTTCAAGATTCAACATGGGCTTCCCTCTCTCTTCTTCATGCCCAACTGCGCTTCAACAAAATCACTTGTAGTGTATTACTTCTTTGTCTGCCTGTTTCCCCCACCTGCCTGGGGGCGTCTTAAGAGCAGTAGCTGTGCACTTTTGGTGCTGACGTTAGACTGGACAGAAAATAGACAGCAAGTAAATGTTTGTTGAATGAATAAGCAAACTGATCTCAAACTGCGTAGACAATTTCTTCTGTTATATGCTTCAATTGCTTTAAATGATTACAGTTTTGGCTTTTGGGGTTTTTGTTTGTTCATTTGTTTTTTATAGGGTCTTGCTCTGTCACCCAGGGTGGAGCTCAGTTGTGTGATCATAGCTCACTGCAGACTCCAACTCCTAGCTCAAGCAATCTTCCTACCTCATCCTTCTGAGAAGCTGTGACTACAGGTGTGCGTCACCACACCTGGCTAATGTTTTAAGTGTTTTGGAGAAACAAGATCTCGCTCTGTTTGCCAGGCTGCTATCAAACTCCTGATTTCATGCGATCCTCCTGCCTTTTCCTCCCAAAGTGCTGGGATCACAGGGGTGAGCCACTGCATCCAGCCAAATACTGACATTTTTAAATGAAGACCTGTGGCAGATGCAGTTTAGGTGTCTGAAAGTCCCTGAATTCTGATTGCCTGTGTACAGGTGCACCTTACCGGGAAAAGATTATGTCACACGGATATCAGTCCAAGTTTTTTGAGATGCAGATGCCCAGACAGGAATAGACATGCAAAAGATTTCCTTAAGGAGATGCCTAGGATGCGGGTATGCAAAGGGGGTGAAGGGAGACAGGTAGAACCGTCTGGCAGTGACAGAGATCTGATCCATGTGAAGCAGAAAGGGAAGGAAAGAAGGTTGGGCAGAAATGTCTGCATCTGTAGTGCCGTTGAAGGAAATACTGCAAGGCCCTGAAGGAGTCTTCAAGCAAAGCTGCTGGGTGAGGAAGTCCTGGGTTTCGCAGGAATGGGCCTGCTGTGTTCAGTCTTTGGCCAAGAGCATCCTCTGGGACATGTGGCCTGAGAACTAACATAGCGGTTGACAGATTTCAGAGCATAGCAGCTGGAGCCCTTGGTCAGTGATGCCCTGGAGCTCTGAGAGGTGGGTCTTCATGTCCACCCCACCTTAAGTCTCAAAAAGATCAATAACTCTCAGAACAGTGAGGAAGCACCGCTGCACCTGTGGGACTGGGCAGTGGCCCTATGGTTTCATTGTGACGTTTTCAGGGAGAAAGTAGATGCCAGCATCTCCTACAGATTCCAGATTTTTATCCCTTGAGTGATACCAACTTACTCTATCACCTTGACCCAGCCACATTACAACTTCCAACCTCAGCTTCTCCAGTCCAAATACAATGTGGAATGTTGAAGAGAGAGCCATTGGATTGCTGCCCAGGACAGAACTGGCTGAGACATCTATGTACAGGTATGGAGAAGAGATGAGTCATGCTGACACTTAATGGGGATGGGAAGTCTCAAAATGCCACTGACACGACCAGTGTGCATCATTGCTAGTGCTTATTTGTACCTACAATTTGCCAGGCACTCTTCTAATCACTTGACATGTGCAAAATCATTTAATCTGAACTCTTCCTTTTCCGTCCTCCCATTTTACAGATGAGAAAACTGCAGCACAGCGGCATAAGTAACTTGCCCAAGGCCACACTCCTAATAAGTTGTGGAGCTGGGTTGCAAACTCAGACACTCCAGCTCAAGACCACGCACTTAAGTACGAGGCTCTGCCAAAGGGAAGGAGAAAGTAGAACCAGAATGTCCCCAAGAGGTGGCCTGGGAAGATGGTGTCATCCAGATGTGGAGAGAATTTTCCACTCAGCACGTTCAATGAAAGAAGCTCCTGCTGGAGCCAACAGCACAGGAGACAACGGCAGGGCTGGCCCTGGGCCAGCAGAACCTTGGCCTTCCTCTGCACAGATTGCATCTTGATTGCAGGTCTTCATCCAGCAGCCACATGCGAGCTTTAGTGAGACTTTAAACCTTGTCACATTATATTAGTCCATTCTCATGCTGCTGTATAAAGAACTGCCTGAGACTGAGTAATTTATAAAGGAAAGAGGTTTAATTGCCTCACAGTTCCACATGGCTGAGGAGGCCTCAGGAAACTTACAATCATGGCAGAAGGGGAAGCAAACGTGATGTCAGGAAGGAGAAGTGCTGAGTAAAGCGTGAAAAGCCTCTTATAAAACCATCAGATCTCATGAGAACTCACTGACTATCATGAGAACAGCAGCATGGGGGTAACCACCCCGTGATTCAATTACCTCCCACTGGGTCTCTCCCACGACATGTGAGGATTATGGGAACTACAATTCAAGATGAGATTTGGGTGCGGACGCAGCCAAACCATATCACACGTCATCAGCAAACTTAACATTTCTCTCTGTGTGTAGGTGTGTGTGTTTAAAGCTAGAATAAAAAAAAAACATTTCAAGCTTGTGTTAAGACCATTTTCAAGATACAGCCCTGGAGAACGTGGTGGGGTTTCCCCCATGGGTCCCTAGTTAAAGAGTGCCACATAAGATGCCCCATCAGGCGACGGGGCCCTGCAGGGCCCACACCCTAACCAACATCATGGTGTAAGATCAACAGATAGATCTGTTGTTTAACTGCATCTCCAGGACATTTCAAGCAGGGTGGAGCTTCCTGGGGGACAGAGATGAGGGGAAGCAGCCCCACCTTTATTCATTCAACAAATACTTACTGAGCACCTATTATGTGCCAGCCATTGGCAGGTGCTGGGGGAGCATCAGTGAACTTGTAGTGGAAGAGACAGAAAATAAAGAGAAAAATAAAGGGCAGCATATAAGAAGAAAACAAAAGCCAGTGAGAGAAGATAGCAGGAGGCATGGAGTACCATCCTCTAGGTGGGATGGCCCAAGTGGCATTCAGACAGAGATTGGAACAGGTCAAGAGCAAGACTAGGGGCTGAGGGAAGGGCCAGCATGAGGCGTGGAAGCAAGAGGGATGAAGTGGAAGAAATAACCATGGAAATGGCAGAGGCGGGCTGTGGAGGGGCTTGAGACCTCGGTAGGGACTTGGGTTTTTAACCGACAGCGATGCTCAGTTATAGTTTGGGGGTTTTTTCTTAAATAATAGACTTTATTTTTAGAGCTGTTTTAGGTTTACAGAACAATTGAGCAGAGAGTACAGAGAGTTCTCACCTACTCCTCTCCCCTCACACAGTTTCCACTAAACGTCTTGCACTAGTGTGGTTCATACGCTAAGATCGATGAACCAATATTCACACATTATTATTAATTGAAGTCCTTAGGGGATATTGGGGTTCACTCTTTGTGTTGTACATTCTGCGGGTTCAAATAAACGCATAAGTGTCACATATCCACCCTGATGGCATCATCTACAATAGTTTCACTGCGCTAAAAATCCTGTGCTCCCCTTGCTCACCCCTCCTCCTTCGCCCTGAAACTCTGGCAACCACTGATGTTTTTACTGTCTAACTTTGCTTTTTCCAGAATGTCAGATAGTTGGAATCATTCAGTATATAGCCTTTTCAGCTTCTTTCACTTGGTAACGTGCATTTACATTTCTTCCATGTCTTTTCATGGTTTGATAGCTAATTTCTCTTGATTGCTCAATAATATTCCACTGTATGGCTGAACTCCAGTTTGTTCATCCATTCCCCTATTGAGGGACATCTCAGCTGCTTTCAGTTTTTGGCAATGATGAGTAAACATTCGTGTGCAGGTTTTTGCTTGGACATTTGTTTCCAGTTTATGTGGATACAAGCTCAGGTGCACGCTGGCTGAATCATAAGGTAAGACCATGTCTAGCTTTGTAAGAAATTGCCAAACTGTCCTCCAGAGGAGTGATGGATCTGATCTGGGGGTTAGAAGATTCATTTGACTGCTGGTGGAGAAAAGAGACCAAGCAGGCCAAGCTGTAACCCTGTGGGCTAGTGCAAAGTGGGTGCAGCCTCTGCAGGCAGGAGCTGGCAGGAGCCAAATGACTGGGGACACAGCAGAGGGTGTGGTGGAAAAGCACTGAGTTTGAGGCTCAAATCTGTTTCACATATGGCCTATCCATAAACAACCATATTTGTACATAGGTGCTGCATTTTTAAAAGGTTCTTGAAAACCCCCACCCTGATGAGCTTTGGGGTGACTTCCAGCTCTGTGATTAGAAAAGGCTTCGTTCAAACAGCAAGCAAAAGGTTCAAAAAGCTCCTTTTTCTTTGCATAGTTCAAGAAGATGGTTTGTATCGTATCTAAACCTAACAATTTAGCAGGATTTTCCTTTGTAGTAATTATGTGATGATCAATGTCTCTGTCTTTCCTAGGGGGAAAACCTACTAAATATATGTTCTATCTAAAATTGTTGTTTTTATTGTTATAAACCAGGACAAGTGAGGTGCTGTTTCATATTTAGCAACATATAATTTACCTCTTGTACATCTTCCTTTAAACTTATGGTTACCTTGTCTCAAGGTAAAGAGCGGCAAACAATGAATTATTGTCATTATCTTATAATCAAGTACAGAGCCGCCAACAATGGATGTCATTATGTTCTAATGGGGAAATAACCAGCCAATTCTACAGTGGTCATTACGGCAGCAAAAATTAATAATGTTCTGACTTTTTTTTTCTCCCCTTTTTTATTTTCAACACCAATTAAAACTGTTTTCAAGTGTTTCTTCCTACATTGTCTGAATCCCAGTTAGCAAAATGATTGTTTAGCAAATGTGATCTGGCAGCAGAAACCGAGGGATTCTGTTCCTTTAATTGTGAGCCAGTTAAAGGGAAGAAGAGTCTTTCTATTTTCTGGGGCAATGTGTACTTACCTGGGAGAGGAGGAGCAGCGAGGAGAAGGAATCTCTGAGGGCTGGCAAGGAAAAAGTGAGAACTGTATGACACTATTATAAGTAACGCAACTCATCAATCCTTGTATAACCTCATGAAATAAGTATTTTTAGCTTCCATTTGCAAATGAGGAATCAGAGGCTTACAGAGATGAAGTCATGTCTCACAAAAACGTAACCAGGAGGTGCTGGACCTCAGACCTATGTTCTGTGGGTGGGGCCTCAGGGCCAGCAAGCTATACCTTATATTATACCTTATCCAGCAAGCTATACCTTTCCTTGCAGTGTGTGCATGCTTGACCCACATAAGGGCATTCATGCAATTGTTTCATACCTTTTTGATGTAAGTTTTGTGCATAGATTAATAACAAGTCCCCTGGCTAGGAATCTACTGTGTGCTAGGAGCCATTCTAGCAAACAAGGGACTTCCTGCTTCTGGCCGCGCTACCAGCTGGCTCTGTCTCATCCACACAACTTTGTTTGGATTGTGTCGCACGCTCTTAGATCAGGGGTCAACCAAATATGGCCTGTAGACCAAATCGGCCCTGACATCAGTTTTTGTAAAAAAAAAAATAAATTTTATAGATATAGAGCCATGCTCTTATTCTGGATGGGTTGCCAGATTCAGCAAATAAAAATACAGAATGTTCTGTGAAATTTGAATTTCAAACAAACAAAACAATTTGTTCAGGAGAAGTATGTCCTATGCAATATTGGAGATATACTTATCCTGAAAATATATCCATTTGTTTATCTGAAATTCACATTTAATGGGAGTTCTGTGTTTTGTGTGGCAGGTCCTCACATCTCCCTGGATTCCAGCTCCATCACAGAGTCTTCCATTCCCAGCTTGGTGGAAGGCGGATATCAGTCTCCTTTCCTTGGACCTCTTCTGGGCCACAACATGCTCTCACCACCCTTGGAGAGAAGATGACCCCTCCTGACCCATGCCCAGGCCATGCCTGTCTAACCCCCCATAAAGAGCAGGCAGGACATCTTAGAATGGCCCCTCCAGGCTCCTTGTTCACAAATGAGCCACCTGGGTGTAAATGTGACCTGTGTTTTCCAGGCATCCTGAACTGGGGCTAACAGCAGATCACACAGGGCTCCAAAAGCCATATGCATATCTGTGTCTGCTGATCCCTGGGATTGAGGTAACTCAATTCCCATCAAAGTGCCACCCTGTCTGGGAGCTGCCGCTGCCCTGATTCCTAGATCTCCACCGTCCTCCTCTCCAGGAAGTTGCCACAGGGCTGGGAATCCCACTACCCTGTGGAATCTCTGTTGCCACAGAAAGCTGAGGGGAGAGACTGCACTGATCTGTCTCCTGCTGTCTATGGAAATGGCTGTCTGGTGTCACGCATCCCGGTGCCCTAGAACTAGCTGGGCCCACTGTGCCCACTGCCCGTCCCCGAGGCACTGAGCCTGGCCAGCATTGTGGCTGCCTGCTCCTTAATAAACACTTTTCCAGAAAGCATGTCTGCCTCTTGAAGTGGGGTCCTGGAGGCTCAGCCGCCAGCCTTTCACAGTAGTCCAGCTCTCCCTGGATCCTACGTACCTGATCAAAGCCAAATAGCTGAGGAATGTGTTTGACTTTCAAGGTCAATGCAGATATTAATCAAGACAGGATTCTCGGCACACATAAATAGCATGGTCTGAGTGGGAAACAGTACAGTGGAGACTTCTTCCTGTTCACTGCTGTATCTCCAGTGCCTGTAAGAATGCCTGGCACCTACCACATACCCAAAAATCTCTGCTACTTTAATGACTGAAAGAATGAATGAATTAACAAGTGAACAAAGCTTAGAAACTGCCTAGTTTAATGGTTACTAAATGTCTTTGAGTCACAGATCTCTGGAAATCTCATAAAAGTTGTGAACACTCTATTTTGGAAAAATGCGCATCCACCTCAATTTTGCATGCAGTTTAGTGGGTTCACAGCTCTCTCTGAAGGACTAGAAAGCTCCTGGGTACAAATTGAGGACCTCATTCAGCCCCTCTTCAGGGTCTAGATGAAGAAACTCAGGTGTAGGAAGAGGAGGAGAGTGGCCCAAGGTTTCAGGGCTCCTGAGGGTCTCTGCAGTGGGACTTGAGTCCCGCTCCCTAGCTCACTTCCTGTCTCCCCACACTAAACACCACTCAAGTCCTTCACCTTCTCCTGTGCTCCCAGAATGCATAATCAGTCCTTCGATTGGCCGGGTGGTTGAGCATTTCATTCAACTTATATTAAAAGTTCTGATTTTAATTTTTCTAATATTCCCATTAATAACATCTGTTAAGCCATCAGCTGGTTGCCCAATGTTAAAATGTCTTTGAAACAGAAAATGAATGCAAATAATTAAAAGAAAAAAAACCTGGGGAAAGCTATCCATTTGTCAGGTTTGGCATAAAAAATGTCTTGAAATGCAGTGTTTGGGATAATAAAATATCTGAAGTTTTTTTTCTAATAAATGAATTCCAATAATAATCGTGTCAGTTTATGCAAGTTCCATCATTCTTTCTGGAGGCACCGTGATAAATCTTTCATGTATACAAAAAGCTCTATTGAGCTACTGAGCGTCTACTCCATGTCAAAATCCCGTCTGGGCAGACACTAAGAAAACAGAGGTGAATAAGAGATGCCTCAGCCCTCAGGAGGGTCCCAGTCCAATGAGGGAAAAAAGAAAACTACAAGACACCGAAGGGGCATGGTCTGTGCTGTGAGACAGGGACATGCAGGGCTGGATTCTGAGGCTCGAAGCCTCCCCTGCAGCCTCACGTCAGCATGCAAGTAGAACGGGCTTTGGACATGCTGTGGATAGTCTCCAGTGGCCAGAGTTGAGAATATTGCAGGAGTTGTTGGATACAAGAAGGCTGGAGAGTTAGACAGGGCCAGTTTAGGGACAGTCAGTGAACCTACCTCGACATGTTTCTAAGAGATAGCATGATGCCATGAGCCGAGCACAGAGACAGCACTTGGGAGAGGAGCTGATGGGGGCAGAGAAGGGGCACGGGCTTGTCTATGACAATCTGCGGAGGAGAGGGTGTGGAAGTTAGTAAGAGGGACCTGGTGAAGGTCCAAAGGGGCAGTGTCCAGCCCTCAGTACAACCCTGGCACTGTGAGGGTTGAGTCCCAACCGCCCACTGTGACTTGGTTTCCTTTGGAGACAACGGGTCTATGGTTGGTGCATCCATGCAATCCACAGATATTTATAAAGGGCTAAGTGCCAGATGCTCTTCCACAATCAGCCACTACTCTTCTATTTTTCAAATGAGGAGAAGAGGTGGTCAGAACATAAGCCCCTGTCCAGCAGTGGACAGGTGGAGGCAGCTGGTGGAGCTTAGCTGCAAGTGGAGGCCATGGATCCAACTCGCAGGGAGGAGAGATTTGCCCCACAGGGAAAAGGAGGGCCTGTGAGATGAAAGGGAGACATGCCCCTCGGGCCTTGCCTTGGGGCACTTTGCAGGCTGTGGGAGAAGAAGGCCAGGCTTGTCTAAGGCATCCCCAGAGGAGTCAGGAGCTGCTGGATTCCAACCTTGGGGTTAAGTGAGAGAACAGGGCACCGACAAGACTTAAGGCCAGTGATTAGGAGACGTGCGTGGACTACAGTGAAAGCCAGGTGCTCCTCACTGTGATGCCCAAAAGACACTTGAGCTTGCTTGAGCTAACGATATTCTAATCTCTAGGGTCTGAATGCTTGTGTCCCCTCCAAATTCATACACTGGAATCCTAAAGGTGATGGTGTTAGGAGGTAGAGCCCTTGGGAGGTGATTAGGTCATGAGGGTGGAGCCTCCATCAGTGGGATTAGTGCCCTTATAAAGGAGGCCACAGAGAGCTCCCTCACCCCTTCTACCATGTAAGGACACAGCAAAAAGCTGTCCTCTATGAAGAGGAAAGGGGACCCTCACCAGACACTGAATCTGCCAGCTCCTTGATCTTGAACTTCTTAGCCTCCAGAACTGTGAGAAATAGGTGTCTATTGTTTATAAATTATCCAGCTTATAGTATTTTATAGCAGCCCAAATAGACTAAGACACTAATGGTTCAAATGAATGACCCAGTACTGAAATGGATCTGAGTGCCCCTCCAAAGAAAATCTACAGCAGTCCATGTTGGCTCCAGCAGCCGCAGTGGCCACAGCACCTGCCAGAAACAGACCTGCCTTGCTTTGGTCTTCACTGGGAGCCAGAGCTCAGAGTGTCTCTGAGTTAAAGAAGGGAAACCAGGAGAGGCTGGACATTGTCCCCAAAGTGCAGAAAGGAGACGAGAGTCCATGGGGCCACTGCCAGTGGAGTTGCTTTGAGGGTTCACTATGACACCTGCCTGACTTCTTGGGGCAATCAATTTCCCCTGTCCATTCTCCCAAATCCTCCCCTGTTAAACTGGAATGGCAATGATGATGATGATGATGATGATGATGATGATGATGATGATGATGATGATACTAATGACAATACTAACTTCATAGGATTGTTCTAAAGATAAAATAAGGAAGGGCATGCACCCTGCCTGCACTGTGTTTGGCACTCATTTGGTGCTACATGAATGAGAGCTGTTATCAACAGTATCATTGTTAGGTAGCATGGCAAGTCTGCTTTAAAACAACATACTCTTCAAGCTATCAAATCTTTGATGAACGGAGTTTCAAACACACAGGCTTGCTTACAAAGAACTTGCAGTTCTTTAGGGAAGACAGAGGTGGGCATGAATGAGGTTCATGAGACTGTGAGTCTGTGGTTGGTGGCCCAAGCACTCCACAGGCATTTATAAAGGGCCCACTAAGTACCAGGTGCTCTTCCACAATCAACCCCTACTCTCCCATTTTTCAAATCAAGGGAAGAGGTGCTTTACAAGGTGCAAACATACATTTAAAAAAAGGACAGATAAAGCACCACAGAGATGGATATGCAAGACAGCAGCCTCTGACAGGAAATGCATCTGTGCCCTAGGCCTAGGGGATGCCCAGAGCCTGGATTTCTGATTGGGAATCCCACTCAGGACAGTTCTGGGGAACTCCCTGAACTTCTCCATTCATTCATCCCTCCGTTGAATCAGTCGTAATATTTATTGAATGCCTGCTATAAGGCTGAAGGCAGATAGAAAACAAGAAAGTCTTTGCCTCCTTGCCTGTTATGCTTTCCATTTCCTCGTGTGTAAAACAGGGCTAATAATATTGCATGTCTTACAAGGCTACTGTGAGGACCAAATAGAAGATGCCATGGGCAGCCTGGCACATGCTTGAGGATTTGATAACAGCATCTTTTAAAAGCAGTGACCAGTGGCCGGGCGCATGTCTCATGCCTGTAATCCCAGCACTTCGGGAGGCTGAGACGGGTGAATCACCTGAGGTCAGGAGTTCACAATCAGCCTGACCAACATGGTGAAACCCTGTCTCTACTAAAAATACAAAAAATTAGCCAGGTGTGGTGGTGGGTGCCTGTAATCCCAGCTACTTGGTAGGCTGAGGCAGGAGAATCGCTTGAACCCAGGAGGCGGAGGTTGCAGTGAGCAGATTGTGCCATTGCACTCCAGCTTGAATAACAAGAGCAAAACTCCGTCTCAAAAAAAAAAAAAAAAAAAAAAGCAGTGACCAGAAGGTATGCCATTGCAATTGTGCAAATAAGATGAGACTAAACTGACTGTATGTCCGTTCTGTACTCGAATGCCAAAAGTCCTGGCTTTTGGTGAAAAACCCAGCCATATGAGCTTTTAACAAAATGTGAATGTAGGCTGAGTTTGAAAAATTAACAATAGTGATAATAATAATAGCTGTGGTCACATTGATTATATAGCTACTGTTTCTTGAGCATGTACTCTGTGCCTCACACTGGGCACATTTTGCAAAACCTTTGGCCTGTAATCCTTAAATTCCATGCTGTGAGTTCTGCTGTTGAGTTCTGCAGATGGGAAAACAGAATTTTAGAAAATTTAAGTAACGTACCTGAACTTTCACCACCAGTAAGTGGCAGATCTAAAATTTGTATTCAGTGCTACCTGATTTTACACCATTCAACCTTTCTGCAGAATTATAATAATTAACATTGCAGGTTGAGTATCCCTTATGTAAAACGCTTCAGAACTGAAGTGTTTTGGATTTCAGATTTCTTCAAATTTTGGAAAATTAGCTTTATGTTTACTGGTTGGGCATCCCAACTCTGAGAATCAAAAATCCAAAATGCTCCAATGAGCGTTTCTGTTGAGCATCATGCCGGCACTCAAAAAGTTTCAGATTTTGAATTTTCAGATTTAAGATTCTGTAGGAAAACAGCCTGTTGCATGGCAAGAGTGACGCTATCTTGAAGCAAAACCCCCGCGATGTCCGATGTTTGATTCCCGTATACCAAGGGGTTCTGCAGTAAGTCCTTTAAACAATGCCTGTAGCATAGCTAACCCCTCATAAAGATGCTTATCTAACCTCCTCAGTAGTCACAAGTCTTGGCAAGAAAGTGTGAAGACATGATCAAATGCACATGTTTTACCCTAAAACTTGCTATATAAAGAATACTGCCTGGCTTGCCTGTAGTTACGGCTGCTGAGAGGCTGAGGCAAGAAGATCGTTTGAGCCCAGGAGTTCTGGACTGTGGTGAGCTATGCTGATTGGATGTTGCACTAAGCTTGGCATTGATATGGTGACCTCCAGGGAGTGACTGGGGGACTACCAGGTTGCCTAAGGAGGAGTGAACTGGCCCAGGTTGGAAATAAAGCAGGTCAAAACTCTCGTGCTGAACAGTAGCAGGATTGCACTTGTGAATAGCCACTGCACTGCAGCAACGTAGTGATACCCTGTCTTTTAAATAAATATGTTTATATATACTTTCCGGAAGGCAGATGCAGGGATCCACCATCCTCGGCTGCTTGAGATATGGCTTCTCATCATAAGTTCCTATTAAATGTTTCTTTCTGAGAAACAAGATTTTTCAGCCTCTTTTCTCAGCCTCCCAGCTTCTTCAGCCTTTGGAGGTAGGGTTGCATAGACCTGCTCATCATGGAACAGATGCTCGACCTATATAATAATTATTTCTATTTATGTGGCACTTTTTTCAGTTTTCAAATTTTTTGATAGCCCTGATTTGATTTGAATTCTCCAACAGTCGAAAAATGCAGATGAAATTCCCATTAAACAAAAAGGGAAACAGGTCACAGACTTGCTGGAAGTCTCGTGGCTCAAATTTGGAAGAGAGTGGGCTTGAATTCAGGGTTGTGGTCACCCAGTACAGCCTGGCCCCCAAAGTCAGCTCCTTTTCCTCAATGCTAGAAAATAATAAACTGTAAAAGAATCTGATAGTTGTTTTTCAATTATTTAAAAGTTAGTATTTATCTTATCACAGTTTATTTTACAATGAGATTGAAGAAATTAAAAGTTTAAAATGAGCTCACCTCAACTGAGAAAATAATATAATAAGATAAATGGTCCCATTTTAATGAAAATCTCCCATGCACTCTTATGACCAGGAAGCACTGATGGGGTGGTTAAAACTACATTAAAAAAGACCAGAATACATTTTAATATTTCATTCCATTTTGCAGATTAAAATATATGCAAATTCAAAATTTAAGTAAAGTAAAACTGCCAAAGCTTTAGTTGGAGAAGCGCAGTTGCTGAAACCAGTTGCAATTTTAGGAGCCCAAGGTTGGCACTGATCAACAGGCAAAGATCCTTAGGTTTGGTGACATAATCTCTCATTGCCTTTAACCAATGGCTCTTACCTCCACTACCCCAGGGACATCTGACAATGTCTGAAGACAGATTTGCTCATCATAACTAGAATCTAGCGGGTAGATGCCAGAAATGCTGACCATCCTACAGTGCACAGGACAGCCCCACCACAAACAAGCCAGCAGTGCTGAGGTTGAGAAGCTTTGCCTTAATCATAAGGAAGAGAACATTTTAATGAATGCTCTCAGAAAATGGGATCCGAGTAAATATGGCAGCTTGACCATCTTCACCAGTAGAGGTATTTCCCCTTGATTTTCCCCCTGTCACCCTATGATCTCACAAAACAAAACAAGAGCTCCTACATTCACCCAATTCCTTTTCATGGCACTAACTTCCTTTCTCCTCCTATACAGTATTTGGCATCTCTCCAACCAGCCCTGTTCATAAGTTGCAAATCTCTCCTCCATTCCTGCCCCTGTACCCATGGGCTCATGCCTGCCTCAGCCTAGTTGCCCCCAGAATCACATCCACACACTCATACATACTCACACATGCATATGCACTCCTGCACACACTCCTACACTTGGACTTGCATGATTACACACTGACACACATGCAAACATTCAAACACACTCATGTACACTCATTGACTCACACTTACATATCCATATGCACCCTCACACACATATCCATGCTCAAGTATGTGCATACACTCAACATACACACACACATACACACACAGACACACATGTTCATATTTTCAAACACACACTCAACGTGCACAAAGATGTGCACACACACTGACTCTCACACATGGATATGCTCTCTCACACATGTGCACACAATCACACACTCACATGCATGCACACATTCAAACACACTCAACATGCACACACACATACTTGCATACACACTCCCACACTCTGACACGTGGCTGCACTCTCATACACTCACACATGCACACATATGCTCACACATTCAAACATACTCAGCATGCACATGCATGTGCGCACACAGACACACGCTCATGAACACCCCTGATGCTGCTTCTAATCCCTCGATTGGCCAATCCCTTATCCAAAGCCTTCTCAGACCAGCCTCTGCCCTCTCCTGGGCTAGCATCCCTCCTCTGAGCTCTGTTTCAGCTTGGGCACATCTCTGTGATAGGCACCACCCTTTGCCTGCCTGCATGCCTATCTCCCACACCAAACTCTGACCTCCTGAGAGGAATGCTTTGCTCAGCAGCTAGTTAGTAGGCAGTAGGCAAATGATAATTGAGGAAACCAATAACTGAAGGGTAAGGCCATGGCAAGGCTCACCAGGACTTTCACTGAAGGGGTTGGAGCATCCAAATCCCCCTAAACCTGTACATGGTGACTAGGGTGGGGCCAAGCAAGTTAAAAATTCATTATACTGGCAGACAGTTAGTTACTAAGGGAGCTGGTGCTACAAAAACGCTTCTATTTGGAAATCACTGAAATGTACCATTTTGTTGAGTTGAGGAAACCTTTGGTGTCACCTAAAGCTCTGTGCCTCCCACCCTCACACCAGGGCCAGACATCCAGGTGATCCTCAACTGACTCCCTTCAGTTCTTGTTCCTTTTCTCTGCCGGTTTTCCCCTTCTGTGGTCCACAGCATAAAATGCAGAGGTGACTGTCTGCAGTCCTCAGGTCACTCTCTCCGTCTCAGTAGCTAAAAGAGGTATCTTGCCCAGGCCCTGGGAGCAGGCTCAGGTTAACCAGAAAAGCCAGCATTATCAAGCCTGAAATACCTAAATCTGCTTGCTTTTTTTTTCCTCGCCTTCACATTTGCATGGAACAAGCGAAGCTTTTAGCCTCCGTGGCTCAGGAAAATGCATTAAAAAGATGAACATTTTAGTTAATGTTCTAAGAAGATTTCCAAAAGCAGTTTTGATTGTGTACTATTAACATTAATTAATTTCCAGACTGGGACCAGCCGCTCTATTAGGGGAATGCATATTTTAATCAATTTCTCAGTGCTGCTCCATGCTGGTTAAAGGTAATTCAGTGGGCTTTGTCTGCCCCATCCCTTTCATTTAACCCAATGCACTATAGAAGCCCCGAAGCTTATGAATGCAAGCTGCAAAGGCAAAGCTGACCACAAGCCAAGGAGTCACATACGAAGAGCTACTGGAAGCCAAATGACTTTCTTCTGAGATGTAGGCACCTTTCTCTCCACGGGGACTGGGTGAGGTATCTTCGACACAATTAGTGATTGTGCTTCCCTTAGCCCTTAGAGTAACTTTATGCATGTTAGAAACCACCAAAATGCCTTTTCTTCTTGAAGAGTGCAGTCCCATGGCAAGTGAATGGATTGAAAGGCAGAGAGAAGATCTGATGTTGTTCTAGCGCCCTTGCACAGTGAATGCTCTGTGCAACTGTATGTAGCAGCCTTGGTTGGTGAACATGGACTTTATTGCTGACCTCTGATGGGATGCTGTCCCAGGAAACTCCAATCACTTTTGCCTTCAAGGTGGATGTTCACCAATGGCTTTGTGACATTCTTTATATTGGTTTCAGTGTTTCTTAGGTGACCATGTGGACATCTCCTATTTTTTCCTCCCCTGGGAAATTGTAAATTCCTTCAGACTCAAACCCCACATCAAATCCCACTTAGAATAGCCAGTACCTTTTACACAGATAGTGGGTAAATTACTGTTCCTCGAGGATAAAGCCCAAATAGTTTTTCATACGTGACACTATGTTACCTGTAGACATCCACTATTTCTCCTCTCCTTCAGTCTGTGTGTGTACAAAGAAGATGCAAATGAATGCATGCAACCGTGCGTTAGCACGTGAGCAGATACGCATTTGAGTAAAGCAGAGAAAGAGATGTAGGCATATACATATGTATTTAGGCAGGCATGTATGTTTAATGTGAATATCTTGTATGTGTCAGTAGGTCTGTAAGTTTATGTTGAAATGTACATACGTCAACAAACAAAAAAATGTACAAACCATATATATATGGGTTTACATCTGTGTGTGCACATATGTGACCATGGACATGTTTATGTTATGTGCAGAAGTATGCTTACACATCCAAATGAGTGTGTGTTACAGATGTGCGTGTGTATATTCACAAGGCACTGTCGTGTTAGAGGGTAACATGTCCCTTTCCCAGTGGGCAAAAGGAGGAAATACGAGGGTGCAAGGGGGTGTGTGCCAGTTGGGTCGACTCACCTTAAAAAACATTCACAAAAGCCCCACACCAGGGCCTCTGCACATGTGCCATTAATCTCAGTGCTGCTCCATGAGCTCTCGCAGCCAGAAGTGAGGCTGGGAAAGGTAAGGTGATTCCTATTCCAAATGAATCAGGGTATTCTCACTACAGAAGGAGATGGAAAGAGATTTTGAGTGAGAAGTGAACAGTCTGTCCACACCCACTCTGTGTCTCTCCACAGCATAAAATTAGATACCGCAAGGAAACACATGTATCCAAGGTCTTTCTGGAGGTCTGCACATTGTCATTTATCATGCCTAGATTTTGATAAGGATTGGGACGGCAAGACCATGAGGTCATGTGCTCTGGTGAGGCTTGGAAGTCTCTGCTGTGACTCGGGTACAGAGGGTTTCGTTCATGTCTTTTTGTGGGTGGTGGTTAATCAGTTTGTACGCATGTATTTTTCTCTGTCACAATTTTCAAGAAAAAAAAATTGCATCCTAAGCTCCTCTGCATCATCTTCTCCCTGCATTGCCTGTGGTCATGGGTATCACAGGGAAGGATACCCTGGGAAGAGCAGACTGTTCTGGTGGGCTCTCCCGTGTCTTCTGTCCAACCCCAACAGGACCCAATGCCAGGAGATAAAAGTGAAAGAAGGAGCAAGGCGGGGGCAGGGGTGGAGAGGAGACATAACCCCAACAAAAACAACCAAAACCAGAGACCAGCCTGCTTAATGCTTCCTCTCACCACTCCAGCTGCCCACACACATTTCCTGACCAACCGCTACCGCCAGAGCCTATTATTCATTTCACAAATCCATTATTTAACAGTGTACTTAGGAGAGAATGAGGGAGAGACAGGGAAAGTGAAGCCAAAGTGTCTTACAGGCTCTATTTGAAATTGTAAGCAAATCTAGTTCTTGGAAAGGTTGCAGATGGGTACCCAGAGACTAAATCCCTCAGCTTGTCCACACACACACAAAAAAAGGAAACAGCAGGCAAAGCTATTTACAAATGGCACCTCCCACAACCACTAACAGGGGATGCCTTGTGGTCTGGGTAAACCTAGTGGAATCTCTAGACAGCTTCACCGAGGAGTGCCTTAGTTCACAACAGTAATGAGGTTGTCCACATAAGCTGTTCATGTATGAAGATCACACACAAAAAGGTCTTCCCCGCTGTGACGGTTAGTCTTATATGACAACTTGGCTGGGCCAAGGTGCCCAAATGTTTGGTCAAACATTGTTCTGGATGTTTCTGTGAGGGTGTTTTTGGATGACATTCTCATTTAAATTGGTAAACTTTGAGTAAAGCAGATGGCCCGCCCAATGTAGGTGGGCTTCATCCAATTCTTTGAAGTCCTAAATAGGACAAAGTCTGACCTCCTCCAAGCAAGAAGCAATTCTGCCAACAGACAGCCCTCGGACTTGAACTGCAGCTCTTCCTCGGTGTCCAGCCTGCCAGCCTACCCTGTATATTTAAGACTTGTGCCTCCACAGTCACGTGAGCTAATTCCTTGAAATAAATCTCTTTCTATACACGTGTCCTGTTGGCTCTGTTTCTCTGGGGAATCCTCATATATCTAGAGACTGAAGCTAGGTTCAGAAGTAGCTTCATTTGTCCATGGAGTGAATGCTTCTTGCATGCCTACCAAATGACTCATGAAAATACGGAAATGAAAGGTGTGGCTTCTGATCTTAAAGAGTTCCCAGTCTGCTGGGAAGTGGGATGAGAGAGTCCTGAATCCTGTGGCAACGTGAAAAGATGATGTAATGCAGGGCAGGGACTTGATGCTAAGAAAGCTTAAAACAGGGACCTGAACCCAGCCCAGGAGCAACAGCTGAGCTGAGCCTAAGAAAATAAGTCAAAGATGCCCAGGTAGTAACATGGCTTACAGGGAAGTGAACAGCACCAGCGAAGTGTTGAGGCAATGTTATTCTTTCCACAAGACAGACAGTGAGAGAGTGACAGCTGAGGAATGCAGCAGAGCGGACTGGCCTGCAGAGGCGGTCACTGCTGTTGAGCATGTGGCTCATTTTCAGGTACTGGATGGATGATTCTCTCAATGCTGAAGCTGCCTGGGTGTTAAGGGCTGAATTGAGAGAACCTCAAATTTGCTTGTTGAAGGCCTAACCCCAGTACTTCAGAATGCAACTACATGTGGAGATAGAATTTTTAAAGAGGTAATTAAATTAAAAGATGGTCATTAGGGTGGGCCTCAACTCAATACAACCGCTGTCCTTATAAGAAGAGAAGATTGAGGCCGGGCGCCGTGGCTCACGCTTGTAATCCCAGCACTTTGGGGGGCTGAGGCGGGCGGATCAGGAGGTCAGAAGATCGAGACCATCCTGGCTAACACAGTGAAACCCGTCTCTACTAAAAAAATACAAAAAATTAGCTGGGAGTGGTGGTGGGCACTTGTAGTCCCAGTTACTCAGGAGGCTGAGGCAGGAGAATGGCGTGAACCCAGGAGGCGGAGCTTGCAGTGAGCCAGGATCGAGCCACTGCACTCCAGCCCAGGTGACAGAGCGAGACTCTGCTTCAAAAAAAAAAAAAAAGAAAGAAAGAAAGAAAAGAAAAGAAGATTGGGACACAGACAGGCACAGAAGAAAGACCACATGAAGACACAGGGAGAAGGTGGCCATTGACAAGCCAAGGAGAAAGGCCTCAGGAGACACCAACACTGCCGGCACCTTGATCTTGGGCTTACAGCCTCCAGAACTGTGAGGAAATGAATTTCTCTTGTTTAAGTCCCCCAGTCTGTGAGACTTTCTTACAGCAGCCCAAGTAGACTGAGTTTGTCTGTCCTAACCCGCCATGCAGCTATGAAATATTTTCTGAGCATCTACTTGATGCCAAGCCTGAGCTGAGCACCAGTGAGGAAGACTAGCAAGGTCCTTTGCCTCCAGGAGCTTATGTTCTAGTCAGAGAGAAAGACAAGAAAGAAAGAGAATTATTGAATAGCAGGATGATTTCAGATGGCTGCAGTGGCTGAGAAGTAGGAGAAAGAGGATGATGCAATGGAGAAAGACATGGAGAGGGAGCTGCCATAGCCGGAAGCATCAGGCAAGGCCTTAATGACGAGAAGACTGTTGATCTGAGAGCTAGGGGACAAGATGGAGCCACCAGGTGCAGCTCCACAGTCATAGAGTTCCCGGGAGATAGAAGAGCCCTTCAATAAGGGATGATCCTGGCGTGTTCGGGTCACTGGAAGTCCAAGGTGGTGGGAGTATAGTGAGTGAAGAGTAGAGGGGCCACTGATAGAACCTAGATCTCCTCCAGATGAAAACTAGTGGTTCATTTATCTTTGTGTCTCTTTCCCTTGCCTCAGTGAAGAAAAGAAAGAAAGAAAGAAGGGGAGGGGAGGAAAAGAAGGCAAGAAGGAAAGAGAAAAGAAAGGAAGGAATGGAAGAAGACAAGAAGGAAGGAAAGGAAACTTACCTAAAGGATAAAGTGGCTTAAATGGGATCAGATTTAAAAATACCAAAATCTCACAGGATAAGTTTGTTGTTCTGAGTTGCAAAGACCAGGAAAAACCAAAAGAGAAAGGAGAAATGAGACTTTATAAGAGAAATGCACAAGCATCCCACTCCTGGTACAGCTTGGGGCTGTCTAATGAGGGCTCAGCCAATACAATATCATGCACCAATCTGGTATTTATTAATAAGGCAAGTCATGATTTTTAACTGATTATGGTACACAGACTACTCCCATCATTAATATAAATGAAATAGGAGGAATGGTGCCAAATGTTGCAAATGGGGACTGCCAGGAGACTTCACGGTGTAATTAGTTGAAAACACTAAGTATATCAAAGAACTGGTCTGTGAGCAGAACGGTTCAGTTCATCAGGAAGGAAGCAGACATGTTTATGTGTAAGGAGACTAGACATGGAAGAAAGTCAGCTTAGAAGGTGCTAGCAGTATGGGGCTCACATGTTCAACTCAGAGGAGATATCTAAGGTCACTGTTTTATTTAGAATCCCTTAGATACCATAGGGTAGACCTGTGTCCCCAATGAGATTTATTCACAGACATATTCTAACTGGCTTGCAAAGAAGGACCCCTTAGTTGTCAAATGGCTGTTAGTTTGAAAGGGAATACCCTTCACGTTTATTGAGCAATTACTATGTGATAGGTGCTCTACGTGTGCAAATCATTTGCTGTTCTTGCATTACTAAAGTACATTTTACAGATGAGAAATACAAAGCTCAGGAAGCTCAAGGAGCTTGGCTCAAGACCAGATTTCAAATGCAGGGGTGCATGAATTGAACATCCGTTTCCTTCCTCCAGGCCATACTGCCCCTGGAAAGACTCCGCCCTGTGAAGCTTAAAAAGTACCCTAAAAATTCTGCAGTGGAAAAAGACCTGGCCCAGAGTCAGAAAGCAAGATTGCAAGGTCAAGTATGGCCACTGAGAACTGTGTGATTGCATCTGTAAAGCAGGATATTGACAGACAAAGGTAAGGTCTGACTATTTTCTGTGACGAGGCTCTCTTCTAAATAGTCTTAGCACATTTCATCATCCAGTTATTTTGTGTGGACAGGCAGCAATACTACCCTCCGCTTTAAAGATGAAGAAACAGGTATTCTGTGACCCACTCATACCAGCTCATGACAGACAAATGTAAAATTTTCAGAAATTTTGCAGTCCAGTTGTTAAATACAGATATTATTAAAAATTAAATTACATAAGCTTACATTTAAATACTCCATATTAAAATCAAAGATAATAAGCACTCCAAACATAACACTTCCTAATGATTTTACTATAGTTCACTATTATCTAGGACCTTGAATATATTTAAATCTGATGTGCACTACTGCCCATCTCTTTCTAACTTCCTGTTCAGTGACATGATATTGGAGGCTTGAAATCAGCCACAATGTGAGTATTTACACCAAAGAAATCATCCACTCATACATATCAAGGGCCTTTTTTTTTTTTTCTTGAAAATCAACTGTTACACATTAACCAGTACGTCACTGAGATCAAGAGACCATTCAAGGTCAAATCCATATAGGAAGTATGTCAGTTTGACAAACTCAAGTCATAGAGACACCTCCAGGTCATCTCAGTGGAAGGAAGTTTCTTATGAAGATACACAAAAAAGCAATAATAAAATAAATATTACATATTAAATAAAATATTAATGATGATTCTTAATAAAGTAGAAGCATTATTTATGATCATGTCTTCCAGATTCAACCTGAACTTAGACAAGATATATTGCCTAAACTTTTCATTATGTCCAATCAATTATATTTTTCATCCTAAGTATTGATTTCTCTCATCAAAGGAACAACAATGTCTTCTCTGTTCCTACAGGCCTTTGATGTGGGGAAAGACCATTGTCTTTACTACTGATGCCTCCAAAGAAGATACGGCCATTGTCTATTCTCTCCATGTTCTTTGTGCATCAAAGATGCAATCTGAAATGGTGAGACCTCAGCCATGCACAACACTCAGCAATGTTAGATAGCTATGACTCTCTGCACCATGATCTTTTTTCTCCGTTCTGTGACTGTAGTTGTATTAATTGTAGTTGGTGGTGGTGGAGGTATGTGAATGACCATATATCATACAGGTGATGTAGGAAAGACAGGGCAAGGCATAGTAGGTTGGGTTTCCCATTGATGACTGTTCCTTTGCAAGTCTACAGGTAAGGTGCCCACTCATAGTCAAACTGATATCTCAGGCATGTCAACTGATATCTCAAACTGATATCAAACTGATATCTCAGGAATTCATTTCCGATGTGGTTCTCATTAGGAAAGCTTTCTTCTAATGGTTTTATAAAAGCATTTTGGCATGTGCATAAGGAATGGCATGGTGCCAGTGCATCACAGCAGGCAGAATCTGTAATGAAAATGTCTGGGAACAAGGTACCGAATGATGGAGCACCAGCCGATGAACCAACAACAGGTCCAAGCACATTATCCTTCAACAGGGTCCAGGAGAGCTACCTCTTCCATAATGGATTTGAATGCTTAGGCGTTCTCCTTATGTTTCAAGTTAATGTTCCCACATTTGTTTTTCTTTTAGGAAACCACAAAGCCAAGGTAGCAAGAAACAGCATGGTGTAATGGAAGGAGCACTGGTCCAGAGTCAGGAGACCTGGCGTCCAGTATGTGCTGCACCTGTCTCACTGATGGGCATCACACAGCATCCCTTCTGTTCTCTGGGCCTCAGTTTCCTCATTTGCTAAGAAAGCAATCTGGCTCAAAATTTCTGAAGACTTATTCGATTTGGACAAACTGGCTTAAAGACCCATGACAATGCGAAAGACTTTTCCCATCCAAAATTAAAATTAAAATTAAGCCTTTAAATGCAATTTTTGGCTAACTCGTAAAATTCACATAAATGTATTACCATCCAGGTGTTACAAGACTTCCATAACTACCATTGTTATGGACACAAAACAATATACTCTCTGAGCTGAATGAATCAAGATTTTATTAATCAGTCCCTAATTGTTGCACATTTTGTTTCTTAGAAGATATTTTGGGGAGTCAACTCAGCTCAAAAGAAAATCCCCCTTCAATGAGAGCTTTCTCATCCCCATCATCCATAAGGAAGAGCCCTCTGGCATTCCTTGCTTTTGCCAAGTAACCAGAACTTCCTGACTACAGTTGATTGGTCCAGGGATGAACCCCAACTTTAAATGTGTCAATCAGATCATCTCTTCTTCGAATAGGAGTTGGATCATGTGCCAATATGTAAGCCAATCAGGTGGATGGAGTGAGAGGGAAAGTATCCTGGTAGGCTATTACTTGGTGACAAGCCCACCACTCTGAAGCCATGGTGGTGAGGAAGCGAAAGGCAACGTTGCCAAGCCACCCAATCTAAGCAAGAGTATTATGGAGTTGGAGGGGTGGGGGTTATTTACAAAGAGAAACCTAAAATCGGGGGTGGGCAGCAAGGCAAAAATTGATTATTTTTCTATGTCTTTTTATAACAAACCCAGAGCCAGAGAGGAACTACCTTGGATCAATTCCTATGACTTCCATTGTTATCTTAGATGTGAACTTTGATTCTTAATTTGGCATATTACCTTGTTAATCAATGACTGAACTCAATCGATCAACACACTACATGTGCATATGTGTATGTGCATGAGTGTGTGTGCATCTGAGTATGTATATATGTGTGGGGGGGTGGGTGTGGATGTGGGTGTGTCTTTAATGCAGACACAAAGCACCATCTCCAAATTCTGATCTTGTGGGTCTAGAACAGGGCCGAGGAAACTGAATTTTACTAAAGCTTTCCTTCCACTCCAGGTGATTTTGACACCTAACTACAGTTTGGAATACATTGCTGCTGATCACTGGGACCTGTTGAAGGTACACTTGTAGATAAGTTATTCCGATGTGGTTGCAAGGATGGATTGAGGAAGCAAGGCAGAAGAAGAAAAAGTAGACTACTTTTCCTAACACAGGAGTTGATAGGCCAGGCCAGAACCAAACCAATACAGCACAGTTAAAGGAAATACAATCAAGAGCTCTCTTAGATCCCACGCACACATGAGAAGCCTGTGATGATTCTTGCCTGGCCAGCTGGGCAGTGACCTGCTTTCAAGGAGAAAGCAGTTGCTGAAGGAGGAGATGCTGCCACCACCTCCCCAATAGCATCCTATGATCCAGCCTTGTTTTCACTGACCCCACAGTTGTCTCTCATGCTTCCACGCCTTAGAATATGCTGTTCCTTCTACCTTTCCTTTTTTTCTGCCTAGGGAATTCCTACATGTCTGTCACACCAAAATTTCAGCACTAGACTTCTGGAAAGCTTTCTTTCATCTCCCTGCCCACTGATCCCTCCCCACAAGGCCTCCCAATTTTACTTTAGTCTGAGTACCTACCCACCTCCCTGACACGGCTGTGAGGCCCTGAGGGGAGAATTAGTGCCCACTCACTTTAGAATCCTAATCACCCAGCAGATGGGCTGGTGGCCCTTGTTCTAAATAACCACCGATTAGTCACTGTCTGCCCGCCTGAGTGCCCGCATCATGCTGTGTGGGAGAGGGAATGGAAGTTGGGACTCTGCAAAGAGACATCCTTTCCTACCCCATGAGCTGACTGGCCATGTGGGTGTTTCCAGAAGACAGAAAGTCTCAAGGCAATAAGCCCTCTCCCCAGAATGGAAGGCTGGGGGTAGGCTAGATAAATGCAGTTTTACAGGATTTTCTGTTTATCTGATTGAAGCAAAGCAAAGTTTGCCACAGGATTTGCTTCTGCATTGTGAGATAGCAGCCTTTGATGGCAAATAAAAGCTACATCAAATGGGTATTTTATAACATCTGGGTACCTGGGCTTAACGTTTATGCCTTACAATTTGTAGACTGGCCAAAGCATCCCATGTGTTTTAGAAGAGTCTTATTTTTAAAGTATAAAATGTATAATATTTGATTTCCTTGAGAACACCTATATGTTCAATGCACACATTGTTAAGAAATAGTGATGGAGGACACACACCTACAGTGTTGCAGAAATAAAAAAATTTGGCTTCTTTCTTAATTTGTAAAGAAGAGGGTTGGGGAAGGAGGGTGCATCAAGTGAGGAATGACTTAATGAAATGCTGAGCTTCTTCAGAATCAGAGGCAAATGTGTCTGTATCATGGCCAAAATGATATAAAACATTTAATATCATCTCTGAGCACATCACAAGTGCTCTGAATAGGATCCCAGAATTTCGCAGCTCCCTCTCCGGAAACTCAGGAGTCTGGGGCTCAGGGAAGCCTACATAGCGGCAGAGTTGGCATCTCTGCGATTCCTCCCCTTTGGGAAGAAGAAAGCTGTCGCTTCTGTCACCTGGACTATGGAAGGAGGAAGCTGCAGTGGCAGCTTTGCTTCCTGAATCCCATCCCACCTGAATCTTGGAGAAGGAATTCCAATAGTTGTGTCAATACAGAAATTCTGCTTCCAAATCCTGGGGTTCTTACCTGCAAATGACTTTCATAGCAAAGGCAAGAGAGATCAGTTTACGCACCATTTCCCCAGTGAATGCAGATCACCTGATATTTTCCAAGAGAAATGTAATTATCTCAGTATTTCCAAGAGGTGGAGAGAAATAGTACCCAGTTTTTCAGCCTCCTGGATGTGGGACATTTCTGGGGAGTAAGAATAGCAGTGGGGGAAATGGCTTACATCTGCCCAATTCTTACTATGTGAAGGCCAAGTTCTGAGATCTCTGCTGATGTTAACCCATTTAGTTCTTTCAAACCTCATCAGCAGTGGGCAGTGCATTGCCCCTGTTCCAAAGATGAGGAGAGTGAGCCAGAAGAAGCCACAGCTACTATGGGGCTTGATGACTGTAGAAGTCAGCCATTGGGTGTAGGAACTGAGGAGGGGGAGGGTTGTGGGAAATTCAGGAAGACAAAGGAAGGAGCTGGCATTCGACTGTGCAAGAGGTTCTTGAACTTCAGTGGACAACAGAATTACCAAAGGAGTTTGCATATTCATTTCCTCCACAAGACTTGGAATAAAGTCATGCCTATCACAAGTATTCTAGTTAAATATCCTTTGGGATAGCCCTAGAATGGAACATTAAAATGGGGCAGCTCTGTTCTTACAGATAGCGATGCTCTCGATGACAGATGGATCCGTACCAAAGGCATGATGGAGAGCAGTGTGACCCTGTGCTGCCACTAGCTTGAAATATCCACTCGGTGAAAGGCTGAACAGTGATAGGACACTTCTGGAAGGATACACAAGAAACCGTGAGTTTCTCTGTATCAAAGAAACTGGTGGCTGGGAGATGTGAGGGGGAGCCAGTCACATTTTACTGTTCATCCCATTTTCATGTGTTTTGAAGTTTGTACCAGGTATGTGTATTGTTTTATCAAACAATCACTCAAGCAACTGTGCGTGTGTGTGTGTGTGTGTGTGTGTGTGTGTGTGTGTGTGTGTGTGTGTAATGCCAGCACCAGACCCCATCCACAAATCCTGAATCTGAGAGTATGGGGCTGAAAGGGCAGTGACAGGAGTGAGAAGGGGCTTGGGCCAGGTGCTGTGAGGAGATGGCTGCTCCTCGGGGCTAAAGTGGATCCCCTGGGCGCCATGGTTCATCCCTGTAATTCTGGCACTTTGGGAGGCTGAGGCAGGTGTATCACTTGAGGTCACTTGAGGTCAGGAGTTTGAGACCAGCCTGGCCAATGTGGTAAAACCCCATCTCCACCAAAAAAATACAAAAATTAGCTGGGCGTGGTGGCAGGCACTTGTAGTCCCAGCTACTTGGGAGGCTGAGGCACGATAATTGCTTGAACCCAGGAGGTGGAGGTTGCAGTGAGCTGAGATCGCACCACTGAACTCCAGCCTGGGTGACAGAGTGAGTCCCTGTCCCAAAAAATAATAATAATAACAATAATAAAATTAAAGTGGATCCCCTGAACATTTTCCTGTGGAGGCCTTGAGGCCTGGTGTGGCTGTATGTGCAGTAAGGAAGTAATTAAGATTAAACGAGGTTGTGAGGGTGGAGCCCTGGTCCCACAGGATTAGTGTCCTTATAAGAGGAGACATCAGAGATGGAGGGTGGTCTCTCTCTTTCACCTGTATGAGAACACAGCAAGAAGACTGAAACCCAGGAAGTGGCCCTCACCAGAAACCAACTAGGCCAGCCCCTCGACCTTAGAGTTCCAGCCCAGAATGATGAAAAATAAATGCTTTCCTCAGTCCCTAGTCTGTGGTACTTTTGTTGTGGCAGCTGGAGCTGACTAATACAAGGGCTAAGGGAGGAGGCCGGAGCCCATTCCAGGGAGGTGCAGCCCACCTAAGACATTTGGGTAGTGCATGAAAGGCCTGAAGGGACGCGTGGGAGAGACAGAGGAGAGCAGAGCAGGGACTTCAGATGGAGGGCAGCCTCCTCTCCAGGAGAGCCCGCCTGCCCACTGAAAGTTCCAGTGCCCACTGGATCAGGAAGAATCATTCTGCACATCTCAGCAGCCAGTTCAGGCCTGCATGACTAGAGGCCACTGGCGTGCACTCCTTCTTCCTGAAGCCCTCCTGGCAGGCCTGCCCCTCCATCCTGGGAGTGGATTACTCCCTTGAGGGCACTCTGCAGCAGCTTCGCCTGCTGGTGTGGACATCTACCCAGGCTGGGAGGGCCCTTCCAATGTCTCCTCCCAAAGGCCATGCCCACTGCTCCCTCTGTGAGGTCTGTCAGTGGATGTGGTCAATTCTCCTAACTATCTGTCCAAGCCTTGGTGAACGTTGATCACAGTCTCCCAAGTGGATGCTCTGTCTCACCACAAGACTGTGAGCCCCTCAAGGGCAGCAAATGAATTTAATTTGTCTCTGAATTATTGGCCCTTAGTATAGTTTCTGTCACAGAGGAATGGACATAAGTATTTGTTGAGTTAACAAGTAAATGAAGGAAGGAAGGAAAGGAGGAAGGAAGGAAGGAAGGAGGGAAGGAGGGAGGGAGGGAGGGAGGAAGGAATGAAGGAGGGCAGGCAGGCAAGAGGGAGGAAGGAAGAGGTGGAAGGAGAAACAAAGGAAAAAAGGAAGGAAGGAGGGAGAGAGGGAGGAAGGGAAGGAAGGAAGGGAGGGAGGAAGGGAGGAAGGAAAAAAGGAAGGAGGGAAGGAAGGAAAAAAGGAAGGAAGGAAGGAAGGAAGGAAGGAAGGAGATGATAGATTAAACCAGGCTATTGACCCTCTAAAAATACTCTCTTATAGCATAAGGGAGCAAGAAATCAAATGAAAATATTCCCCGGGGCTTGGAGTCCCAATATTAAATCACAAGTCAAGGAGATTTATGCTGCCTTTTTGTCCATGTGTGTTTTCGTGGTATAAAGCCTGAAAATGGGTTTACTTCACGGTATCCACTCAGAATTCCCCACTTACTGGAATTAAATATTTCAAACAGAAATACGAGATAGTTAAACGTGACTTAAGAAGATGTAGGAGGCAGAGTTGTGGATTAGTCTTGGCTGTGTGACCTTGAACTTGTCACTTGGTCTTTCTGAGTTGACTTCACCATCTGTAGAATAAGGGGAATGGCTCTTGCTGTATTCACAGCGCTGTTTGATGTGAATGTGTTTCACAAATGCCAAAGGGCTCTGTAAATGTGACAGCATTTTTATTTCTCTATTTGGCATTAATAAATAGTAAACACATGAAGGAGACTGTAAGACATTTCCCTCACTATATCCCCAAAACATAGCAGAGACTCCAGCACAGAGTGGGTCCTTAGTAAGTGCTTGGGGAACAGAACTGGGGGCTCTATGTGTGTCTGAATGTGTAGGCATATTATCCGATAATATAGACCTGGATATAGATACAGATAAATACAGACACACACAGGATTCTCATTGCCATCTCATACTTACAAGGGGGAAGTGCACTTCCCTGGCAAGGTAAGCAGCCTTAGAAGGGTCTAAGCCCCACGATATTATGACATGGGCTGGGAAATAATTCAGACTTTATATTATCTCAAGTAATAGACCTAGTCCTGGTCAAGAGCATCCCTGCCAGTCACTGCCATTGTCTGAACTCACACATACTTTTACCACACCCACAGTGTTTGGCCACACTCGTCTCTAAATTCTAACTTGTGGGAAGGAAGAACTGTCTAAGAACTCAATGTCTCTCAAAGCCCCCATATATCCCTTCCACTTGATTCCCTTCCCAAACTGGAGCATGCATATGAACAAAATTGAATTCTGCCCATTAATTTGAAATCATTCTGTACTGATATAACATTTCAACCCTGCCAAAACAGTTTCTATTTCTGAGTAATTCTTTATTCCAAATTCTTCCAATTGGCATTCTTTTCAAAATGCTGGGCTCCAGTCTCTGTGGAGGACTGCAGACTGCATATGTCCCCAAAACATCTTTGCTTTCTTCAAAACTTCCCCAAGAACTCTTGTGGCACCATCCCTGTTCCATTACTCTCAGCAAGTACCATCTTCTGGATCCTTTCACTTCCAATTTGAGTCTGGTATTTATCATTTTTGTTTGGAATTATTTTCACCACTGGGAGACAAAAAATAACACCTTGTTCCATGCACAGAAAGAAGCCATAAAAAATAAAAGACACATAGAAAAACCCACAATAAAAATATTCCTATTGGTTCTCCTGATCTTCTTCCACCTTTGCTTTTCTCCAAATAAGTGGCTCTCCCTGCCCTCATGAACACTTGTTTTGGGGCAAGTACATTGGGTTAAGTAATATGAAATTTATCAACCAAACCAGGGTACTTTTGGGAGTTAAGTTAGTTATTATTATTAACTACACCAGAATAACAGACATAAAATGAGACTGTTCTGGACACATCAGAAAATATGTTCAAGGCAGGAATAAAATATGCTGTTATTAGGACTTCTTTAGGTGCAAGTAACAGAAACCCAATATGAAGTAGCTTTTAGAAAAAAAAAATGTATAGATTTAGTATGTTATTGGCTCAGCATTAAGGTGGATTCAGTCACATCAATATTCCATGTCACCAAATTCATTTTATCTTGCCATCCTTCTTTCCTTTGTTTCTCACTGCTCAGCGCCTTCTCTCCTATTGGATACAGACTTCCTCCACGTATCAGGGGAGATAACTGCTCCATGTCCCAAAAGGAAAGCCCTCTTTTCCTCTAGGAAAAACCCTGAAATGAACATAGATTGTCCTATCTTGCATCACCTGCTCACCCCTGGAACACATGCCTTCATCAGGGGAGAAGACACCATGATAGAGCAACTCCAATGTATGTTGGTGGAATGAAGAATTTCAAACAAAAATAATTATGCAGTATGGACTTAATAAACTGGATGTAAGGCAATGTTTCTGAATAGTGATGAGGGAGAGGAAAAAAATTACCAATCCACATCCTACAGATTCAGAAGACTATTTATTCTCCTAATTTTCCCACTGTGTAGATGAAGAAACTAATGCCCAGAGAGGTTGAGTATCTTGCCCAAGATCGCACAGATAATCAATGGAGCATCAGGGAATCACATTTGAACCCAAGACTCTCTGAGGTGGGGCATTTAGAGCTTTCTCTTCTTCCCCTGCCTTGCACTGCCCTGATTGTGAGACATAACTCTTTCTTAGTCAAGACTGACTTTGTTTTTAAGCAAGAGAAAAGTAACACAGACTCACTTGGGCAGAAAGGAGGATCAGTGGCTCATAATCCAAATGTAGGGTGTCCATGGGTACAGGCATAATAAGGGTGGGGAGGGCATCAGAATTATCTCTACCTGATTCTCCCCACACATTAACTTCACGGCCTTAGAATATCTGTTTCTATGAGGTTGAAACCATGGCTACCAGCAACTCCTGGGCTCAGATCCTCACTGTTTAGAGATCAGAGTCCTTTCCCTCTCTCCCTTCCTCCTACTTACATGCCCCATGCTCAACTGGGGTTCGGATCGGCCCAGTCTGAGTCATGTGTTCACAAGCAACCAATCAGATGGCCAGGGATGTGAGGAGCTATGATTAGTCCAACTCCAGTCAGGTGCCCACCATTTAGCCAATCACTGTAGCTAGAGCTGCAGGGTCAACGAAGAATCAGGAAGGTTCTATCAGGCCAGTAGGAAAATGGAAGGAACTTAGTGCACACTATAGATTCTTCCCAAAATTAGTCAAACTGGCTCTCAAATAAGAAATTTGGGAAATAAGTGTTTTAGAATCATTTTGTCTGCATACAACCATATCTCCAACATGTTCTTTCTGAATGTGTTTTTGCCCAAATTCTGAATTTTTACTTAAGTGCAGTTAACTCCTCTTCATGTATCTCAAGGCAAGTTGTCTGTTGAGCCAATATTTAAGGATGGTGTCAGCTGTAACCTTGGCTTTTTCCATACGTCCTAAATTTTGCAAGGGCTCCAGGCCCTTTAACTCTGTTGCACAATAGAACTTTGGGTAGCATGTCTAATAAGTGAAAAAAACCTTCTAGAGATAATGGGGCAGTATATTTGAAACTGCAGCTGCAGTGGAAACCCTGGGCTGAGCTTCAAGCAAAATGTGGCAGAATAATATTTCTGAAATATAAACTAAAAATTTTTTTTTTCCTGAAAATTCTTTCCCCAACCCTCTTTGAACAGCCAGACTTTTCTTGTGCTCATTGCCTCAGAGGTAGAGAACATCAAGGCCAGAATATAATATGCTGCTTGTATTTCTCTGGCTTTTGTCTTCCAAAAGCCCAGATCCTTAGGGAAACAGTGAAATAAACAAAAGCATGAAGGGTTGAAGAAGTTACAACTCTCCCTCTTTTGTCTCCTGACCTCAGCCTAAGGGGAGAAGGAAGGAAGGATGATGCGAGGGAGAGATAAAGATGTGGACACTGCTTTTTATTTAGTGCAAACAGTACCTTGACAATGTGATTAAGGTCAGCACCATCCGTGATGCCATGTAGATACCATGTGCCCCATGCTCTGATGGGATAAAAAGGGCACTTAAGTTTTGTTGTCTCCTCTCCAAAAATCCATAGGCCCAGTCTAATCATGAGAAAATCTCACACAAACCATGACTGAGGTGCATTCTACAACATACCTGATGAGTCCTCCTCAAAGTTGTCAAGGTCACGAAAAATAAGGGGACTGAGAGATTGAGGAGACTGAAGGACGTGGTAACAAATGGCAATGGAGTAACGTGGATTGAATTCTGCAACAACAACAAAAAGACATTAAAGAAAAGCTTGATGAAATTCAAGTAAAGTCTAGAGTTTTGGTAATAGTAATTTACCAATGTTAGTGTCTTACTTCTGAAAAATAGACTAGAGAAATGTAACATTAAGGGAAAGTTATACTTGGCAAAGGGTATATGGGAATTCTCCATATTATCTTTGCAACTTTTCTATAAAACTAAAATTATTCCAGAATAAAATGTTTGTTAAAACAATCAAACAAACAAAAACAAGAAAAGGGACTATGCCTCCAACCCCCACCTAGGTTTATGGAATCTGAAAATAGAGACAAGTTGGGCCTGTTTTCTATGTGGAACTCCAGGGAAATGTGGAACTCCAGAGAATAAACGGCTTCGTGGAATATCTAGGCCTTCATTGAGGGCCCTGGTCAGCCTCACCAACTCTCTGCACTCAGCCTGACCACAGAAAGATTCCCCTGAAACTGAGTGGACAAGAGGTAGAACCCATCCATGGAATCAAGTAAGATGCAAGGAGAACATCCAAACCTGAGAAAGAACAGAGGCTGGAAGGAAGAGAGGCTCTCTACATTGACTGAAATTGAATTGCCCAAAAGAGAAATTAGTCTTAGGAGGAAAAAAATATGTATAGCTGTATTCTACCCCCATGTGAGTTTGTAGAGTAAGCTTTGCATTTTCTGTAAAAAGAAGACAGAGGAAGAAGAGGAAGGCAAAAAAAAAAAAAAAAAAAAGATCATTCATTGCACACTTAGTCTATGCTGGGGATAGGTCAGCTCTATGTACATGTATTGGTTTTCTATGGCTGTGTAACAAATGGCCACAAACATAGTGGCTTACAATTCCTATTTATTATCTCACAGCTTCAGTAGGCCAGGGGTCCAGGCACAGTGCAGCTAAGCTCTCCACTCAGGATAGCATATGCTGAAATCAAGATTTCAGTTTTCTGTTGCCATAAATAGTATGTTTATTTGGCATCTATATTAGTCCATTTTCACACAGCTGATAAAGACATACTCAAGACTGGGAAGAAAAAGAAGTTTAATTGGACTTAGAGTTCTGCATGGCTGGAGAGGCCCCAGAATCATAGCAGGAGGTGAAAGGCACTTCTTACATGGTGGCGGCAAGAGAAAATGAGAGAGAAGCAAAAGTGGAAACCCCTGATAAATCCATCAGATCTCATGAGACTTATTCACTATAATGAGAATAGCACAGGAAAAACCAGCCCTCAAGATTCAATTGCTTCCCCCTGGATCCCTCCCACAACACGTGGGAATTCTGAGAGATAAAATTCAAGTTGAGATTTGGGTGGGGACACAGCCAAACCATATCATTCCACCCCCGGCTCCTCCAAATCTCATGTTCTTGCGTTTAAAAACCACTCATGCCTTCCCAAAAATTCCTCAAAGTCTTAACTCATTTCAGCAAAAGTCCACAGTCCAAAGTCTCATCTGAGATAAGGCAAGTCCCTTCTGCCTATGAGCCTGTAAAATCAAAAGCAAGCTAGTTACTTCCTAGATACAATGAGGGTACAGGTATTGGGTAAATATAGCCATTCCAAATGGAAGACATTGGCCAAAACAAAGGGGTTACAGGGCCCATGCAAATCCAAAATTTAGCAGGGCAGTTAAATGTTAAAGTTCCAAAATGATCTCCTTTATTCCAGGTCTCACGTCTAGGTCATGCTGATGCAAAAGGTGAGTTTCCATGGTCTTGGGCAGCTCCACCCCTGTGGCTTTACGGGGTACAGCATCCCTCCTGGCTGCTTTCACAGGCTTGTGTTGAGTGTCTGCGGTTACTCCAAGTGCATGGTACAAGCTGTCAGTGGATCCACCATTCTGGGGTCTGGAGGATGGTGGCCCTCTTCTCACAGCTCCACTAGGCAGTGCTCCAGTAGGGACTCTGTGTAGGGGCTCTGACTCCACATTTCCCTTTTGCACTACCCTAGCAGAGGTTCTCCATAAGGGCCCCACCTCTGCAGCAAACTTTTGCCTGCGCATATAGGCGTTTCCATGCATCTTCTGAAATCTAGGCAGAGGTTCCAAAACCTCCATTCTTGACTTCTGTGCACACGCAAGCTCAACACCATGTGGAAGCTGCCAAAGCCCGGGGCTTCCACCCTCTGAAGCTACAGACCAAGCTCTACATTGGCCCCTTTCAGCCACAGCTGAAGTGGCTACAACAGGGGACCAAGTCCCTAGGCTGAACATAGGAAGGGGACCCTGGGCCTCACCCACAAAACCACTTTTTCCTCCTGGGCCTCTGGGCCTGTGATGGAAGGGACTGCCATGAAGTTCTCTGACACGGCCTGGAGATATTTTCCCCATTGTCTTGGGGATTAACATTAGGCTCCTTGCTACTTATGCAAATTTCTTCAGCTGGCTTGAATTTCTCCTCAAAAAATGAGTTTTTGTTTTCTACTGCATCGTCAGCCTGCAAATTTTCTGAACTTTTATGCTCTGTTTCCCTTTTAAAACAGAATGCTTTTAATAGCACCCACGTCACCTTTGGAATGCTTTGCTGCTTAGAAATTTCTTCCACCAGATACCCTAAGTTACCTCTCTCAAGTTCAAATCTCTAGGGCAGGGGAAAAATGCTGCCAGTCTCTTTGCTAAAACATGACAAGAGTCACCTTTGCTCCAGTTCTCGACAAGTTCCTCATCTCCATCTGAGACCACCTCAGCCTGGACCTTATTGTTCATATCACTATTAGTATTTTTGTGAAAGCCATTCAACAAGTCTCTAGGAGGTTCTAAACTTTTCCACATTTTCCTGTCTTCTTTTGAGCCCTCCAAACTGTTCCAACCTCTGCCTGCTACCCAGTTCCGAAGTAACTTCCACATTTTTGAGTATCTTTTCAGCAGTGCCCCACTTTACTGGTACCAATTTACTGTATTAGTTCATTTTCAGGCAGTTGATAAAGACATACCTGAGACTAGGAAGAAAAAGAGGTTCCACATGGCTGGGAAGGCCTCAGAATCATGGTGAGAGGTGAAAGGCCCTTCTTACATGGCAGTGGCAAGAGAAAATGAGAGAGAAGCAAAAGTGGAAACCCCTGATGAACCCATTGGATCTCATGAGACTTATTCACTATCACAAGAATAGCACAGGAAAGATCAGCCCTCATCATTCAATTACATCCCCCTGGGTCCCTCCCACAACACATGAAAATTCTGGGAGATACAATTTAAATTGAGATTTGGGTGGGGACACAGTCAAACCGTATCAGCATCCATTAAAATCATAAAATCAAATTAATGGGCAAAGTTACTTACATCTTCCCCGTGATCCAGTTTTTGCAGATGAATGAAAATAGTATTACAACCCTCTCAACATAAACCACAGCATCTGTGTTTTGAGTTCTGCCCAATAGGGGACATTGCCATCTAACAACTATCTACCACTGTCCTAACAGAGGCTGTGGTCTAAGCTTTTGCCTCGCTCCTCCTTCTGCTTCCTGACCAAATCTGGTGCTTCCCCACTTGGCTTGTGGTGTGGCAAGCCTCCTTCTCTTGGGAAATGTAAGTAGTAAATTCTTCTTTCAATGGCATCAGGCTCTCCATGTCATCATTTAATTACCTCCCAAAATCAAAATCCTGTGGGTACATTTTAATACAGTCTGCTGGCCAAAGTCTCAGTTGAGGCTGGATTTTCTCCCAGGTTCACATGGTTATTGGTAGAATTCAGTATCTTGCATCTAAAGGATTGAGGTCCTTGTTTGTTTTCTTGCTTGCTGCCAGCAAAGAACCACTCAGCTCATAGAGGCCACTCCCAGATCCCTGCCAAAAGGCCCCCTTCATGGCCAGTTCACAATGTGACTGTTTTCTTCAAGACCAACAGGAGAGTGTCTGCCGCTGCTTCCTGTCTCTTTCAAGGGCTCCCCTGGTCAGGTCAGCCCCACCCATGATAATATCCCTCTTGATTAATTTAATACAAGTGATGAGGGATATCAGTGTCATCTGTAAAGCTCCTTTTTCCATAAAATGTAATTTAATTGAAAGGAGGAGCTAGCCAGAAAATGTGCACCAGAGGGCTGGGGGCTTGGGGGCCATCGCTGATTTGTTTCCACAATACACCTTATTTCATCCATTCTCAGAGTGGTTCTGTGAGGTAGGTAGCATTTTCCTTCCAGTTACAAACATGTTAGCGAAACAGGGTCATATTGTGCAAAAGTAGTTGTGGTTTTTGCATTGTTGAAATTTGCCATTAGATATTGGAATACACTCTTACATGAATGTAGTTATGCTATACATCATTTTAATGGACATTTCTCACTTCATGTTTTTTCACTAATGACGTATTACTTGCTCCTTATTTTATATTTATTTTAGACTATGGGAATAATGTTAGACAAAAAGCAAATTCAAGTTTTTTTTGTTTTTTTTTTTTTTTGATACTGAGTCTGGCTCTGTCACCCAGGCTGGAGTGCAGTGGTGTGATTTCGGCAACCTCTGCTTCCCGGGTCCAAGTGATTCTCCTACCTCAGCCTCCCGAGTAACTGGGATTACAGGTGTGCACCCCCATGCCCGGCTAATTTTTGTATTTTTAGTAGAGACGAGGTTTCACCATGTTGGCCAGGCTAGTCTCGAACTTCTGGCCTCAAGTGATCTGCCCACCTCAGCCTCCCAAAGTGCTGGGATTACAGGCATGAGCCACTATGCCTGGCCAATTTTCTTATTCAAGTTCAAAATGGATTGTAAAGCATCAGAGACAACTCGCAACATCAACAACACATTTGGCCCAGGAGCTGCTAACGAACTTACACTGCAGTGGTGGTTCAAGAAGTTTTGCAAAGGAGAAGAGAGCCTTGAAGATGAGGAATGTAGCAATCGGCCATCAGAAGTTGACAACCACCAATTGAGAGCAATCATCAAAGCTGATCCTCTTGTTACAACTACGTGAGAAGTGGCCAAATAACTCCACATCGACCATTCTACAGTCGTTTGTAATTTGAAGCAAATTGGAAAGGCAAAAAGCTTGATAAGAGGATGCCTCATAAGCTGAGCAAAAATTTAAAAAGAAAGTCATTGTTTTGAAGTGTCATCTTCTCTTTTTCTATGCAACAACGAACAATTTCTGGATCAGATTGACATATGACAAAAAGTGGATTTTATATGACAACCAGCAATGACCAGCTCAGTGGTTGGACTGAGAAGAAGCTCCAAAGCACTTCTCAAAGCCAAACTTGCACCAAAAACAGGTCATGGTCACTATTTGGTGGTCTGCTGCTGGTCTGATCCACTGCAGTTTTCTGAATCCCAGCAAAACCATTACATCTGAGAAGTATGCTCAGCAAATTGATGAGATGCATCAAAAACTGCAATGCCTGCAGCCAGCTTTGGTCAACAGAAAGGACCCAATTCTTCTCCACGACAACACCCAATGGCACATTGCACAAAGTTTCAAAAGTTGAACAAATTGGGCTACAAAATTTTGCCTCATCTGCCATGTTCACCTGGCCTCCCAGCAACTGACTACCACTACTTCGAATATCTTGAAAACTTTTTGCAGGGAAAACATTTCCACAACCAGCAGGATGCAGAAAATGCTTTCCAAGAGTTCATTGAATCCTGAAGCTCAGATTTTTACCCTACAGGAGTAAACAAACTTATTTCTCATTGGCAAAAATGTGTTGATTGTAAGGTTCTTACTTTGATTAATAAAGATGTATTTGAGCCTAGTTATAATGATTTTTGCACCAACCTAATATTTAAACCTGAGAAAGATTTGTAATTCAATTTTATACATATTATTGGATACCTACTATGTGCCAGACACTATGCTAGACTAATACAAATCCCTTGATCTCCAGGGTTTCATAATCTACTATAACAGGCAGCTATGTCTTAATGATAGTGAATATCAACTAAACAATGTCCACATACCATCTCTTTAAGGGACAAAAGCATGTGAAGTTGGTATTTATTCTTATGAGCTTTCATTTTACATGTGAGTAAACTGAGGCTTAGAGAGTTTAAACAATGTTCTCAGAGTTGCACATGTCATAAATTCTGAAGAGGGAACTTATGCTCAGAGCAGTTCACCTCCATGGTTCATAAGTTTAATAAATATGACATGCTGAATCTCAATACAAAAATTCTTGTCTCATATTCAATAAGAACTGCTAGAACAGAGACTGAGATCAATGGTAAAATGAATTTTTTAAGACAACTAGAGAATACAGAAGAGGTAATGTTTTAGTCCATTTGGGCTACTATAACAAAATATCATAAACTGGGGAGCTTATAAACTACAGAAATTAATTTCTTATGGTTCGGGAGGTTGAGAAGTCCAAGATCAAGGCACCTGCAGATTCAAGGTCTGATGAGACTGCCTTTCCTGAGTTGCAGTGGCCACCTTCTTGCTCTGTCCTCACATGGTGAAAGGGATAAACCAGGTCCCTTGGGCATATTTATAAGGACACAAATTTCGTTCATGAGGGCAGAATCACATTCTATGAGATACATAGCATTTTTTTAATCATACTGACATACGTTTTAGTGAAACAGAGGCCTATATTTAAATCATCTCCATAAAGGTCCCACTTTGGGGTAGAATTGCAACATATAAATTTTGGGGGAACACAAGTATTCAGATCATAGCATTCTGCCCCAGCCCCCCACTCAAATTTATGTCCTTCTCATAGGCAAAATACATTATTCCCTCCCAATGGCCTCAAAATTTTTAACTCATTCCAGTATCAACTGTAAAGCCTAATTCCAGCGTCTCATCTAAATATTATCTAAATTAGATATGGATGAGACTCAAGGTAGAATTTATCCTGAGGCAAATTGCTCTCCAGCTGTGAACCTGTGAAATCAAATAAGTTATGTGCTTCCAAACTCCAATAGTGGAACAGGAATAAGATAGACATTTCCATTCCAAAACAGAGAAACAGGAAAGAAGAAAGGGACTACAGTTTCCACAAAGATTTCAAAACCCAACAGGGCAAACAGCATTAAATCTTAAGCCTCCAGAATAATCTTCTTTGACTCAACGCTCTGCCCTTCAGGCCCGCTGGTCAGAGTTCCCACCTTCCAGGAACATTAAGGCAGGGGTTGGGTCCCCAACACTCCTGGTGGTCCTGCTCCCATGGCTTTAGTGTACCTCACCCCAACAGTTTTGCTGAGTATAGCCCATGCTGCAGTTCTCATGTGTTGAAGTCACATGCTTGTGGCTCCCACAGTCTAGAATCACAGACAAGTAGCTCCACTGGTCTAGAGTCCTGGGACAGCTACACCCCAGATCTCTATTAGGCACTGCCCTGGTGGGGACCCTTTAGTGACTCTGTCTCTGCAATGGTCCTATGCCTGGGTCATGTGCCCCAGGCTCTAGGCAGCTTCATTCTTTAAAATTTAAGTGGAGGTAGCCGTACCCCTGCAGCTCATGCACTCTATACACTGATGAATATGGCAAAACATGGACATTGCCAAGGTTTGCCTCCAAGGTTTACTGCCTGTACCCTCGGGTGAGGCAGCCACAGTGGCCTGTACCACACCTGGGCTGACTGGATCCACACCTGGGTCATCCAAGGAGCACTACACCAAAATGCAGGAAGCAAAGTATTTAGGTGGCCCTGGGAAGCTGATGTCCTGCAGGCATCCTTGGCTCTTCCTCTTAAATCGAATTGCCTCTAAGGCCTTTGCACTTTAGGCTTGTGTTAGTAAAAGCAGCAACAATAATCGACAAAATGCCTTCATGTCATTTTTCCATTTTCTTAATGAATAGCACCTAGCTGATTCATACTAATCTTCTTATCAAATGGTCACCTGGACACATCCTTGGTGTCCTCTCCAGAGCATGCTTTCTTAATTTTACAATGGGGACAGACTGATAATTTTTCAAACCTTTAAGTTGTACTTCTCTTTTGATTAAAAATGTTATTTTTAAGTTGTTTCTACCTTCTCACATCTTAGGATAAGCAGTCAAGAGAAGCCATGTCACACCTTCAACATTTTGCTTAGAAATTTCTTTTGCCAAATTTCCAAATTTATTGTTCACAAATTCTATCTTCCACAAAACACTAAGATGCAAATATAATACAGCCAATTTCTTTGCCACTTTTTCACAAGGATGATTTTCTCTATTGTCCAATAATGTTTTCCTCCTTTTGGTCTGAGACCTAATCAGAACGATCTGTACCATCTATGTTTCTACCACCATTCTGTTAACCACCACTTAGGTATTCTCTAAGAAGCTTGAGGCTTTCTCTAAAGCTCTTCTCTTCTCCTTTTGAGCACTCACCAGGATCATCCTTAATAGTCTGTTCTTAAGAATGTAGGCTTTTTTTAGTAGGCACTTCACAACTCTTTTAATTCCAAAGGCAATTATCTATTTTTAGGTATTGGTTACAGCAGCTTACCCATTTCTCAGTACCAGTTTTTGTCTTACTCTATTTGGCTTTCTTTAACAAAATGCCATAAACAATAGCTTATAAGCAACAAAAATTTATTTCTCACAGCTCTAGGGGCTTGGAAGCCCAAGATCAAGGTGACAACGGATTTGGTGTCTAATGAGGGGCCATTTCCTGGATCATAGATGATGATTTCTCATGAAGCACTCATGTGGTTGAAGGGGCAAGGCAGGTCTCTAGGGGCTCTTTTATAAAGGCACTAATCTTATTTATGAGGGCATTGCTGCATGACATAAAAGGCCCACCTCCTAAAACTATCACCTTGGAGATTAAAGTTTCAACATATAAATTTGGAGGCACACAGACATCCAGATCATAGCAAAGCACATTTCACCAGGATTGGTAACTATCTGATGTAAGAGATGAGATTGAAGCTGGACCTTAGTGAATTAGCAGGACTTCCACAGACAAGGATTCAGAGAGGCAGCAAAGAGAAAAATTTGAAGGGCAATACATGCAGAAACAATGGCTGGAGGGGTTGGTGTTCAGGGGTGAGAGAGGATGTATTCTGTCTCTTAAATCTATGTGTCTCAATTTAGGGACAAGATGGACTGATTCCATTGAGTATCCATCTCAGCCCTAAGGAAAGTTCGAGACCTGGTAGGACATGACACATTCCAAAAGATACAGGGTGCAAAATTAGTGCCTCTTTCTTGAGGAGTTCAGAAACCTTTCCCAGAGGAGTGCTTCTCAATATTTTGCCCTCCAAGGGACATTTTATAAGATATTTCTGGAGACATTTTTGATTATCACAAGTGGGAAGGTGAAGATGGTACTACTGGAATCTAGTGGGTAGAAACTAGGGATGCTGATGAATTTTGCAGATTGAAAGTTTGTGTGCCCCCAAATCCATATGTTAAACCCCTAACCCCTCAATGTGATGGTATTAGCCAGTGGGACCTTTGGAAGGTAATTAGGTTGAGAGGGTGGAACCCTCATGAATGGCATTAGTGCCTTTATAAGAAGAGACATAAAATCGTTCTCTCTCTCTGTCTCTCCCCCCACCCACCCCCCCTTCTCCTATGTCTGCATACCAGGAAGCCAGCCCTCACTAAACACCAGATTTGCCAGCACATTGATCTTGGACTTCTCAACCTCCAGAACTGTGAGCAAGAAATGTTTTTTCTTGCCATCCAAACAAGATGTATATTTGTTATAATAGCCCAAATAGACTTAGACAAGCCCTAAATTTCCATAGTGCCAAGGTCAAGAAACTCAGCTAGTGAGCCCATAAGGAATGTTTCTCAATCAGTTAGTACTTTATGACTTTGAGTAGTGATGGAAAATTTATGTCATTAGGCTCAGTTCTTAGTCTGTTTGCGATAGGTCCACAAGTGTGCATAATCTTAAAATCAAACCCAAAACATAGTTGCAGATTCATTCAGTAAATTCACAGGATGCCTGCTCCTTGCCCAGTATTGCTCCAGCTGGAAAGGTGGTAAACAAATTCCAAGACCAAAGAGCACACACATCTCGTGTGTAAGAGTAGGGAGATTTGGTCCTGTAGCGACAAAGGTCCTCCAATTTGCCATCGGCAATATGGTTTGCTCACTGTGAGTCATGCTGCCCTTGCTAGGGTGATGGCTGGAATGATTAATCCACCCTGTTGGGGCCTAATCTCCTTGGGCTCAGTTCCCATCTGATTCCCACCCGAGTTCCATCAAAGGGAGGCCTCTATCAGCTCATTCCCCATGCACGAAGGGGGTGGAAAAGGGTGTGGTAGAGAACATGCTCAAAATCTGCCCTCTTAAAAGGTGCAAGACCCAGCCAATCAAGAGGATAAGGTGCCCTGTGCGAGCCCTGAGGAAGATGGGCTCAGTGTTAGCTCTGGAAGGTGCCAGCCTGTGTAGGCAAGTCTGACATGAGAGTTGGCAGAGCCCTGGCCCTCAGGCAGTCAGCCTGAGACAGCCACCATTCCAGGATGCCTTCCCTGAGGTCCTCAGCAGTGTTCCCACAGTCTGGGGAGGGCCTCTCAGGGAGGCAGGAGTTGCACAGGCTCAGCCCACCACTCTCCTAGGGTTGCCTCTGTGACCCTCCCACCTTAGGGGGCCAGGCTGGGCAGCAAGAGACCATATAGCCTGCCTAGGATGCAGGTGGGATGAACACCCAACCAAGTCCTCATCGAGGCAGGCCATGACTCTGAAAAGTACAAACAAGCAGCTTATTCATTCCTTTATTCAAGATAAGTATCTACTTAGCCCTACTTTATAAGTGCTGGGAACTCTGCTGGGTTCTGGAATGTAGAAATGAGCAAAGTGTGCACGTTTCCTACTGTCATGGAGCTTGCAGTCTAAGATCCACAAGCCACCAAGACAAACCCAGAATCCCATGAATTATTGATTATTTATCAGACCAGCACTTATGTTCATCAGGCTAATTTTGTTGGCACAGCATCCCTCCAAACATCCCAGGTGACAAGGATATGAAGAAAGAGAATTTAGGGAGATTGGGAGAACACCCATGCTCACACACATGCCACTGGCCGGGGCCCGAGTGGGATTCGAACCCAGTTGTGTCATTGCTTCCTTCAAGCCCCACATCCCCATCTGATTCATCCTGTTATGAGCCTTCTTCCTTCTTCTTCTAAATGGAATCAGTTTCTTTTTACAGGAGAAGGGGATACTTGGGGACTTGGAGACCATTATCTACTTGGTCTTTATATTTATCTAATTCATTTCTTCTTCTATTCACTTAATTCTACACGCGCACATTGGATGCTTACATCATGCCAAAAGCTTCACTCCAGCAGGTCCCCTGCACCTGGATCACTCACAGCCTGTTTGAGAGGTGGCTCATACACGACTACCTGGAACACAAGATAGATGATGACTGCGCACACATGAGAGGTACAGACAGTCATTTGGGCACTCAGATGAGAAGAAGTGTGGGCATATGGAGACAATTGGTGAGGGCTTCAGGAAAGAGGTGATCTTTGAACAGAGACCTGAAACGTGGTTAAGCTGTACCTGCTGGAATGGACATTAATGGTCGCTGACTCTGGGTATGTATCAACTTTGTAGTCACAGCATGTGGATTACCTAGACATTCGGCACACTGTCTTACCTCTGACTCTCATTAGCCTCCTCTGTGGAATGGAGACACAGTACCTAGGACTGTGAAGGAAGTGAAGGCACCTGCTTCTGCATCTGGAATACCTGTACTCATTAAAATGGGTCAGCCTTTTTCCAGGCCCATGGATGTCCCACATTGTAGCACACAATGTCCCTTTGCCCCATCTGGAGTCCTAAAAGTGTGGACATGCATGTGGGGACAATGACCAAGTAGATAGAGAACAGTGATGGAGAAGCAGGCTACGACCCCTTCAGTGAGAGCCCTGACCACCCAGCCGAGACTGACCAAACTCGTCCAGGCTTCAAGATGCTGGATCCTCCTCTGGAAACGTGCCAGCAAAAGGAAGGGTGTGTTGGGAGCAGACAAGGGCATGATGCATCCCCAGGTTTTTACTGCAGCCTAATGGCATGCTCTCACAGGGACATTGATAGACACGCAGGATCTGGGCTTGCTGGCTGGTCTGGCTCGGCACTCCCTACCCACGCCTGCCTCGCCCTCTGGCCTTGCCAAATGAATGAGCCTTCCTGCAAGTTTTCTCAGGACTGTCTGAGCCCAGGGAGAGCAAAGAACTGAAGTCTGTGAACAGGTGAAATTCCTTTGCATCAATCCACACCATTTCTTCCCTTCCAAGTACTCAGTGACAAATAGGTCTACCTGCCCCTTAGTCATATGACGATCTTAGGGCAACCAACCCCCAACCAACTCCCTCTGACCTTTGCTGCAGCTCCTGCAGATGGACTGGGGAATAATATTTATCTTGATCTTCAATTGGATTAAGTCTATGCCAAGCCCAGGGGACTGTGGTTTTCAGGCCTGGGCTACTGCCTGTTTTTGTAAATAAAGCTGTATCGAAATTGTCACCCCTATTCATATTGCGTGCTATCTGAGGATGTTTTTGTACTACAATGGCAAAATTGAGCAGTTGCCATGGACTCTGTATGGCCTGCAAGGCCTAAAATATTTACTATCTGGTCCTTTAGATAGAAAGTTGGCCAATCTTCCCTCTAAAGTATATCAGATTTTATATTGTTGTCATTCATTCAGGAAGTCATTCATTCAGTTATGCCACTAGTCTGTTTCCCACCAGGCTGTAAGCAATTGGAAAGCAGAGGCTGCATCTTCTATCTTTGTATCATCCTCAGTGCCAAACCCAGTGCACAGTAAGTCCTTAGGAAGTATTTGTTGAATGAATGAATGAATGAGAAATGAAAGCAATAAATGCATAAGTGAATACATTCTTGGTCTCTGCCGTCAGGAAACTTAATAGTCTAGCAGGAAAGACAAACCTAAAAACAAATAAGTAAAATAAAATCGGGTAAGGGTTACCATAAGCATGGACATATTTTCAGAGGAAAGGGCTCCTGATTCTATGGTAGAAGCTGATAACATCAGAGCATGGTCTTGAAGAATATTAAGAGCTTGCATTTCTAATCCTAAAATCTATGGGTTTTAGAATCAGAGGTGATTGAAGGTTAGAGGAGTTTGGGAGGATTGAAGGAGAGAGGAGTTTGGGTATTCATAGGGCTGTGAGAAGGGAAGTAAATTCACCCACTTTTTTCACCAACATTCACTGTGTACCTTCTAAAGTCCTAGCCCTGACATCCCCCATCCCTCACTCTCCTCTTTGACCGGGAGCCACACTGTGTGATTTAGGCAGGCCGCTTACCTCACCATGCCTCTGTTGTCATTTATGGCAGCATGATGATGCCCCCCACCTCCTGGATTTTATAGGAAGATTCAGTTCCTAATACCTGCAATGTGCTTGGCACACGGAAGCACTCAGAAAGAGTCAACTTGAAACAAGAGATATGATTTAGGCTTAACAGCTGCAAAATGGCAGCCTGGTTTCTTTGCCCGACCCACTTCTCACCCTGCAGGGGTAAAGCTCTTCATTCCCAGAGGTCTCCTCCTCTCAGGGGTCCCCTAAGGCCTTGTGGCTGATGCACTTTCCCACGGGCCTGCCGAGGGCCCTCCACCTTCTTACATTGCCATGAGAAACACAATCTTACCTGCCGGCATCTCCATATTGCAAACTTCACAGGCATGCATGCCACGCCTCCACCAATAAACTGTCTTTTCTGCTTGCAAAAGGGACTTTAAGAAAACAACAACAACAAAAAAAAACATGTTTCTGTCTTTCTTTTCTTGATGGAAACATATAGAGTGACAATTGCATCCTGGTGAAATAAAATTGCACCCACGGCAGGAGCTGAGGCCGTAGCTCCTATTTTAATGAACAGACACCCTGCATAACAATTTTCAAGACCTCCTGCCATCTCTCACCCCTCCCTCCTTCCCTTCCTCCTTTCTCCCATTTTTCCCTTTACTCATTCCTTTTCTCCCATTCTCAGCACAAAGTTGAGGGGGAAAGAAATCACAAGGTGGCAGATACTGAGATTGCCGTGGATATCTAGTGCCATATATCTTGTCAGAAAAATCACCGTGCCTGTTAAAAAAGAAGAAAGCAAAACTCAGGACTCAGAAGACTGTGCAGTTATCCCACTTTCTCATTCAATTTTTTTTTTTTTTTTTTGCTATTTAAATTTCACTATATTTCTTTTTTTATTCTCTTGCTGGTCTTTATACGTAGGACACAATACACACACACACACACACACACACCCCTCACTCTCTCACTTCTGTCATTTAAAGTATGAAGAAACTAGTGAAGAAAAATCTATTTTCAGCTGTTCCATGTTAGAAAGCTTTTGCCACCATGATGAAAGAAGTGGATTTTGAAGAAAGTCAAGGCACTGATGAAGATGAAGGAATATTCTGACCAGCAGCCATCTGTTCTGTTAATTAAATCCTGTGCACATCAAGTAGTATGCTCTTACGTAACTAATAATTAAGAACTAAAGAGAGGTATGTATGCAGCATCCACTATGAATACTTTTATATATTGAAAAAATAAAAATAAAGACCCAGCCTTACTCTGGTCCATAGTCTAGCGATGATTAAACAGGCATTGATCAGGGCCTTCAAATACAAAACAGGACTCAGGTCTCAGAGAACAAAGGTTTCTATCTGACGCCTTTTCTTCTAATGGTCCTTGTGCAGTAAAAATAAAGTCCAAACACTATAATTTTACTCGCAGAAAAGTTACAAATACTGTAGGTATCTTTAGAAACAGCTGCAAAAGTGGTTTCCCTTCTGACAAGATTGGTGTTAATTACCAGCAAGGACTTCAGTATAATACTATTTAAATCATTTTAAATTATCCCTCTCAAAAATTAATTTTTCATCAAAGATTACACACAAAAAATCATGATATCATCTCTGCAGCTGCGATTTAGTAATAATTTCATCTATTATTACCAATGTCAGTTGGATAAAAGAAAAAATGGCACCCCACCGTGCCGATTCCAGCACAGGCCATATATAGAAATTTTTAACTATCACTTATAATCGCTTTGATGAGCTTAAACCTCCTCTCAATTAACACCCTAAATGACACTGAGACATCTTAATGGGGGATGTAAGTAAGGGAAAAGACTTTAATCAAAGAATAAAGAGAAAAGTGCCAAGAGATAGGAGGGCTTGCCGCACACCTCTTCGTGTCCAATCCCATTGAAGTCCTTTATCACGTTTGGAACCTTTTGTCATTCCAGGATCCAGGGGAAATCTACACGGCGGGGGTAGAAAGACAAGTGGCAGTGGCAAGTTGCTCTATTATCTTTGGAGATATAAAGACTTTTTCAAGGGCCCCCTGGCAGGACATCCAGACAAGAGGATGGGAACTCTGGAATGCTGTCACTTGAACAAGTGCAATAAAGCAGAGAAGCAAAAGGGAAGATATTGTTCTCTTAAGACCATCTTCTGGGCTGTGCCAGGGTAGCAGTTGTGGGGATCCAAGCCACTCACATGTAGGCACCCCAACTCACTCTCAGCAGGGCCAGAGAACAAAATGGGTCCCACTAGGCACATTCGAGTTATGCAAACTCACACAGCTGTGGGGATGTTACAGAAGGACATTTCTCAGGCCATTATTTTTTATCGTGAACTGCTGTTCCTGGGCTTTGGGAGAATTGGGAATAAAATGAAATAAAACAAAATCCAAATGAAAACTGACCAGCATGCTTTACTCTTTTTAAATCGTGTCCATGGTGTCCATGGTGATTTTTGCTTCCAATTAAGACGTCTAATGAACATGTGTTAGTGCCCATGCTCTACTCCCAAGAAACAAACTGGGCAATTAATGGCACTGCAGGAGCCCCGATTTCTTCAGCCATATACACATATTTGGTTGAAAAGGCAAGTTTGTAAATTGTATTTGCAAAATTGAATGAAATAAACTGGATTTTCAGATCTGACTTACCCCTTTATACCTCTAAGCTACTTCAGCCTCCAAAGATGAGAAGAGTGTCCTACTGCTGCATACCTTGTGCCAAGGTCTGGGAAAGAGGATGACACATAAGCTACATTTTTACTGTCAAAAAGGATACTTTTCTGGGTTGTGACAAAGAGGGCTAACATCTGTACAGTACCTAGGGCTGTCATCCAGTGGGAGCCAGGCTCTATATCAAAGTTCCATGAATAACCTATCATGGCTGGCCTCATTATCCAGGATTTGGAGATGAGAAACCAAGGATTGGAGAAATGTCCAGAAAGTGGCACAGGCATAGAATAGAGAAGCCAGGATGTAAAACCAGGCTTTGTGATGGTGGACAAACCAGAGAGAACCTAGATCAAGAGCTTTCTCCAGAATAAAAAGGTTTTGGCTGTCTTCACCTTTTGCTAGTTGCCCAGACATTATTCCTAACCCCATTCCCTCCTCTCACCACAGGAAACTTGATGGTATTACGTTATATTATGTAGAATTTTAACTGTATTTTTTATGTTGTAGATTATCTTTTTACTTCCTTCTTTTTGGATATTACTTTAAACACACACAGACATGTGTGTGCATGGGTAAAACTTAGTGCAATAAATTTTACCAATCTATGTGCTCATCCTTAATATCCATATTTTTCAAAACATCCTCCTTCAGGTGCCCTTCTCTCAAGGATGTTTTCAGAGAGGGCATGATGGGGTAGTAAACTTTCTGAGTCTTTACTCACTTAAAAATATCATTATATTGCCTGTGTGTTGAGAGATAGTTTAGCTTGGTATAAGATTACAACTTAAAAGTGAGTTTAATTTAACACTTTGAAAATAATTCTCTATTCAATGTTGCTATTAAGAAATAAGATTTTAATCTAAATATTATTTCTGTATGGGTGATCTGTATGTTCTCTTGGATAGCTTGTCACTTTTTTCTTTTCCTTTGATGTACTTAAATATAATTATGTTGTCTAAGTGATTTTTTACTTATAGATTCTATTAGGCATTCCATAAGAACTGTGGCTATGAATCTCTTTTTATTCATTTATTCTATTATTATTTGCTTTTCAAATACTTCCTCTCCTTATTTTTTCTCTCCTTCTATGACTGCCTATTTTATTTATATCAACAGATGTGCCTCTAGCCTCTATTTATTTTAACTTTTTTGCTTTTTGTAACTCTTTCTACCTGCTCCTGCCTTCTCAGAGAGTTCTTTAAACTGACCTTCTAGCTCACTAATTTATCCTTAAGTTGTATCCATTGTGCTTTTTATTCCACTCCTTAAACTCTTTATATTCAGTATTGCATATTTCATACCTAGTTTTTCCACGTGGTTCTGCTTTGTAACTGCCTGTTTCTGCTTCATCGTCCAATATCCTTGCATGTTAGGAGCAGCATTTCTTTTACTGTGATTGTGCTTCTCAGGCCCTTGCTTCTAGTCTCCTGAAGAGTTGAAGGAGTGAGATATGTGGCCCAGAATAGAGACCTCCTATGCCAAAGTCTGGGCTTGGCCAGCCCATTTACTTTGTAACCCCAAAGCCTCACCTTACAGCAGCTTTCCATCCATGTAGCCAGGCATGGCTCTTCCGCAAGAGGTTGTCTCCCTGCCTCCATCCTTTGCAGCGAAGGAAGGAAGTGAAGCTGGAAGCCCCCAGCAGCCAGTCTCTCTGACTGCACTGCTGGTTCAGCCATCTCCATCTTGCCCTCAGGGGTAATACTTCCTTAGTGACCCCAACATGGCTGAGTTGACTTTGCTATTTTTCTGTCTCAAAGAGGTCAAAGGGTTGGCAAAGATATTCCAAGTATAATATGGAAAAAATAAAAAATAAAATACACAAGCTCCCTTCTTATATCCACCCCACTAAATGTGGTATGCAGGCATCCTTGGGGCCATGCTAAGGCATAACTGCCCTCAGTCTCCCCAGAGTTCCTTGGAATGTCTATATTACTGTTCAGGTCCATTCGCTTACTCCTTAATTTCCTGACCTCTTTGGTGTTGGGTTTGTGGGAGAGGGCCAGTATTTTATGCTAACCGTATGAGCAGACCAGCAGATACAAGACAAAAGTAGGATTCTCAGAGGAAAAGCAAGCTGGGCAAAGAGAAGCACATGAACAAAGCCACTGAGCGCAAACCACGAAGGAGCAGACGACAGCAGAAGAAGCTTCTTGTTTTTGTTGTTTGTTAGTTTGTTTTAATTCATTTGGAAAGCAGTAGAACCCAATGGCAAATTGGAGAGTTGGGAACAGAGGTAGTATGGGAGAATATAAGTCTCTGAGCTAAGGATGAGATGAACAAGCAGTTTTGTTTTTTAAGTGGGGACAGTTTTTGATAAGAAATACCTTAGGTTAATGTCACATGATAAATATTTCCACATAATCTCACCTATTGATTGTTATACTGGAAAGTTGGAACTGCCTTATCCAGCTCTCTTAGAACCAAAATCAATGCTGACTTTGATCCCTTTCGACTCACTTTTATTTAGTGTTTATTTTGAATCTTTTGTCACTGGACTTAGATCTTTATCTGTGTCCCCAGATGGCTGGTCTAAGAGTGGCTTCCAGAGGGAAGTAGGGCAGATTTGGCTAGGGATCATGTTGGAATACCGCCAGAGTAAACCTGGCCATGTGTTCACCTTGCCAAAGGCTGTGGTGTAGCCAGCGCATCACCAACCACCCAAAAAAAGCCTTTTCTTTGGTTCCATCTCTTTCCTCCCGAGGGCTAAGACTCCAGGAAATGGTGAAACCCGAGAGACAGAACCAGCAAATGTACCAAATCACAGCTTTGTGGCTGGGCAGGACATTTCACAAATTCTCTCTCCATTGACTCTCACTGCACTCTGGGAAGAGAGTGTGATTATCCACATTCTACACAGGAGAAAATCAATCAAGACCCAAAGAAATCAAGAGACTGGCCCGAGTTTATGCAGAAAGGAAGAGCAAGTCTTAGGGCTGTAGGTTCAAAAACCAGGTCCCCCCACACCACACCTGAGAAGTGGAAGAAAGAGATTGATTCCCATTTACATCTTCACATTCTATCTGTTGAGTTTTGACTATGTTCCAGGTTCTGTACTAGGCACTGAGTTTACTCTCAAACCAAAAGGACCACACACACCCTACCCTCCAGGGAAAAGGAGGTGGTAACACAGACATGAAACAGTGTCCCTGAAATGAATATGCACTTTACACAGCATGAGATTTGGAATTCAAAAAAGAAGAAGGAAAGAAAAAAGAAAAATAGGACACTTTAAGAGAGGTCAGGAGTCTCATTTTGCATATAGGGTCAGTATATTAGTCTGTTCTCACACTGCTAGGAAGCAATAACTGAGATGGGGTAATTTATAAAAGAAAAAGGTTTAATTGACTTGCAGTGCCGCATTGCTGGGGAGGCCTCAGGAAACCTAAAGTCATGGTGGAAGGCAGAGGAGAAGCAGGCACCTTCTTCACAGGGTAGCAGGACAGAATGAGTGCAAGCAGGGGAAATGCCAGATGATTATAAAACCATCAGATATCATGAGAACTCACTCACTATCATGAGAACAGCATGGGGGAAATGGCCTCCATGATCCAATTACCTCCATTCCATCCCGCCCTTGACAAGTGGGGATTATGGTGATTACAATTCGAGCTGAGATTTGGGTGGAGACACAGAGCCAAACCGTATCAGTCAGGGAAGCCAAGACCGGAAGAATCTACACGAGTCTGGCCGCTGTCTTACCGCATCACCTCCGATAGCCATGTGCCACCTCCACACCTCAATCCCCACATCCTTATCTGTGGCTGTCAGTGGAACTTACTTCCGTGATTAGTGGTCTATATTTATAATGTGTTTGTTTTTTGTGAATGAAACTGGCATTGAAACTCTGACATTGAACCATCCTACCAAAGAATATTTTTTTTTCAGAAAATGGCACCGATGTGCTATGAGCAGAAGGAACTCTGGACACTGAGTCAGAAGACATATTTAATGGCCGGGCTCCATTTCTAATTCCAAGTCCACATTTTCTCCACACTGCCTAGCTGGGAGGGGAGCACAGACACTGGAATAGGTAGAACCGAGTCCAGGCCCAGGGATGTTCCTTCCTATCTGTAGGAACATTTGTTAATGTCTCTGAGCTTCTGCCTCCACAGTGTATAAATATCTCACCCTGTTATTGTGCCTAATAAAACAGACAACTCAAGTCTTCATACTGGCAACCAGCATAGGGTAGCACTTTAATGACAGCTGGTCTCTGTCCTTCCGACAACGGATAAACCAGCTCTACAAGGATTCCATCCTGGTGGCCTGGTGGAAACAAACCCTATACTCTGTTGCCTAATTGTTTAATTCTTTTTGAGACCCAGACTTTTGTTCAGAACGAGAACAATATGTTGCACTGGAGGCCTGGAGTGGGTCCAGCCCAGAGTTGCCCCCATGGGCACAGACCTTCCAGAGACCAGCCTGCCTCCAGCTCAGAAGGGGCTCGTGAGAGCAGCGGATGGATGCCGGAGCTGCACTCTACATAGCTGGAGCGCTCTTCACGTTATCAGCACAATCGGGGGAGTCTAAATTGGCCCACAGTGCGTGAGCCCAGAACACCTCATTCACTTCTAACATGAAGAGCTCTTTTAAAATGTGAAGTACTGAATTTGGAAAGCATCGAGATTTAGGCACGAATAGTGCAGAACAATTTAATATTATGGGAGCTCTTCAATCTCTCTCTTTTTTTTTTTTTAGATAAGCACTTCATTTTGGAAGTGACTCAAATAATGCTCTATTACTCCAATGAGCACATGACTGACTTGAAAATGCAATTACCCCACACTAAGAAATAAATCCCCAAAGTTCCCAAACCGGGGGGAAGTATGGAGGAAAGGCAGCACTCAATTCTTCTGTACACCTGGAATATCTTCACTTTCCCACTCCACCTCTCCAAACACTGTGCTTTTTAACCCCAAGCTTAAATGCTGTCTCTCTGATGCCTTTCAATTCAGATGTGCTGATGTGCATTGAATGCCTACTGTCATCGAGCCAATTTCTCATTTGTGGGGTCATTTAGTCCCCACAGCAACTCTGTAATGTAAGTGATCCTTATCTCCATTTGACCCCAGGAAACAGGACCACAGAGGCACTAAGCTGACCTCAGAACTTTCAAGAACCTCAAAGAACCGGCAAGTTGCTTTCATTACTCATTCAGGAGCGGGAGAATGAGTCTATGCTTGAGTCTATGCTTGATGAAACAAAGAATAGACTTTGCCCAAAAAGGAAGACTTGACCAATGAAGAAGGAAGAGTCCTTGTCCTCAGTACCTTGAGATGGAATAGAAAACACTGAGATTTGAATTCAGAAAACCTAAGTTCCAACCACCAGGGACAAGTCATTTGTCTCATCTATAAAACAAGGAGATCTTGGCGGTTAATGGAAGGGGAGACTAGAGAGCAGATGGGAAACTCTTGGCCCAGGTATTTGGCATCGACTCTGCAATGAATCTCTACCTGGACTTTGCATTGCTATGAAGCTTTGTAGCCCTGGATGCCGTCTGCCCTACCGGGCCCTGGGTATTCCCCGGGATCCCCACCACCAGCCCTGATGAGATGGTTTCTCACTGGAAAGAGGAGACAGGAAATAAACACCTAAAGAAGCAAGAACATAGGCACACAGGAGTTTATTTCTTGTTTGTGCTGCAAGCAGGGCCACTGCTCACAAGGACATGTCTCAGAGAATACTCCAGGGAACTGAGAGGGTTATGATTTCTCCTCTGTGCTGGGCAGTCACTGGCCAACCAAAGGCACAGCAGACCTCGAGGAGACTCTTGATACCATGTGGCATGGCCTGCCCTCTGGACAGACAGAAGCTCTGAGGCCCAGATCAGGAAAGAGCTGCTAGTTCAGACACAGCCACAGAGGGATCTATGTCTTATGACTTCTAGACTGGGACCCCATAACTGGCCTCCTCTTGGGGTATAAGAAACACTGATACTGAGCAACTACTGTTTCTAAATTTCCAGGGCATTTTCTTATTTACTATCTAGTGGCTTTATAGGAGCTTTAAATATGGAAATTACACTCAGGATTCTGTCCGGTTCCCTCTTACTCTCCGACTCAGGACCTCTTCATGTAGTTCATGGTTTGAACTACAGACTTTAGACTGGAAGCTTCTAAATCCATTTCTTTAGCTTAGATATTCACGCCTTTGTGTCCTAAGAACCTCTGGGTGTCTCCACCGGGATATGACATGAGAATTTCAAATTCAGTGTTTCCTTACAGGGAGCCACTTTCTTCCCTCCGCTGACGCTAAACAAGCCAACAAATAAAACAATTGCAAATGGTAGTAACAAACGTAGTGCTCCAAAGAAAGGAACGAGGATGCTGAAAAAGGAGGTTTCATTCTCAGGTAAGAGTAAAGAGAAAGGACCTCTTTTTTTTTTTTTTTTTTTTTTTTTTTTTTTTGAGACGGAGTCTCATGCTGTCGCCCAGGCTGGAGTGAAGTGGCATGGTCTCGGCTCACTGCAACCTCCACCTCCCAGGTTCAAGCGATTCTCCTGCCTCAGCCTCCCAAGTAGCTGAGACTACAGGCTTGTGCCACAACGCCCAACTAATTTTTGTATTTTTAGTAGAGATGGGGTTTCACCATGTTGGCCAGGATAGTCTCGATCTTTTGACCTCATGATCCACCCGCCTTGGCCTCCCAAAATGCTGGGATTACAGGCGTGAACCACTGCACCCAGCCGAGAAAGGACCTCTTAAACTTGAAGGCATTTAAATTGAGATCTGCAAGATAAGGAGAAATTAACCAGCTGTAGGGAACCACCAAGCAGAGGGAGAAGCATGTGCTGAGGCTTTTGGGTGGGAAAGAGCTTGGCCTGTTGGAGAAAAGAAAGAGGGCCACATGCTTTCTAAGAGAGGTAGGAGAGCTCCTGGAGAAGACGCGGCAGGAGACCAATTGCGCAGGGGATTTGGGAGTTGAGGTTTTATTTTAAACACAGTGACAAGCATTAAAGGAAGTGGATGCTGACAGTAAGCAAGTGTCAGAGCTACGATGGATAATGGACACTTGTGTTTCCAGCCTTCTTCCCTGCACAAAGAAGTCTGAATTCCTCTGGACTTTTCCCAGCTGCTGGTCCTTTTTCTGCCTCTGTGATCATCGTTTTTCCTCTCATCCTTCACGCTGCTCCTTGCCTTCTCATTCCCTCCACTGTCTTATTGTTTAAACAGCCCTGCACTGTTATGGGCTGAATTTCACTGAAGCCCTAACTCCAGTACCTCAGGTGTGACCATATTTGGAAATAGGGTTTTTAAATGGCTAAAATGAAGTTAGCAGGGTGGGCCCTAGTCCAATAGGAATCCTTATAAGAAAAAGAAATTTGCACACAGAAGAATCACCAGGGATGTGCACACACAGTGGAAAGGCCATGCAAAGTCGCTGAAGAAGCCAAGGAGAGAGGGCCCAGAACAAACCAACCCTGCTCACATCTCTGTCTTGGATTTCCAGCCTCCAGAACGGTGAGAAAATACATTTCCACTGTTTAACCGCGACCCCCACTCCGCCCCCGGCCTCGCCCGCCCAGCCTCTGGTATTTTGTTATGGCAGCCTTCATAGACTACAACAATGCCACCTCCCCCTCCCTTTCCTAAAGAGCCACTTCTCTCACGGATGCCTGGTTGCCCCTGAAGTATGAGCTTGCATTCCGTGGCCTTTGCCTGGCAAAAGGTGGCATCGTGGAGGCAGGCTTCTCCAACCTTCTCTGAGTCTGTGCCCTGTTTGAGAAGGTTTTATTGCAAGTTCCTCAGCATGGACTTAATTGCTTATTGGCATTGCAGTGCGGGATTTCAGCATCGGCTAGAAAATGCATATCTTGGGAAACAAATCCACCCTGGTCGACACAAATGGCAGGGAGAGGGGCTGATCTTATTTGCAAGGATATTTGTATTCCCAGCATCAATGCTCACGTGTGGCATCTTCAGGAATATGAAAAATAGATCAAGAGATTTTTCTTTTATTTTGGAGTCAGGGGAAAGGATGAGACTGGCAAAACATTGAAAGTTTCATTTATACATAGTTTAAAATGTTTGTAAATATTTAACGGAAACACCAAGCAATAAACTCAAATTATTACCGAGTGCTGAAAAGAACTAGTGGGTAATTTATCAAAGAGTAGGGAGGGATGGATACTGTATTTTACCAGGGCACACACATTCTGACATACTAATGGGGATTGTGTCAGTTAAATTTTGACATGTACCAAATCATGGCCCAGTCTAAATGCCTTAGTCATGGCAGGGGGTTAAAAAAGAGAATATTTGAGAATAATGTGAATTAAAAAGGTGAGTTAGTTTAAATTTCTGTTTGGTATGCCCCCAGGCCTACAAGTCCAATGGGAATACATTCTAGCTAGGGCTTGATGAGTGGCCTTAATGAAGTTGGACAACTTGGAATACATGCATAAAATGATTTTAAATATTGATACGATGTCATTGTGTGTCTGAAGATATTGAAATGTTCATTCTCCCAGCAAGACAGGTTCCATCTAATTTATTAAAGGTGGAAATGATTATTTACATTTGAAAATGGAATGTGTGCCCAGATAGAAGCCAGGGCAATAAAATAATTATTGCATTTAGGGAAACATATATAGTCCATCTTCTGGAAAGGGAAAAGTCAAAACAGGTCTTTGTGCAAATGCCTTGGAGTTCGCGGTGGCTGTTAAGAAAACAATGGTAATTTCTTTTAAGGTGATCATTTCATGTTCCTATGGTATGGATGCATGTAGACCTTTTAAGAACAGTTAATGAAGTTTAATCTGCTTATGTGGAGGAGAAGGTATGATGGAAAGGCTTCTGGCATGCAACGGGAGCCGCCCTGCTTTCCCCCGATGTGTCTATTAGGACATTTCTGTGACACTGCCTGGCGTCTGCAACCTGCTACGTTGCTCACTGATGGAAGGAAGAGGCCTGGCGTGGTAGTGGAAAGCTGAGCTCTGTTGTGATATGAGAGTTTCTATGGAGAATGCCTCTGGGCAGCTGTCTGCTTCGTGTGTTCGACATTAGGGCTGTGTAGCAAGCCAGAGTCGAAGTGTATTAAAGCTAGCAGGCAGTGCAGAGTCAGCTGGAGGTTCGGAAGTGCTAACTAGGCCGAAGGACCAAGGGCGGACCCAGGTATAAAAATAAAATCACCGCAAGCCTATTTCATTTCCTGCCTATCCATCTTGTCTTGGAGAGCTAATTGCACCTTGCTAAATGTGAGGTTTTTTGCTCATGGAAAGCTGCCTAAGTGCTGTACTCACTATCCCATTATTTCCTATTAATCTCCCATCATTTTCACTATCGCTGCACATGGATGGCAGGCAGGACTTACAGAAGCACCAGTAGCCTCCCTAATCACTGTACCCATTGCCACTGGCAAATCCCTCCAGCCAAACTGCCCAGCACCTGAAAACAACAACAGGAACACACAAGGAGCTGTGGTCAGGATCGACAGATAGGCATCATGGCAAGCCATTCATTCATTCATTCATTCATTCCACATTTACTGAGCACCTCCTACCATCTCAAAAAGCTGTGTGACCCTGGGCAAGTTACTTAACTTCTCTCCGCCCCCATTTTCGCAGCTGAATGTGGGAAGAGTGACAGCAACCACATCATAAGAATAACATGAGGATTCGATGAGTTTGTGTATTTAAAGTCCATAGAACAGTATCTAATTTATGGTAAATGCCTAATAAATGTTGGTGTTATTGTTGACCCTGTTATTATTAGAGACTGTCTTGGGCACTGAAGTAGATAGATAAGGAAAATAAAGCCTCTGTCCTCGAGAAGTTCATGGTCATGTAAATAAAAATAAAACACCCTTTGGTGTGATCATCATTATTACTATTAATTGAGCATTGATTATCAGGCATCATGCCAGAGGTCTATATATGCTTTGGCACTTGCCCTTGTCAGTCCTCCTTTGAGTTAGAAATTATTATCTCCCTTTGCAGATAAGGTAATTCAGCCTCACAGAAGCCAAGTTACTAAAGCTGCAACAAACAGCAGAACCAAGAACCTAGGTATTTCTTCCCCTCTGTGCCTCATTGGATCTCAGAAACTAGGAGAGGGGGCATAACATGCTCAAGGTCCCTGCTAGCCCTGGCAGAGCTGGTGCCAGGAGTTGTCCCTGCCCCCACATGCTTGCTGGCGCACTGTGCTCTCTTCTTTAGGTCCTGTGGCTTGAGGGTCATTGTGGACATCCTTGAGAACCAGGAAAAGAGGCAAGCAGTGATGGATTTCCTTCCAAAGTAGAGTTTGGTGGCCTGCACTGTCTTCCCAGTATAATTAGGACAGCATAAATTTTAATCATATTGGCAAGTTCAATAGGACAGCGCTTCCAGCTTATGGTCTTACGTACTAACAAAAAACTCACTTTCACTAAATGCATGGCAGAGGTCAATGTCCTTCTTGCATCTTGAGCTCTCTTGACCTAGACATACAGACCACAGGATGCAAATTGCATTGACTGTGACCATTTCTCCTTCCCACCCTGGCCATGGCCAGGCTAGGCTCCTCATTCTCAACTGTGATTAGCTTAAAACAAAAAGTTTTCGAAAGCAACTCACTGCAGTATTAAAAAATTATTGCAGTAGAAAGTGCAGTGAATTAATAATAATTATTATTGTAAAATAAATGATTAAACATCTCTGATGAGGCAGGCTTTGCATACAGCAACTCATTTAACCCTCACATAGGCATGAAGCATGCGTGTGCACACACATGTAAAATGATCACCAAATTTATAGATGAGGAAACCGAGCTTCACATGTGTCTGAGGTTACTCAGTTCTGCCATAGTGAATGTGGGTTTTAATTCAGTCTGTCTAAATCCAGAGCCTGGGCCCAAAGAACTTCACTTTCTAAGATTCAGGGCTTTCAGACATGAGTTCCTGTACTGCTGCCAAGTGATAGGATAATTAGGGTGAGTTGCCTCTTCTCTTGACCCCAGTTCACCCACTATATAATTAGGGAGTTAATCAATATGTTTCTTAGTCTGTCTGTGCATCCATGTAACTGGCACACACTATGAATGGGTATACTGAACTGAAATGGTTGAGGTTGACCTTGAAAGCCAGACAGTACTGAGTTCCAGCCATATGACCTTAGACAAGTAATTTCTCATCTTTAAACCTGGTTAACTCCTCAAGGTAACAGGGACAATATAATGGCCTGATTGCCTGTTTCATACAGTTGGAGCAAAGAGCAAATGAGATAACACTTAATGCTTTGTGACAATGCTGAGTGCAATAAGTCCTCCATGTAGAGATGCTATTATAATTAAAATAGTTATTAGCACTGGGTGCTCAAAAATATTTCTGAAATAATCATTGACTGCAAGTAGAGTCTGCACTTCAATTTGTTGCTTGCTTAAATAATTAAGTTTTTATATCTTCCTCAAAAAAGGAGTTGTCCTGCTACTAGATGAAAAGCATTTTATACCTACTTTAATCATATCTACAATATTTATCTTAAATGTTAATTATGTGATTCAAAGTGTTGTGCTACTCAATAAAATGCAAAAGTACTTCTTCTTTTCAACAAGTGAAAACAACTCAACATCTCATATTTACAACAAAAAATTCTTTTCTGGTATCTTTTTTGATTTTGCAAGCACAGACACATACAAATTAGGCCATATATTCATGGCCTAATTTCCAAAACTCCAGAAAATGACAAAAAAAAATGGAAATAAAAAATAAAGAAGAAATAGAGGGAGAAGGAAAAGAACTTTTATTTAAAGAGGGCTGTGGGCTGTGTTTGTCTCAGATATGCATAAAATAGTACATCCTTCTCTAAGTCAACATAAGAATTGGTCCCTAAGGGGGAGAGAAAGAAGGAGATAAAAAACAACATTCTGGAGAGCTTCTGGTCATAGTTGGTAGTGAAGAGGGTTCACCAGCTACCACTTATTGACTGTACTTGAATACATTTGGAGGATCCAACCTGGTTCTTTAATCCAGAAGCAACCCTTCATAGGCTCTTTCCTCCAGTCATCATCTACTGAGCCTATTTTATGTCACACACTGTGCTTGGGCTGTCTGAGACAGGATAAACACAAGACAGGATAAGACACAATGAAGAAGAAGGCATCAAGTTACTTACATGAGAAATAGGGGAAAGAGTAGCTGTGCCCCCACTGGCCTTCAACAAATCCTTGACTGGCTACAGTTTTCTACTACATGAAAAATGGAGCCGATAGCATCTGTCTCATAAGACTGCTGAGAGGTCAGTCAGAACCCATATGTAAAGGTATTCAAATCTAACAGATGTGCAAAAAAGTTATTTCTCATTTTCCCGTTCACCTTGCATGATTTTTGACCTTTAAACTACTCATCACTTTTTCTCTTGTATTCCAGTTTAATTAATGGGTTCCTTTCTTGTCATTTAGACTAGACTGGACTTTTTGAAGACCATGTGGTAGTCATTAGAGCGGCTTACCACATATTGCCAGCTCTCCACTTTCCCAGCATGTTGCAGGATTGCACTTCCTCACTTTTTTGGCTTAGAGTGGGCCTGAGTGACCAGTTCTAGCTTTTAAGATGAGTAGAAGTCATGCATGTGTCTTTCAATTGCTAGGGTCAGGTCTCCCAGAACTCCTCCCTGTGGAAACCAGAAATCTGAGATAACGGTGGTTACTTCCTCAACCCAGATCCCACAGTGACAAGATATGAAGCCAACCCACCTAATAGCAACATAAAGTCAGCCTTTGGCTTTATAAGTAAATGAGATTTAGGGGGGTTTGTTACAACAGCATAACCTACTTCATTCTGACCAATAGAGACAACACATATTAAGCATGTCATGGAGTCCAGCTCAGGCCATGTACAAAATTGTAAAAAAGGGTACCTAACTGGCTGAGAAGCAAGCAGGAACGTACATAATTAAAATCTCAGAATTTAGAACATGGGTTTAATAAGCTTCCAAATGCCAAAATATTAATGTTAAAGAAAATTTAAACCAGATAAAAGATGATGATCCTGCCGTGTTCTAGATGCTGTGCTGAGTGTTGGGGACACAATGAGGAAGAAGACATCATCCTTTAGGGAGGAAAATCAAATTTTAAGAAAAGTCAGAATGGCAAGAATGTCAGAGTAATAATCACCAGGAACATGTAAGGCAACGGAGGAAAATACACCCACAGGTTAAGAAGACAAAATTCATATAAATGCAGTATTGAATCTGTTCATGCTAGACTGGCTGTCACTGCCATATGTGAATGCTCTGAGCAGGGAGATAATCATCCCAGCCAAGGGGCAGTTTGCTGAAAGGTTATAATGACAATATTCTCCTTAATGCCTCTGAATAACACCACTGGCCCGTCCATCAGAAGTGTGTGCTTTTAAATTGTGTTTCCAGTGTTAGGACAGAAGTTAAGTTAGGGATCATGCTCTCAGACTGACACTCTGGTTACCAAAGGCTTGAACATACTAATTTCTATTTGTATAGCTTACAGAGAAGGCGTCCACATTTACACTCACCCAAGCCTCACACACAACCCTGAAGAAATAATGAACTGGAGTCCAGGGGAGGAGATTGACTTGCTGGTAAAGAGCTTGGGCTCTAGAATCGGAATTTCTGGATTCAACTCCTGGCCCCGTCTCCTACTGACCATTTGACACTTGGCTAGTGACTCGAACTTTAAGTGCTTCTGTTTCTTCACATGTAGAATGGCAATACTAATAGTAACTAAGAGAGATGCTATGAGGACTTAATAAGTTTACGCATGGAAGACACTTAGACAATATTAGGCACGTGGTTAAATGCTCAAAAGGTATGAGCTGCTACTATTGTGGTTGCTGTTCATTATGCTTATGGTTATTATTAAATCATTAATTCTTAAAGTCATTTAAGTGGTAAGTGGAAGCGAGAGGACTCTGACTACGTTGTGTTCTGGTGGATTTTGAGGAACCAGAGTAAGAGACACAGGTTGTGGCCATGGTTACCTGGCAATTGAGGACATGCACGGGCAGAATAAAACCTACATTCTCTGGCCTCCTGGCCACCATGTGGAACCATGGGTTGCTGACCTCTTTCTATGCCAAGGCATCACCATCAAGCCTCACCATTCTTAGGCAGCTTAGAAGTGTGGCTTTTACTATATCCAACCAACCTCTTCACTTCCTCAAGCTCACCCAGTAGCCCAACGAGAGTCACCTGGGTAAGTTGAATATCAAACTCATCATGAAACTCTTGTACTGATTATAGGCTCTAAGAGTGGCCATAACACCTTGATGTCTGTCAGGGAACTTTATTGATTATATACAGCAACTGATGAAATAATAAGGGATGGGAAGTTGTTTAGGGTGTTTCTTTTCTTCTCTCTCCGTCTCTCTTTCTCTCTCTCTTTCTCAGTGATTGCAAGTAAATGAAAGAAAAACTACCTACTGTATGTCATACACACCATAACATTACTTCCATACTGTCTGCCAAAGACTAAGAAGCTGACATTTGAAACCAAGAAGCCTCACAGATTGGTGAGAGACTGGGTAAGGATTTCTGAAGAGCAAGTTGTTAATGTTGGGGTGGGGAGGAGATCTGTGCATATCATTTTGATTTGTAAATTACCGAAGAATCAAAAGTTTCCTGAGGAAAGTTGGAGACTTTCCCCATCGACTTACCTTATATACTAATTTCCTACTGACATCAAAAAGCAGTTTCATTGATCACTTCCTAGTGATTTGACTGGGAGATTTACACTCAGGGAAAACCATTGATTGTAATGGCAAATCCTATTGACTTAAAGAGGTGTTCAGCTCTGATTGGAATCCCACCAGATGAGCAGGTATCCACTTTCAATCATCTACAAATCAACTTGCAGTCGTCACACACTAAAAAGCTCCATCTAATCACTTGGCACCAAGTTTCAAACTTTCCAAGGAGTCTTTTGACACCATAGCAGCAATGAGATGCAAGGTCGGGATCTCCTTCTTTCATGGCCCCTTGGCCTGGGTTGTTCCCCCACTTTGTCCCCTGGAGAACTCTTAATTCCCCTTCAGGACTCAGGTCCTGGTAGGCATGGAAGAATCAAATCCATTTGAAAATAGGAGTCAGAAGAGACCAGGGTGTTGTCTAAGCATACAAGACCATGACATCCCATTGAGTGGCTTTAATTCCACTTATTCTTTCAACAGTGGTCCATTTTTTCCTCCAATACCTACTATATGACAAGTAATGTTTTAGCAGTTGGGGATATACCTGTGAACAAGGCAGTTAGGAAGTATAAGTTTGCATACAGTTTATAGAGGGAGACACACAGCAAAGAAGTAAGCAAATAAATGATGAAAATATTTCAAATGGTGATAAGTGCAATAAAAAAATAAGATAGCTACTGTTTTGTGATAGTCTCAAAGAAAAATGAAGAAGAATAAGAAAGAGATAGCATTATGAGCCAAAGAAGCAAGTGGCAATATTTTAAGCTGGGTCATAGGAAAGTAGAAATTCTGCTGACCTGGATAATTCTATGTTTATCTACATCCTCCTTCTGCCCTTTCTGCCCTGGGACCCCATTGTTTTGTGCTCAGGAACATCTAAGGTATTTTTATATCAGTTTTTTTTAAAAGATGAATGAGAAAGCTGGGGCAAGCAGATTGACCCAAGAAGAAGGGAATGATGAGCTATGCATGGTGTGAGGTTCCATGTTGCCTTTCTTTTTATCATGAACACATTTGAATTGACTATGTTCCCTTTTCTTTCCTATTCTACATTCAAATTGTTTTAAAATTGCCATTTATTTCTCTATAATAAAGATTTTTTTTCTTATTATTATGCCAAAGATAACCTTCACCAATAAAAGAAATTTATTAGGCCCCAAATGGCCCATGGTGTTTAGTAGAGATGCTATAGAAAGGGAATTAATAGACAGGGGTCTTCTCCCAGGGGGCTTTAGAGTCAGGTACTATTACATACACTGGACTCTGAGTTAAGAAGCATTACTTTTAGTTCCAGTTGCACAGCCAACAGCACAGTATGGTAAAAGGGGAAGGAAAAAAAAAACATGAATTTTTGCTTGAGACAAATCTGGATTCAAATCCTGCCCATGTCCCTCACTAGTGGCATTGTGGTATTGGAAACTTTACCTCTCAGACCTTCAATTTTCTCATCTGTCAAGTCAGAAAAATTATTCCTTGCTGTGAGATCATTGTGAAGACTGGAAATACTGCGTGAAGTGCCTGGTCTAAAACAGAGGCTTCATACATGGGAGCTACTACTTGTGTTAACAATTTAGGCAAGTCTCTTCACCTCTTTGTATCCTAGTCTCTTATGAAAACCGGTAGGAGACAGCGTAGTTGAAATAGATAATATCTTTTAAGCTTAAAGTTTGCTAATGCACAGTAACTCAATTTCCTTGGCTTCTTTCACATCTTATTATCCTCTGCTCCTAACTTTTCTTACTCTCATCTGCACACTGCATTCATAAGCCTACCCATGTGTCAGCCCTTTCAGTTAAGGTAATTTGGGGACCCAATGAGCCAAGTTATTAATTCATGAACTAATGTTTAATGAGCATCTTCTGGACTGCAGGTTCTATGAAGGCTTCTCTGGAAATGGAGGTGGGGTGAGTTCACATAAGGGAGCAAGCGTGTTGCTCCAACCTCAGCTCTCAAGAAGTGACATCTTAAATAGGGGAAATGACATCTAGATAATGATTACTATATGGGAGAAAGCACCAGGGGTCACTAATTTCCAGAAGCCTCAGTGTATTTGCCTCTAAAAGGGGAGTGAGACTAGATCCTACCTAATAGACTGGAGTTGAAAGTTTAATGAAATGATGCAAGTGAAGACCAGGTACAGTACCAGGCCTGCTGCAAGTGTCAATTGTTGGGGCATGTGCTGGAACCCCTGTGAAATCGAACCTAGCAGGATATAAGCTCTGAGCTGCTGGTTAACACCTCTTCAATCCAAGTCTGTCAGAGAACACCACCAGTGCTGAGAAAAGTAGCACCTGGAAGTGAGGGGAGACACATTCTGAATGTTATCGCTTCAACACCTGGTTCCCACTGTACCCAAAATCAGAGAACCTTGCACTTTTACGTTTTGAGAGTCACTGCTCACTTTTGCTTAGGCCAATTTAAACTGAATTTCTGCTGGTCGCTACTGAAAGCCCTAAATAATATAGAAATATTGTCATTCTTCTAATCTCAGATCTTGAGCCCAACTTGCTCACATGAATTTTCTCCCCAAACTGAGAAGGTGATGATCAATGAGAAATTTGAGCTCTGATCATGTACTTTGGAGGCAGGGCTGCTTCATGACTTTCAGGGAGCTGAGACATTTTTGCCTTTGTCCTTCCTTGATAAATACATTTGTTACTATTATATTTATATTTTTCTTTTGACTATCAAAGAAATTAAGAAATATTTTTGTGGCCCCCAAAAGTACTATGGACCTCTTGCATCGTCCTCTCATACCTAATGAGGCAAGAACTCTATTTGGAGTTTCCACGTGGCCCATCTCAAAAGGACTGAGTTCGTGGAAGTCCAACCACTTTGAGCCTCTTTATCTGCTGTAATTCATTTGTCTGATTGTTGCTCTTTCCTGAGTACATATCTCTGAGTTTTATACCTGAGATCATCTTCCAACCTGGATCCAGGAACCAGCAGAAGATGGCCATACACCCATTTCTGCTGCTGCCAATTGGTGTGATCCTCGGCCCTGCCAAGACCCCTTCTCTTTTAAATCCTTACTCATTTCATCTGCGAAATGAAGGGAATGAGTGATGTCTAACATCTTTTTCCAGTGCTAAATTCCTTAAATTTTACCTTTCTTTAACTCTCCTATTTTCATCTCATACAATTCCCTTAGCCCAATATATAAGTCCCCTTCTCCACCCCCTACATGAACGAACTTGTCTATACCTTCCTTTAAAATGTGCAAATAACCAGAGCATAAACTAAAAAGCAGAAAGAAGAAGGAAAGAAGAAAAATGCAGAAAAGAGTAGCTTTAAAACCAGGATCCTTTCAGTATTTTTAGTCTAACCTTCCTTGCACAGCTTCTGCCTTGTTGATCATACTTGGATTGTAATTCCCCTGGGCAAGCAAGCTATCTGCAATTTCCAAAGTGCCTTCTGAATAATCAGTAATCAAGAAATGCCAAGTAATCATGATCTCTCATGTACTTATTGAGGGTCACTCTGAAACTGGGCGTCGGAGCCTCCTGTCTTAAAGTGCCGCAGCTCCTTGCTTAAATGTCGAAATTGATGTGTCGGGGTTACCACGGAAGCCCGCCCCCTGTACATTACCATTATTATTATTTTGTGTTTCCCTAATACTTTCATTGAAAGATAATCATGTTATGAATATTAACTTTTATAGGCTGCATTTGTAACTGCTTATGTGTAAAGAAGCAGCACTTTCTGAAATCAAAATGACACTAATAATTTAGTCAATTTACTTTTTCCCATCTCTGTGTTTACAGTCGTGTTATTTTGTTACTGCACGATCTGAATTTTGATATAGTCTTCCTGGTAATAAGCCTCTCTGTTCTTCATATTTAAAGACTCATTTGTCACACAGAACAGAATTGGTTTAAATACATTCATTTAATAAATATGTATTGAGTACCTACTAGGTGCCAGATCCCATGTCGGATAGATACTGCTTTTAACAGCTACACAAAGGATAGTGAGGATAACAAACATATAAACCACAAATCCACAAATTAGAAATGATGTGACACACGTAGCAATGGTAACATGCAGAGAGCGTTTTGGGTACTTCAAGTGGGGAGACCTAATCAATTCTTCGGTTCAAGGAGCATTTTCTGAGTTTTTAAGTTTGAGGAAAGTGGGGTTAGGAAAGAAAAAAATGAATGAATATATAATCCGTATGGTGTTTATCAAGATGCAGAAAACCTCCACACCCATTAGAATGGCTATTACTTAAAAACACACATACACAGACACACACACACACTCACACGGGCACACACGAATAACAAAAGAAAAAAAAAACAGGAAATGACCAAGTGTTGGCAAGAATGTGGAGAAATTGGAACTCTCTTGCATTGCTGGTGAAAACGTAAAATCTGTGCAATATGGTAGTCCCTCAAAAAATTAAACATAGAATTACCATATGATCCAGCAATTCCACTTCTGGGTATATCACCCAAAAAAATTGAAAGCAGGAACTCAAACAGGTATCTGCACACCCATGTTCATAGCAGAATTATTCACAACAGACAAAAGGTGGAAGCAAACTAAGAGTCTCTCATTAAAGGAATGGATTAAAAGTGTGGTAGATCAATACACAACAAAATATTGCTCAGCCTTGAATAAAGACGAAATTCTGGCACATGCTACAACACGGATGAGTGTTGAGGACATTATGCTAAGTGAAATAAGCCAGTCACAAAAGGGCAAATACTGTATAATCCCACTTACCTGAGGCCTATGGGGAGTCAAACTCTTAGAAACAGAAAGCAGAATGGTGGTTTTCATGAGCTGGGGAGAGGCAGGATGGGAACTGAGTGTTTAATGGATGGGTATAAAGTTCTGTTTGGAATGATGAAAAAGTTCCAGAGATGGATGGTGGTGATGGTGGCACAATTGCAATGTACTTAATGCCACTAAAGTGTACACTTCAAAATGGTGAATTTTATGTTATGTGTATTTTACCACAATAATAATAATAATATGAGGTGCAGAGATCCACACCACCCTTCTCTAACTCTGAATTGTGTGAGGCTGGGTATCCAAGGACAGTCCCAACTCCCCACTCGTTTTCTACAATGTTGTCTTCCTGGGAGCCGCCGCTGTTTGTATGTCAGCTTTATTTGTAAATACAATTAAAAATCCAACCACAAAACACCATCATCCAAGGGGTAAATGTTCTCAGGCTCTGAAACTGAGTGCTGTCATTCCCATTAACGGTAATGAGAGTCCCATGGCTAAACCTCCGCGCATCATGCTCAAAATTTACCCCCCAGAGTTTGCAGATGGAAATAAAAAAAAAAGATTATCTTATGTACAAATAGAAAACAGAAAATAAAGCCAGAAATGGCATTCTGACCACGGAGATGCAACGGGGGCGATTAACAGGCAATCTGGTGAGGGTTGTTTCAGAGAGAGATCTAAAGAGGGCTTATGCTGAACAGAATGTCCAATCCTGGTCTCCAGAGCTCTTGCACATTTCAGAGCAATCAGGGTTACTGGTGGCCCAAGGTCAGGAACTTAAGTTCTGGTTCTGATTATCAAAACCTATTTTTTAACATAAAATATCCTCTGGAGATGAATGAAAAAAAATAGAACTATACTTACTGTGTCATCTAAAAGTCCTGAAATGTTCATTTCAAGTGAATTTCTAATAGAGGTTTTTAAGAGTCCTGGTGCATTCTCATAATTAAAGACTTCAAGTTTTTAATTCCTTCTCTCCACTTTGAATTTCCCCTGGAGCCTTTGTCATGTTCTATGTTGTGAGGAAAAGTAATCAAATTAACATAAGGGGCTTTATTGGAAGTCAGTTTCTCTCTCTCTCTGTCTCTCTCTCTGTCTCTCTCTCTGTCTCTCTCTCACTCTGTCTTTCCGTGTGTTTCTCTCATCTCTATCTCTGTCCCTATCTCTGTCTTTTCCCAATGACACTTCACAGACCCTCCTCCTGACTCTTCCCCACACTGCTTCATTTTCCAACTTCTACCTGCAGAAATGTACCGGCTTCCTTTGCATCCTTGTCAACATTTAGGTTGACAAAAATGGCTTCCATTCCATATGGTCCCCACTTTTATTGCCTCTAATGCCTGACTAGGTACAACTCTGTGACTTATTCAAACTCTCCAAAAAGAGAGTCTGATGGGCCACCACCTTGCCGATGCATTAGGTACTTTCTAGTCAAGTTCTCACCACTTTCTTAAGCTGTGGCCAGGATGGGGGGAAAGGAGAAAAATTGTGTGGCTTGCTCCCTACACATGAGGAAACAACAAGTGGAGCAATGCCCTGAGAAGGGCACAGGAGCACAATAGGTCAACCAATCAACCAACCAACCAAAATGTCTAGACTTGAGTTAAAGGGGCAGTTTACAGGAGTGATCTATGACAAAGATACTGCCAGGGTGTCTACAAGATCAAAACTATTCTCATAGAAGTAGTGAGACATTGCTTGCCTCTTTTCATTCAATTGGCATTAGTGTCCATGGTGCAAAAGGTAAACTGACAAACCCGCTTATTTTTTAGGCTGGGAATCAGTCCACATTTTATTTTATACTACACTCATATAAGTTCCTGCATTTCCAAGGTAACCAGGTCACATTCAGGTTAGCACTGCTGGTAACAAAATCGTACAATTACCCTGGCTTTAAAAACAACATGGGGGGCCGGATGTAGTGGCTCACACCTGTAACCTCTGCACTTTGGGAGCCCGAGGCAGACAGATCATGAGGTCAGGAGATCAAGACCATCCTGGCCAACATGGTGAAACCCTGTCTCTACTAAAAATGCAAAAAATTAGCCAGGCATGGTGGCACACACCTGTAGTCCCAACTACTCAGGAGGCTGAGGCAGGAGAATAACTTGAACCTGGGAGGCAGAGGCTGCAGTAAGCCAAGATCGTGCCACTGCACTCTAGCCTGGGCGACAGCGCAAGACTCTGTCTCAAAAAAAAAACAAGATAGAGGGATGCACGTTAATACCTCTTTCCCTTTGATACTGCAGAAGACAATACATCACAAAATAAAATCTCTACAATCACACGCCTTTTACAATCTAGTGTGAAGGCATATTATTTGTGCTAAAATTAGACCATATGGAACATGAGAATAAAAAGAGTTTGAAAGCTCTCTAAAATTTCTCCCAATGCCATCTTTTTAGCAGGAACCAAGGCCGTGGCACAGACTCTTCTAGTAATCCCTGCATTACTAACTGCCACACACCTAAATTTAAAAAACCAAGGCCAGTTTCACTTAACAATGCTCTTGATGAAGCAGTAAAAATTAATTTTATGATATCTAGACCCTTATGGGTACTTCTTTTTGGTATTCTGTGTTACAAAATGGGAAGTACACATAGCACACTTCTCTTGCACCCCAAAGTATGATGGAGTTGTGAGGAAAACACGTGTATGCTTGCTTGCTTGCTTGCTTGCTTGCTTGCTTGCTTGCTTGCTTGCTTGAGTTGCAAGCTGAACTAGCCACAGTTTTCACACAACATTTTTACATAAATGAACAACAGACAGAAAAATAATGGCTATTTGAACTAGAGTGTTTAGCAGACATTTTCTCAAAAATGAGTAAAATGAGCCTGTCATTTCAAAGGAAGCAACTGACAATATCAGAATTCAAATTAAAACATTTGAATTTGCGAAAATGTCTGTCTACCACCGTGAGCTGACGGAGACCCAATACTTAGAAACATTTTCTGCTGAGATTGCTGGTAATCACTAATGTGGATTTTAAAATGTTTTATAGTTGCATGTATCAACATTTGGAAGATTTGCACAACTCAGTGAACCAATATTTTCCAAAAGACCAATGTATGACGTTACAGAATCGCACGAGTCTGCCATCAATTTCATTGAAGCTCAATATAGATAATAGATTTTAATACAAAAGTATGAAAAACTCACTGGCATTATTACAGATTTTACATTACAACTAACCCTTAAGAAACTACTATTTGCCAAATATTGGTGTACTGTCAAAGAAAATTATCCAAAATTATCTGAAAAGACTATTAAGTGACTTTTGACTTTTCCAACTATACATATGTGAGAGGCCAGGTCTTCTTTATACCTTTCAACCAAAATAACATTGCAATAGATTGAAGAATGTACCAATTCTGCAATTTACTTGTTTGCTCAATATTGTTTGATCTATTCACTGCAGAACATGTGGCTCTAGTTTATACGTTTTTCACTGTGCTATAATATTCTATTGTAACTGCCATATCAGCGTGTATTTTTCCATCCTGAGAATGAACATTTAGGTTGTTTCCAATTTTTTTGTTTACTGTAATGAACAATGCTGCTGTGAACATTCTTTTTATCTGTCTTATTAGGTACACTTTTTCCTTGGTTTTATTCCTAGAAGTAGAATTGCTGATTTATGGGAGGAAGAGATCTTTTAATTCTGCTAACACAAGTAACATCTTTTATTGAGTTTCAGAGCTTGGCATATATTAATTTATGTAATTCTTAGAACAACACAGTGAGGCTTACCTTTTAGCCTTTAAAATGAGAATATTTAATGAGGATGCGCTATGGAGAAAGCTCAAATTCAGCTTGAAGAAGAAATTCCAAGGTGAAAGGGACCTCACTCCTGACTTCTTACTCAGTTATGAGGCTGCTTATTCAATATCTCCACTGGGATGCCTAATGCAACTGAGCACCTGGCTTACTCCATACCAAATGGCCCAGCTCAGCCTTCCCCCTCCTTAATGATGGCATCTCCATGCTTTTAGCAGTTCCACAGATAATCTAAGAGCACTGCCTCCACCTGGCCCAAGATGCCACCATCCCTTACCTGAGTCATCACAATGACCTCCACACTGGCTTCCTATTTCAGTCCATGAACCCTGGAATCACTTTTCAAAGAGAAATCAAGTGTGCCACTCCTGCTGTGAACCTGGCAATGAAGTTCTGAAGGAACTAGAAAAGCACCATTGGAACATCACATTAATAAATGCTGCGGGCCAGGTCCGTGGATGAATGCTAAAGTTAATGAGCAAAGCTTTAATGAGAAATAGGATATTTTCATCATGTCAAAGTTTCTCCTCCCAAATTTTCTAATTAGTATGGTGGTTTTAACATATGACTACAGATTTCTTGAAACGCTTCCTTTCTTGAATGTGGGCTGGATTTAGCAACTTAATGCCAATGGATAGAGTATGGAAAACTAAAAATAGTAACTTTACAGTGGAGAAACTTGGCCAACACCACCTTAACCAAGTAACCAAGATTACATCACCAGTGAGGAGTCATGTGGCTCCCAGGTACCCCCTGACATAGTGGAAGACAAGATCACATCACCTCTGTGGGATTCTTCCTCAAAATCCATACCCTCAGAGTATCCATGAGAAAACATCAGCCAAACTCAAACTGGGGCACATTCTACACAATACTTGGGTGCTTTTCAAAAGTTTCAAGGTCAAGAAAAGTCCAAGAAAGAATCACAGATTAGAGGACACTGAGGAGACACTGAACAGCAAATCTGGATCCTGAAACAGGAAAAAAAAAAAAGATCATTAATGGAAAACTGGGAAAATCCAAATAAAGCACGCAGTTTAGTGAGTAGTATCGTACACAAGTTGATTTCTTAGTTTTGATCAATGGAGCATGGCTATGAGAAACGTGAACAGCAGAGAAAGCTGAGTGAAGAGTACAGGGAACACCTGTATGCTCTTTGCAACTCTTCTTTAAACCTAAACATTATTTCAGGTAGCAGGTTTAAAAGAAACACACACACACACACACACACACACAGAGAGTAATGGCTTCCCATTTTATTCAGAGGAAAAGTCAAGGAGCTTATCCTCAGGGGGTCCATGCGACCTGCCCTTCCTGCTCCAGCCCTGGCCTCAGCGCACCCTGCCTTCCATAGCTGCCTCAACTTTCCTCCCACTGACCACTTCACTGTTCCGAAACCTTCTCTTGCACTCGCATTTTGTTCTGCCTCGGATGCTCTCCCTCTGGAATCTCTGTGGCCAACAACCTCACTTTTTTCAAGTCTTTGCTGAAATGTACCCACCTCAATGAAGCCTCACCTGATCATTCCATTTAGATTACAACTGCCTTCTCCGCAACCACTCCTGACCCTCCTTACGCTCCTCTTTCTCTGTTTTTCATACCACGCATCCCCTTCTAATACCCCTGATTCTGTTCCCCATTTATTATGGCTTTTGTTTATTATACGTCTTCAGCTCTATGAACGTGATCTTGCCGTGGTTCACTCTTGCAGCTGCGGTGCCTAGAACATGGGGCTCAGCCCACTGTTGAGTGAATAAGCTTGCCTGTGTCAACCCTAGCACTTAACTTGACTTATTAATCATCAACGTACCTGCACCTAGGAGCTCACCAAGTGGTGGAGGGAATAAAGACCTATTTATCTTGCAGAGGAGACATGGGCAAAAGATCCCAAATAGTCCTCCAGATCTGGGGCTAAAAGGTGAGTAGAAGCCACTTTTCATCAGCACAAGAATAGCAATGGCTTTCCTTCCTCCACAGAATGTCTTAGTGTGCCTGGAAAGACAGGTGAAAAAGTAAGCCTGCATTTTAGGCAATCTTTAAGCCAAGTTAAAAGTTATGAAAGATTTGGGTAAGCTCCTTTCTAAGCACCTTCAAAATTCCCAGAGGGCTTTTCTTATGCGGTAGGTATTATAATGAAAAAAGACCCAGACATGACAAGAGACACATGAGTAAAGATAGCTATTAAAGCAAGAATGATTGATTTCATAACATTCCAAGGTAGCACTCTTTAACTGCAGATACAGCCACCCCTCAATGTTGGCCTCCCTAATTTGCATAGGTAATTGACAGCTTGTTAACAGCTCATTAAGAACACTGAAAACCATGAGACAACTACAATCGTGTGCATAAATGGGGATAGAATCTGTGACTTGCAGGATATTGAGAACTCAATCAGATCTCAGATTACAGGTCAGAAAACTAGTGAAAAAACAGGGACATCGACCAACTTTTTTTTTACAACTTTATTTAACAGTCCTGTGGTCCATCATTTCATAAACACAAACCTGGGCCATGATGATTTTCAGAATTCAGTGCTAACGGATGCGACGATATAACTTCCAGTTTAATATATAATAAATGCTTACCAGCTGATCATTCTCACTTTCTAAAAACACCCATTAAACTGCTTATGCAGTTTTAAAATTTGTTCTTAAAATTCACCTTTTTCATAAACACAAGTCATTTAGGCATCACAATCTAATATTCTGCAAGTGAGAAAAATGTAAAGTGTAATTTGATTTTAGACTATAAAAAGGAGATAAGTTTCCTGATTTGCACACAGTTACTATCCGTAAATTTAGAGGCTGCATTTTTTTAAAAGAACATTTGAATATAAATAGTGCAAATAATTGTTACATCAGCAAATCTCTTCTGAGCAGAGATGCCGGTGCAGAAACCTTCGTCTGCAAACTGTCTGTGCTGGATAGAATAAGGAGTTTAAAGACTGCAGCCGCAGTGGAGAGCAGGGAGCTCAGTGCCCTGCCCCAATGTCACCTGTGACCGATGCTGATTCTTACGTTTTCTCTAGCTGCCTGTAGATAGCAGGTATGGACTGAGGGTCCAGGGAATGCTATCCCAGGCTCTGGATTCTGAAACCACCCTCCGGTTGCAGGACAGCCTAGTCTGCCATGCTTCCCAGTTCTGACCGACTTAGTCACACCCACTCTACACAGCTCCTTCTCCCCACATAGGTACCAACAACTGAAGAGGACTGATATGGTTGGCTCTTTGTCCTCACTCAAATCTCATGTTCAATTGTAATTCCCAGTATTAGAGGAAAGGCCTGGTGGGAGGTGATTGAATCATGGAGGCAAACTTTCCCCTTGCTGTTCTCCTGAAAGAGTTCTCATGAGATCTGGTTGTTTTAAAGTGTATAGCACCTCCTGCTTTGGTCTCTGTCTCTCTCTCTTGCTGGCTATGTGAAGACATGCTTACTTCTTTTTTGTCTTCTGCTATGATTGTTAAGTTTCCTGAGGACTCCCCAGCTATGCCTCCTGTACAGCCTGTGGAACCGTGAGTCAAGTAAACCTCTTTTCTTCATAAATTATCCAGCCTCAGATAGTTCTTTATAGCAGTGCAAGAACCGACTAATATGAGGACTCTCTGACCTCATTTGTTTTCCCACCCTCTGTTCTTTCTGCATGGCTAGTTCCACATCATCCAATCAGGTCCATCTTAAGGGACTCTGCCAAAACAGTGGAGCCAAGTGGGGAGAAAAGAGCACGGAATCAAGATTTAGGAGATCCAGGAGTGCCATCCAGAGCTCCGGCTTCACCATCCCTGGAAAAGTAGTTCATCCTGACTTAAACATTTAACTGCGAGGTCTCAATTTCATCACCTACAAAATAAGAGTGATGCTACTTAGAGATAGGAGTGTGGGATATGATGAGGTTTCTCTTCAAATAACCCGATCAATCTTTCATTCTTTAATTCATAGTACCCCCTCCTTTTTTCCCTTTTTTCTCCTTTTGTTCTTTTTTGCCTTTGTTAGCTGCCCAGGCATGCCACAGAACCAGGCGTTATCAGTACCAGCTCACATTCCTTTCCTTATCTGGAAAGAGGACTAACTTTCTAGCTCATTACACACACGGCTTCCCCTTTCCTCTCCACTTTCTTTTACTTGCCCATCTTATCTAAAAAAAAAAAAAAAAAAAAAAAAAAAATCAAATGTTTAGCCAACCAGGATTAGTTTAGATTGTACAACATGACCCAAGCCAATGGGAAAAGGATACAGGGGCAGGACTGGTGTCAAGAATAAAAGCACTCGTGCCCCTTTGTTCAGGTGTGCTCTCATGGTGACTGGCCAAGGGGGCACCCTTCTGTGCAGAAGTAAAATTGCTTTGCTAAGAATCCTTTGTTCGAGTGTTTAACTTCCTTAGGATTTTGAGCATTATTCCTAACAGGAGTAAAACTATGTACAGTTAACTCTTGAACAACGTGGGGATTAGGGGTACTGACCCTCTCTATAGCTGAAAATCCATGTGTAATTATGACTGCTCAAAAACTTTACTAAAAACCCCCTATTGACCAGAAGCCTTACTGATAGCATAAATAATTGATTAACACATATTTTGTATGTTACATATATTATATACTGCATTCTTACAATAAAATAAACTAGAGAAAAGAAAATCAGAAGAAAGAGAAAATATGCTTACTATTTATTAACTGGGAGTGGAGCATCATAAAGGTCTTCATCCTCATCGTCTTGAGAATGAAGATACATGTTGAGTAGATGAGGAGGTGGAAGAAAAGAAGGGGCTGGTCTTGCTCTCTCAGGGCTGGCAGAGGTAGAAGAAAGCCCATATATAAGTGAACCCTCAAAGTTCAAACTCATGTTGTTCAAGGGTCAACTGTACTTAGAAATCTGGGCAGTGTTGGTTAATTGAGATAAAGCCATGGTACAGGATAGAATCATGAAAAGATTGAGAAAGATAATTAATTCCAATCACAAAGGTCTTGGTAGTAAGACCATACCAAAGATGTCAATCAACTGAAGCCAAGTGGCCACTTTGACCCAAGGAAATCCAATCCAGAGGCTGAACAGAGACATATATTGTGGCCTAACAAGAACAGATGAACTGGACAAGACACAGTCTTCATCTCTGGAGTCTAAACTGGAAAAAGATGATGGTGATGGTGACAGCTGAAGCTGAAAGTCCATGGTGTAGTGAGACCTTTGAGGCTGTCCACCGAAGGCCTTCTGCAAACAGAAGCTATGAGGAAGCAGAAACCATGACTGAGTGAAAGACATGGAGGGAGAAGAAGACACAGAGTGGAGGGAGGAGATGAGAAGGCACAGAACAGTGAGTGGAACAGATGGAACCATCAACAGAGGGGCCACTCCCTCCACCAGAAGTTCTGCTTTGCATCTTTAGTCCAGGAGTTGGCGAATTTCTTCCACCAAGGGCCAGAGAGTAAACACTTTAGGCTATGCAGCCTTATGGTCTCTGTTGCAAGTACTCACTTCTGCTACTGTAAAGCACTAAAGCAGCCATAGACAATGAACGCTTCTGAAACTAATGAGCACGCATCTAAAAACTGGAAGATGCCACAAAAATACAATTCATTTTGTCTCAGAAAACTGGAATATGAGGCTTCCAGGGCTGTTTTCTAACACAGTGGCAATGACCAAGGGTTGGAGCGGGCCTGATCATGTACCTGCTCACCAACATTGCCCACCCAGCTCACATGGGCAGCTGAGTTTGGGAACTTGCAAGCATCAGGTACTGTAACCACCACTTTAGAACCATTACCTCTAATCCTTCACCAACTTATAAAGTTAGTGTCAGCATGACTATTTCACGTAAGAGGAAACTGAGGCTATGGAGTTAAGGTGACATTTCCAAGATCACACTGTTGATAAGTTGCTGAACAAAGGTAAAACTGCTGGAAACAAAAGTAATTTTTTAGAAGGTTCTGGGAGAATTGTTCTCTTCCCTCCTCTTTCCAGTCCTCTTCCTTCTGATCTGGACTCCAATGTCTCTCTTTTTGCCGAATCTCTTTAATTTCTTCAGGAAATAACTCCCAATGTGAAAGAAGAATACACATTGCCTTTTCTCTCTCTCTCTCTAAATGTAATTTTCTTGTCTTAGACGCAACAAATTCCTTTAAGAGTGGAGATAGTGCCGTAGGTTTCCTTTATTCCCCCAGACAGCTTATCATAGCCAGAGCAAATAATAGATCCTAAATAGAATCAATCATGGTGGTGGTGTGGGGAGGGGGTTTTTTAGCTTTAGCATCTGACTTGAACTTATTACTAATAAGATACAATTAGATCCCGGGAACTAACTCCTCAAGCAAGAGATCTGAGATGAGAACCAACAGGAGAACCTAGGAAAACAGATTCACGCTATAGCCAAAGGACCCACACAAAAATCCATGCAATCTCTGCATAGTGGGAAGGATGGAGGAGTTGGAAGACTTGAGTTCAATGCCCAGATCTGCTGGAACACACTCCTGCTACTTGCAGTGTGGACGGAGTCCCAGCAGCCCGAGAAACACCCAGGAACTGGTTAGAATTGATCATTCTGGGCCCCACCCTAGAAGAACAGAATGAGAATTCTTAGAGGTAGGCCCAGGAATTGGTATTTAATGATCAATTGGGGTGATTCTTAAACACATTGAAGTTTGAAAATCACCGACTGCATGTTGCTATCTCTGGGGGAGCTTTGAACAGCAGTATTGCATGGGTTGGTGTTGCCAGATTTAGCAAATAAAAATATAGGTTGACCCAGTTACATTTGATTTTCAGATAAACAACAAATAATCTTTTACTGTAAGTATGACCCACATTCTGTATTACTCCGTATTTTTTATTGCATCCCAAGCCCTTTTCTACCCTCAGGGATTCTCATTTCATTGGTCTGAGTGAGGCCTGGGCTTTGGGATGTTGAAAGTTGGTGTGCAGCCAACATTGAGAATGGTGACCTGAGACAAGCCCCCACCCTGCCCCATTCCCTCCTGAAGGCTTCCCTGCCTCACTGTTTCACCTAGATTCTAGCTCTGGGGTTGGGGAATGGGGTGGCAGTGGAGGAAGTCAATTTTCCTAGGGTGCAGCAGGTTGTGGATATTGAAAATAGGCTGGAACCATCAAATAGGAAATCCACTATGAAGATATGTCATGATTTCCTTTATTCCACAGCTGAGTACAAATTGCCACTATTTTCTTCAGGAGAGGCAACAAAACCCTATCACCCAAATACCTAAGAAATCAAAGGTTCTCAATAGCAAGTTACATGGGCCCTTGGGTGGGAGGTGGGGAGTGTTTGGAGGAAGGACGTGGACAATCACACATAACACTGTGATTTGAAATTTACTTGAGCACTTAGGCTAATGAATCAAGTGAACTTAATCACCCCAGAAATCCAGACTCTCTTGATATGTTCTCCATCTCTTGGAGGCTGAGACTCTTATTCCCAATATCTCAGGCTTCTAGAGGAAAGTGGAGCAAGGCATGGGTGGGAGAAGCTCAGTAAACAAAAGGGCATTTCCCCCATGGCAGAATCAGCTGCTTTACACAAGGTCTAGTCTCATGGTTTCTCCAACGGCCAGGACTTGTTGCAAGCTGAAGGTTCTCCTCCCTGGGACAGGAACTTGGCCAAACATGTTGCTCCATTCAGCGATATGAAAGAAGTCATTCTCTCTTTGGGGAGAAAATTTTCTCCATTTACCCAATGATCTGTACCTTACAGGACTGTAGAATAAAATTCCAGCCTGGAGCAATCACAAGATTTCAATCATTGTATTCAGAAGTACTAATGGTATGCAGGGACTTTTTAATACAGGGATCTATTTTTTACCTTGGATCAACCTGAAAATTCATCTTCTACTTTTTAATTCTTTTTGTCCTATTTTTTCTAACCCTTCTGCTTAAATCCTTCTACATATATAAATATACTTATGTTGCCGTCCCTTTCAAAGTATTCTATTAGTTCTATTTCTTGAGATGCCCATTCTTCAGCTTGCTGTGTCTAACTCCCTATTCAGTATCTTCTTTCCTAGTGCAATTTCATGATTTTCTATTGAGTTTGTCTTCCAAAGAGCTTTGGTTTAGTTTTGCTCTGTCTTTAAACCTATCAGAATTCCATGTGGCCCAAGTTTGTGAATGTGTTACTAAAAATAAAATTTTGCATTTCTTTCTGCAGGGACGCTAGACCTGTGTCTAGTGTTTTTGACTTCAATTCTTACATCACAAGGGCAATGTAAACTTGGACCCTCCCTGCGTGCATTGTATGAGCTTGTAACTGATTTCTCATGAGAGGCATTTTTTTCCTACCCAGAAACCAAGCCACAAGAAAGCTTTCTCGCTGCTTCTCTTAGTCTATCAGGTCTTTTAAATGTGCATGTCTCATGCTGGGGATTCAGTTCTGGTTCCCACCATATACAGATTCAAAGCCGCATCTCCTGTCTTTCTGTAGGCAAGAAATTTCAGACCCAAAGGCCTATAATCAATAGCTCTGAAGGACAGTATGGTATCAGCAAACTGAACTTTCATTTCGAGTACCTAAGCATTCCCTTTCTTTGAGTTTATGTGTTCATTTTAAAATTTATACTTCTCCAGTATTTTTGTGTATTTGTATGAAGAAGGTGATGCTTATTGGTTCAGTCTGCCATGTTGTTAAAACCAGAAGCCTGAAAGTTACTCTTGCAACCAAAGAGCCAGAGACAGTGAATTCTTTCCAGTCCACTCAAGAATTGTTGGCAGCAAAACAAAGGATATGGATAAAGAGTCTAGGTATAGATCAATACAATGTAAAGAGCTGTGGTTGTGATTTTGCAGAGATGTTCAAAAGCTACTCAGACAAAGTAAAGCATGAAGCAGACAATTCCAACAGGGTCCTGGCATTTTGTAATTATAATCAATTATACATGATAATTGATCAATAGCTATTTCTGCTTAACAAACTATCTCAAAACTTTTGGCTTAAAACAGCAATCATACCTTATGATTTTGTGGTCAGGAATTTGGATAAGGCTCAGCTGGGTGGTTCTTCTGTCCCACATGATGCCGACAAGGGTTGCTGAATGGTGTTCTGCTGGTGAAGGGCTGGACTGAAGAATCTAAGAATGCTTTACTCATATGCCTGATACACTATCTGGTTGGGTCAGCTGGGATTGTTGACCAGAGCAATAACATGTGGCTTCTCTTGCATGGTGTGAAGATTCACACTTCATACGTGGCTCAGGCCTTTAACAGAAAGTTTCAAAAGACAGGAAATGGACACTGCCAGATGTTAAGTTCTCATCATCTCTTCTGCCCTATTCTTTTCATTGAAGTAGTCACAGAACCCATAGGAGGGGTCTTTTGGCAGGAGATGTACCTAAGAATTTGGGGCCATCTTTCACCTGCCGTGGTAAGGCAGAGTGCATGGGCTCTGAAGCCAGGCAGAAGCATGGAAAATGTTAAGCCTTTCTAAGCTCCTTCTTACTTGCTGACTCCAAGATAGTTTCTGAGCTTTTGTTTTCCTCATCTGAAAAAGGGAAATATTAATATGGAATCAGATTGAAATGTTTCAGCTACATTAAATAAAATAATGGTAACCTAAAAGTGAACGTCATGAATTTGAACAGAGAGAATTGGAAGAAGACAATCTTTTTTACAGATATTTGAAGAGGAAAGTGCTTAAATTCTGACTTAAAGATTGAGGACATTTTGCTCTTAGGAATAAGGAACTTGCTGCAAGAAAAAAATGCTTATCCAGTGATAGACTAATGTACAGTATATTAAAAATAAAACAAAAGTGCTACTGTGAAGAGAACCAGCAGATCATGGATGAAAAAGGAAGAAACATCTGGAACATCTGGGTTGAACCACCACAGGGATGATCCCCTTAAATGGTAACTTTTAGTGAAATGGTATTAAAAGTGAATGTCAGTCTCCCATTGCATTTTATTTAGACTTTGAAATATATCGGCCGGGCACAGTGGCTCGTGCCTATAATCCCAGCACTTTGAAAGGCCAAAGTGGGTGGATCACCTGAGGTCAGGAGTTCAATACTAGCCTGGCCAACATGGTGAAACCCCATCGCTACTAAAAATACAAAAATTAGCTGAGCATGGTGGCAGGTCCCTATAATCCCAGCTACTCGGGAGGCTGAGGCAGGAGAATTGCTTGAACCCGTGAGGCAGAGGTTACAGTGAGGAGAAATCATGCCACTGAATTCCAGCCTGTGTGACAAGAGCAAAACTTTGTAAAAAAACCAAACAAACAAACAAACAAAAAACCATATATATATATATATATATATATATATATATATATATAATTACACTTAAACTAAGTGTACAATAAATTATAAATAGAGCCCATCCCAGGATTTCAGTTACCAGCGCCTGATTGCTTTATGATGCTCAGTACAGCACATATTGATGAAGCCCTTCCGACATCACCTGCTGCAATGTGAGCTTTCTGTACATTTTAACACTGGCCATGCTGCTGTAGGGAGGGTTATCATTCAGCCTCGGAGATGCTAAGGGTCACACATCCAACTGTGTAGGCTTTATTTGGACCCAGGACAGATTCTCACCCATGGGCATCCTGTTCACACTTCACCAGGCTGGGCTAATTCTACCCATCTTCTCTCTGCCCTGAAGGACTTATCACATAGTTACACCTATGAGAATTTTCAGCAATCTCAGAATTACTTCCTCTGGAAGTATTTGCAAAAATGGGATAATGGTAGAGGCACTAAAACTGTTCCTACACTATAAAGCCAGCAACTCTCCTGCTTATAAAATGCAGCTGGGGTAGGAATGGTAAGAATAAGATAAAGTGTAAGGTCTTTCACCTCCAAGGCACTTGGACATTATATCTTTAGACTCTTTGTTATATTGACTGCATTACTCCCAAATGCTTTTTAGAGGAGGGGGGACATTTAGAAAAGTGAATTTCTTATGATCAAATCAATATGTTGTGGTTTATGACAATTTTATACATTTATGGCTAAGAACCTATCTGCAATCACTTCCTAGACAAAAGTTAATCATCTTAGAATTTAAAAAAACATAGTTTATTTTTTACACAATTTCTGGGATTGGATTTCCCAACATGCAGCCCAAACACCTGCTCAGAGCACAGGTAAAACAGAAGTCTCACCTCAAAGTCAGCAATTTTTAGAAAAACTTGACATACAAAAAACACATAAGAGCTGTTATGTTGGACATTCTTGCTGTAATGGCTATATATATATATGTAATTATTATTATACACATACACACTCACGTTTTTCTTTTGAGTCAGGGTCTCGCCCTGTCATTCAGGCTAGAGTGCAGTGGTGCCATCACTGCTCACTGCAGCCTCAACCTCCTAGGTTCGAGTGATCTTCCCCACCTCAACCTCCAAAGTAGCTGGGGCCACAGGCACATGCCAACATGCCTAGCTAATTTTTTTTATTTCTTATTTTTGTAAAGATGGGGTCTTGTCACGTTGCTCATGTGGGTCTCAGACTCCTGGGCTCAAGCGATCCTCCTGTCTCAGCCTCCCAAAGTGCTGAAAACTACAGGCGTGAACCACTAAACCTGGCCTGTTATATATTAATTTTAATTTAAAATACCCATGAAAAGGGGAGTAGGTTATTTTCAGTACTTAAGGTCCGAATATCGTGGGCTGCTGGGCTGGGGCTCACGACCCATCCGCAAATAACACAGAGGCAGACACAGAGAAAATCAGACATTGAGGCTTTCCTCACCTGCCTCTGTCTCCCTCCATCTCTGCAACTCTGCAATGCCCCAAGCAGGAGTCTGCTTTTTTGTATAATGGGCAACCCAATCTTGGCAGGAAACCAAAAGTCAATTTCCAGGAAAGGCAGAAAAGAGGGCTATAAAAACTAGAGGACCTCTGTGGCCTTGTGGTCACCTCTCCTCTCTTGCAAAGACACAGCTGTCACCAGAACCCCACGTCTCCACCAGCACAATGCCTCTCAAGATGCTGTAAGCGCCTAGGGAAAGCCAGCCTGCTAAAGGACGCACATGTGCGCACACACACAAACTTCAGGATGGCCATCAATTCAGTTCCTCCTTTACCAAACACTGTGACATGCCTTTCCCCTCTTCTCTCTCTCTCTCTAACCAGCCTTTCTCCCCCACCTCTCCCCCTTCACAACGCCCAGTTTTATTAGTATTATTATTCTCTTAAGTGGCACATGTAGTACCACTTCCTGCTCCATGAGGCCCCGCCGAAAGCGACGGAAGCGCGCCCTCCTCGCCGTGACATCTGTCTTGGCGGCAGCCTCCTCAGGCGGTTCTCTTGGCAGCCTCCACGCTGCCACCAGGCCTGTCGGGTGGCTGTACGGCTGACGGGCTGTCACCGCCGCCTCCTCTTGCGGGCTGCCATTTTCTTTTGATTTACCTTTGATTCGGAGGCATTTGCATGCTTTCATCACTTGGTGGACAAAGTCCTCGGCAAGTCTCCCATGGCTGCTTTCTGTGTAGGCAGCCAGGAAAGGGGCGGATCCCTCTGTGACTTTGCTTTGAGGTGTAAATGGAGGCCCGGCTGGCCTATGTCACGGGGAGCCCGGAAGCGGGTGTAGACTGTCACTTCCCAGCTCCCCGGGAGACGCTATGTAGTTGCTCCTCGCTTTGGCTAGGGAGCTGCTTCGCCAGTGACAAGTGTCCCCCGTGTCAATTAGTTTATTAATCACCCAGCTAGACAACTTGGTAATGTGGTAATTTCAGGGTTAGGCTGCACCGAGTTCTTCCTTTTCTGGCTGGGCATAAGAGCTCGTTAAAGGACTTCCCCTGCTCTCCAGAAAACTCTTTCTCTGCCTTTGTGCATATCCCAGTGAAGCCATTCAAAACTGCAACTCCTCTTCCCCGGCGTGCGGACAGGAGGGAGGACAGGGTTAAATTGCTAATCGAGGTTTCGTGAGGTCTGCCAGAGCCGAGTCTCCAACACTTACATCTGTTCAACAATTATTACAGCATTTTTGTCATAAAAAATTCAACACCCTGAGTGTCGTGCTAGCAAAACCTGAAAATTTATGCAGTGAATAGAATAGCTAATTTCTCTGAGGAAATGCAGGAGGAAAATTACAGATTTTACTTAAATTCCAAACACCAGAGTGCACACATCTGACGCCCTCTTTGGATTTTTTGTCAACCACCGGACCGAAGACGCCTTCCCGTCCACCAGGAAGCGGGGAAGACCCTGGACACATGCTCTGACCTTGGAAGAAGCCGTACTGTGAAACTCCAGACTGATCTATGCACCCACCCAGAGTGTCTCTAAAAGACCTCTCTCCCAATTAAATCCATGCGTGGTACAGAGTCAGACTTCGATTCCGGAGCGAGGTTAGCGTGATTGGTTTGCGTTTTTCCCACTCCCTTCTTCCAATTTGCCCCCCACGCCTTTAAAACAGCTCCTTGGAGAAAACAGAGGGGATGGAGAAGAGCCCCGACAGCATCGAGAGTCTTAAATCTCCTTAATTCATTCTAATGCTGTTTGATGCTTGCAACGGCAGCATTGGAGTTTGCCTCTCTGCTCCATAAAGGTCTGGAATATGGATTTTATGCTAAAACTAAAGCTGTCTAGTTAGGATGCCAGCAGAGTGGAACAATATGCTACAGGCGATCCTCAACTATTCTCCAGGGCCGGAGCCTGACTTCCCGACTGGGTGTTTGTTACCTTAATCATCATTGCAGCGGGATGAACAGGAATTTCTTGCACTGCCACCACAGTGGCACAATTAACGTTATCCGAATTTTCAGAGATTCTACTGCAGAGAGAGGATACTTGCTCCCCTCTGTTAGTGACTGCTCCAGGGTCCCTGTTTATTTTCCCTAGAATGAGGTGGTCAAAGGAACCAGCTGCCCTCTGCCCACTTACTCTGTCTCATGACAGCTCAGCATGGTAAATATTTTCTCTGTAGGGTCTCACATCTCCTGACCATCTCACCTCAGGGCTGGGGAGCACAGCCACACGCCAAGAGCAGAATCCATCACTGGCATTTATGTCTTAATAAAAGCGTGTGCCATTTTCAGATAAAGTAAACACTGCAGCCATTTCCTCTTGCCAGTAGAGGTTTTTCTCTCTTTCCTTCTGAGTCATACCCTTCTAGAAGGTGCAATGTGCCTTCAGAAGAACCCAAGGAGGCTGTGATTCAGAGGTTCCAGAAACAGACACAGCTCTCCAGGCCCTGTGAGTGGCAGTGACAGAATGAGGAGTCCTCCACCCCCTGCAGCCCAGCTATGCCTCAGGCACAGAGCACCCACCAGAAGGAGGATCAGCTCCACCTGGCTCCCAGGCAAACCACGTCCCCAGGCACTGGTGTCACGGCCCAGGTGCTGCCTCTGGCTCTGTCCCACATGGAGGCCTCCCAGTGGGTCACATCCCAGCACAGTCCTCCTGCCTGATATCACCCCCAATCTGTCCTGGGGCTGGAGAGCTCTGAGGAGGGGACCTATGAGTGCAGTGTTTGCCGGCCAGGGCAGAGCCTAAGTGACCCCATGTGAATCCTACTGTGACCCTGCATGGAGACAATCAGAAAAATAACACAGACACGAGCCACAACCACACTGCTGTCAGAACGTCCCAGGCTCTCGTCCCAAGCACTTTGTCTGGCTTAATTTTCAGAACCGCCCTGTAAAGTACATATTATCATTCCCTTTTTCTTGCTGATGAGTCCAGAGTTCAAAAAGATTAAACAAATTCGCCAAGACTGCCCAGCAAGTAACCAGTAGGGCCAAGATCAGATGTCAGACAGGTCAGATGCAGAGCCCCTGCCCTCTCCACCGTGCCACCCTGCCCTTGAGGCAGCTTTCCATTTGAGAAGTAAGTTTAGCACGAGATGCACGACAAAACTGGTAACAGGGCAGACCTGAGGAATGAGGTATGTCTGCATGTGGGGGGGACCATGCCTGTGCAGCCTGCTCTGCAGAGGAGAAAGGTGGAGACAAACCAGAAGGAATGGGGACTTAGCTTGACTTGAGAGAATTAGGCTTTGAGAGGCATCACTTCCAAGAAACGGTTCTATTGCCCTCTTCCTCCTCCATAGCTGTGGTTTTCTAACCATGTATCCCATAGAAGAGAAGTTTGAGGTCCATCATGGTGGAAATGGTGCTGCAAAGCTCCCTACAACTGCAGCATTGATCTTCTCTGATTTATGTTACATGACAGATCTTGATGTCCAGGCCGCAGGAACATCCACCCCAGCGAGATCCCTTTTCTCGACTTCCACCAGCTGTTTGCCAGGAAAGAAGGTCTCAGAGCCACGCTGTATCCTGACTGCCTCTACAGCAGGTACCTTGTACCTCCACAGCAACACAAAAGGATTGTTTCTGTTTCCACACATACCTCATGTCATTTGTTGCCACATAAATTCTCCCTAAGCATAGTGGCTGAATGAAAGCAACTAGTATGTATTGCCCCACAGCTTCATAGGTCAGGAATATTTGGGCACAGCTTAACTGAGTCTTCTGTTTCAGGGTCTCCCGCAGAAGGTAGCCAAGGTGTTATCAAGGGCTGCAGGCATCTAAGGCTTAACTGGGAACAGAATCTGCTTCTGAGCACACTCACGTGGTTGCTGGCAGGAATCAGCTCCACAAGGACTGCTGGACTAAAGGTCTCAGTTCTTCACCAGCTGGGAATCATCCCCATTTGCTTGTCCTATGGCCCTCTCCATAGGGCAGGTCCCAACAGGACAGGAGGATTCATCCTTGTAAGCAAGCAAGGAAACAACAGGAGACAGGTTGCACTCAGGACAGAAGTCATATCTTTTATAAACTAATCTCAGAAATGATATCCCTTCCCTTTTCACATATCCTGTTAACTAGAAGTGGGTCACTAGGTCCAGCCCACGTTCAAGAGAGGTGCTCACACAAGGATGTGAATACCAGGAGGCAGAGATCTTGGAAATCACCTTACAAGTTGTCTACCTCACACCTCAACCCTACCCTTTAGAGTGGACAGTTTTCACAATGCCGTGGCCTCATCTATCACTGGGAGGCCTAGAAAGAACTCTTTCAATTCTCTTGTGCCAGGAACCAATTTTTTTTTCTCACCTTATGGGTGGTTTCTAAAGACACCAAAATACCTGCTCCTCTTTCTCTACAAAGTCTCTGCCATTACAATGACCAAGAAAATGTGCTGTAGCGTCATAGCCCTTTACTAAGCCCCTGCTACAGATCAGACACTGAACTAGACCTTGAAATATTTTCTCTCAATCCCTAAAGCAGGCCTAAGTGGCAGCATTTATTGAATGAATGAGGACTCGGAGGCTCAGTGAGGGTAAGGAACGTGCCCAGTGCCATTCATCCACATATGTAGTGGAGTCTGAATTCAACCACAGGCTATGTTTTGTCCATTCAGCCACAGACTCCCAAAAATATTCCTGAAGCTTCATTTCAGAGGAATTACACATTCATTCTAGGTCTCATTACATTCAAAGAAATTCTCACACATGCTACTTATATGGCAACCTAAGGTTTAGCGTAACCACATGCTCTGGATTTTTTAAGTGAATTATGCCATTTTATTCATTCAATAAAACAATTCTAGAAACACACAGATAAATATGAATTGCTTACGTTTATTTGAACCATATGGCATTACCATTGCTAGTGGTAAAAATATCAAATACCACTAACTCTATAGGGTTTAGTCTAATGTATTTTTGCTCATATTAATGCTTACAGATGGACAAATGAGTCTTTCATATTATAAATAATCTTTGTCTACACAACAAACTTCTATAGACTTAAAAAAAAAAAGAAACAAAAGTTTCCTCTCTCTGTAGATACCAGCATATGGCAAAAGGATCAATACTGACAATATTTAATGAGCATCTCTGCTTGGACCTTTACTATTATATTGTATTAAATATTTACAACAGCACGAGTGTAGACACTGTGATCCCAACTTTTATACTGAAGATGAATCAAGTTTAAAGAGGTGGATGATTTCCTCAAAGTCATGCAGTGAACTGACAGAATCAGCCTCATAACCTGCTAAATGTGCTTGATTCCAAAGCACATGTTCTTTCCATTCAATTTTTGTCTTACCAAGAATCACATACTGGGAATTTGCTGGAGGCCATGGAGTTCTGCCTGAGTTAGCTTGCCCCTCTGTGCTGTTGAAACACACATAAACACCGAAATACCAAAGCAATTATGGCCACTGGAAACAAAGCCATCTCAAAGATAAAGTGCCCGCTCTCTATTTTAGAGGTGACCAAGAAAAGATTGTCAGTGACTCATGGGTGAATTCTGAAGAAAAACAACTTGACTAGCAGAAGAAGACAGGAGAAAATTTCCAGCTATGCAATCTGCAGATCCCTTTAGCACCTTGGTGGCTGAACCACTGATTATAAGTCCTGGTGATAATGTCTACCCTTTTGAGTACCTTTATTTATTTATTTATTTATTTATTTTGGAGACAGGTTCTCACTCTGTCACCCAGGCTTGAGTTGAGTGGCACCATCTTGGCTCACTGCAACCTCCACCTATCAGGCTCAAGTGATCCTCCCACCTTCCCACCTCAGCCTCCCAAGTAGCTGGGACTACAGGCAGGTGCCACTATGCACAGATAATTTTTGTATTTTTTGTAGAGGTAGGGTTTTGCCACATTGCCCGGGATGGTCTCAAACTCCTGTGCTCAAGGGATCCGCCCCCCTCAGTCTCCTAAAGTGCTGGGATTACAGGCATGAGCCACTGCACCGGGCCTTGGGTACTTTTGTAACCTGCAGAACTACCCCCAGTTTCACGTCTGCTCGTTGATACCTTCCTCTTCTGCAGCCATTTAGAAGGCTAAAACTCCTCATTGCCAAATAATGAAGAGGAGTAAGAATCAAAGCTAAGAGGACTCTGCATACTAAGACATAAGGAAAGCACAAACTCAAGAAAACTCCAAGACAAGCACTGGGAGCAATGAATTTGACAGCATGTAATTCAAATAAGAAGAGTCATAGATTTCTCAAATAATCCCAGGGCAAAATTTTATCCAGGAAAACTGAATTGAGGCCAGAGTCTGACAGGATCATTTACCTGCATTATACCTGAAATTTGTCAACACACTTTACATTTCAATGTGGCCTCTGGATTAAAATCCAAGAAGATTATTTTGAAAATAGTAAAAATAATAGTGAGGAGAAACTCAATCCTTATTTAAATAATAATAAACATAAATAAAAGCAAACCATGCCCAAAGCAAGTATAAAAATGGGAACCAGCATTGTAAACACATAGATGAAGAGCATACCAGAGAAAGGGATTTGTTGTCAAAAACGGAAAACATTTTATGAGGTATTTGCTTTGTGTTCTTTCTAAAATATAATAAAATACATAAAAAAAGAGGCATAATAAGAAATAAACTATTTTTAACGTAGCAGGTTCAAATGAAGCCTGAAATTTAGGAAGGGATCTGAAAGAAATTATGAAAGAATCAATAATAGCTCATACTTACCGGGAGCTAACACAGTCTCAGACATTGTTCTATGCAGTTTACATCTATTAGCTCAGTCAAATCTTCAAACACGTCTCCACATTGGCTTTTTGATAAGGAGACTGGGACACACAGAGCAGTTAAATATCTTGGCCAACTCAAAAAAACTACTAAATGGAACAGGTGAGATTTAAGCTCAAGCAGCCTAAGCCTGCACACTCAATCTTCACATGGTACTGGTCTAGAGAACCAAAGAACAGAATCTATACAGCAGAAAATTAAATCAGTAAATAGAAAGCAAACAAGAAGGCTTCCAGGTATTTAGAGCAAAATCAGAAAACTACAGTCTATAAGCTTAATCTGTCCCACCACTGGTTTTTGTAAATAAAGTTTTATTGGAACACAGCTATACTCATTTGTTTATGTGTTGCTTTTGTATTTCAAAGGCTGAGCTGAGTAATTGCACCAGAGACTTATGCCCCAGAAAGCTGAAAATATTTTTTATTTAACCTTTCACAGAAAATGTTTCCTGATGCTTAATTTAGAGAAAGAAGACACAGAGATACAACTTATGTGAGAGAAGATGAAGATATGGAAGACACAGTAAAGAGGCAGTGTGTGAAGAGAGCTGACATTTCAGAGGACATGACCAGGGCCAACAGAGTAACTGGTTAATCAAATATATCGAGAAGAATTCAGAGCTGAAAATATCTGAGTTCGTTCCTCAGAAGGGCTCAAATTATTCCAAACAACCATTTTCTAAAGAAACTCCTGTCTGAAAAGAATTTTGAATCTCTGGGGAAAAACTATTTTTAAAAATTGTGAGAATGGCAGTAGGATGAACAGATTATTTACAAAAGAAAAAAATGTGGGTAATCTCAGACTTCAAAATTGTTCATATCAAGAGTAAAGTGAAATACAGTCTAACGAGTTTTGAGAAGAAAATTACTCAATAATTTTACACCAAAGGGATGATTTGTAAAGGAAAAAGAAAGACACTCAGCTATGCAAAAATAAAAAAAAGTATACTACCACTATACTCATGTTAAAAAATGGGATTGCAGATATACTTGAAATGACTCAGTAATTAATCAAAATAAACAATTCAAGAAGAGAGAAAGCATGGTTCAGGACAAATAGTAATAAGTGTAGATCACAACTACTAAATACTAAACATAAGAATTAAGTCCAAATCGGTTCAGTAAGTACAGTAAGAAAAACTACAATTGAAAAATTAAAATATCACATTAAAAAAATATATAGCTTACAAACAAACCATCTCAAGAAGAGCAAAATAAATCTAATGACAAGGGAAACTAAAAAATAAATGCAGTTAAATCATATATAAATTAATTATAGACTGAGAAAATAGTGTTAATAAATAAATGTAAGAGCTGGTATTTAGAAATGTACAACACAACAAATAAACCACTATTAAATCCAAATTAATAATGTCACAAATAAATATGCATATTGGATGTGGGAAATTAGATACAATATAAGTTTATAAATTAGAAATACAGATGTGCAGTCCTACATAAAGACATATGTAAAGAAAATCTAATGAGATAGATAGTTTTCTATTTACTGTTTAATTTTTTGTTGCATAGATTCTGTTCTTTGGTTCCAGAATTGGAAAATTCCGGAAAGTTGAAATAATAAAAATTTGTCCAAGAAGAATTAGAAAACTTTTGTAAACCTATAGCCATGGGGAAAATATGGAAAAAAATCTTTAACATAATTATATCCCCAAAAGACTCCTAGGCCAAGTAATTTTGCTAGTTCTATATAACTTCGAATAATAGACAATTATTATTACTTATGATTTAATCCAGAGCACACATAATAATGTAAAAATCTTTCATTCATATTATAAAGACACTTTACACCCATATCAAAAGCTAGCAATGGATGGGACAAAAAAGAAAACCAGGTATCTAAATTACTCATGAGAACACAGGCATTATCCTAAATCAAATACTAGCTAACTGAATTCACATACACATTAAGAGAATCCCAGGTATTTTATTAAGAATATAAGGAAGGCGTAATATTAGCAATCGATTAATTCATCACATCACATTAAGATGTCAACGTTGAAATAAACTATATAAATGATTCCATCTTCGTAGAAGCCAAAATAAATTTTATAAATTCAACATCCATTTCTTAAAATATATATATTTTGAAGCGTTTAAACAAAAGTCTGTATAATATGCAATGCTTGTATTCCAGATACATTCCCATTCAAGTTAGGACAAGGACAAGGGCTCCAGCCCCAACCATTCATCCTTGGCATTGTTTTGTACATTCCAGATATTTTATAAGACAGGAAAAAATAAATTCAAGTTATACAAAGAAGAAGAGTACTCATTAATCATCCATTACCAGTGATATTATGAATCAGTAGACAATATATCTAGAATATCTTACATAGTTAACTAAAAGAAAATATGTATAGCTTTAAGCCAGTTCAATAAATTAACCAGACAGAATATCAATAGCCTAGTCAAAACTGGGTTACATGAGCCATCTTGGCACACATCACTTTCAGAAGAAGCACAAATACAGCATCCAAAAAGAACCAAAAAATGTTAACATCTTTACTATTATGCCCCCAAGAAATGTCGGTTTTATATTATATTACACAAAGGAAAACTTCTACCTAAGGTAGGTGATATTTAAATTAAAGTTAAAATAAATAAATAGTAGGACTTGTGGAAAACGTGGATGAATACTGAAATAAATTCTGGGCCAGTAAAAAGACTCCCTAAATGTAAAACACGTGGTATAACCTGCTATGATCTGAATGTTTATGCCCTTGCAAAATTCACATGTTGATATCCTCACTCTCAAAGTGATGGTATTAGGAAGTTGGGCCCTTAGAAAGTGACTGGGCCCTGAAGACTCCACCGTCATGAATGAGATTCGTGTCCTTTTAAAAGAGATACTAGAGAGATCTCTCACCTTTCTACCATGTAAGGTTACAGTGAGGTGGCCTTCTGTGAACCAGGAAGAGAGCTCTTCAAGACACCAAATCTGTCTGAGTCTTGATCTTGGACTTCTCAGCCTCCAAAATTGTAAGAAATGAATTAATTTTGTTTGTAAGTTTATGACGTTTCGTTGTAGCAGCCCAAACGGACTAAGAAAAAACCCTTCACAAAATTGGTCAGTACACCTGGCCAGATAAAAGTTTAAAACTTTCTCTGTTGAATGCCATCATCAACAAAATTTAAAATGCAATGCAAAAAAACAAAAGAATGTTTGCTACAAATATCAGGAGGAACATTAATAGCCTTTAGACACAAAAATATCCAACAAATTAAACCCACACATGAATATCTCAAAAAAAATGGGCAGAATGCATAAATATACAACTTGAAGTAAAAAGCATATAAAGGCCAGTTGCAGTGACTTTCACCTGTAATCCCAGCATTTTGGGAGGCTGAGGTGGGCGGATTACCTGAGGTCAGGAGTTCAAAACTAGCCTGGCCAACTTGGTGAAACCGCATCTCTACTAAAAATACAAAAATTAGACAGGCATGGTGGCATATGCCTGTAATCCCAGCTACTTGGGAGGGTGAGGCAGGAGAATCACTTGAACCCAGTAGACAGAGGTTGCAGTGAGCCAAGATTGCACCACTGCAGTCCAGCCTGGGCGACAGAGTGAGAATCCATTGCAAAAAAAAAAAAAAAAAGCCTATATAAAAGGCTAAATAAATCAAATCCATTCATTGATTCATTAGCATTTGAAAAAATATTTTACAAAATTATGGAGATGGTAGTAGGGTGAACAGATTATTTATAAAAGAAAAAAATGTGAGTAATCTTAGACTTCGAAATGTTTTACATCAAAGTGAGATCCCTCACCCTTCTACTGTGTAAGGTCACAGTGATACAAACCAGAAAGTTAAAACAATAAGGAGTTGGTATTTTGTTCTTGGTTACTTTGGAGAGGGATGGTGAGACGGGAGCCTTTGTTCACCAGTGTTGGGAGGTTTACTGGACTCTACTCCATGAGGAAGGGGATCCTCCCTTTGAGCTTGCATGCTGGCATCTTGCAGTGATCAGTAGAAATATTCACTGATGCAAGAAGCACAAGTAACCCTCCAGAGGTAGTATGTTCAAGAAGCTTAAAATATTTATCCAATTTTTCTCAGTAATTTTATTCCTATGAAGGTAGCTACAAAAAAAATCAAATGTTTAGATAAAAATATAGTTACATGGCCAGGCGCGGTGGCTCACACCTGTAATCCTAGCACTATGGGAGGCCGAGGTGGGTGAATCGCTTGAGGTAAGGAGTTCGAAAACAGCCTGCCCAACATGGTGAAACCCCATCTCTACTAAAAATACAAAAAAATTAGCTGTGCTTGGTGACAGGTGCCTATAATCCCAGCTACTTGGGAGGCTGAGGCAAGAGAATCACTTGAACCCTAGAAGTGGAGGTTGCAGTGAGCCAAGATTGCACCACTGCAGTCCAGCCTGGGCAACAGAGCAAGACTCTGTCTCAAAAACAGAAGAAAAAGTTACAGGAATGTTTACTGCAGCAATATGTATAATTTAAATAAATGAAAATAGTGAAAATGTCTAATAATTAGAGTAAGTTTATTTCCATATTAATTACAGCTTAGGTGGTTTTTAGAAAATGATTGTTCCCCCAGATATTTAATGGTATATAATATGCTGATTACTGAAAAAATAATGATGCATATATATATATATGTGTGTGTGTGTGTGTGTATGTGCACATACACACATACAACCAACTTTCATGAAAGAAATATGTGGGAATATACACATTATATATATATATATATATATATATATATATATGAACAAATAAATAGTGTGCTCCCTTTCTATCCCAGTCCAACCAAGCCTTCCAAGGGGCAGTTTGACTTTCATGGCTCAATTTCTTTATTCCTCGACCTCATTGTAAAGATTGGGGCAAAAGTAAGTCAAGGTGGGCTTGTTTGATTTCCGTGTGAGGTAGCCAGGCAGTTTTAGCAAATAAAAATACAGGATACCCAGTCCAACTTGAATTTCAGATAAACAATGAATATGTTTTAGTATATCTCAAGTGTTCAATGGGATAAACTTATACAAAAAGTTTTTCATGATGTGTCTGAGATTCAAATTTAACTGATCATCCTAGATTTGATCTGGCCACCCTAACAGAGAGTGACTGAAGAGAATAGGATGAAAATGAGCACAGTTCAAAGGACCTGGGTTTCTAATCCAGTTTGGGGAGGTGGGAAGGAGAAAGGGCAGGGGTGGGAGAGAGAGGGAGACAGGAGAGGCCTGGTGTCGGGAGTGGGGAGAGGAGCCTTGGGGAGACAGAAGCCAAGCATTTAGAAAGATTTTCCATTTCCTCTTTGGATTGCAGACTGGTGCTTCTTCTGAAAGCCACATCATGCTTACCCAGGCCAGAAAAAGGGCCCACTCAATGTAACTGACCTAGAAAGGCAAAGTAAAAGGATTGGCAGGATCAACATGGAAATGCCAAGGATGTAGCTAGTTGTGATTTTTGTGTTCTTCTCTACATTTGTCTGCATTTCCCGGATTTTCTACAATGATGGGCACAATTTGTTTTGTAAACAAGACATACATGGAACTTGTTTTTAAAACCTAACCTCACACAGACCAGATGTCTGTCTTCTTTGACTAAGTCACCCTAACTAAGGGAAAGGGTCACTCTGGGCATCCTGGCTCAAGATGCTAACACCAAACTGCCCCTGTTGGCCTCACAGGCATCTCCTACGAGACTGGCCTTTCTGTCAGATCAGGATCTGAAACACCAGGCTTGTGCATGTGAATAAATGAGTCTATCTGCTCCACCTGAATGGGTCACCACGGATCAAAATCACTCCTGACCCTGAAGAGCATCTGGAGCTATTCTTTCCAAACTGGCTAGACTTCATTTCACACCCTTGCTGAGAAGGAGAAGCCCAAAAAGCCTTCCTTGGTCAAGCCTGGGTTCACTCCTTCTGCACTTGTTCCCTGATCCAACCTGTTGCTGCCTCTGACACACCTGGTCACTCCTTGGCTCGTTCCAACTTGTTCTTTTACCCCTTAAGTTGAAGGAAAAACTCTGTGAAGTATACACAGTGCACCAGGCCCTGTATCAGGAATTTCACCCGCATCAGCTGGTTGAATCTTCTTAACAACATGTAAGGCAGGTATGAAAACCATCATTTTATAGTTGAGGCTGAGTAACAGACCCAAAGTCAGACAGCTAATTAGGTACTGGAGCTCAGATTCAAATACCGCCTTCTTTGGTATGAATACTAATACTGTTTCTACTGACTTGTTATGATAAGTACCAGCAAGTCGTTTTTGAATGAAAGAATAAAATCGGTATGTCCAGACAAGAGGCAGACATTAGCTTGGCCACAATCTTTATGTGACCTGAAGATACATTTGGTGTATCATGCATGGTGTCTTTAAAAGGTTTTAAATAGATTTCTTCCCTTAAACATTTGGAGATCTGGCATCCTAAGCCAGATGTGGGGCTTCTTTTGAAGGAATCAAATCTGGCAACCATGGGTAAGAACCTTCTAGCCTTTGAGGTTGCATCGCTTCCCCTCGTGGCCTGTCTGCAATGTTCACGTGCAATACCTGCCTCGACACTAGGGGTATTTGCAACTGCTTTCTCACTCCTACTCAAATGGTTTTGTTTTTATTTCTATTTCACTTCATTTCAATTCATTCTATCCCCATGAAATATAGTCAAACCAGGGTCTTCTATAGCCCAGTTTTCTCCTGCTTCTGATTGGCTTTCTCATTCATCTGTGAAATTTTCCTGGCTGCCTCATGTAAAGAAGTCATAGCCCCTGGTACGCACCTCTAGGACAGCCTTATAATAACACTGATCCGTTATTGAGGGCCTACAGTGTGATGGTCACTCATTCACAGTTAATCCTCAGCAGGCTCCAGGTGCTTATGGGTAAAGACAGGAGTCACTAGGCAGGCCAGCAGCATGCCTGGCCTGGGCCTTTCCCACTGGGCATCCTGCCACCACCCACACTGTCATGCCACACAAATGTCTGAGTACATGGGCTGGTCTGAGCCCCCAGGAGACCAAGACCTGCTTGAGCACCAGGAAGCCCGATCCGTCTGGGGGTCCCAGTGCCTGGTACTGAGTTTGGTGCATGGTTGGTGCTCCATAAATGCTTATGGATAGAAAGAAAGAAAAAAAGAAAAAGAAAGGAGGGTGGGAGGGAAGGAGACTGAGTGGAGGGAACATTTGCATTGACTGCCCCTGAGTATTCAAAGCAGCACCTGAAGCACACATCCTTGCAGTGGCAGTAAACAAAGGTAGAGAACAGCCCCTGGATGGTGCACGGTGCTTACGTCCCGTTTCCTCCTGCACTGAGTTGACCAGCTGTATGGAGATGACAACGTGGTCACCAGACCCACTTAGACCTGGACCATATTCCCAGAAAAACAGATGCAGTCGGCCACCATGGCATAGCAGCTATTCCGTAACAGATTAGATGCTGGAGTCCTGGAAAGTCGTTCAAGGAAAAGCTATCTCTTTCTTTCCTCTGGAAACATATCATTAGCCTTTAATTTAAGTCAAGGTGGAAGTAGAAGAGGGCAGTCATTGTAGGAAATCTGAGCAGCGATGCTTTAATCCCATTTAGGGACACTTTGAGCAATGACTTATAGATAATGAGAGATTTTAAATTCTTTGGTCAGTCTCTAGCTAAAGGCTTTTTATGGGGGGAAGAATGAGTAATTCAATGCAGATGATCTAGCCTCTTATAAGCTTTTATTAGTGATTTGTTGGACATGGATAACATAAATTTTGCGACCAATCTATTAACAACCTGAATTGGAAGTTGGTTTTCCTGCCCTCCACAGAGCATTTCAGGAACAAGTGTAATAACTGGAGGATCAATAATTCCTATTTAGTATAGTATGCGAGTTAAGTGAACAGGACCGAAGTATTTCTATTTATTGAATATCGTGTCAACAAATTTCCATTTCAAGGATAATAAAACAAGTTACAGCCAATGTCAAGGTTGTTTATCCATACAAAGCATAAACAATATATTTTACTTTAAACAAAAAAGTGCTAATGTTCTTTAAAATAATCCATATTTTGATCCACTCTGCCAAGTAAAAATAATTTTGCATTGAATCTGTCAGCTGTCAAGACACATTATGTCCCATAAAAAGGACAGCAGCTTTGGGAAGAAAAGCACCATAGTAGTAGACCTCCTCGTTTATTGAATGAAGCATGAGATTAGTTTACTCAAGGTATTCATGTAAACATGGACACTTAAAAAATAAATAGAAAAGAAAGAAAGAGCTAAATTTACCAGATGAGGAAGAAACTTAGCTGCAGAGATATTTCTAACTTATAGTCCTCACACACAGTGTGAGAAGTCTGAAAAATGAAATTTTAGTCATTAGAACCTGACAGCTTCCAGTCATAATATGCTGACATGTGTAACGGGAATTAAGAGATTCTACCAGCGGAATGAACGTTCATAATTTTTTTTTGAAGCAAATCATTTATTTCAGCTCCGTGAATCACAGTGCAGCAGCAGATCACCGGACATTTATAAATGGCATAATACAACTTTCTCAGGCTTTGTGTCCTTTCTTAAGTAGATTCCACTTAGAGACACTAATTACTGGTTGAATGGAAGCACTCTCTGTGAGGCAAAGCAAAGGAGGTCTATTCAGAATGAAAATAAGCTTCCAGGGGCTTCCAGAGGGGCTGGGACCACTGAAATTCTGCTCTTTGGTATCTTGCTAAGGTGATTTTGAGTTTTAATTGGTTCACCTTTTCAGGGAAGGACCACAGCCTCCCCCAATTCACTCATCACTAACAGACACTTATAAGTGTTCTGTGCATCACACATTGTCCCAGCTACAGGAGCACCGAGAGGATTACGAGGAGGACTTCTGTCTCATTTAACTCCTTCTGGGGATGAGGAGAAGAAACATTTACACCAGTAAACACTTGGAGCTGACACAACAGGTCAGAGATTGTCTAACACTGGTGAGCAGGAGCCTCACCTGGAATGCCAAGGTCTCGGTATAAGAAAAGGCCCTGGGGTCAGACTGGCTGGGTTCAAGTCCCAGCAACTCCATTAATAAGCTACGTGGCCCTGGCCGAAGAACTTGACCTCTCTATGTCTTACTTTCTTCCTTGGTCAAATGGAATTGATCACTGGGCTTCTTTCTTAGGGCCCTGGTGAGAATGTAATGAGTTGACTGACATACAGGAAATGTTTCTGGCACATGGTGAGTTGTTGGGTCATAGTATTTATTTGCTGGGACAATGGTGGGAGATGACGAGAAACCACCACAGAAGCTGCTAGGGAGGGACCAGGTGGTCCATAGATTATGAAGTCAAAGAGGGTTATTCTTGAGCCTTAAGATCTAATGGAATTTGCTTGGGACCTGTGGCTCCTGTCTTCTTTCTGATTTCTCCCATAGGATATCTATGCTATGCCTGCCCCACCATTGTATTTTGAAAGCAGAGAACTTGTCTGGTTCTATAAGTTTACAGCTGAAGAGGAATTTTGCCTCTGAATAAATCATACCTTGAGTTTCACCCACATCTGATTTAGATGCTATTTAGGTGAGCTTTTGGACTTAGAGTTGATGCTGGAATCAGTTAACACTTTTGAACACGTTGAAATGGAGTCAGTGTATTTTGCACGCAGAAAGGACATGAGTTTTGAAGGGCCAGGGGACACATTATTATGAGCAAATTGTGTCCCTCCACAAAAAAAAAAAAAAAAAAAAAAAAAAAATTCAAATAGAACAAGTCCTCCCAGTACCTCAGAATGTGGCTGTATTTAGAGATCGAATTTGTAAAAGGGTAATTAAGTTAAAAATGAGTCCACCAATCCAATATGACTGGTGTCCTTATAAGAAGAGATCAGGACACAGATACAGAAAGAGGGATAACTGTGGGAAGACACAAGGAGAAGGCGGCCATCTACAAGCTACAGAGAGAGGCCTCAGAAGAGACCAAACCTGTGGATGCCTGGACCTTGGACTTCCAGCCTCCACGACTGTGTGGAAATACATTTCTGTTGTTTAAGCCACCCAGAAAAGTGGAACTTGTTAATGGCAGCCTTAGCAAGTTCATGCAGATTTTTGAAAAGATTCCTCAGATACTTCTGCTGGGCCCCACAGAAGAATCTTGGTTGTTGAGAATCTTGGTTTCATATCATGTCATGCAAAGATCCTGGGAGGGCAGAGAGAAGTAGTTCCGGCCTGTCTCACGCAAACCTCTGAGAGCTGTTGCTTATCCACAGAGTGACCTCAGGTGGCTCAAGTTGCCCCTTTGGGTCTCAGCTTCTTCCCCTGAAAAGGAAGGTGTCAAACAATACCACCCACCACTACAGAGTTTTCCAGCATTGGCTTTCTGTAAAATAAATCAAATGAAGTCCTCCATCTTGGCCTTTCCCCCAGCAGTGGGGTTGCATAGAAAAGAAGACAACAGGTTAGCAAGAAAGATGTGGTTTCTGTGGGCCAAAGATCCCCAGCCTAGATGCTGAGACAGTGGGAGGAGGAGAAGATAAAGATTAAACTAGAAATCACAAACTTAGATCCAGAAATTGCCATGGGGCCCAAGACAGTATTTCACACATCTGAAAATTTTCATCCACCTGTCTATTTGCAGCGTTTTAAAAAAGTGTTTGTTCTGCTGGGCCCTTCTCTGCAGTCACCGGTGATGGGGAGAACACACTGATGTGTCTTCCGGCCCTGACTTGATGAGAAGGCAAAGACAGAACCAGGGGCACACTGCCCTGCATGAAGTAGTGGTGCTTGTGGGGTAGATCAAGTTTTGGGGGGATCTTTGAGCTGGCACTTGACGCCCCAGGGGGAGTTTGGAAACCTGCAGGCAGCAGGAAGGAAGAACCAGGGGGCTGGAGGCCACTTTGGGGTGGAGTTTACTCACTTAGGAGAGGGGAGCAAACTCAGGTATTGCGAATGCGGGTTTTTGGTCACTTAATTTGCATTCTTGCATTCAGTCTCCACCGCAAAGCCCTGAGAGGCGGGTTAAGTCATTTATAGGGTGATTAATTTTCTTGCGAGGGATGTAGGCCTATTCCCAAAGGCCTCACATAATTCAAAACTAGCACAATTCAAGATTAATTCTCTGGAGCAGGAAATGTAAAGTAGGGTTTGCATTAGTTCAAAATCTGTGCGTAAACTAAGATGATTGATACATTATAAATCAAAATTTCAGATTTGCGCTATTCAGATTTGCAAAACACACAACCACACCCTGTACATCTTTTGGGGCCAAGAGAACTGATTAGCAGGTATGAAGATGAACTCTCTATCCTTAAGCACACCTGGGGTCAGTGTGCCCAAACCCAGATCACCTCCCCTGGGAGCTTCTCATGTTCATCTCCCCTCCTGCAAGTGAGGATGCTCTGAAGATCGTTTACCTGTAGTGAGACAGGGCAATTTAGTGGCCAAAGTTTCAGCTCGGACTTCAGACAGACATGGGTTCAAGTCCTAGTTTAGCTGTAATCTTGGGTACATACTTCGCTTTTTTACCTCTTCATCTCATTTCCTGTAAAATAGCAATTATATTCATCACACCCGCTTCAGAGGGGAGCCCGCAGTGTTAAATCAGAAAACAAATCTCAAGCACATACTTTTGTGCCTGGCACATGTATATACTCAATAAATACTAGTGTTGTCTGGCACGGTGGCTCCTGCCTGTAATCCCAGCATTTCAAGAGGCCAAGGAGGGCAGATAGTTTGAGCCGAGGAGGTTGAGGCCAGCCAGCCTGGGCAACATGGCTAAACTCTGTCTCTACAAAAAATACCAAAAATAATTATCCAGGCATGATGGTGGGTCCCTGTAGTCCCAGCTAGCTACTTGGGAGGTTGAGGCTGCTGTGAGCCATGATTGCACCACTGCACTCCAGCCTGGGCAACTGAGTGAGACCGTGTCTCAAAATATAAATAAATAAATAAATAAATAAATAAATAAATAAATAAATAAATTAATAACAAACTATTAGCTGGTATCATTGTTAGTTTAGATATTCCGTGTCTCTCCTCCTTCCCTGATACAATACAGGAGAGCTACCCCTATTAGCATTCCCACTTTATAGGCCAGAAACTCGGGTGTCAGGAGAGACGAAGAGGTTTGCTCAATTTTTATAACTAGAAAGATAATAAGGAGATCAGAATCCAAGCCCACCCAGCTGCAATCTCCATGCACGCCTTCCACTCCAACTCGCTCCTGTTGGAGGGGACCACAGCGCACCAGACTATGATGACTGCAAGGCCACGGAGCAGGACTGGGCCTCTCCAGCCACTGTACTTTCTCATGGCCCTGCTACCTGTGTGACCGGTTAGCACAGATGTGCTTCGTGGACGCTGCTGGCATTTCAATAATGCTGGGATATTATGTGCTGTAAAAACAGGACATCATTGCTTACCAGGGGCTTATAAAAATAATTGCAATCCAGGCTGGCCTCTGTCACTAGTAATTTATCGCATTGCTCCTCTTTTTGTTAATGCAGTTTACACGAGTCAAACGAATTATATGTAAATTGGGGAGCATGTTAGACTTCAAGTCGAGAAGTGATATACATAGGTGTGAATAAGATATTTTCGAATTTTTCAAATCCCAAATGGAGGTGGGTGATATGTTAGTAATCGGAGAGGGTGGTGCTCAGGAATGGGAAGCGGGAGGCCCTCCCTCCAGTCTGAGAAACCAAGGGTGACTCTCCATGCTTCCGGCCCACATGACTGCTGCTGCTGCTGCTGCTGCTACTGCTCCTGCTGGAGGGGCACGTCCCAAAGGTGGCCCGGATTCCAGCTGCCCCTCACTGTCGCCAGACTGATACCAGATCTTTAGCCTGACAGTCAGGGTCCCTCCTCCTGGAGCTCCCGTCTTGCTCCTTGGCATCCTCCAATCAACCTGCTATGCTGCTGTCCTGTGCTGGGCACAACACAGCCTAGATGCCTTTGCTCCTGCCAGCCCCAAGGCCTAAAGCGCCCCTGCTTCCTCTTCAACATGCCTGCATCCTGGGAGTCCTCCTATACCCATTCCCCTCACCTGGGCTGAAACCCACTGTGATCTGTGAGAGCTCCCTTGGCAATGCCATGCTTTCTACCCAAGGGTCTGGAAGTTTCTTGAGTGCTCAGGCTGTGTGTTCACTCCTTCCATCATGGGTTCATTCACTCTTTGATTTGATAAATGATCCTTGAACATCTTCCATGTGCTATACTTTGTATAATCTTCTGAGACCCTGGTTCAAGTTCCCACCCTCACCCTCACCTCACTGTGCAAAGTAAAATGCCTATGGTTAAAAGGAAGGAATGAACAGGAAGAATTACTGTTCATTAAACCCACTTTTAAGCTTCTTATGCTATGCTGGGCCTTCTCTTTGGCCTCACACTCAATTCACCTGATAGTCTTTTGAAACATTACTTCTGCATTTTGTTGCTCAGGAAATTGAAATTGAAGATCAAAGAAAATAAGTAACTGAGATGATGCCACAGAGCAGGGACTCAACTTCAGCCACCCTCGCAACTGTACCATGGTGTTTATTTAATAAAAATCTCAGCTGTGTGCGGTGACTCACATCTGTAATACCAGCACCTTGGGAGGCCAAGCACCTTGGATCACCTGAGGTCAGGAGTTCGAGACCAGCCTGGCTAATATGGTGAAACCCCGTCTCTACTAAAAATACAAAAATTAGCCAGGTGTGGTGGCGTGTGCCTATAGTCCAAGCTACTCAGGAGGCTGAGACAGGAGAATCGCTTGAACCCAGAAGGCGGAGATTACAGTGAGCTGAGATTGCGTCACTGCACTCCAGCCTGGGTGACAGAGCAAGACTCCATCTCAGAAAAAAAAAAAAAAAAGTCTCATAAACCTACCTTTGCAATGAGTGAATGCATGACAGAAGTGCATACACCCACTGAGGACTTAATGAAAGGACATGTGTTCATTTGTATAGGAGATGGAAGGGATGGGCAACATACAAAGATCTGCTTGCAAAAACTGCTAAATAGTTTGGCCAATACATTATAAGCCAGGTCTTCTTGCTGGGCTTTGGAAGATTTAATTGAGAGGTCCCAGGTTGTAGGCCAGTTCAGTGAGTCTCAGACAGTGGTCTTCTCATGTGACTTCTGGATCTCCAATAGTTCCAGGTAGTTCCAGAACACATTTGGGATTCCAGTACAGGAAAATACTATGATCACTCTGGTATTGGGTTCCAAAAAAACTTGTGGCCTCTTTCTTTCTCTCTCTCTCTCTGTCTCTCTCTGTCCCTCTCCTCGTAATGAGCAAAGAGAACTGCCATGCTGTGGGTAGCCTTGTTGGAAATGGACTTATGTCTCTGGCCAAAAACCAGTGAGAACCTGAGGTTCTTGGTCCACTAGTCCACGAGGAACTGAATCTTACCAACAGCCATATGAGTGAGCTTTGAAAAAGAATGTCCCCAGTCGAGCCTTGAAATGATTATAGCCCCAGCAAACACCTTGGCTGTAGCCTTGGGAGAGACCCTGAACTAGAGGCATCCAGCTAAGCCACACCCAGATTCCCAACCCATAAGCACTATCAGATAGAAAATGTGTGCTGTTCGAAGCTGCAAAACTTGGGGATAATTTGTTATGCAGCAGTAGGTAACTAATACATATGTCTAATTCCATGCTTCCAACCATCAAACCAGCAGCTTCAGAGAGCCTTCCCAGTTATTACAACCACTAACCCACCTACCCCCGACCTAAAAGATAGAGCAACTCAACAAATATGCACTTAAGTTTTGGGTGAGAAAAATATGTATATTAGAATGCACATCTCTAGCCAGTTACTGTGACTGAACTAATTAGTGCTGTTTACTGCCTGCTAGGGTTTTACAGTCAATGTTTTAATGAAATTACTGTCATTCAAAATGATTGTTACACCTTAGCCTGCCTCAGTCTGAAAGTTCCCTAAGGTGCCCAGATCATTAGGTAAACCACAGTGAGGAAGTGTGCTTCAGGAAAACCTTCATTCACTTCTCACTTAATACTTGAACATCATTATGTGCTAGGCACCAGGAGGGATGACAGAAGAAACATATGTGCTATTGTTTTCAATCATATTTTAGGATAAGCACCCAAACAGATGAAGACAGAATAGAATCGACTAATGTGGGGGAATTCTAGAAGGCCTCTTGCAGAAAAGGGCTTACAGCTGGGTTTTCAAGAAGGAAAAGTGCTGGAAAGGACCAAAGTAAGGGAGGGGAAGATAATGTTCTTTCCAAGTAATTCACTTGCTCATTGTATTAGTCCATTTTCATGCTGCTGATAAAGACATACCCGAGACTGGGCAATTTACAAAAGAAAGAGGTCTATTGGACTTACAGTTCCACGTGGCTGGGGAGGCCTCACAATCATGGCAGAAGGCAAAGAAGAGCAAGTCATGTCTTACATGAATGACAGCAGGCAAAGAAAGAGCTTGTGTAGAGAAACCCGTTTTTAAAACCATCAGATCTCGCGAGACCCATTCACTGTCGCAAGAACAGCACTGGAAAGACCTGCCCCCATGATTCAATCATCTCCCACCAGGTCCCTCCCACAACACACGAGAATTATGGGAGCTACGAAATGAGATTTGGCAGGGGACTCAGAGCCAAACCATATCACTGATTAATTCAACAGATCGTTTTAGAACATCCTCTATCCCTATCGTAGAGGTTACCAAGGATACAGAACAAAAGACACTATCAATATAAATAAATATAAGCATAATACTTAGAGAATACCTAATTGACCAGAAGGATTGACCAGAAAAGTGAAGAGAGATTGAAAAATCTCCCCTAAGATTAGTGGAATGGATTCTCAGTAAAAGCCTTACTGAGTAGCTAAGACTAGATGTAGCCCCATCATAGGGTGATCACATAGACTATCATCTAAACTAGGGCATTTTGAACAGGAAAGAGGGTAACATTGATCATTTTACAGTAAACTGGAAAAGTCCCAGGCAAACCAGAATAATAGTCACTGAGCTTTAAAGAATCGACAGAGGTTAAACGGGACCTCATATGCAGAAAAAATCATGTGAGTGACAGCTCTGAAGCAGAAATTATTAATTGCAAATTATTGCAGAAATTAATATAATTATTTAAGTGTGATGATAATAAGGCTTATTATGGTACATGCTCAATGAATATTTGTTGAAAGCAGAAGGGAAGGGAGGGAAAGAGCGAGAGAGGGAGGTTGGTTTGCTAACAGTACGCCCAACTTTTGGAAGATTGTTAAATTCTGTCAAAACTCCTAGAATTAGTGTAGTCTCTTAAAATTTTTGACCTTGGTTTTGTGTTTTGATTGACCTTTCATGATTAGCACAACCATCACAAAGTTTTTTTTTTATATAAGTGCAATCATAGTGTACTGCAGCCTGGAACTCCTGGCCTCAAGCAGTCTTCTCCCTTCAGCTTCCCAAGTAACTAAGACCACAAGTACACACCACAGCGCTCAGCTTCAAAGATGTTTGATGATGAGGTATTGGTAGAATGCAAAGGTCATGGGCTTTAATCCTCGTCTTGAACTACAATTCCAACATCATTATTAAATTTCAGAACCTCAGTCTCCTCCATTGTGAAAGAGAGATTAGAGCTCCTACCACCAAAGGCTATTGTGTGGTTTAAATGAGATAACATTTAAATGCACACAGAGTTCCCTGCATGCAGTAACATGCAACACATCTTCCCACTTTTTTCTGTCTCTTCAAAAAGCTAAAGCACAGTGTATGCTGAAATTACCCCAATATAACCCTAATGACTGCCTAAATTAACAGCAGCCTCCCTATAAATGTGAGGGACTTTTACAAAGAAAAGTCAAAATGACCAAAGACATGTGGTTCAGGAATGAAAAATGTCAGCTTGTTAGTCTTGGAAACACTACAAGTCTTCTGGAGCCAAGAATCTACAATGATGTGCATATTTTCCCCAATGAATAAAAACCAACTAGATTTTTAGAAGAAATTTGGATAATTTGGTCATTTGAACAACCAAGTCGAACAGATTTTAATGGCATTTTAAGCCTTGGAAAATAAGACTCCTTAATGTAAATGCCGACAGACCCTTAACTATAGCAAGACATCTATCGACATAGTAATAGCTTTAAGAGGGAGAGTAAAACACCTATTTACATTTTGAGTACAAGCCTATTCCCAAAGCACATTCACATTTGAATCAGATAAAAGACCAAGAAGCAACCTCAGGCTGACTGACAGACATCCTGGTGGCAGAAGGATGAACAGGGATCAGTCTTTAACACCACTATTAGTGATTGTGCCTCATTTAAAAATCACATGTTGTTGTAACCGAATTATACTTACTGACTGATAAGGCCATTAGCTACTTTCTATTTGCAGATGTTGCACTGAAACGAGTATGTTAAAGATAGACCCAACCAATGGTTCTCAATCAGTAACCCACGGAGCACCAAACTAGCTAGATGTTCAATTGTTGGTTCTGCACAAAGTCCAGCGTCTAACACAAAGAAGATGTGTAATGATCATTGCTTGAAAGGCAAAATGGAAAGAAAAGAGGGAGGGAGGAGAGACGCAGGGAGGAAGGAGGTGCAGTCCAAAACCATGTTCAGGATTTGAAAGGACAGCCCAGAAGTAGCCTGGTTGACAGACCTACAGCACCCTGGGCCACTCACAGGTTATAGAAGGGAATGCCCCAGGAGCCCAGATTATCACACATCTATCTCACCCAACATGGAGGTTCAAATGGTCCTTGATTGCTTATTTTCTGTTAAGCTTTCCTTCTCCTTCAAGTTCATGTGTGATGCAGAATATTCTTCATGGGGAAGGGTGTTCTGGTCCTGGGGGTGGAGGTGATGCCTGCCTCCCTCCCCCACCATCCTCAGCACCTGTCTTGGTTCATTTGCATCATCTTTTGCCAGGGTGATGGCGAAGCTTTCCTAGTGTCTCTTCTTGCCCTCTCCAATCCATTCTTCACCTATCTCCAGTGTCAACAATCTACAACATAAATTTGATATTATGCCAACACCTTCTGCTAAAAGCCTGGTTTTTTGCTGCTTCTGCGTTAGTGCCAGTGCCTATGGCATGACAGAACCTCCAGGACTCAGATATATGAGGGTGAATTCATCGTGGAGCAGGCTGTCAGCTACAGCTGGGAAACTGAGTCCCAGCGAAGTGAAGTGATGAGCACAAAGTCCTCAGACAGAAAATAATTAGCTAAGCAGGCACTGGGGCCCCAGACCCCCCACCCCAGGCGAGGGCCTCTCCAACCAGACCTAGCTCCCTTAGAAGACACCCAGCCCTTCCCAGAACCTGAGACACATTCTGGCATTGCTGTGCCAGCCCAAGTTCTGCCACTGTCTTGAGAAGTGTCAATCTGAATCCCAAATGTGCCAGCCTTATTACCATCATCAACAGACTTCTTAATGAAGCTGCCAATACTGTCAATAGCATCTTTTAATGACACTTCGTAAAGAAAAAGAATTACCCAACTCCCTCCTATGTTGCCGTGTGGGTCCTTTGCTTTATGCAGACTCAAAATGTTCTGTGAGTGAAGACAATAAAAACAGTAATAATAATAATGGCTATTATAATAACAGCTAATATTTACTCAGTTCTAGTCCTGCCCCAGGGACTATTTTTTTTTTTTTTAAAGGAGTCTCGCTCTGTCGCCCAGGCTGGAGTGCAGTGGCGCGATATCGGCTCACTGCAAGCTCCGCCTCCCGGGTTCACGCCATTCTCCTGCCTCAGCCTCCCTAGTAGCTGGGACTACAGGCACCCGCCACTGGCCCGGCTAATTTTTTGTATTTTTAGTAGAGACGGGGTTTCACCGTGGTCTTGATCTCCTGACCTCATGATCCACCCACCTCAACCTCCCAAAGTGCTGGGATTACAGACGTGAGCCACCACTCCCGGCCGCCCTAGGGACTATTCTAAACCCGTTACATGTATGCAGAGTAACTGGTCCAAATAAATATGAATTTAAGGGATTAAAGCCACTGCATTTAAAATCCAATTGGAGGCCTGGCGCGGTGGCTCATGTGTGTAATCCCAACATTTTGGGAAGCCGAGGCAGGTGGATGACCTGAGATCAGGAGTTCAAGATCAGCCTGGCCAACATGGTGAAATCCTGTCTTTATGAAAAATACAAAAAAAATTAGCTGGGCATGGTGGCAAGCACCTGTAATCTCAGCTATTGGGGAGGCTGAGGCAGGAGAATCACTTGAACCCTGGAGGCAGAGGTTGCAGTGAGCCGAGATCCTGCCATTGCACTCCAGTCTGGGCAACAAGAGCAAAACTCTGTCTCAAAACAAAACAAAACAAAACAAAATCTAATTGGAGATATTGTCTGCCAGCCCAACACCATAGTCCACCATTTAACTTGATATTGATTGATTGATTGATTGATGCCTTGATGGAGCTAATTGTCATTGCCCTTTCTCAGCAGATCCCATGTAGAAATGCCTTGAAAAATGTCCTTCTTCTCCAATCTTGCCATGGATGCACCAGTGGCCCTCCTATTACTTAGTGATGGAAGCAGTTTTTAAAACCACAGAGCACAGCTTTAAAAATACAAGCTTCTCACATTTTTATTCTGGCCAAACAGATCTCTATGTTGTGCATTCTCAGTTAGAATGTTAAGAGGAAGACGATTTGGTACAAAAAGTTGATAATGAAAGGAGAGATGGAGAAAGTGTTAAAATAATGAACAGAGTGAGGAAGAATGAAAAGGAAAGGTTTGGGGTCCATTATTATTCAGTCCTGGATCCACCTTGGACTTGGAATCCTTCTGTTTCTACTCCCTGAAGTTTGTGTGCATTTTGCTCTTGTTTTGGAGGAAGGGTTGGTTTTTTCCCCTCTTATGCATCTCTTAAAGGGTTTCATAAAGGCCACTCCATAGAGTGGCCCCTATGGAGCCTGCCCCCGTTGGTAGGGTCTCTCTCACTGGAGCCCCACATCTGTGCGGCTCCTCTAGGAAACCAACAATGGGCTGCTGCTCCAATTTTATGAACCACTAAACTGCGGCTCAGAGAGGAAAACGACTCACTCAGAGTCACTCACAGGGCTCCAACACCAACAAGTGTCACTCAAACCCCACCTGCTTCTGTGAAATCACACCATCCTGGTCAAAGCCATCACTTCACAAGTCTAAACCACAGCACCGTAACGTGAAGGGGGACTCAAGGGACACTAAAACACACACAATTACAACAGCATGAAATAGTAGCAAACAGGTGAAAGGAACCTAAGAGAAGACACCAGGGCCAACAGCAACTTTCTCTCAGCCATGGCTGTATGAATGATCTTTTGTTTTTCGTTTTCCTTTGTTTTACAAAATGTTCAGTAATGTGGTTATACAATAAGTAAATTTATTTTAAAACTTCATTCCCTCTCTTGTTCCATGGATTTCCAAGGATTTTCTTTTACAGTAAAGTAAGAAGTTAAAGACAGTAGGCCAGGCGTGGTGGCTCACACCTGTAATCCCAGCTCTTTGGGCGGATCACCTGAGGTCAGGAGTTCAAGACCAGCCTGGCCAACATGGCGAAACCCCGTCTCTACTAAAAATACAAAAATTAGCTGAACATGGTGGTGCACACCTGTAATCCCAGCTACTTGGGAGGCTTAGGCAGGAGAATGGCTTGAACCCAGGAGGCGGAGGTTGCAGTGAGCTCAGATCACACCACTGCACTCTAGCCGGAGTGACAGAGCAAGACTCCATGTTGAAAAAAAGAAAGAAAGAAAGAAAGAAGGAAAGAAAGAAAGAAAGAAAGAAAGAAAGAAAGAAAGAAAGAAAGAAGAAGAAGAAGAAGAAGAAGAAGAAGAAAGGAAGGAAGGAAGGAAGGAAGGAAGGAAGGAAGGAAGGAAGGAAGGACAGAAAGAAAGAAAGAAAGAAAGAAAGAAAGAAAGAAAGAAAGAAAGAAAGAAAGAAAGAAAGAAAGAATCTCCCAAGTTTTCCAAATCCGCTTATCCAGTACTTTTTTTTTTTTTTTTGAGACCAAGTCTTGTTCTGTCACCCAGGCTGGAGTGCAATGATGCAATCTCGGCTCACTGCAACCTCCGCCACCCGGGTTCAAGTGATTCTCCTGCCTCAGCCTCTGGCACATGCCACCACGCCCGGCTAATTTTTTGTGTTTTAGTAGAGACAGGGTTTCACCATGTTGCCCAGGCTGGTCATGAATTCCTGAGCTCAGGCAATCTGCCTGCCTCAGCCTCCCAAAGTGCTGGGATTACAGGCGTGAGCCACTGTGCCTGGCCTCATCCAGTACTTTTAAAGCACCTACTATGTTGCTAGACCAAGGCCAGGCACCGTAAGGGGCTGTAGAAGCAGGACAGAACCCACCCCTCTCTACTGGAGCTGAGGAGACAACAGACACAAAGCAAGCCCTTGGAGAAGCATCTGAAACAATACAACATTGAATGTCCACATGCAACTCCAGAGTGCCAAACTGCATGGCTCAGGCAACAGAGAATGGCATTTCTCACCAGCAACCTGCAATTCTTCAGCAAATAGGCCAGGCCAAGAGGTTCAAGTGGTTTATGAAAAATTATCTATTTACAAGATGCATCAACTCAGACTATGACTTCTTAGTGAAGTGTTTTTTTCCAACACCTCTTCCAAGCTCTCCACGTTGCATTGTACTAATCAGTAGTGATTTTGGAGTCTTTAAATGTTAGACTGTATAATGAAAAAGGGCAAGGAAGTGTTTTTAAATACCAATGAATTCCAGCATCTTGGGTTGCCAGAAGTCTGGTCTCTACCTCCAGTTTCCCACCCAAGCGTTTGGGACTTGCACATGTCGGTAGGAAGCTGATGAATGGAGGTTGGGCCCTCCTGTCCTTCCTCTTGCAGTCCCAAGGAGTCCAGCCTGTTGGGAAAGCGGCTCACTGTGGTGAGGGGTCACCTGGCTGTGATCCCTTCACACCACCTCCCTTAGGTACCACATGGCTCTCTCACCAGCAACCCTGCCCTTCTCTGGCCTGGACTCCGATGTCTCAATTCTACAGGAAAAGACTCATCCTGGAAGGTCTTGCAGAACACTTAAGAACAGTTATCAGATCAGATGAAGAATGGTATGAGAAACAAAAATTGTTATTCTGGGGACAAACTGGAAGCATAGTCATTGTCTGTGTAGCTCTGAAGTGGCAAGGTGGAGAATATTGCTACCATCAGTTTACTAAACGATGGTCATTGTCCAGGTATTGCAGGATTACCTTAATCTTCATGGCACCCTTAGGGAGACACTGTTGTTAAACCCTTTTCTCCTAGCAGGAAACAGAGCCCTGGAGAGTGTCGCCCACTCGCCCAAAGCTGTTCCTTTCCTTCATAAGGAACTAGTGCTTGAGCTCAGGGTGCCTGCCCACCAGCCTCTGCCTTCATCACCAGGATGTCCTGCTGCTGGGCGCTTACAGACACTTTCCATGCGGGCCCAGCAGGCTAATGAACGCCAGCTCAACACGATGGGTCTTGTGAGGTAGAACCCATGGCCAAATGGTCATCTTAGGAAACAAGGGAGTCGACACAGTCATTCTTCCAGCTGACAGCTGTCAGATATTCCTGGGACACTCACGGAAGGATGGCAGACTGTGCTAGGGTGGGTGGCAAGCTAGGGAAAAAATACTAAAGAAATGGCGCCCACCCTCAAGGAGCTGGGCCTCCAGGAAAAGAGGCCAAACATGGAACCTGAAGACATCTAGGGAACTTGGCAAGGATATTGATGGACAGGTGCTGCAGGAGGAAGACCAGGGGCTCCTGGTTGTGTCTGGCCATCAGAACTTCAGGGACGTTTTCCACAGGCCCCCACCTGGAAACCTCATTCTCCAGGGGTGGGCCGTGGGACTATGGATCTAAAGCTTCACAAACTCATCCAAGTGCAGCTAGTTGGTGAGCCTCTTTGCACTGCTGAGGTTGTAATGATGGTGTCCCCTGCCAAATTCATGCTGCAACTTAATCTCCAATGCAACAATATTGGGAAGTATGGCCATTGGGAGGTGATTGAGTCACAAGGGCTCCACCATAATGAGTAGGATTAGTTGCTCTTAGAAAGAAACCTGACAGAGACAATTTACCCCTTTTTGCCCTTCTGCCATCTGAGGACATAGCGTTTCTCACCTCAAAAAAATGCAGCATGGCACCTGGTTTCTAAGAGTCCAGGGCAGAAGAGACAAGTCTTCTCATGGCCCCAGAACATCACTTCCACTGCATTCTCAAGGTCAAGTAAGTCCCTAAGGCCAGCCAAATTCAAGGATGGGGAATTAGACTCTCTATCTCAGTAGAGGTAGACAAGTGTTTGCAGCTATTTTTATTCTATCGATGTCCCCTAAAGGGTGACATTGGGATGCAGTTGTCAGACAGGTAAAACATGAGGACAGGTAAAACATGAGATACAGAGAGTCTTCCACATGCTTCTATGTCCACAATCTCACTCATCTTGTTACTTAGTCCCTCTGAGACTTGGTTTCTCCATTTGTAAAATCTGAACAATAGCCCACCATTAGAATGGCCCAGAGAGGATTCAATGGATCATGTACACCCAGCTCCACTGGACAGCCAAGTTTCCCTTGCTCCCTCTTCATGCCAATCAGGCCTGAAGACACCGAGGATGCCATGACTTTGCACAAAGCCACACTGCAGTCCAGGCAGAGCTGAGGCTGGACTGTGGGGGACTCTGGGTCCTCAGCCTGTGGTATGCTCTACAGTGTAACAGGACATGAATTAGCTGTTTTATGAGAAGCTCAATTTCCTTATTATGGGGCAAACAGCCACTGTTCTATTCTAACTAACTAGACTGATTCAATTAACAGTGCTAAATACAGTTCCTACTTGAAAATAACTTCAGTTTACTGCTTCCACAAACCTCATTACATTTGATTAAACAAAATACATAGTAGTAGAGGAGAGATGTTGCAAACTTTTGGCTATGGCCCATTGACTCAGGGGCCCGCAGCATTCAGCAGGAAGGAGGAATTATGAGTCTCAGCCTTGCAGTTGGAAGCTCAGCTCTGCCTCCCAATAGCTCTGGGACTCAACTTAAACTTCCAAATCTCAAAAAAGAAGACAGTAAAAGCACCCACTTCTAAGGGTTGTCAAGAAGAAGAATGAGAAACACATTGTTAGTGACTGAATTTTGTCCTACTTCCAAAATTAATATGTTGAAGCTCTGGCCCCCGGTGTGATTGTATTTGGAGATAAAGCCAATAAGAAAGTAATAAAGGCTAAGGAAGGTCATAAATGTGAGACCTTAATCTGATAGGACTGGTGGTCTTCCAAGAAAAGAAAGAGACAGCAGAAAGCCTGCTCACTCTCTCTCGCTCTCTCTCTCTCTCTTTCTCCCTCCAGAACCATATAGAGGAAGGACCCGGTAACACAGCAGAAAGGTGTCAGTCTACATGCCAATAAGAGAGGCCTCACCAGAAATATAATTTGCTGGCATCTTGATCTCATACTGCTAGCCTCCAGAACTGTAAAAAAATAACTACCTGTTGTTTAAGCTACCTGGTGGTATTTTGTTACAGCAGCCTGAGCTGACTGATATACACCTCAAGTGAGAGTTTTCATGGGCTTCTAGACTGGAAGCTTGCTGAAGGCAGGGATGGGACTATATGATAATCAATTTTGTTTCTCCTTGCCTGGCTGGGGCCCAGCATATGTTTAGTGTCAGTGAATTAACCAACAATCAAAGAAGGGTGTCAGCTGGAATTCTACTGGGCAAGCATGACAATATGGCTTCATTTGGTTGATTCTGTTATGTTCAATTAAATACTTTTCAAAGTCTTCTTGCTCTACCAAGAGCTGAAGATAAATAAAAGTGTAGTATCTGTCCTCAAAAAGAGAAAGATGAAAAACACCCATTTATCAGAAAACAAGATAAGGGATGCTACAGAGAACTTTCAAAGTGCTCCAGGAATTCCAAGGAGGAAACAATAAAGAGTTCCTTAAGAACGGGGAAGCCAAGTTTAAAACCATTCTGATTAAGCCTAAAAAAAAAAAAAGTGTCACTAAAATGAACCAGTGTTCGTAAGAATGCCAGATAAAGTCTGGCAATCAGCTCAGTTCTGCAATTAATTAACAAGGATTGGGCCTGCTGCAGACACAAAAGAAATACAGCCACAGACTTTGCTCTGAGTTTATTTGTATTGTTGAAATAGGAAAGAATTGTAGAGGAAGACAATTCCCAAGTGGGAAATAAGGAGGTGAGATTCCACTGTCAACCCAGGTGATCAGCACATAAACACATGGGGACCACAGCAGATTTTGCTCAGCTCTAGGAAAGGGGCCTGGGGTGTCCTTTCAGTTCATTGTCCACATTTCACGTGGAGGTGTAGAGGCTAAAGCACAGAACGGGTGAGCAGGGAGCATTACAAAAGCATGGTGGGCAGTGGGGCAGTGACCCACCTCTCCCATCTCACTGCCCACGTACTAGGAGCTGGGAATGGATGAGAAGGTCCAGAGACTACCCTTGAAAAGAATCAGGGACTAGAAGTAACATACGTCTGAATCCTCCCTCTTGTCTCCTACAGGACTTTATTCTCCTGCTTCTTGCCTTTGATCAGTTATCTGATCAATCAGCCCATGATTCTGCCTTCTGCGAATGGTGCTACCCAAATCACCCCTTCCCCAAACCTGCATCGTCTCAGATTTCCTGCCTCCCTCATCACCTACATTCACTCACTGGCCATGTCCTCTTCTGTCTGTTCCATGGCCTACATCTCTCCTTTCTGCTTGTTTCATTTGCCACCCCTCTCATCTGGGCCGCCATCATCCCACATCAGGACCACTCCAGCAAAACACTCCTACCTGTTCTCCGGGGTCCCTGGTTGACCCTCGTATTTATCTTGTGTTACCATAACAACGTACTACACACTGGATGGCTTTACAGAAATTTATTATGTCACAGTTCTGGAAGCTAGAAGTCAGAGGTCAAGCCGTGAGCAGGGTTGGCCTGTAGGTAGTGCCTTCTGGCTGTGACCTCACACAGGGGCTCCTCAGTCAGTGTGAGGCCCTATCCTAAGTGCTGCTGCTTCTAAAGATACCAGTCATACCGGCTCATGGCCCACTCTAACAACCTCATTTTAACTTTATTAGTTTGTTTTTTGTTTTTTGTGTTTTTTGCTTTGTTTTGTTTTGTTTTTTGAGAATCTTGCTCTGTCACCCAGGCTGGAGTGCAGTGGCACCACCTCGGCTCACTGCAAGCTCTGCCTCCCGGGTTCATGCCATTCTCCTGCCTCAGCCTCCCAAGTAGCTGGGACTACAGGCACCTGCCACCACGCCCAGATAATTTTTTGTATTTGTAGTAGAGATGGGTTTTCACCGTGTTAGCCAGGATGGTCTCGATCTCCTGACCTCATGATCCACCTGTCTCGGCCTCCCAAAACTTAATTAGTTTTTTAAAGATTCCATTCCAAACACACATTCTGACACACTGGGGGTTAAGGGCGTCAACATACACATTGGGTGGGAAAGACACAATTCAGCCACAGCAACTCCTCATTACCAACCCCCAATGGAACAACAGGTCTCAGATGCCCCACCGACCATGCCCCTGTCCAGACCAAATTGCTTCACTGCAGCCCCAGAAACTATACAATAAAATCCAAAATTCCCCAGCAGGGGCTGTGATGGCATGTTGGGTGTCTCTCAAACCTCATAATATCTACCTTCAGCCTTTTGGAACTGTGGGCGGGTTCCCAAACCACTCCAAATCACCTCTCTCCTCCCTGCCATTATGGTTCTCCTTATCTTATCAGGTCAATTCCTAAGCACTTCTTCCAGGAAGTATTTCCTTATTTTTTTAAGACAGAGTCTCGCTCTGACACCCAGGCTGGAGTGCAATGTCGTGATCTCAGCTCACTGCTACCTCCGCCTCCCTGTTTCAAGTTATTCTCTTGCCTCAGCCACCCGAGTAGCTGGGATTACAGGCATGCACCACCACACCCAGCTGATTTTTGTATTTTTAGTAGAGATGGGGTTTCGCCGTGTTGCCCAGGTTGGTCTCAAACTTCTGGTCTTAAGAGATTCGCCTACCTCAGCCTCCCAAAGTCCTGAGACCATAGGTGTGAGACACTGTGCTCGGCCAGGACATATTCTTTATCCCACCCCACCTTCCAAGATGTCTGGGTGGATCCCCCATAACTCTCATCTTTCCCACTCTCAAGGCTTGGGTTATAACTGATTGTCATATTCTACTGACCCAAATGTTTTTTTCACTTGCCTTTCAACATAGGGACTGTGCCCAGTCCTATGGAGCCACAGTATTTGGTATTCAGTATATGCTTAAAACATAAATGAATGGCATATCCATCTCTCCTAATGAGAGAGTGTGGACTTCTTGAGGAAAAGGGGAGCTCTCATTCATCTCTGTGTCCCCTGCTCCTTTCCAGAACCTAGCACAGGGCTCATCACTAAGCAGGTGCCTTCCTGACCTGCGGGTGAGGTCGACTTCGACAAAATGAAGGCAGGAGAGTGCAAGGGAGCCCTGTCGGGGAAGCTGGAGATCTATCCCCTGTATGTCTGATAAGTTTCTGTTGTTTAACCAATTTCACATTATTCTTCATCATTTCCTTTCCCTAGTGAAACACTGAATTTGCCTCAATTGTTATAAAAACAAACCTTCATTGTAAAGGAAAACAAATGCTTTAGAGGAAAGAGCATTGATTTGAAGTGAAAACAGTTGGGGTGCCACTCTAGCAATCCACTTACCAACTACGTAACTTTGAAGGTAAGACCCTTAACCTCTCATCTTCTGGTGCATGAAGACACATGGTAGGTGCTGAGTAAATGCTAGTTCCCTTTTCCTTGCCCCACTGCTACACTTTGAACTCTACCCTCATTTCCATCATCAGTAGGCTTCAGATATTTTTTTTTTTAGCATGGAATGTTTATTAGAAAACATTCTTGGGTAAGGGGGAGACGAAACAGTGGGTTTATAAAAGAAGACTCAAGGTGCCATTCACAGGGGTGATCTGAATTTGTCTAGAATTGATTGACATTTTCACCTAAAAATTACCTGGGAAATTCAGGTAGTAGGAGTTCCCAAAAAAAGATTCTAGCTGTCAGTGACAACTGGCAGCATGTTTGTACCTCTTTCAGATTCTGATGAAAAGTTCCCAATCTCACTGCTTAGCATAAAAATATTAGCACCTGTACATGAGGCAGTGTGGATGACAGAGACGGAGCTCTCTCTAGATCTGATGGAGGTGTGGTATAGAAATACTCTTCCTGTTTTCCAAAATATTTATCACTTCCCTGCACACAATAAAAACTGACTGATTTTCATTCACAACCCAAACAGAAGGCTCTCTCTTTACCGGCTCCTGGACTCAGACGCAAGCAGACTTGTTGTGAGGAATACAGCAAACCAGGCTTCTGTTAAAACTCATGCGTAATCAAAACAAATTGAATATCCACCCTTATTCCCATAGGGAGTAGCATTATAATGATTAATGCTTGACAATTATATTTAATGAAAGCTTATTTACTTTATAAGTACTTTCCAAGTATTTTTCCTATGGTATTCCAAGCATTAACATTCCAAGATAATCTAACATATCACAGGTGAAGACAAGGATTATAATAACAAGAAGAAATGCACATTGGCATCAGGCACAGCCCGGAAACATTTTTTATAATGAAGAATATTTGTAGCGTGCAAATTTAAAAAGAATTTGATTCTTGAGGTCTGTAGCATTGCCTCTCCCTCTCTGTCTCTCTCTCTTTTTTCCCTCTCTCTTTCCAAACATGCATCACTGACACAAAAACATATCCCCTCAAAGATGTATCTACAATTTTGTTTCCTCTATTTTTGTTTTAAAAGCCCTCGCCTGCTCCAACCCAGCCTTAGGCTTCCAACATAATTAACCTTGAAAATTTCAGCGTTGTTATGTTTCAGCCCAGAATTCTAGATAGAATCAGTACATATACCTCCCTCACAAGTTTTAGACAAGAAATTTCAATATTATTTTCAGGTCCTGGTATACGTGGTGATGAAAGTTATATTGTGAAATTCAATTCTGGAAAATGTACCTCAGATCTCTAATATTTTTCCCCAAATTACAACCAACTGGATCTAATCTTACAGCACCAATTAAATATTTTATTTTATTTTTTATTTATTTATTTATTTTTTGAGATGCAGTCTTGCTTCTTTGCACAGGCTGGAGTGCAGTGGTGCGGTCTCGGCTCACTGCAACCTCCGCCTCCTGGGTTCAAGCAGTTCTCCTGCCTCAGCCTCCCTAATAGCTGGGATTACAGGCATGTGCCACCACGCCCAGCTAATTTTTGTATTTTTAGTAGAGACCGGGTTTCACCATGTTGGCCAGGCTGGTCTCGAACTCCTGACCTCAAGTGATCCACCCACCTCAACCTCCCAAAGTGTTGGGATTACAGGCGTGAGCCACCGTGCCCAGCCCCAATTAGCTATCTTTAACACAACTGAAATTGTCATTCTTTTGAATTAAATTTGATTTAATTTGTACAATTTCTGTGCAAGGCATGACAAACCATTTATTCAGTTTAAAAAGAAGTTATTAATAGAAACTAGACTTTGGAAAATGCTCATATTTAAACTTTTTAATTTTTCTAATTAGTTATTTAAAAAAACTATACGGAAATGGAAAATAATCATTCATTCTGGTTTACTACAGAAAGCATGAAATACTTCACACTCTGCTTCTAGACTCATACCTTAAATAAACAGCAATGTTCTCGTGCTTCGAAAGAAAACAAATTTTATGCTTGCCTGATGAGGAGAGAAACCCCATGTCTTTCATGAGGAAGCCTCAGCACAGATTCCTAAGGGTGATACTGAGGTGACCCATGGAGATGCTGGGTGCCTGTGACCCTGAGGAGTGCCAGGTGTCCTGCGAACAATTTCACAGGCATTCTTGACAATACTGGAAGTTCCCACTTTCCCAACAATATCTCTGAAGGTCCTCATTCCTGATGAACTTACCAAGTTCAAAACTCACACGACATGCGTAATCCTGAAAAAGGTGGCAGGCATGTCATTTGTCCAGACTAAGAAGGAAGCGCAATGTAGCTGTGACATCCATACAATGTACAATTCTCTTGACAGGACAAAGTTGAAACCCTCTGCTTCATCTGTATTCTGATTGGCATGATTTCAAATTACGACATGGTGAACCTTCATATTTTATGTGGAACCACCTATGTTCTTGTAATGCACATGGACATACATCTCTTGGACCCACTCTAAAATCAGTCCCGTTTTACAGATGAGGAGAGTCCTAAACAAGTTGAGTCCTTCAGGCCCTGTGGTTACTCAGGTCTTGTGCAATTCCAAACCCTAGCACCTCGTTATATGCCTGGCTGCCTCCTTAGGAGAAATTAGAGATTGCTGAGTACGTGTAATATACCCACGGTCAAGTCTGAGCTACCGTTCTCATGCAATAGGTATAAACTCAGATAAGCTTCAGGACTGTCACCGCATGGGCTCAAAGACCCATACGGAGGATGCTGTCGACTGTCATTGTGAACCACATGTAGCCCATCAGAGGAGCTCTCTCTGCAGCTGTTGGTGACATTTGGCTTTCGAATCTAAGTTGGTAGCTTGAAATTAATTGAATTTATTTGATTTGGTTTTTAATTCATAAAACTATATTGCGCTCTGCTCTAAATGAGCTTATATTCCAAATGTGGTGTATTGCTTTTCTTTCTAACCATGATGATGTAAGTGTATTTTATTAATATAACAACAAGGTGCTCTATTGCTTTCTAACTATTTATCCTACATGTGTACATAAGTGTTAAAGGAGCTGGAGAGGCATTAAAATCAATCTTAATGCTTTTAAAACCAAAGGTGACATCCATTTAGGCTGTTTTCTAATAAATTCTGATTTTTTTTTCATTTGAGGAAACATATATAATTGCTAAGTTTATGCAATTTACAAGGTATTTTTAGCCTCAGAATAATAAACCTCACTTAAATCGATGGTCTTTGTACTTGTAACAAAGAGTTAATAACATAAGGCAAGTGAAAAATAAGTGTAGTTATTAAACGCCTTATTGATAAGTTGAGACCAAGAGTTACACCAACAGAGAAACTGTGAAGGAAGGGAATGCTGATGAAGTTAAAATAGAAACAAATATATACTGCCACTTTGCAGGATTAAGTGCACTGTCTAAAAGAAAAATTTAAGAAAATAATTTAAATAAATGGTATAATAAGATCCTTTTAAGAGACAGCTGTTCAGAACCAAATTTAGATTCATGCTCTTTTATCCATTCTATGAATAACAACCAGCTTTTGTTATTTTCTTACATGAAACCATTTTTTAAATAAATTTCAAGTGTTATAAATCACTCAGAATGTACATACCCCTAATTCATGCAGTTTTATTGCCACTAAGGAAATAATCATTCTTTCTCACTTTGTATCTGTCTTTTTCTCCCAGTGCACTTCTTTATTGAGGGAGCCTGAATAGTTCAAAGATTTTTAAAATTTTCATGATTAGGAACCCACTTTTTCAAATCAAAATGTTTTAACATTTTTAAAGGGGGAGAAATTTAACACTCTTTGTAAATAGTCTTCACAAAGCCTCTAACAAGTAAATTGATAGACATGTAAACATTGGTATATTTCAAATGACTCTATATATGAATTTATGAAGCTTTAAAGGGCTTCATTTTGCAAAAAGCAACTTTGCAGGCCATTAGTCCATAATATAGACTAGCCTCTTTGGAGTATTTAAGAAAAAGTGTGAAACAGCCAGGATGTTGAGACTTAGAATGGAATTGCCAACTGCACATGGGTTCATTTCCACCCAGTGTCTTGCTCAGGCATTTAGCAATGTGTTTTCCTAATGCAGGAATTGCACCTGACACACAAACATACACTATGGTACAAGCGTATTACAATGCATTTTCTTTATTATGCACATTGTGAACATACCCAAAGAAAAGTACACAACTACAGCCAAACACAACCCTTCTGTCAAATCAACAACATGAAGTCCTCACTGTTATTAATGTATCAGAGCCATAATGACAAACTGTGACTGCACGGTTGAACTAATGTTTTTCACTCATAGACAGCTTAACCAGTCCATTGGTATATTAGTAAGGCCTGCTTACTAATGAATCTTGGAGCAATTATTTGTATGTTTAAGGATTTGAAAGAAGGGTCAAGGAGTAGAAAAGCCGCTGTCCCACTTTTTTTGTTCAGGGGGTTCCTGGGCTTCAGACTTTCAGTATTAAAACTGAGAAAGCCCTAAGCAATCAGGGATAAGTTGGAAGAAAGTTGGAAATTCATTTTGGTTTGGGCAAGAGGCACAGAGAAAATGGACTGGGGAAAAAAATAATAATAAAAATGGACTGGGAAAAAAAATTACAAGCCTTAAAAAAGAAAGATTTGAATTTGTTACGTAACAAAGATGCTTTCACTAATTAAAGGAAGTTTACCTTTAACAGAGGCTTTTAGTCTCAAAAAATGGAAAAGTCCTCAGCATCCCAGGGGAATGCCAACTTCAAACGATTCTTAAGTTTTAATAATCACCTCGTGTGAAAATTGGCTGTGTTTAATGTTACTTTCTGAAAAGAATGAGTTGGTTTCCAAACAAATACAATTTCGGTACTTGTTTTCTGATACCGATTTTGGGTGTGTGAAATGGAAAGTTAAAAACATTTTACTTTGGCTAACAGATTTTAAAATGATAAAAATAGCAATTGTACGAACTCCCAAACTGAAAGAGCAGATTAATTTCATAAGAGATTAGAGTAAAAAAAGTTTTAAATTAAATTAAATTTCTACCTTAAATCAGTGAGTGATTAAGACAAAGATGCCAATGAAATCTGATGAAACCAATCCAAAGGCGGGCTTTTGATCTGTTACCCCCATAAAAAGAGCCCATAAAATTAATCTCCCTGGATGCTTTCCATGTTCAATCAGTACAGAATAACTTTTAAGCACTCAGGACATTTGTTATAAAGTGCATGCTCTCTAGTTGTTCATATACACCCACCCACGATTCTAAAGATCTCTTCAGCTCCACACACAGAAAACAGACAAGAGTGGAACAGTGGATGTTTTCAGGAGCCTCTGGGATTTGTGCTCATTAGAGAGAAGAGTTTCAGGCCGGGCAAGGTGGCTCACGCCTGTAGTCCCAGCACTTTGGAAGGCCTAGGTGGGCAGATCACCTGAGGTCGGGAGTTCGAGACCAGCCTGGCCAACATGGTAAAACCCCGTCTCTACTAAAAGTACAAAAACTAGCCGTCATAGTGGTGGGCACCTGTAATCCCAGCTACTCAGGAGGCTGAGGCAGGAGAATCACTTGAACCCGGGAGAGGGAGGTTGCAGTGTGCCGAGACCGCACTACTGCATTCCAGCCTGGGTGACAGAGCCAGACTCCATCTCAAAAAAAGAAAAGAAAGAAGAATTTCATCAGGGACTTAGAAAAAGGAGTCAGCAGTGAGGATTGGAAATCCCCAATCATTTATTTTTATTTATTTTTACTTTTTTGAGACTGAGTTTTGCTCTTGTTGCCCAGGCCGGAATGGAGTAGCAGGGTCTCGGCTCACTGCAACCTCCACCTCCCTGGTTCAAGAGATTCTCCTGCCTGAGACTCCTGAGTAGCTGGGACTACAGGCGCACGCCACCTCGCCCAGCTAATTTTTGTGTTTTTAGTAGGGACAGGGTTTCGCCATGTTGGTCAGGCTGGTCTTGAACTCCTGACCTCAGGGGATATGCCACTTTGACCTCCCAAAGTGTTGGGATTACAGGCGTGAGCCACCGCGCCCAGTCCCCAGTCATTTTAGTTTACCAGTATTCATACGCCCCTTCCACTCCCCTAACCAACAATAAATGATGTCAATTTGGTCTTTCCCCTTATTTATTTTTTATTTTTTCTATTTTTTTAATTAATTAATTAATTAATTAATTTATTTATTTATTTATTTATTGAGACGGAGTCTCGCTCTGTCGCCCAGGCTGGAGTGCAGTGGCGCGATATCGGCTCACTGCAAGCTCCGCCTCCCGGGTTCACGCCATTCTCCTTCCTCAGCCTCCCGAGTAGCTGGGACTACAGGCGCCCGCCACCACCCCGGCTAATTTTTTGTATTTTTAGTAGAGACGGGGTTTCACCGTGTTAGCCAGGGTGGTCTCCATCTCCTGACCCCGTGATCCGCCTGCCTCAGCCTCCCAAAGTGCTGGGATTACAGGCGTGAGCCACCGCGCCCGGCCGCATACTACTTATTTAAAACTCAGTGCGTGTCACTCAGTCTGTATATAATATATACATGCCACCATATCAGCAGGACATCCTCTTACCCTTGTTGCAGATAACTGGAGGTTCAAGGAGGCCCCACAGTTTGCCTAAATGGAGGAGGGGAATTTGTAGACCATTGATGCAGCTGTCACAAGACAGCAGGTTCAAGGGTCAGCTTTTCACCTTACAGCTGACAAGTGTCCTCTCGAGGGTCAGGAATGAAGGTTTTAACTTTGGGAAGCAAGTAGGATGGAAAACAGATACTGAATTCACACTCTGGCTCAACATCTTAGTTCTGCAACTGGCTACTTATACAGAATAGACCAGTTATTAAACTTTTCTGTGCCCCTGTGCCCTTTTCTGTAAATATAATCTCACATTCCTCAAAAAGTTAAACACAGGACCCAGAAATTCCACTCCTCTGAATAGACCCTAAAGAGCTGAAAACAGGGACCCAAGCGGACACTTGTACACCAGTGTTCATAGCAGCACAGTAGCCAAAAGATAGGCACAGTTCAAGTGTCCATCAGCTGGTGGACAGATAAAATGTGGTCTACCACGCAACGGAATATTACTCAGCCACGAGAACAAGCGGAATTCTGACATAGGCAGTGACGTGGTTGAAACTCGAAAACATTATGCTAAGTAAAATAAGCCAGACCCAAAGAACAGAGCTGTGTGATTCCACTCACCATGAAGTACAGGCAAACTCACAGAGACAGAGAGACCAGAGGCCACCAGAGGCTGCAAGGAAAGGAGACTAGGGAGTTACTGCTTAATGAGATGTACAATTTCTGTTTGCGCTGATGAAAAATTCTGGAGATAGGTACCGTTGATAGTTACACAACATTATAAATTTACTTAATAACACCAAGTTGTACACTTAAAAATGGTTAAGATGGCAAATTGTATGCTACATGTTTTACCACAATAAAAATAGTTTTATAAAACCCACAAACACGGGAGTATCAATGCACAGAGTTCCGAGGAGAATGAAACCAGAGTTCATGTAGAAAAGAGTGACTAAGAGGAGATGCTCAACTAAAGTGATTGTCCTTTGCCTTTCTGCCCCCAGTCCATGCGGCACATGAACGGGGCTCTAGCATGATGCTGGGAGTCCACCTGGCCTGGTGGGCATGTGCAGTGCTGAGCTCTTCAGAGCAGAAGCTGCAAACTCAGCCCTGTCTGCAGAGACTGTGTTGCCACCAACTCAGAAGTTCTATTTCTTCAAGGGGAGAGGAAGTCTTGGGACATCAGTTTTTGACAAAGGCAATTAACAAGTTGTAGGTAGAGGAACTTACTTTTTTCCCTAATCATGAGCTTTAAAATTCACTGCTTCTAGAAAGAAACTGAATTTAAAATGCAATTATTGTGCAGTAATTAACTTTGTCCAAATGAGGCCCTTTCAGAACTCAGTTTCTTTAGGGACACATTATTGAGCCCAGTGAGGTGGTGTGTTTTCCTGGCCTTTTTTTTTTTTTTTTTTTACATTTTTCAATAAAGTATTTTTGTGGTCAAATTGGTGGATTTTTTTTTAAGTCTGATTTGATATATTTGGGCTCTTTCCAAGAACTCTGTCAGGGTGTTCAGAGTTTCAGCTTTCTACTTGTGGGGGAAAGAAAAGAGTCTCATTTCTATAAATCGAATGTGTTTTTTGCCACGTGAAACAGCCTCTTGGAAATCTGCCTCCAGCCAGCCAGCTTAAGACAATGGCAGTGACAGTTAGATGTTGTCCTTGCCCTCTTTCCAAAACTGACAAATTTCACCTTAAAATTGCAAGAGCAGCTCAGTCCAGAATGGAGCATTGTGCAAACCCCTGGCTGAAATGGAAAGAGGCCTTTGACAATGGGGAAATGTGGTTAAAAGGCCAGCTGCCTTTAATTCACCTGTGTGATACCAGTTGAGATTTCTTACTTTTCTTTTCTTTATTTCGTTTTTCCCCTACACATGGTCACCAGGGAGGCAAGACTTGACTTTACTCCGGTAAGAGTAAATGCTCACTGTCCCAAACATGCAGGGTGCGACTAGGTAGACACGTGCTGAGGGCCCAAACCTGGATCAAACCAAAGAGAAACAGCACAGCGAAAGCAGATCTTCTCTCTTTCTATTTCTCTCTGGGCAAATATTGGAAGCATGACTTATTTTTAAAAGGCTTTCTCAAATGTTTTCTTCATGCATGTTTTTCCATACATCTCTAAATAATGCAAAATTTAGAAAGAATAATGGGGCTCTGTCCTTGTAAACCACCCAGAGGGGAAATTTTGAATGTGTTGAAGGCTTGGAATTCAGGGCTAAATTTTATATGGCCAGCCTCATTTCCAACACAACATAAAGTAAGTCCAAAGGGAGAGAGACTGACCCTTTCTCCTTCTCTCACAATATCCCAGCTCTGCAAAGCCAAGGTGTTACTGGATTCTGCAGAAATTACCAGCTACTTTCACGCACTTGGCCAAGAGGAAGAAAGAAAATGAAAGAAGAGAAAGAAAGGGGAGAAGAGAGAGAGAGAGTGAGAACCTCGGCAGATATACGTTGGCCCTGCCAATGACTCTCTGTTTAACTTGTAATCAAAACAACTCAAACCCAGTTACTGTTTGCATATCTGCCAAGTTTCTCAATTTCAGAGTCGGCAGCAGGCCCTCGGTATGACAGCCTGTCTTTCAGATTCCAGCAGAATCTGCCAAAGCCCCAGCACAGAGGCAACTGGTAAATTAAATGCCAGCGAGCACGGGCATTCCTACACCTTTCCTCTGTGCACACAAAGCAGCATCCCAGGCCCCTCATCCTGGCAGAGGCTGTGAAGACCCAGGATGCCCACATCCTAGCCTGTGCCTACACCCCCTTCCCTAGGTCATTACCACCCGGTGCCTGCTGAGCATTAGTCAGTGCACGGATGGGAACAAACTACCAAGTTTTCCTTTTAAGAAGAACCTGGGGTGGAGAGTGGGGAGCACCATTCTGCCAGCAGATGAAAAAAAAATACTCACAAATCAAATAGACTCAGAAAAACTCACTTTCAAGTGCCCAGCGATATCATGCAATCTATAGATAACGTTAGGTATTCAGATTCACCGCAAAGTGTAATTGAAAATAAAATAGACATTAAATACATAGAGACACATCTTTAAATCTTGCATCCTAAAAGCTTCTTGTGAACTAAAGATAAGGCTTCTCTTTTCCTAGGAAAGTGTAAGCTTCTAAAAGCTAGTTGATTCTTCAGGGGAGGAGTAAGCGCTTAGCTACCTTCACATTTATTGGTGCTGATTAGCATAACAGATATTAATGAATAAGCATTGTTTTGACTGCAACTTTGACTATAACCTGCTGATTTAATGACTCACACTAAGTTTAGGGAGTGTGGGCTGCAATCTTAATTATGAAAATGTGGCCGAGCTCCTGAGATTAGCAGCTAGCGTAAATATCAAAAACATATAATGAAGACAGGAGACAAGTTCGTGGGCCCAATGGCCACTATAAATATGAGAATGATCCCCTAACTTCACCATTTATCAAAATCTGCTTCTACACAAACCAATGCATTTTTTAAAAATCTTTTAGAGTGGTGTAATTTGCCTTCGTACCTGGACTGACATGCACGTGAAGGCTGCCAAGGAGAGAGACCAGGTCTCTTCGGCAGTCACCTGGGTCATGTGTGCAGAGGGTCTGTGAGTGGCTTTGTCATCCCTGAGAACGTTTGCAGTGACCCTATCTGTGTGCCCCTCTGCATGTGTTTCCACGTGTGTCTGGACGACAGCCCCAAGCGTGTGGACGGAAGGCAGCACTTCACAAACAGCCAGACAGAGCACCACCTCTTTAGTGCAGCAGGTAAGAGAGGTCTGTTGGATCTGGCGCCTCTTTTATTTGCCATAATTTGGCAGGTACTGCTCTGCGCGGCTGCAGAACTGAGAAGGTGAAGCCCTTTGATGCAGCCTCTGATGGGCGTCGGGCACAGCACACCATCAAGGCAATTCTAGCCTCTAAGCCCCGTGATGCTTTCTTTTCCAAGCTCAGGAGCTTCATTTGAGAGAAAAAAACATTAAGCATAATTCACCAACCTGCAGGTTTTCTTTCCCTAACCTAGCAACATTTTCAAAAGAAAACATAATTCTAAGTGGTTCCAAGGTTTAACAGCGAGGCCAATTACCTGGTGGACATTTCTGGAGATGCAGCCACCATGGGAAAGCTGCTAAGAAATTCTAGTCGCTAAATTCTAATTAGCTGACAGGCGAATTCCTGTTAAGTTTCTGTTTTTCATTCAGAGACGCTATGAATGGGTCTGATCACTTTCTGGGAAATTGTAATTGTGCATGTGTATGTTTAGAAACAGGAGGCCTTCCAGTCCAGATTCTGGTCTTGGTATTTGGAAGGACCAGGCCTTGATTTTGAGCAGAAATAACCACGTTCTTCTGAGCTCCTGGTGTTTTGACCCCGTAGCAGCCGCAGCCCAAGGCCCGCAGCACCTCCTTAGAATCCCAGTTTGCTGCCAGCACCTAATTGGTATGCTAATGCCCAGAGCTGCCTCAATTTGTAATTCTTCCCTGGAAATGGTATTCAGATTTCTGCATCCCCTCTCTACTAAGAGAAGGACGCTGGGAGATTTTTTTTTCCCTTCGTCTGGTCAAACAGGTAAAATAAACTTAACTCTGGTGACGGCAGACACATATCCCCTCCCTGAGGCCTTCTTTAGTCTGAACGGAAAAGCGGAAGCATGGCCAAGTGAAAATACTGATCTTTCCATTTGCCGACGAGGAGCAGGGGCCGGGGGAGAGGCCAGGTTCCTTTTACAAACTGTTGTTCTCAATTATCAATTTCCAGCCCTTTGTGCAAACTCAGGGCGATGCCGTTCCAACATCTTTACTTAGAACTTGGGGGGAGGCTCCCCTTTGCTTAAGATAACCCCTTTTCTTTGTATTTGAAAATAAATGTAAAGTTTACCTTGGGAACAAATGATTAATGAAGTGTTTTCAGTGTACCCCAGCTGTTCACTATAATAGAAGAATAATTTGATGTTTGGGGTTCTGAAGCCATTTGATGGCAATTGTGTGTTTTTTTTGTTTTTTTTTTGGAGGGGTCTGTGGGGTGGGGTGATTAAAGGGTTAATATTCAAATCAGAAATTTGCAAGGCCTGCATAATGGGAGCGCCACCCTCATAACAATAGGAATTTTTAACAATATCCAGCCTTGTTAGCAAGAGAGTTACATGCATTGAGGGCAATCAGTGTGTCTTGTCAGTTTCTTTTTATCTACCATCTCCAACCGCCGAGGAGCCGAAATGAAGCACTTTGGAATTATCAATTTCAGCCACATTTGCATAACAAAGCCCCCGAGGAAGAGGCATGATAAATGTGAAGGACCCCTCTTGGAAAAAGAACTGTCAACCGCGCCCCGAAAGATTCTCCGACCGAGCGCATTCTCCCGGACTGCAGTCAGCGAAAATAAAATGAAAGCATTAAAGAAAGTCATTCTCTCAGAGAGAAAAATCTCCCCCTCTGCACAGAGAGAACTGGATGAAATGACATTATGCATATGAAAATGTCCAGAAAGATGTTTGATTTATGTATGCATTAGATGCAAATTCCATTACGGTGCGCGCGCTGTTGTGTGATTTGGCGCTGAACACATCAGCGCCCTGATCAGATCTGATCTCATTAATTCCGACAAGGAGAGAGAGAGGGAATTGAGAAGAATTTATGGCCTGGACACTTGAAAGAAGTAAATTGTAATTCTGTTTAAAGCTGTAGCGAACCTTTTAAACACCTTTTATTATAGGAAAGAAGCACTCACTTTTATAACACTGTAAGGACTTACTTAATCCTGCACTGGGGGCTCTGGTCTTCATTTAGGGGGAAAAAAATCTATGACCTTGTTTAGGGGAAAGAAAAAAGAAGAGGAAAATGTCTGTCTTGAACCAAAATTCAGGGAAAACATCACAATAGTAGGATCAAAGGAGAAATGATGCCTCTGTGAATAATTGGGTAAACGTTTGGTTTTAAGGATCGTGTGTTTTGTTTTGTTTTGTTTTAGTGGCTTAATATTTTCAAATAAAATACCAAACAGTGAATGAATATTTTTATGGGACTGGGTAACAGATTTACATTTTAAAATGTCTTTATTTGCATTACAGATAAAAGCGCTACTAACAATATGTGACGGGAGATGCAATGGGAAAAGTTATCTTTTGAAACCTCTACTTATTAGGACTGCTTTGAAAGCACAGTCAATTTCAGACCAATATGAATAATAATGATAATAATAATAACCCCACTGCCAAAATAGTCTTAAGGGGAAATACATTTTTATAGGGAAAATCCCAGATTGTTTCTCTCTATTAATAATGATTCTTATCTTTCTTTTGCTCCTGAACAAGACCTTAATAAGTCGTTTCCTCCTTTCAGGAGCAATAATCACCCTTCATGGGTGAGATATCCTATATTTACTTGATAGCGAGTGTAAAGCCGAAAGTGTCTCAATATGTTATTGCATCAAGGAATCATGGTTCCTCCCCCAGCATTCATGACCCCCTGGGGTGCAGCTTTGCCTGCTAGAGTTGCGTTTCCCTGCGCGTCTTTCATCTTCGCCAGCTATGATTAACTGTCTTCCCAGGGCCGGAGGTGGGGGCAGAGACTGGATTCGGAAAACCTTAGTTACCGGATCATGTTTGATTTTAGATGGAAATGAAGATACCGAGGCGGAATTCTCCCCCAGTGCAGCCTACAGCTTCCCGGGGTAATCCACTCCAATAGAAGTCATTGTTGGGTTTAGCAAATGTTTATCCAGATTGATGCAGCAAACTTACATGTGAACGCAGATAAACAGCGACTCGGAGGGCAAAGGGTTCCAGAACCAGGTGAACCTGCTTAAATGTCACATTTTGTCAAAGGCTAATCCCCTTGTCGTTCCTCATTTCCACCCAAACCATAAAAGTATCTCATGTGTGCTGTAGATATAATTATAGATGGAACCCGCGTATTTACACTATGCATCTGTGTCCCTACTCTTCCGTGCTGTATGTTTTAAGGACACAGGCAATGAGTAGCGGCCACTGGTTTGCCCACATTCCAATGCATCACATCGGCAAATCAGGAAAATAATTGGGTTTTCCTTTGAGAAGAGAGAGAAGGGGGAAAAAATCCTTCTTCCTGTGATGTTTTAAAAATTCAAAATTTCCTCATTTATCTCCATGTTAGCTCTAACCACACAGTTGAAAGGTATATTTAGACTGCAGATACTGTATTTTAGAATGTGGAATTTCACGTCCTCTCACTTGGGGGACTTGAAAGAATTGTGCACATTTTGAATAGGCTTGTCTGCAAGTAAGAGGGAAAAGAACTTACCTTGGCATTATACTAGTGAGATTTTGGTTTTTTGCAAGGCATTTAATGTGTCTGTGTATGTGTGAAGGCATGCATTGAAATACAGAGCCAGTTTGTTCACCTTCAATTAAGTTCTCCCTCAAATATACACGGAAGGAAATGTACATATTATATTTTATAAATAATAAGGCTTGGGGGTCAGCTTTCTCATATCTTCACATGGTTGGCCAGATCTTAGTGTGTCTCTCTCTCTCTCTCTCACACACACACACACACCCAGTGAATGGGTAAGGCTTGGTGATTAAGGTCGTGCTGTTTGTTCATCTCTGCCCTGGCTAATGTGATTGAATTGGAACAATACCTTTGAACTCCTTGGCTCTGATCTGCATACTAATTGATCCCAAGTCCTTGACAATGACCTTAGCCGCCATCCACCCATTCCTGCAAAGGCTGCTCGGCCCTACTCAAAAGTTGCTATCAAAATCCAGAAACGACACAGAAAGTCCCTTTATAAAGAGCGTCTTTGAGCAGTGTGTTACTCCCTAGCTCCCCCTGCGAGATGCTTTCAGAAATAAAAAGTATTTGTCCAGGACTGGAAAACAGTTTTGTCGCGGAATGCTCAAATGTCTGTGGAGTAACCGCAAGAGCAAAGGGGGAGAAATTCGGTTGTCAAAACTTACCCTCGTGGTGATAGGTAACATCTTCTCCTAAAATAAAAATCCGTGATGATAGATTCTGTGCAAGATGTTTCCCAAAATTGTCTTTGAGATATCAGAAGCCTGCACATACATCTCACTCTTCTAAAAATCAGTGGACAGGATCAGATCCTGCCTTTATTTAAAATCTGAATTTTTTGTTCATTGTGAATTTTGGTGCATTCATTTTATTTTTTTAAACATTGCATCCAATTATCATTTTTCTTAATTACTGCCTTTTTGGCACTCCATTAAATTTTGCACCCAAGGTGCATGCCTCAATTCTCTCACCCAGATCCCAGCGCCCCCAGCATCTCTGCTGTAGTTTTATAGTCTTAGGAAAGTTCTGAGGAAAGAAATTCGAACAGTGGAAAAAGTATATTTTTCCCAAATTTACACATATTTACCTATAAATTTAAGTGGGCACAAAAACAAGTGAAAGTATAATAATTCATGGGGATTCGCGTATCTCTTTAAGGTAAAAAGGTGCTGACATACGCACACACACAACCACACATCCAAAGAAATTAAAGACAAAGAACCACATTGTTGGTGACTTTTAAAATTGTACTGTGCAGTAATGAATTAACCAGTAGCTAGAAGGTTTCCATTAATAAACCAAAGTTATATTCTTTGTGTGACCTTGAAAACAACAACAAAAAAAGTCTCTTCTGGGGAGAAAATGTATCAAAGGAGTTTATTAAAAGCAATGGTAGTATCAGTCCTAAAGCAAACACTGGAACAAAATAAAAACACAAAAACCTTTTCTCGGATATGAAATCATCGATTATATTGGACTACAGCGTTTTCTTGAAATCTGCCTGAGGGATAAATTGGAGGGGGCCACCCCATTTGGCTGTGAACAGAATAGATGGTGTTACTGGAATAACTACTCAATTAAAATCAGCGACCCCTTGCTCACCTACGCTGGCTTTACCTGGGCCCACCTTGCCGACAGCAAAAGAACACAGGTGCAAAACAAAAAGACCACCGATTTTCTCTGATACCACACCACCACCTGACATCCAACACTCGTCTTCCCGTGATTTAGAGATCAAACACTGGTCCTTGTCAGCCCAGGGCAGCCATGAGTCACAAAACCACGTCCACGGGCGCACACGGCTTCCACGCTTTTTCATTTCAGTAAGAAGACACTTTTCTAAGAACACGGTGTTCTAAAAAAGAAAGAAAAAAACTGTCTGTAATTTGTCATGAATTTCAATTACCAAAAACTTTTGATTTTTTTTCCTCTTTGAAAAAAAAAAAAGATTGGCATACCTCCAGGTTTTAAGAATGTAGTTAATGCAGAGAATGACAGAAAGATAAAGATGTGTGTGTATGTGTGTGCGTGTTTGTGTGTGTAGGAAAAGCTCCGAACATACGCTGTTCATATAGGCCTAGCTGGGTTTTAAGCCCTGAATAAAGGTTCGTGGTGACATGGGTGAGAAAGAGCATTTTGTATTTATGTGGAACGGATTGTTCTGACAGGTTCCACAGCATTTCCCAGAGCCGACATGTCACAAATGTGACTTGTGGCATCCCAGGGCTGCACACACACACCAGGAAGCCGGTTTACACTCACCAACTCACGGCACATAAAGGGTTTTGGAGAGGAAATAAAGACTCATTTTGCAATTGGAAACTACAAGGTTTTTTTTTTTTTTTTCTCCTTTCAGATACACAGAATACTTACCAAACGGGAGCAGAACTTTTTTTTTTTTTTTTTTTTTGAAATGTGCAACTGTGTGAAACTTGTCTGGTTTCAGATTTACACAGAAATTTGGAACCATCTTGTTTTCATCCAAACAAATTCAAACTGAAGAACCTCTTAACTAAGCTGGGAGCATATTTGCACCAAGAAAACTGATGTTCCTAATTCATTAACCTACAAGCATTTGGTACCAGTGGAGCTTACTAAATGTGCACAGCCCAGTGACTTGCTTTTTTGTTCTGTTTTCTTGAGGGCTGACTCTTTACTTGCACTGTCCTAGGTAGGAAGTGGAAGATAAAAAAACAAAATCAGCATGCTATCAGCCTGTTATCTGTTCTTTGGTCTTAAGGAATGATTTCAGGTTTCTGAGGTGCTTGGTATACATAGGTGAAGCTGAATACATGTTTACCGTATAAGCAAATACGTAAAATTAGAACACTTTAAGTTGTAACATGAGACAGTATATAATTAAAATGCCAAACTGAGCGGTCCAGATCATTCCAGCAGGAGTTCAGAGGTCAGAGGAAGCCGCATAGTGAGAATAATCACTCCTTCTGGCACAGCACCAAACAATTTAAAATCAGTTTTGCATCACTGACTACCTCCATCCTCTGTACGGTCCTGCATGCTGGCAATGAGCAAAAAAGATACCATCCCTGTCCTCGTGAGGTTTCCAGTCCAGCCATTGGTGGGGCGGGAGATAATATACAGCATGCCACATGGGGATACACATTATGGGAAAAAATAAATCATTAAAGGAAATGTGGAGTCCTGTGGAGTCCCAGGGTGGCGTGATGTGTTAGTATGACGCACATGGAGGTTAAGAAAGCACTCGTACGGTAGGGGAGGTTTCTGTAAGGATAAAAAGCAGCAAGGGAAGAAGCCACCTGTCTCTCTAGGGGAAAAGAGATCCAAGTAGAGGGAAAAGCAAGTTCAAAGCCTGGGGCAGAGCCTGCTCGGTGTGTTCAGGAAGAGCAGGGGGGACATGTGTTTGGAGCAGAATGATCAAATCAGAGGGAGGCAGAGGTGGGGGAGATCACTCAGGAGCTCGAAGGTCATGGCAAGGACTTCGGCTTTTACACCCAGTGAGATGCAAACCAGCGGACGGCTTTGAGCACGAGAGTGACGTGATCTGAGGCTAAAGATGAAGCTCCCTCCTCAAGGCATTTGGGAAGGGTAAATGCCAAAACGCAGGCTCAACCACCAGTTTAAGAACTACATGTAAATGTGACCTGCATAGGTCGAATGGGAAGCTGTTTCAGAGACTCGAGGCTTTTTTTTTTTCTGTTTACAAAAAGAAGATAAAAAACTATGCAACAAAGATTAAAAAAAAAAAAAAAGACTGGCGTGTTCTCCAGTTTTTCATTACACTCACATGCAATACGTTCATGTATTTTCCGATCTATGATGATGATTTTTAAAAACTACATTAATGCAGTGGAGAGAAGAAAAAAGCAAGAGATCCTTAATGTGCCCACTGTGGACATCCCTTTATCTTCCTCCCAGTACTCCTGGAAATGGCAGCGTTGCTTCGAGGGCCTTGCAACAGGGCACATGTGGAATGAGAGGCTGGCAGTCTCCAGATCTCCAGAGCCCTTACTGCTCCCTGGAACCCAGTCCATCATCAACCTAAAACCAAGTTGGCCAACAGTCCCTGGCTCTGACTCATACCCTTCCATTGAACTGGACAGAACCTCGGTTTACTCATCTGTAAAATGGTAGTGTTAATGTACATTCTGCCTATCTCCAGATCAATGGGGCACCCAGAGGAAATAATTAATATGAAATTGCTTTGGCAGATAGAAATGTAACAGAATATTTATGTAATTATGTATAATTATATTATTAGTTTTTTTAAAACAGGCAGAAATAAGAAAACTACACATGAAAACTAAACAGCCTACATAATCTATGCTGATTATATGTGTACACACACATACATACATACACATATATATACTCACATATACACAAATAATTACAATGCAAATTTTAAAACATATATATACAAAAAAGTTTTAAAAAACTACTTATAGTTTCACCACCCAGAGAAACCAAAATTAACTTTTCATTATATTTTCTTCCAGTTTTTATCTGTTCAGAATATAAATGTAAATATTTGCATAACTATTTTTATATATTTATGTTATTACTAATATATATGTACCTACAATATGTCATGACTAGGCTATGGTATATAACATTAGCCACAGCTCTACGTCATACTATAACCATAGCCTGTAACATAGCATGCCACAGTTATGTCCTATTATAGGTACAGTGTATAATATAATGATAAATTATTTTATGTAGTTATAGAAATACATCTACATATATACAAAATGTAGATTTACATCATTCAATATATTATTGTAAAATTAATACCAATTTTTTTGTTTAAACAGGTAAATCACATATATTGTTTAAAAGAAAAGTCGGCAGTACAAAAGTGAAGTGCACCCTATCACTACCATTTTCCCTTCAAAAAGCAATAGCATTTCCCATTAATAAGTGGTAATACATTGAGCACACTGTTCTGTACATTTTTTTTTTTTGAGACGGAGTCGCTCTCTGTTGCCCAGGCTGGAGTGCAGTGGCATGATCTCGGCTCACTGCAACCTCTGCCTCCTGGGCTCAAGCGATTCTCCTGCCTCAGCCTCCCGAGTTTACAGACATGTGCCACCACACCCTGCTAATGTTTATATTTTTAGTAGAAACGGGGTTTCGCCATGTTGTCCAGGCTGGTCTCCAACTCCTGACCTCAGGTGATCCACCCGCCTCTTCCTCCCAAAGTACTGGGATTATAGGCGTGAGCCACCGTGCCTGGCCTGTACTTTTCTTTTTTTAATTAAAGATGCATCTTAGAGATCATTTCATGACAGCAGATATATACATCTGCTTCTTTCTTTTAGTGGCTGCATGGCATTGCATTGTAAGAATATTTGACATTTTATTTAATCTACAAATGTAAGTTAAATCATTTCCAATTAATCACTATCCTAACAAAGCCACAAAAATCACATTTTTGTGAATTTCTGTAAGTACCTCAAAAAGCTAAAGTGCTAAAGTGGAACTGCCAGGTTAAAGAGTATGAATCATGTCAAGTTTGACACAAACCCCCAATTCGTTTTGCAAAGCCGATGCACTAACTGACCACTCACACATACCACATCTACAAAGTCCATTTTTCCATTCCCCCATTGCCATTTGCATTTTCCTTATTACAAACAAATTGAGAATCTATTTTAAATAGTAATTTGTTTCCTTTTTGCCAATTGTCTACTAAAGTTCTTTCAGTATTTTTCCATTGGATTGTTTTGCAATATTAACAATTTGTAGAAGCTCTTTACATATGAAAGAAACTAGTCTGACATATATCACATAGGTTGCAAGACAGGAGTTACAAATTTATAGAAAGAAAAATCCATCAATCTACTTTTTGAGCTTCTGGATTTTGCATCACGCTTAAAAAGTCTTTCCTGTTAATAATTCCAATATTGCTGCTGGAGAAATCACCCTGAAGAGCCAGGAGAGCTGCAACAGGGAAGAGGACAATTTTTTTTTTTTTTTTTTTTAGACAGAGTCTCACTCTATCACCCAAGCTGGAGTGCAGTGGTGCAATCTCGGCTCATTGCAACCTCCACCTCCCGGGTTCAAGTGATTCTTGTGCCTCAGCCTCCCAAGTAGCTGGGACTACAGGTGCAGACCACCACACTCGGCTAATTTTTATATTTTTAGTAGAGACAGGGTTTCACCATGTTGGCCAGGCTGGTCTCAAACTCCTGACCTCAGGTGATCTGCCTGCCTCAGCCTCCCAAAGTGCTGGGATTACTGGTGTGAGCCACTGTGCCCAGCCAAAGGACAGCACAATTTGTAAAGAAACAAGGCACCTTCAGAGAAGGGAGAGAGGACCAGCGAGGCTGGCTAACAGGTTGAAGGATGACATGGGAGGAGGCTAGAATGGGAGACATATCAGGGAGAGCAATCTGTAGGTTTCTCTCCTACAAATAGTTTTATTTGGGAAAGGAAGGGACTTCACCTGATGCATACTCTGAAGACATCACTGCAGTATGAGTAAGAGATTAGTGAGTGGCAAGAGAGGAAGCAAAGAGATCTGGAGCTCAGGTGACTGACGGTGGCCTCTGGGCAGGCAGTGAGAAGTGGATGGACTCGTGCACCTGTAATGGGGACCAAAGGTGGAGAACCTGCCACAAATGCAGGTGGATGGAGATCCCATTTAAGGTGGCAGGAAAAGTTGGAGGTAATGGGCAGCACAGACCACCTGCTCACTTTTGGACAGGATGATCTCTAGGGGCTGTGAGAAATGCTCACAGGGGAGGCTGGAAGGCAGTTGTCTCTATGAAGGTGTTGCTCAGAAGAGAGCCGCAGAGGTGCTCACCCCTGGAAAAGGTGCTTCATCATCCTCAGGCATAGTCTCCTCCTCTGCAAAATGAAAGAAATCACTTACAAGGGGACAATGATGTAAGCCACCCAGCCAAGGGCCTTGCACAGAGTGGGTGCCCCCAGGGTGACCAGATCTCCCTGATCTCGCTCCCCCACATCAAATACGCAAAAGCATGTGGGTTGCTCTGTGACCACAGAAACATGCACATCGTGAACTCCAGGCCCCTGCCAGGCCCTGAGGATTCAGGGGTGAGGGAGGCTCAAACCTTGCCCTCGGGGACCACTGGGTCCAATGGGGAAGGACAGTCAAACATGCGATGGGGTAATCAATGGGGTGCAATCAACCTGGAAGAGCTGGACATGCAAGCTGTAAGGTAAAGGTGCCAGGAAAGTAGAAAAAGGCAGAACTGTCATCCACTATTGGGGGAGGGGAGGATAAACACACAGACGACAGAAAAGAGGCAACGCTGTTTTTACCTTCATCAAAATTTAACCCACAAGGTCTTATTCCACGGTTTGCAAAGCATTTTCCCACCAGTGATTTCTTTTAGTCATCTGAAGGGCCTACAGAAAAGAAAAATTAGGGGTCACTATCCTGCTTTTATAGGTAGAGAAACTGAGGCACAGACAGGTGTGATGATGTACATCACCCATTCAGACCTTGTTCCAGACACCATCCCGCCACCCAGGAAAGCAATGGATATATAGAAAAAACTTAGGAAGATCTCATGGGAGCTGGAAAACCTAAAAGAGGGCACTAGAAATGGCCATGCTGAAAACCAACAAGACAACACAAAAGCAAGTTTTTCTACCAAATTGCAAAAGGGATTTAGACTCCACTGGCTTCTCTCGGCCAGGAGACATCCTCGGTTCCTGCCCATCACGGTAAATATCAGGGCAGGAGCGGTCGCACGGGCGGGACTCTCTATCACCAACGAGCTACTTAAGGCTTCTCTTATGGCCTAATAAAGTCACTCAAAGAAGAAGAAGGTACAATTAAGCAATAATGACCCGGGCAGAAGTCTTTCTGAGATGCATAATGGGATGTTAAAGGCTCAAGTCTTGACCCTCTAGTTGGCCATTATGAGGCTGGTGAAGACAGATAAACAGATCATTACAGCTCATATAAAGTTCAGAAGTTAATTTAAAACACTACTGTTCATCACGCTTTAGCCCTGCCTCTCCCACTCATAAAAACATAGCGAGGCTTGCATGAGTCTTAGAAGATATTTCTATCTTTTTCTTTTTTTTTTTTTTTTAACATTTTGAGAATTTAGGTTACCATTAGGAACAGCGAAACTAAACAAGTTGAGGTTGGTTTTGTTTCCAAGTGTCCCTGACCCATTGGCTCTGCAAGAAAGGCCACTCCCTGACCCCAACCCCAAAGCCCCCACCTACTACTCATCCATCACCTTTCCCAACTTAGGCTCCTATGGGGAAATCGCTCCTTGACATAATTCCTGATTGAACTAGTGATGGCTTCCTTCTCTGTATGAGTGTGTGTGTGTGTGTGTGTGTGTGTTTATATGTGCTGTTTTGTTGTGTGCAATTGTGTGTGTTCACTTGTATGAGTGTGTTTTATATGTATTTATGTGTTTGTATGAATGTGCTTGTGTACGTTTGTGTGGGTTTGTGTGTCTTTGTGTATGTGAACATATGCAAAATTGTGTATTGCGGGGAGATGGATGTTGAAAAGAGGGGATCAAATGAAGAAGAGAGGTGAGTACTGAGAAATTAAAAATCAGAGAATCCTCAAGGCTGGTCTGGGGCCTCTGCACCCCAGAAAGCAAACCAGAATGCCCAGCCACTTTTTTCCAGTAAATAATTATTGCGTGTCTGTTGCAGGCACTGGCACTACAAAATGGGCTTGTGTTCTCTTTGGAAGAAGAGAGAAAACAAAAATGCAAAAATATAAAAAAACAAGGCCATCTGAGTTTTCAGTGGGTGCAAACAGGGAAATGATACAGCATGATTTGGTTGAGAATGGTTGGATAGTTAGGACAAATTTAGATCTCCTGGTTAAGGGAGTAGTGGCATTGGAGGTGACACCCCAGTGACAAGAGAGACCCTGGCAAGTGGAGATCAGAGGTCAAAGTCCCAGGCTGGGAGCAGCACGTGGCTGTAAAATGAGCACAAGCTTGGAATGTTTATTGAGTTTTATAACTCTTCTTCTTCCTTTCACTCTTACCTTCCCCAGCCTTTAAAAATTCTTTGCTGCTGTTGTTTTTGTTAATAGTGAGCCTGATCTCTTCTGTACTACAGAGACTAAAAAATTGCCATGACCAAACGTGTTCCATGTGGTACAGGGGAGCCAGCGACAATTCCAGAGCAGACCTAGGTCAGCACTGCAATCCAGGAAACTCGCCTCTCATACATTTCATGGAGCATAGCTCAGTACTAGGCCTGCTGTCAGGATTCTTCAGAGACCTGTTAAATTATATTCCTGCCTTACATTGCAGAAGTTCTGGGTTCATTTCAGGCTCTTCTCTCCTGCTTGGCAGAAACTGAACGATCAGCAGTCAGACAGAGAGAGAGGAACTAAGACAAATTAAGAGAAAAATAATCGCAGGATACAAATGAAGGCACCTTTGACTGACAGAATGGTGTACTCCCCTGAGCTAGTGCGTGGAGAGTCAACCCCGTGTCCCTCAGGAGGTGACATAGCGTTTGTGGAGGAGGCTGCCACCCCCACATCTCACTGACTGACATGCCTCGGCAGAGACACTCCGGAGCACACCCTGCCTCACCCTTCAGAGCTCCTAGAAATACCTGGCACTGGAGCCAGCATCCCCTCAGGTGTAGGTAAACCACAGCCAATCAGGAGATGGCATGATGCTGACTCTTCTGGATGAAAGGAAGCTCTGGGCGCGGTGGTCCCAGGATCTTGCCAGGGGCTCCCAGGCTAGAGACAAGGCTCTCCTGAGAAGAAGGTGGAGTGAATAGAAACTTTAAGGGCCTCTCAGAAGAGAACAAGCTTGTTGACAACTTGAGAAACTCTGAAACTGTAGGCAAACACTGATGTTCATAGGCATGGATCCTAGAAGAGAATCTAGAGTTTTCAACAGATTCTCTGGGGAGCCTGTGATCTCCAAAATACAAAGAACGTCTGTAGACATTGTTCTCTCTGCTAATCAAGACCCACTCTCCTCAACCTCCCCTCCTAGAGACTATTCTTCTTTCAAGACCAAGACCCCTTGTGTCTCTCCATGAAACCTTTCCTGACCATCCCATCCTTCCGTCTTTGAGTTGACCCAGCACAGAGTTCTCTCGTGTATACTACTCTGCGTGGTAACTGATTATTTTCGAAGACCATCTTCCTCCTCAGAATGTGATCCCTCAAGGACCCCCACAATATTTTATTTGCACTTCCACACCTAGGGTCCACTACACTGCCCTGTGCTTACTATGTGTTCAATAAGTGTTTCTGTGAATAAATGAATTCAATCCTGCTTCAATAAAGATACCATTTGGATGTACCACCCTGGACCTGCCTGTTCTCATCCAATGACATCAGAATAAACACTCACATGTGGCCTCCTTGACTTTGAAGAGCAGCCAATGCCCTCACTGTCTCTGGATGGGGCATCTTTGTGGCATCTCCCTGGACCACCTTAGGGCTTCTTCAGCACAAAGAACCCTTATGGAAATCAGGCAGAAGGTGTGGCATCTCCCAGGACCACCTTAGGGCTTCTTCAGCACAAAGGACCCTTATGGAAATCAGGCAGAAGGTGTGGCACATATGTTCCTTAAAAGTCAAATTCCTGCCTTCAATTGTAAATTAGAATTGGATTGTTGAGGAGGTGGAAGAAGGTGTCTTATAAATGAATTGCACTGGTGTTAACTGAATCCTGTCCTAGCAAAATGAACTTTCCATCATGCTTGCTGTTTGAGATGACAGGTCTGGGGGCCATGGGTCCTGTTTATCATCACCAATAAATATGCCTGCCACTGTTGTCATTCCTTTGTTCTGCTAGATGGCATTATTGGCTTAAATTCTTCACTGTTTCCTGCTTCCACGCCTGTCCCATGACCTACCTCCTCAAGGGTAGAATGGACTTGACTTTGGTCTTGGCCACCAGATTTACTTTGGCTGACATTGTATGGGCAAAAGTGACAGCATGCCAGTTCTGAGCCTAGGCCCAAGAAGCTTCCTGTATTTCTGCTTGTTTCTTGGCTCTTTTGCCACTACCAAGAGAAGAACATGCATGGCCTGGAGGAGAGGACTGGGGCTGTCCCAGCCAACCCAGATCTGTGATGAGAAGCAGTGCCACCCAGCTGATTCCTAAATGAGCCACAGATGCATGAGCAGTAAATGTTTATTGTTGTAAACCATAAGATTTTGTGGTTGCTTGTTACACAGCATCGTTGTTGCAACAACTAAACTGATACATCCCTGATTTCTTAGTCCATTTGGGCTACTACAACAAAATACTTTAGACTGCATAATCTATAAATGGCATAAATTTATTGTTCATGGTTCTGGACACTGGAAAGTCTAAGACCAAGGCATCAGAAGATTCAGTGTCTGGTGAGGGATTGCACTCTGCTTCAGAGACTGTGCCTTCAATCTCACATGTTAGAAGAGAGGGGAGTAAGCACTGTGTCCTTACATGAGAGACAGAGGTAAGGGGCCCTCTCCAGCCTCTTTTATTAGAGCACTAATCCCATTCGTGAGAGTGGAGCCCTCATGACTTAATCATTTCCCAAATACCCCCAACTCTTAATACCATCATGCTGGATAATGGGTTCAAATATATAAATTTTGAGGGGACACTGATATGATTTGGGTCTGTGTCTCCACCCACATCTCACCTCGAATTATAATCCCCATGTTTCAGGGGAGGGACCTGGTGGGAGGTGGTTGAATCATGGCGGTGGGGGGTTCCCCCATGCTGTTCTCATGATAGTGTGTCCTCACAAGATCTGATGGTTTTAAAGTGTTTGGCAGTCCTCCCCCACCTCTCTCTCTCTCTCCTGCTGCCATGTAAGATGTGCCTTGCTTCCCCTTCATCTTCCACCATGATTGTAAGTTTCCTGAGGCCTCCCCAGCTATGTGGAACTGTGAGTCAATTAAACCTCTTTCCTTATAAATTACCCAGTCTCAGGTTGTTCCTTATAGCAGTGTGAAAACAGACTGGTACAGACACCAACATTCAGACCATAGTATCTCAATTTCTTTTTTATTGCTACGCAACAAATTGCCACAAATTTACCAGCTTAAAACAATACAATTTAATTAATTACTCACAGTCTCCCTCAGTGAGCAGTCTGCTATCAGCTTGATGGGTCCTTTTCTTGGTCTTGCCAAGCTAAAATCAAGGTGCAGTTGTTAGGCAGAACTGTGATCTCATCTAAGGCTCAGATTTCTCTTCCAAACTCATTGGTTGTTGACAGAATTCAGTTCCTTGTGGTTGTGGGGTTCTGCTCATGTCCTTGTCCCCTGCTCTCATCCATAGATCCATCACAAAATGGCAAGAAGATTCCTCCAGGGCAGCAGGAGAATCTCTGTTTTTAAAAACTCACAAGATCATGTAAGGTGTACTTAGGACCATCTCCCTTTTGACTGACCTTAAGTCAACTGATTGAGAACGTTAATTACGCCTGTAAAATTCCTTCATCTAGCAGTGTAACCTCCTCAGTGAAGCAGCATTCATTGTATTCACAGGCTCTGTCCCATTCAAGAGGAAGGAAGTTTATAGGGTGTGTGTGTATGCCAGGAGGACAGGAATCTGGAGATACATCTTAGAATTCTGCGTTTCATAATCCTCAATATCTAAAGATAGGCAGAACCATGCTTTCACCTTGCCAACCGTTGTTTGTGAGAGTTTTATTTTGGTGGTCAAAGGGTACTTCCATCTTCATATGTGAATAAATTTTGTTGTTGTTTTTTTTTTCCTTCATCTTCTCCCATGGGAGTCTGACCACATGAATTTCTAGGCTGTGGGAATACCCAGCCTGCCCCCAGAGACCAAACTCCAGCCCCAATAGATCTTTGCAGGAGTTCAGGGAAAAAGGTCAACAGGCAGAGAGGACATGGAACACCTGAGAAAAAGGTGTCAGAAAAATGTGGGTCCTGGAGCTCAGTGAGCCACATCCACAAGGCCCCTGCATTAGAATGCCCTGGGTTTGGTCAGTCCCAGACCTGATAGCATGTCCACTACACTTGGTGACATCAAAGTGAGTGGATGCAGAATATATCTGATTTTGGAGTCAGAGATAATCCCATCTCCTGGGTTTACAACGTTCAAATTACAACCAATTACATTAGACATACACACACACACATACACTCACACAAAGGATGAGTTCCTAACATTTCTGTAGTGAGCATTGATTTGTGTGTGTGTGCTCTGGAGTTGGGCATCCACGGTTTCATCTTGTCTCCACGATTTATTGACCTTGGGAAAGTCATCTAACTTCACTGCACTTCAGTTTCCTTACCCATAAAAATAACAAAAGTAATAGTAGAAATAATAATAACAACCATAACAATGCCTGCTATATACATAGAGTTGTAATGATTAAATGAAATAATAGATGCAGTAAGACTGGAGCAATCTTTGGCTTGTACAGAGACCTTGATCAATGGCAAAGTCAGATTTCTATCATTCACTCCTTCCTTCCTTCCTTCCTTTCTTCCTTCCTCTCTCTCTCTTTCTTTCTCTCTCGCTCTTTTTCTTTCTTTCTTTCTTTCTTTCTTCCTTTCTTTCTTTCTTTCCTCTTTTGTTGATCACAGTGTCACACCATGCTAGACACTGGGAAAATGTAAGTAAACTTTGACACAATCCATACTCTCAGAGACATGAAGTTCAGTGGAAGAGACAGAATAAAAGAACCACTTCAATGTAATGCATTACATTTTATTTATTTCCCTAAAGAGAAAGAGGAAAAAACTTAGAAGCTTAGAAAAATTCTAGGAAGGTAAATGAACAAGGATGAAAATTCAGGATGGAAGGGAAGACAACACAAAGAGAAAGGAGTGAAGAGAGCACATTAATTCTATATTTGCATCTCATGAAACGCTGTTCTTGCTCCTGGCTTTCATTTTAAATGAAATGGTGCCATGAAGAATGTACAGTTGGCTTTGGGAGCACAAGAGATGGGTCACCTCTGAGCTGGGGTCACTGAGGAGGGTGTCCCGCAGGAAACAAGGGGGATGAGCTTCCACAGCTTAAGGGCTGTTTCTGGAACCTCTTTGTTTATCATCAGCAGTACATAAACTTGAAATTTTAATGCAGGTTCAATTCAGATGCAAATGGCTCTGTCCAAGTGGTAAATGCAAAGGAAAGACCAGGGTGACAGCAGGGACATTATTCCTTCCCGCACCATTTCAGTCTTCCCCAAATCACAGTGATATAAGTTTGGGGAGTGAGCTACCACCTTCTGAGGTGAGTAATGAGGGACAATTCCCCATACGTTTTCCCTGTGGGCTGGATGGCAAATCCAATTAGTTATCTCTGAGGACAACCGTAAATATTATCAGGACATAAAATATTGCGGGCATTTGGAAAGAAAATACAGTCATCTAAATATTGATGGTTTTCAAGTGGGAACTGGAATTTTAGAGCAGCCACTTACAGCGTTACTCGATTAGTCTTTTGGTTCAGAGATGCATGGTCGAGGGTCCAGTAGGTTCAGTTTTATTCATCCGTTCCTGCATCCATTTCTGAGATAAACAGGACCAGAAACCACCTCTCTATCAGGTCCTGTGTATGAGGCTGGAAATTCAAAGATAAATAAGACACAGCTGCCGTGATTAAAGACTGCGCAGTCTACCGTGTGGATCAGACTCATACACTGGCAATTTTAATTTTAATTTTAACAGTGATCATTGTTAGGGTAGGTAAGCTGGGGTTCTGAGGAGGATCTGGCCTGGGCCGCCAATCTAGTAAGGTGTATCAGGGAAGGCTGCCTGGAGGAGATGCCATCTAAGACAAACATTGTGCTCATTTGTTTCTGCATCCCTGGCATTTGGCACAGACCTGGCTCCAGGCAGGTATGTTCAACATGTTATCATGTATAAGGAAAGGATTGCTTAGAGGATTTAAAGTAACTCTTTGCAATGGCTGTAAACTCAAACACCTCCTTCAAGGGCCAAACTGTTATCTTAGATAAGTAAAAAAAAAAAAAAAAAAAAAAAAAAAAAACAAAGACAAGTGCAAGACACCAGGGAGGGCTGGGGACTGTGTGCAGACTGCCTGCTGTATATAACAGGGCCAAGAGTTTCCATGTACAAATGCAGGCTCTGGGTTGCCACAGCCCTCAATGTATTCAGTAGAAGTTCAAACTCTAGGTTTGTCTTATAAAATCTCCAAATCTGTATATGTCTGCACCCTATTCAAATATTTAAACATCCTATGAGGGCTCACCAATACATATCTGTGGTGCATTTGAGGCTCATGGGCTGCCAAATTGTGACTTCTGAATTTATTGAGTCCTAGGACCTTAACAGAAGTTTGGTTTATGTCACTGAATTCGATATTCCATAAAAGTTAAGTGCAGAGACTGGGGACAATGGACACACAGAGGTTAATAAACACATCCCTGCTTGTCCACATCTTTCTACACAGCTTCGCTGAATAAAAATAAATGAGGCCACATGCGGTGGCTCACACCTGTAATCCCGGATCTTTGGGAGACTGAGGCAGGAGGATTGCTTGAACCCAGGAGTTTGAAACCAGCCTGGGTGACATAGCAAGACCTCATCTCTACAAAAAATAAAATAAAAATTAACCAAGTATGGTGGTATGAGCCTGTGGTCCCAGCTACTTAGGAGGCTGAGGTGAGAGGACCACTTTAGCCCCAGAGCTTGAAGCTACAGTGAGCTGAGATGGCACTACTGCAGTCCAGCCTGGGTGACAGAGTGAGACCCTGTCTCAAAAAAAAAAAAAAAAATTGATGAATGAATGATGAATGAATGAATGAGACAGATAGCAGAGCCAAGGAAGCGATTTTAGGCAGAGGAAATCACATATGTGAAAATTACACAAAGGGACAAAACACGAATATTCAGGAAACTGTTCTGATTATAGGTCCTACGTGGGAAAGGTGTGGGTGGCAAGTCAGAAGGGGAAAGGGACCGTGCTGTGAGCCTCGAATGCCAGGCCAGGGCCTGTGATCTTTACTCTGCAATTGCTTAGTGAGAACTCAGGCGAAACTCTCAACGGTTCTGTGACTCCATTTCCCCATCTGTGGAATGGGGACAACAGGACTTCCTACCTCCTAAGGGTGGTTATGAAATTCCCATGAGTGGATACACTGAGAATGGGACCTGACATACACCAGGTGCTCAGTACTGCTCACCTGTCCTCGGGATGACGTCAGTGCACCTGCCTGCCTCTGTCTCAAAGCATGCTGGGAGCAGAGCCCATGCCACACCAGCCCATCCTCAGAATCAGAAAGTAGCCAGGCAGGTGACAACATGCCAGTGGCAGAGAATGTCTCCTAGTGGGAGATGCAGCATTATTTGTGAAGGTCTCCTTCTTCCCTCTGTGTGATTAGTGAGCAGCTGATAGAACATGAGGCTGTTCTGCTTGGTGGCTCTCTTGATGGGGCCATGAGCCGGAGGCCTAGGGAGAGAGGAGGTAGGATGATCCTCTTCCTTCTGGAGTCACACTGGGACGTTTTGATGTGTAATTTGGGGATTTGAATTCATGGATCACAGGTGTCTGCGAATCCCAAGTGCTGAGCCATGGAGAGAGGAAACGTGGCCTTCTCGGTAAACACCTACAGAGAAGCACTGGGGAGTTAACGATGCTATAGCGTCCTAACAGTTCCAGGCTCTGCTCACCTGCGGGCCCCGGTAAACACACCCCATCCTCAAGCCAGTGCTAAAGGGCAGCTGTGATGATCTCATTGTCCAGAGGAGGAGACAGAGGTTCTGAACTGTTGGTGGGACTGTAAACTAGTTCAACCATTGTGGAAGTCAGTGTGGCAAATCCTCAGCGATCTAGAACTAGAAATACCATTTGACCCAGCCATCCCATTACTGGGTATATACCCAAAGGACTATAAATCATGCAGCTATAAAGACACATGCACACGTATGTTTACTGCGGCACTATTCACAGTAGCAAAGACTTGGAACCAACCCAAATGTCCAACAATGATAGACTGGATTAAGAAAATGTGGCACATATACACCATGGAATACTATGCAGCCATAAAAAATGATGAGTTCATGTCCTTTGTAGGGACATGGATGAAATTGGAAATCATCATTCTCAGTAAACTATTGCAAGAACAAAAAACCAAACACCGCATATTCTCACTCATAGGTGGGAATTGAACAATGAGATCACATGGACACAGGAAGGGGAACATCACACTCTGGGGACTGTGGTGGGGTGGGAGGAGGGGGGAGGGATAACATTGGGAGATATACCTAATGCTAGATGACGAGTTAGTGGGTGCAGCACACCAGCATGGCACATGTATACATATGTAACTAACCTGCACAATGTGCACATGTACCCTAAAACTTAAAGTATAATAATAAAAGAAAAAAAAAAAAGAAAGTTCAATGACATGCCTGATGCTACCCTGCAAATAGGTGGTTGAGCCTGACTCAAAGGCACTTCTCATTGCCTTTCTCACTATGGCTGAGAGGAGCAGGGACCTGGTGCCATCCCCAACAGGTCTGCCCTACAAAGGGCTTAGGTGAGGAAATGCTCCGATTTAGTTTAGAGCTGGATGGGGAAATACAGCTCCAGAGGAGACAGCAGACGCAACCCATTCCGACACAGAGGGGTGCATCGTTGCAGGCAAAAAGCACCTTCACTTCGTGAGGCAGCTGCTTGTACTCCCTCCTCCCCATAAATAAATAAATAAATAAATAAACCAAGAACAAGGGGGGAAAAGTTTCTGACTTTCCATAACCTTTTCTTAGAGTTCAGGTTATTTCTTTAATGCATTTGTCTGCTTTAAAATTGTCTCCTTAGCCTCTCAAGGGAAACCAATATAATACACCATCACATTTCTCACCGGAGAAAAAAGAACACTTACTCTTAATAGGTGGCAATTTTGCCAGATGTTATTGACATGGTAAGTGCGAAATTTCCGTGATACTCAATGCAGAGTGCAGCAGATTAAAGAACAATGAGGCACAGTGCAAAATGAAGTTTCAAAAGCCGCAGTGTCAAAGTCAGGGAAGGTGTGAAAAAATTACATCTTCGCAACACTATTAAGAGCAAGTTTACTAATTACTCTATCCGGCACAAATTTCAAAGTAAATTCCCCAAGAGTAGGGAAAGTTTTGCAAGTGTTATTTTTTCCCCCTGCTTGTCAGCATTTTTTTTTTTTTCTTGGCAGCAGAAAGAAAGAATGGAGGGTCTGGGCTCGGTCATGGATTCCTTCCCCCTCTGGTGAAGAAGGACAGGAACTGTTGGGCCAATTTCACAAAAGCAAAGGTGGAGCCCGTTGACCGACCTCCTAGACCTCCTCTGGCTGACAGCAAAGCTTTGTCCAGTGCCAATGAAACAACAGACTAGACTTTGTGTTGGAGGCAGAACAGGCACTAAATCCACACAGCACACCTGTGAAGCAGAGTTCCTTCCCACTCACCTCCCAAAACTGATTTGGAGAGGAGGAAACTGACGCTTAATGAGGAAAATTACGTAGCTAGTAAATCTCAAACCGGGGTCTTAAAGGCAGGTCCTGTCCCCCAGATCTCATCCCCTGCTCTTTTATTTCTAATGCATCAGTGGATTTTAAATTGCTTTTAAAGCAGAGAAACCCCTTTTCCAAATGAAACCTTAAACAAATATCTGAAATATGAAACTAATAAAAGCCAAGTTATTCCACTTGGAGACAGGGCACTAAGATTATTGGGAGTGCCAAGGTCTCCCCTGCACTGTTCTTCTCTCTTCTATGGGGGTGCTTGAGTGGACTCTACTGATGACCCACCTCTGAAAGTATGAGCATGTGTGAGTGTGTGTGCACACATGCATGGGCTCACACACATATGCACACACATACCTGTGAGGGGAAAGGGCCCATAAGATTTAATCGAAGAGGTTATAATTCTCCCCCAGATCGAAAAAAAAAAAAAAAACTCCAGTACATCAGTACATACATTATATAAGTCAACCTTGCCGTGGAAGTTGCCTGCAAACAAGTTCCACTTGTTTGTCAAATGTATTTAATTCATTTATATCCTGACCTTAATAAAAAACACAATATGGTTCTTGGGACCATATAGTCAGTACCACCTATTTTTTTAATTAAACTTTTTCTTTGGAGATCACTGGAGATTAGGATGCAGTTGTAAGCAGTAATACAAAGAGATCCAGCATGCCCTTCCCAGTGCAGTGTCCTGCGTAACTCTAACATCGTAACACATCCAGGAAATAGACGTTCATACAACCTGCTGACCATATTCAGATTTCCTCCGTTTTACTCATTTGTGTATACATGTGTGCAGCCAACTTATTTGTTTTTTAATGAAATGCTTCTCAAGCAAGCAAATACCAGTGTAAAACGACTCTCATCCCTAGGGAAAAACCAAGAAAAAAGGTGGAATGACCCATTTTGTTCTGAATGCAGCAGATCTAAAAGGAGCCTTGACCCGGAGTAAACTGACTCCAGACTTGAGCAAGTCCAAAGCCAGAGCGTGTCCATGGGGGCAGCTTCAAGGCCCAGCCTGGGGGTGGCCACTGCTCAGATGGAGGCAGCCCAGAGAGCCCATGCCTTAATCATAGAGAACTCAGATCCCGGCCGGCTTCATAGAGGAGAATGATTGCCCTTGAGTGTTGCTGGGAGGCAAACAGTGAGGAAGCGCTGACGGAGTTGGCAAGAGATGGAGTATCCTGCGTTTATCAAGCTATCAAGCTGTGGCTCTACAACTGTTTTGTTTTTTGTTGTTGTTTTTGTTTTTGTTTCTTTCTGTGATTCCAGAGTCTTCACTCAGTCATGTGACAAGAACAGAAAGGCAAGTTATTTTTGGTGCTGCAGCCTTCGGGGGAAATTCTTCAGGTGGCATCTCTGGACGAAAATCCCTCCAGCTCAGTCTGGTCCTATTCCCCTAAGCCACTCTCAGCCTTTCCAACACACAGACCTATGGACCTCCCGCCACAGAATCTACTCACTGCTGGTGGGACATTAGATCATTGGGTCCAACACCTTCATTTCACAGGTGGGGAAACTGAGGTCCAAGAACAGATGGGGAAGTAAACTGATACCACGTGAATGATGCTCAAAGATGAGCAAGGTCTCTGTCTAGAGGCTCAGAGACCTGCATGTGGGGAACAGAAATTCAGATCTTTAGATAAAATTTTGTGTTTATATTTCAAAAGGGCTCTTGACCCAGCAAAGGTTAAAAAAAAGTAGTTATGTGATTTAACAATACCATATCTAGGGACCTGAAGACAGCTCCAACTTATTAGTAGCAAGCTCACCTCCATAGGAAGCTTTCCCTCACCCCAAAAAATTCAGACACAGGCAGCAGCCAAACCCAAGTCAGGTCTCTTCTGTCACCCAGGCTAGTATCCAGTGGTGCAGTCATGGCTCGCTGCAGCCTTGAACTCTGAGCTCAAGCAATCCTCCTGCCTCAGCCTCCTGAGTAGCTAGGACTACAGGTATGAGCCATCATGCTTAGTTAATTTTTACATTTTTTGTATAATTTTGTATTTTTGGCAGGACAAGATCATTCTGTGTTATCCAGGCTGGTCTCTAACTCCTGGTCTCAAGCAATCCTCCTGCCTCAGCCTCCCAAAGTGCTAAGATTACAGGTGTGAGCCACCGGACCCATATAATTTTATTTTTTATCACTAGATGTAATCAGAACTCCCCTTGGTTTAGTGGCAAAAAACAAGTTTTCCAGTCCTGGCAGAAAAAAACATTCTGCATTATTTTAGCTTTGTTTGTAGTCTGACTTTGAGAGTGGTAAGAACCATTCACACTGGGGAGGGTCCCATTTGTAGTAATTCTCCAACTCTGAACATGCCGGGTGGTGCTTTGTCCACAGAGACCATGGTGTTTAGCTGGGGATGTCTCCTTGCCTTACTCCAGCCTCTCTCCTCTAAAGTCTACGCATCATGTTTTGTATTCATCCACTTCTGTATTTCAACATCATAACTGGGCTTGATGCCACCAAATCATTTTTCAGCCAGAAATAGCATTAATTCAAGTTTCCGACTCTGCTAAGATGTTGAGAGCTTGGCCTCTGCCCCAGAGATGGAGACCAAAGGGAGAGAGGTGATGGAAGCCCCAGCACCTCTCCTGGAAAATGAACAAGATCAAATTTGTTTGGAAAATGTTTGGACATCAGTTGTGAAATGCTCTCTCCTCTGAAATCAGATTTGTTCTCAAGGAATTCCAACCGCCATGAGCAGCCAAGAGTCAATGGCTCAGCTGCACCCAGGAGATGGGCCAAGAATTGTAAGTTAAAGAAGCTGGACACTGTTTTTCCTTGTGAGAATCTCTGCCTGGCCTCCTTCAGAACATCTCAGTATTGCACATGAAAAACCAGCCTCAGAATAGGGTTTTATTGTCCTAAGCTCCAAGCAGTTCCCATCAGGGTAAACTATTATAGTGCCACGGACTATTGCCTCAAGAGCACTTTCTGTTGTGTGTTCCAGGTGGCCAAAATCAACTCCTTTGGCCTAAAGTCTGCACTTTGCCTTCAAGTCAACAAATCCAGCAAGCCTGTATTGTGTAACCATGCTGTCTCTGATGTTCTTGTAGGTATAGGTACCGTGGCAGATAGACAGGCACAATCCCACATTCAAGGAGTTTAGAGCAGAGCCGAGAAGCGATATGGAAAAATAACCACCTATGTGTATTTTGAAAGAGACTTCATTGAGTTTTTCCTCTATTTGTTGAGCCAACAAATATTTATAGAGTACCTCCCATATTCAGAGAACTTGGAAATTCTGGTGTTGAAAAGAAACCACAAGAAAATCCTGTTCCAGTGTAGACAGACTTGTTCACTAGAGTACCATCTTGTGGGAACTGGCTGGTGGTGTTGGAGTTAAGTTTGAGCCCACCTGAGTGACTAGATCCAGACCCAGGTGAAAACTAGGCCTAGTTGATCCTACCTCAGGTGACTTCCTAAATCTCCTTAGGTGTCAGTTTCCTCTACTGGAATGCAGAGATTCACACCTCATCTCACCTAACTCTTGTGACGGTCACAAGACCCAGGCTAACCATAGGTTCCCTAAAGATGCGGTAAAGACAGAACAGCTTGACATGACATTGTGGATTTGTTACTTAGCAAACTTGGAGTTAGGGTGACCAACACTTACTTCCTGGTTTGCCTGGAACCTTCCTGGTTTTAACACTGAAAGTCCCACATCTCGGAACTCCTTTCTAGGTGAACCAGGATGCCTGGTCACCCTGCTGGGGTCAAGTGAGGTTGCCTTGTATGTCTCAGAGGATCTCTCCTCTCTTGACCTCTGGCTCAGTGGCTTTCAGATTAGCTGTGCTGGAGAAGCTTCAGAGATGGAAGAACTTGTTAAAATGCTGGTTCCTACTCAGGATCCCACAGACGTGGGGCAAGTGGTCCAGTGCCATGTCCTGAGCATCATTGCTTCTGCTGCACCTCTCCATGTAGAATCTGCTCTTGAAGAAACGCCAGGTTGCATATCTGGAGGGCCTTGTCTGCAGCAACTGTTTTCATATTTAAACGCTGCTGCAATAACCCTCTTCCACATACCATTTTTACAAAGGAAAATGGGAGAGCAATGCAGTGGCTTGTTTGAAGGAAACAGGAGGGAAGACAAGAACTCTGGAGAGATAGAATTACGGCTGTTCTCTGTACTCACTTTTGAACCTGATTTTTGTTTGATTTTGTTTCGATAAACTTTCCAAATAGCTAATGAATCCTTGAGCTGGTTTTGAGCCACAGTGGAGAGAGGGATCAGGACAAAGGCAGTCAAAATTGTCCTCATGAGGACTCCACGGGCGCAGACTGCAGCGTTGGGCTTCCTCCTGCAGGACTGCCCTCTCCCCTCCTGTGGTTTTAGCTTTCTTTGAACTCTGGCTACTGCCTGCTCTGCCACCCCTTCGGGCCCAGTGGTGTAGCAGCGCCACAGTTGCTAGTCGCTGGCTGTGTTGCCATCTCTTACATGGCGAACTGTCCCTTCACTGGCTCCCCCAACTACCTTCTGGACGTGCTACTGTTTCCTCCTGAATTGGAAAGCTGTGCAGAAGCAGTTCTATTGGAATAAGTGGACAGAAAAGAAATAGCATAAAAGTCACAGCTTGCAGGTAAACCGCTTTGAGGTCTTAAAACTGCATGTAGGAAGAGTTTGCAATACCTTGGACCAAATGCATGTTATATATATTGCATGTCTTCATGTGCATTAAGCAGCTCAAACAACAGATTACTCCATGTAGAAGATTAGACGAAAATACAACATGCATGGTGGGCCTAAAATATTAAATGCGTGGTGAGTCTTTACAGAGGGGTCTCTTTCTTCTTTCTACTTTTCAATTGATTTTAAATTTTCAACTTTGAGTATCTATAGATTTTAGAGTAGAAGAAAAACTGCAAAATGTGCATTAAAATATTCTTATAAGGAGGGTTTTCTTAAGGTCAGTGAAACTGAAAATAATACAATTTAGAAATATCAGCAAAGGTTACCTAATTAGGTAGGAGGAGAAATTATCCTAGAAGCAAGGTGTCTGGACTCAGTGAGGGTTATCTCTACCCAACAATTGTGCAGTTGCTTTTTTATCCCATATCCCCAGGTTGCTAAATCTTACTCCTAAAATCTTTTTTAAAGGTTTCTCCTATCTTTTGAACGCTTTGACTCAATACATTGCCCATGTACTGTCTACCTTGCTACTTTTTATTCACCCAACAAGTTCAACTTCAGCTTGCACTGCAGACTACTTAAAAGTTCTTTTGATAACTTAAGTTTCCCATCATGCCACGATTCATCGTCTGACTGGTGCTGCTTAAAGTTTAACTTGGACAGCTTGAGTGGGGCTCTGCAGGCTCCTGCTGGCACAGGAGTGGGCGGGACAGTCACAGGAGAAGGTGAGCTGAGGCTGAGCTTCGGGGAGCTTTCCGGGGTCAAGGAGACATTGGAAAACAGGAAGGGAAGCAAATCTGATGGCTGACATCTTCACAGTCGTGTGGTGAAGGGGAACTGGGGAGAAGAAAGAGGCTAGGAATAGAAAGAGAGACTTGGAGATGAGTCAGAGAGTGAAAAGGGATGGCAGAGGGCGGACGACACCCACACAATGACAAATCCCCAGATTTTTCAGGTGAAAAATGTCAACCACCTGTTGACATACTCCCATTCCCCAAAATAAAAGCTGCCCAGGTAATTTGCAATATTAATGCAGAATTTTGCATTTCAAAAAGCCTAGATTTTGGAGAGAACAAAAGGACCATTCTAGCTACAGCACTGCCAAATGCATGACCAGAGGTTGATTATTATCTACTATTGCTGGGCTTAGTGTCCTAGCCTGTAAAATGGGGATAAGGCAAAAGATTAGAGCATCTTTCTGCAGCAGCACTGAGGGAATTGTAGCTTTTGCTCTGGACTCAGGAGCCCTGAGTTCAAATCCTGGTTCCCTCACTTACTGAGTGAACTCAGTGAAGAGACCTTAATGCCTCCACCTTAGTTTCCTCACCTTGAAAAATGGGGATAACAATGCTTTAAATCTTACAGAGCTGTAGAGAAGCTAAGTGAGTAATAAAATCCCTGAAATGGTGCTTGGCAAGCGGGGAAAGCTACAGAAGTGTTCATTGTGTTTATTGTTATTATTTTTAATGCTCGTGATGGTAAAGATGTACTGGAATTTCTCATATTGTAGTATTTGTGGGTAGCAAGAATCAAGAAAAGTAAGCCCTTGCATTGCCATGTGATTTGTATCCTAACTTGTTGATGTCTTTGAAATAGGAATATGTTTCTAGAATTGTATGATCGAAAAAGGAAGCAACAAACTAGTTTACCTGTGGGTATATCATTGAACTTGCCACCCTTCATCCACCTACAGATGTTAAACCTATAGCCAGAGATCAATATTGTGTCTGCTTAGAACAGCCATCAGGACTCTGCTCTGAAAATATGAGTTTCTTTTTTTTTTTCTTTTCTTTGAAACAGAGTTTCGCTTTTGTTGCCCAGGCTGGAGTGCAATGCCGCGATCTCAGCTCACTGAAACCTCTGCCTCCCAGGTTCAAGCAATTCTCCTGCCTCAGCCTCCCAAGTAGCTTGGATTACAGGCATGCTTCACCATGCCTGGCTAATTTTGTATTTTTAGTAGAGACTGGGTTTCTCCACATTGGTCAGGCTGGTCTCGAACTCCCAACCTCAGGTGATCTGCCTGCCTCAGCCTCCCAAAGTGCTGGGATTACAGACGTGAGCCACCGCGGCAGGCCTTATGAGTTTCTTATACTGGATATATGCTACTATTACTACTGCTAACACTACTACTAATAATAATAATAATTAAAAACAGACACAGCTTTCTAAATATTTGGAAACCCAAGTCTATACAACCCAAGGACTACATATTTGTAGTCCTTCTAAAGTTTCCTTTCTGACTTTGCAGCATGTTCTGATGCCGTCTTAAAACTTTTTCTAAAGTGCCCTACTCAGAATCTCTTGCCTTTCTCTTTCCTTCACCCTGGCCATCTCCTCTTTCCCTGGTTAACTCCTACGAGGTCTCCAAGCCTTCCTTTGCTCCCCTTGGCCAGCCTCACTCCATCTTATTGGAATCACCTCTTTCTTTGTCTGCATCCTTACTAGTCTATGAGCTCTCCTAAGGGAAGGGATTAGGTCTTATTCATCTCCCTCTCTCCCACTCTGCACCATACCTGTGAGTAGAGGGTAGACAATAGTTAAATGAATAATTGAGCGAAGACATGAGTTGTCAGGATCAAGGAAACTCTTGAGCCAGGAGATGAATCAAGCCATCGGTGACTTTAAGAGACAAACAGAGGTCAACAGCTAAGGGAGTTGAGAAAATGGAGGTGCCAAGCAATTGAAGATAGATAGTCCAGGTTCTAGATCTAATGATTCTGGGATCCTGGCAGTGCTTTTCACCCTGTGGGTACGGTGAGATTTTCTTGAGCTGGGATCCTGAAAAGAGCCAGCCATTAATCCCATATAAAAATAAGGTCTGTCCAAAACCATTACAAAGGTATTTGAAAACTCAAGACATCAGGGGGGAAAACAGGCCTGAAATCCACCAATAATCTGAGATTTTGTAGCTTGTCCAGGTTGGAAGTGACCCTCTGGCTCACCTATGAGTCTTGGATATACAAATGATGCCACACATATACTCTACATAACATATGTCCCCGAGGAATGTACAAGACTGTATATTTCATGGAGTCAAGACCCCACTGCTATGCTAATTGTAGTATTTGTGCATAACTTTCCATATCTGTCTTCATGCTTCCCAAATTGCCCATTTATAACTCTTAATGCAAATGCCATTTTTAAAATCAATTCTTTCCTCTGTTAATTTAAAGACTTCAACAAATGTCAAGACAATACAGGCAATTCCAACCAAACAGCAGTTGGCAAGAGCCAAGATTTATGCTCTGTTTATATCATATTGAAATGCAACAATACCAGAAAGGAAAAAGAAAAAAGAACAAGCAAGAGACAAATCCACAAGGCTTTAGTGAATCATTTTGTCATCAAACAATACATTGAGACAGGGATCAGGACAAAATTTCGAGCTTAAACTTGTACTTCTCCACCGAGTACAACCAGGGTACCATGTGGTATAGCAGAGAGACAATCTAGAATCCTTACATATAGTGTTATTCATTCATTGAACTCTTATAAAATTTGATTGAGCACTTTCTGAGTATCAGATTCTGCTGGGTGCTTGAGATTCCTAAGTAAATGACACCATTGTCCATTGGGGGAACAGCATCCAGTAGGGTGCTTAAGACCACTAGATTCTAGCTGTGTTGCCACCATGCTTGGAAAAGGTTGACAGAAGTAACCCATTCAACACACTTCTTGGAGCCAAAGGAGCACTTTTTTTTTTTTTTTTTTTTTTGAGGTGGAGTCTTGCTCTGTCGCCCAGGCTGGAGCGCAGTGGCACAATCTCTGCTCACTGCAACTTCCGCCTCCCAAGTTCAAGCTATTCTTCTACCTCAGCCTCCCAGGTAGCTAGGACTACAGGCATGCGCCACTATGCCCGGCTAATTTTTTTTTTTTTTTTTTGTATTTTTAGTACAGATGGGGTTTCACCATGCTGGCCAGGCTGACCTCAAACTCCTGACCTCAAGTAATCTGCCCGCCTTAGCCTCCCAAAGTGCTGGGATTACAGACATGAGCCACTGCACCCGGCCTGGAGCACTTTCAGTAGTTACTACATTTGTTTAAGGTAAAGTATGGATGCGAGGAACTAGACCCAAAATTACAGTGACCTAAGCAATCAGAGCTTTTTTTCTCTCACCTACGTGGAGGCAGGCAGGCCAGGATTGGGATGGTGCCCTATGGAGTCAGTCTCCTTCTATGTTGCTATACTCTGTATATGCCTCCATTTCCAAGGTGGCTGGTCCTGTGCTAGTGGAAGAGAAAATCGGAGTGTTTTCCAGGAATTTTACAGGCCACTTTCACTTTTATCAGGCTGGACCCATAGCACATGGCTTTGCATAGCTACACAGGACTGTGGGAAAATGCACAGTATTAAGGTTACCCTTGCGTCAGCCAGAATTCTGTAACTATGGAAGAGGAGGCATGGATATTGGGGGTATTCACAGCCTACACAGGTCTCTTCCGTCCTTCATCACTGGATAACTGGACTCAGTTTACCCATCTTGAATCTTCCTTTTCTTATCCATAAAACAGTAGGTCCAAGTAGATGGATTCAAGGGCACCTCTCACTCCCAAAAACTATGAAGTGAAAGAACACACCCATGAAAATAAATGAATAACATCTTGGGATTGTTTAAAGTATACAAAATGAACACCACTTTACCGCTTGTTAAAAACACAGAGCACTCATCCATGCCAGTGAATATTATTAGTTCTTGGTCATTGGAATCAAAATTTCCCTGACCGCACCGTCTTTGCAGCATTTTGACTGAAGTTTTCCCTGGTTCATTCATTTTCGGTACTGGCTTTATCACCTTAAGTGACAGAAGCATTTTGTGCCTTTCTGTGTCTTTCTTGAATTTCAAAACTGTTCTCATCAAAAGTTGGCATTGCCTTTTTCCAGGGAAACCCAGCCGAACCAGAGAATAACCTAATCAGCAGGTTTCAGAGGAAATTAAAGTCGGATCACTGCCTACCGCACCCCATCCAGCTGCAACGAGACATGCCTTATCAATGTTTCTTTTTTAATGTTCAGACATGTTACGTTAAGCCAGCTTATGCAGGGAAAGAATTTACTGATTAGTTCCTGATTTGCTCCATAATTGGTTATGGCAATGGCTTCCACTATGCTAGCTAAATAAAAAATAATTTTTAAAAAAAGCTTACAGGTAATTTGTTGCAAGGCATTTGACAAAGGTACAGGTCCCATCACACAAGAATCATAGTTAAACTTAATGATGACTCCATCTAAAGTTTTTATTTATAGCTAATGCAAACGTTTAAAAAATGTACAGACATTAATTATTAGCAGGGTTTTTTTAAGCCGAAAGTAAGAGTTGAATAAACGTACTTTAAGACACTTAAAGCAGAGGCATTCTTTATAAAATGACTAGCTAAAGAGTCCCTTGGGTTGCCTTTTAACGGCTTTCAAAGCTCTAATAGCACTTTTTCCACCAAAGACACACCCCTTGAATCCTCTGAGAGATACAATAGCATAATTGTTCTTTTAGGTTTCAAGGCCTTGACATATCTGTCAGGGAAAGAATAGTGAATAATAATACCAGAACTATTTTATGCAAATTCCACTTAGAGGTTTCAAGATTTCCCTGAGACGGATCTTGCCCTCTTGTTGACACTTGCATTGTCACATCAGCTTTACATAAGAAAGTGGTGAGAGTTTGCCTTTTGTTAAATAATTCTCATTTTAAAAAAATCTTTAGATAAAGTTAAAAAACAAATACAAAAACAATGAGATGGAAACATCAATTTGGAGATGTATCAAAGGGAAAAACAGTATTCACTGGAATGATTTTTGCCCCCTGCAGCTAATCACTTTGCCAATGAAATTCTTTTTTAACTTAAACCATGATGGCATAAAAGGGATGTTTATGAAGATGCAATCTATGCAAACACACATGTTACATGACCCAGCACACAGGCCACATGGATGTATTTTCCAAAGGCCCGAGTTCTTCATTCACCTTCCTCCCGATGAAAGGTGCTTACAGCAATCACATCTCTACAGCACATCGATTAATACAGTTAATCCAAAAAGCAACCCATTAGTCTTGGAAGCAGATCACAGGGTCAAATAGCAAAAAGAAAATACATAATGTTAGTGCTAAAAGACACCTGTGAGCTCATCAACGCCTACAGCCCTCCAGCAATTGAGAAAATCCTTATTAGGCTATCAAAATACAAATCACAAATAAGGTTCATTTCCTCCAAAACAAAGGACAAGAAAACTCCACTCATGTAGAAAGGAGTCCAAATGATTAGCAACTTGGCTGCCCATGAAGAGAGATCATCCCACATTATACATTCATTCACCCATGCATTCATTGACTCATTTATGCTTCAAATCTTTACTGGCCACCCTCTATGGTGCTAGATCTACAATTGGGTTCTGGAAATTCAAACATGTATTAGACATATTCCCTGTTCTCCAGGACTCATAATCCAGTGAGACACATAAATAAATGAATATGTGTCCAAGCCAAGGAATGCCTGGAACCACCAGAAGCTGGAAGACATTGGGGAGGACTCTTCTCCCACAGCATTTGAAGGGAGTGCAGTCTTGTGGGCATCCAGATAGTCTATTAGGTTGGTGCAAAAATAATTATGGTTTTGCCACTACTTTTGCACCAACCTTATAGTCTAGGCTGATCTGAGTGATTCACTGTAGCTAATAGAAGACAACAGATGTGACCATGTGTGACTTCAAGAACAAACAAACATAATAGCAAACACATTGCTTCCACTTTGTTCACTATAGAACAGTCATGCTTGGAGCCCAGAGTGGCCATGTGAGAAGCCTCAATATCCTTAGGCAGCCACGCTGTGAGGAAGCCCAGGCCACATGAAGAGGCTGTGTGTATGTTATCTCATCAACAACCCCAGGTACCAGGGATGTGAATGAAGATGCTACCAGATGATTCCAGACCTGGGCCTTTGAGTCACCACTGCTGCTTGAGTCTCCCTGGCTGAGGCCTCAGAGATCCTGTGCCATGGGAGATTGGCCTAGCTGGTCTCCTTTTCCAAATTCTTAACCAACAGAATGTGTGAACATCATAAAATGGTGGCTGTAAACTGCTAAGTTTAAAGGTCCAATGGGCTGAAAGTGTCCCCCTCAAAATTCATGTATTGAAATTCCAACCCCCAAGGTGTTGGTATTTGAAAGTGGGGCCTTTAGGAAATGATTAGGTCAAGAGCATGGAGCCGCATGAATGAGATCAGTGCCCTGAATAAAGGGACCCTGGAGAGCTCTGTAGCCCTCTTTCCCACATGTGAGACTATAATGAGAAGACGGCAGTCCGCACACCAAAGGAGAGCCCTCACTAGAACTGGCCCATGCTGGCACCTTGATCTTGAATTTCCAGCCTCCACAACTATGAGAAATAAATATCTGTTTTTTATAAGCCACCAGTCCATAGTGTTTTGTCATAGCAGTGCAATCTGACTAATGTGAGGGATGACTTGTACACACCGATAGTAACTGGAACATCGGCAGCAGAGGTTGGGCAGAGGTGTGTCTCTGGCTCTCCTGGGTGAGTCAGCACAGAGTTGCTCACTGCCGCCTCTTGAAAAGGTCACCTCCTCCTACTCTATTCAGCTGAATCTCAAGGCCAAGGTGAGAGAAACACAGTCACATTCCACGAGTGCAAAATAAAGGGCATTGACTCAAAGCAAGCAGTGCCCTGGAGGGCAGCTAAGTATGGTGCAGAGTGGTGATTTCGGTCTCAGAGAGACCTACAGATCTGTATCCAAGTCGCGCCTACATGTGTCTAGTTTCCCTGGCTGTGTGACCTTGGGTATGCAACTCAACTTCTCTGAACTGCAGTTTCCTCATCTGTACAGTGAGGGGGTAATTACTGTCATGACACAATCTAATGCAGGTCTGGGGTCTGGTCTTGTATGTAATTGTCTCTCAATAAATGGTGGCTATTCCCATTCTCAATATTTTTCAGCGTGGCCCATTATACATACACCCTAAACATCTGATGTTGAACATTGCACAGTGGATGTGAGATTCTGTTTCATCCTCACCTGGATGGGAGAAAACCACATTTGAGCCAGGAAGAGGAGAGACCTGCAAGCTCATGTATCAATTTAGTATCTCCCCTGGGGGGACCAAGAGGCTTAATGTTTGTAAAGTACTTTGAGATCCTGAAAGCAAAGACTTTATACAAATGTGAGATAATCATGATAATTAAACCACTGTTATTGAATACAGCGAGGCCTTATTGTTCCCTCATCCTGCAGTGAGCAAACTCCTGGCGGACTCTGTAGCACACTGAAGAGATAATTTGCTAAATCATATACCACTGCCCTGAAAGCCTCACCCACCTACAGCCAGGGACAGGCTCATACCCAACAATACCACTAATAGCAGACCCCTCTTGGTACAGGACTTTATAGTTTACAAAGCAGCTTCAGATAGCTTCTCCCACTCAGTGTCTGCAGGACAAGGAAGGATGGAAATAGGGAAAATTATACCCGCTTGATAGATGGGGAACTTGGAGAACAGATTTGTCTAAGGTCCCACAGCAAGGAAGGTTAGAGAATCTAAAATCTGGAAAACACGTTCCACATTTAGACCAATGCTCCATTTTGCAAATGAGAACACCGAGATTCAAAGAGGTGAAACAACTTGCCCCGGGGCCACGCGAGCCTGCAGGGCACCTTTGTGCAAACTGAAAAAACACACACTCCTGGGCTGACACACACAGTCCAGGTTTTGGCCAAAGGGTGTATTTCAGCCCCACTTGCCTAGCCTGGGGCCCCGTTTGTGATTCAGGAATACTGCTGTGTTTGAACATACAGGTTTTATTCTTATTTATATACGCGGTCAGCAGATCAGGAGATGATTGTTGTTGAAAGGTAGCTTGCTATACTCACAGACCGCAAGAGGAAGGGAGGTACCACACCATGGTTGGGGGGCCCAAGAGGAAGCCAGGGGCTGGTCAGGAGGCGGAAGGAGGGGTGGGAGAGAACACAGGCAAGAATCTTTACTGTGGTGTTCTCTGGAAGAATGGCAGGGTAGGCTAGACAGGTTTAGAAGTGGCTTGTTTGAATAAAGTGGGCTGTGGGGCATGGAGGCTACCCTTAGTTATTTAGTACCCACCCAGATGATTAGGGCAGGAGAACAGTGACCAGGAGTGTAAGCGCTGAATAAAGGAGGTGGTTGGGAGTGTGAGCTCCGATTGGTTGGTTTGCACATGAAAAGCCTGCTCCACGGGTAACTTACTTGCTATCTCTAGGACTTAACTAACCCTAGGAGGGGCAGTCTCTCCAGAGTCAGTAAGTATCCGAGATAGCAAAATATGAAAAACACAGAATAAAAAAACATTATTAGTATAGGCTGAAAAGGACTTTCACAGACCCGGGTAACCAACGCAACCATTTCAGATGAGAAATCTGAAGTTTGATAAGTGAAGTAACCAGGCCTTCACTGTCAATTGGTGGTAACCACAGTGATTTCAGAAAGAATGCTGACCATGCCCTGTGCTTACAGTCCTTCCTATTTTCATGGTTTGAACAACAGTCTCCAAGCACCTTAATTTAGGGACCATGGTCCTCAACCATTCCTAATCTCAAAGTTTATGCTCTGGGAGTTCAGAGGAGTGGCTAAGACATTTCTCTCACAGCTTGCTGTTTCATACCTTTGCTCACTCTCTTTCTGCCTAAAATTCCTTTCTACACCTTCCTGCCACAAGACCTTCTCTGTATCTTTTAAGACTCAGCTCAGAGCTGACTCGTTCTCAGAAGCTTTGGCTGAAGTCCCCCGGGGTGGACTTAGTGTCTTGACCTTCAGCTCCCAGGCACCTGTGCTCAGCTTGCCCATAGCCTCACTAAGGCAGTGACATTTTTTTGATGAGTTCCTGTCCTCCAGGAGACAGCCAGCTGCTTGAAAGCAGGGACCACAATCCACTCATCAGTCCATCCTCAGCACCCAGCATAATGGGTAGCCCATAGGAGCACTCAAGCATTAAACAAAAACACCACCTAGCAGAAAGTACTCCTATCCAGTGCTCCTTGCATTACACCACACTGCCGTGGCTTCTCTCTTCCTAGATATCCTCCATGAAGTCACTCCTCGATTCCCCTAAGAGCAGAAAGGATTATACCTTGAGCAACACTTTTCATAAAACATCTAGTTTAGACTTGTGCGATAGCTGTAATTGCCTTTGCTTGATTTTATTTTGTATTTTGTTCCTTTGTCAGAGTCAGCTGGATTTTCCAAGGGAGAAAAGATCTGCATTTCCAAACCATCAGCTCTAAATCGCACTCCCTTAACCTCCTTTATACCTGCATATGTACAACTAGGACTTGTTTGTCTGGGTGCATTTCTTTTCCTGCTGATTTAGAATCTACAAATAGATATCTTCTTCTAAAATATACCTTTCCCCAAAGCCAACTTACTGAATCAAACTCATTATCTTAAGACACCTCTATGGCCAAAGGTTATGCTTTTTGGAGCTATATTAATCTCTTTGTCTAAACAACACAGGCTTAATTGGTTTAGATCAGAGTTGTACTGTTTTGAGTAAAAGGGTGTGATTAATGTGCGCTAAAGGTGGTTGGACAGGCACAGACTAATTCAGTAGCACGCACAAGCCTCTTATCATCAGAGCTGACAGGGCTTGGGGAAACCTGCCCCCGGGAACAAGTTTCCTCTCAAGAAAAACAAGACCTGATTGGTCCCCCCAGACCAATCAGGGCACCACAGACATTTTCCCCAGCCTCTCTGCCCAGTGGAGAGGCCCAGCGAGTGCTTGGCGGGATGGAAAGAAGTTTCTACTCCACAGGAAGTCGGGTTCTTTTGGGATCGCCATACAGGAGACGAAGTCATTGCCCCTTACTTACTTTGTCTCATTTATTAATACTTTTAATGGCAAAACTCGCAATTACTTTTGCATCAACCTAATGGAACAATGTTTGATGACTCCCTGGCAAGGCGACTGGACTGCCTCTCTTCCTCTTGCCCTCCTCCACCCCAAATCCACGGGCCAGCCCTTTTTACCCAGCACTGAGCCCCTTAGTCTAACCTCTGCGGATTGCCTGTGTGAGGACCCTTGCCCCTGGTCCCAGATCTAGTTAAGGGGGCACAGCAAGAGACGTGAGAGCAAAAGCAGGGCAAGGACGGGAACGAACTTCTTCCGTAGAACGCCGTGGGTTGGATATGCGGCTACAGTCTTCCCCACACAGCACTCTGTCTGGGTCTGGGAAAGTGCTCCCTTCTCTTGCCCTTCAGACCAAGGTGTGGAAACAGCCTCTAGTTCTAGTCCCAGCTACTGCATCATACCTGGTTAGTTCCTATAACTTATCGCCCATCAGCTTTGTGCTAAAGGTTTTACATACATTCATTTATTTAACTCTCAGAAGTCCTACCACATAGATAGACACTGTTCTTGCTCCGTTTTACAGGTGAGGGAACTGAGGCACACAGAAGCTGAGTGAATCGGGGAGCTCCCCCAGGCCACCTGTCACCAGCCCTCAGGCTTTCACCCACATACATGGCAAGAGAGAAAGGGGAAGGAATTCCAAAGTGAGAAAACAGAAGAAAGAGAACATAAGAGTCTGCCACTAGGAAAAATCAAGAAACACTGAAAAGTCCAGTGAGGCTGGGAACGAGAGTGGGAAGTAGGTCAGAAGAAGAAGTGGCTGGGATGAGGCTGGGATAAAACTTTGAATCCCTCCTCTGCACTCTACATGTTTGAATCAACATGATTCATACTTGTTGAGGATGTCTTGTGGGAAGATGCAAGCAAATGAGATAATAGTCCTGTCCTCCCAGGGTAAGGGTGGAGACATGCACCTGCAATCCAATTCGGCTGGTGCCATAGGACAAAACGAACAAAGGACTATATGACTGCAGAGGCAGAAGGTTCTAATTCCATTTGGCAGGTCTAGAACTATGATGAGGCGGATGAGACATTTGCCTTGGGTGCAGAATTTGAGGGGGCATCAAAACACTGTAACCAAGATTAATGTTTGAATGCACTAAAAAAAATCAAAGTTAATGCAAAAAATCCACAGTGAACAAAAGATCAAAATTTTAAACAAAGACAGGCTCAGTCTCACTTGTTTTTCCCTTTGCCTTGGGCTCCAATATAGCTGAGCTTTTCTGATCCCATATTTATTTAAAATTTTGATCTTTTGTGCACGATGGATTTTTGTGCATGACAGATTTTTTTGCATTAACTTTGAATTTTTTAAAGAGCATTCAAATATTATTTACCTTGATGACCGAGTTGTTCAGTATTGTCTTCAATTTTGCACCCAGGATGAGTGGCTTGCTTTCCTCACGCTAGTCCCAGCCTGCTATCTGGGGCACTTAACCTTGGACTTACTGCTGTGGACCTCAGATGGTCACAGGTATAAAGTAGATTTGGTTTGCAGCATGGAACAATCACTCAGCAGAGTGGAGAATTGACCAGGGAAGGTCAGTAGGAAGAGGCAAAAGACAAGATGTTCCTGCAATATTCCTGCAGGTTCAGAGTTCTAAGAGAGTCAAGCAATTGCCCAGGTCCCTGGACATGGACGAAAAGCTTTTTTTGTGTGCATGATCACGGGCTGTTTCTTCACTTCTTGGCCTATTTCCTCTACCAAATTGTGAGCAGATGCGTGTTAAATTAGGATTAATGGAGCTCCTTTGTGATGCATTGAATTTGAACTGTGCACAGTAATAGTTTCATAACACATCATTCAACCTTTCTAAGAGGTTAAAAATTATATACTTAAAGCTTTAGCATATTTGTCTACAGTCTGAATGATTCCAAATGGGAATGATCAGTCCACTTCATTAAGGGAAGACTGGTTAAAAAAACACAACACACAAAACAAAACAGCAATGAGTGTCTCATGCCAGTTTAGAGCCCAGTGGCATTTTTAGTATAAACATCCAGGGTTTTCTTTAAAAAATATAGAATTAGCATGGGCTTCCCTCACTTATTGTAGCCACATTTTTTGTACTATATATTCGGGTTGGATTCTTTGCACATTGCTTAGTTCCTGGAAAATCTTTAGAGAGGTCTGGACTGCATAGTTATAAAAATTATTATAATGCATTTTCTGTGCATATTAAATTATCTCCCCGGACTGATAAAAGGTTGAAAAGCTATTATTCTTTATTCTTCAGTTTACTACAACCCTAAAGTAATAGCATTCTATTAAAGTTTATTGATTGCTCCCACTGTTAACTAGCAAGTTGGTATATAAAAATAAAACAGAGAAATCTGCCGTTTCTTCCTTGTTGCTTTTTGCAGCACGTGTGTCTTGAGTAAGATTTCAAAGGATGCATGTTGACTGTAGTCTGATGAATCACTGCAGGTTGGGGAGGTTTTGGTTTAATTGTTTATTTTTAACTGTTTCTTGTTTTTCTATTTCTAAGACTTTTGTGTTTTTGAGAAAGATTTTAGTCTAGTTTCTCTCTCTCTCTCTCTCTCTCTCTCTCTCTCTCTCTTTTAAAGAAAAACCATGAGGTCTGTCTGGGAAAGGGGAAAGGGTAATGGAATAAAACACCTATTGGTTGTATGATTCATCCAAAAACACTTGACCCACTTACTATGTGCCAGGCACTGTTCTAGGCATAAAAGATTTAACAGTGAAGAAAACAAACAGGGGCCACTCCTGTGACACTTATGTCCAATGATGGCAAGATAGGTGATAAGTAAACAAGGAAATGCAATAATCAGATGGCAATAATAATAATAATAATAATAATAATAATAATAATAATGCTATAAGGAAAGCAAAACGGGATAAGGGAATAGAGAGTGATGGATGTTATCTTGGATTATGAGGTCAAGAAAGCCCATTCTGGTGGGTAGCATTTCAAACCCCAAAGTGGTAAGGGAGCCAGCCATGCAGATATCCATGCAAAGGAAATTCAAGGGGCTTAGCAAGAATGTCACCTTAGCCTGACCATAGTCAACAGGTGCACAAGTGGTTTTTGCACCGCCTACTACAGAGCATCCATTACATCAGACCCTGGGAATAGATTGACAATAAACCAATGAAACACAGCCTTTGCCTTCCAGATCCCACAGTCTAGTGAGGGGATCATCATGTGAAGAGAGTATCAGGCAGCCTGAAAGCCTTAGAGGGGTAAACCATCTCACACACACTCATCACAGCTATTTTCTGGTACCCTATGGTAAGCACTGGGCTAGGGTTAGACAAGAGGCATTGCAGGAATCCAGAGAAGAGAATGTCTTCTGTTTGCTGGAGCAGGCAAAGGAAAAGTAGAAATAAGGAAAGTACCAAGCAAAGAGACCTTCCTGTGGGTGTGAGCCACTGTGGTGGGTGGATGAGGACAGCCAGAGGCAGTTCAGCAGGGCGGCATGAGGAAAAGCCAGCGGGGGACAGGAACAGGGTTGAGTTGGTGGACAATCATCAGCTTTTTTTTCTGGTGGGTGATGGCAGTTGGAAAGATTTCAGATGGGGAAGCAACTTTGTCAGATATTAATATTTACTAATTTAGAAAGACAGATCTGGCAGCCTAGTGGGAAAGGCTAGAAGAGAGAGTTTTAGAAGCAGAGATGGCAAAGTTCTGACTCAGTATCCTCACTGTAACATGAGACCAATGGTTGAGAGAATCTCTGAGTTTCCAACCAGCTCTAAAATTTAGGAACTCTAAGATATTAGTAGGTAACTTAAAAGTACTCTTTCTCTCTCTTTCTCTCTCTCTCTTTGGCACAGATTTTAGAATTTTCCCAAACTAGTCTGTGCTTTGATCCAATGAGTGGCTATAAGTCCTGCATATTGACTGTGGAATACAAAATGCCTCTATTTTTTTTTAACACAATGATGCTTTCCCCTCAGCTTGCTTCAGCTGGACATGCATGTGTGTCTGTCTTTGTTCCCAAGGTTTTGTTGTTGTTGTTGTTGTTTGAGATGGAGTCTCACTCTTTCACTCAGGCTGGAGTGCAGTGGTGTGATCTCAGCTCACTACAACCTCCACCTCCTGGGTTTAAGCAATTCTTCTGCCTCAGACTCCTGAGTAGCTGGGACTACAGGCACGCACCAGGGCACCCAGCTAATTTTTGTATTTTTAGTAGAGATCGGGTTTCACCATGTTGGCCAGGCTTGTCTCGAACTCCTGACCTCAGGTGATCTGCCCGCCTCAGCCTCCCAAAGTGCTGGGATTACAGGTGTGAGCCACCGCATCTGGCCTGTTCCCAAAGTTAATGCTTATTTTTTTCCCTCCCCTTTCCCTCTCTCTGCAAATTATAGTGAGTTTTGTATTTGTCGTATTCATCCAAGTTACACTTCTCCTATCCAAAGTAATGATCCCAGCCTTGAAATATTTGGGCCCAAGGCGCGCAGAGGTGAAGCAGATGTGGGAAGCATGCACTTCATTATTATCCTCATGTAAAATTCTAAAAAGCGAAAACCGGGTAACATAAAATGTGACACAAAGGAGAGACACAGGTCGGGGCTTCCAGGACACAGGCTAAAGATCATTTGTGGAGAGCAGGAGTGAATCTTGCTTGTCAGAGAGTGCCCTGAAACCTTCCATGGTGCCTGCAGTGAAGTCTGTACAGAGTTTGTTCCAAATCTCCAAGTCAATTAATGTGCAACCTGTGGCGCTTTAACTTTACTAGGAAGAAGGACCAGATGCTGAATCTTCCTGCCTCAACTGTCTGTGATACAGCAGAATAGAATTGGATGAGGTGTCGTGGCAGAGGCATGTTTTCCAAAATGTGAGCTCTTTTTTCCAATGTGGAGAGCTGTCATCGAGAAGCCACTGCCCAGACAGGGACTCTGTTGCCCAGGCTCCTTCCCATCTAGGTGTGTCCATGTGACCAGTTGCTTCCAGTGACATGTAAGTAGTGGTTAAGAAGCTGGTGCACCTTCTCCAGGGTCTCCTCCTACCCACCAACTGGGCAGAGGAGAGCAGGGTCACCAGGTGGAAGGAGCCTGAATCCCTGAATCACCAAGTGGAGGCAGGCCAGACACAAACACCCACACCAATCTCATGTGTGAGCACAAAATAAACTTCTATTGTGCTGGCCACTAAAAGGTTGTGGTTTGTTAGGGCGATTAGCATCATCCCAAATGATAGAGAAGTCAACTCAAGACACTTGCAAGTGGGTATTGATGTTGGTGCCTGAGGGACATCGCTTGACCTTCTGGGACTCAATTGACTTGTCATATGTGAGTATTCTTGATGGGTCACGAAGTCTCCATATTATAACTCTGTGAATGTCAAGGTGTCATGGAGACCTGGAAGACAGAGCCAAGTTGAGCAGCTTGACCTTTAATTTATAAACTTGGGATAATAATAATACTCTCTCTCCAGTTGTAATGAAGATTAAATTAGATAATACATAGAGATCACTTAGCACAGTGCCCGGCAGATTATTGTTGTTGTTATTGTTATTACTATTTTAATATAATTCTGCAGTACTGAGTAGTGGCTATTATGACTGCTATGATTTCTACAAATCAGAGGAGAAAGCAGAGACAGGCAAATTAACTAAGTTTGCAGGGTTGGTAAGAGAAAGGACCTCAATTCCAGATCCACCTCTAAGCTTTTCCCCTCCATGCAGTCCTGCTGGGCTCTGCCCTGCACCTGCCCAGGCCCTATAGCTCTGAGCTGATTAGACTCAAGGCAAGAGTGAAACACATCCAAATGAAAGATGTTTGAGTTAATTGGCTTTTCCTCCAAGACAGATTTCTTTTTGACAGGCAGCAGGACATGAGGCAAGAACAACTTGTTCCGCATCCTGTTGTATAAATAGGGATGGGACAAATGGTTTGGCTAAAATAAGCACAGGCCTGAAACTTTACCAAAGCTGGAACCAAATCCAGAAGGATTTTTTTTTCATTTCTTTATCTTGCTCTCTCTTAATTATTATTTTTGAAGAAAAAAATAGTCCATTCCAATTTTGTTCTCTGCGGTCACTTGTTTTGTCCAAAATAAAAGGTCAAAACATATAGCAAACTTGAATAAAAAGGGGAAATAAAAACACCCACCAGGATTTTTAAAACAAAGAAAGAAAAATCAAGAAACAAGATGCGTTTTGGTTCTGGTTTGCAGGAAGTCTCTTGGAATGGCGATTCTTAGCTCCCCAGTATGGAGCTTACATCTCATGACTAAGTCAAGGAAACTCAGCCAGATGGATGGAGGGTCAAACATCTCTGATAAATATTGCTTCTTGGCGGTTTAATGATAGCTCTTCCTTTCTCAGGGGAAAAAGGGGTCTTTAATGACTCAAATGGACATTTTTATTTGCTTGACAGCCCTTGGATGCCCAAGGGCTCAGAGTTCAAAGCTATAGAGCCAAGTTCATTCTCCCACTCTGAACCTTCTTCTTTTTCAGAGACACAAAGCAAGCTTTCCATCTTCTCAGAGCTTTAACTGGGAAGGCAACAAAAACAAGAAATGGGTACCTCATTCTTAAGTGTCCAAGCACAGAATGGGCAGCTGCTTGGCAAGGTCATTGGAAAAAGGAAACAAAACTGGCTGAAGCATTAGACTAGATTGGTCATTCCCAGCCACAAGTTTTTGCACCAGTGGTAGATCCTTTTTGATCTGGGGAAGCACGTGCAGAAAAGGTGCACATGAAAGCCCCATGGCAGGTGTTCCTTGAGGTCTCTTAACTCCAAGAATCTGTGATTCTCATACCTGGTAATAGCATCATGCTCCAGAGAAATAGTGCTTATTGAAATGATAATGACTGGGGAACCCCATGGAAAATGGTCACACAGCAGTGTTACTAGAAGTCAGATGCAAAGATGATGAGATTTATCCATAAAAAGACAGTTATACTTTTCCTAAGTAGTATTTGAAACCACATCTTGCCTTGCCACATGTTAAAACATATTCTAAAATGACACTTACTGAAATGGTGTGGTAAGAACAGAAAGACTTGACATCCCAGTCACTGGGACAATGTGAAAAGCCCAGATAACTGGTGAAGGTGCAAAGATTCTGTCTTGTCTCAGTATATTGCTAGGAACAAGCAGGTGTCTGGCATATATTAACAACTGACAAATATTTATTGAGTGAATCAGAAGTGAGAAAGTAAAAATGGAGTGCTTATTTAGTAAAATCATTTTAAATAATTGCTTAGTGATTTCAGAGAAACATCTATTTAGATTCAAATTGTATTCTATAATACAGAATAGATTCTGATAGATAGATTTAAATATACAAAAAATTTAGACCAGGCACAGTGACTCACACTTGTAATCCCAGTGGTTTGGGAGGTCAAAGTGGGAGGATCACTTGAGCCCAGGAGTTTCAGGTTGCAGTGAGCTATGATCGTGTCACTGCACTCCAGCCTGGATGACAGAGCAAAGTCCCATCTCTTAAAAAAATTATTTTAAACTAAATATTGGCTAAAGATTAAACTTTCAGAATTCTGGAGGATTGCAAACATTCTGAGCTTTGACGTGCCAGAAGAAATCACAACAGAAAAGACTATTATTTCCCTGTATATAATAAATAAACTGTATAAATAAATAACTGGGTATAACTGGTTATAAATAAATGATTCCAATAAATGACTGGGTAAGAGTGAAGGACAGACTTCCAAAAAAAAGAAAATACAAATACAAATAATAAATAAGCAGGAAAAAATACCTTTTCATTGTAATAATGAAAGAAATGCAAGTTAAAGTAAGCTTAAACTCCAACACTGAGGAAACTGATTAATAATGCATAATTATCTCCAAATGAAGTATTACCCAGCTCCTAAAAATAAATCAAGAGCATGCAAAAACATAAGGAAAAGTTAATGATAAAAATTTAAGTAATAGAAAGTCAAATTCAAAAGAAACAGTGTGATACAATCACAATTAAGTGAAATATTAGAAAAACGATGTGAAAGTGAAAATAATTGTGTTGAAGGGGCTGGCTTGGATGTTAAGAATGGAGTTTCTTGTTGCTATATTTTTCAGAGTTGTCATTAGTACTGTTGCGGTCCACACACACACACACACAAACACACACACACACACACACACACACACAATACAAAAGCAAGGAAAAAAAAGAGGAAATTGTCATTTATCAATGTGGATCTCTGGAAAGTAGAAAACAAAATAGGTCATTCTTGTTGCCAAGGAGCACTGTGTATAGACAGCGCCTATCAGCCCAACCCCATGAAATTTAGATATAAAGGGCTCAATTGATAAAGACCATCATGGCGGAGGATAATTTAATTTTGATAACCAGCACCCCTTCTTATAGAAGGCAAACATTCTAGACCTTCCTGGGTTTGAAGTTAAGCTCAGCCATTTCAGGGCTGTGTGACCATGGGTGAGTCACTTAACCTCTCTGTTTCCATTTCTTTTTCTCTAAAATAAGGATCATAATGTCCACCTAACCCAGAAAATGGCTAGGAGGATCTGAGATAATGTTCAATTAACATCATTTGCCTTCCACTCATCATCGATTTTTATCTCTTTGCCTGCTGGATAAAGATGGGTCATTAATCAGACCTCATTGGAAAGCAAGAAAAACGGGTGGAAACTGGAGATAAATCATGATTTTTCTTTTCTTTTCTTTTCTTTTCTCTCTTTCTTTCTTTTTTTTTTTTTTTTTTTTTTGATACGGAGTTTCATTCTTGTTGCCCAGGCTGGAGTGCAATGGCAAGATCTTGGCTCACCGCAACCTCCGCCTCCTAGGTCCAAGCGATTCTCCTGCCTCAGCCTCCCAAGTAGCTGGGATTACAGGCATGCACCACCATGCCCGGGTAATTTTGTATTTTTAGTAGAGATAGTGTTTCTCCATGTTGGTCAGGCTGGCCTCGAACTCCCGACCTCAGGTGATCCGCCCACCTCGGCCTCCCAAAGTGCTGGGATTACAAGCATGAGCCACCACGCCCTGCCCAAATCATGATTTTTCAAATTTTGTTCTCCAGACCCCTGAGAAGGTTTTCATCAAGTAATTGCTGTTGGGTGAGGCTGCCTTAACCTCCTGAGACGTCCGGGCCATTCCACCTGGTCCTGCTCAGAAGAAGAGAGGCTCTTTGGCTCTCTCTCATCCGAGTGCCCTTCACCAGCCTGGAGCTGCCAACAATCAGCAAATCAGCCTCCCTTCTCCCAGCTAAACACCACTGTGTTAATTGGGCTCATTTTCTAACCCAAATGCAAGTGGTGTACATAATGCAACTTCAGGAGCTTGACATTTGAAATTCATGCTGAGAAAGCAGAGAGAGCGCTCCAGGCAATGAGAGGAGAGGAAAACCAACCTTGGCCGGTCTGGAGAAAATCAGAGCTTCCTGGGGTTAGAGGCACGCACTGAACCGTGGAGTTCAGAGCTGAATATGACCCCAGCCACCCACCGAGCTCTGCTTGCTGGAGAACTGACTTAGTGCCACCTCCCTGGAGGCCCAGTCCAGTGCTCAGTATTCATCTGTTGAACAAGTCAGTGAATAAAGAGGCTGAGAATCAGAGAAGACAAGCAACTTCTCCACGGCCGCACAGCCAGTCAGAGGCCCACAAGGAGGATAGCGCAGCTGGTGTTCCCGTGTGCTATGATCATCTTTCTCTTCGTCATGTGGAATCCTGGCCTGCACCCTGTAAATAGGGAGGCTAGTGTTCACCAAGCCAGCTTTCTTGGGAGTCAGGGGCCACCGGGCTGTCTGGTCCTCCTTGGTCCAGCCAAGGAGGCCAGTGGTACGTCAGCCAGGAGAGGCAGGAACCAAGACGGGGTGGTCACATTTCTCTCAGGTTCTGTTCGCTGAACTTTTCTCCTGATTCCACTGTGAGTTGTCCCCACAGCTTGCATTTTGACAAATCATGAAGAAGCCATTGCTGGTGCTAAGTGAGGGCCTCTTATGCTCCTCTAGCCCAACCCACAGAGTAACATGGAGTGAAACATGAGGCAATGGTGCCCATTCCACAGATGAGGAAACTGACGCCCAGAGAGACAAAGTGCCGCCCCCAGGCTCACAGGCAGGCCAGCCGCAGCCCCAGGCCTGGGACACACATTTCCTGACCCCAGACCCGGAATTGTCCCAGCTTCTTCTTGTCTTTCAAATGCAACATCAAACCAAAGCTGATCAGCTGAGTCTGAAATAATGAAAGAAATGAATCTTCACAGACCAAAAGATGTGAACTAGGTCTAATCTGCTGTCAGTTCTGGTGGGTTGGTCCTGTGTGGAGAAAGCGTCTGAAGCCTGTGTGGAGGGTTCTGATTGGGTGCGGAGAAACCTTCTGCAGCCTGTGTGGAGGGTCCTGATTAGGCAGCAAAGCCTGCTCTGGAAGACCAATTCTGAGAGACGGTGTGCGCACAGCTGGTCCGCAAACGCTGACGGGATATTTCTGGGCCTTAGACACTTTTGCTTCCCTGAGCCCCTTCCTCCATCAGAAAAAAATACTGAAAAATATATGTTAGGACAGTATTTGTATTATATTACTAGTTTTTATATTATTCATTAGTATTATAATATGATTTTTCCTTTTTATTTTTAAAAAACTGAAACATGTTTGTGGTTCCCAAAAAATACTGTAGGCCCTGGACACTGTGCTTCCTGAACCTAAGTGTAGAATTTGGCCCCACTGTGTGCAGACAACAGGGGGATTCGGAAATGAACGGTAGGAATGTCTGCCCTGGGAGAGCTATCAGGCCAGAGAGAAGACATGCTCAGAAATAACTGAATAACAGCCCGGAGTGCTATCCCACAGGCACACAGGGATCCTGAAAGCTCCGAGGGAGTTCCGGGAGTGAGGGGCCTGCACGAAGACTTCCTGGAGGAGGAGGGCACTGTAGCCCTGAGGCTGGGGGAGGGGACATTTCAGCCCCAGGCTGGCCTGCACCCCGCTTCAGGGAGCAGCCTCAGAGGCACAAGAAAGCGACGGCAAGGCAGGAGAGCTTCCTCCACAGGCACACGAAGACTCCAATCACCATGGGGACGGAGAATGCACCTGCTTTTCTTTCCAACTCTCCTTTCCTTTTGGAAGACTTAGAAAAAATGAACCTATGAAAGAAGAAAGAAAGAAAGAAAAAGGAAAGAAAAGAAGGCAAAAAAGAGAGAAGGAGAAAGAGAGAAAGAGAAAGGAAAAAAGAGGGAGAGGAAGAGAGAAAGGAAGGGAGAGGAGCACCTCGTGCTGGCACCGTTATCATTCATGTTGATGTCAACATCTCTACAAAGACAGGTAGCAGGAAAATATCGCCAGGGAGCCATTGAGGGCACGCAGCGGGGCCCTGAGTAATTACCGTGGCCTAGTTATTTCTCTGGGAAGGGGAAAAAAAGTCCAGCACCCGATCTGATTTTTTTTTTCTTAATAGGTGAAGTTGAACCTAAAGCACTGTAATTTTAATCAAGTCTTTCCCATCTGCGTGTAGTGTCTCTGAGAAGTTGAAGATTTAAGTGTATGTTGTAGGGTTGGTGGAATTGTCCCAGCGGGGGAGGGAAGGGGGCAGAGTGGTGGTAATTACGCTACACTTAAAGGTATTTCGGTTGCCAGGGAAGGCATTTTTTAAAATTTCCTCTTTTTTTCATTGAGGGTTTGGATGATGTCATGGACAGGAGAGGGGAAAAGGGAATGCAGAAGCCAAAAGGGTGAGCAAGAGGGGAAAGATGAAATTGTAATTTTCAGTTTAGAAGAAGCTTGGAACCATTTGGAAAATGGGAGTGTGATGCTCTGAAGGACATAAGCTAAGCCTAGGAATGGACTAACATCTTTCTAACACAAACACACACACACACCAAGCCCACAGAGCCCACAGACACATCCAAACATGCACATTGGCAACATTCTGCACACCCTCTCCACTCCCACTCACCCTGCACACAGACACAGGGAACACACACATTTCATGCATAAGCACACACAAGACTAAGCTTGCACCCCTAGTATACAGCACCACACACAACCCCGAAAGCACCCCAGCACGCTGGCATGCATTTCTACACATGAGAACATTTGTCTCCCTGTGCGTAACCACACAATGGCCTGGAACACAGAAGTGATTGCAACCAAATAGGCACAATGAACGTAACCAGCATAATATAGAGACATGCCACTCACACACTCACAGCCTGCACAGGTAAGCATGCAGGTAACTGACACCAACAGCACGGCCTTCAAGCACATGGCAGAATTACCCAGATAAACCAGACCTCACACGATGGAAGGCTGGAGGGCACTAGGGCTTGGCTGAAGGGTAGGTGTGGGTGGGAAGTGGGGATGAGGTGATAATCTGTGCACCCTTTGGCTTTTTAAAATGAAATTTGTATTTTAGAAAAGATGTAGATTTATAGAAAAATTGCACAGATAGTGAGGAAAGTTCCTGGATACCCCATATCCCATCTGTAACATTATAAAATTAGCGTGGTACATTTATCACAATGAATGAACCAATATTGGCTCTTTGTTTTTTAGAATTATACGGAGAATCCTTTAACCCCAACCCACCCCCAACACACATGCAATGATTTTAACATTTAATAATTCAAACAAGCTGGCATTTGGAGATCTCTTCAGAAGCTTCTATCCTGAAGTGCGGGGCAGTGGATGTTGTCCCTGGTGAGAACAAGCCACGGAAACATTTAGTTGCAGAAGATTGTCCCCTGTCAGCTCAAATCTCCAATAATTCTTACCAAAGTAGAATTTCTAGAGGAACTGACAAGTCCATGGATTTGGCCCTGAGATGTCTGCACATGCCATCACCTTTTTGTTGCAACAGCATCCCTTTCCAAATCAAAACCTCCCACAGGAAGGCAGTCCTCATTTACATCAGGGAATCTCAAGGGTGAAAAGGGGCAGTTTCTTTTATGATGAGGCACCAGCACTTAATTTGACAAATAAATTTGGAAGAAGGCAATTTCATCTAAAAAAAAAAATACTAAAAGGCCTAGTCACAGACATCCTTAGTGCTACCATTTTTCTCAAGTTTTTTCCCCATCCTACTCAACCCCATCCATCATCTCTACAGATCTCAATACTGTTGCAGGTGTAATAGGGCCAGTTTCCTGGGCAGTAAAGGAATTTACTAAGACAGTCATAGGTAAAGAAAGGCAGATTTATTAGAGAAAGTATGAAAATATGTTGCAAGGTTGCAACAGGCAGCCCAGCAGAGAAGGGGCTGTCTGCAAAGAGGCAAGGGCTGGAGGGAAGTTTTATAGGATCATGCTGGAGGGGGCTGCCTGTGGAACAAGGTCATTGTGCCTGCAGAAGGAGATCTTTGTTTTTGATTAGCCATTTCTCACAATTCTTCCTTGTTCTCCATGACCTAGGGCCCTCCCCACCTTGGGGCCCTCCCCAACTTAGGGCCCTTTCCTCATTGTTGCTTACTTATCTTATTTGGACTCCACAAATCCTATCCAACTTTCGAAGCCCAGTATGTTGTCACCTCCTCTAGGAAGCCTCCCTGGGGGCCATCTGTTGCCTCACCTCCTCTCAGAACACTTGATTCCATGAGGTGGAATCAACTTGCCACCTTACATCAGGATTTGCTGTGCTAACAGTCTTATCTCCTGGCTCCGTCTCTTAGGGCTGGTATAACAAACTGAGTGGCTGAAACAATACGGAGTTTTTTTTCCCACGGTCCCGGAGGCTAGAAGTCTGAGATCCAGGTGTCTACAGCATTGGCTCCTTCTGAGGCTGTGGGGGAGGATCTGCGCCAGGCCTCTCTCCCAGCTTCTGGTGGTCACTGGCAATTTTGGGTGTTTCTTGGCCTGTAGACGCATCACCCAGAGCTCTGCCTTCATCTGCATGTGACTTCTTGCAATATGCATGTGTCTGTGTGTCTTTTTATAAGGACACAAGTCATATTCAATTAGGTCCCTGATGATGTTATCTTAACCTGATCATCTGCAAAGACTATTTCCAAATAATTTATATTCTCCGTTACCAGGGGTCAGGACTAAAACATTTTTGAGGAGCACACAATTCAATCCATAATATCTGCCCTGCTGGGCTTAAGTTCCAAAATATGTAGAACCCATTTTTACGTTCATTTTGTAGCCTACAAGGTCTACATGTGTGCTCAATATACAGTAAGAGCTTAGTAAAATTGTACTTGATTAGCTAACCATTCAGCCAGTCAGTACAGAAACATGATTATAAACCATTGGAAAAAAATAGTGTTTCCAGTGATTTGAACCAGGAGATGCTGGTGTTCTGAGAAGTAAACGTAAAACAAAATACTCTTCAAAAGAGAGAAGGCTCTTTCAGATGTGGTCCCATTGAAGGCCAGTTTTCAGACCAAAAACTATCTTCCCATACATGACACCAGTTGACCTGTTGACCTAGTCTCTGGTTCTCTTGCTAGTAAAAACCCACACCTGAGAAACTGTAGTAACAAAAACTGACAGCACTCAGAGATCTACAGCGCATGAGCTGAGGCCTGCTGGACCAGGAAATGAGAAAAAAAAGATTACAACCCCACCTTCTTTCATAGGAACTTAGGACATCCCGGCACAGACAGGTTGCTGAATTTACCCACATCCCTCAGCTAGTCCATGGCGGTGCAAACTCGATCATGTTTCTGCCTCGAGAGCCTATGCACTTGACCATTATGCTTGGCTTCAAAGAATAATTAAAAGCTAAAGCTGGATTTTGATGAAGAAAAAAAAAAAAGAATAAGCGAGAGACACAGAGAAGGAAGGGTGTTTCTGGGGAAGGGAAGAGTGTCAGCAAAGATGCACTGACTGGAAAGTAAGAGGGATGCCCAGGTTCTTGGCAGAGCAAAGGGCCCTGGAACATAGCTGTGATCACATCTGTCCATCTGCCTGTTCAAAATAAAAGTTCAAATGCTGGAGGCAAGGTTCTTGTGCCGTCCAGAGCTGAGCTGGCTAGGAACACTTAAGGTGAGTCTACACTTCTTTAGAGTCTACGGGACATGAACAACACCTTGAGCCTGAGCTTAGGCAGGCTGAGTCCAACAGGGAGGTCTGAAGGACATTGTCTCTAACTCATCTGAGATGTTGGCTCAAAGCCAAAATGATCTCACATTCCAACAAGAAGAAATTGTTTAAAAATGAAAAATGAGATAAATAAAAAATAAAATTAAAAAGTCCTCCCACGGAGCAGCCAATCTGGAGAAAAGGGACCATCCATGACTCTTCCAGCAAACTGGTGTGAACTTTCTCGCCATTGACAGTGCATGCAGCTGGCCCCATTGTCTGCCTCTTTACAAAATTCAATATTTCCCCTTCTGTTATGCTTGGCACAATGACAAGAAAGGAAGAAATAAAAGTTCCCCTCTTTAATGAAGCTGTTGAGGATCCTTTTTTTATATATCAGAATTGACATGACCATTACCATTTTGATTCCGGTTCTGACACAAGAGTCACATAGCAACATGATCCTCTCCATAGCAACCTCCCCACTCCTCACACAAAGACAATCTTGACAGTTTAACATTCAATAAAAAGTACTTTTAATTAAAAGATGACTAAGACTGGCAGCACAAAAAATATATTGAACACATATTTTCAACTGTTGTTAACATTCATTTATAAAGGAAACTACCAACCCAAGCTTGTCTTTTGAAAAGAATGGTCATATGCCTTGAATGAGGCGTTAAAAGATTCCTTGAGTTCACCAAGGCATATTAAATTCCATCCAGCAAACCTTTAATTAAGTGGCTGCTAAAGGCTAGGTCTTATCCTAGGTCCTGAGGGCAAATATTTGAATGAAGCTTCAATGGTGTACTGTGTGGAAATTGCAACAACACCGACAGCATCCTGACAATTACTACCATCTACAGAGGGTTTCCTATGCACTAGACACTGTGCCCTGTGCAGCCTTTGCATTTAATTTTATATAATGCTCACAACAACTGTTAGCAACCTCATTTTTTCACATGGTGAAACCAAGACTCAGAGATGATAAATAACTTGCCCAAGATCACACACGTGCGCTATGGCTGAGTCAAGACCCAAGCCCGATGATTGTAACTCCTGCCATGCCGCCTTTGTGCCTTGTGCTTCTGAAGGAGGTGGAAGCAACCAGAAAGCAAGGGTGAACCACACCCAGGGCATCCAGGAGGCATCCCGGAGGCAGGCATATGTGTGTGCATGAGTGTGCAGGTGCATGATGTGAGGTCTTCAATGAGATAGAAAACTGTGATGATTCAGAGCACAGACTCTGCCTTACTCTGCTACTTACTATTCGTGCAATTTTCAGCAAATTTCCTGTACTGTAAAGTGTGCATAATAATAGTAACTCTCTATTGCAAGAATTAAAGAAGCTAACACATCTAAAGAATTTAGAATAGTGCCTGGCCCATAGTAATCACTATTCATATTAATATTATTATCATTATTATTATCTTGGCTATTATCTTCTAGTGGTGGAAGAGAGGCATTAATAATATCTTGTTGGTGGGGCACAGTGGTTCATACCTGTAACCCAGTATTTTGGGAGGCCAAGGCAGGAGGATCACTTAAGCCCAAGAGTTCTAGACCAGACTTGGCAACATAGCAAGATTCTGTCTCTTCAAAATATATTTAAAAAATTATCTGAGTGCAGTGGCTCATGTCTGTAGTCCTAGCTACTCAGGAGGCTAAGGCAGAAGAATTGCTTCAGCCCAAGAATTTGAGACTGCAGTGAGCTGTGACCACACCACTACACTCCATCCTGGATGACTGAGTAAGGCACTGTCTTCAATAATAATAATAATAACAATGATATTTTGCCCAAATTAGGATTGCCTTGGCTATATGGGGACTTCTTTGACTCCTTATGAAATTTAAAATGTTTTTTTCTGATTCTGTGAAGAATGTCAATGGTAGTTTGATGGGAATAGCATTGAATCTTTAAGTTACTTTGGACAATATGGCCATTTTTACGATATTGATTCAGGATACAAAATCAATGTGCAAAAATCACAAGCTTTCCTTTACACCAACAATAGACAAGCAGAGAGTCAAATCATGAATGGACTCCCATTCACCATTACTACAAAGAGAATAAAATACTTAGGAATACAGCTAACAAGGGATGTGAAGGACCTCTTCAAGGATAACTACAAACCACTGCCCAAGGAAATAAGAGAGGGCACAAACAAATGGAAAAACATTCCATCCTCATGGATAGGAAGAATCACAAACCCTTTAATAAAGGAGAAAACTGAGGGTCGCAGGAGTCCTTTTGTGTGTCCTGTCACATACCTAGGCACAAGAGAGTTGAGACTTCAGTTGCCTCAGCTCTTGCATCTCCCCTTCCCACCACTGCCTCCCTTGACATGGAGAGAGTGTGTGTCATCCCTAAAACTGAAAAGAAAGAAGGCCAGGCCTCTGACCTAGAACTGGCATGATGGGATAGAAGCAGCGCTGGGCCTATTCTCAGAGGGCTGGAGTCCATGCCTGGCTCTGGCCCTCATTATGGGAAGGAAAGTAACATTCATTGAGCCCCCACTGAGCTGGGCACCCATCTTAAGTTATCTCAAAATCATTAAAACGTGCTGGTGACCCAGTTTTCTTTATGCTCATCAGGGAGACAAGGAGCCTGAGGGTCAGAGAGGTGACCACCATTTCTGAAGGTGCTAGCAAACTGGGGGCACTGCAGCAGTTTCAAAGCAGGCTCCCTGATGCCATGCCAGGGCTTTCCCTGCTGACCTTGGCTGCTTGATTGGAGGAAGTCTATGAGACTTGTCTGGCCCCTGCTATTCCCCCAGGCTCTGGAGTCCATTTCAAAACCCCTAAAGTCACTTGGCCTTTAGCTTTCCTCCAAAGGGCAGTGTCCCCAGAGTCACATCAGCCCTGCGGTGCCTGTCCCAATTAGAAACAACAGCCTCCAGGCGAGGTTTGAGCCTGTGCCTTCAGTGTGGGAGGCAGGTCTCATAGCCACCCTTCCAATCCAAAGCAGCTGTCCCCTCTCAGGGCTGTGTCACAGCTTAATTGACTATGGTTTGAGAGCATCGCCTTTATTACCTCTAACAGCCCCATAGCCACTGATTGCCCGCACTGATGGCTAATTTAATTTCTGTCAATACAGCACTGAGTGGCTTTAAAAGAACCATTATCCACAAGGGTGGTGCTTCAGGGGGATGTTAGTGGGATCGCCAAACAGAGCCGGCTTTCATTTTTAGATCGAGCATGCTTAATGCTGCAGGACCTCAGAGGTGATGAGTCCAATCTCTCAACGTGCAGCTGGGACAGCTGAAGCCTGGAGAGGTCCAGGGCTTTTTCTCCAAGCTCTCACAAGAGGGGATGACCTCCCCTACTGTGATGGGGGGCTCTGTGACAATCTGATACCCTTCTCCATTTTTCTTTCACTTTGTACCCAGAAGGACCTGGGGGAAAGGCTGAAATGGCTTTCATTCTCCTGCCTAAAACCCCTCACACATGCCATGTTTTCAAAAGGACCTCATGCAGCTTCCCAGGAATGGCCCTTGGCCACTGGACCCTGCCTGCCTGTCCCCCTGCATCACCCGCTTCTTCTGTCCTTGTGGCCCAGACAGAAGGAGTGGCTTGAATGTCCCTGAGTTAAGTATGGACTTTTCTCTCTGAATATTTGCTCCTGCCTCTCCTTCTGCCAGGGAAGTCCTTTCCAGCCCTGTCAACCTGAACAATGGATCTCTTGATCCTTCAAGAACACAGCTTATCTGCTCTGGGAAACTGTTCATTTATTTTATTCATTCTATCAACCAATCATTGTTTATTTGTTGAAACCTTATCATCTCTCAGACACTGTGATAAGTCCTGGAAATTAAATAGTGAGCAAAACCAGACACAGTTCCTTTCCTCATGGAGCTTAAAATCCACAAGGAAAGATAGATGCTAACCAAAATAATAGCACACAACTGTGAAAAGACTTCTGAAGGAGAAAGAGTTACCTAGGTGTACCTAGAGAGCCCACATCAGGTGAACTGATCTGGCTGGGAGAGTCAGAGACTCCAGCTTCCCTTCTTCCATGACTACTTGTACCCATGGCATTTGTCACTTTTCACTTTAATAATTCTGCCCATAGGCAAGCCCCTTGAGTATCTTAGCAATGAATCCAGAACTCAGGATTCAAAATATGCTTATGAAATGAACAGTACCTTTCTTTCTTTTCTTTATTAAAACATTGTCCAAATTAACAAGAATAATACTCAATACCTGGAGTAATTGAGACTTGTATAATATAACAACCAGAAAATCATTTTTCAAATAGCAATATCCTCCACTGAAAACTGTCAAGACTAGTAATTGATTCATCATCCATATATCCGCCCATCCTTTCATTCATCCATTCTCCCATCCATTCATTTCTTCACCCATCCTTCTGCCTGCCGATTTATTTAGATACCCAATTATCTATCTGTCTATCTATCTATCTATCTATCTATCTATCTATCTATCTATCTATCTATCCATCCATTCACCCATTCTCCCATCTATTCTCTCACCCATTCATTTATCAACTTATCCATCCATCCATCTATCTTTTCACTCCCCCACCCACCCATCCATCTGAATAGTAAGCATTTGTGATCCTCTACTATATACCAGGCATGTAATAGATGCTAGTGAATGTAAAGAGAAATCATAAATGGCTTATCCCTGGCTAACTCTTTCTTGTCCTCAAGTCTGCCTTAGATCCCTCCCTCAGAGTCTTCCCTCATTCCCAAGGAAAGGTTAGATCTCATCTATCCCCATTTCTATTCCCCTAATCATCACTGGAAGGGCCCCATTTCCCACACTTGGTTAATCATATTTAGCACAGTATTATGTTTGCTACAATGTGTTCATCCTTCTATAAAGCTGTAAGCTTCTACATCTTGTTGCCATTAGTTCATCATAGTAAGTGCTCCGTCAGTATTCTGTAATCCCTGAATGAATAACCAAAGGATAAGCATGAATACATTGCATGGCCTTTACCTCAAGGGAGTGAGATTAATAGGCAGAAGCAACACCTGTACAGGTAATGACAGGGTGATGAAGCCATGTGAGAAGTGTATACAGACTTTGAGACTTGGAGTCTGTACAGGAGAGAAAAATCCTGGTTCACACTAATAAGTAGTTGCAAATGGTAACAAGTTGTTTGGGGTTTCAGCAACTCACCTAATATGCTTAAGATCCTTTTTTTTTTTTCTTAGAAAACCCCAGCACAATTATTTATGAAACTTTTTAATTAAATGGACTTCTTAAAAGAAGTGAGGCATTTTTGTTTCAAATTTGAGTCACTAAAGTTATTTAACACCCCAAGTTTTGATAGTTGCTAAAACACTGTGTGTATGATATTGTCATGATGGCCTCTTGGTATCCCATGGCTGACCTTTCAGTGAGTCATGCATTGTACCCTCGTGTCTCAGCCTCACCCCAGTCAGTGCAGGTGGGGAAGAAGGAGCAGCCCACGAGAGATTCAGATAGCAGAATTCTGAAGGATTCTGTGGCCCAGTGAATATCAGGCAAGAAGGGCCTTCCAGGGATACCAACAAAATGTTTTATAAAGTTTTATGACACACACCTCTTCTCTAAAAGTTTCATTTTTTGGCAAATACAGTTTCAAGACCAGATATGAAGCCAACTTATGTAAAAATTCTATATTATAAGGTGGAGCTTGAGGCACAGATATGTGTGTAGGCAATGGGGTGGGTGAAACAAAAGAATTGGTTTCAGGAAGGAAGTTAGATTGGTTCAAGACTTTGTGAGTTTGGGATGCCCATGAGACCGTCCGATAGTTTGCTGGAGTCACTCATAAATGAAAGGTGGGTCTGGAGCTCATGTGAGAAGGGAGAGGTAGAGGCAGGGATTTGGCAGTCTCTGGCTTGAAGGTGAAAGCTGAGGTCATGGAAGTGGATGAGGTCAACCAGGGAAAGTTTGTTATGAAACAAAATATCAAGAGCAGAGTAGCAGGGGGGTGCCTCTGACATGCAACCATTCACTAGTTGTCCACCAACCATTCCTCATCTATTCTGTCTTCCCTGCTCACAGAACTCCAATGCTTGGTTCAGTGAGTAGAATGGTCTGTTAGTTTCCCAGTCTGCTATAGCACAAAGTTGGAGGCTTAAAATAACAGGAATTTATTCTCACAGTTCTAGAGGTCTTAAGTCCAAAATCAAGGCATTGGCTGGGCTACACTCCTTCCAAAGGCTGTGGGTGAAGGTCCTTCCTTGCACCTCCTGGCTTCAGGGGCCTCTTGGCAATCCTTGGCTTACTGCTGTGTCGCTCCAATCTCTGCCGCCATCTTCACATGGTCTCCAACCTGATGTCTCTTCTCTGTGTCTATTTGTGTCTCAAACATCCTTTTCTTTTTCCTTATAAAAACATCAGTCAGCCGGGCGTGGTGGCTCATGCCTGTAATCCCAGCACTTTGGGAGACCAAGGTGGGCAGATCACGAGGTCAGGAGATCAAGACCATCCTGGCTAACGTGGTGAAACCCCGTCTCTACTAAAAATACAAAAAAATTAGCCGGGCATGGTGGTGGGTGCCTGTAGTCCCAGCTACTCGGGAGGCTGAGGCAGGAGAATGGCGTGAGCCAGGGAGGCGGAGGTTGCAGTGAGCTGAGATCATGACACTGTACTCCAGCTTGGGCGACAGAGCAAGATGCCATCTAAAAAAAAAAAAAAAAAAAAATCAGTCATTAGATTTAGAGTGTGCCTAAATTCAGGATAATTCATCTTGAGATCCGTAACTTAGTTACATCTACAAAGATCCTATCTCGTTTTAAGATCACATTTATACCTACCCCACTGGTAGAGGGTTAAGATGTGGACATACCTTTTGGGGGAACAAAATTCAACCCATTACACATAGTGGCACTTTGATTTCTAAAAAGATGAGCCCTTCTCCCAGCCTCAGCGAATGCATCTTGATTGATTCTTATCATGGCAATCCCATTTCCATTTGCTAGACACCCACTTTCTAGCCTCTCTTACATGTGGAGGTGAGCAGATTGGCCTGTAACACAGTTCTATCCAACAAGACACAAGAGAAATTCTGCTGGGGCTTCTGGGAAAATCACAGAAAGATATGGTTTTTGCACCTGTACTTCCTTCCTGCTTTGGATGCTGCTGTGAGGACATGAGATTTAAGGTGGCAGCCATTTTACAGTCAAGAGGTAGACAGCATAAGAATAGAAGCCAGCCCACTAAGGAGTCCAAGACGGCATCACTGAGCTGCAAAGCAATGCCAGCCTCTGCTCACCTTCAGACATCTTCTTCCTCCTCTTTGTTTAAGTCATTGAGGTTGGACTTTCTGTTACTGAATGCATTCCTAGCTGATATGAAATACTGACTTAAGGGGCATACAGAGAATGAGGAGCCAGTAAAATAAGCAAAGAGGCTGCCCCAGGAAAAAGGAGGAGAAGGTGATGCTCCAGAAGCCAGGGAAAGAGAGCATGTGAAGGAGGAGAATGTCAAATGCCATTGGAAGGTAAATTAAGATGCTGAGTAAAAGAGATGAGTGAGTATATGTTGATTGTTGAGATGGCAAGGTGAGCTAGTGGTGCCTCAGGCATGGCTCATTGGAGTTGCCAGCTAGAACCCTTCAATCAGCAATTCAGGGAAGCTGCATATGTTGGAGAGAATGGGCTTACCCCAGTGAAGCAAGTTCCTAGAGAGGGATAAAGGGCCTGAATCAGTAGCACAAGGACAAGACTTCGGCATGGAAAGTAGGAATAGACCCCTTACTCAGAGACAAGGGAGAGAACATAAGGAGAGATGCAGAATGAAAAAAATGCATGACCAAGAAGAAAGTTGGAGGAGGTGATAGATGAGAGGTAAAAGCATTGCTGGGGGAGAAGGGTTCGATAAGTGATCGAGGAATATGGTCTAGCTCAGCTGAGCTGCTATCTCTGAAAATAAGGATACCATTAAAGGAAACCAAGTTTGTTTGCTGCTTGAGGAGATAAGGCAGTTCTCTGTGCTGTTTGTTTTCCAACAAACAAAGAGTGGCAAGTGGAATCTTCTGCCCTCTTCCTACCAACTTCATGTATGCAGTTGGCAATATTCATAACTTCTGCATAGAGAAAGAGAAATTACCTAGAAGCTGATCTCTGTTATGACATATATCCTTATAGAGGAGGAAGGGAGGAAAACTCACCAGTGATAGAGAGATGAGAGAAACTCTATCTTTCCTTATAAGTGAAGATGGATGTCATAACAGAGTATCAGCCATGGTCTTATGTCCGTGCATGCAAACCTGTCATTCAGCAAGGCAGAAACTTCTTTGGATAACTGTTATGGAAAATAGAACTGCTAGTAATGTGACTTCTGCTGTCAATGCAGTAATATATAGGTGAATGTTTGCAAGGAAGGAAATATCACCTGGAAAAATCTCTTGGTTGTTTATGTATTAGTAGTGTCTCTGGCTTAGGTGAGCAATGAGTGCCTTTTATTTATGTCTGTGTACACGTGTGCATATATGTTTAATATTTTAGAGCCTAGAGGGGGACATGCCATTTTGAGATAGCAATCCAGTTTTTCATTTCAGAGTGAGGTAACCAGAGAAGGCACAGTGACCTGCAGTTTTATGACAACTTTCTACCTATTTCTCCTTCACCTAGAAGAGGCCCCACATCTAACAAATCAACCTGCAGATAGGGGGTGGACACTAGTATGGCAGGAAGGAAATCTACAGCCAGTCCAGTGACCAGAAAAGTAATTTTCCATGTCATGCATCAGCCCTTCTTCATCTTTCATTGGGAAATATCTTGCAAAGGAAAGATGAGACAAGTGGCCTTAACAGAGGAAGTATTAAAATGTGGCTGAGGAGGAAGAAAGGAGAAAAACGACAGTTCGCACAGATCTATGTCTCAGTTTGTTTTTGATGTCTTCAGACAACATCTCCTTTAGGTCCCTAAAAAGCCATTCAAACTGCAGGCCACCTTTCATGCCCACTGTGAGGTTTCTTGTGGCTTCTTAAGCTGAATTTTATCTAACGCAATAAATTCCCCTGTCCACCCTGAAAGTGGAGTTCCTGCCACACGTTCAGCCAGTCTGAGCCTCATTCATCCAATGTAAATTCCTAAATACTTGAAAAGTTTCCTAGAATCTTCCTGCTTGAGCCTTGATGAGAAAACCGGTGGGAAGCAGAGCCAGGCTGTTTGTCTCTTATGAATTCTGGACCAGGTGCAGTACTGGCAGTTGGAGGGATGGAGTGGTGAACAGCAATAGAGTGGTCAGGAAAACCCCGGGTCAGAATGACAGATTCACAAGAGGTGAGGCAAGTGGGGACTCAGGCAATGGTCCAGCACTGAGGTATATGTTCCCAGGGGACTCCGGTGGAAGGAGGGACTTGGGAGCAGTGCGTCCAATCAAGCAACCTGGAGAATAACTTGATTAATTACAGAGATGGGGGAATGGGGCAACAATGATTTTTAGCAAGAACACGTGTTTACTTCCATTATGTAATTTTATAGGGATTTCACTTAAATTTGTTCAACAATAAGACAGTCCATTTCTAAAAATATCAGAATCACATCAAATCGAGTATTGACTCTCAGCAAATGATGCCATTATCATTATTATATATAATAGTTATTAAATTATTATATATAATTTAATTTAACTGGATCCAGACATAATTTCAATCAGTTTATTTATTTATTTATTTTATTTTATTTTAATTTTTTTTGATGGAGTCTCACTCTGTCGCCCAGGCTGGAATGCAGTGGAGTGATCTCAGCCCACTGCAACCTCCACCTCTTGGGTTCAAGCAATTCTTCTGCCTCAGCCTCCCGAGTAGCTGGGACTACAGGCTCACACCACCATGCTTGGCTAATTTTCGTATTTTTAGTAGAGACAGGGTTTCACCATATTGGCCAGGTTGGACTTGAACTCCTGACCTCATGATCTGCCCACCTCAGCTTCCCAAAATGTTGAGATTACAGTCATGAGCCACCACGCCCAGCCTGTTCTCACTTTGGTAATAAGAACATACTTGAGACTGGGTAATTTATAAAGGAAAGAGATTTAATTGATTCACAGTTCCACATGGCTGGAGAGGCCTCACAATCATGGCAGAAGGTGAAAGAGAAGGAAAGTCCTGTCTTCCATGGTGGCAGGCAAGAGAGTGTGTGCAGGGGAAACACTATTTATGAAACCATCAGATCTCATAAGACATATTCACTATCATGAGAACAGCATGGAAAAGACCCACTTCCATTATTCAATTACCTCCAACTGGGCCCCTCCCATGACACGTGGGAATTACAGGAGCTACCATTCGAGATGAGATTTGGGTGCGGACACAGCCAAACCATATCAACAAGTATGATCATGGTGGTGATGTCCTCAATGTAATTAAGTGGGAATTTCCTAGCAATTAAAGAAAAAGAGAAACAGGATAAGTCACAAAGTCTCATGATCTGACAAAAGTTTCAGCAAAACATTTAATAGGAGAGCAATTTTTTTTTCCTAGCACTAAACTCCTAGGAGAATTTATTGTGGGACCTTTTACGCACTAGGCAATGCAATGAATACTATCTTCAACAGAAGTTTTACCAAAAAACGCAGAAATACATCTTCTCATCTTTGTTTCACATGATCCTATAGTAAAAGCCTTGACGAAAATGTGGCATGAAAATGTAACTCTTTAAAGGCACTTCTGTGAGGACACTAGCTCAGTTGACAGTGGCTCCAGGTTGTCAGTACCACAGGGTGTATTCCTTTAACCATCCACCAGATTGAACTGCAGTTACTGGAATATTCACCCCTCTTTTCCCGACATGTCAAGGTCTGGAGGGTAGCATTTGTTTTCTTGTTTTTCTTTTTACTTGTATTTGTATCCCAGTGTCCAGCACTGTGCCTGGTCCACAGTAGGCATTTCATACCAGATGTTGCACAGAGGATTTAAGTGAATGTATCGATAGTGCTTAGCTTGGTGTGTCTCTTAACCAGGCGCTGCACAAATGAGGCCCCACACCAAGGTTCTCACCTGCCAGCTCGTGTCAGCACCACCTGGTGACTTTCATACACAAAAACATGATCAGCTTGGAGTTCTGAGTAGAAGAATATCACCTTCTATGCAACCTTCCTTTTGCAAAGCCACGTGGCTCCTGCTGCCTAGATGGCCAACATCCCCAGTGTCCTACCTAGAGCCTCCTGCTTAGATACCTAGATCTACAGCATCTTTCCAGAAAAGTGGTCATTCAGCCTTTGCCTCATTCCTGTGACCTCTCCCACAGGCTTCCAGCACGTGGCTCTTTTGCTGCATTAGCCAGGGTCAACTTCTGCAGCTGCTGACAGGTTGTCTGACCAGAAAGTGTCTGAAGGGCTACTGCCCATGCCAGACAGGAAGTAAGTGGCTTTCTGTGGCTCTATCGTACATGAGGCTTTCCAGGATTGCTGGTGAATGACTGAGGCTCTCTATAGGGGAAGCCAGGCAGGGTGTGTTGGACTCAGCTCATACAGTCCTCCAGAGCAGGCTGTGTACATCTCTTTTACCGACTCTGCCTTCAGTGACCTCACCTGGTAGTTTGATATCAGCCATAGTGAAAATATTTACAGCATGGAAATTGGCAAACTCTGTACTTCAGGTTTGGTGGATTTTTCTTCCTCCACAAAGAGCCAGTTGTTAAACATTTACCAGCACACCACTGACAGCCAAAGAAGAAGAGAAGAAAGAGTAATGGAGAAATGGTCTCTGAGCCTTCCCCATCCAGTGCACCTTAGATAAACCCAGATTATTCTTTTCACTCAAAATTTTCCCCTGCCTTCCCAGTGACTAACAAAGGGGCCAGCAAACATTTTCTTAAAGGGTAGGATGGCAAATATTTTAGGCTTTGCTGGGCACACAGTCTGTGTCACAACTGCTCGGTGCTGCTGTTGTATTGTGACAACAGCCATAGACAACATGTAAATTAATGGGCATGTCTGTGTTCCAATAAAACTTTATTTATAAAAACAGGTGGCAGGCCAGATTTGTGCCCCAAGCTATAGTCTGCAGACACCTGATGAAATACATGAATCCAAACACCAGCATGGCAATCCAGGACCACTGGTATTAATTCCTACGCTTGCCAGTGTCATTTTTTTATATCTCCTCTGCTTTCCCTAGGAGTAGAGTGGGTTCTTCCTAAACTCACCTCTCTAATTTGATAACTGTGTGCTTCTCACCTGTCAGGTCCTCCCACAGGAATATCTGCTCCTGAGACCCTTTTCAAACCCCGACCCTGTTCTTAGGTTCATCTTAAAACCTGCTGACATGCATTGCCCTTGCATTTACCATACTTCATTATATCCAAATATACAGACTCTCCCACATTTCATTGAACTCTGTCCCCCAGCCAGATGCACAATAGATGTATTTTTTTCTGTTTCATGGTTATATAAAGGGCGTCCTTGACCTCAGGGCTGCTGTTGCGCTGTTGACATCATCTCCACATCCTCTGGGCCCAGCCCAACATGGTTGGGCACACTGGTAGGTGCTTAGGAGTAACTAGAAACACAAATTAAGATTATTTTGTTATTACTTTATTATTTATTATTTTATTATTGTCCAGAAGTTCTTCCTAAATGTGATATCACAGTGAGCCCTCCCACAAAACCATCCTTGACATCACTTCCCTGAACTGTCTGTGCAGCCCCTAGACATGACATCTGCCTGCTTTGAGCTTCATTTATTTTTATCCACGAAAAAGAAGAGTTATGATCCTTGATCCTTCTGGTCTCTATAATCTAGAAAATATTTTTCTGGATCAATTCATGGCATTACCTCTATACCTTGACTTCTTCATTACTGCAAGCCCAGGGGCAATAAATAGGAAGCTGCCTCTCCCATGCTGGCCCCTCACATTATGCGCTATAGATATTCTTAAGGGGCCAATCTGTGGTCTCAAAATGCACTTTATTACTGACAAATACTTGCACTATTGTCATGTCTCTGTAATATATGAATCCGAGCAATCTCTTAAATTGAAGATCAAACTGAGTTTGACCAATAATTGTATAAATGTCACTAACGTTTTTATTTTCTTTGAGGTTTTATTTTAGTTGATTGTTCTTTCAAGAAGCTGAAATGATTTAATGTCAAGTTCACATGGCTTTTCAAAAGGAAGATAGAAGATTATATTCTTCCACTCACAACCCCAAGTTTTTTAACATGATTCACATGTTAAATTTCCGGTCTGATATCAACTGTAAACTATATAGGTTCTGCTGGCTGTGGTATTTTTTCTTAATGCTCATAAATCCAGAGGTTATAAATCCCTCAAATTCCCATTTCTAAATGAAATGTCCATGTTATGGTCATTTTTCAGATAGTGTTTTAACTTCCATAGAATAGCAATGCCTAGAATTGAAGTCATAACATTTTTTTAAGTCAAAGATTCTGTAGAAACTCAAACAAAATCATAATGTGTAATTTCTATAGTTACATAAATATATATAATAAACAAAGTAAAAGTGGTATTTGTTGAAATAGATTGGGTGTTGGCCTTCTTTTGGTATACTCTGTGTAGCAAATCCAGGCAGTATAAGAGATGATAGGACCCCCTAATAATATCAGTTTGGGCCAAGAAATGCTCAATTCCATTTGAGATCTGAATTCCATCAGCAGAGCCCTGGGCTCATCCTTGAAGCAGGGGAAGTTGGTTTGAAGAGTAAAGTCAGCTCCCATTCAAAGGCTGTCTGCTTGATCCTCAAGGAACCAAAGATGATGCCATCTTTCTTTTTTGCCCATCCTGTGCCCTCGTGAAGAGGCAGTGCCAAGCCCTACCTCTCCCAAAGTGTAAAGAGCATTGGATTCGGAATGAATAAGTCCATGTTCTGATCAGAGTCCACAACCACCAAATTCAGAGACTTGAAGCAAATTCTCTGGGCCCCAGTTTGCTTGTCTATTAAAAGAAAATTTCTTTTATTTTCTCTTAATTGAAGAGTCTTTCCCTCCCAGGCCAGTTGTGGGAATCAAAGTGGATGATGATCTTTCTTGCCTGGCTTACATTTTCCAAGTTTTAGTCTCAGCTTCCTCTGAGAAATCTTCCATGACCTCCCCTCCCAGCCCTAGTATCAGGTTGGATCCCTTCCCTTCCTCTGGACTCCAAAGTCATCTTTGAGTTCTGCTGCCCAGAATGTGGCTATCCTGTTGTCATTGCTCGTTTATTGGCATGAATATTCCTTTAGATTACAATCCCCTTGAGGCCAGGGATGTATCTCTCAGCACTATACCTTCAGCGGATAGCAGAGTGCGCTTTTGAAAAATATTTTCCAAGGACACTTTCTCTCTTTTCTGCCAGACCCAGCTCCATGATCTTAAGTGGTGGCAAAGATGTGAATGAAGTAGGTTTAATATTCCCAGAAACACTATTTATTTTGCAATTGAGTTTCTAAAAGGTATTATCTAGGAGGAAAGAATTTGGAGATTTCTTCAACTGATAGAGACTGCAGTAACCATTCTGCTTCCTGCAGGCTCCAAGGAGCCAAAGTCCTTGTTTCCTATGTATTCATGGAACATTGCCTAAGAGCAGGATTTGTTGGCTAAAGCACCATCAGGAGTGCAGAGCTGGAGAAGGTGTATAGGAACATGGCCTACAAGACAAGGACACGAGCTGCAAGAGGAGCATGAACGTGAAGTGAGAACACCTGAGCTCTAACCCTGGTGCTTCCAGAATCACTGCCCCTCTCCAGGTCTCACATTTTTCCTCTCTATAATGGACACATGCTATATCAGTTTTCTTCAAGCCTAATTTTGCCTTGTTTTGCATTGTTATCAGCCAAAAGTCATTGTTCAAAACGTAGCCTAATACAGCAGAGTCACTGTTTAAAGTAGGAATATGGAGCCCGAAGCTATGTCCTTGCCACACATACTCTCCCACCTCCCCTGTGGTCCCTGAGGAAGGTGAGTGGACTTCCTAAGGTTCTTTGGGACACAGCTTGAGGACAACAATGCCAGGTGATTGGTGGCCCTGGTGGCCCTGACAGCCTCCCAGCTGTGGTTTTTATGACCTGTGGCTCAGGTGAGCAACTTCTCCCTTGCCCTGGATGAAGAAAGCTATGGGACAAAAGACTTGCAGCACTAAAATGGGAAAGTCCCAGGAAAACTGAGCTGAATTGGTTACTCTGCCTGTGTCCTACCCAAACCACCTCTCCACACTTTGGAGAAGGGCAAGGCCCAGAATTATGCATGGTCAGGAGGGTAGGCTGGGAGGTAGTGCCTTCAGGACCCATCATATATAACTGAAACCTTTCACCCAGAGCTGCCAGAAAAACAATTTGAGAGGTTGATTGAATTTTCTTTTTCTCGTTCTCTTTGTTCTTTTGTCTTTGTTCTCCTTGTTCTCTTTGTCCTTTCTACCATCCTTCAGTGACTTCCATTGCCTCAGAAGAAGGATCACACGGCAGAAAAGCAGACAGAACACTAGCGTGTTTCAAAAGCCAACATTGCGGACTCGCAAACACCTGAGTTTTGGGGTTTAAAAAATCTAAGATACAAAGAACTCAGTCTACATAATATATTTTACAAGCAACATGTTTTTAAAAAGGTAAAGAGCTGTGTTCATTTCCTACTGTGCCTGCAATAAATTACCACAAACTTAGTGGCTTAAAACAGTGCAAATGTATTATCTTCCAATTTGGGAGGTCAGAAGTCTCACATGGATTGCACTGGGCTGCAATCAAGATATCAGGAGGGCTGTGCTCCCTCTGGAGGGCAAATTGGAATCCCCATTTCCTGGTCTTTTTCAGCTTCTGGAGACCACCTTCATTCCTTGGCTCATGGCCTATCCCTGCATCTCCAAGTTAGCAGTGTAGCATCTTCAAATCTCTCGCTGACTCTGACCGTCATCCCATCTCCTTTCCACCCTCTGCTTCCATCGTGATGCCACTTTCTTCTCTCCGAACCTCCTCCCTCTCTTTTCTAAAGACCCTTGTGATTACATTGGGCTTACCTGGATAATCCAGGACATTTCCCCTCATGTCAAGATCTTTAATCACATCTGTAAAGTGTCATTGCCATGTAAGATAACATATTCACAGGTTCTGAGTATCAGGGTATAGACCTCTTTTTGTGGGAAGAGGAGGTCAATATTTTGTCTACCATGAAAGTCAAGCATCTTAGCCAACCTCAAATATTCTCCAAGGTGGAGGAGGGGGAGAGACAGCAGGTCACAGGGAAGGAGAGGTCCAAGGGGATCTAGAATAACAGGACTCAGGGGGGCGATGTAGACAGAGTTGGCATTTAGACCCTACCCAGCCAACTCGAAATGCCATCTGTTCCTAGTACCAGAGAGTTTCATGGGAGTCATGCCCAGGTCCACAGATGGTCCAGTCTTTAAGAGTACTATGCCCAACGCCAGTGTCCAGAAGACTTATTGATCACCCTTGCTACCGATGTCCAGCAAGAGACTTCTCCCATCAACTACAGTCAATATGGTACCCATTGACCATTCAGTAGGGGTAAGCCCATCTGGGCTCCATGGCTAAGTCAGGACCCCTATATAACTAACCCTATGTGGAAAACTTCCAGATTCAAAGGCTGAGGTTGATTAAAAGCTCCCCCAAGAACGTAGGTGGCATGCTAGACACAAAAGGAACAAGAAAAGAAAGAAGGAAAAAAGGAGAGAACAATATAAGAAAGAAAGAAAGAAGTCCTACTACCTCACGCCTCTATTTTGTCTTGGACTGAATTAAACCAGCTCAGAATCTCCCCCAGATAATGGTGAAATGATGTTTTGTCACAGCATCATTGGGTTTGTTAAATCTGAGTCTTTATAACCTCAAAAATATTAGGTTTCTTCTTCTTTTCTTAAACCCCTGCTTACTCTAACCCTTAAAACTCAGTCCTCATAATGTGCTTATGTCAGATGCCACAGTGCTAGGATGAAAAAGTAGGGAACTGTGTGAGTTAGGGGCACTGAAAGGCAAAGTAGATCAGAGAAATGTCTTAAAATTTTACAAACTATGACTCCTGGTCACTGAATTTTATTTTATCTTTTAACAAACAGAAGACAATCAGTAGAGGACACCAATGGGAATGCATCTCATGCTCAGCACACCTTGGGGAAGAAGCTCTTGGTAAGTTCAAGGTGCTATTCTCCTGTCTTTTTTTCACTGAAATAAAAATCTCAAATCAAAAGCATCTGTCCTTTTCCTTGTATATGTCAAAATGTAATTGGCAATGGTTGGGGTTTGTTGCCTTTATTGCTTTTAATAGCTATATAGCCACTGATTGCCCAAGCTGATGGTTAATTTAATTTCTGTCAATACAATATTGGGGCAGTCTGCATATTCAGACCATGATTAACTGCTGCAGGGTCCATAACACTGGTGTTATTATTACTGCATTTAACTACCTCTCGGGAGAAGACAAATTAAATTATGTTGAAAATGCTGTTGATTATCATTACGAACTTATTTGTAGAGCACAATTACTGATCTGTTGTAAAATAAATCAAATTTTTTTTATCATCTTGGTATAAATTAACTTTACTGTAGGAGAATGGAGAGTAGAGGCTGAAAGAATGTGGGCCACCTTGTATAAGTCAACAGAGCACTGAATTAAAATAATAATCACACGTGAACATAACATTATATTTTAATAACGAGCTACTTCATGACCAAGAGTGCCTCATAGATTATGGGATTTCAACAATAAAGCAGCAAGCACCATGTGTGTCATGTGCTGTTGACTCAAATGCAGGGTGAGGCCTGGGGATGAATTATTCCTGGGCTGTGACTCCAGTTCAATCTGAAATCACCACTCGAGTAAATTAAGGAAGGCGGCTTTAAGAACACAATTACATTAATAGCTTACATGTGATCATCATTTAGCTTTTGCCATTCCCTTACAATTTACTGGGTGCTATTATGCCATAATGCAAGTTAGGCCAAATCCATGGCCTAGGATCAATAAGCAATAGCCTGTCATGTTTGCATCTGCCAGGAGAGCCAAAGACACCAGGCCTGTGGGCCCAGGCCTCCTAGACTCACCGTCACATAATTAACTAACGTGAAAGCTCGGTCTCAAGTTACCCATTAAGTGCCAACAAAGGTAATACTATTGCATGCTCCTTTCTCTATTATTTTGAGCAATTTCTGCACCTTTAAATAACTAAGTGGATCAAACGATTGAGTAATTTGAATAAGAAATATATACCACAGAGCTCTTCTATTTAAATACACACGGCTGTGTGGCACAGCAGAGCGATACCCTGGGAGTTTAGCAGAATGCAGTTCAAGTCCACACCCTGCCATAGACAGTGTGATGCTGGGCAAGATGACCAATCCTGCTGGGCCTCAGTTTCCTCATTTGTAAAATGGGAATGTTTTGGCTTTGTGGTTTATCTGAGTGTGTTAATTTTCCTGTGCCGTGTAACAAATTAGCACAGACGAAGTAGCTTAAAACAATAACCATTTATTAGCTCACAGTTCTGCAGGTCAGGAGCCTGGATGGGCTCCACTGGGTTCTCCTCTTAGAGACTCAAAAGACTTACACCAAGGTGTCAGCCTTGGCCAGGGTCTTATCGAAGTTTCTAGGGAAAAATATGCTTCCAAACTATCAGAATTTAGTTCCTTGTAGTTGTAGGATTGAAGTACCCGCTGCCTTACTGACTGTCAGACCGGAACAGCTCTCAGCAACTGGAGGTTGCTTTCGGCGGCTCACCTGTGGACTTCTGCCACACCTCAGAGCCAGCAACTGAGGGTGGGATCCTTCTTGCTTGGAATCATCCTGACTTCCCCTTCTACCACCAGCTGGAGAAAACTCTGAGCTTTAATGGACCCTTAGGAATACAAAATCAATGTACAAAAATCAGCAGCATTTCTATATACCAATAAGATTCCAACAGACAGCCAAATCAAGAATACAATCCCATTTACAGTGGCCACACAAAAATTAAATACCTAGGAATATGTCTAACCAAGGAGGTGAAAGATCTCTACAAGGAGCAGCTACTATTTGCAGAACAGCGGTTATTCCAGACAGTTCAGTGGGCAATGTGATAAAGTAAGTTTTACACAAACAGTAAACTGTGATGCAGATTCTAAGGATTCCCGTTGTTCACAGGTAAACACTGAGCCCCACAGTAGAGAAGTCACCTATCCTGGGTTGCACTGCTTGTGTCAAGGCTGACACTCAAACTTCAATGTCTTGAACCACTAGCTGACTCACTGCTCATTCCCCACGATACATTTACATCAAAATCCTTCATGAGGTCATCCACCTGAGGCACAGAGTCTAATTCCCTCCAACTATGTCTTGGGAATCCTGTTTGGATTTCTGGTTCTTTCCTTAGGTAGATGTGCCCACCTCTTATTTTGCTCTTACATCAACTAAGCTGCACATGAATCCTTTCATTAATTATCAAGCACTGCATGAATATTCAACCACTTTTTGCAAAGGCTTTTATCCTCACAAGATTGGGCCAACAGCCCAGATGCTGCCCACATGAAGGTGGAGAACCAGGGCCATTGAAGTCCTCCTCACCAGGATGAGGTCTTGCATTCAGGTGATCATCTGCCATGTAACTCAAGGAGCCATCTGGATCCCTGCACTCCCATTCCCATTCTTTGTGGTGGAAAGTACTATAACACCTTTCACTGCCAATTCCAGCAATATCAAAACTAACCAAAGTTCACAAAAAGCAAATGCTAAATAAACCACACACTGAATAGAAATGTCAAGTAGAGAAGCCTGGAGTATCTTTTAATGGAGTTCTATCAAGATTTTTCAAGCACCTATTCTGTATATGACACTCTTATTATCTTGTCCCTAACCCAAGCTGAAATGTAGCCAAACCATTTGCTGGAGCTGAAACTCGGCATGCATTTCCACCCTCCACACATTTGCCCATGGTGTTCCTGCCACCTAAAGCACCACTTCCAGTATTCTTTTCAGGTGAATTACTACTCATTCTTAGAGCTCCTCCCCTGGCCCTCCCCACAGAGTAAGGATTTCCTTCACTGGGCTTCTGTGGTGGGCTCTCAGACCTGTATGATAAGTCCTGCCATATGGTATTGTCATTGTTGGATTTCTCATGCTGCGTTTCCTAAAGGCAGGCACCATATCTGCTTGTCTTATTCGAGAACCTGGCTCAGAGAAGCATTCAGTAAGTGTGTACAGAATGAAAGAATGGAAGGAGATTGGGTACCTGGGAAGTGGTCCATGCACCATAGGTTGACAATTGGCAGTATTGCTGTGCCGCTGATAAAGGCCAGAACCTAACCATGTTCAGTCATTCATTCCTCCCTCCCTTCATTCATTCATTCAACTGTATTTACTGAGCATACTCTTTGAACCAAATATGGTAGAGTGCACAGGGGAACTGATACAGTGAGGAGTGGAACTGGACCCAGGCCCTCACTTCACAGTCCAGTGGGGAAGATGGACAATAAATAAATGAAATCATCACACAAATGATTATAAAATCACCACTGGAACAAGGGCTATGAAGGAAGGGAGCAGAAGTTATGCAATGGGATGTGGGAATTTGACACATTAAGGAGGTATAGGTCGCTTTTCCTGAGGAAATGGCAGTGGAGTTCAGAGTTTAGGCAGGTGTGAACATGAATTAGTGTGGGTGCTCTGGAGGAAGAGTTCAAGGTTAACATAGGTGGGTAAGATTCAGGAAGCAAAATGAGAAAGACTCAAGAGGAGGTTTGTCGGTGCGAGTGGATGGACAACTTATAGGATATGGAAGGCTTTTCTGGAGAGCTGATGAATAGTTTTTAGCAGGTAAAGTGACTCCTGCTGCAACACGGCAATTGAAATGAGTAGTAGAAGAGGCAAGGGAACAGCTGGGAGGCATTGCAACGGCCCAGGGTGAGAAATAGTTGCTTGGACTAGGGAGTTAGTGATACAAATGGAGAGACATGGAGAGATTCAATATTTTGAGGAAACATTAAGAGATGATGGTGCAAAACTAATCAATGGTGAGAAAAATTAGAATCGGTAAACTGAGGGCTGAGGTAATGAAGAAGGGGAGCAGGGAACTTTCTAGAGACATAGAAACATTTGATATTTTGATCTGGATGGTGTTTACACAGTGTGTACAAGAGCAGAAATTCTTCATCCTTACACTCATAATTTCTGCATGTTATTGCATTTATTAAACTGAATTGAAAACCCAAGAAAGGATGTGGTAGTCCAACTTTGAGGGGCAGGAGAGACAGGGTCACTTGGGGATTCTAGTTTGCATAACTTACCTGGCAGGAAAGGAGCAAGTGTGGAGAAAAAGACTTCTCCCAGGTCCTCCACACAGGTGTCCAACAGCCCTGGTGACCAACAACCAGGCAGCTGTATCATCTCCCTGGACTGCTCCTGAGGGGAGAGACGGACAACAAATTACACAATTCTTCCATTCTTGACCCTTCTCTTTCCACATTCTGCTCCCTGGTCTTTCCTCCACTGACTCATTCCCCCAAAGCAACTGTTTTCAATGAGGTTTGATTAGTTGCTGGCTCAAGTTTCACCCTCTCTTCTCTATACTCTCATTTTCATTTAAATATCACCTCCTTGGAGAGGTCCCCTGACCCCTAGCTAATATAGTTCCTCCCTTTTATCTCAGCCCATTTGTTTTCTTTGTGATTTGAAATTAATCTCTGTCACTGAGTGTCAAGATTGTGTGTATAATTCATATGCTCATTCATTTGTTCATTCATTCCTCCATTAATTTATTTCTTCGCTCTTAAACATCTATTTGGAATCCAGATGTCATCTAGGATAAATCAACTTTCTTGCAATCTAGGCAATATCTGTGCACCCTGTTCTGAGTCCTTTGATGTCTCCCTTCTCAAGAATTTCTGTAAATTCCCAGAGGGATTACATTTTAAAGTTCTGAATTTCTGCCACTTCCATATTCCATTCCTTTCCATGACACACTGCAGATACCTTTCTAGATCTGAATGCATAGCCCCTTCTCCATTCCCCACCCCCAAGCCACTCACCTGGTCCGAGTTTATAGTTGTTAATTACAAAGAAGTAGGTTTTGGTGAACTTGAGCAAGTTAAGAACTTATTAGAAGAGGACAGAGAGGCTCATGGAAATTAACAAGAAGCCAGAAGAATCAGGATCAGGCAAGAGCTTCAAAAGGAGGACATAGCAAATGCCCTTTCACCAGAATTATCTTCTTGGAATACCTGAGCCACTGCACCCTCACTTCTATGCCACTGGGCTCACAGTTGCTGTATTAGCTCATTTTCACACTGCTGATAAAGACATACTTGAGACTGGGAAGAAAAATAGCTTTAATGGACTTACAGTTCCACATGGCTGGGAAGGCCTCACAATCATGGTGGAAGGCAAGGAGGAGCAAGTCACATCTTACATGGATGGCAGCTGGCAAAGAGAGAGCTTGTGCAGGGAAACCCTGCCTTATAAAGCCATCAGATCTCATGTGATTTATTCACTATCATGCGAACAGCATGGGAAAGACCTTCCCCCATGATTCAATTACCTCCTACCAGGTCCCTCCCACAGCATGTGGGAATTCAAGATGAGATTTGGTTGGGGATAAAGCTAAATCACATCAATTGCTAAGGATAAATGAGCTCACCTTACCTTTGAGCATGAGTATCTGCTTAGCTCCCATGAGCCAAGGGAAAGGAGAAGGGATGCATTTTCCACTCTAACTGTCAGAAGGGAGACACAGCTCTGACTCCCCGCCCCCTTCTTTGTGATTCCCCTAAACCAGAACAATGTTTCACCCTGTGCACCCAAAATGACAAATGTTCTCAACAATGACCCAAAATATGTCAAAACTTCTCTGGGAGAGGGATCATGGGGAAAGGAACTATGGCATGTTACAGAGTGCAATACCAGTGTTTGTTAGTGATTTGTTATTCAGGTCACCGAAGGGAGTTTTTTCAATAGCCAATCCACCACTTGCAACTCCTAGCCTCTATGTTTCTGGCTCAAGTTTCACACTCCCTTCTCTACTTTCTCATCTCCATTTAAATATCACCTACTTGGAGAGGTCCCCTGACCCCTAGCTACTATAGCTGCTCCCTTTCCATCTCAGCCCAGCATTTGTTTTCTTTGTAATTTGAAATTCATCTATTTGTGCATTTACATCTTGCAGGTCTGTATCTTCCACAGGAACATAGGGCTATAGGTCCTAGCATGAAGGTTGACCCATGCAGGCATTCAAAAAATGTTTTGGCCATGCCTAGCAAGTGCCTGGGAGTGAGAGTTAAGGCAGGAAGACTTGTCAGGAGGCCCTGAAAGTAGGTCAGGTAAGAGATAAGGACGTAAATCAAGGGAGTAGGGATGCAGGAGAATGAGAAGGGTCAATCTGAGTCAGTGTGGGTTGATGTGGAATCTAAAATAAATGTAGGGTATACACAGAGGAGTCAAGAACAGCCCAACTCCCATAGTAGGAGCAGGTAAATACTCCTTAACTAAATGAATGGGTGAACAGTGGCAGGGTCATCTTAGGGCTGTGATGGGTCACAGTGACCATCTCAGAAGGAGTGGGAAGCCCTGGAGAAGAGGCCATGACTGTCTTTGACTTTTTTGCATTTCAGGATTTTTATTTATCCCTTACTTTGGTTTTGTGGCTCTTTTGCTCCTCAGTCATCTGAAAGCCCATGGCCATTTTTAAATCTTTATGGAAACAGAACCAGTAAGAGGGAAGTTAAAGAAATCTATTCTGAATAAAACTCAGAAGAACTACAAGGGTTGATGTTAGGAGAAAGGGTTAGACCATTTCTGAACTTGAGATGGTGTCTTGGGGCTTCACAAATGTGTATTTGTCCAAAATACACCGCATAAATTCAATGTGCATATTCTGAGTTAGCTTTTGCAAAGTTATGTTGTGGTAAATACATCTCCCCTGAGTCCTTGGGGCTTGCACTAACAAAGGTACATTTCTCTTATTACTTGTTGGCTGCAAGGTCTGTGGCTTAGGTCCATGTATATATCTTCTTCATTCTAGACCAATGGAAGAGTCCCCTTCTGAATATATTGTTCTCTTGATAATGAGGAAATACAGCATGGCCGGTCCACGCAGTGGCAGTTAAAGCTTCTGCTAAGAAGAGGCATATATCCCTCCTGCTCACCAAAGCAAGGAGCAGGGCCAACCATGCCTGATGCCATTAGAGGTTGTAGTGAGCTGAATGTGTCCCTTCCAAAGATGTGACCACCTGGAACCAGTGAATGTGACCTTCTTTTGTCTTTGCAGAAGTCATTGCATTAAGGATCTTGAGATGAGATCATCGTGTAATAGGGTGAGCTCTAAATCCAATGGCAGGTGTCCTTATTAAAGAAGACAAAGGGGAAATACACACAGCGGGGAAGACCACATGAAGACAAGGCACAGACTGGGGTTATGCAGCCACAGACCAAGGAACTTAAGGATTGCTGTCAACCCCCAGAAACCAGGAGACAGTCATGGAACAGATTCTCCCTCAGAGCATCCAGAAGAAACCAATTCTGCCAAAACCTTGATTTCAGACTTCTGGGCTCCAAAACTGTCAGAGAATATGTTTCTGTTATTTTAAGTCACCCAATTTGATAATTTTATAAGGGCAGCCTTGGGAAACTAAACAGGAGTATAATCCTTTCAGGGAAGGAGTCACAAGATTTATCCAAAGCCCCTTCTCTATGCTAGCACTGAACATTCTGGTGAAAAGAACCAGCCCTTTCCTCGAGCAGCTCAGCCCCTGAACTAACCACAACACCTGCCCACCAGACAATTGACCCTTACATGACCTCAGTTTTCTTGACTTCACCTACCGTCCTGGGTATTTCCTCTGTGTACAGCTCTGCCCACCTGACCAGGAGCTTCCAGTAGGTCACTATTTCCTCTCTTTCTCCCAACCAAATGACCTTGGCTTGACCACTGAGGAGCACCCTGAGAACCTGACCTTGGCTTGACCACTGTGGACCTCCTTGAGACCATGACCTTGGTGTGACCACTGCTGAATAGCCTGAGACCATGAGAAACTGCCTGAGACCATGGCCTTGACTTGAACACTGAGGAACAGCCTGAGATCTGGACCTTGACTTGACCACCGAGGAACACATGAGATCATGAGGAGCCATCTGAAACCATGACCTTGACGTAACCACTGAGGAACCACCTGAGACCATGATCTTAGCTTGACCACTGTGGAACACCCTCAGACTATGAGGAGCTGCCTGAGACCAAGACCTTAGCTTGACGACTGAGGAACACCCTGAGACCACAAAGAACTGTCTGAGACCATAACCTTGGCTTGACTACTAGGGAACATCCTGAGACCATGAGGAAATGCCTGAGGCCAGGACCTTGGCTTGACCACTGAGGAACAGCTTGAGACCACGGAGCTAAAGACCCCCCAACCCAACTGCTTCTTGAAGGACATATCTACCTCCAGGAAAAAAATATAACCACCACACAAAGCTGTCCCACTGCCCAGCACAGTTTGTATAATATGGACCTGGGACAGTTTTGCTACATGGGGGCACAAAGTCACAGACAGCCTAGTTCCCAGCCCTGCTGCAGTGACACTTGAACAATTGCATTATTATTTTCCGGGACGTGCTCTGAGTGGCCTTGCAAGAGCTGGAGCCAGATTAACTTAGCTCCCTGTCACAAATTGGAACTGACGTGTCATTCATGTGAGAGCTGTACGTGATAAAGAAATATTTCATTTGGATAAAACAAGTGCAATCTGCAATATTATTTTTTTGTCAGAGGAGACTCCTCAGTCTTCACTCGAGCTGTAAAGGGTGCTGGTGGGTTCTAGGGGTTGGGAGGGAGAAGTGCTATATTACATAAGCTACTGGCTGTTTTGAAAACACATAGTGCTTTGTTCATAGAACTCAGGTACAGAAAAGAACCAAAAGAATCAACCTACTCTTGCTTTTTCTTGGAAGTCTGGGATTGTCACACAGCTCCCCATGACACTGTAAGAGCTGACACAAGAGTGCTGGCGTCTCCACTCTGGCCTATTAGTGTACCCACATCCCAGCCTTGCTCCTTGGTTCCAGGAAAATCTCTCACTCAGAGAGAACGGAAGATGCTCCCTTCCATACTTGGTTCTACATGCCCTGTTCACCTGCTTACTCCAGTGCACCTTGGGGTCCCAGGAGATAACTTTCTTCTCCTGCAACATCTCCCCAGTGCACAAAGACAGGGTTAGATGCATCCTCCTGCCCACTTCCTCCCTACACACATGCCCTGCATGCCTGGCCTCCTTTCTCACAGCATTTCTGACACCACTGCAATGACAAGCTCACCCACCTGTCTGTTCAGCTACACTGGGAACTGTGCTGCTTCCTTAGCTGATGGATACACCTTTCCACTGAGTCACTGATTGAATCCATACATGGAGAGCCTACTCCTTGGAATTTAGGAGTTAACTCCCAGATACCTCTATCCCTTGGCAAACTGTGCTCTGTGAGAAGAACCCTTAAAGGAAGAATTCTTTTTGTCCACCATGCAGAAATCTCACAACTCATTCACAAGATCTCTAGCCCTAACAGTGTGAAACCATGAAGTGTCAACCCTGGTCCCCCTCCCACCTCTTCCAGGGTCCCCTCTGGACCTCCGGGAGAGCATCCTTCTGTCCTGGTCCTGGGTCCGAATCAGCCACTAAGAAGGCAGGAGAGCAAAAGACCATTGCTCCCCAGGAGAAGTTGCAGAAACAGAGGTGGCTTGGAGGTCAAGGTAGGTCCAGGTTGATTTCTTGAGAAGTCACTTATTTCAGTGCAGCCAACTGAGGACATTAGTAGGAGTTTTGCTGAGACTCTTGAGGATTTTAACAGCCTCTGGACAAGCCCTGCATAAGCCTCATCTTCAGCAGTTCTGTGAGACATCCAAGATGGCCCTGCTGCCCATCTGAGAGCTTCTCATTTCTCACATAAAAACACCTCATATAGATTTTTTTAGACATAGACAAACTAATTCTCAATTTATGTAGAAAGGCACAGGCCCAAGAATAGCTAAAACAACCTTGAAAAAGAAGAACAAAGTGGGAGGAATCACTCCACTCAATATTAAACCTAACCATGTAGCTAGAGTGATCCAGACAGTGTGATATAGTCTGAGGAACGGCTACATTGACCAATGGAACAGACTAGAGACCCAGAAATCAGCCCATACAAATATGCCCAGTGATTTTGGTCAAAGGTGCAAACACAATTCAGTGGAAGGGGAATTGCCTTCTTGACAGACGGTGCTGCAGCAATTGGATGGCCAGAGGCAGAAGAAAACTTCACAGCTTAATCAAAGACCAACTCAAAATGTGTTATGGACATAAATGTAAACATGAGAAACTGTAAAGCTTTTGGGGGGGAGAAAAAAAGAAAGAGAGTATCTTCAGGACCCAGGACTAGGCAAAGAGTTCTTAGATTTAATGCAAAAGTATAATATATAAAAGAAAAATTGAGAAATTATACTTCATCAAAATTATAATCTTTTGCTTCATGAAAGACCCCATTAAGAGGATGAAAAGAAAAGCTATAGACTGGGAAAAAATATTTGCAAACCACGTATCTAGACATATCTGGAATATACATTTTTTTAATTTTCAAAATTTAACAGTAAAAAAGAAAAACAAAAAAAAATCCAGTTAGAAAACAGATAAAAGACATGAACAGACATATCACCCAAGAGCATGTTTTACATTGAACATCAAAAGATGTCCAACATCATTAGTCATCAGGGAAATGCAAATCAAAGCCACAGTAAGCTATCACTACACACCTACAAGAATGGCTAAAATAAAAAATAGTGACAACATCTAATGCTGGCAAGGATATGGAGAAATTAAATTATTCATGTATTGCTGGTGGGAATGTAAAATGGAACAAACATTCTGGACAATAGTTTGGCAGATTCTTATAAAACCAAATATGCAATTACTACTGTACAATTATACTCTTGGGCATTTATCCCACAAAAGTGAAAACGTGTGTTGACACAAAAATGGGCACATACATATTTACAGCAATTTTTTTCCTAATAGCCAAAAAAATACCCCACTGCGCTTCAATAAGTGAATGTTTAAATAAACTGTGATACATCAATACCATCATGGAATATTATTAAGCAATAAAATGGAACGAACTATTGATATATGCAACAGCTTGGATGACTCTCCAAGGAATTATGCTAAGTGAAAAAAGCCCATTTTCAAAGGTTACATACAGTATAATTTCATTTACGTAATGGTCTTGAAATAAACAAATTATAGAAATGGAGAAGAGATTGGTAGTTACCAAGTGTTAGGGATAGCAGAAATGGCAGAGGGTCATGGGAATGGATGTAGCTATAAAATGGCAAAACAGAATTTTTGTGATGATGGATTGTTCTAGGTCTTGACTGTAGTGGTAGATACACACACCTACACGTATTACCAAAATAGAACAAAGTACACACATACTTACACAAAAATGAGTACAAATGAAATGGGAAATCTGAATACGATCTGTAGGTCATACGAAAGCCAAAAACCCAGTTGGTAATATTGTACCGTAGTTTGCAAGATGTTACCATGTCAGGAAACTGGCTAAAGTGTACATGGAGTTTCTCTATATAATTAGATATTGGTTTGCAAATATTTTCTCCCAGTCTATAGCTCTTGTTTTCATCCTCTTAATGGGGTCTTTCATGAAACAAAATTTTATAATTTTGAAGAGTAATGATTTATCAACTTTTCCTTTTATATATTACATTTTTTAATTAAATTCAAGAACTCTTTGCATAGCCATGTCAGGAAACTGGCTAAAGTATACATTGAGTTTCTGTATATATTATATATATATATATATAAAAAACATATGTAGTGTATATATATATATAACATATATAATATATGTAACATATAATATATAACATATATAATAATACATATAGCATACATATTATATATTTATTTTTACTTATTTATTTATTTTTGAGACAGAGTTTCACTATTGTTGCCTAGTCTGGAGTGCAATGGCACGATCTCAGATCATTGCAACCTCCGCCTCGCAGGTTCAAGCAATTCTCCTGCCTCAGTCTGCTGAGTAGCTGAGATTACAGGTGCCCACCACTATGCCCGGCTAATTTTTTGTATTTTTAGCAGAAATGGAGTTTCATCATGTTGGTCAGGCTGGTCTCGAGCTCCTGACCTCAGGTGATCCACCTGCCTTGGCCTCCCAAAGTGCTGGGATTACAGGAGTGAGCCACCATGCCCAGCCATGATATATATTTATATATTATATATAATTATATGTAAAGTGCTATATATGTGACATATTATTATATATAATATGCTATGTGTGTAATATATAATATATATAATAATATATACTAATATATTATATATAATAATATATACTATATATTATAATATATATTAGTATATTATATTTATATATTGTATCGTATATAATATAGAGAGACTCTGTGTGTGTATCTGCAATTATCTCAACATAAGAATTTAACTATTAAAAAAGCCAAACACTTCATAGATGGAATTTATGAATGACTGCTCTATTCTTTACTAAATTCTAAGTGCTGGAAACTGTTCCCCACTCCAATCCCTCACAAAAAAGAAGAGACTTTAATAGACACAGTTAAAACAGAAGGGTTTCTGTTGAAATGAACATGTGCCAACAGAAAGGCACTGGATTCTTTGTTCCCTCCTAGGAGTCTTCTAGATCTATACCATCAGTGGAAATGAATGAAAGATAGCAGTTGGCTTCTTCTCTTGGGCTGATGTGCTATTTATTGCTACTGGATATTAAATGTACACACACAGAGAGAAAGAGGAAAATGAAAAAGAGATCTTTCTCTATGAAAAGCAACAGAAAGTATTAGTCAATATCTGCTTGATGCAAAACCCCAACATTTTGCTTCTCATTTCTCTGTGCAAAACCTACTAAGATGCACAATAGATTTGAGCAAAGTATAGATTAAATGCAGACTTTGAACTGTGTGTAGAAACTTAAATTGGATTTCTTTATGATTTAAGACATGTTAGGTCATTCATAATTCATCACAAGCACATCTTCAGTTAATGTAGTAAAACCAGCCCCTCCCAGCCTTTTCTATAACGCACCAGAAAGATGTGTTTCATGTTTGCTAAGTGGAGGAGCAGCAGTAGTAAAGAGGAACTATGTATGGGTTTGTGTGTGTACATTTACACACACATGCCTATGTGGACAGATAAGCAAATAAGCACAGGGCCATGACCTCCAAACCCTCTCCAAATCAAGATGAGCTGAAATGAATCAGAATCAAGGGAATGCATAATCTTATATTAATCTCAGTAAATATTCAAACCTAGAGAGGCAAGCAATACTTTGCCTTCTTAGGACAAGGAATGGAGTGTTTTTGGGTGGATCATAGCTCTGAGCCTGGAATTAACGAGGCTTACTCCGCAGACAGGAAATCCAAATGTCAGAAAGGGAAGTGGGTTTACCCTGGTACACCTTGACATGAACAGACATGTCACCACAAAGGACTCTCAAAGGACCCTGTCTACATTTCTTAACTTTTTTTAATTTTTAATCTTCTAATTTTTTAGACAGAGTCTCGCTCTGTCGCCCAGGCTGGAGTGCAGTGGTACGATCTCAGCTAACTGAGACCTCCACCTCCCGGGTTCAAGGGATTCTCCTGCCTCAGCCTCCCGAGTAGCTGCTATTACAGGCACACACCACCACACTTGGCTAATTTTTGTATTGTTAGTAGGGACAGGGTTTCACCATGTTGGCCAGCTGATCTTGAACTCCTGATCTCAAGTGATCTGCCTGCCTCAGCCTCCCAGAATGTTGGGATTACAGATGTGAGCCATCGTGGCCGGCCCCTGTCCACATTTCTTAGATAGCACCCACTACCTGTGTTTTAGTTGTTGGTTACATGTCTCTCTTCTTCAGGGAGCCTCAGGCCATGTCTGATAACATCTCCACATTCCTGAAGCTGAGCATAGGTTTAGCTCAGAATCGTGGCTGTAAAAATAAGTTCACTGATGCTGCTTGATTTCTAGTCTGCTGAGGTTCATTTTTATATAAATAACACCTCATTTTCTGATTACAACTAATACCAGCTTGTACTGTTTATTTTTTGTCCCTCCAGATCCTCTCTACTTTTTCTGCCCTGTCAGGTGTCCAAGAAGGCTGATCATATTGATTATGTTACCTAGGCTTCCATGTCCCCTGGATTCCGATCAGGTTCTCTTAAAGGGACGCATCATCAGAAGATCAGATTGCAGAAGGAAGGAGAAGTAGGTGACACCCCTCTTCCCTGACAGCCTTGGCTTGGCAGTCACTGTGCTTCACTACCACATGCCATGGAGATCACTCCCCTGCTAGGCTCCAGGAACAGGTTCAGACTCAAAGCAGACTCAAAGGTACCAACAGCTTCCCACTATTGCTAGTCACAAAATGTGTCATTGCCTCTTGCTATTTTCTTGCTGGTTATCAGGGTTGTTTTGCCCAATGTTTGGGTTCTTTCTGCTTGATACTAGGAAGGAGTGTGCTTCCTGATTTCTTCATCGTCTACTAGGACAATATGAATATGCTTGGAGCATTTTTGCCAGTGCAGGAATACATATATATTGTGCTTCTACCAGAGCTCTCTTTCTCTTTTTTTCACAATGACCAGCAACATTCCAGAGAGAGGGTGGTCCATTAGTCAATACCCCAGAAAGAAGGCAAAAAAAAAAAAAAAAAAAAAAAAGAATGTGAAGAAGAACATAGACTATTTACTAAACATGTACATAATGAGCAAGAATTAAACTGAGATTTGGGTGGTTTTTTTTTTTTTTTTTGAGATGGAGTCTCAGTCTGTCACCCAGGGTGGAGTGCAGTGGCACGATCTCGGCTAACTGCAACCTCCCCTCCAGGGTACAAGGGTTTCTTCTGCCTCAGCCTCCCGAGTAGCTGGGATTACAGGCGTGTGCCACCATGCCCTGCTAATTTTTGTATTTTTGGTGGAGACAGGGATCTCACCATGCTGGCCAGGCTGGTTTTGAACTCCTAACCTCAAGTGATCTGCCCTCCTCGGGCTCCCAAAGTGCTGGGATTACAGGCATGAGCCACCATACCCCGCCCGAGATTTGGGTGTTTTGTTGTTGTTGTTTCTGTCGTATGATTTAACCTCTCAGGACTAATACAGCAGCCTTAACCCTGAGACCTGTCAACAGCCGCTTCACTAAACGCTCTTCAGTTAATCTTTGAGAATGACATGTATTTTCTGCTGAGACTTTAAATAATAATAGCCCACTTTGGAAAATGTGCAAAGTATAGAAAAATATAGATAAGCAAATAAAATAATCAAAACCCCCACTACTCAGAGATAACAACTATAAATTTTTTGGCATGTTTTCTTCCAGTTTATTTTCTTTGTGTGTGTATGTATGGGTGGAAGGGCGATGTGTCTATATTTCTATGTGTTTGTATGTTATTGAGATTTGAAATTAAATTATAATTCATGCCCTTACCACTTCCTACAATAAGGTGAAAAATTTAAAAAGTGATGATAATACATTTAGCCAACACAGCTTTGACCTTGTTTAATTGAATTGACAGGTGCCCCAGAGACAAATAGCCAAGCAGGGCCAAGGCGCACAGTGATCTGATGGCCATTTCACTGAAGCCTGTTTTTTGCCAGGCTCTTACAGTGGGGAAAAGAATGGAGGAAGCTTTGCCAAAGGAAAATAAAACATCCAACCCCAGGGGAGCCAGCCACAATGGCTGCACTGGTAGAAAACAAGCCATACAATGTCAACAAACAGAAAAAGAATGGGGCCTGTCATCAAGCTGGAATTTGGGAAAGGTCTGGTTTCCAGGCATTTTATGGTAGCAGCAAAGAAGCAAAGATAATTCATGTACATTGTCGGATGAGCTCCTCTCAACACAGCCAGTTTAAAATGGCACAATGGGAGCATGTTGTGTAGGCCAGCGTTCCCATTAAGCCCTGTGCAGCCAGCCTAGCTGAGACCAGGAAAAGGCACTTGTACCCATGTGAATGTTCGTGTCCCCCCAGAATTCATATGTTGAAATGTTGGCCTCCAAGTTGATGATACCGGGAGGTGGCATCGTTGGGAGGTGAATAGGTCATCACAGCTCTGCCCCTATGGATGGGATTAGTGCCCTTCTAAAAGGGAACCCAGAGAGACCCCTGATCCCTCCACCCTGTGAGGACACAGCAAGAAGTCACCTCCTAAGGACCAGGGAAGGAGGCTCACACCAGTCACCAAATCTGCTGATGCCTGAATCTTGGACTTTCCAGCCTCCAGAACTGTGAGAAATAGATTATTGTACTTTATAAGCCACCTAGCCCAAACTGACTAAGACCTCTGTGGACTGGTATAAACAAGACCCAAATCTGAGTCCTATTTAGCCTCACCTGGGTAGTACTTGCAAGGGTTAAAAGACTTACCAAGTTCACAAAATCATCTGCAGTAGGGAGCGGAGAAGTAAAATTCAAACTCCTTTGTCTCTGATCCCAAAGCCCTCAATTTCTTCACTGGGCCATGCTACTCAGGGGGAAAAGGGAGTTGCAGAGGAAAAGGTTCTGCTTTTTCTAAACACATTTTAGTTTTCTGGCAGAGTCTGGCTGGACACTCCCCGATACTTTTTCTGTTTTCTGGTACAAGAAGACTACAATTCCCAACTTCCCTTGCACTTATATTGTGGCCATGTGACTAGTTCCAGCTAATAGACAGTGGCCCCAGGAGATGTATGCAAGGCTATGTCTGTGTTTTAGAATCTCCCACTGGAGCCTTAGCTTACTCACTCTCTTCCTTCTATACATCAGGGCCGTGCACTGGAGAAGATCCAGATCCCTAAGTCACCGGTTAGGAAGACAACCAAGAAAGCCACCTGACCTACATTGAACTGTGAAATGAATGGGAAATTGTGTGTGTGTATGTGTGTGTGTGTGTGCATATATTAAACCATTTTTATTGAATTAAGCCACAATTTGGTTGTGTTTGTTACAGCATCTATCATGCATTATCCTGATTAATACGGCTTGGTACCTAAGACATACACACACTGAAAAAGTGTTATTTGCTGTTACAATATGTTCTAATGTAACTGTGAGTCAGGAGAGGCCATATTCACTTAAGAAAGACTGGGGAGACATATATTGTGCTCCTACTATAATCTGAGTTTTGTAGGATATTATATAGTCATACATTCATTCATTTAAAAATATTCTGGAGTGCCCTAGTATACCAGATCTACTAAAAATGAGATTTACTTATTCATTAGTTACTCATTGAGTCTCTGTAAGGACAAGGCCCCAGCACTGTGTTGTGTGACGGTGATAAAGATTACTAAACATATATTATGTCTGTGTTCTTGAGGTGCTGAGAGACATATGCAGGTTGAGCATTCCAAATCTAAAAATCCAGAATCCAAAATACTCCAAAATCAAGCTTTTGGAGCACTGACATAATGCTCAACAGAAATGCTCACTGGAACATTTTGGATTTCAGATTTTGGGATTTGGGATGCTCCCCCAATAAATATAAAGCATCTAAAATCTGAAAAAATCTGAAATTTGAAACACTTCTGATCCCAAGCATTTTGCATAAGTGATACTCAGTCTATATTTATTCACCTAAGAAATATTTATGGAGTGCTGACTAGGTGCAGACACTGTTCTAAACAACAGAAACCCAGTCAAATCTACAATTATTAACTGAGACAGGGCTCTGAAATCATGGTTCCAAGAGAGCAGGTAACTAAAGAACCTGATCTATACTTGGGTGGGGAATAGGGAGGCATGGAGGGCTTCCCTCTGGAAGCCACGTTTAAGCTGAGATCTGGCAAATAGGTAAGGTTCAACTGGGCCAAGTGAGGAAGAAGGAAGTCATTCTGGGTGGAAGGAGCAGTGTGTGTGAAAGTTGGCGGCAGAAAGGAGCACATCAGGCTGCAAAGGCCAAGGATGTCCTGCAGGGCCGGAGTGCACAGCATGGATTGAGGTGGTGGAGGGGCTCTCTATTGAAGAGAAAGGCATCCTGGGCAAAGTACAAAAGACAAAGCACAATTCAGAAGATCCTTGAAAACATATAACCAAACAAGTATCAATATCTGTAATGCCAAAACAAAACAAATCTTCAAATTAACATGGAAAAGCAATTAAGCTAATTTTTTTTAAAGGGACAGCTGTCATGAACAGGCAAATCCCACAAGAAGACACATGAATGGTAAATAATGTCCAAATTACCAACCTCTGTGGTAATCAGGGAACTATAAGTTGACATTTCAATAAAAGATAAAAAATTATATGTACCAGAGAGAAAATTTTTTAAATATGATGGTGCCAATCTATGGTGAGAGTGTGATATGGTTTGGCTGAGCCCCCACCCAAATCTCATCTTGAATTCCTATGTGTTGTGGGAGGGACCCAGTGGGAGGTAATTGAATCATGGGGTAAGGTCTTTCCTATGTTGTTCTTGTGATAGAGAATAAGTCTGTGGCCAGCCACTGTGGCTCAAGCCTGTAATCCCAGCATTTTGGGAGGCCGAGGCGGGCGGATCACAAGGTCAAGAGATTGAGACCATCCTGGCCAACACGGTGAAACCCTGTCTCTACTAAAAATACAAAAATTAGCTGGGAGTGGTGGTGTGCACCTGTAAGCCCAACTACTCAGGAGGCTGAGGCAGGAGAATTGCTTGAACCCAGGAGGCAGAGGTTGCAGTGAGCCAAGATTGTGCCACAGCACTCCAGCTTGGCAACAGAGCAAGACTCCATCTCAAAAAATAATAATAAATAAAAGAAAAAGAGAATAAGTCTCACGAGATCTGATGATTATATATGGGGCAATTTCCCTGCACAAGCACTCTTCTCTTATCTGCTGCCATGTGAGATGTGCCTTTCACCTTCCGCCATGATTGTGAGGCACCCCTAGTCACGTGGAACTGTAAGTCCACTAAACTTTGTTTCTTCCCAGTCTGATATGTCTTTATCAGCTGTGTAAAAACAGAGTGCTAGCTGTTTGCCAAAACCTGTCTCCTCTTCTTCCTGGCCATAGAGTGAAATGACATTTGTCAACTACTGCCATAGGTAGTGATGTCCACCTGCCTGAGTTCCAACCAGCATGCAAGTGAAGCAATGGGTACAACTTTCAGACTTGGTGGATGAATACTTCCTTGTCTTCTACATGCACATAGGGATGGTGGCTCCCGGGCTGTCACAGGAGTCCGGGGAGGGCTGCTGGGAGCAAGATGAAGACAGCAGGGCTAACAGGTAGAGAGCTAGGCCCACGTGTGTTGGGGAGACATAATGGTGGTGATGGTTCTGGAGTCTGTTTACCTGGATCGAGTGGAGCCAACCAGGAAGTTTCCATGTCAGTATCCTATCCCACGGGCTGGGAAGTTTTCCCCGGAAACCAGCATCAATGTGGCATGCAGGTGATCCTCAGGGCTGTGAACTCTTCACAGAATGGGCATAGGGATGAAAAGAGAACAAAAATAATGCAGTCCCTGACCTCGTGGAGCTTGTCTTTTATTTTTATTTTTTGAAAATATTAACTAATTTAACTTATTCCCATCTTTCAATTTTATAGCTGGGGAAACTGAGGCTTAGGGAAGTTAGGAGGCTTGTCCAAAGCCATTCAATTAGAAGACAGCAAAGGTAATGAACAGTCTGCTTGACCCTACACTACACCATCCAGTCTCACAGAAAGTTTCTAAATAACAGAATACTTTGGCTGAGCAAATGAGGCCAGCACGGCTGCCTGTACTCTGGGAACATTCAGGAGGCATCTGGAATTCTATTTTGGAGCACCATCCTAGAATGCCCTTCTGTCATCCATTGCCACCTTCACTACGCCGGAGACGATGACATTTATATTTTTAAACCCTTTTTGTCAAAATTAATGCTATCGTTCTCAGGTGCAGGATCCTACCCCATGGAGCACCTGCAGAAACAGGAATAAATTGTAAACAAAAAAATCCCGGTATTACATAAGACATTAAAATTGGAACAAGAGTTTAATTTTAAACCAGTTCAATTTCATCCCTAATAGCAAATGCTGAACAATGGAGAAACCCTTTCTCTATTCAAAGTCTTCCAAGAACAAAGAAATTGTCCCCATGTAAAGCAATAACCTAATACCATATTAATAATAACCTTGCATTCGTATAACCTTCTTCACTTTCACAAAGCTCTTTTACATCTGCTGTTTCATAGGGAGGTGAATTCAGACACAATTGTAGTTATTAAACAAAACCAAGAGTTTATTATTATTATTATAAGGTTATATTTGAGCAACTGCCAATCTATCTTCCTCATTGCAGTCAGTTAAACTTTTTCGAAAACAGTTCTATTAAGATCACTTCTGGGTCACAAGAAATGTTGGGATCTTTCTCATTGGCACCAGAAGGAAGATCCTAATATGGCCTGGAGGACTTTGCAATCTGCCTCTAATCTTTTCTCAGTCTCATTTGTCTTCACTTTCGGAGAGGCGGTGTAACCAAGAGATTAGGAACCCTGATATGGCCCGAGAACACAGCTGGGTTCCCCTCCTGCCCAGGACCCTTTGCAGCCCATCCAGTGAAGACTGGACCTTCCCTTGGCACCACTTTTACCCAGACATTCACCCCAGCAGCGATTTCAGGAGAGAGTCAAATGAAACGCAACACCTTAGGAAACAACATTGCCTTTCCTTGGCTTGCCATGGTTGGACCTGGCCGAGAGTAAAATCAGAGGGTGGAGATCACTTCTTATTAACCTCCCCCACAGTGCTGTGCCAGAAGCCCCACTGCAGACTGAACCTATCATGAGATCAGTCTAATGGCCCAGCAGTCTTAGAACATAGCAGCCACCATTGTATACAAGAGGAAATGGGGGTTGAGGAAGGGGAAGGACCTGCTAAAGGTCACATGGCCAATGCCCAGAGGCAGTAAGGCCTGAGCCCACATTCTCTTCAGCGTTCAATGCTATTACTATGCAGATGTCTCCTTTAGGGTACATTTTTTTTAATAGCATGTATCTGTATACACACACACACACACACACACACATATACACTCACACACATAGGCCACTGCCACATGTAACATACATGCACACATTCTCTGGGGTGGAATTTGACCCAGGGATGCTGTTGAAGAGTTTTGAAATTTCTTAAGTATCAATCACAGGATAAAACTTGGAGAAACTCCATTTTAAGGACAGAGCATGTCTGAATCAGCAGAAACAGGAAGGCAATGGGATTTGCAGGTGAGCAGGAATGATCCTCCTGACCCCAAGAGCTCCCACCTTGAGGGCTCACCTTGCCTGAGGGCTTTTCCTGTGGAAAGCAACACTCTTTCCAAGAATAATCTGAGAAAAAGGACAGTGATGACAGCCTCACTGACAGGTTAGGAGATGGGAAGGTCAGTGAAATTGGGCCCAAAGGCACATGACACAACACAGATGGAGGACATTGGACACAAACACTGGCTCCAACCTCCATGCTCCTCCCCAATGAGAATATGTCCCCTCCCACTCTCCAGGAACAGAATTGGACAAAGGTGTCATGAGAAGTTGGTCATAAGGGTGGCCATGAAGGGAGCAGGGTGAGGTGTCAAGGGGCAAACAAAGAAAGAGGGTGGAGCCACTTCCACTTCTCTTTTGGAGCTGCGGAGCCTCCTCTGCCAACAGGAACAGCACCTACCACATGGAGTCTGGAGGGGTCTCATGATTTCACACAGGGAAGAGGATCTAGCCCAGTGTTCGGCACAAGGGAGGTGCTCAGTGAGCTCAACTGCTTTCCTCCTGTGTCTCCTGTAGCTTCAAAGTCCCTACTAAATGCATGGGAAGCTCCCCAAGGGCAAGAATCAAGCCATATAACCTCACAGAGCTCAATACACTCTCTTAGCATCAGAGTAAAACCATGGCATCACCTATCATGTTCACAATACTCATATCCTTTGCTCACTTTTTGATGGTGTTGTTTGATTTTTTCTTGTAAATTTGTTTCAGTTCTTTGTAGCTTCTGGATATTAGCCCTTTGTCAGATGGGTAGATTGCAAAAATTTTCTCCCATTCTGTAGGTTACCTGTTCACTCTGATGATAGTTTATTTTGCTGTGCAGAAGCTCTTTAGTTTAATTAGATCCCATTTGTCAATTCTGGCTTTTGTTGTCATTGCTTTTTGCAAATCAAAACCACCATGAGGTACCATCTCACACCAGTTAAAATGGTGGTCATTAGAAAGTCAGGAAACAACAGGTGCTGGGGAGGATGTGGAGAAAGAGGAACACTTTTACACTGTTGGTGGGACTGTAAACTAGTTCAACCATTGTGGAAGACAGTGTGGTGATTCCTCAAGGATCTAGAACTAGAAATACCATTTGACCCAGCCATCCCATTACTGGGTATATACCCAAAGGATTATAAATCATGCTGCTATAAAGACACATGCACACATATGTTTATTGCGGCACTATTCACAATAGCAAAGATGTGGAACCAACCCAAATGTCCATCAATGATAGACTGGATTAAGGAAATGTGGTACATATACACCATGGAATATTATGCAGCCATAAAAAGGATGAGTTCATGTTCTTTGTAGGGACATGGATGAAGCTGGAAACCATCCTTCTGAGCAAACTATCACATGGACAGAAAACCAAACACTTCATGTTCTCACTCATAGGTGGGAATTGAACAATGAGAACACTTGGACACAGGATGGGGAATATCACACAACAGGGCCTGTTGTGGGGTCGGGGGAGGAGGGAGGGATAGCATTAGGAGATATACCTAATGTAAATGATGAGTTAATTGGTGCAGCACACCAACATGGCACATGTATACATATGTAACAAACCTGCACGTTGTGCACACATACCCTAGAACTTAAAGTATAATAATAAAAAAAAAAACAATACTCAAACGTCTATGTTGCCTCCAAGTTTTCAAGGTGCGTTTATCAGCTCATGCAGTGTTTTGAAGCAGATGCTATTCTTCATATTTTACTGATGAAAAGAAGAGAAGCAGAAGGGTGAAAAGAGACTTGCTTAGGGCACCACCATTGGTAACTGACAGAGTCAGAAATTAAAATCTCACTACTTAAAAAAAACTTGATTTATTTCGGAATAATTTTAGATATATTGAAAAGTTGCAAAAATAGTACAGAGAGTTTCTTTGCCCAGTTTCCCCTACTGTTAACATCTTGCATTACATGGTTCATTTGTCAAAACTTAGAAATGGCCTTTGCTGCACTGCTATTAACTAAATCTCACATTTTACTTGGATTTGGCCAGTTTTTCTCCAAATGTCGTTTTTCTCTTCCAGGATCTATGCAGGGAACCACATTACACTTATTCGTCAAGTCTTCTTTCTCTCCTCCGGTCTGTGATAGTTTTCACTCTTCCCTTGTTTTCTCATGACCTTGACAATTTTGAGAAGTACTGGTCAAGTGCTTTGTAGAATGTCCCTCAATTCTGAACAGGCAAGGCTTTAGAATAACTAGGCAGGTTCTCATTTCACTAACCCACAGTTGCCCCTACTTAATGGAAAATTCCATGAAACCAAATCTCCATGCACAATAATTCTGGAATCACTCATCAACTCTTAGCCATCAAGGGAATACAAGAGCATCCTGTGATGACCACCTCTGTCCTCTAACACCAACAGGACTATTTCAGTGGACTGGCCAGCTCTGCCCAGTGGCACTTTCTTCAATGATGGTCTGTGTCTGCACTGCTGATATGGATAGCCATATCCAGCTAGGAGCACTTGCAGTGTGGCTAGCGGGGTTGAGAAAAAGAATTTCTAGTTATATTTATTGTTAATTAATTTTTATTTAAATAGTGACTTGCGGCTAATGGCCACTCCAGGCTTAAGTGTAGGGCTGGACAAACCCAAAGTTAAGTTAGTCCTCGAGGATAAAGATTGAGAAGCGTGCATTACCTTATTCAGACTGCTCGGCAAAGAAGAATTCATGATTAAGAACATGCTAGAAAGAAACATAAACCACAGAGATGGGTGAGGGTGGAGCTTTAGAGGCCAGTGTTCCCCAAACTGGGCTCTTCGAGGACCTAGGAGCTCCACAGGGGTTTATAATGGGACGAATGGAGGAAGGCATCTCAGATAAGAAAAGAAATCTGGCCTGGCGTGGTGGCTCATGCCTGTAATCCCAGCACTTTGGGAGGCCGAGGTAGGAGGATCATGAGGTCAGGAGATCGAGACCATCCTGACTAACACGGTGAAACCCCACCTCTACTAAAAATACAAAACAACTAGCCGGACGTGGTGGCGGGCGTCTGTTATCCCAGCTACTCGGGAGGCTGAGGCAGGAGAATGGCGTGAACCTGGGAGGCGGAGTTTGGAGTGAGCCCAGATCGCGCTACTGCACTCCAGCCTGGGTGACAGAGCGAGACTCCGTCTCAAAAAAAAAAAAAAAAGAAATCTGTATGTGGGGTTATACATGTGCTTCCCATCCTCTTTCCAGTCCCTTCCTCTCAGACCCTTCACCCATAGCAGCTCTGCTTATTCCTATGAAGCAGGGCAAGCTGCCAGGAAAATAAGCAAACAAAAAACACTACCTTGCATGTTCATTTTATTTACATATTTATTTAGCTGATTGTAGACTTGACAACAAAGACTAAAGCACGTCCTCCTGCCCCTCCCCTGCCCACGTCCACTCGATCCCAGGAACAAAAAGCCAGAAGTGGTTGTGTTTTTCTCCCACTTGCATCTCAGAAGGGTGGAACTGGCCTTTGTGTTTCAGGTCACTGAGGCCATCAAAGTGTTTGAGATGATTTGGTTCTGTGTCCCCACCCAAATCTCATGCTGAATTGTAATCCCCAGTGTTGGAGCTAGGGCTCGTCTAGTCTTTCCATGTTCTTCTGCTTGCTTTTATTCTGGCTGTCCTGGCAGCTGATTAGATGGTGCACATCCAGATTGAGGGTGGTCTGCCTTTCCCAGTCCACTGACTCAAATGTTAATCTCCTTTGGCAACACCCTCACAGACACACCCACCCAGGATCAATCAAGTTGACACTCAATATTAACCATCACACCTACCTTGGAAGCCCTTTGCGGAAAATGTGAAGCCACGCATCTCTTGGACATTCACATGGGACTGTTGTGTGAACAAGAAATAAACTTTTTCTGTGTTAAACCACTGATATTCTAAGGTTCATTTGTTACAGCAGCATTACTTAACTAATCGTCATGCCCTAATTCCTGTTACTGAACTTCTAAGCCATATTTTATTTCTCTATGAAACAGAATTAAGGATATGTATATCATACGGCCACAGTCAGATTAGAATATATATACAATAGAGTCATGGTCAGATTAGATTATGTATTCCATAGGATCATGGTTGGATTAGAGTATGTGTCTCATAGGGTCGTGGCCACATTAGAAGACGTTATATATGCAGTGCCCCTGCTTATATTATTATAGGAGACACTCAAAATTGACAGCCACTATTGCATTTACTTTTTTGCCCCAAGTACAGTCAACTTGGTTTCAGTTCACTTTTGGTTTGAAGCAACCTCAAAGTCAGCTTTATTTATCTAATGAAACATATAAACACAATTTTTATTACGTTTGGGGTCTGTTATATCCAAAGCAATGGCTGGGTTGGTTTTCTCTTCCCATTCTGCACTGAGATCCAATGCACTAGCAGATGGCAATCCACTCCCTTCTGGCCTTACAGAGAAGGACTTTTTTTTTTTTTTTTGGCAAGGTCTCACTCTGTTGCCCAGGCTGGAGTGGAGTGGCATGATCATGACTCATTGCAGCCTTGACATCCCAGGCTCAAGCAATCCTCCCACCTCAGTCTCCCAAGTAGCGGAGAATACAGGCATGAGCCACCACTCTCTGCCTTAGGGAATGATTTTTTAAGCCTATAAGAATGCTTCTGTGACACCCATTGTAGCCGTAGTCTGGAATCACCATGGACAAAATGTCTGTTCTCAAAGGTGATGTAGTTGGCATTTACAAAAATGTGTCCATGATTCTTCCAGATAGAGATTCTTGTTCCCAAGCCAAAAGCTCATGATCAGAGAAAAGTAGCGTCAACCATGTCTATAGCATGATGGAATTTACTTATGAATAAAGAAGTAGGAATATCAAGAATGCATCCCTCCATCCATTCATGTATTGAATTAACATTTGAGCAGCTACTGTTTGATCCCTCTCAGATTAGTTCGATAAATAAAAAGTGTTTTTAAACTTTTATTTATAAGTATACACTTACAGGAAGTTGCAAAAAAAAAAATACAGAGAAGGCCTGTGTACCCATCTCCTGCTTTCCCCAGTGGTAACATCCCACATAATTGTCATACATATCAAACCAGGAAATCGATATTGGTACAATCTGCAGGTCTTATTGGGATTTCACCAGTGTGTGTGTGTGTGTGTGTTCCTGTGCAATTTTATTATATCTATAGATTTGTGCAGCCATCAACACGGTGCTTTTGATTTTTATTTCTTTCTAAAATGTATACATATTCATTAGAGAAAATGTTGGAAAGTCGAACTAAAATAGCAATAACAACTATAGTGCTACCCCTGAATAAAAACTTAGTTTATCATCTGGGTGCACTTCTGTTCACAGTTCTTTGTTTGCATATTTTTGTGCTTTCCTAAGTTTGTATTTCTAGCTAATTCTTCAGCACCTACTATGTGACGGTGATCACAATCATTCACATTATTGTCTTTTTGCTTCACTTAAATCTCTGAACAGATAGGCAAGTCAGATGCATTGACTGTAATGCAAGGATGTCATTATCTCTATTTTATACAAGAAAAGATCGAGGCTTCAGGAGAATGAATGACTTGCCCAAAGCCACAATGTAAATGAGTGAGACACTTGGTCTGACTTTGTAACCCATGCATCTCCACTCTAGTGCCTGTATGCTTTCTGCTCTGTAACTGGCTTCTTCAAATACTCTGCAGTTGAGGAAATACTCTGCACAGGCATGATTTGATCAGCACATCACCTCAAAGCCCTGTAGATACAGCAAGACAAGCGTTCATATACCCATTTCAGAGACAGAGAAACAGAGGTCCTGTAAGGTTATTGAGTAAAGTCACATATCTTGTAAGAAGAAAAATGAAACTGAACCCAGATCTTCTGCATCTTAGCTCAGTGTTTACTGCTATATTAAGGACAGCCACAAGGAAACCTTCAGAGTTCACACCTCCCCATTCCCACACCCGTGTCCATGGCTACTTGGCCAGAGCTCTTGCTCTTGCCAGTCCTGGATGTGGCTCAGAACCCTTCTTAGCCCAGAGTACCAGACAGCACTCTCAATCCTTCACTTTGGTATTGCAGCTGCAACCCACCCCTACACAGCACCAACGCTGATCCTGCACCTACTGTGCAGTCCTAGGTATGGTCAGGGTATCTGATCTGGGCTCCACTTAAATATGCCTTTGTGCATTACCATGTGGAAGGGAAAGAGCCTTTATTCTGTTATTTGTATGATAAAAAAAACCTATAACGGCACCTATAATATCTGAGTGGATCCTTAGCAATATCAAAGAGCAGAATTCCAATAAGGGTGTTGCATTAAATCTGAGCTGGCAAGAGCTTATAATAAAAGTACAGTAATGAGCAAGCTTTATGATAAAATTAATGTAATTAATTAGTGTTTGTAAAGGACTTCAAGATCACAGGGTGAAAGGCCCCAGCCAGAGGAAAAGTCATCTTAGAAATTACCACTATTATCATCTTAAGACACGGCATATATTATGCACTCTATGAGCATTTCCAAGCATATATTCATGTCCCAACTATAACTATATTAATTTATAGTAATTTGCAAATCAGGTCTCTGATCAGCCTTGGGAACCCTTTCTGGAGCTCTAAGTGGATGAGGTTATGACTCAAGTGGTATTTTAAACTCTGTCCTGTGATAACCTATTAGAGAGAGCAGCCCTATACCCCCACGCACGCTCAAGTTTGAGATTCAAATTGTACCTGACACGCATGAGCCCTAAGGTGCAGTTTTGTACTCCGTGGCAAGTCTTCCGGGTTTTGGTTGGGTTTTATTAAAAGCAGGTCTGTGAATGTTTCTTTAGTTCTTACTTTTCCAACTTTCCAGGATTCATGCATTGCTGTTTCTCTCTGATCCAATAATATTCCCTGAGGTTGGGACCACCTCTTTGCTGTCACTCTGTTACCCAGAATGCATGGAACTGAGTCTGGCACGCTTTAAATCTCCGGGGATTTTGGCTGATGAGGAATGCTCAGCTCAATGTTTCCATGTCCAAAATAAGCCTTTTATTTCTAATCATCCGAAATCTGGATTATCCTATTTGAAACCAGATTACCATATTTCTTAACTGGACCACACAATCTCTATTGAGCTTTGGAGGTATATTATAAATAATTTAAGCTAATTTTTTGGTAGTAAAATGTCATGCCAATGGGGAATTTGGAAAAGAAAGACAAAATAGGGCATTTTTAGTTGTTGCTTTCCCTAAGCATTTTTGCCTTCTAGGCCACCACTGATGTCATCTTCTCAGTTACCGATGTTCTTGTTCAAAGCTCCTGACAAGTTGTGTTTTTGCCCAGTCCATCATGAGAAAGTGAGAAGGTAATGAACTAAATCAGTTTCTTGTCCACAAACATGCATAGGAGACCATACAAAAGGGATATCATGGAACGAGACCCTCCTTCAGCCGTACAAAAGGTATGGAAGGGAGTTTCACAAGCACTCAACCTATTGACAGATCTCCTGGCTTTGAGTTCTGACACCGTCTTGTTTCACCAGTGTGATCCTGAGCAAGTCACTTTCTCTTTTCATAGATGTGCTTCTCCTCATGTTAAAAGGAGGATGGGAGAAGGAAGTGAGTAGAGACTGTACCAGATCAGGCATGGCCAATATTGGCTGACATGATGGTAATCATCCCCTCAACACACACACACACACACACACACACACACACACACACACACACCCCTCCCGGGTGTACTGTGGCAGACATTCCCAATCCATCACTGATCCCTTTCCCACTGAGCCCAAACCCAGCCCCAGAATCTTCAAGACAGCCCCCAGGTTGCTTCTACTTCCTAACCCGATTTGCTAATTGAGAAGAAATCACGGTTCCCTTCGGCTCCAAAGACGCAAATTTGGCTGCAATTTTGCAAAATGCTGTTTCCAATAGCATTGCAAGAAACCATCAATGTCTAAGTAAATACATTTATTTTTTTCCATGAAAGATTTTCTGGCTGCTACATTGTATGAAACTTTATAGAAATTATAATAACCTTTAAAAACCAACTAAAATACAAACATCATTATTAGAATGTTCAATTAGAAATGCAAACACACTCCGCTAAACAATCTCCAAATGTAATTGTTTAATAACAAACCATAAATTAAAAAGAAAAGTACAAAACAAAATGCCCAGGGAACAAATTGTGCTCTTGAGTTGTCGGTAAAAACCAAGAGCTTGTTTGGGTGCCATGAACATGCTCTCAAATTGTTTGTTCACTGCAATTAGGTCTTGTATTACACGTGGACCATTTCTGCCCTGAGCAAAACTGGATATTTTCTCAGCTGTTGGCATTCATATATTGGTATGGTTTGCCTCTGCATCCCCACCCAAATCTCATGTCAAATTGTAATCTCCACGTGTCAGAGGAGGGGCCTGGCGGGAGGTGATTGGGTCATGGGGGTGGAATTCCCCCTTGCTGTTCTTGTGAGTAAGTTCCCACGAAGTCTCATGGTTTAAAGGTGTGTGGCACTCCCCCCTTCACCTTCTCTCTCATGCTCCAACATGTAAAGACATGCTTGCTTCCCCTTCATCTTCCGGCATGTTTGTAAGTTTCCTGAGGTTTCCCAATCATGCTTCCTGTTAAGCCTGTGGAACTGTGAGTCAAGTAAACCTCTTTTCTTCATAAATTCCCAGTCTCAGGTAGTTCTTTATAGCAGTGTGAGAATGGACTAATACACGTATCATTTTGGAAAACTCCAAGAAATCTCAAAATAGTAGCTCTAGTAAATATATTAATGTGCTTTATAGAATCTCACTTTTCCACAGTGTTTTTTCTATAAAGAGTTTTTGCATACAAACACCAATCCTTGCATCTTTACAACAATCTCATGAGGTATGTGTTATTATTCTTCCCATATTCAGATGGGGAGATTGGGTCTGAGTGAAAGTAAGTCTCAAGCCATTATTGATCATTTCTCTCTGTTACCCTCAGCATAAAATGCCAGATTTGTTCTCCATGAAAGTGATCAACCTGAGATTTGTAAAAATGACTTTTTAAATTATGCTATTCTGCTTTTCTGTGTCATTGAAATTGGAGGGAGACCCAAAATGCAGAAAAATAGAGAAGTCCTGCAAATGCCCATAGTTCATGCATGTATTTTGCCAGCATGCAAGTTGCACCCTGCTCAGGGTTAGCATTGGGCAAGGTGGGGAGGCTGAGGCAGAAACACAGCTGCCCTCAAGGAGTTCACTGTCTAACAGAAGAGACAGAGAAGACAACTAAGCAGCCTGCACCCAACTACAGGGCAAAAGTTGGTCAATAAGATGGGTCTTATCCTAGCTTGGAAGCAAAACCTGGGTTTTGGACCATGGAGTTCTGGCAAGGTAAGAGTAATATTCCCCCTCAATGGTCATATTAGACCATAATCAAGACTGTTTACTGTCACCATCTCCAACTTTAGTGTCTATAAAGTAAATTATAGCTGCACTTGACATAAACACTGTATCTATAACTATATCTATATTTATATATATCTATTCATTGAGGATTAACTTAGAAGTGTAAGATACTCTTAGTAGTATTAGTATCATCATCATCACGATCATAATAATTTACATTTATATAAGGGAAGCAGTGATTATCCTCATTCTCTATTGTTCGGCCACAAAATGTAATGACTTAAAACAATAACCATTTCATTTACCTCACTATTTTGTGGGTCAGGAATTCAGACAGAGCTTGGCTGATGATACTTTTGCTCTATGGGCTGTTGACTGGGTCACTTGGTGATATTTAGTGGGAGGCTGCTCTGGTCTGGGGGAGTTCAATATAGCTATACTCACATGTGTGAAACTTTGATAGGGACAGCTGGAAGACTGGGCTTGGCTGGACCTTCTCCATGCAGTCTTAGAGCCTCTCTGTGTGTCTTTCCAGTGGAATAATCAGACTTCCTACATGGAAATTCAGGGCTCCAAGAATCCCAGATGGATGCTTTCAGTCCCATAAAGGGTAGGCCTGAAACTGGCATAGCATCGTGTCTGCCATATTGTAATGGTGAAAGCATTCACAGTCCATCCCAGATCTAAGGCAAGGGAAAAATAGATCCCTCTTCTGGATGGAAGAATTGTCAAATAATTTACACCCATCTTTAGTCCATCTCAGTTTACGATCTGGTGACAAATTGTTTACATACCTCACACACACAAAAATACATTCTCCCCTTCCCAAGACCCCTGAAGTCTCATCACAATTTTGCAATGCCTTAGAGCCTAACATTTTATTGTCTGTATTAAGGACAGGTGCTCATGAGGCTGCTTGGGTGCAGTTCCCCAAACATAGTTCTTTTCAATCTGATGATCTGTGGACTAAAGGGAAAAGCTATCTGCCCTCCACACATCTAATCTATTGTGCTGAGACAAAAATAGAACAATTGCAAATGGTATGCTTGCTCTAACAGGGAGAAAGCAGGAGTGCCTTGAAGTTCCTGGTCTGCAGCAATTCCAAAACCCAGCCTGGCACATGTTGCCAGTTCCTTGAGTAGGGTCTAATAATGCTCCTTTTAAATAATTCTTCACAGCTCTTGGCTCTCCCTTCTGGATCATTCTTTATTTTCCATAGGAAATGGTTCCAATTTGCAATCAAGTAGCCTTATTAGCTTGCTTCTGCCCTGTGTGAGTAGAAGATGAGGTATCCTAAGACTGCTTTTCATTTTATGGTGTCTCTGTTGCTGTTTGCCCACACTGGCAGTGCTTCTACCAATACAATTATCATAAAACTTGGTGGGTTTTCTATGAATCTCATTGGGGTTTTGTGTTAGTCTGCTTTGCCTTTGCTATAAAGGAATTCTCAAGGTTGGGTAATTTATAAGGAAAAGAGATTAATTTGGCTCACAGTTCTGTAGGCTGTACAAGCATGGCAACAGCATCGGCTTGGCTTCTGGCGAGGCCTCAGGAAGCTTTTAGGCATGGTAGAAGGGAATGGGAGCAGGCGTGGCAAGGGAGGAAGAAAGAGAAAAGAAGCCCCAGACTTTTTTAAACAAGCAGATCTCATGTGAACTCATTGCTGTGGGGAGGACACCAAGCCATTTATGAAAGATCTGCTCCCGTGACCCAAACACCTCTTACTTGATCCCACCTCCAAGACTGGGGATCACATTTCACCATGAGATTTGGAGGGGAAAAACATCCAAAGCATATCAGGTTTGCACCATTAGATTAAAATCATATTCACCTTTCTTTCAAAGAGAGACACTAAGAGGGACTCTACCTTCATAGAAGCCTTTTTGTCCAGCTGAGAGAGTCTACTAGGCTATACATTTAGAAATCTTACCAAGTACATTCTTAAATTGTGCTGACTTTTCAAAAAAGAAGAAAAGGTGGGGGAAGGATTGGTCTGTCTTAGAGCTATATCTTTAATATCTTTTCCTTGAAGCCATATGTTACTGAAAGGCCCCTGGATTTGGCCTTTGCCCTGAGCTCTTACATTGAGGACTTTTTGCTGACTAGAAAGACTGCCCTAGCTCTTGATATTTCCTCTAATTCTGCTCAAAAATGGAACAATTTTTCTTTAGTTCATCCCTCTCTTCTTGTGCCTTATCCTAGGCCACTAGTAGAAGCCAGTTGGTGCTTTTAGCTTTCTGCCTGGAGAGGCCTTTAGCCAGATGCACAGCATCTTTCAGTGTCCTTCCCATTATCCACGTTTCCACCAATAATAGTTTTGCTCATTTGTCTGCCAGTACTTAACTTGGGGGCTCTTTCCTCCAGCCTCCAGTAACACTTTCCTCATCACCCAGGAAGCTCTCACCCAGTTTCCTCAAGGCACTTCCAGTCCAGGCTGAAAGAGCAGAATTAGAGTCTACCTCTTGAAAGAAGAACTGACAAAGAATTTATGTCCATCCTGTTAAAGTGAACTAAATATGGCCCGAGAAGGACTCCATACTTCTACATTTGAGTCCTTGTGGACCAACTGCAGCATAGCTTAATAGGTAGACAAGATTGAAAACCTAACTTTGGAGTATGCACCTGTAACAATAGCTAAGTCTTGGCCATTCTCAGCGGTCATACTTCAACCATTCATACACTGCTGAGTGTTCAGACTGTTCAAATAAGGCAAATACTGAGCTGTAACCAACCCAGCCATTCTGTACCTCACGTTGGATTTCTGTACTTCATTTCCCTTTATTATTATTATTATTATTATTATTATTATTATTATTATTATTATTTTGTCTATAAATCTTCTTCCACCACGTGGCTGTGCTGGAGTCTCTGAATCTGCTGAGATTCTGGGGGCTGACTGATTTGCGAATCATTCATTGCCTAACTAAACTCCTTTAAATTTAATTTGGCTGAAGTTTTTCTTTTATTAACCTTTCACACATTGCAAGGGTTAGATCTTGATGTCTGGCTGCCTGAGTTCAAATCCTATTTCTTCCACTTCCTAGCTGGTGTAAACTTTGCCAACTTATTTGTTCTTCTATATCACCTTCTGTAAAGTGGGTACAATCATAGTTGCTATTTTACAAGTTGCTGTGAAAACTGAATAAGTAGCATTTTCACCTTCGAACCTTCAATTTAGTTAAACAAGTACTCATTGAGTGTGGATACATGCTGGGCACTATGTGGGGTGATGAGACAATGGGATGCCAAAGAAATGGCTCATTCTTCAAGATGCCCTTGCTCTGAAGGAGAGATATTTGATTAGGAAATAAACATATTTGTTTGATTTTACAGCAGGTAAAGCTGAGTCTCAGAATGTCAGTGAATTTCTCAAAAAACAGGAAGTTGATTCACAGGTAGTGACAATGGTGGTGCCAAGGCTTATAGCCCACACCACCTCCACAGCCCCACACTACCTCTCAGGCTAGGAGGACCTCAGTCTCACTTCCACTTCCTCCACGGAGTCACTGGCAACTATTTCAGGAAGTATTGCAAGGTTAAATAAAGATGCATATTTAAAGTATTTTTATATATTTTATTCATAAAATGTATGAATAATATACATATATTTAATTCAACGCATATTATAATTGATCCACACGTATACATTTAGGATTCATAATTATTTAAATCTTGTCTTGAGATGACCATTTATTGCATTTAAAAATTTTGCAGGTTACCCAAAATAGATGTCGCTTTGACATAAACTTCCCGATTTCTAAATCTTGCTTCCATAATGCTCAAGGCAAAAAATTTCATCTAAATATTATTGAATTCCAGCACAACATTAGCATGCAGAGATATTTACAATAACAGAGCCATTACAACTCAATCAAAAGCTGATTTCAGCCAGAATTATGCAGAATTAAATCTTGCAGGATTCAAATTATTAAAAATCAGAGACTCAATAAAGTGTGGTCTGGAAGTCCCATTTATCAAGGGAGTCGAAGTGCCTCTACAGTTATAGTGACTTTTTCATATATATTCTGCAAGAATTTGCATGCATTTTAAAAGATCAGAGTTTAATTCTTATGGAATTCAAGTAACTATGCTATATTTATAAGGCAATGGAAGCCAGCTCGGAAACTGTTCTCTGTTTCCTTTCTATATCTCACATTTTAAATGCATTGGTTTTTATATCTGGTTCCCACTGAGTAGAAAGATCTGCAATGAGGCCACAAGAATAGAGAGAATACCTTACTCCAATAAAGGCCAAATCAGGGTGCCATAGAGGTAGTTACAGGAAATCCAAAACCATTTATAAAGCTTGTCATGCAACCAACACATCAGAAAACTCCCTCTTTTCCTGTGTTTTATCAAACCAAGACAATTTATTTACTTACTTGTTATATTCCCTCTTTCAGAACATTTCATCTAAATAGACAAAGAGTAAATTTCTAAGAAAATAGGAAGAGAGACAGAGAGATACATGAGAGGGGAGGGGAGGGGAGGGCACAGGACGGGAGGGGAGGGCAGGGGAGGGGAGAGGAGGGGAGAGGATGGGTACATTACCATGAACCTTGATGTCCAGGAATCCAATTCTCTTGACAAACAGCATTTATTTAACATCATTCTGTGCCAAAGACAAAGATGAATAAGGCAAGTTTTGTGCCTGTCAGCCCCTCACAACCTAGTTGGGGTAACTGAAACATGAATAGATATTGGCAGTCTGAGATTAACGGTGACTATACAGATATAAATGAACATTCATATCAGTCAAGAATACAATCAGCTGAAAATTATTAAAAAATGAAGTCTGCCAACAGGCCACCCAGGCATAGGACAGTGACTTGGTACTACCCTAAAGAATCCAGCTGTCTTTCTACCCTCTACTAGGTCATTCTTCATGTGTGAGTTTCCGTTCTCATGCATTTTGCCTCTTGGTTGCAAGAAGGCTGCCTCACCTACAGATCTTCCACCTGCATTCCAGGAAGAAAGAAAGGGGAATGAAAAAGGTCAAAGGAGGGACACCCTGCCAGAAACTCTGTCTGCACCGACAAGAACTCTTGTCACATGATCACCCTTAGCTGCAAGAGGGTCTGAAGAACTCAGTTTTCAATAAAAGGTGAACAAAAAATGGATATTAGATAGACAACCAGCAACGTCTTTCACTGGTCTGTGGAAGCAAGAGAGAGAGGGTCTAGTAAGCTGAAATGTAGGGGAGATAGTATCAAGGAAGGTTTCTGAGAAGATATATTATTGGAGAAGAAGCCATTTCCAGCAGATAAACAGAAAGGGTTTCAAGAGAGGCAGTGCAAGACTAGTATGTTGCTTTAAAGGCACGAGGAGTGCTGGTGTGTTGAGTTCTTGTCACGTGCCAGGCACTGTGCACGCTTCATTACGTTTACTGATTACAGCAGTCCCTGGCCTCCATATTTTACTGATGAAGAAACTAAGGTCTAAAAAAGTTGTGTGATCTGTCCAAAGTCTCATGACTAATGCACAAGCTCTTTAAAGGTGGCCTAACTTCCTAGTCATCCTGGCTAGAATGTGGGAGATAAATTAAAGGGAGATAAACCTGTGCAGGAAGGCAAGATGTGACTCTTTGGCCGGGCGCGGTGGCTCACGCCTGTAATCCCAGCACTGTGGGAGGCCGAGGAGGGTGGATCACGAGATCACGAGATTGAGACCATCCTGGCTAACACAGTGAAACCCCGTCTGTACTAAAAATACAACAAATTAGCCGGTCGTGGTGGCAGGCGCCAGTAGTCCCAGCTACTCGGGAGGCTGAGGCAGGAGAATGGCATGAACCCAGGAGGTGGAGCTTGCAGTGAGCCGAGATCATGCCACTGCACTCCAGCTTGGTGACAGAGTGAGACTCCGTCTCAAAAAAAAAAAAAAGATGTGACTCTTTCCCTGCTGGATTTTTCATTCCATATTTGATAAAAAGTCATGAATACCTGGGCAGCACCAGGGACCATGCTGGATGTGGTGGTACAAAAACAAATGAAATGCAGTCCTGGCCTTAGTGTGGAGACAAACACATTGAAACGTAATTCACAAATTAGGTAACAGGTTATGAAGAACCTGGGGAGTTGCCCAGAGCAGCCCGTGATCAAGGACAGTCATTTTGCTAAGGCTTGCTGCTACGCCCATTCCAGGCACCCACATCCTGACCCCAGGAGACAGTGGGTCCACTGAGTCTTGCTCCTCTTCTCATCTTTAAAGGATGATCTCGGCCAAGCTTTCATGAAAGAGGCAGAGGGAATCAGTGAAACATCCTCAGAAAAATGACCCGAAAGCCTCCAGCAGAACTCCCTATTCAACAATTACAATCCCTCGCTCCCTAGGTTCTAGTCTTTGCTCACCACTCTACCCAAATGCTATTAATGAAACCCTTTCTCTGCTGGGCCTGGGAGCACCTTTCTCTCGGCAATTTTGGTTTTATAAAGAAACCTTTGATTAAGACTTTACCCCTGTGCCAGGTAATGAACCCAACTCTTTATGCATGCAACCTCACTCAAGTGCACCCTGTGTGCGTTATTTTGCACAGGGGTATAGAGCCATACTTTTAAGTAATTCTCAGTCATTCTGACCACAGTTGCTTTAAGTTCAGACTTCTGCTGCTCAGTGTGCACATGGTATTTCTCTAGCCCTGAATCTCTTGGTCCCCCTTTCCACTTTTCTACTAATCCTGAAGATGCTGCCATCAGGGAAACAGGGCTCTTTGCTCCTGGTCTCTGAGAAAGCCCCAGAGCCTCTGCCACTCTGCAGAGACTGCTGATATGTCTGACTTGGCAGGAAGATGGAGTTCTAGCTTGGACCTGAATAAAAGAGCTTTCCAGTGGGGCAGAAGCTATGGACTCAACAATGCTCCTTATGGATCTGTGAGACAGCTCTCGTGGACAGTGTCACAGCTTCACTGCTTAAGGCAATTGCAGGGGGTGCTGTGAGGGGTCAGGGGAATGGAAGGGTCGACATGCCGCTAGCATCCAGCCCAAAGGCATGCACACTGGGTCCTCAGAAAATGCTGCCAATGATGAGACAAAATGATGGCTGAGTGCTTATTTCTCTAGAACCTTCTGAATACATGGCAGTCCCAGCTTATGTGTGTGAGGTCACTGGGAATTCAATACCTGAACATGTTTCCTCCTTCCCTTTGACCACCAGAAAGCTTGAAACCTGTTTTGAGATCGTTCTCTACCAACTTTAGAGAAATACATGTTGAAAAACATGCATTTGTGGTAGCATTATTGCTCTGTTGATATCCTCTCTTCTTCCCCCGGCCCCCACCACGACGCTTCTCCAACCCAATGATTTGGGGCTTGGTCATGTGATTTGCTTTGGCTAATGGAATGTTAGAAGACATACCTTACATAGAGGCCTCTAGGATGTGAGTTAGTTTGGCATTTGAACTCATGCCAAGGGCCAGGAGAACATGCCCTTGGCCACTGGTCCAAGGAGAATGACAGACATGTGACAGTTCTGGACACACCTGAAGCTCAAAGCCAGGCCCAGTCAACCCAAAGCCTGATAACAAGGTAACAAGATCCCTCTCCGCATGCCAGCTGATCTACAAACCAAGGAATAAAACAAATAAATGCTTGGTGAGTGTCACCCACTGAGTTATGGGGTGGCTTGCTATGCAGCTTTATTGTGGCAACACCTAATCCAGAAACTGCTATCTCTGCCTTTCTTACTACACACTCCCATAGTCAGAGCTTTTTGAAGAATCACTGTTTCATTAATTTGTTTGTTTGTTCATTCATTCACTCACTAATTTAATAAATGCTCATTGAAAGTTTACAGCACCCGGCACTGTCCCAGGTGCCGAGGATGAAGCATGAAGAAGGCAGGCAGGGCCTGTTCTTCCAGCGCTTTCTCTCTAGTGGGTTTGCAAGTGGCATCAGCTTCTCTTCCAAGTGCTGCTGACACCTGTCCTCATGAATGTCTTCACTTTCTCATCTCAAATGATTCACTAGATGAGAAAAACAAGCTTTTATCTCACGTGGGTATGAGGAAGGGAGCAGTTCCTCCAGAAAGTCGTGAGAGACTCAGCAAGTCACAATTAAGAAGCGTTGGAAGCTCATTCATTTTGCAAAATAAAAAATCAGTACTGAACTCTGTTGACTTCTCTAAACCTCAGAGAATGAGCCATGGTTACATTCTAGATTCAAAACAATTTCAAGCTCTTTTGTATGAACAGATGACTCATCTAATACCAGAAAGGAAAGGCTAGGTTTATTTCCCAGAATAAAGCATGCAATCTACATTAAGGGCCAGGATTTCATTTGCTGTTGTTTCAAATATACAATTATTAAACATTACTTATAACTTATTAAAGTAGTTCTATCTACGGCATCAGAACCCACACTATAGCTGTTCCAGGCCTTAGGCTTCCACGTAAAGAATCATCTGAACTCTCCAAGATGCAGACCAGGTGTTCAGAGCATGCATGCTGAATAACGAAAGAAAGAATGGTTGACAGTTTCTGAACCCCCTCAGCTGGAAGACAGCAAGCCAGATATCCTCACAACAGATGGGTTTGGGCCAGCAACCCAAAACATATTTGTCAGAATACTTACTCCCCAAGGTGATAAAACAGAATTCTTGAGAAACTCTGAGCTAAGGGAAGTAAAATGGGATTCTCTGCTACAGGACTTATCAGAGGCTTTACTAGACTAACATGCACTGGAGTCCCCCAAAGGGGAACTCTGTGATGTGGTATCCAAATTCACCCAGCCTGGGAAGCTTTTTGCTCATGAAACATAAACTGGGCACTGCTGACTCAGAGCATCCATCCACACCAGCCTGTGTGCTTCTCAGACATCCCAGCATCCCCAGGTCTTCAAGAGTTTAGACAATACCAGAACCCCCTAACCAGCATGTCTATTAAACCCAACTACAATTAAAGGCAACTTGCAATAAAACCTAAAAAACAAAGACTTTCTCTAAAAAAAAAAAAACCTTCTGGATTGTCAAATGTCCTTCAGTAACCTCCACCATGGAACATACATTTTCTAAGCATGCCCCTAAATACACACATAAGGGCTTTGGTTATTTGAAAATAATGTTAAGATATATTTGTGCTTGCAATTGTGAGGTATATTTTTCCCTCCCTTTTTATATGGCAGATTTGGTTAAGGTATACCTATTCTTGTTTTTTAGTGGGTTTGAGTTTTCTATTTTCAAAAACAGCAGGTTAGTAAGAGCCAAGAGCTGTTAATTTTGCACTGGCTTGCCTTATGCACGTATGACATTCCAAAGTTGATGGCTCTTAAACACAGCCCTTCAGGTGACTTCTGTCACATCGAAAGCAGATTCAATTATGAGCTGTATGGTTCCAGTATATTTTGTTGTATTATAATTCTTTGAAAACTGGTAATTCATGCATGGCATATATGAGAACTCTCTATTAACCAGAGTATTTGATTAATGAGCCTGGTGTGTGCTTTCATCATGCTGAGTTACTGACTTTACTCCACCTGGGTGGATGCAATACCAAAACCCATTCAGTTTCCTTGTTTTGTTTTAAAGGATTATAACAGCACCGTACAACAGCAAGAACAAATACCATGGGACCTGGTGACAGAAAACGTGGGCTTCAGCCCAAGTTCTGCAACTGTATTTCCAGGATAATACCTAGTACCCAATAAATGTTCAATAAACTATTATTGGATGGAAGAGTAGATATATTGATACATTTATAAATGAAAAAATATTAGAAATGGAAGAAAGAAGACTTTCTGACTCCCCCTGTCTGTGTTCAGTGTCCCTGTTCTCTATTTTCTTAGGATCCTGTGCAGACCTCTAATAGCATTTGTGACATTACACTGTAAATGTCTTTATTTTTGGCTTCCTCATTGATTGGAGCTCCTTGAGGGAAGGGGCTTTGTTTTAGTCCTCTTTCTTTCTCTAGGATTTCATGGCTTCCAGCCCTTCAGTTAGCATCCGGTAAGTGGTAAGTATTTCTGTTTTCACAATGAACTTGCATTGCTTTAATACAATAAAAAGGAAGTAAAGTTTACATTAACAGTAATAAGAGAGAAGTCCTGATGTTGGGATCTGGGGTGAGAAGACTGGGCAGAGGAGCGTATCAGAGGAAGAGGTCATGGAGATGGCAGTCAAGCCCAAGTAGTAGAAAGAATGGTGTTGCAGTGGTCACAACCAGGGCCAAGGCAAGGGGGAAAGGCCTCAATGTCTACTCTTGACATTTTGACATCTTAGCTCTCCCTACTGCCCTAGGAAGTAGAAGATGAGAATTCACATGTGAATTTGTGCCTAGCACAGTGACAGCAATGTGATCGACACTCTATCACTATTTGTTTTATGAAAGAAGGTCCTTTTATAGAAAGAGACATAGGGTTGATTGCAAAGTCAGCTATTATAGGAACAAAAGGTACAGTCTTGGAAAGAATGTCAAGTAGGAAGGAAAGTACTTCGGTGTCAGAATTCATGTGTGACTTTGGGCAAGTCCCTTGCTCACCCTGAACCTTAGCTTCCACACTTGTAATGAGCGGGTGAAACTAGATGACCTGGAAGATCTCTTTCAAATTGTGTTTTGTGATTCTATGCTTCCAGATATTTCAATGTTGGGATAATGATAAACAATATGCAGACTGTTTACTTCATAATTTTATTCCTTAAGATCTTTCCCAAGGAAATAATTTGACATTCAGACAATGATACCTATGTACAAAGGTGATCATTTTTAATAATAGTGACACAATGGAAACACCCTCTATGTCCAACCAGAAGGAATGGCCAGGAAAAGTATGGCACATATTTATGGTAGACTGTGAAGCCGATCTTAAGATTTATGTTTAAAAAAAGGAGATGCAACATGTAGTACTGAAGAATTTGTATAGTTTAGTCCTCAGAAGTGTGGATTCCAGAGCCCAGTCCCTGCTTGTGGCATGTGTTTCTTGACTCTGTTATTTATTTGCTATTGTGAACTCGAGCAAATTATTCTCCCTCTCTTCACCTAAGTTTTCTCATCTGAAAGTAGGGGAGATAATAGAATCTATCTCCTAGAGTTATTGTAAGAACTGTGTGAAGTAATTTTCATAAAGCATATAGAATAGTATCTGACAGATAGTAATTTATAACTGCTAGCTATTATTATATAAAATATGATTGCAACAGTAACTACTTGGGAAGGAATATTTACTATCTGATTCACAGGTTACATATACTGGAGGAAAAAAAGTAATATGTTAACAGTGATGTTTAGATGGTGGAATATCATAAGATGATTTTAATTTGTTTTCTTCATATTATTATGTATTTTTCTAAAATTTCTGCAATAAACTTGTAAAAATCATAACCAGGAACAAAATAGAAACAAGTGTGATTTTCTTTTAAGTCACTCCATGTGTATACAGGCGATGGTGTGGTGCTTGGACTTCAGTAAGCCTGGAATAGAATCCTACTTTGCCACTTAGAAGCTATGTGGCTTTGGCCATGTCGTAAGTCTCTAAGCCTCAGTTTTCTCAACTAGATATTGGGGGCAGTGGGATAGTATGAGGTAACATATAGGCATATTTCAAGTTCTCAATACATTTTCTTTCATCATAGAGAAATTGTTTGGTTCTCAACATTCTTAAATACTATGGGTGATAAAATGAGTTTTAAGACAGGGCCTCTGTCCCTGAAGATCTTGATATTTCACTGGGAGCCCAGGAATAAGAAACCTAGGCAATGAGAGAAGAATAAAGTCATAGACCGTATTCCAGTATTGTGAGAATTCGGAGATGTAGATCACAGTGGTTCTAGAGTCACCTGGGAGGACTTCATGAAAAAGAAAGGACTTGAAACAGGCTTTAAATAACTTGGATATGGAAGAAATACTACTTAAGATTGTGTTCAGCAGCCAGGCCTGGTGGCTTATGCCTGTAATCCCAGCCCTTTGGGAGACTGAGGCGGGCAGATCACAAGATCAAAAGATAGAGAGTATCCTGGCCAACATGGTGAAAACTTGTCTCTACTAAAAACACAAAAATTACCTGGGCATGGTGGTGCGCGCCTGTAGTCCCAGCTACTCAGGAGGCTGAGGCAGGAGAATCACTTGAACCTGGGAGATGGAGGTTGCAGTGAGCTGAGATCACACCACTGCACTCCAGCCTGGTGACAGAGTGAAACTCCGTCTCAAAAACAAAACAAAACAAAACAAACAAACAAAAACAAACAGAAAAGATTGTGTTCAGCTACCAGAAACAAATTCCTTGCCATAGTGACTTAAACATGCAAAAGTACATTCTTTCATATATGAGAAATCCAGCTGTAAGCCAACCACTAGATCATTGGCTACTAGCTGTTTCTACTGCCATCTTCATATAATGTCACCTTATGGTCCACATGGATGCTGGAACTCCAGCCATCATAGAAGAGTTCCAGGCCCACAGAGAAGAGAATCAGGGGAGCTCATTCCCTCTGAGCTTGAGCCAGTGGCCTTTACATGGCTTTTCTATGTGTCTCCTCAAATATCATTGGCCATATATATTGCAAGAAAGGCTGTAACATGTTGCTTTGTACTCTGGAGGGCAATGTGCCCAGGTAAAAATTGACAGCCTGTTACTAAGAAAGGAGAATCAAAGAGTGGCCTCTGCCACTTGGGAGAAATGCCAGTTCAGGGGAACAACAGGGGTAAAAGCTCTGACACAGGAGGGAGTCAACACGTGGAGGACAACTAGGTATCACACATGTGCCCTGAGGGTCTGTTGGGAAGTTCCAGGAAATACTGCTGGGCTCAGACTCTGCCCATATCATATGCTGTCATCAATGTTGTCAATCCTGCATACCATAGGCTCTTCTTTCTATATATTTTCTGTATTCCCACTCAGCCCTTCCAGGGAGAGTCACCTCTCTCATTTTAAAGATAAGAAAATTGAGGCTCAGGGAGGCTTTGACTTGCTGTAAGAGCTCTACGTGGCCTCTGCTGGCTTTGTGTGCTAATAGCGCCTGTCCCCAACGTGCTACTCCCCCTGCCTTTCACTCCAAATCCAGGGCCATGTCTACACCACTGTAAGTTCCTTCCACACATCCAATGACAGTCTATCAATCTCCAGCAATTTTGTCACCCAGTTAACAGGCTCAAACATGACTGATTGGACAAGGAGAGCTTTTTAAGGAGGAAAAAATAATAATATTTTGGGTCTGTATATGAGAAAGCCTATTTGATAGAGGGGCACAGGTATTAGCAATACATTCATATTCAAACACTGACACCTTTATTCAGCTTTTTATATTCAGAGCATTTGCAGGGCCTGAACTACTGGCAGACACTTCAGATTACTTAACCAGACATAAAATTGAAAGAGGGAAAAAAAATGAATTGAGGCCATGAGTCCCACAGGCATCCTGGGTCTTTCTGTGGATGCAAATGGACTTATGATTGAGTTATCACAGCAAATTCAAGCCAACTCGTTGGTACTTCCCAGTGCTGGAAGTTTCCTATGTACTTTCCCAAGGATGAAATTGTTCCTTTTCCCCATCCCGTATGCATGTTTTTAAGGAAACAAGCACTTGGAAGATAATTTTGCGGAAAAATATAAAATAGGGATAATATTCAGTTGCTTTTTCTTAAAGAAAGATGAACCATGCAAGGGAGGGATAAATCGCATTTGCTATGAAAATTTGAATTTCAAGAAGTATATTATGTCCTCCAGTGTGTTCTCAATGAAAAGAAAATTATTTCTTTCTTGGGGAACACACTCTTATGGCATTTTAACTTTTATGACATTTCTGATTTGGGATGATGAGCTTTCTGCACAGAAATGATTCAAACTTCCATTTTTGTGGCTCGCATGTCCTTGTAAATTGCTCTACCAGCGAAGGAGGAGGAAACAGCTTCCTAAAGTGGAGATTGTTTTTCTGCTGAGAGAATGTTTCTTTCCCCATTTCTGAATGGTCGTTGCTGATAGAGACATATATCAGGGAAATAAATTGTACTTAATCGCTAATCACCTGAACATAAGCTAAAAGTGGTATCAATCTTTCCTATGGACAAAAATAATTTCCCTTCATAAATAATGAACAAAGACACATTTTACCAGGTGCAATTAAATACAATTGTAAGGATATATTGAGATATGATTCAGACCTTGCCCTGTCGTGACAAGCCCCAAGACACTGGCATGCCCAAATACATCTTTTAAACATTAGGAGGAAATTCTGAGCCATTGTCTTTCCTGAGCAAGAAACAATGCTATCCAAGGGAAACTTGAAGCAATGATGTTTATTTAGAATTAGAATCGATTTTCATTTTACATAACACCTTTCATTTTCAAGGCTCCCGAAGTACTTTACAAAGCAATAAGCTAGACAGCAATATTGCTATAGACAAGTGTAACCGTCATTATGCTTTCTGTAATAGCTCGCGGGCTTGGAAATTAGAAATCAAGGGAGAGAGATGGAGAGAGAAATAAAGAGGAAGCGAGTGGTGAGAAGAGGGTCTGGGGAGAAGTCAAGAGACTAAGGTGGGAGACCTGGAGGATCCCACAGAGGCAGGAAAGGAGACAAAGACAGCATAGAATAGGGGCCATGCTTCTCACTGGCGCTCTGCTTAGAAATGGTTCCCAGGGATGCTTTCTTTCCATCTCTGAGGACAGGCAGTGACATCTCAGCCCCTCACCCAAAGGACAGGGACAGGATGACATCCCACCGAGGCTCCCTCAGCAGCTTCACATCGCAGAGAGTGCTGGTTTTGCTATCAGGCAGCCTAGGACCCACATCCCAGCCCCACTGACCGACTGGGTGGCCCTGAGTGACTTGCTCAACCTCTCTGAGCCTTAGTTTGCACACATGTAAAAGGAGATCAGGAGACCTACACCAAGTAGTGAGAAAAATGAGAACGAAAGGCAGGAGAGGTACTCAGTCAAAGTTAATTAGGTTTTCTCTCCTTGTTTCCTTCCCTTACATTAAGAACATGGGATAAGCAAGTCCTATTGGATTTCCAGGACACAGAGGAATTTAATAATTCCTGCATAATGCTTCACAGTCTGCAAAGCCCATGAGCTCATTTGATGAAATGAAGCCAACTCGGTCATAATAAAGCACTTGTGATCTGTTTTCAGACTCTTGACAACCTTGAGAGTTTAGTGTTATTATCCCCATTTCATGGAAAAAATATATTGAGGCTCAGGGAAGTTGAGGTCTGCAGAGACTCACCCCGGAGCCTCTGAATTTAAGCCCAGAGTTCTTTCCACCAGGCCAGGCTGCCTCCTTCTGGTGGAAGGAGGTCAACAGGCTTCACCACATCTTTGTGCTGCTCCCACCAAATGGCTAAACAGCACAGGTACCAAACAACCCTTTAGAAAACTGATTTTGCTCCTTCTTTCACTGCCACTAAAACACAGTTTATGTAAGCAAAGAACATGTTTTGATTTTACAATTCAGTTTTAGTATAAAGGGGCACAAACTCTTCGTTATCATGGTACCCGGCAAAGGAGAAACGCCTCAGTCTATGTTGGTGATGCATTTTGCATTGGGTCTGTCACTTACTCGCACGAACACGTTTCCTGAGGGCTTCCTATGTGGCTGGCAAGGTGCTAGGTGTTAGGGCCCAGAGAATAATTCAGTGGTATGAGAAGGTTCTGGCGCTGTCTGGAGAAGGGGCTCCCAGATCCTTAGAGAGGAGGATCGGAGTGAAGAAGGCTCCTTGGCGACAGGAAAACCAGGAGAAGGAGGCTGTGGAATATTCTAGAAGAAAAGATGAGGCTCAGGCAATGGGGATGGAGAGAGAAGGGAGAACTTAGAGGATATTTAGGAGATAGAAGAGACAGGCTTTGTATGTAGACTGCTTGAATGTGAAGATTAAGGGAGAGAATGAAGAGACTCCATCCCTCCTCTTAAAAAAGCTCAATATCAGCTAAGAAAATAATAATAACAAAAAAAGACAAAAATGTCAGTTCCAGCAGAACCTCCTCATTTCTGAAATTTGGTGGGACACTGGTCTACTTTTGGCAGGTGGAACCTGGGCCAGTCTTCCTCTCTCTTAGGGGGAAGAAATTGCATTGTATGATATATTACTTATTTTAATCAAATACAATTTTTTTCTAATTGTCACCGCGCCGGCAGCCTCACGGGGGCTGGTCTGACTTGTGTACATCCATGACAGGGAAGCGGTAGCGGCAGCTGCTTTGTGCCAGCCCGCCCGTGTTCCGTACCTCTCCCGCCTTGTCATTCACATCTCCCCTAATTACAGAACATCTGCTTGCGGTGGCCATTAACACTCCGCTACCAGCTTGTCTAGTTTAATACCAATGACTCCTGACCTCCCCCAAGGAAGACGCTTTCTGTCAAAATTTCCCCCAAAGAAGCCAATTCTCCACGCAAAATTTACACTTTTTATTTTTTTTAATGCTACCTTACTAAAGACTTTTGAAAGGAAATGGGTTTGCTGAGGTGCCATTTGGAGGGGGTAGGGAGAGTCGCTGCAACTGGAAACCTTTTCCCTGCCTTATTTAGTTTTGTTTTGAGTCTTTAAAAATTAAAGATGAAAATCATCTCCAGGGCTGGGAACACAAGCCGGAGCGTCCTCGTTCTCCCTCTTGCCCCTGCCCCGAGTCCTGCAGCTAGGGGGCGGTACAGACACCCACTCCAGCTCTGCTATCCGGAATTACATCTGCCTACCTAAATACAGACCATCATGGAAGATTCCAATGGCCTTCATTATTATTATTATTATTATTATTATTATTATTATTATTATTTTAATTATAGGTTCCCATGGTGGTGCTCCTGTTCCCTGGCACACCCAGAATCCTAAAACTCGGGAAAAGAGATTCCCTTCCTCTGGGGGTGATCTGGAAGCAGCAGATTTCTCTCTGTGAACATCAGATGGTATTTAAAACATTCCACAGCTTCCCTGGCTTTCCCAATGACAAACATGCTCAAAAAGTAAAATAGAAATGAGAGGAGGAAATACAGAAACAATATTTCGTTCAAAGCATAATGGATCACACAGCAAACGGTTCCCAGCTCAGGGCTGACTCCCACCAGGCTGCCCTTCCTGACTTTCGTCTTATGTCGAACCTCCCATCACAGGGTACATTGTAGCCCAGCGTGGTAACAGTAACTATATCGCAGGAAGAGACACGCAGGATTATGCTAATAAAAAGGGGGAATGGGAGAGCAGTTCATTTTAAAATCACCCCAAACATGATTTGTGAATTAATATATTTTTTAAATTGTTTTGCACGTTAGAATTGCTTCTGCTTCCTGTTTTGATAAACGGCAATTCCTCTTTCTTGTAGAAAAAAAAAAAAAAAAAAAAAGTCTGGGATGGCTTCTACAAATACCTGGCTCAGGAAAGTGATGAGGGAGCTCACAGTATTTTACAATGCCGTTGGACTTTGCTTCCAAAGTGGAAAAGCATTTACTCCAAGAAGACCCTTTGCAGAGCAGGTAATTTAAATAGAATGCAAGCTAGACCAGCTCAAGGAGAAAGTGGGGCAGCCAAAGAGCTGATTTTAATTTTATTTTTCTCTAACAGAGTCAAAAGTGATCACTGACCCAAGCACAAGTAAATTCCAACAAGAGCAAAGTAAGTAATTAAGAGAGAATAATCTAGAGTGTTGCTATTTTGTCCCGCTACATCTGAAAAGCATTCACGGTACTTTGCTGCGGGGAATTTGCTCGGGCTTTGCCCTGGTGCCGACAATCGCTTCTCTGGAAACTGAAACAGCCGAGGAGGTATAAAAAAGAGAGAAAGGTGAAGGGATGAATGGGTTTTAAAAAATGCTGCAAAGGAATACCTGTAAATACATTTTTTAAATGTGCATTTCCAGAATACAACATCATCTTAATTGTCGACCTCACCAAAACACCTATTGGAGAAAGCGTTTCAACAAGGGGGAGAAATGATCTTGTAATCTCAACAATAAAAGCGTTTCCATCCTTTGTATATGCTGACTTACAAAAAAAGTGCTTTCAAACAACAAAAGATGGTGCAGTAATTACATAAATCTCTTCATTCTTGATGAAGACACAATGGAGTATGAGCAAATCAATAGTGTTGCTGCTGTAATTCTTGTTTTTATTATGAGCCGAACACGAACTTGTTAAAATTGAATTCTGCTTCTTGTGTATAAAAAAATTAGGATTTGCACAAATTCAGAGGAAAAGAACACATGTTCTGTAAATGTTTAATTTTTTCCATGCTACTTAGGAGATTTATGATGGAGTAGAATCAGATTTAGAAATGAATGTGACACCAATAATATAACGCTGCCTCCTATGTCCCAAAAAAATGAGACATGCCACCTTTAGACATCACATTTTAGTTGCTGCATTGAAGATATTCATTCAGAATGCCCAGAAATTACCTCCTCTATTTTTATTCCCACTATTAAATAAACTAAATGTACCCTAAAGTCAAATATCTCCAACTTACTGCCAATAAATTGGCCGTAATGATTTTCCCCCACAACTTACATTTCTAATATTTCCCATTCAGGAATAAGTAATATTGTTGATTTTCCAAAGAAAAGGTGAAAATTATTGCATTTAAAAATAATTAATAGATGGGCCTGCATACCTTTGAATTAAATTAAAGGAAAAATATTTCTTTTTTGTAGAGAAGATTGCATTCATATCCTGTTTGGTGTGAAAAGTAGATTCCAAAAAGCTTTTAACTAATTTGTTCAATTTGTTTCAAAGCCAACATGAATAGGCTTGGTGCAAATTCAGATTCATTAAAACTTAATTAATATGCATCATTATGCAAATGAGGTTGCAGTTAATGAGTTCTTAAAAGAAGCTTTCTTTAATTAGTTCAGTTTTAATGGCATCATCATTTATCTGACTTGTTTTTAAAGCCACATGACATGCAAAAAGTGACCATCCTCTACAATGTGCTGCCTAATTGCGTTTCATCCTAATTGTTTAATGTTAAAAACTTTGAAAAAGTTAAAATGTTTTGATATTGAGTTCCATTAAATGGCTTTCACAAACTTTTCCATTCTGGTGAATGAGATGTTTATTCCATTCCTCAGCTTTTTTTCTAGCGTTGCTCTTAATTATTATTATTCTTATTATTTTTGACATATAACCATTTTGATCACCTATTTCGATCATGTGAGTATTGTGTCCATGCATGTCTATTTATACATTGATGAGCCCATCCTTACAGGTACACATGTGAAACTGTGAATATAATTGCTCAACAAGCACACTTTATTGTTATGTGCATATATTAGTGTGGATTATTATACTTATGTACTTGAAAAATTAAAACGAGCCTTTCTTGAGGCCATCTGCTGACTTCAGGAAGCTTAGTAACATGTTTTAACACAAGATTTTTAAACGTAGTAATTCACAAGAATTACAGCCACTGCTACTATCACCAGCGTCTACATCAGAGATGCCTGCCTGGGAGATAAGAATGCTTAATAATTATTGAGGAATATGGAAATCAGAAAGAAAGGGGAAAAAAAGGCAGGCTTAGTACAGAAAAAACGCTAACCCAGAAAATGACTTTGGAAGCTTCGGAAATACAATGGGTTTTTAAAACATTTTCAGGTTTATGAAATATTGTGCTACACAATTACAATTGTGTTTTGACATGTGGTGCCGAATGTAATTCTTTGGGGGGAAAAAAGGAAGTTCTTTCACACAGAGTCCTAGAGAGGAATGCAGTGTGCCGTGTTACACGTTTTTACACCACTGTCAGGAGTTTATAACTGAGACAAACTACTTGTGTTTGGAGCTCAAAAATAAATATATGTGCTTTGCATTGGTTTAAGCGAAGCTTTATGTTTTGTTTCCACAGAGATTGAGCTGTGCACATGCCACCCTAATTAACAACAACAACGAAAAATGCCGTACAAGCCTTGCATTTATCAAGGCACAGGCCGACACTGCAAACATTGTTCATTTCACATAGAAAAAAGAAAAATTAATATTCCAACCTCTTTTTAACACTTAGTCTTTTGAGTACCATCAAGAATATCCTGATTAAATAATTGGGAAAACTAAATCTCACGGAGGAGGCAGTTGAGAAGCCATTATTTGGGGGATCTTTATAATGAGGGTGCAGTCTTTGGCTGGGAAGATGGCCTCCTTTCTCCTAAGTCGGCTGGTTACAACAATATAATTGCTATCACACCGCCATATGGTGATTGAGATCATATTAATAGAATTACATGAATAACTATTGGGGGAGGTTCTGTTCACAAATACGGCATCACGTAAAAGTGTGGAATGAAGCCATGCTATGATGGGATGTTTCTGAACAAGAGGGACATGACAGACTTTGTTATTCACAGCCAAGGTAAGGAAGTAACCCAGGTGGTCACCTTATCTTAATAAAAACAAAAAGTGGTGCAATCTAATGTGTCGAAACTGGAACCAACAAAAGACTTTTTTTTTTAACTTATCAAATGAAACGTTGTAATTCTTAAGGGTGGGGAAACTTGTCTTATTTATGTCTGTCTCATCAGCACTGAACAGGGTGCCCTGAATATACAGAAGCTCTCTCAATGTTTACTGAATAGATGAATGAATTCATTAAATCACATCAGAATTTACTAATAAATCGTTCCTCTAGTATATGCTACAACAAAAATGTGCATTTACAAAAACAATTATATGGAAAAGGTGTAAAAATATTCATGGCCCCTAATCCCACACCGACACGTATAAAGTAAAATAGTTCTGTCTCTATACAGAATAAAAACAAGCATCTCTTTGGCACAGTGCTTTAGAGTTTATAAAGCAATTTTCTGTGCTAATCTGTTTGTAATTTTCATAACATCCTTTCAAAAGGATTTTTTTTTAAAGAAGGGTAAATATCCCATCCCAGAGAGAGGGTCTTATTTGCTCAAGGTCACAGGGATAGAAAGGCTGGGTGCCATGCAGGGCTTGGGACCCCATTCCCCTGCACTTGAAGAGGCAGATTAATTGACAGACATTTGGAAAGAACATGGAGACCCCCAAAACCCCCATACAGAAAGGACATGAGGGCGACCTCACTGTCTCTGCTCCCAGCTAGGAGTTTTAATAGAAAGGATAAATTATCAGAATCTGCAGTGCCAAGAAGAGTTTGAGTTTAGGGCTTTCAGGGATAATATTCAAAATGATGATACTAGTGGCCATCAATCATAATTATTTTAAAATTCAATAAACATTTAGTGAGTCCTTTCTTTGTGTCAGGGCATCATGCCAGGTGCTGAAGAAGCCTGAGTTTATTTAATCCTCTCAGTGCTGCTATTTGAGGGAGGCTTCTTCACATATTGAAGCAACTGGAATTTGGAGAATGTAAATGATGCACTCAGTCCAAGGACCAGGCAGTGCGATCCAGAAAGCCCACTTGGGTTTGCAAAGGCTGTGTGCTCTTTTCAGTGTCATCTGGACAAGGACTTCAAGTGCATTAATTACAAATTGATTAAGAGTGGATGACAAATCCAAATAGGTGGGATTTGTCACTTAATAGTGACACTTAATAGTCACACTTAATAGTGTGATAACCGTTCAGCATGAAGAAAGATATCTGTGAATCAGAGTGTTCAGAGAAGGCTTTGTAGATGAAGGCAAAAATTAGGCTGGGAAAAATGATAATGGTTATGACAGCAAACACAGAAAGAACTAGCATTTGTTCAATGCTTACGATGTGTAGGTAAGTTTTGTGCCTTTTGCAAGTGGTGGCTGGTTTAATCCTCTCAACCATTCAGAGGGGAGACTCTCCTGTTGTCTTATTCTATAGGTCACAAAAACAAGCCCCAGGATAGTGAAGCAACTAACCCAAAACTGCATGTTAGTGACAGGGCAGGGACGACTCTCCTTTTAAAGCTGGGAGAGTTGTGGCTTGCTTGAGCCTCTGCTGTCAAGGGTGAAGCATTTTTACATTTTTATAATTGAGTGAAGTTTGCTTCGTTGTTTGCAAAAACACTCATCTGAGAAGAAAGTCATTTTTTTTTCCTCCTTTCCAAATTCCCAAACACAAAATTGTGATCACCCTCCTTTGGGTGAAAACGTGACTGCTGTTCCATATCCCAAAGCTGAGAATAATACTGAGCTGCCCGCATGGACTAAACACTCGTAGCAGATTTCAAGACGTGGTATTAATGGAAGAACTTTTGAAGAGTCTACAGTGGGCATCCACAGAAAACCAAACTGGAACTTGGAATATGTAAAGTCTAAGATGCTTTGTGAAGTCTCTGTGGGCAGCAGACAAAAAAAGAGGAAAAAGATAACAAAACCCTCCATCAGTTGCATGCCTTCCTCTCCCTCTTGAGGCTTCTCCTTCTGCCTCCATTCCACCCTGCATCTGCGTGAACCCCGTAGAGCATCCTGGCCTCCTGCTTGCTTTTTTCTTTTCTTCTTCTTCTTTTTCTTTTTCTTTTTTCTTTTTTTTTTTTAAAGCAGCCGCGCTGAGAATCGTTCCCGCGTGGTTGGAGACGCACTGCCTGCGTAACAAGACTGTTCTCTGAATTCCATCATTTAACTAGCTGCCAGATCCTGTGGATGCCATTTCCTCATATCATGTGCACCGCCAGGCCCCCCTACTCTCCCTACTATTACTAAACTTAAGGCCTCTGTCCCTTTGTCAGGCCCTCTTGACTCCCATTTTTGATTTGACTGCATTCTCAATGCTGTCGGCTTTAGGATCTTTTAAATCTGCATTTGTCACTACCTCTCTCACAAACATTCAATGGTTCCCTATTGCTTTTCAAATAAAATAGAATGTTCTCGGACATTCTGGACCCTCTATGTTTTAGTTACAAGCCATGGATTCAATTTTATTTCTCTTTTCTTTTAAGTTATCCCAAAACAAGCCAAGTAACTCTTCATCCTACTTCCATGCCAACAATGCTTAGCTTTCTAATAATCATAAAAATAATATACTTTATATACATGACAGATAATTTGTAAAATATAGAATAAAATAAAGAAAAAATCAAAATATCCTGCAATCTAAACACCCAGATATAATCCCCCTAATAGAATAAATATGTTGGTTTATTTTTTCTGTATATATATAATATATAACAGATATAAGAAATACATATGACAAACCTGAAATCTCTGTGTAAAAACAATTCTGTTAATTCTGTTGTTGTTGTTGTTTTTTTCCACTAAGCAATACAGTGTAAGCCTTTTGTCACATCCTTACATATTCTTAAAAATCCTAAGCTGAAGGAGTTATTTTGAGCAAAGTACTTAGAACAGTGCCTGACATATAACAGGTGCTCAATAAATGTTAGAACATTAGCCCTCATCATTATTATTAACTATTATCACCCTCTGAAAACTTGATGTTTAATAAGTATTGTATTTGATGATAAGGATATTCAGCAATTAATTGGAAATATCCCTTGCTGTTGGATATTTAACCTGTTCATACCAGAAACAATCTTGCAATGAATATCCACATTTACATGTATGTGTTTATGGCTGCATATGTATGTATCTGTGTTTGCATATGTGTGTAATGTGTGTGTGCATATGTGTGTATATATATGTTTGTGTGTAAGAGAGAGTGTGTGTGTGTGTCTGATGGCTAATTGACATATTGGGAGTTTTTCTATTGCCAATAAATTTTCTCTTTTTTTCCTCCTTAAACTATTTTGCGTTTATTTTCTGTCAGTTGCAGCTGAAAGAGTCCAAACCTCATACATTTGTGCAAAGCTTCAAATCTCAAAGGTGGTGGAGATAGTCTCTTATTGTAAATGACAGACCTGATTTTGAGGTCTTAAGTATGTCAGGGACCCAGAATCTTGGCTCAGAGTTAGGGTCCCAAGTTATGAGGCTGGTTGAGGGAGCGAGTAAAGCTATAGCCTGGCTGCAGGAAGGGAGTCAGGGGTATAGCCTCTGTGGGAAGAATAGTCCAGAAACATGAGGATGTGGGTAGAAAATGAAAGGGCTTTTCCAGTGGTCAGAGCATATGAGGATGTGGTTTTAGAAGGTGCAGCCCAGAGGAATAGGAAGCCTTCAACTAAGCCCATGAGTAAGTAGAGAGTGGATCAGGATGCTGAGACAACTTAGAATCCACCAGAAGTTTCTAACTTGGGTGTGTCTCATTGACACCCTTGTCTGCAGTGACATCGTTTAACCAATTTGATACATATAAATTAGCAGTCTAAATTCAATTATTATCCCCTCGCTTAACAATGAAGTTGAGATTCCTTGATATATACACGTTGTCTCTCTGTGTGTCTTCACTGCAGACAGAACTAGCTACATAACATGCAGGGCTCAAATCAAATGAAAGTGTAGACACCCCTTGTTCAAAAGTCATTAAGAATTTCAAGATGGTCACAGCAAAGCGTTAAACCAAGCCCAGGACCTTTCTAAGCACAGAGTCCTGTGTGACTGTCAGGTCACATTCCTGGAAAACTGGCCCTGGCTGCAGATTGCATTTACACGTTTCTGATTATTGTTACAGAATATTAGGGGTCCTTTTTTCTTCTTGATTTCTCCCAGCTCTTTATATAGAAAGTAAATTTGATATTTTGTTACACATTGCAAAAGTCACTTTTCCCATTAGTATGTGATTTGCAAGACATCTCCTCCTTGCATGGGGTGGTGCATAAAATCTGTATATTGCTTTTTTTTCTTAGAGAGACAGGGTCTCACTCTGTGACCCCCAGGCTGGAGTGCAATAGCTCCATCATAGTTCACTGCAGCCTCAAACTCCTGGGTTCAAGCAATCCTCCCACCTCAGCTTCCCGATGTATTGGGATTACAGGCATGAGCCACCACACCCAGTTTATATTGCTTTGATTCTAGTACAGAGTCAAGGTCGGCACCATGTGTGAACTTCTCTAATCTCCAGGAGATTAGATAAATCGAGTAATTCATCCAAAGTGAGAGAGCTGGTGAATGAGGAAGCTAGGACAGGGACTCCCCCTTGTCTGACACCTTGACCACTGATGTTTCCTCTGCCCACGCTGTCCTTTCCTCCCACTCTGTTCTGTATAATTTCACCTTCCTTCAAGGACTAACTCTAATGTCATGCCACCCAGGAAGCTTCTCTGACACCATGACCTGAAAGACACCCCCATCCCAACTCCAGAGAATCCTCTTCCAGATTCCTCTCTTAAGACACTGCCTGCTTCCAATTGCACATTATCTTACAAGGGCATGTGGTTCAGCTCCCTCACAGTCTGAGTTCTTTGTTATCAGGGACCCCATATTATTCATCATTAATCCTGTACCTTGCTCTTATTATTCTTATTAATAGTAATTAACATTTATTGAGCACCTACTGTGAGCCTGACATGCCTCAAAAGATGTGTCTGTCTGGGCATGCTGGCAGTACCTGTAGTCCCAGCTACTCAGGAGGCTGAGGCAGGAGTATTGCCTAAGCCCCAGAGCTCAAGGCTGTAGTGCCCTATTACCATGCCTGTGTATAGCCCCTGTACTTCAGCCTGGGCAACATAGCAAGATTCCATCTCTAAAAAAAAAAAAAAAGGGATATGTCTGCATGATAATGGTTAATTCCAAATGCTTCCAGGACAGCAGGCAAAGCTGGGTGCCCATCAAATTTAGGGCTTTATTCTGTTATGACCTACACTGGAGATACATTCTATCCTAGCTTATTCTAAGACTTGAGTCTGAAAGTGCTCACTAAATATTAACTCTAATCAGCATCATCAGCATCATCATCATCATTACTTTTGACATTTATTGAGTATTTAGCATAAGGCAAATAAGCACTGGCTTATTTAGTCCAATGAACAGATATATGAAGTGGGGACTTTTATTAGCCCCCTTGCACAGATGAGAAACTGAGGCTCCAGGATCTTGAGCCTATAAGTGACAACACTGGGATATAAACTCAACCATCTGATTCCAGTGGTCTCAAAAACAACCTTATTGTGACTTCCTCATCTCCAGCCAGAAGGAAAGCTGCCAATCGCTTGGTATGAAGGTGCTGGATTTTATTCTGAGGAGCAATGGTGGTACAGTGAAGCACCTCTCTCCTGTTTGTTCTGCTGCCTTGATCTCACCTGGACTCTACATGAGATCAGGGATGCTGCCGTGCTGAGTGCTTGCCAAATGAAAGGAGTGCAGAAGGAATCACAATGCTGATTCCTGAAACATAAAGTTCAGACAAGAAGACTTCAAGGACATTTATTCCCAGACGATGGCCATCGTTGTAAAAATACCTGGTATTTATTTAAACAACTAGATCACATTTATTGAGCTTTCTGTGTGCTAAGCACAAAGTGTTTTAAGTAGATGCATCTCCAGGAGATTAGATAAATCAAGTAATTCACCCAAAGTGAGAGAGCTGGTGAATGAGGAAGCCAGGACTGGGACTCTCCATTGTCTGACTCTACCTGAGGCTTTGCAGGACTATCTTTTGAGCCATGCCTGCATGCCAGGCACTGGACAAGGCAAAGGGAATACACAGTGGTTAAGGCAGAAGGGCCTGGCTCTCCAGGAGCTCAGAGCCTGGAGGAGGAAAAAATCACAACAGAGAGTTACAATTTAGCCAGTCAGAAGCAATGGCAGAGTTCAGGCCTGTGGGCAGCCTGAAGCACAAAGGAGGGATCCAAAGGAGAGGAGTTGGGTGAAGGAGAAGGTGGATCAGGAGAAACTTTCTGAGCTTTTCTTTCTGCATACCACATTGTTTTTGCTCAAACCCAAATATGACAGCCACTCCCCAAGGTGGAGAAGCCTCTGTGCAAAATTATTTATTCTATCTCTGGACTTGGGAACTTCACCATTCATCTACCATCAAACCCTATATTAATCCATCAATTAATCAGTCAACCCACCTACTCATGTATCCACCCATCCATCTATCTACCCATCTATTCATCCATCCATGCATCCATCCATCCATTCCTCTTCTCATCCACACATCTATCCATTCATCCACACATCTATCCATTCATCCACACATCCATCCATCTATTTGTTCATTCATCCATCCATCTGTCCATCCACACACCCATCCATCCATTCATCCATCCATCCATCTACCCGTCCATCCATCCATTTACTTGTCCATCCACCCATCTATCCACCATCCATCTATCCATTTACACATCCATCCATTCATCCATCCATCCACCCATCCATCCATCCATCCACTCATTCATCCACCCACTCCTCCATCCACCCAGCTATCCATCCCCCCATCCATCCATCCATCCATCTATTTTTATTCAATCATTTATCTCATTGCTCATTCATTTCTTCATTGGTTTGTAAAACATGTATTAGGTTTCCGCTGTAGCAGAAATTGATTTAGACACCAGGGAAAATGTATAACTAAAATTAACATTTAAACAAAATGAATTCCAGAAATAAAAATTTCCTGTCTGCTCGGGATATATATGTTACAACTCTCATTTTGCACTACTTGATCCAGCAAATTAAGACTAACGTGATTTTTAAACACCCTAGCTAAATTAAGTGGGGAAGTGTTGGCCCAGAGAATTCTTTCAGGAAATGGCCTCTAAAATTTCACGTACTTCCAAGCCCCTAAATTCACCCTCTCTAATCCACATGGTATATCCTGGATACACATGGAGCTTTAAGCCTTGCAGAGCCCTTTATAGAATGACCAACATACTAAAATGTTATTTACTTATTTATTACAAATTACTGTCATTTGAAAATGAAATAGACTGGAATGATTCACCAGTTATGAATCTTTTACTTGAAGGACTACAATTTTTTTGGATAATATATCATACAATAAATAAAACTATTTTTAAATATAGTATCTCACCTGCTCTTACATCCATTTTAATGTACACCAGGATTACACTGGCTTTTTCTAACCGAATGAGGAAATAAAAAGTTCAAACATCTCTTTTACTCTCTCTCAACAAAAAAATGAGAAAAAAGGAGCAAAATGTCGTATCATCCTCTTTTAATTGATATCTCATCTTTCACTTAAATTACATGTCAGTACAAACTGTCAATTTTAAGGAGAATATTGATATTTTATTCCCATCACTTTTTTTCCTGTGGAAGGAATAAAACATTAAAACGATGATTATACATGAATCACATCTTATACATTGGAGGTACGGTATAATTAGAAAAATAATTTTTACCATTTGTAACACAGTCTTACCAAACAGATCCATTCTTACACTGCAAGCTGTGTTTAACTCAAATAATTCAATGAGATGATTTGTGAAAGAGATGCAGAAAGAAATTACTTCCATGAAACTCATTTCTCCCAGTACCTGGATGATGAGAAGGTCTCTAAAGCTGTCACTGTCTCAATCTCCATTGCATGCTTGCCATGACAAGAAATGAATGTGTTCACTCAGAAGTTTGGATGAGATGCCCTCAAGCCACTGAAACCCAAGCGAGGGCTAAGAATGAATGGAAAAAAAGAGATCTCTAGCAGCCCCAATGAGCATCACTTCCATTTCTGTAGCCACATAGGAAGAAAAGAAGGTGTGGAAGAGAAGCAGCCCTGAATCTTTACATCTCATGGTGATGGGACTTCATCCCATTCATTAATCCATTCCCATTCCTGCAATGTGTAATAGGCACCAATGATGTGCCAGGCACTCTGCTGGGAGATAAAGGGGACCCAACCCTTCATCCTTAGTAACCTCAAAGTCATGGAGGAAGGAAAGCGTGAATGATGCTGCATTGGTTTGCTAGAGTTCCCGTAACAAAGTGTCACTGATTAGGTGTCTCACAATTCTAGATGCCAGAAGTTTGAGATCAAGGTGTCAGCAGGATTGGTCTTCTGAGGCTGTGAGGGAGGATCTGTGTCATGCCTCTCTCCTAGCTTCTGGTGGTAGCTGGCAATCTTTGTAGTTCCTTGATTTGTAGAAGCATCACCCCAATCTCTGCCTCCATCTTCACATGGCATTCTTCCGTGTGCATGTCTCTGTATTCAAATATCTCCTTTTCATGAGAACACCAGTCATATTGGAGTAGGGTCCACTTGAATGACCTCATTTTAACCTGATTATCTCTGCAAAGACCCTAAATCCAAATAAGGTCACACACCGAGGTACACAGGGTTCAGACTTCAACATATAAATTTGGGAGGACAGGGGAAACCAGTCAACTCATAACAGGTGATAATTGTAATGAGGTTCTTGTGAAACAATCCTCTGAAAAGTGAGACTATTTCCATCAAAATCGCCACCTATTTTGCTTTTGACAAAATAGTTCTTAAGTGTATCTGTATGTATAAACACTCAAGGATTGCAAAGATAATTCTGGAGAAAGGAGAAAGGACAATGAGGAAGAATTTTCACTCATGTTTTATGATATGATTTCAGTAATTAAAATTGAGGTGCTGAACCCGGAATGGAAGTCAAGTGAGTAGAGCAGCATTGAGGATTCAGAAATAGACCCAAGGACATACACTGGATTTCTGCCTGTGAGGAAAGCGGCTCTACTCCAAGGAAGCAGAAAACAGACCTCTCTGGAGAGCAGTAGGATAGATGCCCCGGGAGCCACGCAAAGGGCCTAGCTAGGTTCCCACCACAGTCCTTACACCAAAAGACATTCCAGATGGAAAAAAATAATGAAAAAAATGGAACACAAAAAGATAACCTTTTTTTTTCTTTTCTCTTTTTCCCCATAGCTTTTGAGTTGAAAAGCCTCTTTCAATCATGTTATTTTTTAAAATTATCACCAAAAAGACTAATAAATTTATCTACCTAAAAATTAAAGAAAACACACGTATCACAAACAAAGGTAATATTCCTAACATGCAAACAGGTCTTAAAAGTCAATAAGAAAAGAAAAATAAACACTTCCCGGTAGGAAACTGGTCAAATAATCAGAACAAAGGAACTCACAAAATAAAGAAAACCAATTAGCCGTTAAGAGAATGTTTAAATAATCACACTAATGATCAAATAAATACAAATAAAAACAATAGAAATTTTCCTTCCCAACTTTCAGACTGACCAAGTTTAAAGGAACAAGGGAAACTTGTTTTTTGGTGAGGATTTGGAAGCAGAGGAGTGTACCTCACTAGAACCTTCCTGGAGGGCCAAATACATCAAAATAGAAGATGCCCCTATCCTCCTCTGACCAAGAAAGCTGGCTTCTAGAAATGTGTCTTCTGGAAAGGAATACAAAATTTGAAAAAACAAACAAACAAAAAAAAAGCAAAACAAAACAAAAAAAAAACACTTCACACCAAAGGATATTAATCACATTGCTGTTGATCACAGGGAAAAACTGGAAATAGTCCGGTGGTAGTAGATGGACTGTGAAGTCAATGACTCTGGTGCTTACAGTTAAATCTTGGGCAGCCATTTGCGTGCACACGTGCACACACACACACACACACACACACAGATTTGAAAAGATGTTCATGACATTTTATGAGTGAATAGGGCAGCCACAGAACCCTTATTTAGTTGTTTATTTAACAGATATTTTCTGGGCAACAGTTCACATGTCTGCCCTTGTGCCAGTTGTTAAGGACACAATGAATGTGGAGGAGCTTATCACGGTTTCGTGGCCAATCAAATCTTCATATAAATATATAAACTCACATGAGTGTTACGAAGAAAAAGTAGAGGTGAACACATACCTTCAAAAATTGGGAGTTTGTTGGCTGGGCATGGTGGCTCACTCCTGTAATCCCAGCACTTTGGGAGGTGAAGGTGGGTGGATCACTTGAGGTCAGGAGTTCCAGATCAGCCTGGCCAATATGGTAAAACCCCATCTCTACTAAAAATACAAAAATTAGCCAGGCGCGGTAGCAAGCGCCTATAATCCCAGCTACTCAGGAGGCTGAAGCAGGAGAATCGCTTGAACCCAGGAGGTGGAGGTTGCGGTGAGCCGAGATGGCACTGCTTCACTCCAGCCTGGGTGAAAGAGCAAAACTCCATCAAATAAATAAATAAATAAATAAATAAATAAATAAATATTGGGAGCTTGATGTTGTCAAGTCCAGGAAGGCTTCCAGGAAGAGGTGGCATTTGAGCTAATTAATGTCTGGTGCAGGAGTCAAGGTCACTGGTTGAAAGGAATGAGTGGGATAGTGGTCCTGGCAAATCAAAGGGATTGCAGGTGCCAAGGACCTGTGAAGCTGGGGAGCAGGCTGTCTTTGAGAAACCACAAGAAAAGAAATGCAGCTGGAGCAGCAAGAAGTGGTGATTGGGTCTTGGGTCAGGGGGTGGAAGTAAGTGGCAGGACGAGCCGCTGAGAGGGTGGGCTGGAGGCAGCATGTCAGGGTTATGCATAAAACTCGCATGACCAGACTTCAGAAATTAGAAGAGCCTTCCAACCTGCGGCATGCAGCACGGACTCAAGGATGGAAGGAGTGGGTGGGGAAGTCGATTAGAAGCCCACTGCACGGTCAGATGCGGGGGCCAAGGGCTTGATCCAAGACTGGAATGTAGGCTGCTGCTGTTGATGGTGGTGGAGACAAAGAAAAGAGGATGTACTCAGGAAATATTTAGTCAGCCAAATCAACAGGACTTACGGGAAAGGAGGGAGAAGGGTATATTCAAGCTGACTCCTGGCTTCTGGTTTGCATAACTGGCTGGCAGCGCACAGATGCCACAACCACGTTTGTGGAGAGCTGTGTATGTTGCCTGTATCTTACGTGCTTCTTCACCAAGCTACCGGAAGTGGCTTATCCACGGGTGAGATTTGGAATGCGTTTCAATTCCTTGGCTTTTCCCCACCTTGTTCACATGTTCACAGTGAGTATTTATTTTTACAGAAACAAAAAGCTATGTTTTTTTTTAATTTAACAAAATTAGGAAGAGATTAAAAATCAATTGAAACAGTGTGAAGGAAAATAGACAAGTTTGCCTCAGAAAAGAAGAGGATGAGAATGGGGAGATCGAGACGGGACTGGCTCCAGAGGAGCAGAGAGAAACAACCAAACCCCGAGTGCCCCGGCCACTCACGCTGCTTCCTGTGCCCACACATTCTCATCACTGTTCTACCCAGAAGGCCCAACCCAGACGTTCTATTAATTTCCATACGTGATCAGTCAGATTGCCTTGAGTCATCCCAGCAATGTATTTAGACCCGAGTTTTGCATTTATGATTGCCTGATTTGTATTATAGTCATGCTGATAGTTCCCTCCATCCCACACCTCTCCTCTATCCCGCCACAAAGTCCCTGACCATGGTGGAGTATAGAGAAAGGTTTTACAGTCAGAACAATCCTATTTTGAATTCAGCCTTCTTTGGGGTTGATTTTGGACCAGCTCCTGCCTCAACCTCTCTGGGCTTCAGTCTCCCCATTATATAATGGGCATCATAGATCTATATATAACCCGCCTCAGGGAGGGTTATTTCAAGAATCAAACGAGAGTTAACATGCAAAACACTCAGTATAGCAACTGGCATAACATGGTTTGTTTATTGTGTGTCTATTTTTGCTTTTCATTTCTGAATCCCCAGTATCCAGCACAATGCCCTGCATAATGAAGGTAAGCAACAAATGTTTGTTGAATTTAGTTGACTAAAGATTGGATTCAATTGCAAAACCTTTGAAAAAAAAAATGAAATCCATACTTTTTTTTTCATTCAGATTTTATACCTCCTGTCAAAAGACAGGCTTCTTCCATTTACTCAATCAACGCATAATATGCTTCTACTATGCAGCCTACAAGGGGCTGGAGGCACAGATGAACCAGTTCTCTGCCCCTTTTCTTTGAGGTTCATGATCTGGTGGGGAAGGCAAACATCCAGGTAAATAAATGACCTCGCGCATTGGAAGTTCCCTGGCGGTTTGGACAGGGCAAGTGGAGCATAAACAGGAAGCAGATCAAGTCTCTCTAAAATCTAAGAGGCTTCCCTGACCTGCACCTCCTTATGTGCCTTTAGGACCTCACCTCTCACCACACTACTCTTGAGGCATGATGCTCTCCAACCCAGCAACCTCCAGGCCACTCCTCAAAAACACCAAGCAGGGACCCACCCGAGGGCCTTTGCCTCTGTTCTCTCCTGTGCCCACAATACTCCATGCCTGGAGGCCTTGCCTGTGCAATGGTTAATTTTAGGCATCAATTCATCTGGGTCACCAGGTGCCCAGACATTTCCTCAGATATTATCCTGGATGTACTTGTGAGTATATTTCAGGATGAAATTCTTAGGGACACACATTTTGCATCAGTAGACTGAGCACAGCAGATTGTCCTCCCTCATGTAGGGGGGCCTGGTCCAATCCACCGAAGGCCTGAATAGAATAAAAAGTGTGAGTAAGAGGAAACTCCTCATGCCTGAGTGCTTGAGGTGAGACACTCGTCTTTTCCAGACTTTGGACTCAGATGGAAACATCCACTCTTAGGTCTCCAGCCTGCCTGCTTTTGGACTGCAACTATATCATCCACTCTCCCGGGCCTCCAGCTTGCTGTGTACAGATCTTGGGACTTGTCAGCCTCCACAGTCACTTGAGCCAACTCCTTATTCTCTCTCTCTCTCTCCATCCTATTGGTTCTGTTTCTCTGAAGAACCCAGCCTAACTTACTCCTCCCTGTATTCAGGCCGCTGTGAGATCTTCCCATGTCCATGGGAAATAGCAGGTCCCTCCACACTCCATATCTTGCCCTGCCCTTTCCCTTCATACCTGACAAATTCCAGCATCACATAACACCTGTGTTTACATGTTATAGTCTGTTGTTCTTACTGGAATATCAGCTTCCTGAAAGCAGGGCCTTGGTTCATTAATGCATCTCCTGTGCCTGTAGCAATGCCAGGCATACTGTAGACATTGACAAATATTTGAGAAATGAATGGATGACTGGATGAATGGTAGCATGGGAGCTGGGACCTGAGACTTCTGTTATCAACGGAGTTCCAAAGACTGTCACTTGCTTTCTGGTCCTATACATCAGGAGGAAAATAGAGTTTGCAGACCAAAACACATTCCTCAGCAATGAAATGGGTTGTGGCATTTGGGGCTATTTCTTTTTTCTTTCTTTGGGAAGCAGTAAGGAGAACGCTGTTTATCTTGTTCTGGAGCACTGTAAGGGGTAGGCTGTAAACAGGAAAGAGGACATAAAGCTGATGAGTGCGAACCCTCTCTTCCCCACCGAGGCTTTGCTTGGGCCTACTTAGCATTTCAATCTATATAAAGTCAATGGGCCATACAACCCTCTTTTATATACACTCACCAATTAACGTTATTCTTTAATAGGAAGAAGTTTAGTTTTTTTTTTACAAGTTTGATTCCAAGGAACATGTTTAATCACGAAAACCTGATTCTAGTGAGTGTGATGGGATGGAAGGCAGTTAGCAAAGTTACACTCAGCACTTTTATGTCCCTTTTCTAGCAACCTTACAGATGCCCGCAAAAGAAGCCTCCTTTGATGACATGTAAGGCCTTCCGCGATCTAACCCTGAACAATCTTGACCACCTTGCCTCCTACTCCATCTCTCTGGGCTCTCTGAATTCCAGTCACACTGAAATTCTCGGGATTTTTGGCACAATTGATGTCATGCCTCTGTGATTTTGCTGGCGCTGTTTCTTGAATGAATCATGTCCTTTCCCCTCTCAGACCATCGACATTCTTCTTCTTTTTTTTTTTGAGACTGGGTCTTGCTCTGTCACCCAGGCTGGAGTGCAGTGACACAGTCTCGGCTCAATGCAACCTCGGCCTCCCGGGTTCAAGCAATTCTTCTGCCTCAGCTTCCCGAGTAGCTGGGACTACAGGCATGTGCCACCATGCCCTGTTCATTTTTGTATTTTTAGTAGAGATGGGGTTTCACCATATTGGCCAGGCTGGTCTTGAACTCCTGACCTCGTGATCCGCCCACTTCAGCCTCCCAAAGTGCTGGGATTACAGGCGTGAACCACTGCACCCAGCTGACATTCTTCTTAATCCTTCAGTGTGCACACTCTGCACAGTCAGGTCCATCATTCGGTCCTCCAACCGCTCCCAGCAGGATTCTTGTGCCCCTATTAGACCACCTCTCCTGTGTTTTGCACGGTCATTGTCTATTTCCAGGTCTGCATCTCTATCTGTGGTGGACATGGAACACTGGGCTGCAACATTAGCACTAGACTGGTGTACACAGGGACCCCCTTCACTCAACAAGAGCACCCAACTCCCCTTGGACATCCCTTCTTCTCCCCACCTTCGGTGTAGGTGTTTTAGGTGGGGTTTCCCGAAGCCTAAGCCAATCAGTGCTCAGGAGATCCCTGGTTCCAGCCACTGGCTGGAGCACAGACATGTGACCCAAGCCTGTCCAATGAGAGATAGTTTTGAGACGATTTTAGAAGCTACCGGAAGAAAAGCCTAGTGTCTTTACTTGAAACTGAGAGCGAAGAGGTGGGACCTGCTAGAGCCACGTTGCCACCATCAGGGCAAAGCACAGCAAGCACAGAGGCAACAGGACCTGGAGACTGGGCAAGAATTGAAGTCCTGCCTGAAACCCTCAGTGCCTGCGTTCAGCCATGTCTGAAGTCAGGTCTATCCTTCACCTTCTCAGTTACTTAAGACACAGGATTCAGCGTTCTGTCACTTGCAACAGAAATTGTTCATCAGAGAAGCCTGACAGCCTCACATACCCACAGCTCCACACCACCTTACCCCGCCATGAAACTGGAAGTTTCCAACAGGCAAACTGTATGCAGTTGACCATTGCACGTTCTAGCCATTGAGGACAATGCCTTCTTGTAAATAGTAAGTGCTCACTTAATGTTTGTTGAATATACTTCATGGAATGGAAAAAATTACTGTTTAATAACGCAGCTGCGCTCACTGGACTAAATTGCCCAAGTTTTTATTTGACATAATTAGGAAATAACACCTTCAACCAATTTAGTGTATAAAAAGTTCTGGTGGGGACATTTGTCTTCATTTAAGTGTTTCTTAAATATTACTTGTCCTGCTTATGGGAGAAAAATATTCAAATACATTAGTGATTTCGTGTTGAATATGAGATGAAACTCCTAAAGACTAATTTTCCAGATTACTTATTTTATATTTGGTGCCATTAATTCTACATGTGTGAAAAACATATAATTATACCCACACTATTAGTACTGAATAAAATTGTGTATTATTCAAGTGTAGTAATAGATAAATTGGCACTAGACTCGTGTACACAAATGAGGCTTTTGAACTTTAGTGTGATTTCAATTATCTCACTTTAGCTCAGCAAAATGCCTAGACTCTGCATTTGCTAAATATTTCTCTGCCTCTACCCTTATTCCAGGAAAGCCCCCCCGTGATACATTTCTGTGGACACAGGACTCCCTGCCGCTCGTGAAGTTGTGGGTTCTTTCCAGTAAAGGAATGACAAGAGAAGAGAGGTTCCCAATTACTGTTTCAAAGAACAAAAGAACTTTGAGATGCTCCTTGAAAAAAGAATCATACAGCCAAGTGGATTTTGGTCATGCTACATCTACACTCCTTCTTGCAACCTATGAGGCACATTAGCATGTTAAAGGCTCTGAGAAGTCCTGCAGTGAGGAAACCCAAAGAATATTGTTCCAACCAACATTCCCCATGGTTTCTTGACTACAGAGCCCTGGTAATGTCGATCAACAGTCTTTAGGAGATGCTGTCCTAACAACTTAATATTAGCTGGATATCAGTCTTAGCAGCTCAGAGTGTAGGTTAGGGTTATAGAGTTATCCCCATTTTCTCTGGTCTGATTTCTCAGATAAATGACAGCGTCTATATACGTGTGTGTGTGTGTGTGTGTGTGTGTGTGTGTGTGTATTTTCACTCCTAAAGGTCCTCTCCATCCTGGGTGCACTCTCATTTTCCCTTGGATGCAAAACTTATTTCTTTCACTGCTTTCCAGAAAACAAAACAGAAAACAAACCACCAATAGCAAGCACCTTTGAAGGTGGCGACATGACCACAGGTGTGAGTGTGACAGGGGAGCACTTGCCAAAGGTCAACACTCTCTACTACTATCCCTACTCACAGCCCTCTAAGCACAGTGGACAGCAGGGAGGATGCTAGGGGCACACAGAGTGGAAGTTCCAAGGAGGGAACCTTGCCCATACCCAGGGGGAGCCAAAAGAGCTTTCCAGAATGTGACCTTCATTCAACTTCAGTCTCAATGGAAATGGAGGATATAGTTATTCCTTTAGGAAAAGGTTCGAAGAAGAGTACTGAGAGGAAAGAAAATGACCCAGGTGAACAAGCCCCCACATGCTTTGATATCCTCCAAAGAGAAACCCCACTGACATCTCTGCAGAGGCAGCCTTGGGTCAGCACTTGGGACAATGCATCCAACTCTAAGTTTCTCCTGACTCACGTTTTGCTTGCCCACTGGCCCCTCCCCCTGCCGTTCCTTTGTCCAGCCCGCCTGCTTGTCACTCCCTCTTACTCAGCAGTTTGCCCCCGAGAAAATCCCCCAAAGCGCCTTTCGGATGGAGCTTCTAAGACAAGCAAGGATGTCAACGCTTCCATTTGATTCCCTCTTACCATTCCCCAACCATCCCCCTGCCTGGCTGTATGTTTAGCACTCAGCGAAAAAGAACAATTTAGTGATGTTCTGTAGTGAAAAAGAGGAAATAAAAGCAGACAGAATTAATCCCAAATCAAGAATTTGAAGCCACAAGGCACCGAGAGGTCAAGATGGGGCATTAAGATTCTAAAATTTGCATGGACCTGGTCAGAAGCTGAAACAATAAAACTGGATTTTCCAGAGCATCATCAATTGGCAATTGATTCTACAAATATAATACGGCAGGGGTGGTTTATCCGAACAAGCACGGAGAATAAAATATAACAGTGTTCCTTCATCTTTCTTTTACAGATAAATTTAGATACATAAAAGCTGAACTGAGATATAAAAGTTTATGAAAATCATTCAAAAGCTTTTCATGCACTCACGAAATATTTATACCATGCCAAATATTTGTTCCAAGCACCGCAACTCCTTGTAATGTTCTTATTCATCTTTGTGCCTCTCCGGGTCTGGGTTGGGGACTCTAGAAGAAGGCAGGTCACATGGTAGTCACCCGTAATAACAATCCTGAATGCCATAGTTACATTCACTCTCTATAACTGGCTTTTCTCTTGAAATAGTAACATGGAAAAATGAGACCTTTCACCTTATTAACTTAAATCTCAAAATCTAGGACCATGATAATGGATCAAGGGGCCCCAAATATTCTTTCTGAGCCTCCTTATTTCCTTCGGTGGATTTCTTACTCTTATTCATACCTGCCACCCTAACAGCCCCAGAACCCATTGTCTACTCTATAACACTGTAGACAAACATGGATCCAACACTTCCAGAAAGTTCTATCAGAACAACTGAAACAAGTTCAAATTTCAATGATATTTTGCTCATCTCTAAAGGATAACAGCAAGAAAATAAATATAGGTGATCCCAATGCATAAATGCAGCCCAGCAGGCTCAGTGCAGCTCTCTGCCCCTTCAGCCTTCCTGTGCCTGCCTGCCTGCTCTTCACTCCGTCAGAGGGGAAACCGCATCCTGGCACCAGTTCATAGTTCCCCTGCCTGAGTTTCTTCCTTCCTGGTTCTGTGCCTGGTTTTGTGGTTTTGGAGCCACCATGCCAGAAATCCACCGTCAGAGCTGGTCTCCTATTTCTCTTGGTGGGCATATTAGTTTCCTATGGCTGATATAACATATTACTACAAACTCGGTGGCCTAAACAACACAAATGTATTATCTTACAGCTCTGGAGGTCAGAAGTCCATTTTAAGTCCAGGACCTAAAATCAAGGTGTACCCGGAGTTATGTTCCTTCTGGCAGCTCTAGGAGAGAATGTGGTCCTTGTCTTTTCCTGCTTCTAAAGGTTATCTGCTTTCTTTGGCTAAAGGCTGTATCATTCCCACCTCTGCTTCAGTCAGCAGGGCTTCTGCTCTAGCTCTCCTGCCTCCCTCTGATAAGGACCCTTGTGATGACATCCGGTCCACCAGGATAATCCAGGATCATCTCCCCATCATCTCAAGCTCCTCTGCTTAGTCACACCTACACATTGCCTTTTGCCATGCAAGGTCACATATTCACAGGTTTGGGGAATTAGGATGAGGGTATCTTGGGGCAGGTGGATGTTATTCTTCTGACCACAATGGGAAAGGTCAAAAAGGAGATGCCGTTTCTACTAGAAGGCTTTCCCCTTCCTTCCTGCTGTCAGTCACGCAAACAGCTCGTGTAGTTCCTTGAGTGCTCTTCTCTCGGCTTCCCAGTGCATCACAGAACTTTCTGTACTTCCTGGACCCCTTGCACTTGGGTGAAGCCACATAACTAGTTCTGTCCAATGAGTTGTAAGCAAAATAATATGTGTTTCTTCCTGGCTAGAGCATTGGGTTGCCAGTGGAGACCCTCCAGAGCTCCCTTCTTCAAGACTCTGACCTGGTTCCAGGTGAGCAGAGCCCCCTGCCTTGGTGGATATGCAATGGGAGTTGGTCTACCTGATAAAATGCGGAATGCCCATTTCCATTGGAATTCAGGTAAATGTGCAATTTCAAATATTGCATGAGACATACTTCCACTAAAACGAAATTATTTTTTCTCTGAAATTCAAATGTAACTGAACACCCTATTTTCATTTGCTAAGTCTGGCAATCCTAAGTGTGAATGTGATATAAACCTTTATTAAGGCACAAAGATTTGGGGGTTATTTGTTACCACAGTGGAATGTTACCTTCCTGGCTGCTACAGGCCAATTGCTGAGATGATTATCAGAATTGCAGTGACTAACAGCAAGTTATTCGTTCCATGAACAAGGAGTGTCCTAGACTGGTAATAAGCTCAAGAATGTATCTTTATACTCAGCACCCATAGCAGCCTTGGTCGGCAGCAAGTTAGGCAGGTCTGGATGTCTACGCAGCACTTACCTACATTTATGTCCAGCTGCTAAGGTCAAATAACAATGTTCTTTCATTACTTAGCAGGAAAAGAAAAACCTATGGGGAGTAGGACATTCTTAATGTTAAGTACTTCTCTCATGATTTTTACTTAAATCTTTGGTGCCCACTACTGCTTGGCAATGCAAGAATCACTTAGAAGATGAAGTGTGGTTTAGCACAACATGATATATTTTGTCATTTTATGTTTAATATATCAGTATTTCATGGTGTGTGCAAAGAAGCCCTGGAATAGTGTTTTAAATTAGAAAGCATTTTCATATCTGCTGTGTGATGAGCCTTCTCCTTGATACTGATGATGGCCACACTTGTTGTAAAATGCTTTTTAAAGCCACCAGAATTGCTTCTGACAATCAACCAGCTTAAGTGGATTAGCAGAAACTGTGGCAAAAACAAAGGCACCGAAGTCATTGATTTGCAAGTGGACGTTAAAGACAGGTGACAATTGGAGGTCTAAGTGCAGTGTTCTCAAACATGCAACGGCGCTGACGCTGCCCATGCACGTTTCGAAGATCTACTCCATCAAGCCACCTGCAGCAATTTTCATTCCTGATAAGCATACCGGTGACTAAAGTGTGAGATCATCTCATGTAATGTGTGGTAGAAATTGTTTAAGATGTGATATAAACCTTTATTAAGGCACAAAGATTTGGGGGTTATTTGTTACCACAGTGGAATGTTACCTTCCTGGCTGCTACAGGCCACTTGCTTAGGTGATTATCAGAATTGCAGTGACTAACAGCAAGTTAGTCCTTCCATGAACAAGGAGTGTCCTAGGCTGGTAATAAGCTCAAGAATGTATCTTTATCCTCAGCACCCATAGCAGCCTTGGTCGGCAACAAGGGACAGAGGAACAAACACCACCTGCCCAGACAGCAGGCACAGAGGAACAAACACCACTCTGCAGAACATAGCTGCATTACACGGTGCTGCCAGTTGTATTTTTTCTTGAAGCTGTCAATAGAAAAATCTAGATTGTAGAGGCTCCCACAGTTCCTCCCTCCCCAACCTTCCTTAGTCAAGGACAGACTGCACCAGGCTAGAATACAGTAGCTCGGTTGACATCTTCCAGAGGATGTAGCAAAGCAAATGAGATGCTTTTAAAATAACTTGATCCAGGATCTAACATGCGGACAAAGTTGCAGACTTGCCAGCTTCCTCCATTCTTTTTGAAAACTTGAATCAGATTTGGATATCCAGACATTATATGGAAATGTGGATCTTTAGAACAGAGATCACACCAGAGACTTTAAATCTTCCACCTCTTCACTTCCCATGCTGGCCTCAGAAGCCCTAAAGCACAATGTCCACCCACAAAGCTGAGGATTATTATTGCCTGACTGACCTGCCTCCAAGGAGGTTACAATCCATCCTAAAGGATGAGATGAACACACAAGAAGGGATGACAAAACAAAACCACCCAAAGTGCATCACTGAGTGGTGGGTTGCATGTGGGAGGATAAACCCTGCAGGCAGTTAGCAATCAGAGGAATCGATGAGACCGACACAGGCAGATGAGGCTTTAGGAAGGAGGAAAGGCTTTATTGGACCTTGGATGAGGCCAATGACTGGCAGAGGCAGAGAAGAGAAGAGAGGGTGAACCAGGTGACAATTCACAAAGCCACCAGGTGGTGAGAGTGAGTCCCTGATGCAGTAGTGTGATTTCCACTGTCACGAAGCCAAGGAGAATGGAATCTTAGAGTTGAAGGAACTGAGGCGTTCATGTTAATCAAACACTTGTAAAAATAGCAGCAGCTCTTACATGTAGAGCCCCTACTGTGTGCCAGGTACCCTGCTAAATGCCATGCAGTTTCTTACCTAATCCTTTGAGGCAACTCTGCACAAATGGTCCTGCTGTTCTCGTTGCAGCCATTGTTTCCATGGCATCTCCACTGCGGGGTTTCCATGCCCTGCTGACCCAGGTCCAAGAGCAAGCATCTCTCCTCCCATGTGCAGCAGCTCATTCTTTTAGGAGACATCTCTTTCTCCAGTTAAGACAACCGCCCATCTTTATTTGGTCATGGAGCAGGATGGGAAAGCAAGTGGACTCTGGATTCCTTCAGACCTGATTTTCATTCCAGTTCTCCCAGCTCTGCAGCTTTGGGGAAATGTTTTTATTTATGTCCCTAAGTGTCAGTTTCCCCATTCTTGAAATTGTCTTGCTGCTACCTAAGTGATAGGTGCTAGGACAGTTTAATGAGCTGATGCATGCAGAGGCTGCAGCAAGCATGCAGCCAAATACAAGTTAGTAATTAATATTTCACTCTTGCAGCACTCTATGCAGGTAAACACAATAAATTCAATCCTGCTTCCAGTGACATCTCTTCAAGACAGATAAAATGACAATAGCTTTCAAATGACCTCCCTGTCCATGAATACTGTCGAGAAAGCCCATGAAGTCTGGGCAACACAGCGAGACCCCATCTCTAAAAGTATTTTTTTTTAATTAGCCAGGCATGGTGGTGCATGCCGGTAGTCCCAGCTACTCGGGAGGCTAAGGAGGAAGGATTGCTTGAGCTTGGGAGGTTGAGGTTGCTGTGAGCTGTGATTGCACCACTGCACTCCAGCCTCATTGACGGAGTGAAACCCCATTTCAGAGAGAGAGAGAGAGAGAAAAGAAGGAAGGAAGGGAGGCAGGGAGAGAGAGAGAGAGAAAGAAAGGAAGGAAGGAAAAGAGAGAGAGAAAGAGAAATCTCATGACTTATTGCTGGTATCCCTGAACTGGCTCATAGTGACCACCTCTTTCCTTCCCATGTGCCATAAACAGTCTGTTAAATGATTCCTTCCAGAGTTTTGCCAGACACCTAAATCATGTGTCATCTTCTTTCAGAAGTCAGAACATTTGCCCACCTTCAGCCTTCCACGGTATGTTCTCCATGGTATTTTCAAAGTCAATGTCAATCACAGATGTAATTTCCATTAGTTCCTGGGAAGCAAGAGACACGAACCAGAGTATTTTAATCCAGTTATAGTCAGCACTGGATTCCAGGAGAAACCCCGTGTGAAGATCCATAATGGTTAGCTGGAGCATTGCTACTCAGACTGTGGTCAAGAGCTCGCTGCCTTAGCATCCCCGGGACCTTCAGAGAAATGAAAACCTTCCTGGCCTGTACCTCTTTCCCCTTTCCACCCCATCCTCTGCCCTGGACCTACTGTTTCAGAATCTGTATTTTGAAAAGATCCCCAGGTAATTGGTGTGCACATTATAGACTGAGACGCACAGAACTAGAGCAGTAGTTCTTAGAGTTGGCTGCATTTTAGAATTAACTAGGGAATTTTCAAAAACTTCCCATGCCTGGCCCCTATCCTTAGAGAATCAGATTTAACTCGTTTGGATTAGTTCCCAGGTGTGGGTATTTTTTAGAAGTTCACACAGTGATTCGAATGTGCAGCCAGAGTGTTGATCCCCCTCCTCCCAAACCAGAGCTATTCCATTCAGACACACTGGCCCCGCATACCACGACCACACTAGGCCTTGCAGCTGGAGGTCACATGGCCGCAGCTGTGGAGAGAGAAGTGCCCCAGAAAATAAGGACCTAGAGTGGCTTGATGAATATATTCTCATAAACAAGCATAAGTTTATACAGTCTCATTAAAGTACAGTCACATGCTGTGTTTATAACGATAGAGTTGCCAAAAAATGGGCGTCAGTAAAACAAATCGTATTGTCACAATGGTTATTATTATTGTAACAAAACTTTAACATTTCTTACCCCTCTGCCAATGCAATCACAATGCATAATGCATTTGAGATTACTTCCAGCTGTCTCCTACTCTATGAATGGGGACATTTCTGTGCACACAGCATTCAGACACCGTGTATATTTGCATGATAAGCAGCCATCTTCCCATTCATGAACAGAGGCCCAAAACTGGGGATGGCTGTTTGGTGGCCACCACGGATGGCCTCACACTTGGAAGGGGCCCCTCTTCCTCAGCCTGATAGGTCCATCATGATGGGTGATAAGTAAGGGATGGGCTAAGGCAGAAAAGATCTCAAATCTGAAGACCTCATGTCAAATCCTTATTATGCCACCCAGGTCCTGGTAAACTCGATAAGTTGTATGTTCTTATATGTAATAGACGTAGGTATGCCTGTCCTGACTATGTGAAATCACTGTTGTGAGGTTCAAATGAAATAGTGCTTTGAATGAGTTGCATAACAGCAGAAAACTCTACCCATATAAAGAATTGTTACTAAGCGCTGTGTTAGTAGTGATGGTAGTGACAATAGCAGTATTCCCACCACAAAGAGAGGGAGAAGAATCTCTCTATCTCCGAAACTCTTATATTTCCTGCTTTCTTTATAAAGAGAGGATGGATGGATGGATGGATGGATGGATGGATGGATGGTTGGATGGATGGATGGTTGGATGGATGGATGGATGGATGGATGAGTAGATGGATAGATGGGTAGGGTGGGTAAGCTGGGTGAAAGATAGGATGGATGGATTGCTGGGTGGTTAGGTGAGTGGATGAATCGTTGGGTGGGATAGATGGATGGGTGATTGTATGATGGTTTAGTGAAGAAATAAATGGAGTGAGGGAGAGAGGGAGAGGGAAGGAGATAATGCAGCCTTGACATGTGGCCCACCTCCCCCCTTACTACTTGCCCTCTCATAGCTCTAAGCCGATCATTTGAATGCCTTCCAGATCAAGTACAATCATTTTCGTCTGACCTATGAGGCCTTTGTTGTCTGTCCAAAGCTGTCCTTTTCACCCTCACTACTTTCTATTCCCCATGCTTTCCCACCACCCCATAGCCTGTGTTTTTCCAACTCCATTCTTTGGCTCTTAATGTTCTTGAGGCTGATTGCCACATTCACCCTAGGTGCAGAGTCCAACTCATGTGACTGTGATTTGGAAGCCTTCCCTGGTTCAGTCAATCCAAAGGAATTCCTCTCTTTTCTTCCATCATAGCACCTGCCTGTCTTTATTTTACGTAATGTTTACCTTTCCACGTGAATGTGGGGAGAGGGAAAGAAGCGTCATTTATTAAGCACCAGCCTTGGCACTCTCATATGATCCTGACAGCAACCTTATACAGGGCACATTATTTGTCCTGGGTTTACCAAAGCAGTAAGAAGAACTCAAAGAGGTCAGCCAACTTGTCTGAGGCGTATCAGTGGTGGAATTATAATTTAAACTGAGGTCTTTGACTCCATATGTCTACCATTCTCTCCACTGTAGTCTCTTTAGGAGTGGCCTAAAGCCCTGGAGGACATTAAGTTTTGGCTGATTTATCTGTAACATTGAGGTAATTCTAGAAAGGGGCTACAAATCGTAAGAAGAGTAACTGGTCAATAAATGTTATTTATTAGTTTTCACATTACTCTTATTCATGTTGAATGCCTACCTGCACAATGCCCTTCATAGGATAAGCCCCTAGTAGAAGCTAAGCATTATAATTTTTAAAATTGAAGTCGAAGCCCTGTGACCTAGTTCTTTTGGGACCACTATCTGGTCAGTTAATTAGAAAAGCCCATTGATATGGTTTGGCTGTGTCCCCACCCAAATCTCATCTTGAATTGTAGCTCCCATAATTCCAACGTGTTGTGGGAGGGACCCAGTAGGAGATAATTGAACCATGGGGGCGATTTCCCCCATAGTTTCTCATGGTAGTGAGTCTCACGAGGTCTGATTGTTTTATAAAGCGTTTCCCCTTTCACTTGGTTTTCATTCTGTCTTTCCTGCCGCCATGTAAGACGTGCCTTTCGCCTTTCGCCATGATTGCGAGCCCTCCTCAGCCACATGGAACTGTGAGTCCATTAAACCTCTTTCGCTTTATAAATCACCCAGTCTCAGGTATGTCTTTATCAGCGCCGTGAAAACAGACTAATACGCACATTAAAGTAGAAAATCTTAAATACCTTAAGACCTTTCTTTTTAATTTAAAATATATAATGTATTTTAACTTATCAAACTTTTGCTTTTGGGCCCAGGCCTTTGCTTTGAGGGGTTGGGGGCTATGATCTCGTTTTTATAAGCCACCTCTATAATGCAATCTCTATGATTTCCAGTTTCTTTCAAGTGTAGCTAAAACATGAAGATACGTGCCAAGTAACCAATACTCAGAATCCTTCTGAATCATTCTCATTTCCCCCCCAAGACTTTAGAATTATCTGATCTATACCCAATTTGACAGTCGTTTTAATAGTAACTTTCCTTTATAACATCTTTTGAAAGCCTTCATCTTAAGTTCCATGAAAACAACAAATTTCCTTTCACACTGTTTCATTGACTTATATGAAATATGTAACATTTAATTAAATTAGCTCATTATAAGAAGAACACTTGGAACAAGGAGGACTGGGTGAACCAAGTGACTCCTGGTGAGTGCATCACCTGGTAGGACATGTGTGGGCAGCCCTGGCCAGAGGTGGCCCTGGGCATGCCCTGGGCAGCCATGGGGGTGTTTCCATGAGAGCACAGAAGCGGCATTTCACCCACAGGTTGAGCGGAGTGGAAACAGGCAAGACAGCATCCCCTATAACTGATTGGTGTGCAGTGAAAATAGCACTAACTGCCGACTTCTTTAATTCACTAACAAACTCCCAGTGTAGACAGCAGGGAGTAGAAAGAGATCTGCTTGGACATGGTCTGGGTCTATATCTCTACCCCATTACTTATCAACCGTGCAAACTTGAGTAAGCCACCTTTCCCCATGCTTAAAATGATGTCACAGATCTTGCCACGCTTTTGCTAGGAATTGAGTGGGATGACACTGAGAAGGCTCTGAGCACATAGTAGGTAGACCAAAACAGGAGATGATGCTGCAATGTTAATCCTTGGGGTTTCTGGTATGTCGATAACATTAAGTGGGTTGAAATAACTGTCTCAGCTCCCTCCCTCCTGCTCTAAGAATCCTCTGAGTACCTTTTTTAAAATTAGCATTTACAAACCCCTCAGATCCTCAAAAAACAGAGACTTACCACTTACCCTGTTTGCACTTGCAAATTGTTTTCCTTTGAATTTGAAAAAAAGACACATGTGCGCATATATTATTAGGACCTGCTACTATGTACAAATGGAAGGTCAAACTCCACGGCACCCTCTCTGGTTTCAGGCAACACACTCCTATTTTAATTGCAAATCCATAAGCCTCTTTTGTGAATTGCTTTTGGTTTTTAAAGGAAGAGGAGTGCACAAGTCACAAGATCATTTACAGAACCACATCACAGAGACATTTTCTAATGCACATAACTGGATAATATGGTAATCAAACTAAATCAGTGGCAAAATGCTTTGAAATCTTAAATAAGATCTAAATCACAATTGTTCTAATATTTATAGTTTATAGAATTTCTTAGGCTAAGTCACACTGAAATGTATTCTCTTTCTTTTTCATTTTGGCAGAAACAGGAGTGACTTGGGAGTTAATCTTTTAAAACATGTTCAATTGTAGCAAGTCGTAATAAAATATGCATAATATGTACTTAATAAAAAGTAATGCCTCTACTATAAATTGCTTCATTGAGATATAGAAACATATTCTAAACCATAAAATGCATACAAGAAATGGAATGAAAGAGAAGTTACCTTTATTGTCAGTTTTTATTTCTGAAATGATCTAAAATTGAAGATAATGATTACTCATGGAAAAAAAAAAACTTCATCACATGCAGTATCAACATTGTTGGTGGCATTTTCTGACTCATGGGTGGATTTGTGGTCCTGGAGAGGTGCCTAGACATTGTAATTCACAAGAATTATAATTAACAAAGAAAAATTACTCATTTATTTACATTCCCATTTGAACACTAGATAAATTATTTGCTAAAAGCCCCTTAATGATCCCAAAGTACATAATTATCTAGTACATTGGTCCCACTTTCAGAGAATAGAAACTATAGCGAAATTACTTTTTTCCCCAAAAACTGTTCCCTTACAACTCCTGCTAGACATTTCTTTTATAGTTTTTAAAAGTTATATTGGTTTTGGTTTTTTTAAATATCAAAATATTTTATGCAAAATATTTCATTTTTAAAAAAAATTCCCTCTTGCTCTTGGGAGGGTGTATGTGCAATTGTTAAAGATGTTCTGCAGATTGCAATAAATTCTGAAATTAACACTGAATATATTTTCATATTATGTTTACATATGGGTAGGTTTTTTTTAGACTCCCTATCTTTTTTAGATTTATGAGATTCTCTACAATAAGATTTTGTGTGAGTATATTTAAATTTCATATGTGTATATATTTATACACACACAGAGCAAGATTACATACTTGCTTTAATTTCTCCCAATCTTAAAAACTCATAAAATATTTAAGCTGTTTCAGAACCAGAATAGAAATGCCTCAAACTGTTGTTTAAAATTACATCCAACCTTCACCTCCTCATGCTAATGAATGGGGCAGCATAACTGAGGAGTATCAATCAAAGGTAATCAATGCACAGCAGCTCAATGGTTAACCTTGTTCTTTGCCCACTCCCTCCTCCCCCTCCCCCTCCTTTGACCTTAACTACAGCTGCTTAGAAAATGACTCATTGGTCTCTCTCCTCATTGCCTGTCATCCGACTGATGAAACCTCCAGTTGGGAATAAAATGATCAAAGGGTGAGTAGAATGAATAATCTGTAAACTGTGGCAAACAGCTAAGGGTCAGTTGATTTAAAGGTTTCTGTGGCTTCATTAGTTCATTCAACAAATATGTATTGATAACTTAGTATGTGTGATGCATTGGCTAGTGGTTGGGCTACAACGAGGAATAAGTTGAACATTTTCCCTGTTTTTAAGGAGTCTGCAGTGTAGGAGAGGGGCAGGCACTGAAACACATAACAGTAGAATTATTACTATTAATAGTATATTAATAATATACTATTACTATTAATAGTAAATTAATAATATACTATTACTATTAATAGTAACAGTGTTGCTGTTCATATTATTATTAGTAACAGCCCTGAAGAGCAGCATAAAGAAAGTATATACCCGGGAGTCCTACCCTAGTTTGTGGAGAGAGTTGGAGTGGTCACGGGACTGTCCCCCAAAGCAAGTGACCCTTATGCTGAATAGAAGAGGTAGTGGGTAGGAGTAGGAGAGTTCAGCCAAGAGAAATACATAACATGTGTGAAGATCCTAGGGAAAGAAGAGGCTTGGGACATCAAGGAAAAGATGGGAAGCTGCTGTGGCTGGGGCGCAGATAACCAAGGAGCTAAGCTATCAAGAGAAGTTGAACAGCTGAGAAAGGATGCTATAAAGCCAAGTTAGAATGTGGACTTGATCCTGGTTGCCACTGCAGGGCTGAAGTGGAGCGGACTGCGACTGTGTGGACACGACCACACCTGCGTGTTTCAAAGCTTCTCAACCTGCTGAATGAAGAACAAATGGGGACTTGGCTTTAAGGCTGTTGGAAAATTCCAGATGCCAAATGATGGTGGTTTGGACTGGAGCTGGAGCTAGATAGAGACAGTTGGGAAGAACCCACCCCTGTAGAAAAGGTCACTTGGGTATATATCTACTGCACTGCTGATAACCAAGGAAAGGCTTACAGAGCAAGGTGCAGGTACAACATGCATGCTGCATTTTTTACGGTACATCTGTTAGGGGCTGAAATGCCCTAACTCCCAATACCTCCAAATTGGACTGCATCTGGAGACAGGCTCTTTAAAGAAATGATTGAGTCAGCATAAGGTCCTTAGGGTGGGCCCTCATCCAATCTTCCTAATAGCAAGAGTAAACTTAAACACAGAGAGACACCAGGGGCACACATGCACAGAGGGAAAACCACGCCAAGAGCCTCCAAGAAGACAGCCATCTACAAGCCAGGGAGAGAGGTCTCAGATGAAACCCCCCTCCCCCAACCCTCACCGCACTGGCACCTTGATCTTAACCTTCCAGCCTCCAGAACTGATCAAATAAATGTCTTTTGTTTAAGCCACACAGTCTGCTGTATCATGTTATGACAGCCTGAGCAAGCAACTAATGCAACATCCAAACAGAACCCCATTGAGATTCAGAGTATAGAATAAATAGCCGCGATGAGCCCTTTTCCATATAGTTCACACGTGGAATAATGAAACGAGTGCTCACTGTGGCTATGGCATTCGGAGAATAAACAGCTGGGATTTCTTTAGTGAGCGATAAAAAAGTTATACGTGTGTCCTGGTCAATAAATTAGAGAGAAACTTTTCTAGCACTGTTGTGGATAAAATGCTAATTAAAGGGAACCACAGGAAGGCGTGGCAGGGCTCCAAGTCTTGAAGAAGAGTCAAAGGTTATGTAGAAAACCTTCTAACAAGGAAGTGGGCTTACTGGGCTAAAAAAGTAGAGTGGTACCATCTGCCAGCACTCTCTGTGGTAGACATGGCAAAGAAATAAATTGATGTGAGGAGGAACAAACAATGTGTCATTACATATTTATCTATCTATTCAGCCCTTTATCCTTCCAGCAATTCATTTTCTTCTTCATCCTGGCATTTCATATTAAGTTGGAGACATCAGTACACTTCATTCCTAAACAATGCAATATGCTTATCGTTGACGAAAGATCAATACTGTCATGCGCCGCTTAAGGACAGAAATACGTTCTAATAAATGCATTGTTAGGGGATTTCATCATTGTGTGTACATCACAGATTGTACTTACACAAACCTAGATGGCACAGTCTACTACACACCTAGGCTACATGGTACAGCCCATTGCTCTTAGGCTCCAAGCTTGTACAGCATGTTACTGTACTGAATACTGTAGGCAATTGTAACACAATAGGCAGCACTCACGCCTGTAATCCCAGCACTTTGGGAGTCCGAGGTAGGCAGATTGCCTGAGGTCAGGAGTTCAAGACCAGCCTGGCCAATATAGTGAAACCCTGTCTCTACTAAAAAAAAAAAAGTTAGCCAGGGGGCATGGCACATACCTGTAGTCCCAGTTACTTGGGAGGCTGAGGCAGGAGAATCACTTGAACCCAGGAGATGGAGGTTGCAGTGAGCCAAGATTGCGCCACTGCACTCCAGCATGGGTGACAGAGTGAGACTCTATCTCAAAAAAACAACAACCAAAAAAAAAAATAGAAAAAGTATGGTAAAAAAAATATGGTGTAAAAGATAAAAAATGGTAATGGTCCACCTGTCTAGGGCACTTAGCATGAATGGAGTTTACAGGACTGGGCATTGCTCTGGGTGAGTCTGTGAGTGAGTGGTGAGTGAATGGGAAGGCCGAAGACATTACCGTGCACTACTGTAGATCATAAACACTGAACACTTAGGCTATTCTGAATTCATATATGAATATCTTTTGTCAATCATAAACAAACCTTAGCTTATTGTAACTTTATAAACAATTTTTTTAACTTTTTGACTTTTTTGTAATAACACTTAGCTTACAACACAACAAAAATATTTTTATTTTTGTATCCTTCCTCTATAAGCATTTTTCTATTTTTTTTTTTTTTTACTTTTAAACTTTTTTGTTAAAAACTAAGAGAAGCACACACCGTACCCTAGGTGTACACAGAGTCAGGATCATCAACATCACTATCTTCCACCTCCGTATCTTGTCTCCCTGGAAGGTCTTCAGGGGCAATAACACACGGAGCTGTTGTCTCCCACCATAAAAATCCCTTCTTCTGGGCCAGGTACAGGGACTCATGCCTGTAATCCCAGCACTTGCGGAGGCCAAGGCAGGTGGATCAACTGAGGTCGAGAGTTCGAGACCAGCCTGGCCAACATGGTGAAACCCCATCTCTACTAAAAATATAAAAATTAGCCGGGCATGGTGGTTTGTGCTTGTAGCCCCAGCTGCTCTGGAGGCTGAGGAAGGAGAATTGTTTGAACCTGGGAGGCGGAGGTTGCAGTGAGCCGAGATTGCACCACTGCACTCCAGCCTGACAACAGAGCGAGACTCCATCTCAGAAAAAAAAAAAAAAATGCCGTCTTCTGTATACCTCCTGCAGGACCTGCCTGAGGCTGTTTTACAGTTAACTTATTTTTTTAATAAATAAGAGCAAACTCTAAAATAATGATAGAAAGTATACTATAGTAAATACTTAAACCATAACATAGTTGATTATTATTATTATCTACTGTACAGAATTATATGTGCTATTCTTTTATACAAGTGGTAGCAAAGTAGGTTTGCTTACAAGAACAACACCACAAACATGTGAGTAACGCATTGCACTGTGACATTACCGTGGCTACAACATCACTAGGTGATAGGAATTTTTCAGCTCTATTATAATCTTATGGGGCCACCGTAGTATATGAAGCCTATTGTTGACCAAAACATCATTATGCGTTGCATGACTATATTTATTTTTGGTTCTTTTATTAGGTGAAATCTACATAAAATGTAATGAACAAACTTTTAAAAAGTTTTAAATAACTCTATTAGAGTATAATTAATATACACGTTGTTGAGTGCTGATATATACAGTGTACACACTCATGAGACTATTTACCACAATCAAGACAATGAACAAATCCCTCACCCCCAAAGGATTCCTCATGCCCATTTGTAACTCTTCCCACCTCCACAAGGAACCATGGATGTGCTTTTTGTCAGTAGAGAGTAGTTTTTATTTTCTAGAGTATTATATACATGAAATCATGTGGTCTATATTCTTATTTTATATGGTTTTTGTTTTACTCAGTATAATTATTTTGAAATTCATCCAAATAGTTGATCAATAGCTTATTTATTTTTATTGCTGGAGAGTATTCTATTGTACCTATAAGGCACAGTTTTTCACTTGTTGATAGACATTTGGGTTACTTCCAGTTTGGGGTTATTACATGTAAAGCTGCTGTGAACATTCATGTGTCAGTCTTCATACGAGCATGTGCTGCCGTCCTTTCTCTTGGGAAATACCCAGGAGTGGAATGCCTGAATCATACAATAGGTGACTGTTTAGCTTTTTAAGAAACTGCCAACTGTTTTCCTAAGTGGTTGTACCATTCTATATTCCCGCCAGAAGTGTACGAGAGTTCTGGTTGTTCTACATCCTTGATACCCTTTAATTGCTATCCATCTTTTAAATTTAACTATTTGAGTAGGTGTGTTGTGATATCTCACTAAGGTTTTAGTTTGTATTTCCCTAATGACTAATGATGGCCAGTATCTTTCTATGTATTTATGTACCATTTGTTTATCTTCTTTGGGGAAGCATCTGTTCCGATCTGTTGTTAATTATTTTATTGGGTTGTTTGCTTTCTTATTGTTGACTTTTGAGAGTTCTTTGTACATTCTGAGTGCAAATCCTTTATAAGATGATTTAAACATAGTTTCTCCCAGACTGTCACTTGTCTTTTCATGTTTTCAATAGTGTTTTTTAAAGGAGCATAGGTTTGGATTTTGATTAATTTACCAATTTGTTCTTACACACATCACATCATGCCTTTGTGAGTCTATAAAGAAATCTTTGCCTAATCCAAGGTCATAAATGTTTTCTTCTAGAAGTTTTGTAAACTTTATGTTTTATGTTTAGCTATGTAATACAATTTGAGTTAATTTTTGTTATGGTACAAGGTACAAATTGAAGATTAGAGTTTTGTATGTGTGTGTGTGTATGGATAGCCAATTGTTCTAACATCAAACTTTCTGGGCTCTATGCTATGTTCTACTGATCTATCATAATTCCTTTATAGCTTTATAAAATAGGTAGCTTTATACTAAGTCTTGAGATTAGACGGTGTTATCCAATCACCTTTAATCTTCTTTTTGAATGTTGTTTTAGCTATTCTAGGTAATTTCTATTTTCATATGAATTTTGAAATCAGATTATCAATTTCCAAAAATAAGCCTGTTAGAATTTTGATTTTGATAAATCTGTATGTCAGCTTGAGAGTAAGTGTATCTTAATGAGTTTTCCAAATGAGATTTCTAGACCATTTCCATTTAGACCATCAGTGTGATTATTTGATATGGTTGGATTTTAACTGATAATATTGTTATTTATTTTTCTTTTTTTTTTTTTTTTTTTTTTTTTTTTTTTTTTTTTTGAGACGGAGTCTCGCTCTGTCGCCCAGGCTGGAGTGCAGTGGCGCGATCTCGGCTCACTGTAAGCTCCGCCTCCCGGGTTCACGCCATTCTCCTGCCTCAGCCTCCCGAGTAGCTGGGACTACAGGCGCCCGCTACCACGCCCGGCTAATTTTTTGTATTTTTAGTAGAGACGGGGTTTCACCGTGTTAGCCAGGATGGTCTCGATCTCCTGACCTCGTGATCCGCCCGCCTCGGCCTCCCAAAGTGCTGGGATTACAGGCGTGAGCCACCGCGCCCGGCCTGTTATTTATTTTTCATTTACCTTTCTTTGTTATGTTTTCTTCTCTTTCTGCATTCTTTTGAATTAATTTAACTTTTAAAAATTCTGTTCAGTCTATTTAGGCTGTTAGTCTATCAGCCGTAAATCTTTGATTTTTACATTTTACTTTGGCATTTGTGTATTTTCTTTTCATATATGTCATCAATACAACACCACATTGTTATTATTTTATCTAAGTGCTCAATTATCTTATTAAAGAGATTTAAATAATAAGTAAAACATATATTAGCCTACCTAAATATGTAAACATTCACAATTTCTCATGCTGTTCATTTCTTTGTGTGGATCCGGACTGCAACGTATTCCCACCTCGCTCTTCTCCTCTTTGGGCATTTAAATTATCCATATGATAGGCTTCTTGAAGTTGTTCCACAGTTCACTGATGCTCTGTTTTTTTTTTAAATTCTTTTTTTCTTTTTGTGTTTCACTTTGGATAGCTTTTATTGGTATGACTTCAAGTTCACTCATCTTAGCCAGTATATTTTTTATTACATACATTGTAGTTTTTATCTTTCATCTCTAGAAGTTCAGTTTGGGTCTTTCATACTTCCATGTCTCTACCAGACCCTTTGGCCATGCGAAACTCAGTTACAGTAATTTGTTTAATGCTCTTTCTGCTACTTCTATCTGTGCCAATTCTTAGTCAAGTTCCATTGATTGACTTTTCTTCTCATTATTGATGGTATTTTCCTGCTTTTTTACATGTCTGATAATCTTTGACTGGATACCAGGTATGGTGAATTTTACCTTTTTTTAATATATATATATTTTATTATACTTTAAGCTCTAGGGTACATGTGCATAATGTGCAGGTTTGTTACATGTGTATACATGTGCCATGTTGGTGTGCTGCACCCATTAACTCGTCATTTACATTAGGTATATCTCCTAATGCTATCCCTCCCCCCTCCCCCACCCCACAACAGGCCCTGGTGTGTGATGTTCCCCACCCTGTGTCCAAGTGTTCTCATTGTTCAACTCCCACTTATGAGTGAGAACATGCAGTGGTTGGTTTTTTGTCCTTGCGATAGTTTGCTGAGAATGATGGTTTCCAGCTTCATCCATGTCCCTAAAAAGGACATGAACTCATCATTTTTTATGGCTGCATAGTATTCCATGGTGTATATGTGTCACATTTTCTTAATCCAGTCTATCATTGATGGACATTTTGATACAGGAATATTTTGGTATTCCTATATTCTTGAGCTTTGTCCTGGATGCAGTTGAGTTACTTCAGTACAGTTTGAACCTTTGCTATGCTGCTTTTAAGATTTGCAATGTGAGCCAGGAACGGGGGCTCATGCTTGTAATCCCAGCACTTTGGGAGCCTGAGGTGGGGATGAATCACCTGAGGTCTGGAGTTCAAGACCAGCTTGGCCAACATGGCGAAACCCCGTCTCTACTGAAAAAAAAAAAAAAAAAATAGCCAGGTGTGATAGTGTGTGCCTGGAATCCCAGTAGGAGAATCGCTTGAACCGGGAGACAGAGGTTGCAGTGAGCCAAGATTGCGCCACTGCACTCCAGCATGGGTGACAAAGTGAGACTATGTCTCAAGAAAAAAGAGATGTGCAATGTGAAATCAGAAGAGGGGTCAGTGCTGTTCTTCACTACAAAGGCAAGACCTCTTCTGTGTATTCTACTCAGCATTCGGTAAATTATGAGTTAAATTATGAGGGTTTTTTTGGTCTGGATAGTAGAAGCATGTATTATTTTAAGTGCTGTACAAGTACCAAACACTCTCATCTCTAATCCAATCAAGTGGTGTGTTTTCTGGCTTCTAGGAACTGCATCACACATATGTACTAATAATTATTCAGTTAAATACTTGGGAGAAACTTTCTGCTGATCTTTATAGTTTTCCTACTATGTGTCTTTCTTCGCTCCAGTACTCTGCTCCGAAACTTGTAGTCATACAGAAATTGGGTCATAAAGAAAGCAGATATTGTAGTCCTCTTTGTCTCCCTAGACCCTCAACTATATCTCCTTAGCTCAAGGTTTTGCCAAACTTGGCCTGGGCACCTGCTCCCTGCACTGTAGCCAGGAAACTCTCCTAATGCAATAAAATGAGGGAGTCACAGGGCTCTCTTCATGGTTTCCAGCCTAGCATTGTCCTTCATTCCTTATGTCTAGTGTCTGGTAACCTATTGCTTTCATTTATTTATTTTTAACGGGGTTCTGCTATATTGTCCAGGCAGGTCTCGAGCTCCTGGGCTCAAACTGCCCTCTTGCCTCTGCCTCCCTAAAAGCTGGGGTTACAGGCATTAGCCACCATGCCCAGCCAACCTGTTGCTTGCTTTTATATATTTCATCCATTTATTGCTTGTTTCAAGTGGGAGGGTAAATCTGGTCCTCATTATTTTTGCTGAAAGTGATCATTTGACATACATACGTCTTAAGTATATCATTTGTAAAATGTTGACAAATGTCTTTACCTGTGAAACTCAAACTTCTATGAAGTTATAGAATATCACCATCTCCCCAGAGTTCCCTTGTGCCCATCTGAGTTGAACCCTCCCCTAATTCCTCAGAGAAGTCACTGTCCATCGTAGATTAGTATTTCCTATTCTACAAATTCACATAAATGAACTATACAGTGAAAAATTATACTTCTTTCACTCAACATCACATTTTTTTAGATTCATCCATGGTTTTGTTTCAATAGCTTATTTTTTTTAATTACTGAGTAATTTTCTATTGCATAAATCTACCACAGTTTCTTTATTCATTTTTTTTGTGGATGGCCACCTGGGGTGTTTCTGGTTGGAAACTATCGTGAATAAAGCTTCTATGAACAGCTCTTCTTTTGCAGGTTTTTTGTATGTGTCTGTGGACATATGTTTTCATTCCTTTTGAGTAAATACCTAGGAGTAGAATGGTTGGGTCATAAAGAAAGCAGACATTTAGTTTTATAAGAAACTATCAGACTTTTTTCTCAAAAAAAAATGATGATATCATTTTACCTTCTCGCCAAAAATACAAGAGAACTGTAGTTGGTCCTCATCCTTGATGACATTTGGTAGTTATCAGTCTTTTTAATTGAAGCATTCAAGTCAGTGTGTCACAATATCTCATTGTGGTCTTAATTGCATTTTCCTAATGACTAATGATGTGGAGAGCTTTTTCATGTTCTTGTTGGCCATTCATAGAACTTCCTTTGTGAAGTGTCTTTTTAAATCTTTTGCCCATATTGTGGTCACTTTTAATTTTCAAAGTTCTCTAAAATACTGAGATGAAAAACAGTATGCCGAATTAAACAATGTTCTCGACACATGCAAAAAAGTTTGCTAAAGAAATTGCTTTTGCATCCACAGAAATGGAGCAAGAAAAAAAGTTCTATCTACTGTACTTGCAAATGCATTACTTGTCATCCTGCAGATGGCCGTAGGATATATTTTTTTAAACACTTTATTCTGGATATTTTCAAATGCACAAAAAAGTAGAAAGAATAGTAAAATGAATGTCTATGTAACTATCTTCCAGCTTTTACAATTACCAACATTTTGCTGATCTTGTTTCATTTAGTATTCCTCATCTTTGTTTTTGCTGGAGTATTTTAAAACAAATCCCAGACATCATCTAATTTTACCCATCAATATGCCACCTTTCCAAAAGAAAAAAAACTTAAGATGTTCATTTGGGATCTTTATTTGGTTGTAGGTATAGGCCCAAGAACTCTTAATAAACAAAGGTCTGATCCAAACTGCCTGGATTAGAATATGGAACCATATCATTTGAAACAAACTTTTAAGCTCTTGATTTGGGCTGCAAGACCCATGTCTTAGTAATACTCTCCCAGAACACCAGCAAGTGCCCTTGGACTCTCTAAATAAGAAAGACAGTAATATATATATATATATATATATATATATATATATATATATATAGTCTTAAAAAAACTCAAATGAAGATTAAAGCTCACTTACTTTGCTTTCAGAATTATAGCATGTGTTGTTCCTTATACCCCCATACATAATCAAAAGTTATTTTAGTGCTTTGTGGGCTTAGATCTTAGGAGAGAAAGAACATTCAACTGTGAGTATTACATAAAAATTGCATCTCATAAGATATCCAAAAGTAGAAAATATGATCAAATAAAATGTCTTCTTTTTTATTCTGTAGCAGAATGTCTCAAGCTCAACACTATTGACATTTGGTCCTGAGTATTCTTTGTCATGGGGGCTGTAATGTGCTTTGTAGGATGTTAAGTGGCATCCCTGGCTACAGTACAGTTTCTCAACAGTGACAGCCAAATATCTCCAAATATTGCCAAATGTCCTTGGGAAGGGTGGGGGGAGGACAAAGTCACCCCTGGTTGAGAAGCCCTGTCATATAGATATAACTTTTTGTGCAGCACAGGGTCCTTCATTGAAATGAGTGTAAGTCTCTCAAAACCTCAGTTTCCTTGCCTATAAAACAGGATAAATAAAAAGGAAGAGGACTGAATGTGTGAGGGCATATTCTATAAACTATTCAGTGCTAAAGAGAATGAATTAGTTATGATAAAGGTACGGCTCTGCCTTGGACAGAGCAGGAGAGAAACTTAGGGAAGTGGTAGGACGTCCCATGCTCTCAAAATGCTTATGGTGAAGAGAAATAACCAGGGTTGAGTTTGTACCATGCCCCCCAGCACTGGGCCAGGAACTATAAGGACCCAAATGTATAAGCTGAGTTTTCTGTCTCCTAGGAACCATATAACACAGTAGGTAACCAGGTACATGAAGGCAGCTACCAAGCAGCGAGTGTTCATCACATCTAATGAGAATGAGAATGAAGAAGCACTAAGTTAAGTGGCAGAAATGGTTCGTGGCCCTAAAAATGAAGATAAGCTCCTGCTACTTGGTGTGAGGCACACTGGCAGGAGGTAGGACAGTGTTACAGTGTGGATGTCAAAGCCAAATGAGATTTGCATGTAAATGCAACGTGATATGGTTTGGCTGTGTCCCCAGCAAAATCTCATCTTGAATTGTAGCTCCCATAATTCCCATGTGTTGTGGGAGGGACCCAGAGGGAATCATGGGGTCAGTTTCCCCCATATGTTCTCATGGTAATGAATAAGTCTAATGAGATCTGATGGTTTTATTATAAGGAGTTTCCCCTTTAGCTTGGCTCTCATTCTCTCTTGCCTGCCACCATGTAAGACATGCTTTTTGCCTTCCACCATGATTGTGAGACCTCCCCAGCCACATGGAACTCTAAGTCCATTAAACCTCTTTTTCTTTGTAAATTACCCAGTCTCAAGTCTTGATTAGCAGCATGAGAACAGACTAATATAGCACGTCTGCCACTTACTGTCTTTGGGTAAGTCACTAAGCCTCTCTAAGCTTCAATACCATCATCTATCAAATTGATAATTATTCCCACTTATGGAATTATTATGTATGACATAGTACAAATATATGGCGTCTTAGTGCTTACAGCTTAGAACATAAGTGTTCCAAAATATTCCTATTAGTATTTGTTAAAACAATTATTATTTCAAATTAATTATATATGTGTTTAAATAATAAAGATTCGCAGTAATTGTCAACTAGTCAGTGTTAACTTGGAAATTTAATGGGGATATACAGAGAAAGAGAGAGAGAGAGAAAGAGAGAGAGAGAGAGAAAGACACGCCAGCTACTTCATCCATCCTGAAGGGGAGAGGAAATCTTACAAGGACTGCCAAGGTTAGAAGCCAGTATCAATATAACAATATAACACAGGGCAGTAAGATGTGGTTAAAGCAGAAATTGGGAGCAGTTATAGCACACTGTATAACACATTTGGATTTTGGAACAATAGGAATTCAAAATGGTCAACACAAAGCTTACCTTTGGTACAGGTTTTAAAGGTTTGTAGAAAACTAGGAAAGCACAAAAAATGAAATGAAACCCACTCCCTCACCATGGCCTCCCCTTGTCTCTCTCATGTGGACTGTCTGTTCCATTCGGTGCCTTTATGGGGTCCCCTGCAAGCCAAGCTTTGAATTTTTCTGCATTAGTCTCAGTTTAGCCCTTGGAACCTGTGGTTATTAGTACATTACCAAGGAAACTCGTCATTTGAAGTGGGGGCCACCTCTATAGGCTGTAAATACAATGCAATTAGCCTCTCAAGTGCCTTATTATGAAATATATCAAGGACACCTACATGGACTCACAGATTAGAGGATGGAAAATCTGGAGAGAGAAGGCCTTTATTTAAGGTTGACTTTTTATAGAATGCAGGGGTAGGGTGGGGTAGGGAGAACAAACCCACAAATAATAAAATACGTTTCAGTCAGCAATTTTGGGCATCACTTTTATTTTCTTCTTCTCCATTCTCCAAATCCTTGCTTCACTGAATAGCCCACACCGAGTACCAAGCCTGGTATTGCTTATTACAAACATATGAGCAGAGGTCTTTCCATAATGAATAACTCATGGAAATTAATTGCTAAAGAGAGGGTAAATGATACAGCTTTTGGAGAAAGTAATCTGGTGATATTTTTTAAATTAAAAAATGTACATACTATTTGATCCAGTCATTCTACCTTTGGAAACCCATACTACAGAAATGAAGAAAGAAATATGTAAAGACATTTGTGCATAAAAATTGTATGGCTAATTAAGAACTGCTTATTGTAGCAAACCTCACCCCCAAATTCTATAAACTACAGAATATCCATACAAAAAATGGATAGATGTATTAAGGGGTGTGCATAATGTGGATTATCATGGCACTCTCTTTAAATGAATTAGAACTGTATGAATTAGAGTTATGTGCATTGGCTTGAAGAGTTATTGTGAAAACAGCAAGTTGCAGAAGATTGTTATATGATGTTCCATCTTTATAAAAGAAAAAATGAAAAATACAAGATAAGAAAGGAGGGCGGACACAAAAGAAAAAAGTGAAGGAGACACAGAAGGAGGAAGGGAGGCAGATGCCTGGTGTTCTTATCCAAATCCACCGCCCCACTCCTCTTAGTCCTCCCCAGCAGAGCCTCTACGCATTTGGAATATTGTATCAGTCAGGATTCCCTCAGGAAAACAGATCTTCTAGATAGTTGAAGCAGAACCACGGTGTGACAGTGAATTAGTTGTAAGGATGATAGACGAAGCCAAGAGATCAAATAGAGGAAGTAAAGTAACCAGAGGTTAGCAAAAAAGGAAACCAACTCTCCTCTCCTCCCCAGGACTACAGAGACACAAGGAGGAGGTGGAGATTTTAGGCTCAGAAGTGAAAGTCACATCAGGAGCTAGAACCATGGAGAAAGAAAGAAAAAAGAAATATTGCTTGAGTTTATTATGTCATAGGTGATTCATAACAGTAACAATGATAAGAATAATAATAACATTTGTTACATTGCTGTTAAATGGGTATTTTTAAATCGTGTTTTTTAACAGTTCCTAATTATTAAGCACCTACTCTGTGCCAAACACGATGTTAGCTTTTGACAAGCCTCATTTAATTGAATTGTCACAAAATGGACTAAAATTAGAATTGTCGTTTCCTCATCTTATAGATTAGGAAACTGAAACTCAGAGAGGAAAGATATTTGTCTGTGATCACACACCTAATAGGTAAAAGATCTAGGGTTTGAAACAAATTCTACCCATGGCTAAATCCTGTAGCATTCCACCATAACTCCCACTAACCTAACTCGTACAAACCTGGATTTGGAGTAATTAAGCTGGGTCTTGTCCTGACACTTGATGTAGTACTTTTAAAACATGCCATGAATTCTTTATCACTGCTTTCCTATGGTGGGGTCTATGTCTCCAACACTTGAGTCTGAATGGGTTTGTATCTGTTTCCACCAATAGAGGTTAGAATAGTGGAAATGATACTATGCGACTTCAGAAGCTGGACCTCAAAAAAGCCATTTCACTTCTGCCTTGTTCACTGGAATACTCACTTTTTAAACACTGGGCTTCTATGTAATAAGTCTGACTGCTTCAAGACCACCATGCTGTGAGGAAGCCCAAGCTATATTGGGAGGCTGGTGAATGGAGGTGCTCAGACAAACAATCCCAGCCAAGCCCAGGCTTCAAGTCACCCCAGCCCTGGCCCCAGACCTGTAAGTGAAGAAACCTGCAGAGAATTCCACCTCCCCACTGTTTGACAACTGTTTCCAGCTGAAGCCTCAACATTATGAAGCAGAGAGATCTCTTCTTGACCAAGTCCTGACCAAACTGCAAACTCACACTCACCATGAATGTTGGGTTTGGCATGCAGCAATGGATAACCAGAATACTTAGTGGTTTTGGGCAAGTCCTGAAATGTCCAGGCTTTCAATAACTGTTTTATTGAGTGAATGAATGATATATACAAATCTCAGTCCTGCCTATCTATAATGCATGTACGTGAAAACACCTTGCAAATTGCCTGACATTGTCTAAATGCAAAGATATCTTGAGAAAACTGCTTGAGATAAATAATTCACTGTGATTCATAACATTTTCAAGGCAGAAAGAGCTGGAAAGGAGCCACCAAACCTTTCTTTGGGGGTTCAATCAATGGTGAGATGAGACTGTCCCTCAGAAACTCACTTATGCTGTCTAATTTGGATTCCTGAGTTGAGGTGAGCACCTGGAACTAAATGCCCTCTGTAGAGTACAGGAGATGCTGAGTTTCCCCGCCAAGTCTATCCCCTGTTGTATACAGTAATTTGGTGTCTGGCAAAGAGAGGGCACCTTGTATAGCAAATGCACAAATAAATTTCACCACATAATTAGAATCATAACTGAAAGCTAATAAGCTGGCATCCTGCTTTGTAAGTCAATGCTCTGTGCATTGGACTGGCATAGGTCAGCTTGGCAGGGCCTACTATGTCCACCAAGTTCCATGAGCAGAAGAGAATAAAACCAGGACAAGACGTGCAAGAAGTGCTATTACCCAGCTGCTTACTGACAATGGTTGCATTTTACTGTGGTTTTCTGTGCTGATAAAAATAGTTAACTGCTTATTGAGTTGTCAAATCTGTTGCTCTTCCCTTTTGAAGAAAACGAAGGCCCAGAGAAAACCTGCCCAAACCCATTTTCTACTAAGTGTGGGCCAACATGGGAGCCCACCTCTCTCTGTGGTCCCTTCACTTATAGCACCGCCTCTCTGCTTTCTGCCTGAGGGATGGCTCCAGCAGAACCCAGGCTGGTGAACAGGTGTCACCGTCCTCAGCCAGCTCTGACCACTGGAGGGAGACGATCTTCAAAAAGATTCTGAAAAGGATTCTATCATCAAGTAGCAGTGGTTTCTGTGGGTCCTATTTGGAGACTGGGGGCAAAACTGCCACTTCATTGGCCATCTCCTACCAATCGCTCGTTCTGGACCTGGTTACTAAAAAGTGGTGGCTTTAAAGCAATACAACCAGAGGAAGCCAGACTGCAATAGAGTGAGGAGTAAATGGAAAAACAAAACATTGAAAACTCTAGAGGCTTGGCCGTGAAAAGAAAAAAAAAATTGTGTCATAGTTGGAGTGAGCGTGGAGTCAAGGAAGTGGTTTTAGTGGTCAATTTTTTGATAGTGGAGACCTGGATATCCTGAAAAAACAGGAAACACCAGCTCTTAGAGGTGCTCCTGTGGCTTAGGGGTTCATCTCAAACTACCCAGCACTGGGAAAGAGGGGTCATTTTCATGGGAGGAAACGTATTGACAGTAATTTTGTATTAAATCCAGTTCCAGTGTTTTTGTGGCATATTTGAGCAAACTAGGATCCACTAGAATTCCATGTTAAACATCTTTAAGTTTAGAGGTTTAAAAATATGTTGAGTCTGCCCCTACTTAACCTGTAAATGACTTTCTTTTATTTTCTTATAAAGCAATTCTTCGGAGCACATTATATGTATTTGTAAGTCTTTCAAAAATATCTTTAGATCCACTTAGGCTCAAATGGATAAAGTAAATGGAGGATGAGGCTCATTTTTATTATAAACAGACTGTTTCTCATTTCCAGCATCTCCAGGTAATACATCCATACAGAAGGCCACCCCAAGTGGCGTTGTCCTCAAATTACACTATGATTACTTCCAAGCTAGACAGGCCCATTTTAGTCACAGTGCTATGCCCGGGGAAATGGCAGACAGGAAAGTTTGTCATGTTCACTGCTTTCTGCAGGCAAAAGCCCCGGAAGGATCCAGAACTCTCCCCGGTGTGCTAGACCCTGATCTGAAGGCAGTTATGGCTGCAGAGAAAGCACAAGAGACCTCACTTCTAGACCTGTTTTGGCCACTTATAGCTACTTCCTTCAGCTCTCATTTTACCTCTCTAATCTTCATTTTACCATCTGGAAAATGGGGGAAAAAATAGTAACATTGGCTTCCTAACCGGATAGCCTTTAAGATTAAGTAAGACAGCGAATTCAAAGCAGCCAACCAGTGCCTAGGATGTAGTAAATACAAAAATAATAATGCTGGTGACACTAGTTCACGTGTGTTGATCACATATTCTATCCCAGACACACGTATCTTATGAGGATTCTGTCACTAAACCCATTCAGTGAATGAATGGACGAAGCCAACCTGGAAACTGCACTCCAGCATTTCTGTCCAGCTAGTCACAGAGAGCGGACTTTGCAGAAGGCGCAGTCACAGGGTCACTTAGTGACAAAGCACTAAGATAGAACCTGGGGAATGGGGGAAGGGTGCAGACACCTTCATTAAAGCAACTTTCTCAGCACCACCTTCTCTACTGCCAGCTTATTCTCCACGGTTTCCTGCTCAGTGCTCCAATTCCCATATCCTTATTTAATAGTCTCTAAAATGGGCATAATCATTATTTATGAGATTACCTAACAGTTTTTATGAGATCATCAAATGAAATACTAGCTACTAGGATAGGTTATAAACACATTTAAGAGGCAAGAGTGAAAATCTACTAAAATAAGCAGGAACTAATATTGGAGAGGTCAAGTGCTGTGGCTCATGCCTGTAATCCCAGCACTTTGAGAGGGCAGACAGGAGGATCGATTGAGCCCAGGAGTTCAAGACCAGCCATCTTTACAAAAAGTTTTAAAATTAGCTGGGTGTGGTGATGCGTGCCTGTGGTCCCAGCTACTCTGGAGATTGAGCTGGGTGGATCACTTGAGTCTACAAGGTTGAGGCTGCAGTGAACCATGATCATACCACTGCACTTCAGCCTGGGTGACAGAGAAAGACCCTGTCTCAAAAAAGAGAAAAAGAAAGAAAATGGATATAGGGTAATAGATCATAGTCACTGGCTTTTTAATAGTTTTCTGTGTTTTCCAAATTTGCGATAAAGGGTATATATTACTTTTATAATGAAAATCAAAGGCTGATTTAAAAGTGCTTGATACATAATAAAATCCTACAAAAATATAAAAGTCAATGTTTACACAGAAAAACAAATGTGGCATTGAACTTATATCCTTACAAATTTTAAACTATCTGTTTTACGCAGGACCACCATGAACAGTTGGTCAGGTTGTGTACTGCAAAAAGATGCTTGATTGAGGAAGCTGAAATCCTCCAAAAACTCTGCTTATAAACATTGCACCCCAGCTTGTGATCAAGTCTGCCTAAAGGATCACCTTCCTCTAATTTGCATAAAGCTTCCATAATTGTTTCAGCTGTCCTTTGGCTCCCCTTCTATTTTAGGGCTGTCCCTGTCCTATTTTCCACTCGGGGGCACACTGCATAGTACTAAATGTGAGGAGTAGGGCATATTGCCATGAAATATCAGAAAAAGGACCAAAGAAACACTGCTAGAAGACAATCATGAGCACAGACTTCATTTTTCCATCTCAGGAGCACTGATGCCCAGTGGAGAAGCAGGTAAGTCAATCTCAAGTGAATGCCTAGTGCGAGTGAAGTCACAGCAGTGGCACTGTGGCCATGAATGTCATGCCTTCGGAGCTGCCTGCAGACTGGCATGGCGGGAGAGAAGCAATGAGGGGGCTGTGAGGCAGGAGGCTGGAATGGCGAGCTGGAGCCAAGCTGAGGGTTTCAAGTGGGAGTACCAAGGCCAGGCCCAGGCCCAGTGGGTGCAGCGACATAAATGAAATCTTTGGAGAGCAGACAGCTTCACCAAACAAAAGGAAGGAAATCAGGAGAGGTGTGACCAGCTTTCCAACAGGAGGGAATTTACCAACAGGAGGTTGACCAGCTGTCTGTCATCTTGTCTGAGGGCAGACAGAGCAAATGGAAATGTTTCAATCACTGTTTATGTTCACAGAATTTAGATACTGTTAATAACAAATTAATATCTTGTAAGAGGAATAAAAACTATAAGAAATGCCAAAAGAATGCCACAGAAGACCACCCCCATTTGACAAGTAATATTATCTATATATTATCCCATGAGGGTTTAGGTGAGGAAATGACTGCCTTGAGGAAAGTACAACAATTACGTGAGTCTCATTTGAAAATGAGAGATTATTAAACTGATGATCTCTTACTTGTGGCTCTGGAAAGAGAACAGAGGTGAGGACTACATTGTTTTCAGAAGTCCCATCCCCTTCCGCCGCAGCCTCTGTCTCTGAAGCTACTATCCACCTTGTTTTACCCTCACAGTAGGCACACAGATTTTTCTAGATAGAACTCCATTTTAGGGGGTGGGGAGAGTCAACACAAAAGGTTCAACATAAATATATGCCATATGACCTTTCCCTTCTAATATGGATCACAGAAAACCATATCGGTGACATCTACTCTCTGGGCATATGAACTGGGATTGTTTGTTAACAGGTGCACAAAGGCCACTGGCTATATTCCCTGCAAAGGGAGTGTAGGGATCTGGTGTGGGTAGCACAGTCAAAGGAACAGACTCAGCTAGGAAAAGAACCAGGGTAGGTCTAATGATCCAGAGAGCAGGAGATACACGACCTTGTCATTTGGGTGAAGCTACACCGGCCACCTTTGTCTCTGCCTGGCTCACTGAGATTAAGATTCAAACTCCCAACAGAGAGAGAATCTGATTGGCTCAGATCAGGTCACCTATTCACACCTGGGGCAAGGAGCAAGGAATAGTCCAACAAGACCGACTACAGCAGATGGAGGCTATTCTCTGTTCTTCCAAAAGGAAATAGGGGTGCTGTTCCCGAGAGAAGAGGAGAGCAACTAACTGCCACAACACAGACTAAAAACTGCCTTGATGGCACATGTTCCAAGTGAGGCTTTTGAGCCCATGTCTCAAAGGCTATCAGTTTCCACGAAATTATGTTATAGTAGAGAGAAAGCTCAGGTGTTTGCTTCACGATGCAATGAAGAATTTTATTTGTTAATTTCTTCTACAAGTGTTTATAGAGAACCTACTCCATTCCTAGCATGAAAACCCAAGTTCAGAAAAGATACCAGAAACACGTTCCCCAAAGACTCTACGTTAAAACAGTGAAAAGGAGGAAAGGCCCTGGCTGTAAAATGGGGAACCAGAAAATCTTTTCTGAGATTGTGACTGTGGGGAGAGAGAGGGACCACTGAAGTTGGACCCCACTCCCCAAGATATCACCGTCAAAGTTATCCAGGGCACTTGTTATCCTGAGGGGAAGAAATTAAACCCTAATTTCAGCTCTCAGTTTTGGGACTCTGTGCATCTCTACCTTAATATTGCAAAATCTATATTTGGATGTTAAAAAAAAAACTAGATTGGATGGGGAAAATAGGCAAGATATAAAATAGTTACTAATTTTAACACATTTTTTATAATGAAGGCGCTGCTTTGAAAATCTTCTGTTTCCACATATGTGGATGATTTAACTTGACTTATTAACTTCAGTAGAACTGAAAGATGTTTTTACTTCTGACAACTCCTATGTTCCGAGCATTACACAGCTCGGCCCACAGCTGTTACTGCATGACCACAGAAGGAGCCGCTGTGAATGGATTTATTTCCAAAATTCTGGAAGGTGTGCAAGGCAATTTGCAGATGCCTCTCCCTAGAACTTCTCATGAGGGCCAGGTTGCCCGTCGAGACAACCCACCCTCTACATCAGAACAAGGCTCTGCTTCAATGCATTGTCTCTGACATGAAAATGTAAAAGCAGGACACACCCTGGCCACTCCAGATTGCACGTGAAGAATTTCTGAAAGCATCAATAGAGCCCCCTGAAACCCAGCAGTTTCTACCATTGCCTAAGGGGCTACAACCAAATTACACTTGTGCTCGGTGAGCAAGAAGTACAAAAACATAAAAGAATTAATTCCCAAAATGAACTATTGATCATCATTTAGATTTCTGTTCCCAAAATCTCCATAGGAAAGGGTAATCAAAGAAAATCATGCGGTCTCATGTCTTGTCACGCGCCCACCAAAACCACCGCAAGCATTTTCCTGATAAGAGTTTGCAGAGTCAAGAATGTCGTGGGTTTGATTGCCACCCATATTCCTCTGCAGCCAGATCTTGCCGGGCTGAGATATTCTGCTAAAGCCTGCAAGTTCTGTCAGAAACCCTTGACCCTGAGGAAACCTGCCTGACTCCAAAGTCAAGAATCACCCTAGTTGCCTGCTATGCCATGCCCACCCTGGCTCTCCAGCAAGGTGCCCCCACATCAACACAAAGCACTGCCTTGGAAATTTCCCTGCTTGCAATGAGGTGGATGGGGTCAAGCATATCCGTGGCCAAACCAAACCCTGGGATGGCTGCAGCAGGCTTCCAGCAGAGCATCCTCCACAGAATCCTAGAACTTGGGAAGATAGGACATCCCAGACGCCCCTGGAGGTTCACTGTCCTTATGCAAAGCAGATGGCTGTGCCTCAACAGCCCAGTATTGGCAACTCAGGACCCCAAGGGCGGCAACTCTGTGTTCAGGATGAGGCCACAGAGTCACCTCTCGGATGCCAGGGAAAGAATGAACAAAGTAACGAATGAATGCAAAAGTAAGTAAATGAACAGATAAATGAATGGTGGATGAGGCAGCTGGTTTTCTCTCCAGACAAAGTCTCTGACTGTAGCGTGGAAATAGATTTATCTGGAGCTTCTTTCTGGTACTTTATTCTAACCCCCGAGACTGTTATCCATGTCACAACTATTCACATGTGAAGTGGCCCTGCTTTCTGAGGCCGGGAGTTAAGAAGGGAGGGAGGGAGGGAACTTTACCCTCAGAAATCAAAGTGATCTTCCAGTTGTCACAGGAGAATTTAGAATCTAAAGATCAAACACTGGAACTCAAAGAAGTTTGTAGAATTGCACAAACTCAGCTATTTCCCTCTAGTTAATATTTTTGTTATCCCTACCTACTGGAGATGATTATCTATAAAAACCCATGAAAAGGAAAGGGATCTATGGGTTTATTGCCACTGTAGCAAGCAAGAAAGAATAGGCAATGAAAAAGTTTGGGGACATCTAACAACACTCTTTCAATGTCTTTGAAGGTCTCATGTAGTATGGGGATTGAGGGGTCTCAAACTCAAATGCTTGCCAGGGCAGGGTGGGTAAGCTTCCAACAACAGTGAAAATTATCACAGGAGGAGGCACACCTCATCCACACAGGGCAGGCTACTGCCTGGCTCCACGGACTTAGCAGGCTAGACATCCGGGCAATTGGGGAAATCTACAATTTTAAAAAGATATCAATGAATTCAAGTTGTAGAGACTCAATGAGTGAGTCTTGAGATTAGGAAGCCAAGAGAAAGCTTGTGGGTCCAGACTGAATCTCAGATTCAATACCTTTAGAGGAGACACGCATGCCGCATGACCCCAGGGAACCACCTGGGAGAAAGAGATACTGCCAACGGGGAGGCACATTGGGGTTCAGTGTCAGGAAGCTCTTTCAACCCATCCAGCTGCCCCCCTCAGAAGGCCTCCGATCCTTGCAGGAGTCCAAACTGAAGATAGACAACCAATTGATTGGGAGCTTGCAGGTGGGCTTATAAATAAACTGTAAAATCTCTTCTGATATGAACGAAATTTTTCCTGAGTTCTTATGTGTGAGACGCTATTCTAAGAGCACATAACTATAACATTTTAATTCTATAATTAACCGTAGTGAAATTTATCACCATTTTCCGAAGAAACTTCTCACTTGCTCTAGAGGGAGTAAAGGCTAAGATTTACCGATGTATTCAGACAACTGAAAGACCAGGGGACTCCACCCAAGAGAGAAGGAGGAAGAGGCACGGGAGTCACAGCACAGTTGGGTGGCACTTGGCCCTTTGAGTTCGGGACTAATCCTAAGAGTCATTATATGTCCAACAAGGGTGTAAAGCAAGGGTGAATTAGGCTCAGATCTGCATTCGGGGAGATCTCTTTGACTAGAGATGTGGTCAGGAGACTATGCTGCAGTGAGACCAGAGAACTGAGAAAGCAGGAGTTTTATGTCTCTCGATTGAGCCTTGCCTATACACAATAAGCAGAATTAAATGTGGCACAATACAGTAAAAATAGCCAGTTTGACTCCGTGTATTTCCACTCTGAGACCATTCCCACGTCACCTCTCTTCTTCATGGAGTAGCTCCCCACTGCTCTACCCTCTTGTAGCCTCGTTCTGAATGTCCACTCTTCACCCAGCAGCTAGGGAGATGTTGAAAATACACATCAGGTCATGCTTCCCTCTGTTCAAAACCTTCCAAGGGTTTCCTGTTGCCAAGACCTTGCCAAGGTCTCCAGAGACCCTTCCCTGCCTCCAATGACCCCCTGTGTTCCTCCAACACTCTGCACTTATTTCTGCCTCGAGTCCTTGAGTTCAGGGCCCCCTCTGCACCTAATAATCTGCGTGGCTGCCCTCTTTCATTTTACTTAGAGGTCTCCTCCACTCTCAGTTTTCCAGAGAAGCCCACCTCCACCGACCCTACCTAAAACCATGCATCCCCGATGCCTCTCCTCCTTACCAGCACTTCTCACATCTAACATTATATCCAGCTCTTTATTTATGACATGTTCTCCTTAACTGTGAGAACATACACCCCTTAAGAACCAGGACTTTATCTACCAAACAGTCCAACCACCGGGAACGGTGCAGGTCAGACTAGGTGCTCAGTGAATAATTTATTGAGCAAATGATTTCAACTGGACTTATACTTGCCTTTAGGTCATATTAATGTAATTATTTAATTATATTATGAAATAAGAGCAGAAGAGCCTTAAACTTAAGAAGCAGGCGTGTCAGGCACCTTCCAAGCTTTATTAACATTTTTCAACTATGATTCTTTCTATTCTTTTTCAGTTAAGAAATCTACGTACCTAAGACTGTCTAATGTATACATACAGTTTAATTAAATGCTAATAAAATAACTAGGTACCACTTTCCAAGCAAAAATATAACAGACACCTTCAGTATCTCAACCCAACAACTTATCCTCTGTTTTTCCCAAAGAGGTATACACTACTCTAAATTTTGTGTGTCATTCTGTTTTTTTTTTCTAATAGTTTTGCCCGCTTGACTTATATCCCCAAACAGCAGACTGTTTATTTTGCCTTTTGAAAAGCTGTACTTAAATGAAACCAGTTCCTTCTTCTAATTGAGTTTCTGAGGTTCACTCATGTTGAACTGGAGTGCTGGGGTTCATTTCCCCATACTGCTATGCAGTATTCCATTGTACGAATATACCTCAATTACTTATCTATTGTATAATGATGGACAATCTTACTCATACCTCCTAATACGCATGAGAGCCTCTCTTCCTAAATATTACCATTGTCTACGGTGAAATGATTTTAAATATGTCAGGAGGCATTGCTTTGCAGCTACACAATTCACTGTAGGGGTTATTTAAATTTGAATTAATTAAAATTGAATGAAATTTAAAATTCAGTCCCTCAGTAACACTCACCACATTTCAAGTGCTCAGCAGCCATATGCGTAGCGTATTGGTGGCTACCGTATTGGACCGCACAGAAAGAGATTTTCCTTCATCACAGAAAGTGCCATGGACAGAGCAGGTTGAGAGCATAATAAGTTGAAATGGAATTGCTGGGCTGTGAGGTATGCAAATATTCAACTTTGCTAGGAATACCAAGCTGTTTCCCAAATTTCTCATACCAGTGTACCAGCAGGACTGAAGCCCCTGTTGCTCCACGAGAGATATTTGTAATTTTAATATGTCCAAGTATATCAATGTTATCCTCTAAGTTTGTCTCATGTTTTTCATCTTTTGCCTTATGTTTTATGTCTTGTTTCAGAAAACCTCCCCAAAGTTCATGAAGATATTCTCCTTCTGTGCATTTTATTGTTTTGCCACGTATGTCTTAAATCCTCTTTGAATTGAATTTGCTGTGCAGGGTGAGGTAGAAAGTTATATTTTTCCAGATAGATGCCCGTTTGTCCCAAATTACTAAATTTAAGATTTTTTGCATTATTTCTCAGGGCCTGCCCTATCGTAAAGCTGGTTTCCATATATGCGTGAGTAAACGTCGGGGCTCTATTCTGTTCCACTGGCCTATTTGTCCATCCCCGCATCAACACCTTGTTTTTTATAACTTAGTGTTTCTGTCTGTAAGATCAAATTTCCCCATTTTGTTTTCTTCGTCAGCAGCATGTTTGGTCCTTTCCATTTCCACATACTTTTTTAGAATCGATTTGTTGTTATCTTAAAAAAGAAATCCTCTTGGTATTTAGATCGGGAACTCATTGAATCTATACATTAGCCTGGAAAGTTACATCTTTATAATATTTCATCTTCCTCACTGCTATGGTCTGAATGTTTGTGTCTCTCCCGAATTCATATGTTAAAATCCTAGCCCCCAGGTGCTAGAATTATGAGGCGAGGTCTTTGAGAGGTAATTGGGTCATGAAGGTAGACCCCTCACAGTGGGATTAGTGTTCTTATAAAAGAAGTCCCAGAGAGACCCTTTGCCCTTCCACCATGTGAAGACACAGCAAGAATGCACATTTTATGAACCAGGAAGCAAACCCTTTACCAGACAGCAGATCTTCAGACAGTTTGGATTAGCACTTCCTAGCCTCCTGAATCGCGAGCAATAAACTTCTGTTATTTATAAATTACCCAGTTTATGATGTGATCTCATAGCAGCACAAATGGACTAAACACTCTCCAAGAATATATCTGCACTTAGGTTAATTTTGATTTCAATAAAACTTTATAATTTCCTCCATTAAAAAGCTCATCTATATTTTATCAAACTGATTTCATGAAATTTTATAAATTGTTTTCTATAAATAGATTTTTTTCTTACATTTCCTAAGAGCTTTTGCTAGTTTAAGGAAATGCAACTGACTTTTGTACCCTGGGTTTGATTCTTAAAGAATCAAACTTATAATTAATTCTTATTAACTTATAATTAATTCTCATAATTTATTTGTGGATTCTTTGGGGTTGTCTATGCAGACTATCATGTCATCTTCAAGTAATAACAATGTTATTTCCTCAGTGACAATTTTTATACTTTCATTTCTTTTCCTTTATTATGAATAACACTTGTAGTGTAATGTTGCCACTATGGTCATCCTCACCTCTTTGTTCCAGACTTAATATTTAACCATTAATTTTGATATTTGCAGCAGGATTTTTTAGACATCCTTTACCATGTTAAATAAGTTTCCTTGGATTCAAATTTGGTTATAAGACTTTTTATATTTTATGAATAGATGTGTAATTTTATTCAACATATTACTGCATCTATTTAGGTTATCACAAGCCTTTTTATTTGATTTGATGAATAAAATAAATTTCATGGATAGATTTTTCCCATGGAATACCAATCCTACTTTGCTGGCATAAACTCAACCTGCCATGATGTATTAAATGTTTTATAGGTTATTTGGGTATATTTTGCTAATATTTTTTTCAGCATTTTTGTATCTATCTACATGAGATTGAGATTCAACTGTAGTTTTTCTTTTTGTTGTTCTTCTTCCTTATACCGTTTGGTATCAAGGTGAGAACAGTTTTATAAAATTAGTTGGGGGCTGTTCCTTCATTTTCATTTTTCACATAAGTTTGTGCAAGAGGGAATTAATGACTTCTTAAATATTTGGTAGAACTTCCTCTTCAAATAATCTAGTTCTCCTGCTTTCTTTGTGAAAAGATTTTTAACCACAGATTCAATTTTCTTAGTGGTTTTAGAACCTTTTCATCTTAAGTCAGTTATGATAAGTTACATTTTTCCTTGTATTTTATTAATTGAATTGAAGACTTCAAAATTTATCGGCATGCATGTTTTATTCATGATATCCTCATCAATTTGATCTCTGCATCATCTTTTTATTTCTAAAATCATTTATTTGTGTCTTCATTCTCTATTTTTCTTAATTAACTTTGAAGGAGCTTTGTCTATTTTATTAATGTTCTCAGAGAATCGACCATTGGCTTCATTGCTTCTCTCTTATTGTATGTTTCTTTCCTATTTCATTAATTTATTCTCTTACTTGTTTTCTTCCTGCTAGTTTCCTTGGGTTTTATCTGTTATTCTTTCTCTATTTTCTTAATTAATTTCTCATTAATGTTGTCTTTTTCTTTTCTACTCTAACTAGATTTATATTTACTTCTTCAGTTTCATTCTACATACCATGATACACATATTTTTCATCAAACAGTTCTAAGTGGCTTTTCATTTTCTTTTTGTTTATTTTCTGTCCCATCAATCGTTTAGAGGTGTAATTTTTACATTCCAAATATATTCCTTTTTCTAGTTAAATTTTTGTTACTGATTTCTAAATGAATTGCAACGTGATCAGCGATGGGGACCTGGAGGATGCAGCCCTTTGAAATTTGTCAAGGCTGCTTTCGGGCAGCACCGTGACTCACAACCTGAGCTGTACATTAGAACCACGTGGTAGTTTTCCTGGTGCCCAGGCCATACCTGCTTCCAATTAAATCAGAACACCTGACATTACACACCCACAGTTTTTTTTTTTTTTTTTTTTTTTTTTTTTTTTTGAGACGGAATCTCGCTCTGTCGCCCAGGCTGAAGCGCAAGCGCAGTGGCGCGATCTCAGCTCACTGCAAACTCCGGCTCCTGGGTTCATGCCATTCTCCTGCCTCAGCCTCACGAGTAGCTGGGACTACAGGCGCCCGCCACCATGCCCCGGCTCACTTTTTTTTATATTTTTAGTAGAGACGGGGTTTCACCGCGTTAGCCAGGATGGTCTTGATCTCCTGACCTCTTGATCCGCCCACCTCAGCCTCCCAAAGTGCTGGGATTACAGGCGTGAGCCACCGCGCCCAGCTGACATGACACACTTTAAAAATGTTCCAGGTGATTCCAACATGCAGCCAAATTCGAGAATCAGGGGTGTGCACATGATTGATTTTCAAAACTGCTCATTCATGCTTCAGAATAATAGTGCATTCTTCAGTTTGGGTACAGAGTGGTACCAAGCTGTAACAGGTCCATTAGATCTTACTTATCAATTGCGTACATCTTCTGTTTTCTTCTTCAGTCAATGATTGAGAGGAGCATCTGTGAATTTGTCAATTTCTTCCTGTAGTACTATCAAGTTTTTCTTTATATTTTAAGCCTTTGCCATTAGATACATGCTATATTTTATATCTAAAAATAGCATATCTAAAATCATGCATCATCCTTGAAGAAGCTTTTCCTTGAATGAAGTAATCTCTCTCCCTCTCTGTCTCTCTCTCTCTCTCTCTTTTTAAGATATGGGGCCTCTCTATGTTGCCCAGAATGATGGAATACACTGGCTATTTACAGATTTCTCAGATGTGACAATAACACACTATAGGCTTGAATGCCTGGGCGCAGGTAATCCTTCTGCCTCAGCCTCTCAAGTAGCTTGGACTACAGGTGAGCACCCCCATGCCCAGACCTGAAGTTACTGTCTTCTAACTTCACTAAGTCTATTTTCTCTGATACTAATATAGCATATCAGCTCTTTCTGGGAGGAAGAGATAATATTATTCTTTTATTCTTCATCTTCTGTTCTCTTATGTCAATTCTAAACGTATGACTGTCTAATTCTTATCAAACCTCTACTAAGCCTGAATGTCAGTTTAGTATCCAATTCTACATGTATACTAAAATAAAACTAATTTGCCTTTAAAAGTACATTCTAGAAGTCAGACTCTTACCTAATATGAGCTAAACTATTCTAGTCAAAATTATGATGTGATATTCAGTGTGAAACTTCCAAAACACATGGTCTCAATAAGCCATGTCCCCCCCACCCGCTCGTTAAAAGACCAGGAAATTATCATTACTTTATGAAATAATACAAGTTTGACTCTCCATCTCAAATTTATAAAACCATTAAGGTCCTTATTCAACTGCAAAGTCACTAAACCTTTCAAAACAGCCACATTTGGGTAGGCATTTAAAAATTAATGGAAATATAATTCTCAGTGATTGGAGGGGCAAAGCATGATATTGACTCTTTCCTGGAGGCAGCTTCTCTGCACAGGGATTAACAGCCTTTCAGGGGTCCTGGTCCTCATTCGTCCATCTCCTTGAGCCTGGAGGAAACTCTGCTGGTTTTGCATGGGCTTTAGATCAGCTGCTGGGAAAGTCAGTGTTAGAATTATCTTCAAGGATACAATTAGTGTGCTAGCAGGCAAGACTGTGTTTAAGAAGTCAGAGTTCAGACAATTCCAAACTTTAAATCATTTTTACATGCCGTCGTTCAAATGCTTCATTTTTTAACGATTAATAAATTGTTTTCAAGGCACCTGTTGCCAATACCTAATTTTCATTGAGCAGTTTTCTAGAGAACGTGGCCAAGTGTCAGTGTATAGTTCCTGCTTGATGTTGCGTATAATTTTTAGGATATTCTGAATGGCATGTGCTAATTATTTCGCACAATAGCTAATTTTATGGCGCTCAAAGACTGTAACAGAAGGGCTGTAATTATTTATAATAGGAATGTCTCGTTTTTTGTTAAAACCAAAGTGTGGGAGGCAAAAAAGAAAATAAAGGATAATTTTACACTATCCTCGGAAGAATGAAATAGTTAATATTTTCAGGACTTTGTTACTAGTAACACTGGAAGACTAACCATATGTCCTAGACTTCCAAGGAAAACATTGTAGCTTAGCAAAATTTACAGCAGTTTCTAAAATACGTGTTTAGATTTTATTTCCCAAAGCAGATGAAAATCCTTTTTAAATTGTGTCTTGTGCCACAGTTTCCAGCATAAAATAGATCTTCTTAAGAAAGGGGGAGAAAAAGTTTTTAAGATTTTACTTCGCTAGAGGGTCTTATTCAAGGTTCATGGAAATAGTGATAAAGCAGCTTGTTCTAAAGGTTGCCTGTTGTGGTGGTGTGCAAGTTATGAAGTGTTTAGCTCACATATGTAGGATTCTGTTCAATTCTCAAAATAGCCTTGTCAGAAAGGTGGGGAGAGAAACAGGTCTAATGCCCTTTGATAACAGTATCAAGAGATTTGAAATATTTATACCTTTTGACCAAGGAGCTCCACTTTTAGGAACCTACGTCCCCCAGATAATCAGAGATGTAGTCTAGGATTCATAGATCAAACAAAAACCTCCACTTTATTATAATCATGGAAGTGGGGAGCCATTTGAATATTGAGTGATGGCTTCTTAAATTATTATATACCCGACCCAGGGCTATGACCCTGTCTTAAAATTATATTTTAAAGACTATGTATGGAGCATGGGAACTACTCACGACTTCATAAAGACTAAATGCAAAGACTAGGACAAAAAGCCAATTTCACATTTGTAATAATTATATTATAGATGAACACAGCAGAAAAAAAAGAAAACACCTAGAAGGAACACAATCAGAACGTTTAATTATCTTGGTTTACAGATAGTTTTAATTTTTTTCCTTATACTCTCCTGTATTTTTTGCTAGTATTCTCTAATAAACTTTACCAGTTTCCAATAAGAAGAAGAAAGATATGATTTTAAAAATAAGCACTGAAGAGTCATCTTGTGGTCAAAGGCAGAGCGCTGAGCTAGACTCCCCACATCTCCCCAACAGCTTGTTTTCTCCAGGATGACAAGAATCTATGGACTCTTCCCACTTAGGCGCGCCCTAACGCAGGGCCCTTTTCTGTTCCTTGTCATTTTCGTTCTCCTAACTCCTTGTTCACCTCCCACCACTCGCTCCTAATGTCGGCTCTTTATTTCTGGACTCTGACACTCCCTTCCTCACTCCCCCTTTTTCCCTGGGCTCAAGTCCAATTCTGAGCCTAATCTTGCCCTGCTGGGGAACCCAGAGTCAGGTGTCTGCAAGTCTCTATTAGGACATGGGGTATGGTGGGCAGCAGGCATATGGAGGGCATAAGCTGCCCATCGCGGAGCTCCTCCATGCCTGGCCTCGCCAGCCACTCATGTCCAGACACCTTCATCCATAGTCACCAAGGCCCACGTCATTAGATCTGACCTCAGGCCACTCCTCACAGTGAAGATCAAGACATGGGAAGTGAGCTAATTTGCCATAGGACTTTGGGCTGACCCATATCAAAAAAACAGAGAGAGAGATATGAATGGCAGCCACAGAGAGGACAGATGGAGTTCTGGTGTTTGCGCCATGAGATTTGCTGATGGGCAGGTGCCCATCAAGTGCTGCTCCTGGGAACTGGAAATAAGAGTGAGGCCTCACGAGAAGGCACCAGAAGGCAGAGGCTGGCCAGTAGTGCTTGGGTTGGAGACAGAGGCCATGCTCTGTCACCTCCTCACTGTGGGCCTGAGTAAGCGACCAGCTTCTCTGGACCTCAGACTCATTATATGTAAAGCAGGGATAATATCTTCCTAGTCCGCCTTATGTTGTACTCAAATAACATTTATTGAGCACCTGCTGTGTACCAGAGATTTCTCTAGGTGCACCGCATAGGACAGCAGTGGGCTGAACAAGCAATGGCCCTATGCTCACAGAGCTGACACTGTCGAGGAGAAGAGTGACGATGAGCACACAGATGGACACATAGACCACATAGAAGTGTGTCCCAAGGAATGACACGCGCTACGAATTAAACCACAGCCAGGGAGAGAAAAAGGGGTGAGTGCCACCTTAGGGCATCAGGGAAGACCTCTCTGCAAAAATGATGCTGAGCAAAGGCTCAAATTAAGCCAGAGATGAGCAGTGGGGTTTTCTGCAGAGACTCTCCCAAGGCTAAGAGCAAAGGCTTGGGGATGAAGGCGCATGCCTGTGCCTTTGAAAAGCAGGGAGGAAGGGGCCAGGTGTAGTGGCTCACACCTGTAATCCCAGCACTTTGGGAGGCCAAAGCAGGCTGATCATGAGGTCAGGAGTTCGAGACCAGCCTGGCCAACATGATGAAGCCCCATTCCTACTAAAGGAAACTACAAAAATTAGCCAGGCTTGGTGGTGTGTGCCTGTAATCCCAGCTACTGGGGAGGCTGAGGCAAAAGGTTCACTTGAACCTGGGAGCTGGAGGTTGCAGTGAGCCGCAATCGTGCCATTGTACTCCAGCCTGGGCGATAGAGTGAGACTTCATCAAAAGAAAGAAAGAGAGAGAGAGAGAGAGAGAGAGAAAGGAAGGAAGGAAGGAAGGAAGGAAGGAAGGAAGGAAGGAAGGAAGGAAGGAAAGGAAGGAAGGAAAGGAAGGAAGGAAGGAAGGAAGGAAGGAAGGAAGGAAGGAAGAAAGAGAAAGAAAAAAAAGAAAAGGAAAAGCAGGGAGGACGTCTGAACAGCTGGACAGAGAGAGTGAGGGAAAAACAGGAAGGTGCAAGACCAGAAATGGTGGCAGTTTGGACTAGTGGGGGAGAATGCAGGAAGCAGTGGTGGGAAATGAAATAAGACAGGATAGATCTTGAAGGTAGAACAAAAAGAATGTGCTAATGAATTGGATCTGGCATGCAAGAGACAGCGAAGCATCGAGATATGTTTTGGTACAATTAAACAGTGTATGAGAAAGCAATTTACGAACTGTGAAGCACCAAACAGGAGTATGAGCACCAAGCAAAGGGCCTCATACACAGTAAACGCTCAGGGAAATTTCACTGAAAGATCAGTAGTGTCCCCTAAGTCACTAGGCTTGGGAGCTGATGTTTCAAACCTGTGCAGGAGTTTTCTGAACAACTTGTGATGCTGTTGTCTCAACCATAATGATGCCCATGTTTTACAGAAAGAATATGGAGGTCCAGAAGTTGAAAGCTAACCCAAGTAGCAGAGCCAGGATTTAACCCTTTTTGCCAAAAGAAGGATGGATAATGTGATCAGTTTAAGGTGGTGCAACAGGAAACAGGGACAGTTTCTTTTCATATTAAAAACTAAATCATTTGTAAAGAAATATTTTTTTCTCCCTTCTCTATAACCTCTTTCCTTCCTCTTATTTAGTACAGAAAAATAACACTGCAGCTAGTAGAAAAATCCCTGCCTGTAACCACTGGCATCTAGATTTCATTTTCCCTATCTACCCCACAAATCACAATCCATTTGCCTGTAAAAATTACTCTGAAAACTTCAATTTTCTCCCTTGTTTATTCCTCCCCATGTGCTAAGTTTGCATTACTTGCTGTTAATATAAATGGTTAAACCGTTCAGTTGACTTTTATTATCAATTGGTATTTATTGTGAATAAGCCTTCAGTTATTATGTTATTTAAAAAGCATGTGGTAATATTCTTCTGAAAAACAGCCCTACAGAATAGTTTATTAGTATATTAATTATATGACTTTTGATCCCCAGAACAAATGTAATGATAATGTGAAATATGTCAGCCTGGTTTGCCAAATGCAGAAGCCTGTGATGTTTCCCTGTCTTATGTGCCAATAATATAAATAAGTTTGTTTTGTTAGGCAGGCATCTAAACTAGCAAATTCCCTTCCAAATAGCCTTAATATTTATTGTAATGCCAAAGTAATGTCAACATTATTTACAGATTATGAAAAATAATTTAAGGCTTGAGCAAACTTGCTGTTGGACTATAACAAGTTTCCTAATCACAGAAATATTTATTGTGATGCAGTCAGCACACATACTACTGTTTCTGATAATAAGCAAATACGATTAAGTTTTAACTGTTTTAACTCTTGTCAAAATATTTTTCGGTAGGACTGGAATCTTCTGATGTACTGTAACACTATTGATTATATTGTGTAGTTGGTATAACCTCACCTTTTGTATCCAAAATTTTACGGTAAATTGTTAGCTTTCCGGAAGAGCAAATAAATCATTATACTAAATATAGGCTGTCAGTTCAGTACTTCACACAACCTAAAAAAATCAGCCGTCTTTTCTGTGCTTTTTGCAAAACTACTACTTTATTTAGCAACATATTAAAATAAAGACTTTTTGATTGGCTCAGGAGGAAACAAAGGAAGAGAAGCCTAGAGAGAAAACATGTTAAAACATTTAAAAACCATTTTTTTCAAGTACATGACACTTTATGTTAAAATGTTAAATGACCTCTGTTTAAATATTTTGGCCTTTGGAATGGTAGTTCAAGTATGGGGAAGATGTTCCCTATAAAACACCCGACGTGGCCTGTAAAATAACACCAGCGGGCTTATTTCCAATTCGGTTTGAAAGACTGTCTTCCCAACACTAAAGCAATCTGCCAGTGTCAGCCACATGTAAGAATATTTTGTTTCCAGCGAGGTGTTTTACGATGACTTGCTCAAGTCCACGGCTCTAGTATCTTTTCTTCCTTCCTTTGACTTTACCATAATTATTTTCATGTTTGTTTGTTTTGCTTTTTCAAACCTCCAGAGTCACATTCCTGAGCATATAGTTTTCATTTGGTTCAATTCTTAAGACAGTCCAACCTGTTCAATTTTAAAGATGTCTTAATTAGTCTAATCCTGATTGGGCTCCTTCCAAAGCTCCTGTTGGCAGAGTCCGATTTCAATTAACATTCCACTTTCATACTGCAAATGCCCTTGTTCAGACTTAAAAAAAAAAAAATGTGCTATTTTGGATGCCACCTCTCTTCAGCATTATTCTGCCTCAGAAATCATACCGCTCCCAAAATATTTCTAGACACCAGGCACAGAGGAGAGTTCTGGCAATTACTATTCTCTGAAGTTTTCAAGAAATATAATTCCGGCTGGGCTCAGTGGCTCACGCCTGTAATCCCAGCACTTTGGGAGGCTGAGGTAGGCAGATCACCTGAGGTCAGGAGTTCGAGACTAGCCTGGCCAATGTGGTAAAACCCCGTCTCTATTAAAAATACAAAAAAAAAATAGGGCATCATGGAGGGCAGCTATAATCCCAGCTACTCGGGAGGCTGAGGCATGAGAATGACTTGAACCCGGGAGGCAGAGGTTGCAGTGAGCCAAGATCACACCATTGCACTCCAGCCTGCGCAACAAGAGTGAAACTCTGTCTCAAAATAAATAAATAAATTAAATTAAATTAAATAGAGAGAAATATGACCCTGTTGATCAGCATCACACTGGCCATGATTGTGAGTTTTAAGAGGGCAAGGTGCACACATTCTTCCAAAATCAGGCATCAGATCCTTTCTTTAGTTGACATCAGAGAGTTTAAACCAAGGATGTGCTGACACAAATCTGGCCTAGATTACTGAAGACCTAGAGGATTGGGATTACGGACCTTCAAATACACAAATACTTCCAGTTCCCCATTAATCCTGTGAGGTAGGTGTTATTTGTTCCCATTTTATGGATGAAAATGTTTAGAATTTAGAGTGCTTGACTGACTTGTCCAAAACTTCAGAGCTAATCGGGAGCATGTGGGAGGAGACGTTCTTCCACTTGACCATACCAATGTGACAATGTTAAAAAAAAATCGAAAAGGTAAAACAGAAATACAGCAGAGCTATGTTCACTCACCAATAGCTGAAGGATGAGATATTGAATGTAAGCAAATGCTTTGGAGAACTTTGGCTGTTGGGGTCAATGCCAAAGCTGTTTTCCAGGAGGCCATTATCTATCTCTGTTCTTGAGCCAGGTGGCCTCAGTTGGAATTCTAGCTCCAGGAACCTGGACAAAGATACCTAACCTCTCTAGATGTCAGTTAACTCCTTAGTAATATGGGGATGCTAATAACATTTTTCTCACAGAGTTGCTCTTAGGATTCAGTGAGATAAAGGATTATCTAGAGTGCTTTACACAGGTCTGACACTTAGTGAACAGCATGGACTCTTGAACAAACAGCTGTAGACCACTGTTTCCTAACCCCAACACTAAGGACAATCTGGGCTGGATCACTCCTTGCATGGGGGGGGGTCTTTCCTATGCATTGTGGGATGTTTAGATACACCCTTGGCCTTTATCAACTTGTCAGTAGCACCGTCTCCAGTCATGACAATCAAATGTCTCCAGGCATTGCCAAATATCTTCTGAGTGACAAAGCGAATACCACCAAGGTGCCTCCAAGCCACCCTGTCCAGTTTGGTAGCCAAAAGCTACATATGGCTATTGAGCACTTGAAATGTGGTGGATGCCACACATTGAAATAATAATGTGGATATGCTGGGTTAAGTAAAATATATCATTAAAATGAATGTACCGTTTCTTTTTTTTTTTAACTTTGCCTACTAGAAATCTAAAAGCTACACATGTGGTTTGCATTAGACTTCTGTTGGACAGTACTGTGCTACAGACTTCTGTCTCACCTCTAGGATGATCACTCCAGGTGGCTATCTCAACCCTGGACCCTCATTTCCACTTGGCTATCAGACATCTGCAGTGATCTGACAGCTGATGGTCAGAGCAAGCAGCCCAGCCACAAGCCTCATCATCTCTCTTCCATTACAACTCAGCAAATACAGCCATCTCCATCCTCTGACGTGACTAAAGATTGGACATCTGATGTCATCCCCAACTCATCTCTTCTATCCCTTACCTCCAGCCAAAACCCAACATCATATTTCCCAGTCCATTTCAGTGTTTCTAAATGTAAAAAACAAAAAATCAAAGTATTGCTTACAGGAGAGAAATTGGAAACAACTTAAATGCTAGTAACAGGGGACTGATGAGTAAATTATATTCCATCTCCATGATATAACACCCTGCAGCTATTAGAATCCCACGTAAGAATATTTAATAGCATAAAAAATGTTTCAGAAACACATAGAGAAAGAAACAGATTAGGACATAGCACAAAAAGCATGATTTTACTTTTGTAACAAAAGTATATCTCTTGATATTCACATAGATGTATGCATGGAAAAGACTAGATATATTAATGACACTTTGTTGATGGCTGGTGAGAATCCAGGTTAATGTTCGCTTAATTTTATAGTTTTGTTCCCAAGTTTTCTAAAATGAGCACGTATTGCTTCTATAATCAAATGAAAAAAAAGTGGCATATGTTACTGTCTTCACTGTGGTAAAGTACGATCCCTGTCCCACTCATGGTATTGTTCTGTCAAAAGCACAATGGTTATGAAACTTGTTTGTAAATATGGGTGCTGATCATGGCCATGATATTGGCATCTCATGGTCTACAATGACTCTGTCACCAAGGGGACATTTGGCAATGTCAGAAAACACTTGGTTGTCACAACTAAAGATGTTACTGGCATCTAGACGGTAAAAGCCAAGGACATGACTAAACATCCTACAATGCATAGGAAACTCCCCTAAGCAAAAACTGACCTAGCCCAGAGTGTCCATAGGGCTAAGGTTGAGAAGTAATGGTTCATAGCTAACATCTGTTCAAGGGGCCATGTTGGAGACATGGGGACATCATTGGAGATGTATGATGGCCAAGTAGAAATGAGGGCCCAGGGCTGAGATAGCCATCGGGAGTGATCTTCTTAGAGGTAAGATGGAAGCCTGTAGCACACACAGGGAATCAAAAATGACTCCTGAGTGACAGGTCCCAGTCAAATTCTCTAAGTGCCCCTGGCTGCATCTACCTTATGCCAAATATCCGAATTAAAATAGAAATCTGATTAGTTATCCAATTATTAACTCACATGAGGTAAGACGATTTGCTGGAAATAACATGGTCACCCAGAGGCAAGATAGTGAGGGGGAACTAAACAAAAATTATCTTCTCGCATCAAGAGGCGATGTCTGGGTTGCCTGCGAGGCTGGGAGGGCAGAGCCATCTGCCGAGTGCGGCCCTGCTGGACCTGTTGTGTTGAGAATCTACAGTTTTGAGCACGGTTTGTCTGGCGCCCTTCACAAGCACTACATTAACTTGAGTTCATTTGAAATTCATCATTGCCAAAGAGATACAAGACACTGGAGGTTTAGTTTCCAGGAATTTAAATGTCAGGCATCCAAAATGTGCTGTGGAGACACAGCATCTGGAAGGTGATGTTTTTAAAATTTATCTACAAACAGGAACAGCTCCCTGAGCTAGGCTTTTTCAGAGAAAATAAAGCATCCCTCACAACACACACACACATCACCAGAAACTTGGTGGGACACCATCTTTAAAAAATAGGACTGCTCAAATTAAAAATGTAGCATTCGATGTTGAACTGGGCTGTGCTCTGAATGTATGGGTTGCCCCAAAAATTCATATGTTGAAACTTAATCCCCAACGCAGTAGTACAGTATCCCTCAGTATCTGTGGAGTATAAGTTCCAGGACCCCCAAGGATACAAAAATCCACAGATGCTCAAGTTCCTGATATAAAATGGCATAGTATTTGCATATAACATATCCTCCTGTATACTTTAAATCATCTCTAGGTTTACCTAATATAATGTAAATGCTACGTAAATAGTTATATACTATATTGTTTAGGAAATAATGACAAGAAAGTAATCTGTTCATGTTCAGGACAGATGTGATTTTTAAAAAAATTTTCAATCTGAGTTTGGTTGAATCCACCAATGACACCCCTATGGATACAGAGTGTCCACTACATTAAAAAGTATGGCCTTTGAGAGGTAATAATTAGGTCATGAGGGCCCTGCCCTTATAAAAGAGTCCTGAGGGAGTGTGTGAGCCCCTTACCCCTCCCACCATGGGAAGACACATGGAGAAGGCACCATTTTTGAAGCAGAGAGTGGGCCCTCACCAGACATGGAATCTACCTTCACTTTGATCTTGGACTTCCCAGCCTCCAGAATTGTGAGCAATAAACATCTGTCGTTTATAAATTACCCAGTCTAAGGTATTTTGTTTTATCAGCCAGAACAGACTGAGACAGGCTAGCGCCTCTAAACTTTGAGACAAGCCAACATGGAACATAAGTGCTTACCGAAAAAGGAATTCTTCCACGTTCAAGGAGAAATTAAATGTTGAGCTTCAGCCACACTGGCCTCCCTGCTTTTCATCAGACACACCAGACACCCTCCTAACTCAGAGACTTTGTTCTGGCTATTCCTTCTAGGATGTTCCTCCCCCTAGATATCCACTTGGCTCTTGCCCATAGCGCTTTATCGCTTTGCTCCCTTCTCAATAAACTTTTACCTTACTCTTTTATGCCACAGTCTGTCCCTTCCTAGCACTCCTCTCCCTAGCTCAGCATTCTCCACCCACTTTTCTCTGATATTCTTTTTTCTAATGCATGACACAATCCTATAGTTATTATATTTGTTGTTCATTGTCTCTCCGTCCTTGAAAAATGTAAGGTTTATGAAGGCAGGGCTTGTTTTATTCACTGGTGGATTATGAACAGTACCTAGAACAGTGCCAAGAAATTTACTGAACACCTTCTCTGAGTTCAACATGACATTCACATCTGTAAGAAGGAGATGGTGTAAGTGTCTGCCTTTGTGTTTTAGGAAATTAAAACTTGAATGGGTAGGCTGGGCATGGTGATTCCTGCCTGTAATCCCAGCACTTTGGGAGGCCAAGGCAGACAGATCACTTGAGGTCAGGAGTCCGAGACCAGCCTGGCCAACATGGCGAAACCCCATCTCTACTAAAAATACAAAAAATTAGCTGGTGGCGTGTGCCTGTAATCTCAGCTACTCAGGAGGCTGAGGCAGGAGAATCACTTGAACCCGGGAGGCAGAGGTTGCAGTGAGCCGAGATTGCACCACTGTACTCCAGCCTGGACAACAGAGCAAAACTCAGTCCCAAAAAACCAAAAAAACCTGAATGGGCAAATGAAACTGTCCAGGGTGCAAGCGTGCCACAGTGATGCTTAGACCAGCTTGAGCTGGCTTCTGCTGCTTGCAACCAACAGGCATCTGACCAATAGGACCCAACTATCAACACCACTGGAATCTGGGAAGGGAAAAACACACATCTGTAGACTGAATCCAAGTCTTCCTATAGGAATTACGTATTCTCAGGCCATGAAGCAACCTTGGAAAACACCAGACTCCGGCTGAATGCCGGAAACCTTTCCTTGACTTCCCAACTTGATCAGCTCACATGGTCTCCAGCACCCCTCTCCCCTTGATATGTCTGGTGCCCAGAATGGAAACACAGAATTTACGGTGGAGTCTGACCAGCACTAGCCTGGGGCTACAGAATGTACCTTCATTAATGCAGCTCCACTGGCAGCCTCATGCCCTGCCCACCAGCACTGAGAACACCTACCCAGAACGCTCAGAACACCTGAAAGTATTTGTGAAACAGAGCAGACAGGTGAGACCATTTTCTTTGCAGAAAATACAGCAGAGCCAAGGTTGGGAGTCAGGTTCCAGAAAGCCACAAAGCCTTCTGGCAGCAGCAGCAGGAGGAGGTCAGAAGGTAAGGAGAATTGTAGAATTGAATTATGAGATGACAAGCTTGGGGTCTCACTGCCCCGGAGCAGCCTTCCTGGTCTTAGGCCAGTGGTTTCAGCCTTCTGAGCATGAATTCCTCATTCATAACATGGGAATAATAGTGGCAACCTCATAGCCTCTGTAAGGTTTAGATGGGATATTACATGCAGAGCAGCAAGCTCAGAGTAAGCATCTTATATGATTAGCTGCTACTACGATGATCATGGTAGGAGGTCCCAAAGAGGTAAAGACCAAGTTTTAGGAAAAATCATCAGACAAGTATAAAAGAATTGATGAAGAGATGCCGGAGGTAAAGCCACTGGGGCAATCAAGCTGTGATCAATGAGGGTGGCCATGAACAGGGGAGGACGTGAAGCCAAAAGGAGAGAAAGGGGTGAGAGAGAACATGTGGAAGAGGAAGGAGAGGACAGAGTTGAAGAAACAGCAACTCCAAGATTCCTTCCCTCTTGTCTGTTCCAAAAACCTATTAGTGTACCATGTCATTGTCCCTGCAGTTGGCTGCTTTAAAAAGGTGAGATGCATAAAAGAAGGAAGCTGCCTTGTTTGTGGCCAGATTCGTCAGTGCACCAAAGGCTGCCTGGAAACTAGCAGATGCCCAATAAATGTTGTTGAATGAATTTCTGAATGGCTTTGAATGTATGTATGTGTGTGTGTGTGTATATATGTATGTGTATGTATGTATGCATGACTGTACATGTGCATGTATGTAGTTATAAACAACATAAAACTACAAATTATGTATAGTTGACTAGTGTATTAGTCAAGGTTCTCTAAAGGGACAGAACTAATAGGATAGATGTATATATGAAGGAGAGTTTATTAAGGAGAATTGACACACGATTACAAGGTGAAGTCCTACAACAGGCCATCTGCAAGCTGAGGGGCAAGGAAGCCAGTTAGAGTCCCAGAACATCAAAAGTAGGGAAGCTGACAGTGCAGCCTTCAGTCTATGGCTGAAGGCCCAAGAGCCTCTGGCAAACCACTGGTGTAAGTCCAAGAGTCCAAAAGCTGAAGAATTTGGAGTCTGATGTTCAAGGGCAGGAGGCATCCAGCATGGGAGAAAGACGAAGACCAGAGGACTCAGCAAGCTCACCTTTTTCTGCCTGCTTTGTTCTAACTGTGCTGGCAACTGATTAGATGGAGCCTACCCATACTGAGGGTGGGTCTGCCTCTCCCAGTCCACTGACTCAAATGTTAATCCCCTTTGGCAACACTGTCACAGATGCACCTAGGAACAATACTTTGCATCCTTCAATCCAATCAGGTTGACACTCAATATTAACCATCACAACTAGTATATCTAAAACTTTTAAAACTAGTGTGTGTGTACATATATGCCAAGAAGCTCTCTTCTTCGGTGATAGTACATGTTTTTGAGCTTCCTACTGGCCAAGGTGATGAAAGAAACTCACTGTATTACTAATTTTCATTGCCCCACCAACGGCTTGCAAGTTAACCTGGAAGAACAAACGTATATCCAGGGGCACATTAATTTAGCTTCTTCTGTGAGAGACATTTGGGGAAAAGGATGAATAATGTTATCAACAACGGTTTCAAAAAATGTAAAAATGGTCTGTGAATTGGTTTCTTTTGTATATCAATCTTCTATAAAAGTAATGGGTACAAAATGAAATGAAAGCTCAGCATAGGCATGCTTCCCCACCCCCATCATGGTATTTTTTAAAATCATGAACTGGATGCATTTTCTTCTCTGCCACTAACTGGGATTTGGAGCTCCTGGTCTCAGGTCATTGCTCCACTTTGAATGCCAACTGACAGCATCCTTCATAGAAGAATAGTTAAGGGGAATCCCACACCCAGCTCCTCCCATTCAATTTGCCTGGGGTCAACTTTTAATTGCTGGAGTGAGCAGCACTTCACATTGTACAAACAGGTAAGTTAGCAGACACCAATGTGTCCAGGATAAAATGTGTTCGGAGTTGAATTTAGCAAACATTTGATAAAATCTGTCACAGACTTCCCATTGCTTTGTAAGTTCTATCGTTGCCTCCTTTCAATTTATTGTCAGTCAATACATTGCCGATCTCTGATGAGGTAGCAGCAGGGTGCTCAGTGAGTGCTAAGGGTTTGAGGTGGGGAACAGAGCTGCCTTCAGCTTGCAAACAGCCTAGACTGGGGTGGGGCTGGAGGGGCAGAACATAGGGAATAAGGGTCACAGCAGAGGGAATGGCAAAGCACCGTGGTGCTTCTGGGAGTTGCAAAGATGCAGTCCAACTGCAAGTCGCCCACACTGCTACGATGCTGTGAATATAAGGGTCATCCCACCTGCAAGCTCACCCAACAAAGACAATGTTTCCAGAGGACAGAATACCACTTTGTGCGGTATAATTAAAAGAAACGACAAGAAAGACTCCCTGCTCCTTGAAAATCAGAAACCCAGACAGCATAAATAATGACAAGGAGTGTCTTTCAGTCACCAATGACAAGTAGAAAAGTTGTACTCTCAACAAAGGAAGTGCACAATGGCGAGCTCTTCGCTGAATAGGGACCATGTCTGTCTAACTCTGTGCAGCACGCCAGACTGCCAAGTACCTGTGGGTGCTTAATAAATGCCTTTGAAGGATGATGAATGTCATCATTATTACATCTGCCATTATAGTTTTTAGTGAATGAACCTTCCTTATCAATCTTTATAACCACAATTTCAATAGTATGAATTCAGTCACCTCCCATACCAAGTGCTTTCTGAAATTTTAGTTCTCAAAACTTGTCAAAAAACAATGCATTTGATTTGTTGCAATGTCACATGTCAGTATCAAAGCAAATTTAACTTACATGCTATCTTCTCAAATGGTTGTGCCATAATGTGGCTCATAAAGAATATAAAAGAATTGTTTTCCAGTTTTCAGTCTATAGTAATACTTGAATTTTTCACGAGTTATTGAAGACTCCTTTCAAAATGCTATTTGACATTAGCAATATATGATTTTGGAAACAAAGAGCCATTGTTTCTAGAAGTGGTTGCTAAAAAAGTAAATACGTGGATATTGCTTGTGAACTGCAATGATTTCCATTCTTTTCTTTTTTTAAACACTTACTACTTAAATCAAGGTGGGTGCAAAACCTAAAAGCCTACAGATGTCTTTTTGTAAATATAAAATGTGACTTCCTCAATTCTACTGGTCATTTATAACCCAGGTTACTTCTGTAGCCTTGAATTGAATTTAGCCTAAAGTTGAATGTAGGGCCCTTCTCTGTCCAGCCCGAATAATCTCTTTCTCCTCTGATAGTATAAGATCTATTATTTCTAACACTCATTTGACAAAATTTGAAAATTCTTCCCTCCCTCTCTCCCTCCCTCTTTTCTTCCTCTTCTTCCCTCCCTCCCTCCCTTCTTTCCCCAAACAAGGAGGCTACCGACTGTGTGAGCAGACATCAGGCTACAAGTTAAGCCATACGAATGGGAATAAGCCAGCCCTGCTGGCAAAGCGTACACAGTCTCACAGGGGAGAGGGATCATCGCGACACAGTGAAATTCCACAGGAAGAGGCCCATCAAAGCAAGCTGAGCAGAGTCCCGGGGAACAGGCAGTAGTGTCACAAGTTTGTGGAGGAGCTAGGGGAGAAGGCACACTTGAAGGAGGCCTTTGAGGATGCTAAACTATTTGACAGGTGGATGAAGTGGAGGAAAGGCATCCTAGGCAGAGAGGAAATTCTGGTTAACAGCGTGGAGACAAAACAGTGCTACAGTGCACGCAGAAATGATCAAGAGGCCCAGCTGGGCTCCCTGGAGAAATGGGGCCAAAGGTGAGATTTGGTCAGATGATGAAGGGCTTTGCATACCATGCTAAAAGTCCAGACTTGACTTGGTGTATACCAGACACTGTGTGGTGCATAGCAGGTGCTTTGCTTGGTACAGATCCATATAGTAGAGAGTTTATAATAGGTGCTTTGCTTTGTACACATTTATATACTGGATGGCTCGTAGTAGGGGCTTCGCTTGGTACATACTCACCCACTGTCTGGCTCATAGCAGATTCTCACCATTCAAGACACTGGGGAGTCATCAGATAAAGTTAAACCTCACAGGGGCACAAATGGGGCAGATCCAGGCATTATAGGACTTGAAGCTTAAAGTCATTTAGGGGAGCACTTTAAGAAAATGAATTTTTTTTTTTTTTTTTTTTTGAGACGGAGTCTCGCTCTGTCGCCCAGGCTGGAGTGCAGTGGCGGGATCTCGGCTCACTGCAAGCTCCGCCTCCCGGGTTCACGCCATTCTCCTGCCTCAGCCTCCCAAGTAGCTGGGACTACAGGCGCCCGCCACTACGCCCGGCTAATTTTTTGTATTTTTAGTAGAGACGGGGTTTCACCGTTTTAGCCGGGATGGTCTCGATCTCCTGACCTCGTGATCCGCCCGCCTCGGCCTCCCAAAGTGCTGGGATTACAGGCGTGAGCCACCGCGCCCGGCCAAGAAAATGAATTTTAAAACATATGACCTGTGAACAGATGGAAGGGGTCCCGTGCAAGTGAGTGGCCTTACAGCTTAGACTTCACTGGTTTCATTAGCCTCTGGGCATGGTTAATTCCATGCTGCAATAAGAAAAGCCAGTTGGGCGTGAGTAGGGCAGATTAGGAAGGAGACCAGATCACCATCTTGTAGCATAGGTATTTCTCTCTTGTATCATCATATAAAGTGGCTTGCATATTTGTTTATCACCCTGGCTATGTGGTGAATGTTATGAAAGTGTTTATCTCCCTTTTTTATCCTCTGCAAAAATCTAGCACAATGCTTTGCGTTAATAATTGGTTAAGTGTGATATTTGACACTGGATATCTCCATTAACAAACTCTCCCTCTGTCATTCTTGCTGAGAACATTAACTGAGCACGAATTATGTGCCAAGCATTGGGAACAGCACCCATTATGAGTCAAGGAAATGGGAATACAAAGGGCTTTCTCCCTGTCACCCTGCACTTCAGAAGCTCATAGCTCACAAGAAAGAAACAATGTTGTGATCTTACTGAATATTTACTGAGCTCTTGCTGCAAACTAAAGTGGCTTGAAGAACCTATCTCAGGTAATTCTAACAACTCCAGATTCAGACAATATTATTACCCCCGCTATAGAAATGAGGTCACACATACAGCTGGTAAGTGAGGGGATATCAAAGCATCAGCCCAGAAAGTCTGACTGCAGAGTCCACATTCGTAACCCCACACTATAGACCACCAGTATTTAACAGCAACATAAAAATATGGTTGCAGTGGAGGCAATAAGTTCTAGGACAGAAATAGGTACAAGGGGCACATCCGAAGAAGGGGCCAACTCCTGTGTGGTTGGCAAGGTTGCAAAGAGAAACGTATGAGCTGAGTCTTAAAGAATCAACAAGACTTCACCAAGCAGGTGAAGAGGAGAAAAGAGCATTCCAGATAGAGGGAATGACACATTCAAAAACACGCTGAAAATCCATGGCCTGTAGTTTCAAACTATTGCAAAACCACCTTGACACACCTTCGCTTGTATCTGTAAAGGAGAACAAGCACAGCGCAGGGTAGTACCTTCCTTTCCGGAGCAAATCCTCAAAGCTGTAATTAATGGCTCCAACTGCTGTAATAAGAAAGGGAACAGGATGGAAGCTTCCTTTGAGTATAATTCTTCAGGAGCCCAAATGAGGCTAACAAAAGAGGAATTAAACACAATGCTGTGTCATGGCACTTTGACATAAGTGTCGACTTAGAATTTCAAATAAAATTAGAAGATTCTTCTAATAATTATGTAGGATGGCAAATAAGGTCCAGGGGCAAGCACATGTGGCAAGAAGTGACTAATCGTATTTTGCAAAAAGGCAACTGGAGCTGACCCTTCTCAGGATAATATTGCAGGGAAGTCAGAGAGGAGGAAAGGTTACCAGCGGTTAATGTTAAATAGTAATCCATCCACCATGCACCCCCCATCGCTCCTCCATATTCATAGGAAACCACATTCCATCCATATTCATTACCGTCCAAAGAGTTTAAAAGTAGCAAATGCAAGCTTGGAAGATTTCAATTCTAATAAAAGTGCTTCCGGTGATGAGCGCCATAGGCTTCCCCCACCAACCTCGAAATTAAACTAAACTAATAAAGGAAAATGGCAGGTGGTGAGGCTGGGATAAGCCCTGTCTTTTTCTTCTTCTTTCTTCTTCTTCCTCTTCTTCTTCTTCTTCTTCTTCTTCTTCTTCTTCTTCTTCTTCTTCTTCTTCTTCTTCTTCTTCTTCTTCCTCCTCTTCCTCTTCCTCTTCCTCTTCCTCTTCCTCTTCTTCTTCTTTTTTATTTTATTTTTTTGAGATGCAGTTTCGCTCTTGTTGCCCAGGCTGGAGTGTAATGGCGTGATCTTGGCTTACTGCAACCTCTGCCTCCTAGGTTCAAATGATTCTCCTTCCTCAGCCTCCCTAGTAGCTGGGATTACAGGCATGCGTCACCACGCCTGGCTAACTGTGTATTTTTAGTAGAGACGAGGTTTTACCATGTTGGTAAGGCTGGTTTTGAACTCCTGACTTTAGGTGATTTGCCCATGTCAGCCTCCCAAAGTGCTGGGATTACAGGTGTGAGCCACCACGCCCGGCCAAGCCCAGTCTTCTTAAAGCAGCAAAGGGCACCTTCCTTTATCGGGCATATTCTAGGTGCCAGACATGTACCCAAGAGGCTACAGGTGCAGGCCTGTGTGTCTTTGGAAACTCTTGGGGAACTGAGATTGGGACAAGTGCTTCCCACTCCACTAAAGGGCTCAGTAAAAGCTTCTGAGGCCTCGGACTTCCTTGTAGAAAGTAAATTCCGCAGTCGGGTGTGGTGGCTCACACCTGCACTTTGAGAGGCCGAGGCGGGTAGAGCACTTGAGGTCAGGAGTTCAAGACCAGCCTGGCCAACATGGTGAAACCCCCTCTCTACTAAAAATGCAAAAATTAGCTGGGCGTGGTGGTGCATGTCTCTAATCCCAGCTACTTGGGAGGCTGAGGCAGGATGATCACTTGAACCTGGGAGGCGGAGGCTGCAGTAAGCCAAGATTGTGCCACTGCACTCCAGCCTGGGTGACAGAGCAAGACTCTGTCCCACAAAAAAAAAAAAAAAAAAAAAAAAAAAAAAAAAAAAAGTAAATTCTGCAAAGAACAGAACAAAGTTAAACTCTTCCACGAATAGAGTTGACTGGAACATCCCCTCTGCCAGGCACCAACAGGTTTCAGTTTTTCATTTTTTATCTGATTTAGGCTAATCAGTGAGATTCTTCATCCTCCCCCATTTACTGCACACTTAATCTTCATAATAGCAGTCCCTGCAGGTATCTCCTAAATTAGGGAACTTAGAGTTTGTCAAGATGTTTACAAATATGTGACCACCTTGCATCCTTGAAACGACCTGCAGCCAGGTATGTGTATTTTGTGTATTGTGTATGTAAAAGGCATATATTACTGTTTTTGGAGTCTTTTTCAATTTCACAGGAAAAGAAATTAAGGCGCAAAAAGTTAAGGAATTGGCCTAAAAAGTCACACTGCAGCTAGAGAATATCAATTCAGGATTTTTGACCCCAGGGAAAGAGTGAGCTTCTAATTACAGCAGGGAGAGGTTGGGGTTTGGGGAGATCCTATGGACGGACCAGAGGTAAAGTTTGAACTAAAGACCCTTAAAGCTCTTGCCACCCTAAGTTTTATAAGGATCTCAAGGGCCATTATTTTGCTTGGCTATGCCTCCTGGTCTTGCGGGCAGGTGGCAGGCACTGCTGAATAGTGGGAAGGGCAGGATCCTGGAATCACAGGAGGCCCTGCACAGTTCTGGAATTCCATAAAGAGAGTACAGCCTTATGATGCCCCGGGGTTGTAGAGATATGCATATATGTGCGCACACACACACACACACACACACACAGAGCCATAGCTAGGCGTGGTGGAAGAGTGCACTGGGGACCCAGGACACTGACTTTTCTCTCCAAGAGATGTTTGCCAGGGCGAGGCAGGCAAGAGCTCGCCCCTGTCCCCACCCACGCCTGGATCCAGACGAACGAGGGAGACCTTAATTCACTTTACCCCAAAATGAACCCGACCCCCAGTGACAGTGGGTGGAAAGGTAGGAAGCTGAGACAGCCGATGATTGCCCCTGGAGATAAGCAGAGGTAGTGGCACTGGCAGATCTTGATCTGGCGACCCGCTCCCTGGTCGTCTCCTCCGCGGCCAGGCGCATCCTGCAGCGCCCAGACCGCCGCGTCCCCACCCGCGTCCCCAACCGCGAGCGCTCGCCTGGGCCGGGCCGGGCGCCCGAGATTCGGGAGAGATTAGGGGCCCGCAAAGCAGAAGAGCAGATTCAGAAAGAAAAAAAAAAAAGCGAGAAGTGCGAGAAAAATATACTGAATTCAGCTAAACACACGGCAGATGAAAAAAATACCTTGCTCAGAAGCCAAAAACGAGCTCCCGAGCCGTGAGACACTGTTGCGCCCCCGCCAGGCGTGCAGGCCGGATGTTAGGGGGGCAACCTCGAGGCCCGATGGTGGCTTCGACCCCAGGGCGGACCTGCGCCTACCCTCAGCCCCTGCAACTGCGGGTCAGGAGAAAGGGACCTGCCATGGCGAAGAAAACCGAATCTTCTCCAATTAGGCTTCTCCTTAAAGAGAGAAAAAGTAGGTAGTTGGGCAACTTAATCCAATCTGGGACTCGGGACGTGTGCTTGGGCGCTTCCCGGGCAGCTGGCCGGAGCGTGTGGGTTCGGAGCTCCCAGCGCTGGCCCCGCGCTGCCCCTCGATGCCACCAGCAAACCCGCAGGGCGCCTTGGCGCAGGCTCGCGTTTGCAGAGCCGGCCTGGGAAGCGGAACTCCCTCCGGTCCCGATGACCAGGCCTCTTTAGGGTCCTGGCTCAGGCTGCCTTTGTGGGACAGAGCCTCATGAAGGGACACAGAAACAGAGACAGCCTCTGGGCGGCGCCCCCGGGATGTGGCGTTTCTGTGCCCCGGGGAGGGGGCACCACCCCTGCCTATGCGGAGCGATCCGGACGCTGCAGGGGTGACGCCGGGCAGCGCCCGCTCTGACCTCCCACGGCTTTTAGAATTATTAGTGTTGTTACTGTTGTAGTTAAATTCTTCACTACCACGAAGTGAGAGGAAAATTCCGAATCCAGTCGTCACTGGGGCCCTTCCCCCCACCCCCCCACCAGCCTTTCCTTTCGGACCCTCCTCCCCCAGGAAACCAGGAAAATGTTGAGGCTTCCGGTCCCCTTTCCCCCTCCGCCTCAGAGTTGCAAGGGCAAGGAGTTTTCTCGACATCACCAGCAGCAGGTGTTTGGAGAGGAGGGGGCCTAATGCAGGTCGCCACCCCCTCCCCTTTCGGATGCCACCAAAGCCTCCATAGCTAGGGCGCGTCCTTCTGGATCTTCTTTCAGTTTCCCCGGGCCCTGCAGACCAGGACAGCGACTTTCCAGCAATCCTGGAGCATTTTGCTTAAAAAAAAAAAAAAAAAAAAAAAAAAAAAGTGAGCTCGGTTGCTGCCGTAACATAAAAGCCCCCTTTGATTTACAAATAGATTCATACAACCGCAAGAGCTTGGATTTGTTTTGAGGTTCTTGGTACTTTTCTTTAATGACAGAATGCCAAACAGGTAAATCGAATAAAAAAAAACTTCTAACACGAATAGTGCCAGCAAATAAAATTGTGCAACTGACAGTAATTAAAAGATTTAGAATAAGTAAGTATGCATTGTGTATTTCAGGCAGATGACCACGTCCCAAGACACAATGTTCCATGTGGCAAGCACTGCCTTTCAGTCAGCACAGTGAGGGCATATCCCCATTTGATGAGCCGGCCAAAAGTCTAAGTAGAGACCCTCGGTGAACAGGAAGCCCGGAGGGGCTGACCTTCGTGACTCCCTCCACAGGCCCTGGGAAAAATATCAGAGGCCAGAATTCAACCCTCTCACTACAAAACGGTTAAACCAAGACTGTTGGGTCTTGACTAAGCCAGAGATTGACCCAATTCTCCGGACAGTTATGCAATCGTTTGCAGCACAAAAACGCAATGTCCTACCTGTGAGAGATATTCTTCTTCTCAGTCCCATTCTACAGATGGAAAAAACTGAGGCCAAGAAAGAGTAAGTGACCACACCAAGCACTTCTCCTAGGAAATGGCAGAACTGGAACACTACAGATAACGCAGCACCTCTTCTGAACCCACTGCAGATCTGAGAGATTGTGTCAATTCTTCCCATCCACTTGGGTTGGTTTTTCAGTTGGCTATCCTTCTGCCGAGATACCTGAATCCCAACCCTCATCCCTGTGGAATTTGAAAGTGGATTTTCTGAACCTTTGATTAAAATATACAGTTTTTAGTTTTGGGGTGGTTGAGTTTTTGGTGGTTTTTTTCGCTTGTTTCTTTTGGTTTTGTTGTTTTTGCTGTCTCATCTCCCCAAGAGAAAAACAGCTCCAGAACAGGAAGGACTCCCTCGAGAAGCACCTCGGAGGGATGGGGTTAAGCCAGCAGGTGTGCCGGTCTTGGCATTCAAGGCAAGCCAAAGTACTGGATCTGACGGGTTTTATTGTTTTAAGAGGTACAAGTTCACAGCTTCCTGAATGGAAGTCTCTTCATTTCTTGGAGCCAAGCTTAAATGCCTTTAAAATCTTGGCCTGCCGTTATCCTGTAGCTGTTAATTAAGCTTTGAAAACTTTACATTATGTTTACAGTGCACTGTGCGAATTGCAAAATAAATTAGAACCCGAGGCAAAGAAATTGGAGTTTTCAATAAATGGAACAAAAACCGGAGAGAGTCGCTTTTTAGATAATGTGAGACTCGCTATTTCTCACTCTGATATTTCTTTCTAAGGGGGAAAATGGACTTTGAAAAAATAAACTTTTGCTTCAAAATGTAACACTTACGGGTTCATGGTTTTTCTTCTGCATGGCAGTCTGAGTTGAATAATTCTGCAAAGACAAGGGAGTGATGAAGAAATAAGGAGAGAGTAAATGAATTGTGTGAGAAATGCGTCTCTTTGCAAGTTAGGCAACAGAAAATACAAGACGGCATTAACCATTCACATAGTTAAAAGCAAAAACAGAAAACAAAACTACAATATGGTTTAATTTGTGTCCTAAAGAAGATTCCAGGTAAATTTTATATTTGCTTTTGATTTTTTTAAGCAACCTGTGCTAAATTCAAGGGACCAAAAATAGCTTTAAAAGAAGAGCATAAATAAAAACCCCACACAAGGAAAAACAGCTGATGTTTTTCAAACCTCTAGCCCAGAAGATACTCTTCAGATATATTCTTCAGAACATTAATACTCAATTTTCGAAACAAGGTATGTATGCTTTCTTCCTTCCATAAGTTTCACATTTGGAAAAAAGTGAGCTTAGGAGAGCTTGAAAACTGACCCTGAAAATTATTGTTGTAAAACTGAGCAAATACATAAGCTTTAATGAACAGAAGAAGCAGGAGGCCCTGTGTTTGCATCAGATACATTAATTTTGTTTAGAAATTCTGCCAAATGGATAATTCACAGCAATTCAGTTCTTAAAGTTTTAAGAGAATGAAGAGGAATCTTCATTCTGACTTCTTGAAATATTCGATAATTTGTTTTAAAATTAGAGATTTGCTTTCTGCCTCTCCAAACAGATGCAAAACTGATATAAATTTTAATCGTGCTGGCAGTCCAAGTATACTGTTTATTCAAGTCTTGTTATAAAACTCTAAGTGAAGAAAAAAATAGGAAAAGAAAGACAAAAGAAATTGAATAGGAAGTGTCTCCTAAAACATACCTGGTTTAAACCTGCATTCACACAGTAAGTTTCCTGGAATAATCTCTTAAGGGTAGCTGCTAACAATATGACAGCTCTCTAACCACCCCCTGAAAAATAGCTCTATTGTATTTTCTAATTTTAAAAAATATAGTGTTTAGAAACCGTTCTAAGAATTTTAAGCAACAAGACATAGATAATGAAGAACGATAGATGACACATAATAGTTCAGTGATTTGACATTTTGAAGACCATTGCCCCATCTGCTCCACGCCAAAAAAAAAAAAAAAATTCAGTTAATGGAAGTGAAGATGACAAAGGCCTGAGCCATATACTGGGCTTTGTGAATAGAAGATAAAGAGATTATAATGCTTGCTCCTTCCTTCCTTCCTTCCTTCCTTCCTTCCTTCCTTCCTTCCTTCCTTCCCTTCCCTCCCCTTCCTTCCTTGCTTCCTTCCTCCCTTCCCTCCCTCCCCTCCTTTCCCTCTTGCCTTCCTTCCTTCTTTCCTTCCTTTTCTTCTTTTTTTCTCTTTCTTTTTCATATTTCTTTATTTTTTTTCTTTTTAATAATCCTGTTTATTTGAAGCCTAGCATAGGAGAAGTTGCAAAAAGCCGAGTTTGTAGCCAAAAAACTTGAAGCCTCACTAGCTCTGTTTCTAACTGGGTGACCTTGGCTGGTCTATTTGCTGAGCCTGACTTCATTTCCTCATATAGATGTGGATATGGATATGGGCATGGGAAAAGATAAAGATATAGGAATAAAAATAAGTATGGATGCAGATCTACGTATAGATATAGGTATAGGTATGCGTGTGAATATAGATATGGAAAAAAGATATAGATATGGAAATCTGGACATAGCTATAGAAACAGAAAAGAGATAAAGATAGATATGGAAAAGCTATAGACATGGAAATAGATACAGATATATTATAGATGAGGTGGGATTTGTGGTAATGATATTTACCTGGCCTACTTCACAGGCTCAATGGCAAACAGATGAAAGAATGCTTGCTATTGTTTTTTCGTAAATTGAAAGTGTGAAAAATATCAACATCACCTCCACTTGAAGAGTGCTTAGTGCTTTTTCAAAGAATTTAGCAATTTGAATGCTATGTGAGTAAGAGAGCTTGGGGAGGAAGTGTCATAACTGGAGTTTGCTCCTGCATTCATCCTTCTACAGTTATTCACAGCCTCTCATTGAGTGCTTAGTAGGTAGAGAAGAGAGTTTGCTTTTCTCAGCCTGCTTTTAAGCATAATTTCTAATGATCAGAACAGTTAATAGCATTCATTAAGTACCTTCCTCAGGCCAGACACCATACATTACAAGGTGCCTGACACTCATTGATCACCCATCGTGTCCACACCAGAAAACTAGATGATGTTCTCTCCTTTTGGCTGATAAGGAAACTGAACCACAGAGAGTGGAGAGGAGCAGGTACTGAGTTCACAGCTGGTTAGAGGAAGATCTGGATGCAAAAGCTCAATCTCCATGGCTTTTAAGAAAACAATAATAGAACACAAAAACGTAGGTGCCTTAATTTGTCCACAGGCACGTGTTTCTAGAGATGGGGACATTGGTCCAGCCAAAAATTCCTAGACTGTGCAAAGCACTGATATTTCACTGGCAGAGGTAAGGAGACACAGAGGCCCTTCAGGACAGGGATATTCTAGCAACAGTGTTATTCCAGGTACGAACACCTCTGAGCACAGTCAAAGGGGAAATAGCCATGCATGACCACCTGACCTTGAATCACTTGTGTGTAGCAGTCATTGCCTTAGTGCCTGCTTCACACCAGGCAGGTGGCATGGATCACTCGGCCCCACCCTTCCATCTGAAAGGTGAAAAAATTGAGAGCCAGAGACATTCAGTTGGCCAGGATCATTCAGCAGACAGGCATAGAAGTCTTGAGCCCGTGAGTTCTGGGAGCGGTGATGGTACATTTCAATGAGCACAAGCACAAATTGGAAGGGTGGAGAAGGGTTCAATTTTGCTTGGATTAGAATCATGAGCTGCCTAGCAGGAGGAAATCCACACTCCCGAAGCTCCTTGGTCTCTGATTTCACAAGCACTCTCATGTAGGCTTGGAAATAGAGCACATATACTCTACTCTGATTTCCTTGCTAGAGTGTTAACGTATGCATATCTCTCTGTCCTGGGACACCAGCAGCACCCACATAAATCTGTCTGCTCTGCTAACAGTGCAGCGCTGGGTCTGTTTGTCTTCCAGACTTTATGTCTCCCAGTTCTTTCTGTCCCATGGTGACAGTACATCTTCTGCAGTCCTCCTGTGTACCCTGCAGCACCAAGCAGTGATTTTTGTCTAGCTTTTGCATTTCCATGTTGGCTATAAAGATGTGCATGACCCGTTGACTTGGGTCTTTTGACCTTTGACACATGCGCAGCCTTGAATATTTCGAAAGAATAAGAAACATTTCCAGTTCCCCATTAACAGGCAGAAGCTGAGTAAAAATGAAATGCCCGAGAACCCTGTTATTATCATTATTGGTTAGCCCATGCATGACTTTCTTCCCACCCCAAAGCTATTTGGACCTACCCATCCAAAATTTGAATGTCCATGCTTGTTTTGAACTGGAAGCTTTAAAAAGTACACCCAGGCCAGGCATGGTGGCTCTGTAATCCCAGCACTTTGGGAGACCGAGGCAGGTGGATCATTTGAGGTCAGGAGTTTGAGACCAACTGGCCAACATGGTGAAATCCATTTCTACTAAAAACACACACACACACAAAATTAGCTGGGTGTGGTGGCACATGCCTATAATCTCAGCTACTTGGGAGGCTGAAGCAGGAGAATCACTTGAACCCAGGAGGCAGAAGTTGCAGTGAGCCGAAATTGCACCACTGCACTCCAGCCTGGGTGACAGAGTGGGACTCCATCTCAAAAAAAAAAAAAAACAAGAAAAGAAAAAAGAAAGGAAAGGAGAGGAGAGGAGAGGAGAGGAGAGGAGAGGAGACCCAGCCCAGCCTCTAACTCTCTAAGGCTCTTTAAATAAGATACTTGCCCTCATTTTCTCACCTTTGTAGTAGGGATATTAAACCTGCCCTGCTAATATTCACAGTGATGGTGGTGATAAAGATGAAGATGGTGGCTAGCACCTATTGGGTGTTTATGTTTATATTGTGCTACTTCAGTCTTTACATATTTACATGTAATTCTCATCATTACCCTATGAGGTAGAACTTCAGCTTACAGAAGAGGAAACTGAATCACAGAGAAGTCAAGTCACAGAGCCTACAAAGGGCAAAAGCCGTAGATTTGATTCTAGGTGGGTCTTACTCTGAGCCTTTGTGGGTCAAATCAGAGAGTATATGCAGAAATGCTTTGGCAGACTGGAAAAATGCAACCAAGCACTGAGGGTTATAAAACATGTTTACTTTTTTGTTGCTAAGTTAAAATGTGACACTTTGGTTTGACCTGGGGAGCTGACTGAGCTTTGTCTCAAGTTACCACTGTGGGTCTTGTGAATTAGAAATCTCCAAGTTCCTTTCACCTCTGAGGTTCTAAGCTTTTGTATAAGAAAATGCTGTTATTGGTCCCTCAGTAACAGGGAGGGCAGAAAGAGGGTTGGAAAAAACTGAAATTCTCTTTCAGACCGTAAAGGACTTATTTGGGGCATTGATGCTAGAGTTTACTAACTATATTGGGAACCCTCATGCTGCTTCCAAAAATGTCTTTCTGGCTCCCAGGAGTCAAATGCCAATTTCTGAAACAGCACAGCTCTGCCTCGGCACTGACTGTGACATCGTAGCCACAGTGACCTTGGACAAGGACATGTCACCTCTCTCCCCTTAGCCTCAGACCCCTTATCTCTAAAGTGGAAATCTAAAATCACCCATCATGCCAACCTTACCGGATTGGATTCAGGACCGGGTGAAGTAGCAGATGGGAGAGGACTCGCCAAACCAGAGAGCATCCGAAACATTTGAGAGATTCATATGTTCGTTATTTGTTCTCGGCCTGTCTTTGGGCTGTCTTCACATTCCCATTGTCCTCCTTTCTTTGGTTCTCTATGAATTTCTTTTAGATTCTAGATGCCAAAAAGAAGGGTTTATGTTTGGACAGAGGATTTTTTTTTTTAATTTAAGGATACCTTCATCCTCTTGCTCTCTGTTGATGTTGGTCAGGTCATTCTTAAAATTGAGTCCTGCCCCTATCTCTCCTCACTTCCTATTAATAGTACACCTGCTAACCACCCCACCACTGCTACCCTCTGTCTTTGCACGTTTCAGAACAGAGCTGGAATTAGAAAAGTTCCAAAAGACAAGAGTGCATGCTTTCTTTCAGTGGCTAGTTTTGTATTCCTGATTACAATCCCACTGTGTTTCCGTGAAAAACAGCATTATCAGCCATCTGCACAGGGGAAAAAAAACTGAGTAGTCTATCACTTTTAGGTTTTAGGGTAATAGCGGCTTTTACCTTCTTACTTTGATTCATTACCTTTGCAAAAGCGTAAATCTGTCATTTTGGCACTAACTTCTATCATATGCATATTAATAAGAATAATAATCACAACATCAGTGATTTGGGATTTTATAACTGAGTTATTTTCTTTAAGTGCCAGGGCAGAGTTGGCTAGAAAGTAGCACAAATATTGCAAAGGATTTTTCCTTAGAAATGGATTTCTGAACTTTACAAATATTATTTTTGGGTAAAAGGGAGCTTGCGTCAAAGAAGCGGCCTTTTCTAAACCCAAAATTGTTTCTGCTAATAATTCTGTTTCCCCCTTTTCTGGTAGCCTTTATGAACCCAAGAACTTTCTGCTTAGGATGGAAGCAGTTCTTCTCCAGAACATAATTAGCCAGACACTGACTACAGGTCATATTTTGCAAAACAGGTCTGTTTCTTTTCATTTAACATGTTTACTAGGTGCCTATAATGTGCCCTGCAATAAACTAAGATTTATGGAGGCAAAGCTCTTGCTTCTGGTATGTTATGGTGCAAAATCATTTCAAGAGTATCACTCTTAAAATTTGTTTAATAATATGTATGAGTCTTTTTCTCAGGGCAATAAAACAATGTTTCATTAATGATAGAGACAAATTAGTGTGTGTGATCCCAGTAATTTTCACTTTAAACATTAGGCCTTCTCTTACAGAACATTTTCACAGCAAGTTGATCACAATTTGACATGCATACAATTTAGTAAGATTGATTCATTATACAATTTTAAAAATTCTTGAATTGCAATTGTCAAATAATGATTGTTCAGCTAAGGAGTTCTGATGTTCTGAGAGTAGCCTTGTAAATCTTCCCTACTGAATAAACTTGCAAAAATTTCAAAGCAAAACAAAGAAAACATTTGGCCCTGAGAAGCAATGGTGATTGTGGGGAGTTAATATAAACTCAGCATGAAGGAGTTACATTGAATACTGATCCCACTCGTCATGAAAACCAAAAAATATGAATTTGTCTTTCATGCATAAAGGGGTGATGAAAGGATAGAGTCAGGGCAAAATAAATTAATATTTGTTGAATGTCTGCTATGTACATTTGGGATGAAGCATTTTCATTATTTGTCAGCTATTTACCAAGCAAATAACCATTTCCCTGTTATATAAAGGAAAGGAATACTGACTCAGAGAGGTTCAGCTACTTGTTTGAGGTCACACAGCATTCAGCAGCCAAGTTGTTCATCAGACATGAATCAGTCTGACCCCAAAGCTTATGGTTATCCTCCCCTTTTCACCCCATGCTGCTGCTTATCCTAAATCAACTTTATTTTACTTTTCTAGTTATGATCACAGTAACATCAACGCATGATTGTAGTAGAAAACTGACCAAAAAAAAAAAAAAAGTCAAAAGGCAAAAAAGTTCACCCACAACCCCAATAGCCATCAATAGTCACATGTCTTTACAGTCTTTCTTTGATGCACTGTTATCATCATAATCATAGTACATGGAAGAATGAGGGTGAATTTACTCACAAAGCCTCCAGATAACCATAGTTGTCTGTTGTCTATGATTTTCAATAAAGAATTGTACATGTTAAGTTTTAAATCTCCAGACTTAATGGAGCAGCAGAGTCTAAAGCCCATTTGAAATCCTAGAACAGGTGGGCTCTGAAGGGCTGCAGCAGCTCTGTCTCCATGGCCTGGGCCATGCGGTTTTTTCTGGGTCTCTCTCCTGCTCATCCTATTCTATTTTTTTCACCATGCACCACCTACACCCCTAACATTTCACTGACAATCCTCTGCCTTTTCTCCCCCAAACACAATGGAAAGTTAATTGAATGTTTTATGCCTTCGAACTATCAAAGAAATGAAAAGAACGTAGGTTTCAACTATATTTCAATAATAACTGCATTAATTTTTACCTTTTAACTGACACTTGTACTAATTTCCTTAAATGCTCTCTCTGGTTCTTTTTTGATCTGTCTGGCTTTGTTGGGCTGATGATGAAGGCTTACTTCAAATGCAAAAAGATTAGGTCTCTTTTCCTTAATAGCACAATTACAGATTGTATGATGTCTCCATCATGAAAGAGAACAGGGACAGACTTATAAAGTCACACGAGTTTATTACAAAAGTGGCAGTAATAATTTTAATTACTATACTCTACAAAGGATATCAAAATTGCCCTAATTGTCTAATGTCATTTAGGAATTGTTGTGGGTAAAATGGGAGAAAAGCATTTAGTAGGGGTTCCCCCCACCTTTAATTTGATTTGGGTCATTGTTTTAGAAAAGTATTGTGATACATTATAACCTTGAACCCAAATTTTATAGAACCCAGGTATATGAAAGTCTGTGGGAATGCAGAATAAGTTTCTCCACATAATATTCAAAATTAACTAGAAACAATAACTCTAAGTACTATTTGTGGCTTACTATTTAAAGCCCAGGAGAAACAAAGAATAAGCTCCTTTAATTTTGTCAAACACGTATAATGTTTAAATTCAGCAGTGACTACAGTTCAAAAGACCAGATGTTCTTGTATATTTATATAATTATTTTGTACAATAGTTTACCACTGGCAAAAAAAAAAAAAAAATCAAAGTATATTGTTGTATTTGGCATTTCTATGATTGAAAAAAAGAAATCTAGAAATTGCATATATTGAATTAATTCTAATTTTATTAAAACCAAAGAGAGAGAGAGAAATAAATGGAGAGATAGTCATATTAGTCTTACACTAAATTAAGTCGAAGAATAAGAAGCAACATTGATCTGAGTATAAAAAGCCTCAACTCTAATGCATTTAGGTTAACTAAGGAGAAGCTGAAGCAGTTTGACCCACTGTCAGTCTATTTTAAGAAGAACATTTGTTAAATTGCAATGAAAAATGTTGCACTTAAACTCTGGCAAAGAGACAATTAGTACCTCCCCCCAACTCTACCACGACAAAAAAAAAAAAAAAAAAAAAAAAAAAAAAAACCTCAATTGAAAAGTAAAAGAAAAAAAAACTTTGAGGAATATACACTTTAAAAATACACTTTAAAAATATCAAAAATAATCTTCTGGAAGATGCTATATTGTAGTAAAATTAGGAGCTTCCAAGAAAATTACCTAAAAGTAAGGAGTTCCTGGTTTATATTACATCCCAGGTAGGAAATTACGCAGGTTCCCATAATGAAGGGCTTTTCTGACAGTAAATTTATTAACTAAAAAATATATATATAGACCCTTTCAATAAAAGCTACTCACCTAAAAGGAATGATTCGAGAATATAATAATAGAATGAATGTTGTATAATACAGTGCCTTTAAAAGATTCTGACATTTATATCTTTCTAATTCTTGGTTCACATTGATGATGAGTGTGGAAAATTTTATTGAGAGGTGGAGATTGATATAAATGAATATTACATCATGAAAGGAGAGTGAAAACTTCTTCTCATTTAATATTATACAGACTTTGTAACTATTTTTTCTCATAGAACCAGAAAAGACACATTTACTTTTGCTTAAGAGATATTAATATAAGAAATAAAGGCTCAAAGCAGCTATTTAATTGAAATAATAGCAACAGAAAATTGCCCTTCTCTTGGGTCCATCGTGCCCATGTGAAGGAGTAGACGGGCGGGGGTGCTGGTTCGGCCATGGAAGAAAGCTCCCTGTTGAGGAAGTGAGCATTTGGACCACGGTCTGGTAAGTTGGACATTCCCCTCGCCAGTTCTGCGTAACGGTTTCGGAACGGGCTCTTTCTCTCTGCCGTTTTGGTTCTTAGGTGCTGATTTTAGCTTCCATCAATGCTGCGTGGCGATCACTGTCATCCTCATACACTGCAGATGGTGATGCCACCCCATCAAGACCGGGATTACGTGATCCTCGGCCACTGCCGTGACCTACGTGCTGGGTACAAAGGAGGCTCAGTAAATAGTTGCCAATTAAATAACTGTAGGCACTACAAGGAAAGAGGTGAGCTATACATCATCCTATCTAGAAAATGTAATTCTCTAAAAATACTATGCATAAAATTAAAAGAGATGCGCTCCCTGGGATAGGTGAAATGAAATTCCATTTGAAAACCGTTTCAGCGTTTCAGTACAATTAAGAAGAAACTGGCCTTCTTCCCCGGCCTCATGAAGCCTCGCATGGGTCCCCCAGAGACGGTGTAACCCTGCAAGCATTTTGGTGACCCTGGACACTCAGTGGATCACCCTTTCCTGAATTAATAACTGCTCCAGCGACGTGCCTGTTCACACGAGCGCACTGTTCCGTTAGCAGTTTGCGCTTGGTGGGAAAAGATGGTGAGGCAACTTAGTCCTTGCCAAAATTTCAAATGTGTGACACCGCAAGAAAGACACCGTCAGGAGCAGTTGCTAATTTATTTTAAGTGCCCCCTGAGTTTTTAATTTATCTGGAAAAATAAATAGATAAATCCGAGGCTCTCCCTGCCAACCCAGCCCAGCACCGGGTCTGCCAGTGGCGGTGGAGGTTTGCGGGTGACAGCTACTGCCGCCAGGGAGAGGTGTCAGAGTGTTCAGCCAATAACGCAGGGTGAGCGTTGACTATTCTTGGTTGCATCAGAATCGGATAGATCACATTTGTATAGAGCTGACCTTTCCTTTTCCTGAATTGGCTGCCGACACACATGCTAAATATTTTTTTTTTTTCTCCAGATAGTCTGCAATTCCAAACAGTGCTGCAGACTTCTCCAAGCCCGGAGTCAGTGTAAGTTTGGAATGCAATCAGTCTAGTTTAGAAATTCATTATCCAAAGTGAGGAGCCCAGCGAATATTATAGTTTCATAAATATGCAGATTTTGTTTATTTAAACATTTTTTTATTACACTTTGTGTTTTCCTAAATTGGGTCATCATTTTAATATAATTGGAATCCGATGTGTGTCCTGTTTTCCTTAAAAGCCATCTGGTTCATTTTCGACTTTCAGAAACCAGATTATTTGTGGTAATATCAGGCCTTGCTCATGGCTCCTTTTGAGTCAACACGTGGCTTTGGGGTGCTGGACCAAGGAAGTCCAAGTATGCTTTGGGAAGGCTCCCAGCTCCTCACTTTCAGGACAGGTTTCCAAGCTGGGCAGCTAAGATGGGACTCATGCCAGGAAAATCTATGGGGAACTAGAGAAGGCAGCATTCAACTGAAGAGAATAAATGAATACAGTCCTCTTCATCTTGGATGAAGAGCAGCTGACCAAAAGTTAGACTGTGGTTAAGAACACAAAGTCCAGTTCTGACATCTTACTCTCTAACCAGATCGAATGCTCCCTGAGGGCAGGAAGCTTATACTCTGAATAGCTCCACTTTTCATAGGACTGAGCACCAAGTAGGTGCTGAAGATGTATTTGTTGATTGATGAGGATTCCAGAAACCCAAATCATAACAAAGTAGTGTGTTGTAATCATTATCTATTGCTGCATAACAAATTATTCCAAAACTGAGCAACTGGAAACAACACTTGTGTTATCTATAATACACTTGTATTTCTATAGGATCAGAAATGCAGGCATGGCTTGGCTGGATCCCCCCACTCAGGGCCTCTGCAAATGTTATGGGTCTCCCTCAGCCCCTTGCTACATGGGCCTTTCTGTAGGGTGATCACGATATGGCACTCACTTCATGTGAACGAGCAAGTGGCAGTCAGGAGAAAGTGTGAGCAAGACAGATGAGATAGTCTTCTGCAATGCACTCTCAAACATAATATCCCAGCACCTTCTCTGTATGATATTGGTGAGATAAGAGTCACTAGTGCCAACCCACACTCCACCGGAGGGCATCACTCAGGAACAGCAGTCATTGGGAGGCATGTCTGAAGCTCCTGGTCTAGCATCTGTGTGTATATTTCCATGCAGGAGGTCAGGTTTTGATAATGAATTCATCAAAATAGCCGAGCCTATATTGGTAATGAGAAATTAAACTGAAATGATTTTCTACATTGTATCCCCTTCAAAATGGTCATTGGTATCATTCCCTTATTCAGAGATGTGGTGGAAAACGAGGCCAACATTTCTTCCAAAGCCCACCAGCAAGAATTTTTTAAAAATTACAAATATAATTTGTGCAGCATTCCTTTGACCAACAAACATTTATTAAACTCCTCTCAGGAGAGGAGCAGAATTTTGTCTTAGTTAACTGCCACTGGCTCTGCTTCTAGGCTGACTTAGGTCAAACCCACTCTGATGCCAGCCAGTCACACGTCCCCAGGCAAGTTTCTTCCTCTGTTCCTCAGTTTGCTCACTTGTAAATGAAGATCACAATAGTACCTCCTTTAAAGGGCGATTGTCAAAATGAGATGAGCAAATATAGTGTTTTTCAAACCATACGTCACAACTCATTCATGAATCTAAAGTCAGTTTAATGCAAGTTTTGGCAAACTCTTTTTGTAAATGGCCAGATAGTATTTTAGACTTTGCATCCATGATGGTCTCTGTTGCAACTCTGCTTTTGTAATGCAAAAGCACCCATAGCTAATGCATAAACAAATGAGTATGGTATGGCTGTATTCCAATAAAACTTTATTAACAGAAACAGGTGGTAGACTGGATTTTGTCCAAGGGCCATAGTTTGATGACCCCTGGTTTGCTGGATTGCAATTAGCATTTTTTAAAAAAAAAATTAAATAGAATAAAAAATAGCAATGTGCACTGCGCATAGGAAAGATGAGAATATTGTCTTAAAATTTTGGTTTCAGCATTAGTATAGCTATAGATATGGCTATGGATATATATATATATATATATATATATATATATATATATATATATACACACACACACACATTTATATACACATACAGATACATGCATATCATTTACCAGATTGAAATGTAAAATGTATTTGTTTTCAGTTTATCTTTTTTAAAAAAAAAGGAACAAGAAAACCACTAATTTAATGCATGTAATGCATTTTATATGGCACCTGGCCCATAGCAAATGCTAAATAAATGCGAACTACCATTAAAACTTCATGCTAGATACAACAGGGATCATACAGAAATGAGCTGCAGCCATGTCTACACAGAAACATAATCAGAAAGAAATCAATACCTCTAGGTAGACCAACCCCCCAGGAGGCTAATTGTAAAGCAGTCCAATGGAAGAGTGGGATGGGAACATTTGTAGCACTGAGATGGCATAAATAGTGGTGACTGTCTATCACAGCTAGAGAGTGTCTTAAAGAAGGACCAGGTTTTCCTGACTGAGAAAGAGGTAGACTCCAAATTGGGTTTGAAAGATTGGAAGGATTTGGATGTTTAGACCTGGAAATGTGGTAAAATTAGTTGGCTGAAGTCAGTTTAATTCTCTCTGGGAATGATGCTTGTCAAAGCATTTACACATTCATCAACAAATATTTATTGAGCAACTAATATGTGCCAGGCACTCTTCTAACACTAGAGATATGGTAGTAACTGCAACAAAATCCTGACACCATGGAGTTTACATCCCAGTGGGAGAGACATAAAAAAAGAAGCGTGTGTGTGTGTGTGTGTGTGTAAATAGGGTCAGAAAAGAGTGGTGGGGACACGGGGGGACATTTGAGAGAGATGTGATTGAAGCAAAGGAGTTAACCTCAGAATTCCTGGAGGGACAGGATTTCAGGTAGGGAACAGCCCATGCAAAGGCTCTGAGGCGGGTACATATTTGATGTGAATGGAAACAGCAGGGTTCTGCCACCCAGTCCTGGGTGAAAACTCAAAGGTGGGAGTTAGGGCCTTTGACTTCCAGAATCAGGCAGTCTGCCCCAGAACAATGGCTTGTCACCTCTCTCTGTTCTTAGTCAAAGCTAATGTTCTTAGTCAAGGTCAAGGATTTACGCCCATTGTCTGGACAGCTGGATAGGCAGTCTCAAGAAAGGGAAGAAATGTAGACCAGATCAACAACCTTACTTTTCCTTTGCTTCTACTCTAGGAACCATAATGATAGATGATTAAATAAGTAAACATGGGAACACTGGCTATAGATTTTAGACCAATACATCCCTCCCTGCAGAAGCAGATTGAGAGTATCTCGGAAGTAGCTTTTCTGTATCCCAGTGGACATCTCAAAATTATGTGATTTTCTTTTTCTTTCTGCTTTTTGGGATGATTTACGGAAGCTTCTTTTTTCTTAAAATAAAATAAATGTGTGTCTTGATAATTAACACTTACACCATACGTGTTGTTCATGTTTTTTTCCTCATCCACTTCATTAATATCAGAATACGCTTTAACTTGAATGATACACTTTGAGAATTTCAGGGAGAGCTGGAGTTCTATTTGGAATCTCCTCTTCTCATGTTGCTTTTCCCTAGCACCATGCTCAAACACACATGTACACACATGTGCATCCAGGCCCATGTACTCATGTATGTATACACATGTCTGGTCATAAGGCCTCTCTTTGCACGCATCTTTGTCCTACTAAGTGATACACAGGGGAGAGTCACATAATGCCTAAAAGGAAACAAAGTATTTTGTCTGTCAGTCAACCAACTATGACCCAGGGTCTACCAAGTGCCAGGAAAAAACCCCTACTTTTAGGAAATTCACAACCTGACCGGGCAGTCCAGGCTAGAAGGGATATTGGACAGTCTTCCTTGGGCTTCAGCAGTTTATATGTCTCTTGGGAAGTGTGTTAGCATGTGGGACTCTTGAGTAACATCACAGTATGTGGCAGGGTGTTAAAAATCTGAAACTTCTGTTTATTGAGCATCTACTATGTTCAGTCAAGGTCTCAGATACAGCCAGGCACGGTGGCTCATGCCTGTAATCCCAGCACTTTGGGAGGCCAAGGTGGGTGGATCACAAGGTCAGAAGATCAAGACGATCCTGGCTAACATGGTGAAATCCCGTCTCTACTAAAAATACAAAACATTAGCCGGGCATGGTGGCGGGCACTTGTAGTCCCAGCTCCTAGGGAGGCTGAGGCAGGAGAATGGCGTGAACCCGGGAGGTGGGGCTTGCAGTGAGCCGAGATCCCGCCACTGCACTCCAGCCTGGACAACAGAGTGAGACTCTGTCTCAAAAAAAAAAGAGGTCTCAGATACTTCCTATTCATTATCTCAGTTAACCCTCCACAGCCCATGATGCAAGCACTCTTATCCCATTCTACACATGGGAAGTCAAGGAGTCAAAGCTGGATTTTTTGACTACCCATTGTCCTGTGTTTATGGAGCACACAGATTAGGATTTGGAGCTCCGGATCCAGCCTGATTTTGAATTTTAACTCTTGAACTTTAGATGACCTTAACAAGTTGCTTAACTTAGTTTCTTCATCTGTAAAGTTAGTATAAAAGTACCTTACTATGGCAGAAACTACTAGTTACCTATACAATATCCGCCCCCTCTTCATTCTCACTGAATGAACTCTGGCATTACTGAGAGCATCAATGTGCCCAGCCAAATACTGCTTTTCTCAGCCTCTCTTTCAGACAGGGATGGCCAAAGAGATTTAGATGGACATCATCCAAAGGAGTTTCTGGGAAAAACTTTTAAAGAGAGTCAACTAGTCTAGGAGGCTGACCTCTATGCCTCAGTCCTATTTTCTCTTTTGCTGCTTAGAATGTAGGCATGATGGCTAAGGGATGCAGCAGCCAATTTGCAACCATGAGGCAACCTTGAAGATGGAAGCAATGAGCTAAGGATGGCAGAGTAGAAAGTGGGAATGAATGATTTTGGGTCACTGATTCAATGTACAGTCACCATAGCAGCTGTGTGGAGGTTCATGTCATGTAAAAGAAAAATAACATCTAAATTATCTAAGCCACTGTTATTTTGGTTACTAACAATGAGCAAATTTCCTAGCTGATGAACCACTTTATGGATTTGTTGAGATAATGTATAAAAAATGCAGTTTTTTGTACCTGTGCTACACACTCCATAAACCTGAGATATAATTGTTGTTGTTATTGGGTACTTATATATGTGTAGAGTCTATTTAAGAAGCCTCTCAATAAATTATGTTTCACTTACTAATATTCCAACTTTACAAGTGAAACAAATAAGATATGGAGAGGTGAAGGGATTTGCCCAAGGACGCACAGCTAGAAAACTGATGTGAAACTGGTGCAAAACAGGATAAGGAAGGGTAGACTTTGATGCCAGTTTCTCAACCCCAGTGCAATGACTTTCTCGTCATATAGCTTCACCTTCATTTCTCCCCAATCCAAAAAGAAGAAGGACGTTGAGCTCAACTGTGGTGAAAAACTCGCTACACTGCAGAGCCATGACCTTCATCCATGCCATCAACCATGCCCTTTTCCTCTTGCAGTGTTGTGAGAAGCCAAAAAGTTCAGACTTGTGCAGAGCTGACAGGAAGGGGCCTGTGAGGGTGACGGATTTTGCTGCTATACAGTTATGGCTGTAGATTACAGTGCGGGGAATGAGAGCTCAAACTGGAGTGAAGAATTAATAGTTGAGTTCTCTGGCTTGTAAATTGGCATCTGTGGCATGCTGTGAGATCTGGAGTTGACATTGAGTGGCACAAATGAGAGGTGGAAGGCAAGTCCCTAGACACAGCCAAGAGACTGGTTAATTTTGGAAAGGCGAGGAATGGATAAAGGATGAAAGACAAAAACTGGGAACATGTCGGTTTTTCAAAAGGAGAACGTTAACTTGCTTAAGTTAATTTCATCTTTGTAGGAAAACAAAAACCAAAAACCCACAAACACCAGTCATATCACTAACTCCAAACTTACTAATTTAAAATTTAAACCAAAAAATACCTACAAACTAGTAATATTTGCATAACACATTACATTTACAAAAGTGTTTTATAAGATTTCATGCAGGCAGGGTAACAACATTACCCGCATTCTGCAAATGAGAAAAATTACCATCAGAGACCCCAGATGATTTTCTCCAGGTCTCCCAGATAGTAAGGGATGTAGACCTAGGTCTCTTAACTCACTGCTTGGCCTTGACAGTAGAAAAGGTTGTCCCAGAAACTGGCTTAAGACAATGATAACATCAAATAGGCAGAGAGGTCCCAAATAGTGCTGCAACGTCTGGCGACTGGATAAGGTGCAGAATAGTATGGAGGTATAAGATAGTGTAAGATTAGTCAAGTAAGGGAAGGCAATGGAGGGGAGGCAAGGTTTGCTTAAGGGATGGATGGCTTATTGTTTGGAGTAAAATGTCCTGTGGCAACTGTAATAAAGTGCAAGGAGGGTCAAAGTGTGACTTCATTGGCAATAAAACATGTGGAGTAAAGCTTTCCTTTCTGTGCACAGAGTTAACCCACTGTCATGGCGTGACTCAGTCCCCCACAGCTGAATGTTACAGTACATATCGCTCTTATTCCCTGAAGTAATCACACAATGATACCCATTTTATTACTTAATTGTGGGTGTCTTTCTCCATTGTGCAAGTTGCTATTAGGTCAATTGCCATCCTATGAGAAAGGACATAAATTTGAGTCTACCATGTTGGAGTTCCAACTCTGTTTCTTCCCCTTTGTGATCATGAGCTTGCACCTTGTTTGGTCTGTAACACGGCGATTTTTAAAGTTCAGCTAATGGAAACATTGTGGTCATTACATTAGAAAATAGAAAGTTCCCAACACTGCACCTCACAGGGAGCCAGCACTTGGAAATCGGTTCCATTCTTTAAGCCTCTTTCACTAGATACTTGTAAGGGCAAAATAAAAAATTGGTGTTTTAAAAATATCAGCTCCAACAAAAGGGTCTTACTGAAGGGAACCCTTGGAGACTTTTTTGCCAATTCTCAGCATCTGATAAGTTGTTTGTGATTTAATTCACTCACTTATTCATTCTTCAAAACGAACATTTTCCTTTAAAGATGTTATTAGTCAAGTGCCTTAAAATGTCTGTAAAATGTGATTTCATGATATTCCTCCTCAGACTCTAGCCCACTGAAAAACTGTAAGTGCCTTAAATAATTCTAAGTTTCTTAAAGTCTACTGAAGTATTATTTATGCTGGTAGAAGATTGGAAACTACCAAAATGGCAAAAAGATTAAGTATACTATTTAATATGCACAATAAAATACTAGATTCTCCATTGGAAACTTCATTTAGAGACAGTTTATAATCATACAGACAAATATGTATGCAATAATGTATGAAAATAAGTGAATGTACATACGTGTGTGTACATATTTTTATGTATGTACATGCACACATATTTAATCACAAAATATAAATAGAAAAAACTTAAATATAAAATAATTAGGAAATTGTGTAAAAACATAAGATGAAATACTGTGTGTGGTATATAAGAATACTTAACACTCTAAAAAACGGTACATGATATATTAAGTAGGAATAGTGGATTACAAAGCAGGAAGTACAATATGGTCCAAATATTCTTTAAAACATTCTTATTTTTATATAAGCACAGAAGAAAATCAATATAGCCCTCCACACCTGAAGGAGTGGTAAGTGAATGGTGGGACTATAAGTGGTTTTTATTTTCTTCATGCTTTACTGATTCTCAAATATTCTACTGTCAGCATGTATTTTTTTGGAATTAGAAAAACACCCCTCCAGTAATAATGTGTAGTTCTTAACATTGTTCATCAGATGTTTCTGACTCCCCCACTTCTGTCTAATTACATCACAGGTTGGCACTTCCTGGCCCCTTGTGGTTGTGTAGAGTCACATGACCAGTTCTGGCCAATGAAGTGGAAGTGCCACCTATCACTTCCTGATTGGATCATTTGGTGATCAGTGTTAGGCTCTAGAACTTTTCCCCTCCAGGACAGCAACCAAGTTGTATTGAAGTTGATTTCTTCTGCCAACTGTACACCCCTCAGTGGTCACCAGAGCTAGAGCCCCTGTACAGACTTGTGCTAGACTCAGAGCACAAATGAGAAATAAAATCATGTTGATTTAAACCTTGTATATCTGGGGATTTTTTGTTGTTGCTGCTGCTACGGCAGCATAACCTAGTCCATCCTGACCAATACAAATATGGCTAGAAAAAGTTCCTGGAAGTATATTCACCAAAACTGAACATTCATTTTCTTTAAGTAGTAAGACCAATTGATTCTCTTCTTCTTTCTACTTTTCCCAGTTGTCTATAATGAGTATGGCTTTCTTTTTAGTTGAAAAATAATCAAATAAACTCTATAAATAAAACAAGACATCACGGCAAGTCAATCTGATATGTTTGTTCTTTTCTTAGAAGATTCAGTGGATTTCCATTGATTCCATCGTATTCTTCCACTTCTTCCCTTAGGTTGGGTGGGCTGGCCTGAACCGAGGTGGGGGTGGAGTACTTATGGAGCCAGATGTTTCATCCCTGATGGCAGTAGATTACGCAGAGCATAGGGTGGAGTTCAGAAAAACTGAAAACCGCAGGTAATTGGGTGGGGTTTGTAGGTCTCAGTCAATGCTCAGAGCAAATGAATTGAGTAATCTCCTTCTCTGAATGTATTTTAAGGAACAAAACATTTTTTCTGGGTAAGTTTCTGTGCAACCATACATAGGAGCAAAGAGTATGAAGAGAAAAGGCATCTTTCAGTCCTTTCCTCAGCTTTTCTTTTCTATCTCCAGTCCATAACACAGAGTTTATGTTGCCATTTTGAATATGAGGTATGGCTTTGGGGACCTTGCTTACCGTTACTCTTTCTTTCACTTAGTTATATCCTCAATATCTTTGACTCTGCCATGAACCCTTCCTAAGATGTTCCTGAGATGCTCATCTTGGTACCTGATGGTGTTTATGCCTATGGTGATGCTAAGATATAGTAGAGACTGCAGGCAGGTGGGATTAGATGGGCCTCACTCAAATCCAGGCTCTGTCTGTTACCATTGGGGGATGAAGAGCTCAGAAGTGCCCTCTGAGCTCCCCACCTGTGGAATTAGTGTCAGAAGGCTGCCCCTTTTGGGGGTTCCCCAGAAGGTTAGCTTCTAGATGCAAATACCTAGGAGATCTCAGAACCTTGGAGAATGAGTAATTAACAGACAAAGAAACCGGTAAAGGCATTTCTGGTGGAGGAAGAAGCATGAGCAAGAGTTTCAAGTGCTTAAAGAAATGTAAGACAGAATAAGCCACATGAACAAATGTAAGAGGAAAGGCAGATTCCTGCACTCATAAGCTGCTGATCTTTTTTTTTTTTTTTTTTTTTTAGATGGAATCTCGCTCTGTCTCCCAGGCTGGAGTGCAGTGGCATGATCTCCGCTCACTGCAACCTCCGCCTCCCAAGTTCAAGCGATTCTCCTGCCTCAGCCTCCCGAGTAGCTGGGACTACAGGCACGTGCCACCATGCTTGACTAATTTTTGTATTTTTAGTAGAGACAGGGTCTCACCATGTTGGCCAGGCTGGTCTTGAGCTCCTGACCTCTAGTGATCCACCCGCCTCAGCCTCCCAAAGTGCTGGGATTACAGGCATGAGCCACCATGCCAGGCCAAAGCTGCTGATCTTAATAAAAATGATTCATTCAGTCTTTTGCATGTAAGAGAAAAGAATTACCTACATCAGTCACTGAGTTATTTTCCATATCTGCACAGTATTAAATACTTTTCTTATTCAACAAATATTTCTTGAGCATCTTCTGTGTACTAGAGAGTGTTGTAGTATTTGGGACACATTAGCAAACTACTCTCCTCTCCTCTCCCTTTTAATTTTATCTGAATTAAATTTATTTTATAAGGAAAATTTATATCACTGCCATAGAGAAAAAGCCACATCCTTGTCATTAGTAGAAGGCAATCACAAAAATAAATAAATACAATTAAAAAGGGAGAGTCAGGCAGATTAAGATGGCGGACAGGAGGCAGGACTAGCTTGCAGCTCCCACTCAGACAGACAAAGCAGTGTGTAGAGACTCACATCGTGAACTTTTGCTCCAAGAGCTACCACAGGAACGTACCAGGGAAGCTGAGATAATCCACAGACCCTTTGAAGGAGCTGGATCATCGCTGCAGGCTCCCTGAAATGACAAAAAAAAACATGAGTCTGCTTGCTTTCTCAATGCGGAGACTTGTGGTCTGGGGCAAGTTCTCAGCCCTGGTCACTGGCTGCCTGGAAATAGATTCAGTACTGTTGGGGTGGCAAGGTGGGAGTGAGACCGGCCTTTAGGACTGCCAGCTGCATGGGAGCAGAGTGAGACTGGTGACTGCTGGCTTTCCCTCACTTCCCTGGTGACCTGTATGACTCAGCAGAGGCAGCCATTAATCCGCCTGGGAATATAACTCCACTGGACTGGGAACCACACCTCCATCCCCCACAGCAGCTGCAAGGAGAGGCTGAGCTCAGACAAGCCTATCCCTGCCCACACCTGGTGGTCTTTCTCTACCCACCCAGGTAGCCAAAAACAAAGGTCATAATCGCTTGGGAGCTCTATGGCCCTGCCCACTGTCTGAGAATCCTGAATACTTAACCAGGTGTCTCTAAGGCAAGTTTGCATCCTCCCTGTAGGACCACAGCTGATGCACTCTTGAAAGAGTCACCTCCTGGGTGGAGGCCAACCAACACAAAACCAGCACACTAAACAAAAATACAACCAAGACTCTCATAGAGTCCACTTCACACCCCTGCTACCTCCAGAGCAGGTGTTGGTATCCATGGCTGCAAGACCTAAAGATGGATCACAGCACAGAACTCTTCGCAGACACTCCCCAATACCAGCCTGGAATCCAGTAGCCCCATTGGATGGCTAGACCCAGAAGAATAGAAACAGTCACTACAGTTTGGCTCTCAGGAAACCCCATTGCTAGGGAAAGGGGGAGAACACCACATCAAGGGAGCACCCCGTGGGACAAAACAATCTGAATAGCAGCCCTTGAATCCCAGATCTTCCCTCTGACATAGTCTACACAAAAGAGAAGGAACCAGAAAAATAATTCTGGTAACATGACAAAACAAGGTTCTTTAACACCCCCCAAAGATCATACCAGCTCACCAGCAATGGATCCAAACCAAGGTGAAATCTCTGAATTGCCAGAAAAAGAATTCAGAAAGTCTATTATTCAGCTAATCAAGAGACACCAGAGAAAGGAGAAGTCCAACTTAAAGAAAACAAAAACATGATACAGGATATGAAAGGAAAATTTGTCAGTGAAATAGAGAACATGAATAAAAAACAATCACAACTTCTGGAAATCAAGGACACACTTAGAGAAATGCAAGATGCACTGGAAAGTCTCAGCAATAGATTTGAAAAAGCAGAAGAAAGAACCTCAGAGCCAGAGCTTGAAGACGAAGCTTTCAAATTAACCCAATCTATCAAAGACAAAGAAAAAAGAATTGAGAAAAACGAACGAAGCCTCCAAGAAGTTTGGGACTATGTTAAACATCCAAACCTAAGAATAACTGGTACTTCCATGGAAGAAGAGAAATCTGAAAGTTTGGAAAACATATTTGAGGGGGTAATCAAGGAAAACTTCCCCAGCCTTGTTAGAGATCTAGACATCCAAATACAAGAAGCTCAAATAACACCTGGGAAATTCATCACAAAAAATTATTGCCTAGGCACATAGTCATCAGGTTATGTAAAGTCAAGACAAAGGAAAGAATCTTAAGAGCTGCGAGGCAAAAGCATCCGGTAACCTATAAAAGAAAACCTACCAGATTAACAGCAGATTTCTCAGCAGAAACCCTAAAAGCTGGAAGGGATTGGGGTCCTATTTTTAGCCTCCTTAAGCAAAACAATTATCAGCCAAGAATTTTGTATCCAGCAAAACTAAGCTTCATAAATGAAGGAAAGACACAATCTTTTCCACACAAATGCTGAGAGAATTCACCACTACCAAACCTACAAGAACTGCTAAAATGAGCTCTAAATCTTGAAACGAATTCTTGAAATGCATCAGAATAGAATCTCCTAAAGCATACATCTCACAGGACCTATATAACAATAACACAATTTAAAAAAAGGTATCCAGGCTACAAATCACACAATGAATAGAATAGTTCCTCACATCTCAATACTAACACTGAATGTAAATGGCCTAAATGCTCCACTTAAAAGATACAGAATGACAGAGTGGATAAGAATTCACCAATCAAGTTTCTGGTGTTTTCAGGAGACTCACCTAACACATCAGGACTCACCTAAACTTAAGGTAAAGGGGTGGAAAAAGATATTCCATGCAAATGGACACCAAAAGCAAGCAGGAGTAGCTATTCTTACATCAGACAAAACAAACTTTAAAGCAACAGCAGTTTAAAAAGACAAAGAGGGACATTATATAATGATAAAAGGACTAGTCCAACAGGAAAATATCACAATTCTAAATATATATGCACTCAACACTGGAGCTCCCAAATTTATAAAACAATTACTACTAGACCTAAGAAATGAGATAGATGGCAGCACAGTAATAGTGGGGGACTTCAATACTCCACTGACAGCACTAGACAGATCATTAACACAGAAAGTCAACCAAGAAACAATGGACTTCAAATATACCCTGCAATAAATGGACTTAATATGTATTTACAGAACATTCTACCCAACAACAGCAGAATATACTTTCTATTCATCAGCACATGGAACATTCTCCAAGAATATGATAGGCCGCAAAACAAGTCTCAGTAAATTTAAGAAATTTGAAATTATATCAAGCACTCTGTCAGACCACAGTGGAATAAAATTGGAAATCAACTCAAAAAAGAACCCTCAAAACCATGCAAATACATGGAAATTAAATAACCTGCTCCTGAATGATCATTGAGTCAACAATGATACCAAGATGAAAATTAAAATTTCTTTGAACTGAATGACAATAGTGACACAACCTATCAAAACCTTGGGGATACAGCAAAAGCAGTGCTAAGAGAAAAGTTCATAACATTAAATAGTTACACAAAAAGTCTAAAAAGCACAAATAGACAATCTAAGATCATACCTCATGCACCTGGAGAAACAAGGACAAACCAAACCCAAACCCAGCAAAAGAAAAGAAATAACAAAGATCAGAGCAGAACTAAATGAAATTGAAACAAAAAAAAAATACAAAAGATAAATGAAACAAAAACCTGGTTCTTTGAAAAGATACGTAAAATTGATAGACAATTAGCTGAGAGAAGATCCAAATAAGCTCATTTAGAAATAAAATGGGAGATGTTAGAACTGTTACCACAGAAACACAAAAGATTATTCAAGGCTACTATGAACAATGCACAAAAACTAGAAAACCTAGAGGAGATAGATAAATTCCTGGAAATATACAACCCTCTTAGATTAAACCAGTGAGATATAGAATCTCTGAACAACAACAAGCAGAAAGACTGAAATGGCAATAAAAAAAAGTTGTCAACCAAAAAAAGGACAGGACCAGATAGATTCACAATTGAATTCTATCAGACATTCAAAGAAGAGTTGGTACCAGTCCTATTGACACTTCCAAAAGATAGAGAAATAGAGAAGCCTCCCTAAATCATTCTATGTAGCCAGTATCACCCTAATACCAAAACCAGGGGAGGACATAACAAAAAAGAAAATTACAGACCAATATCTCTGATGAATGTAGATGCAAAAATCCTCAACAAAATACTTGTGAACTGAATCCAATAGTATATCAAAAAGGTAATCCACTATGATCAAGTGGATTTCATACCAGGTATGCAGGGATGGTTTAATATAGGCAAGCCAGTAAATGTGATACACCACATAAACAGAATTAAAAACAAAAATCACACGATCATCTCAATAGTCACAGAAAAAGCATTTGACAAAATCCAGCATCTCTTTATGATTAAAAATCTCAGCAAAATCAGCATACAAGTGATATACCTTAAGGTAATAAAAGCCATCTATGACAAACCCACAGCCAACATTATACTGAACAGGGAAAATTTGAAAGGATTACCACTGAGAACTGGAACAAGACAAGGATGCCCACTTTCACCACTTCTATTCAACTTAGTACTGAAAGTCCTAGCCATAGCAAGCAGACAAGAGAAAGAAATAAAGGGCATCTGAATTGGTAAAGAGGAAGTCAAACTGTTGCTGTTTCCTGACGATACGATTATATACCTAGAAAATCCTAAAGACTCATTCAGAAAGCTCCTAGAATTAAATGAATTCAGCAAAGTTTCAGAATACAAATTAATTAATGTACACAAATCAATAGCTTTGCTATACACCAACAGCAACTAAGCTGAGAATCAAATCAAGAACTCAATCCCTTTCACAATAGCTGCAAAAAAAAAAAAAAAAAAACTTAGAAATATCCCTAACTAAGGAGGTGAAAGACTTGTACAAGGAAAACTACAAAACACTGCTGAAAGAAAACATAGACAACACAAACAAATGGAAACACATCTCATGCTCATGGATGGGTAGAATCAATATTGTGAAGATGACCATACCGCCAAAAGCAATCTACAACTTCAATGCAATTCCCATCAAAATACCGCCATCATTCTTCACACAACTAGAAAAAAATGATACTAAAATTCATATGGAACCAAAAAAGAGCCTGCATAGCCAAAGCAAGACTAAGCAAAATGAGCAAATCTGGAGGCATCACATTACCTGAACTTAGACTGTACTATAAGACCATAGTCACCAAAACAGCATGGTATTTGTATAAAAACAAACACATACACCAATGGAACAGAATTGAGAATCCAGAAATAAAGCCAAATACAGCCAGCTGATATTCGACAAAGCAAACAAAAACATAGAGTGGGGAAAAGACACCCTGTTCAACAAATGGTGCTGGGATAGTTGGCAAGCCACATGTAGAAGAATGAAACTGGATCCTCCTCTCTCACCTTATACAAGAATTAACTCAAGATGGATCAAAGACTTAAAATCTAAGACCTGAAACCATAAAAATTCTAGAAGATTACATTGGAAAAACCCTTCTAGACATTGGCTCAGGCAAAGACTTCATAACCAAGAACCCAAAAATAAATGCAACAAAAACAAAGATCTATGGGACTTAATTAAACTAGAAAGCCTCTGCACAGCAAAAGAAATAATCAGCAGAGTTAACAGACAACCCACAGAGTGGGAGAAAATCTTCACAATCTATACATCTAACAAAGGACTAATATCCAGAATCTACAAAGAACTCAAACAAATCAGTAAGAAAAAAAACAAACAATCCCATCAAAAAGTGGGCTAAGGACATGAGTAGACAATTCTTAAAAGAAGATATACAAATGGCCAACAAACACATGAAAAAGTGTTCAACACCGCTAATGATCAGGGAAATACAAATCAAAACCACAATGTGATACCACCTTACTGCTGCAAGAATGGCCATAATCAAAAAATAGAAAAATAATAGATGTTGGCATGGCTGCAGTGAGCAGGGAACACTTCTACACTGCTGGTGGGAAAGTAAACTAGTAAAATCACTATGGTAAATAGTGTGGAGATTGATTGATTGATTGATTGATTTTTGAGGTGGAGTCTCGCTGTCATCCAGACTGGAGTGCAGTGGCAGTATCTTGGCTCACTGCAGCCTCCGCCTCCCAGATTCAAGTGATTCTCTTGCCTCAGCCTCCTGAATAGCTGGGACTACAGGTGTGTGCCACCACGCCTGACTAATTTTTGTTTTTTTTTTGTAAAGACAGGGTTTCACCATGTTATCCAGGTTGGTCTCGATCTCCTGACCTTGTGATCCACCCACCTCTGCCTCCCAAAGTGTTGGGATTACAGGTGTGAGCCACCACTTCCGGCCGGAGATTCTTTAAAAAACTAAAAGTAGATCTACTGTTTGAACCAGCAATCCCACTACTAGGTATGCTCTCAAACGAAAAAAAAAGTCATTATACGAAAAAGATACTTGCACATGTATATTTATAGCAGCACACTTTTCAATTTGCAAAATATGAAACCAGCCCAAATGCCCATCAATCAACAAGTGGATAAAGAAAATATGATATATATATGTACCATGGAACACTACTCAGCCATAAAAAGGAATGAAATAACGGCATTTGCAGCAACCTGGATGGAACTGGAGACTATTATTCTACGTCATGTAACTCAGGAATGGAAAACCAAACATTGTATGTTCTCACTCATATGTGGGAGCTAAGCTATGAGGACACAAAAGCATAAGAATAATACACTGGACTTTGGGGATTCGGGTGAAAGGGTTGGGGGTGACAAGGGTTAAAAGACTACACATTAGGTTCAGGGTACACTGCTCGGTGATGGGTGCACCAAAATCTCCGAAATCACCACTAAAGAACTTACTCATGTAACCAAATACCACCCGTTCCCCAAAAACCTATTGAAATAAAATTAAAAATTAAAAATAGAAAAAATACAATTAAAAAGATATCATCTTATTCTCCTGAGACTCCACTCCCTTAAGCAGGCTCCAAGCTCAAGACCTCACCCTCTTTATTAAAAAGTGAAACTTAACAAGTGCTAGAAAAGTGATAGAGACCTACTGGCACCATGTAGATCTTTTCTCTTTAATAAAATCAAAAAAGTGGGGAAAACATTGACAAAGAAATAGCACATCCCTACTGACGGTGTTCACATCCTGGTGCAACTTGCAATGATCTCAGACAGATATATGCCACTGTTCAGGGAAAATCAAAATAGAGAATCATAGTTCTTTGTACTTTTTCCATTTTATGCATGAAGTTTGAATATCCCATTGCACTAATTATGGAGACTGAGTACCTCTATTGCCTGACTGAAGGGCAGCCGTAAAAGCTAAGAGAAGCAAATATAATGATGTCCATTCAACAGATGAGAACAGTGAATCTGAACAAAGTTGTCCAATGTCACAAAGGTGGCAGGCAGCAGGGTCAAGATTTGAACTCTGATCCCTCTGACCCCAGCTCAAATTCTGGCCACGGACCCACAGGACCTTCTACACTTGTCATCATGGTCTTTTACTGGTTAATCATGTCATTGTGAGGCTGATTATAGATAGGCAATTTCATATTTTCTCTAGATAAAATCAATTTGCCTTAGAGGTACACAGTAGAGAGTACATCACTCCAGAAATGCAACACCTCTTACCTGAAAGAAAAGAAAAACAAGTCATTTTCCTTTTATTATCAACATTATGCATTCCCCAAACAGTCTGCATCGTAATATTTCTGTGCTTTCTCTGAGGTACTCGTGTTTTTCCATTAGGCATTAAAGAGAAAGAGTGAGATCAGGAGAGGAATCAGAAGGAAAAGGGTTAAACATTTTATTATTCTTGCTGCATTTGTAGTAAATTGTGTAATAGTTTTCATGTCTTAATTACTTAAATTTTATATTGAGCTATAGTGATATTATCTCTCTTTTTGTCTCCACACAATTGTATTTTATAATAGCTTTTATTAGAACCTACATGAATGGAATTTAAAATGAACACATCATTTCTGTTACTTGTGCAGTATAGAAAAGAGAGCACTTCTCTGATATTTGGCATGAAAAGTACTTTCCTTTGTATTTTATGACACATAGCAAGTTATATTAGGTGGGGACATATTTTGAACAGAATGGTAACTAAGGGAGACTACAGAACCTCTTTTTTTCTGCATTTGTAACTTCCTAGGTGAAGAAGGGTGTGGGTTATTTGGTGTTATCAAGAAAAACTCCCCCATAAAAGAGTCATCTAATTATAGTAAAATGCACATGATATATACATATATTTTTATCTTAGGTTTTCTTAAATTGGACGTGGTCTATGTATTAGAGAATTGTCAGAAAATTAGGTGTTAGATTACAATATTGCTGTTAATGTAGCAGCTACATTTATTTTTTAACCCAATAGTTGATATTATGTGTCGCAAATCGCATCAATCGTGCCCTACTCTGGCTCCTTTTCAACATGGACTTTTCAAAATGAACCAATAACTTGAATTTTGCATTTTTTTAAATGCAGCACAGGCTTCAGGACAGAGCTGGAAATTGTTTTTTTCTTGTCTTTTTTTCATTCATCTCCTGCTGTTTTTTGTAAACTAAGTATAGAGGAAATCCGTAAATCAAAAAGTCTCTTGCATGTAGAAGCTCAAATACAAAGGGGAGAAAATTCAACAAAGGATTCGGTGGGTACTTGAGAATGATGGCAATGGAAATAAATGTGAAGACATATTATAGATGCATATTTAATATTGTTGTGTTTATTGCTTCATTTGTAAAAGTCAACCAGCTAGAAACTGTGAATGAATAAACTCCTTACCAGATATAAGATAGACACAGTGGTAAGGTGTACCTTAACTCTTACCATTCCCAAGGCAAATTAATTTAGAAAACCATTGCTTCATTATAATGAATGTGGTTCTTCTGGCTGGAAGGAAAAAAAGCAAAAGTAATAGGCATCTCTTCTTCATCTATTCCTGCCTTTCCAGTTACTGCACTCCCCAAAATGCATCTTCTTCCAGGCTCAGCTCAAGTTACCTCCTCTGTGAAGCTCCTTGGGCTTCCCTGGAAATAATTGCTCTTTTCTTATTTTGGCTCTCAATGTGCTTTGAATCTCAAGCCAGCATGGCTCTAGATCCTTGTAATTATAGACAGATCCACCCCTCCTCACCAACTGGGAGGCCTTTGCAGGGAGAGACTTCCTCTTACCAAGTTTATGTTCACAGCACCTAGTCTACCTTCTCTATCATGCTGGAGGAATGGAACTGGCCCAAGGCAATGTCCCCTACTTGGTATTTAGGAGACTAGGTTTTGCAACCCCACACCAAAACACGATAGTCTCTGCCCTTAAGAAATGACAAAGGGCTAATATCCAGAATCTACAATTAACTCAGACAAATTTACAAGAAAAAAACAAACAACCCCATCAAAAAGTGGGTGAAGGATATGAACAGACACTTCTCAAAAGAAGACGTTTATGCAGCCAAAAGACATATGAAAAAATGCTCATCATCACTGGCCATCAGAGAAATGCAAATCAAAACCACAATGAGATACCATCTCACACCAGTTAGAATGGTGATCACTAAAAAGTCAGGAAACAACAGGCCCTGGAGAGGATGTGGAGAAATAGGAATACTTTTACACTGTTGGTGGGACTGTAAACTAGTTCAACCATTGTGGAAGTCAGTGTGGCAATTCCTCAGGGATCTAGAACTAGAAATACCATTTGACCCAGCCATCCCATTACTGGGTATATACCCAAAGGATTATAAATCATTCTACTATAAAGACACATGCACACGTATGTTTACTGCGGCACTATTCACAATAGCAAAGACTTGGAACCAACCCAAATGTCCAACAATGACAGACTGTATTAAGAAAATGTGGCACATATACACCATGGAATACTATGCAGCCATAAAAAAGGATGAGTTCATGTCCTTTGTAGGGACATGGATGAAGCTGGAAACCATCATTCTCAGCAAACTATCGCAAGGACAAAAAAACCAAACACCGCATGTTCTCACTCATAGGTGGGAATTGAACAATGAGAACACATGGACACAGGAAGGGGAGCATCACACGTCGGGGCCTGTTGTGGGGTGGGGGAAGGGGGGAGGGATAGCGTTAGGAGATATACCTAATGTTAAATGATGAGTTAATGGGTGCAGCACACCAACATGGCACATGTATATATATGTAACAAACCTGCACATTGTGCACATGTACCCTAAAACTTAAAGTATAATAAAAAAAGAAATAACAAATTATCTGCCCCAAAGTCTCTGCCTTTAAGAAATTGGAAATTCTACTGATTCGATAAAACATGAAACAATGAAAGAGACATGTAAGATGCTAAAGTGCAAATTTAGGGTGATAGACTAGACTTTTTATAATAATCAGAGGAGAAACTCAAAGAATTGGAGCCAGGATGGGGGCAGAGATACCAAGATGAGAAAAACAATCGTGTGTATTACTCCACAGAGCCTGGCCCAGCATAGAACTCTGAAGAAAGCTCTACTTTTTTCTTGTACAGAGTCACCATGTTTCCTATAAGACCATATTTTACAAGGAAGGAAGGGAGGGAGGGAGGGAACAAGGAAGGAAGGAAGGGAGAGAGGGAGGGAGGGAGGGAGGGGAAGGGAAAAGAAAGAGAGGGGAGGAGAGGGGAGGGGCAGATGGGAGGAGGGAGGGAGGAAAAAAAGAAAGGAAGGAAAGAAAGAAACAATGAGAAAGAGAGAGAGAGGAGAAAAAAGTACAAAACATCAGCTCCCTGTCTTCCTTACAAGTATCTTTCCATGATTTTCCAATTGCCAACTAAAGTTCATTTCCAGATGTGAGTTCTTTTTCATTTGCAATTCAACAACGCTCCTTTACCCGGATCAACTCTCTTTCCAAATTAGGGAAGCCCCAGGATGGCCAGAGCGGGTCCTCCTCATCTGTTCTGCACAGCACCACACTTCCTTTCCCATTCTCCAAAAATAAGTGTTCTGGAAGAGTTCATCTACTCTGAGGTTTGGTTTTCTTTCACTCACATCCCCGTGCCTTCCCTCTCCCCCCACCAGTCCACTTTTATTCCTCTCTTCTTTTTATTAACATGTCCACACTGTTACTAAACATAAAGGGCTTCTTGAGGAACTAATTTCAGCACATTTGTTTGGGTATTATATGGATGTTCAGAGTGGAGATCAAGAGGCACAAAAATAGATTTTGTTGATTTATGAGACCTCACTGTTTTCAATTCCCCATCAGTATGGGCAGGCACGATGCAGTCAAGAAGCGAAGCATCTGCTTCCCGCACGTTTCATTTGTGAACTTTAGCACCTGATGTAAATCATTCATAAAATCCCAAAGTGTTGGAAGGTACTCGTCTCTCGTTTTCATAAACATATACTCCACATACTGTACCTAGTGCTTTCTATCATTTGTTACAAATGGTAGGAGCAGAATTTTAATGACTACCAGAAATAAATTCTCAGCAGCAGGAAGGAAAAAAGAAAAGGAAACCTAGTTCTGGTAGTTCTGGAAACCCTAACATCCATTCATCACTTACCAGAGTTCTTCTAGAAACAAAAAGATGTCGCATTAGGTTATCGCCATCCTATATCTCCCCCTAAAAAGAACCTGAAGGAAGATGGAATATATTAGCTCAGTGCTGCTCTTTTAGATTCTTCTTAAGGGTGTCAGATCTGTGTTCATAGAGAATCTCTCAGAGATGGCTGGAAAAGACATTTGCATCTGGTAGGCAGTAGCCCTGTCTACCTTCTTTGGCCATACTCTTTGTATTACCTTGACACCATTGAGATGTTGACTCACATGAATTGAACATCTGAAGAAAACACAGTTCCTGCTTTCAAGATGTTCAGAGTCTTGCGGGGTTAGAGGACAAACACATATGTCAACAATTAACACCATGGGGGTGGGACTGTGAACCTCTCTCTCACTTTACCCATCCCCATCTTCTAGAAACAGCAGATAGATTTGGATGGGAGGGTCGGGTCAGTTGAGGAACTCTGCCATCTTCTGGCCAAGAAAAGGGCAGGTGGCGTACACAAGCTCAGACAATCCGGAGTGGAATGACACAGGAAAGAAAATGAACAAAACTTATGCATTCCGACAGTGGTGGTTGGTCCAGTTCTCATCCTCTCAAATTCTAATTGTTCAGCCTTCCTTCTGACTTTCAAACGTCCAAATTAACTTTTTTCTGCAAAAGTCATCCAGAGTTAGGTTCTGTTGTTTGCCACTGAGGGACCTTTATGGGTACCTCTGGAAAACACTGCAATTATTAAAGAATGTAGAGGGTTCAAGAAGGGTGCAGAGTAGAGAGTGATTATTTGATCTGGACAAAGGAAAGGAAGCTATCAGAGAAGGCTTCACGAAGGAGGTGACATTCAAAAGATTAAGAATTGGAGTGCACAAGATAAACTTCAAAACGCTTTTGCAAGATACCAAAGTTGTGAAGCTAAGGGCTCTGGCTCTAATGACTTGGAAGAACATAAGTCCTCCAATTAAAATCAACCAAGTATCTTCTTTGAGTGAGGAATCATTAAAAATATATATTATTTTCTTAAATCCTTTCACATAACTAGAGACTCCCAAGTCTTAGGCTTTTTGGACTGTACCAACCATTTTCCTTTTCTCTCTTCAGAAGGAAAGCTCTCTTCTGTTCCTTCCAAAAAAGAGATGCTATAATTCCACAAATCTCTCATATAATAATATAATAATTATGAGGGGGGTGAGGGGAGGCCCCTGGTTAGCTTATACTTGAAATTCTGTCTTAAAGAGACTAGAATGAGAAGAATAAGTGGAGAATGTGGATAGAATTTGGCATTTCTACAATAACATTTCCTCATTGCTTTGTAGGTCAGCTAGAAAGAGAGGACCCAGGGGATCCTGCATTTAATAGGTCAATTGAAATTTTAATGAGAATATCTATTTTATTTCTCCCAGAATTTAACCAATTCATTCATTTATGCAACCATTTGCTCATTTATCAATCAACTCATTCATTCTTGATTGTACCCTTTAAAGATTCATTAACTTATAGGAGGGTTATGCCATATAATCATAATGAAATGCACACAGAATTTTCTTTCTGAAATTCCAGAGGGGTGGTTATTCTAAGTAGAAACTATGTTGGTCTGGGTGTCCTGAGATCTGGATTCTAGTCCCAGCATTGCAACTTACTAGCTATGAGAACAAACCCCGCAGCTTTACTTTGCTCATAATTACACAGGAATAGTCATTGCTGTTCTATCTGCATCAGATAAGATGCAGAAAGATGCAGTCTTTCTGTCAGAAAGACTGAATGAACCCATGGAACCACAAATCCTTCGTAACCCAAATTCTCGATCAATGACATGATAGGATTCCCTGGGTTCTAGCCTCCTGCCATTAGGAGACGTGTATGCTTAACAAAGTCATTTCCACAGCCTGCACCCAATTTCCCGCCTCTGGGATATGGGATGGGAGCAGTTAACTACCCAATTTCAAATATTCTTTCCAGCTCAAAACATTTGTGACTCTCCAAAGTGACTTGTCATTGTATATTTAAAGTGATATGATTGAAGACTTCAGTCCTCCTTAAACTAGAAGTCTAGCTTAGGGTGTGTAGAATCTCGAGCAGGCCTTCCTCCCATGGGAAAGCAGCTTAGTCTCAACTGGGTCATTAAAGCCTAGCTACACCAGTGTTCCCCTTGCCTGGTGCACATCTACACCATCTGGAACTTCTGGTGGGACACATAGGAAAGCCCGTAGGCCTACCTGTGCTCCAGGGGCCTGCCACCTTGCTGATGTCACAGCAGGATAAAGAGATGGTGGCCCTGGTTGAAGGCCCAGGATGCTGAGATGCAGAATTCATGCCCACCACTAGAAGTGCTTCATTAATGCCCTTGCCCCATGTACTTTACCCTGCAGAACAGAACCCTGGATTTGACTTCCCTAAAGCTCTGATGTCTTGCTTGCCTTTGTCTTATTCTTTAACCTGAGATGGCTAAGACCATTCACATCCAGCCTTTGCCTGCATATTTCTTTCTCTCTCTGTCTCTGTCTCTCTCTCTCTCTCTCTCTCTAAATATCAGAAACAGTAGCTAACCTCTTTGAAGTGCTTACTCTGTACCTGCCACTGTATTAAAAGCTTTGCATGCCTTAGCTCACTAGACTCTCATGAGAACCTTATGATGAGGGTCCAACTACTTTTACTCTATTTTATGTGTGAGAGAGAAGCGGGTCCCAGAGGAGTGAGATGACCTGCTCAAGACTTCCTGGCTAGTTGGTGATGGAGCTGGAAAGCAGGCCAGGCCTGCCTGATACCAGGGTCTTAATCATGGAGCCCACTGCCATGTTTGAGATGATTTCTCCCTTGAATTCTTTTCCTCTCTGCTATTTCCATCTCTCTCTTTCCTTGCACACCCACGTGCACAGGGCAAATAAGAAAATAAGAGAGGTACCACCCAACCTATCTTGCAAACCTGACCAAGTTCTTTTCCCTCGCTTGGCCTTAATTATCAATGTCACATCTTTAAAACAAGGCCACTGTGTCCCCTTTAGGCCTGAACTCTTAGTTCTTTATTCAGCTTTAGAAATTTTCTCCAACATCTTTATTATAACTTATATTTCTACTGTCCTGATCTCTTCCTTAAAGTGTACAATATTTGCTCTTTTTTCTCTGTTCTCCATGTTTATCATGTACTCTCTCAACATTTTTACCTTTTTCTTTGCATCTTCAGTCTAGGAGGATTCTCAGGCTTCTCTTCCACATCCTGAGATCCTAAAGAAATTTCCACATGAAAATTTCTTTAACGTCAATTTTGCTGTTTTTCATCCTAAAACCTATGTAGATTTTATTATCTTGCTCTCTCTGTGTTTCCTTCCATTATTTTCTTATTTAAGCTTTCTATTTTTGCCTCTCTGTCATCATGTCAGCCTGCTTTTGTTTTTTTCTTGAGATTTTTTGCTCTTTTTCCAGAGACTTCATCTTCATTATGCTATTAAGGATTTTAAACATTTAAAAAATTTTAGAAAACAAGAAAGAAAGTTATCCTAGATGCCTTAAGGTGTGAAAGAGAAGCATCTATTCTATCAGATGCAAAATCTCTGGTAGAGATGTATGTGTGTATATGTGTGCGTGTGTGCAAGTGTGTGCTATACATGTATCTGTGTACTATATATGTATATGTGTGTACTGCATGTGTGGATATGTGTGTCTGTGTGTATTTATGTGTACTATGTGTGTGTACTCTATGTGTGTATTTGTGCATGTGTATGTGTGAGTACTGTGTGTACATGTGTGTACTGAGTGTATGTGTGTGTACTGCATGTGTGCACGTGTGTGTATTTGTGGATTTGCATGTATTTGTGCATATGTATGTGTACATGTGGGTACTGTGTGTGTATTGCATGTGTGTACACTGTGCATGTACATACAGAGTGTGTACTATGTGTATTTGTTCATATGTGTGTATGTGTACATGTGTGTAGTGTGTGTACTGCATGTGTGTACATACAGTGTGTATATTTGTGCATATGTGTGTATTTGTATATGTGGGTACTGTGGGTATACTGCATGTGTGTATGAGCATACTGTCTGTGTGTATTCATGCGTATGTGTGCATGTGTACACGTGGGTACCGTGTGTATACTGCATGTGTGTATGTGTGTGTACTGTGTGTGTATATATGCATATGCATACATGTGGGTACTATGTGTGTGTACTGTATGTGTGTCTGTGTGTGTACTGTGTGTGTATTTGTGCATATGTGTGTATGTGTACATGTGGGTACTGTGTATACTGCATGTGTGTATGTATGTGTACTGTGTGTGTATTTGTGTGGATGTGTGCATGTGTACATGTGGGTACTGTGTGTATACTGTGTGTGTGTGTGTGTGCTGTGTGTGTATATGTGCATATGCATACAGGTGGGTACTTTGTGTGTACCGCATGTGCGTGTGTACTGTGTGCATATTTGTGCATATGTGTGTATGTGTACATGTGGGTACTGTGTGTACTGCATGTGTGTATGTGTGTGTGCTGTGTGTGTATTTGTGTGTATGTGTGCATGTGTACATGTGGGTACTGTGTGTGCCGCATGTGTATGCACAGTGTGTACTGTGTGTATTTGTGCGTATATGTGCATGTGTACATGTGGCGTGTTTGTGTGTGTGTGTATGTGTGTGTGTGTGTGTGTTGCAGAATGGGTGAGAAGAAGCTAAATGACGTTCCACAGAAGAGGACACCCCTGCTTCCATGTCCTGTCTCAGGGAGCCAGGTTCCGAGAAGGCTGCCTTCGCCTTCCTCACCACCCACTCCTGTCGCACCAACCTTCCGGGATGATCCCGCTCTTCCATGACTGGCTGGCTCTGCGGGAGGAAGGGTGCGGAAGCTCAGCAGCGGGCGACTTCACAGGAAGCTTGCCAGGCTGCCGCGGAAGCCACAGAGCGGGAGCTTGGATGTCAAGGTTTGGGAACTAAAAATACGAAGTGAATCTGCAGTGGGCAGATGCAGAGGCCGTTGCTCCCGTGGACGGTGTGCTGCCCCCCACCAGAACCTTCCAGAGGAAAGGGGGTGCCCCATGCCTATCATCCATGGAGGCGCCGAGGCCGTGTGGGACACGCTTTTCCATGCTGGAGTCTTCACTGTGCTTCCTTCAGGAGCTGGAGGAAAAAGACGCGGAGTGTCCTTTGGAACTTCACTGAGTGTCCTTTGGAACTTCACTGAGTGTCCTGTCCACTCAGTGAAGGTGACCCAGGCCCCCCTCATTGGAGGGTCCACACATGGTCCCAGGAGGAGCCTTTGCCGCCCGGCTCCAGGGATGACTCAGGGAGCGCTTTTCCCGTTTTAGCTGCTGCCATGTGTCATCTGATGTGACTAACGTTTCTCCTTGTGATGAGTCACCCAGCCAAGCACAGGAAGACGTGCCTTCAGAAATGCAGGGTTTGAAAGAAGATCCGCTAGGTGGCATGGGCAGGGTGGGGGACGCTCTTCAGCAGCACTTCATTCCCTTTTCAAGGGCCCCTCAACCAACGTCAAGGTCCCTCTGAGTTGTTGGAGGGTGGGCTGGTGGTTCCTGTGACCATGGCCCCCAGGCTGTTTTGGGGAAGCTGGCAGGGGGAACATAGTAGAGTGTGTTCATGAAGGGAGCCAGATATTATGTGTGGGTCCTTTTTCTTAATATTGATAACTTGCAAAGATGTTGACTTCACAAGTAGACCTTAGATTCAGCAAACCCAAAATACTACAGTAGGAAAGACACTGGCTTTTTGTAGATTTCAGAATGTTCAAGGTTGTGGCCTTGGGAATCGGTGCATTCAAACTCTTGCTTTCTAGATGATGAAACCCTGATTCTCAAAACTGCATAAGGTATCCCACCTCCGAGCTTCCACTGCAGTCCTTATCAATGCATTAATGCAGTCCTACTGTCATTGAGGTAGTGTATTATTTCGTTCTCACACTGCTGTAAAGGACTGCCTGAGACTGGGTAATTTATAAAGGAAAGAGGTTTAAATGACTCACAGTTCTGTATGGCTGGGGAGGCCTCAGGAAACTTACAGTGGTCGTGGAAGGGGAAGCAAACACGTCCTTCTCCACAAGATGGCAGGAAGAAGTGCTGAGCAAAAGCAGGGAAAGCCCCTTATGAAACCATCACATCTTGTGAGAAGTCACTCACTGTCATGAGAACAGCAGCATGGGGTGACCTCTCCCATGATTCAGTTACCTCCCACCAGGTCCCTCCCATGACACATGTGGATTATGGAAACTACAATTCAAGATGACATTTGGGTTGGGACACAGCCAAACCATATCAGAAGAATGCCCCTCCAAAGATGTCCACGTCCCAATCCCTCAAACCTGTGACTATGTTACCTTAGATGGCAAAGGGAACTTTGTAGATGTGAGTAAGTTAAGGATGTTGAGATGGGAACATGATTCCAGATTATCTGGATGGCTTGATGTAATTACAGTGGTCCTTATAAGAGGGAGGCAGGGGTGTCAGACTGAAGGGACAAGAGGTGATAAAATAAACAGAGGTCATAGTGATGAAGGGCCATGAGCCAAGGAATATGGGCAGCCTCTAGAAGCTGGAAAAGACAAATAAGTGGATTCTCTCCTAGAACCTCCGGAGAGGAACACAGTCCCATTCTGGATTTCTGACCTGCAGAACAGTGAGATAAATTCACGTTGTTTCAAGCCACTAAGAAGGTGATGATTTGTTATAATGGCAACAGAAAACTCATACAGTCCGTTTCTCTGAATTATCAGTTTCTTCCATGAGGCTGAGAGCAAAGTTGAAAGCAAGAGCTGTGCCGCATTTGTATCTGTGACTGCAGATCTTGTAGGCTTGGCTCATAGTAGACGTTCAGTTAACATGCATGAGCCCACACGACCCTTAAAGGGAAGATGACTGTCCCTGAAGCCACATCCTGCTTCCTTCATCACCATTGTGTAGAATCGACCCTTAGTGTTTGGGAAAGGAGCCAGAGAACAGAGATTACACTCAACCCAGTCCTACCTCTATGTCATAATTTTGGCTGCAAATCACTGAATATTTCCCAATATGCCAGGAACAGAGCAAAGTTATTTCTCTGACTTAATTTAATCCTCACAAAACCACTATGTATGGTAGGTTTACTATGATTCCTATTTTTCAGTGTGAGAATGAGGCTTGGAGAGAAAAAGAGTAAGTAAAATGAAATAAAACCTTGCAGTTCCACCTGACTCTGAAGTCCTTGCTTCTAACCCCTGTGCTGTGCTCATCCTCTTTGAACTTCTGTTCCTAACCTGGTATTACAGAGATTAACACCCATCTGAAAGAGTGTGAGAGAACACATTTATTCATTCATTAGTTCAAGAAGTTCTACGGGGTATCAGCCTGATTCCAGACACCGGCACTGGGGAATATAGCGGCGAACAAAGTGAGCCCCTGTCCTGAGGAAGTGAGAAGAGAGACATCCTATGCAAATAACAAATGTATCATATAAAATAGCATCAGCTAAAGGCTATGAAGAACATTTTTAACTAAATAAAATAATGTTATAGAAGTTAACCTTCTGCCCAACACATAGTAGGTGCATGAAAAAATGTTTGCTGAGTTTCTGAATGGGCATAAGGGATACTGAATAGATTCCCTCACTCTGAAACATCTACTGTCCCCTGGTGCCAGGCCAGGTGGGCTGGGGGTGGACATCCAATGGGACCCTTGTCCTTAGAAGCAGATACTGAGCCAGAATCTTTGGTGTGATGACAGTACTGCACCAATGGCAATTAACTTATGCCTAACCCCACAAAGCCAGAGACAACACTGTTAATAACACTGCCTTCCTCTTCCCAGGGCTCTTCTCCGTGATTCAGCCTCTCATCCTCCAGTCTGTCTCAGCAGTGATTTTTGATCCCCAAACCAAGCCAAATCCATTTTATTTTTCATTATTCAAGGAAAAGCCACTGATATGGTTTGGGTTTGTGCCCACCCAAATCTCAGCTTGAATTGAAATCCCCATGATCCCCACATGTTGTGAGAGGGGCCCAGTGGGAGGTAATTGAATCATGAGGGTGGTTGCCCCATGCTGTTCTCATGATAGTGAGTGAGTGAGTCCCATGAGATCTGATGGTTTTACGTGTCTGGTATTTCCCCTGCTTGCCCTCACTCCGTCCTGCTGCCCTGTGAGGAAGGTACCTGCTTCCCCTTTACCTTCCGCCGTGATTGTCAGTTTCCTGAGGTCTCCCCAGCAATGCAGAACTGCGAGTCCATTAAACCTCTTTCCTTTATAAATTACCCAGTCTTCGACATTTCCTTATACCAATGTGAGAATGGACTAACACAACCACAAATTCACATATCTACACAACCAGGCACTGTGAAGGAGGTCAGAGGTAGAGGGCCTCAGAGAGGTGAGAACAGTGGCAAACTTATTTCTTCCCCAAGAGAAGTCAGTAGATTGTTTTCCTACGTGTCCAGCCTTTTTAAATGTTGGCAATTTGAAGCATCAGCCACAACAACTTGCCCCATGCAGGGTAATACTTAGGGGCCCAAAGTGCCTCCCTGTACTTGCCCCAGGAGCACCCAATACGTGGTAGATTATAGTGATGATGGTAGTAACAACAGTAATAATCACTGCAGTGATACAAAGCGTGTAAACCTGCCCGCAGGGTTTTAAGCCTTTCACAGTCTATGAGTTGCAGGTGTGCCCTCTCGTGGTTATAATTGTCCCTATTTTCAAGATGAGGAGACAGAGCTGCAGAGGGGTTAAGTCAGCTTCCTTAAAGCTTCACAGACAGGAGCAGCTGGTCTGGATTCGAATCCTGGTGGTTGGCTTCCTCGCCCAAGTCTCTAACCTGGGCATCCTCCTGCCTCTCAGAGAGAGGCTAAGTAGAGGTGCACTGATGGCTGCATGAAGTCTGAGAGAGCCAACTCGACTTGACACAGATGCTCAGGCTAGCCCTGACTGCTGGGTCAAGGTCAAGGATCTCCAGGGATGAAAGTCTCTGGTCCCTGGCGTATGCGACCTCCAGTCTCCTTATCAGGCATGCCGGGGACTGTTCAAGCCCCTATCGACTTTGCTTAATGCCTCACCCATTAGTTTTATTCAGAGCCCTTTATGTGTTTGAAAATATTCCTCTTCATTATTCATATTGTGCCACAAGAATGATATATTTGAAGAAATCATCATGAATAAAGTGGCCAATTTAGCAGTGAGATTTACTAGGAAAATACTCAGTAAAAAATAGTCAGCCACCACAGTTTCTGGGAGAGAAAAAAAATGCTGTTTGGGCCTTCGTAGTTATGGAACAATGCTCATAGCTGCGGGATCCTATTCAATAATGTTTCCTATAGCAATTCTCAGACAAAGAAAGAAAAAATTATTTTTAATAATGATAAAAGGGGAAAGAAAGTGGCTTCAATTCTAATCAAACCTCTCGTTACAGAAAAAAGAAATTATCCTCTTTCCCCCTATCGTTCTAAAATAGTTTGGGGGAGGGTAAACATGTGTGTACATTAAAAATAGAATTGCTAATAATCTTGCAAGTAAATGTTCTGGGTTTGGGAGGCCAGATGGCAGGGCAGTAAGAGCTAGAGTCAGAAGCTCGTCTCTACTCAACTCTCATTAGTTCTGCAGTCCAGGAGAAGGGTAGTTAGTTGGCATGACTGAGCCTCCACCTCATCGTCCTTAAAATGGGGTTAATTTTGTACCTAACAGAGAGGACCAGTGTCTCAAAATTCATGTTCTCCCTTTCTTTCAGTTGCATTGGCACTGGGAAGGTGCTGGTAAACCAGCTCACTGAAAACAAACAAAACAAAAACCTTGATGTGTAGCCTTTGTTAAATGCTGTGGTGTAAATACTCTCACCGTGGCTGGTGTTTAGCTTCCCACGACATCCTTGGACGTGGCGCTGGACAGAAATGCACAGAGTCGGCTCTTGATCCCTGGCAGGGAGCAGTGCCTATGCAGGACTAAAGGAGCTGCCCAACCCCAGTCCATGTTTCCCAGCACCCTTCTGCCCAGGTTTCAAGGTGTGGTCATTGATTTTCCTCACTGATCTTTGTTAATTTCAGTGCAAGCTTTTAGAAAACGCGGTTGCCTCTTCCCTGCCCACTCTCACCTTTCTGATGGAGCCACGCAAGGGGAGAAGCCTGAGTCCCTGAATCACTGTATGGAGGAAGCTGTCCCTGGGCACAGACACCCACATGAAACTCTTAGGTGATTTGAAAATATCCTTTTGGGGTCTTTTCTAGCATTACTCTAATGAATGAACCAGCATATGGGATGTTAATAAGAGTGCTTATCTCATAGGATTCTTTGAAAAGCACTTAGCTCAGTGCCAGGCACCCAGGGACACTAAATGTCCTCCCTATTATAGAAGTGCAACAGAAATAGAATAATTAGACTTCTACATTATTATACAGAGAGAAACCTTCTACGTTCCTCAAATACAGATACACTACCGTTAGGGGATACCTATTTATTCATTAAGCACACTTATTGAACATCTACTATTTGTAAACTTATATAAGTCATCTTTTCCTTCGACGAGGCACCTGAACTCCACTGGGGAGAGAAGCCATGTACGTCAGTGGCTATCTGTGTATAAGGCAGAATGGGATGAGTGCCCAGTGAAATCTATAGTGAGCACTGAGTAGTTTCCAGGCACAGGGTAAGCACGGACACCTTGCATAAGTACTTACACTAAGGGCAGGTTTTATTATTATCCCCATTTTACAGATAAAGAAACTGAGTCTCGGAAAAGTCAGAACTGGGATTTGAACCAAGGCAACCTGACTCCAGATCCCACACTCCTACGCAGTGCATGGAACCACTCCCTGCAGTAGTTCAAGGAAAGTGCAGGGGTTACCAACAGACGGGGCTTTTGAGAAGGTCCCTGAAGGAGAGGTGGGCCAGGTCATGTGAAGCCAAGGGCAGAGCTGGTCCAGGCCACCGGAATTTGGAAAGAAAGTGGGTTCCTGAATATGGCGGGCCCCACATGCCTGGTTAAAGAGTTTGGGCTTAGCTCCAAAAATCAAAAAACTTGAAAATAAATTCAAAAACCAGACAGGGCTTGGATTATTCGGCTTCTTCCCTGCAAATGACTACCTGGCTTTAACTCCAAGTCGGAGCTATTTCACTCATTAGCTCAGATTCCATACACTAGCAGTTTCTCTCCAGAACTCAGATTTATTTAAGTTCACCATTAAAATGCAAGCTGGAATCTACTCTAACATCTCCATAGCAATGAATGTCCTAAAAACCAGCGCCAACTTTAATGATTAAATTATCTTTATTTTATTTTCGATTCTTATATCTCGACATTTCCCCAAACTTTATTAGACTTTCACTAATTCAATTATACTTTGCCAAACACCAGGGAGGAGACATGCTCCCCAAAGAGATCTATTCCAGCTGTGAAATATACATAGTGCGGACATCTCTTCAAACACCATCATTTTAACAATGTTTATGGGGCCTCTTATTGCAATTGTTTTAAGTCACAATTTATAATCCTGAATTAGAGAGAAAAAACTCTTCAACCCAAGGCAGTTCTATGTTAAGGATCTTATTGCAAGGAGTGGTAGAGGGCATCATTATAAGGGAAAGTTGTGTGTGTGTGTGTGTGTGTGTGTGTGTGTGTGTGTGTGTGTGTGTTTTTAATGTTCTTCAAGACATTTAACAGGAATTAGTGCTATTTTGACTGTGGTCATTGAATGGGGAACAACTTTAGGGCGTACAAATCATGGAGTGAGCCTAATGTTATAATTAACATAAAGAGTAGATTATAAAAAATAAAAGACACCGATGAGGCTGTGCCAAGTATCAGTTAGCAATGACTTTTCCATTCCTCAGAGAGTTTTCACCCATTCCCAACCTAGGCAAGGCCAGAAGCCAGCCTTTCTCTGTAGAATCATAAGGAGGAGGCCACCCAGAGGAGTACAGAAACATGTGGAAAGTTTTTTTAAGTTGGTTTATTCACCTGCTCAAAACTTTCAGGTTGACCTGACCAGGCCATGTCCCATTCACTCCTTCTGCGAGCAGGGTAGATATTACCTCCTCCAGGAAGCCTTCCATGCACCCTAGCACAGGGACGAGCCTGTCTTCTCAGTGTTCCCAGCATTTATCCCTGCAGTGCACCCTGGCTGGGATGATTCTGGAGTACATACTTCCCATGATTGGTGGTAGCCATCTCCTGAGCTGTCTGGCTTTCCTCTTCACCACTGACCAGGGCCTCATCAGGGGTAAGTCTGACACCCAGCTCAGTAAACACTGTGCAGGTGTGGCTGGCTCCTGAGGTCTGTGGCTCCTAAGGGTCCCAGGTCCATCCAAGCTGTGGGAGAAAGGCCAGGTTGGGGAGGGGTGTTGGAAACCCACCAGTCTCTCTTGCTGCTCAAACCCCAATGCCAATTCTGCGTCCCTCTTCCTCCCAGCAGGCTTCGTAGGAGTCTGCTGCTTTTCCCATTCATTGAGGCCCTGCTTCCCCAGAGATCTCAGCACTTGCTAGGCTGAGGGATGATTCCTTTGTCAGCAGGACATTGAGTTGGATCTGGGTAGTGAGGCAGTCACCACCACCTTGCCCCCAGGTGGGTAGGGAGAACTCAGAAGGAAGGAAGGCGTCTATGCAGAGGCATGAGCAGCTCCTTCCTCTTCAAAAAGGCCTCTCCTCCTGGGCCTGGGGGTGGGATGGAGGCTGTGTTTTGTTATTGGAAGGAAAGGGTAAGGACTAAGTCCTAAAATAAACACAATTCCCTGGGGGAGAGAATCACACTTCACATAATCCAACTCTCTCATTCAATTATTCATTCTACCATCATTTGCTAAAATTTTACTAAGTGTCCTCAGGAAAAGACAAGAGAATCTGGGTAAACATAATAGACACCCCATCCTAACAAGTCAAGGGAAAGACAAGTGATTAAAAACAGAGCTAACATTTGTGCAGAGCTTGTTATATGCCAGGTAATATACTAAACACTAAATGTGTTTACTCTGCCATCCTCTTATGCAGGGGGTACTTTTGTTATCCCATTTTGCAGATGCAGAAACTAAGGCACAGACATTCAGTACTCTACCAAAAGTCATGTGACTACTAAGTGGCAGTACTGAGCTTCAAGTCTGGGAAGACTAGACTCTTAACTTCTCCTCCAAGTAAAACCTGTTGCTCACCACAGTACAATGGGCTCATTGCGCCAGTGAAGTTTATACAACTATTGATTCCACGGGTACACTAAACAAGAATAATAAAGAGTAAATTATCATATGTGGGAGTGGGGAGATCAAGAATGTTTCCTCAGAAAAAGGAGTCGTTTCATTGGAGTTGTAAAGGATGAGGAGCAGTTGGCCTGGACAAGAAGTGGAGGAAAGGGCATTTCATGTCTGAAGAACAGAGGAGTTTTATATGACTGATGTGTGGGGGATGGAAGGAGCAGGGGAAATGGTGGAAGAGAAGAGGCTTAAGAACTAATTTGTGGTTAGACTGAGAAATGCCTTGTATAAAATGGTAAGAAACCAATTATTTTACCACACTCAATAGGAAATGGTGGCAATCTGTGCTTGCATTTTTACCTCAATTCCTTTCCTTTGCCATTCACCTCTCATGTACCTCTCAGCACTAAAGAAAGAGCTCTGGAAAGCTGTGGTTATTCGGCAGGTCCACTTAGCAAACCCTCACCATGTGGGGGCAGAGAGGGCAGCAAAGTGGTTTCAGATAGAAAGCCTCAGTCTGCTCATTGGTGATAATCAGGAGACTCCGGAAGCTCAAGTAATCTGTAACCTAGATCATGAATCCCGAAATAGCACAAAGTGTTATTCCTCCATGATGTTATTTTTAAAATGTACTCATCAGATGTATTTATACTCTGCATCTTTCAATTTAAAAAAAAAAAAAAGAATTTGAGGCAACTTAAAGAGCCAATGTAAAATACGATTAATAAAATGGCACTAAAAATAAGAAAACACACAAGGGTCAGCTCAGTTGCTGTGACTGAGTTTAGAACCAGGATCTGAGCTTCCTAGTGGCCAAAGCAATGAGGGAAACTCAATGTTATATAACTTGGATTGTCCGAAAGCAACAAACCACAACAGCTCCCCAGGGGAGACAGACTTTCCTAGTTCTAAAGTCTGAATGAAATATCTCAAGTTCAATGTTGCACAGGAAACACAGAAATAGCATCATATGGCTTGTAGGAACCTTAAATAAAAGTTAAGAGACATGACATTTAAAGCAGTGTGTGGGAGGAAAGGGATGTGTCCACATATGGGAATTTCCTGGGATCCCAGTGTTTATCCTGCATTCATTCATTCGTTCATTTTTTTATCCCTCCGCTAACAGCTACTAATGACTCTTAAATGTTGGATTGTCTTCTAGGCCCTAAAGTCAGAGAACCAGACACAGGAGGAAGAAGAAACTTCAGAGAGGTGAAGCATGGGCCAGTGCTTGAGAAAAGCATTAACTGATGCCAGGCAGAAGCGAGTATAAAGTCACCAAGGTGGGCAAGGGCTTAGCACGCTCCGGGGATGGGGCTAGGATGAAAGTGGGCCCATTCTAATGTCCAGCTGTAGCAGTGGGCATCGGCAGACACTTGGTTTTCTTACATAAAAATCTCTTCAGGACAGGTCTGGAAGGCTGGACTGCAGCCCTGGGTCTGACCCCAGCCCCCTGTGGGACCTCGGGTGAGCCTTTTAACCTCTCTGTGCTGACTTTCCTGCACTTACAAAAAAAAAACAAACAGACTCCAACCTTAGGATGTTCATCTCTGTCTTGTCCAGTAGAAAATTCTGACTCCATGTATGTATCTTTGAGCCAAAGACAGGATTATTTGTGTCAATAATAAGTAAAAGTAAATAAATCTCTGGTGTTTAAAAGGTACAAAGGTGTTGATCACAGAGGGCTTGGGAATCTGTCAAGTCCTGCCCTTCTCTTCAAACCTCATAACCATCCTTGTGGGGTATTTTCCTTCCCATATTAGACATAAACACCCAGCAACTAAATCCTTAGAGAAAAATAGTTCAAGAACCAAAATATAAATTTTACATGATTACGGGGTGACTTAATATTGAATCTAACCCACATATAATTACATTGTTCAACTCTGGGGTTATTTTCCCTGCTGCTATTATAACCATCTATCTTCCTAACAGGATAATTTGATCAGTTACCAGTTAGTGTTTTTTCGGTTGTACATTTAGGGACTAAGTGACCTGAAGTGCAATCAGAGGAACACAACCGAGTTCCCTTGCTCTCGACTAAACAAGGGCTCTTCACCAGCCCAGAAAAGTTCCACTTTGGTTTTACAGTCGTGAAAGCATCGGTGCATTTCCAGACAGGGGAGCCATAAGATTCAGCAAAATGGGGAAAATGCGATTGTGAGGATGAGATGGGACAATGTGCCTGAAGCTTATGGCACACAGTAGGCATTCAATAAATGATGCTCCCTCCTTATCCTTGTTATGATTATTCTTCAGTGTCTCAGATGTGTCCTCCGGTTTAACTTCCTTGTGTTTTAATTTTTTTTTTTAATGAAGATGAGAGATCTTCAAGGTCACACAGCCCCTGAGGAACTAAAGCCACACAAAAACAAAAGCCTCCAGTGCCATTGCCCAGGGCTCTTCCAATCTGCCCTGCAGCTCCTGTTTGGAATGCAGCCTGACCCTTTGCAGACTGACAGTGGGGGATGCTGACCTACTGGGTGTTCCTGCTGTCAGCAATGGGCTCTGTGTGGCATCCAGGCCCATGTCTCTGAGGCCTCAGCGTTCTTGACACTTGGAAGAGGTAACAAATAGGAAGCTGCAATCCTGAAGATTACAGGGTGCATCACAGTGCTCTGCAGACCCCAGCTGTGCTGTAGCCTCCACCACACAGTTAGCACGTGACTGTTCTTGGGGTGTCCTGCATCTTGGTTACATCTTCCTCACCAGGCTCTGCAGGGGAGACAAGGAGGTCACTGTTCCTGGCAGAGCAGGACACTGGGGGTGACCCTAACGTAGCTCATTTGGGGGTCCAGCAGGTACAAAAGATGTCTAGAAAATGGGCCAATAGTCAACAGGCCCAGAATGAAATATACAAGATGGACATTAGAAGGAGCAGGGAATCCAGGGATGGCAAGATGGGAAGCGCACAGGCAGCAGGACCTGCAATATACAACAGCAAGTGTAAGTGGCCCTGGCTGGTCACTTGTCTCTGTCCTACAAAGCCAAGGCAGGTCTGTGAAGAACTGAGGTTCCAGGAAGGTTATAAGGACCCAAGGAAATGTCTTGGACAGTTTGGTGAGCAATGGGTTTTGTTATGGAGATGAACGTGGAGGTATCAGAACTGAGGACAATAGTTGCATCCATGTGGGATGCATTGGGAGGTAAGACTAGGGACCTGGGCTGGGGCTACTCAAGCCTTCTGTGCACTGGGGAGGGTCAGTACCCTGGGATGCAGGGAAAACCGGGATGGAGGTGCTCAGAGACAGATAGAGCATCCTTGCACAATGCTGGTCACATAGAGGTCCTCAGATGGATTCAGTGATCAACTGGCTGTTCAACCAATCGATTGATGTATGTATATGAGTTCTTGTTAAAGTTAGTGGAAACCTACTCTGCCTGCTTTTTGCAACAAAGGGAGTGGGGGCAGGCTATTGGAAGAAGGCAAGGGGTGGACAGATTTGATGGGAGGCTGAGGACCAGGCTTGTGTAGGACTACGCTGGCACAGGAGCAGAGACAGCATTGGCAACCTAGCATGGCCCACTCCAACTGCCACCAAGTCCACAAAGCTGGCATCTGGGAGTTTGCGTCTCATGGGCTGAGCCAAGGTCATGAGCCTGTCCCCTTGCTGTACCACCAAGCTGGTGGGAGAAGGACCTGAGCTCCTTGGTGTGGGAGGACAGGCAGCAGAAGGAGGGGGTCACCCAGGACTGGTCTCCTCCTGGGTCCGTGTAGAAGCCAGAATTTTTCCCAAAGGGAGAGAAGGGTGAGATGATGCCAAGCGGCTAAAAGATAAAGAATATTCCTCTAATCTGCCCCCTCTGACACTCCTATGGCCCTTTTGATTTTGTGTACTTGGTATCTACCCTAAATAAAGAAGGCCTCGTAGGAAAAAGAAATGGGGGCACCACTGAGAATGTATAGGATCTCATCCATGAGTTAACCCTGCGGTCTTTAGCAGTTGAAGCTTGACTGCCCCAGAAATCCGTAAAAGGCAGCTGCTGCTACAGGCATTCAACTTTATGGCTCTGGCCTCGTAAGTGTGGGACCACTGTCACTTTTCCTTGCTTCTGCAATGAGATTCTTCCCTTTACTCAGTAATCTTTAAAGTATGTATATAATATTGCATAAAAGCCATTATATGTGCACAACTTAGAGTCTGAAACCTTTTGTGGAATATTACATCAAAAATGTTTTACTGAGTCACTGAAACTCTCTTTAACACCGTCATTCATTCATTGATTCTTCCATTGGCCTGCTCATTCACTAGGTTAGTAGTCAGTCATTTGGCAAACACACTCTGAGCACCTGCTCTGTACCAGCCTCTGCTAGGTGCTGGGACATGGTGAAGGACAAGGGGGATCCCCTGCTCTGAAGGAGCTGAAAGTCTAGGAAAAGATGCAGACATGCCATTTGTGAAATGATAACACAGGGTGGCAGAAGCCCTGATGGGAGGTTCTAAGGTGCCCTGAAGGTGCACAGGAGGGCTTCTAACCCTTGGGCTTTTTGCCGGGAGGTGGGTTCAGGTGGGTTAGGATGAGAAAATCCTTCCTAGAGGAAAGGGCATCTCAGCTGAGACCTAAAGGACAATAAGAGCTTGCCAGGTGAGTCATGTCTTTTTTTTTTAATTATACTTTAAGTTTTAGGGTACATGTGCACTACGTGCAGGTTTGTTACATATGTATACATGTGCCATGTTGGTGTGCTGCACCCATTAACTAGTCATTTACATTAGGTATATCTCCTAATGCTATCCCTCCCCCTCCCTCTCCCCCCACCCCACAACAGGCCTCAGTGTGTGATATTCCCCTTCTTGTGTCCATGTGTTCTCATTGTTCAATTCCCACCTATGAGTGAGAATATGCGGTGTTTGGTTTTTTGTCCTTGTGATAGTTTGCTGAGAATGATGGTTTCCAGCTTCATCCATGTCCCTACAAAGGACATGAACTCATCCTTTTTTATGGCTGCATAGTATTCCATGGTGTATATGTGCCACATTTTCTTAATCCAGTCTATCATTGATGGACATTTGGGTCGGTTCCAAGTCTTTGCTATTGTGAATAATGCTGCAATAAACATACGTGTGCATGTGTCTTTATTTTTTTTTATTTTTTATTTTTTTGTTAAAACTAAAGGATACTACAATTTTTTTAATTTATTATTATTATACTTTAAGTTTTAGGGTACATGTGCACAATGTGCAGGCTAGTTACATATGTATACATGTGCCATGCTGGTGCGCTGCACCCACTAACTCGTCATCTAGCATTAGGTATATCTCCTAATGCTATCCCTCCCCCCTCCCCCCACCCCACAACAGTCCCCAGAGTGTGATGTTCCCCTTCCTGTGTCCATGTGTTCTCATTGTTCAGTTCCCACCTATGAGTGAGAATATGCGGTGTTTGGTTTTTTGTTCTTGCCATAGTTTACTGAGAATGATGATTTCCAATTTCATCCATGTCCCTACAAAGGACATGAACTCATCATTTTTTATGGCTGCATAGTATTCCATGGTGTATATGAGCCACATTTTCTTAATCCAGTCTATCATTGTTGGACATTTGGGTTGGTTCCAAGTCTTTGCTATTGTGAATAATGCCTCAATAAACATACGTGTGCATGTGTCTTTATAGCAGCATGATTTATAGTCCTTTGGGTATATACCCAGTAATGGGATGGCTGGGTCAAGTGGTATTTCTAGTTCTAGATCCCTGAGGAATCACCACACTGATTTCCACAATGGTTGAACTAGTTTACAGTCCCACCAACAGTGTAAAAGTGTTCCTATTTCTCCACATCCTCTCAAGCACCTGATGTTTCCTGACTTTTTAATGATCACCATTCTAACTGGTGTGAGATGGTATCTCATTGTGGTTTTGATTTGCATTTCTCTGATGGCCAGTAATGATGAGCATTTTTTCATATGTCTTTTGGCTGCATAAATGTCTTCTCCAGGTGAGTCATTTCTAGTGACAGCAACGTCATCTCCTGGCGAGGGTTTGCAAGCAGAGGTGTGATGCGATCACCATGGCCGTTTATAAAGATGACTCTGCCGCCAGCGGCGTCTGCTATAAGCAGGGGAGTCACCACAAATGGGGATTAACTGGCCTGAGTGAGACTAAAAGCACATTTGATTAAAGCCAGTAAGGCTCCAGAATTTCTACATGGGAGGGGCTGGGGGTGCCTATCTGCTTGGAAGAGAGGACTGGGGACCTGGTTTTAAAGCTGAAGTGCTGTAATCAACTCACAGTGTATTCTTATATCTTTTTCTGGGGTGGCCTGGGGGCTACAGTACTGAGAGAGTTGGAAGAGGAAAGAAAAGCCCCCCAAGCCACGCCTTCCAATTAAAATAGATTCTTCCGTCATCACTAAAAAAAAATTAAATAAATGAATACGGCCAGACGTGGTGGCTCACGCCTGTAATCTCAGCACTTTGGGAAGCTGAGGCGGGCAGATCACGAGGTCAAGAGATCGAGACCATTCTGGCCAACATGGTGAAACCCCGTCTCTACTAAAAATTCAAAAATTAGCTGGGTGTGATGGTGTGCGCCTGTAGTCCCAGCTACTCGGGAGGGTGAGGCAGGAGAATCGCTTGAACCCGGGAGGCAGAGGTTGTAGTGAACCAAGACCATGCCACTGCACTCCAGCCTGGCAACAGAGTGAGACTCCGTCTCAAAAATAATAATAATAATACTATAATAAAAATAAAAAATAAATGAATACAAGGGATGAGTTAGCTCCTTTGCACCAGAACAGAGAACAGTTAGGACATGGCCAGTGAAGCAGAGTGTACCCTTCTGATAGGGCTACCAGGTTAAATTCAGGAGGCCCAGTTAAATTTGAATTTCAGATACACACAAATAATGTTTATAAGTATGTCCCAAATGTCATATTATTTGTTGTCTATCTGAAATTCTAATTTAACTGGGAGTCCTATAGCTTTCTTTGCTAAATCTGGCCACCCTACCTTCTGAACTGTCTCCAGATGGAACATTTCTGCTCCCCAGGATGCCACTCTGCAACTAGAAGGCATGGCTTTCTGTCCATGGAGGTCTCTCCGTCTCCAGCTCAGCCAGAACCAGCTTTGGACATTTTCTGGCTAAGGCATTCCAGGGGAGTTATTCATGGAACTGCACTTCCCTGGAGCTTGAGTCCTTCTGGGGGCTTCATTTTTCCTTCAAGGCATTGAAAAGCTGGGCGAGGGGACCTCCCATTGCTTTTGAGACTGTTTGGTTGACAGAGCCAAGAAGAAAAGAAAGGGAAATAATCTGCAAAAGGAATTTTGGAAGAAATAAAATGTCGGTAGGGGAAGGTTTTCCATGGCAATCTAGAATGACCCAGGAGCTGACCCAGCACGTCCTGCAGCCCTGCCACCACCACCACCAACCTGGTGATGAGCTTAAGGACAATTGCAAAGCATAGGACAAACCATTCGCCCACCTCCCTGCCTCCAGGGACCCCAGCTCCCATCATTACCATGGCCTGACATGATTTTTCCTCCCTACTCCCACTCATTGCTCCTCGACCGGGTCCTCAGCAAGGAAAAACTGGATTCAGACAACCTGGAGTCTAACTCCCCACTCTCTCACTGACTACAGTGGGGGCAAGTTAATTGTCCTTCCTAGTGCAGGCAACAAACAGGCTTAAACAAGCTAATGCAGACAAGCCCTAAAGGACAACGGTGTGTGCCTTGTTCCTCCTGGCAGGGCCATGCCTAGCAGGGTGTCCAATTCATAGTAGATGCTCAATAAATCTTCCCTGTGTCTGAACCTGGAATGAGGAAATGCTGGGCTCCGTGGTCTGTGCTATTCTGATTATAAGGAGAAATAAATGGGCTTTTCTGAAACAGCAGACACTATTCACTACTAAATTCACTTTAAAGCCCACCAGGAAAAAAAAAGGGGGCCTCTCCATCCCTTATCACCACTGAGGAAAGAGATAAGGCTTATACCCAGAATGAATTCAGGCTTATATTTATGTAGAGAAGTAATCACACCATCAAAGCTGAACAAGAAAGTGAAAGGGTGTTAAGACAAATGAATTTAAAAGCACACAATACCAGTCCCTGATTTGCTTTCCCAGGCAATGAAATATTTCAGAAGATTAAAAATGGTTATGTAACACCCAGAATCCACATTGTCAAAAAGATTTGTAACTCAATGTTTTCCTACCCAGGTACCAAATGAAAGAGTTTCATCTTGGGTTTGATCCTGGCAATTTTTTTTAAAGATATAAAATATATTGAAATATTTAAATTGTTTGTCAGATGTAAACTTGCCCATGTCCTGACACTTTTAAAATATATCGTGGCTTCAAACATCACTTCTCCTGATAGGATTTTTTAAGTTGTTTTATAATGCATTAATAGTGAAGATCAGAATCCGAAAGACTACTGTATTTGTAATGTTCACTTTTTTTTTTTTTCCCCTCATCCCCTATAATTTCCAGAATGTAATTCTGCCCCCAGCTGGTTAAAACATCTCTGACATCAGAGAGAAATGGGAAACTTCTAAATGTCTCCATTCATCGGGGACCTTCATCGGGGGAGGACAAGGGCATTTGGCTTGCACAGCTAACAATCGCCTTCGGGAATGAGGTTCCCTCAACTCTGGAAGGCTGTGTTTGTTTGTCAGAGGCAAGTACGCACTATTTCTCTTTATACAAGCAAGGAAACCTAAAAAGAGGGGAATGCATTTCAGAAAGACCCAGGTTTGCTCTCTTCCTCCTCTGGAGCCTTACCCTTAATGAGGTATCGATTGCCTGGCTATGATAATTGTGCCGTCACTGGAGATCAGTCCAGGATGGAAAGTTAATAAAGATGACTATCACACCACAGTCTGCGTCTGAAGGCACGCCAAGGCACTCGGATTTGTTTTCTTAATGTGGGTGTTTTCTCCTTTTCCATTAAGTTTTCTAAAATGTATTCCGGCTTGCTCACACTGCTGCAAGAGCTGCGGAACCAGCATCTCTAGTACTGCAGTGAGCTCTGCTCTCAGTAAGGTGGGTCGTCTTTCTCCCCCATGTCAGCAAGGAGCAGCCAGGGGTGTGGAGCCCAGGCCAGGGTCCGTACGTTTGTAAAGGCTACATCTTTGACCGCCTACACCCCACAGCGACCGTCAGCCACCTTTGTGGTGGAGGAGGGAATTTTGGAGCTCACAAGGGCCGGCCGGATGCGGTGGCTCACGCCTGTAATCCCAGCACTTTGGGAGGCCGAGGCGGGCGGATCACAAGGTCAGGAGATCGAAACCATCCTGGCTAACACGGTGAAACCCCGTCTCTACTAAAAAATAGAAAATAGAAAAAATTAGCCGGGCATGGTGGCGGGCGCCTGTAGTCCCAGCTACTCGGGAGGCTGAGGCAGGAGAATGGTGTGAACCCAGGAGGCGGAGCTTGCAGTGAGCCGAGATCACACCTGAGGCAGGAGAAATGTGTGAACCCGGGAGGTGGAGCTTTCAGGGAGCTGAGATCGCACCACTGCACTCCAGCCTGGGTGACAGAGCAAGACTCTGTCTCAAAAAAGAAAAGAAAAAAAAAAAAAAAAACAAAAAAAAAAGAACTCACAGGGGCCTCTACAGAGAACTCAGAAAATGGCGTTGAAGTCTAAGCTGCCAATCCCCCAGTTCAAGAGAGCAACTGGAGACCTGAGAGGCCCAGGGATTTTTAGTCAGAATGGCTCTTTTAAGATTTTAAGAAGAGGCTCAATGGAATGAGTGAAAGAATAGTGGCATTCCTTATCTGCCTGTCTTAAAATTACCTGGTGCTGACCCTTGGTGATCTAACAGGGCGTAGTCGACAGAAAGGTGACTCTGGAACAAGAAGGTCTGGGTTCAAATCCCGCTTCTGTCAACTCCTATCTTGTGACTTTTGAAGGCCGTTTGACTTCACAGGACCTCCTTTCATTGTTTGTGAAATTTGCAAAGTCATGATCAAGATTTAAAAAATAGCAGTGCGTCTGAAAGTGCTGGTACATTCCTAGGAGTGCCGAGGCACTCAGTGAATAGAAATAGTTCTTCTCTTCCCAGAGTTTAAGATGAGAGTGGCACACTTTTTCTGTAAAAAGCCACATCTAATACATAGTTTAGGCTTTTCAGTTTGTCCTTCCTAGTGCAGGCAACAAACAGGCTTAAATGAGCTAATGCAGACTAAGAGGCAAAATCAAGAGTATGACATACTTATACAATAAGAGGGAAAACATTTTTTCTCAAAATTTTTATTGATGAAATTAAACATGGAATGGTTGGGTGTATTTATTTTTTATCATACAGGTCTGCACGTAAGAAAAATGAATTTTTTGAGATAATATTTTATTTAACATTTGATAGTGTTTCCTATCTTCAAATCAACTGCAAATGTTCATTGTAAAAACTGTTCTCAGCTTGCAAGCCATACACAAACAGGCTCAGGCTGGATGTGACTACAGGCTGTAATTTGCCAACCCTTGGTTTCTGAACAGAAAGCCTTCCCTCCCACACGTGCATCTCGGTTCACGTCCTCTGGCCCCTTTAGGTTCTTGAATCAAACTGCTTGCCTTCCCTTCTGCTGCACTCTGAGTGTTTGTGCCCCCTAAATTCCTGCATTGAAACCTGTCCCCAGTGTGATGGTATTAAGAGGTGAGCCTTTAAGGAGCTCTCACAAATGGGATTGGTGTCCTTGTAAAAGAAGTTCGAGGGAGCTTGTTTATCCCTTCCGCCATGTGAGGACACAGTGAGAAGGCACCGTATGTAAACCAGAAAGTGGTCCCAGACACTGACTTTGCTGGCTCCTTAATCTTGGACTTCCCAGCCTCCAGAACTGTGACAAATAAATGCTCATTGTTTATAAATTGTCCAGTCTATAATATCTTTGTTATAGCAGCCTGAACTAAGATACTTTCACTTACCATAAGACCATGCTCCTCTGTCACCTCTTCTGAGAAGCCTTCCCTGATTCTGCCTTGTCCATACAGAATGAATAGCACCATCTCTTCTTTTATTTATTTATTTATTATTCATTTATTTATTATATTTTAAGTTCTAGGGTACATGTGCACAACGTGCAGGTTTGTTACATATGTATACATGTGCCATGTTGGTGTGCTGCACCCGTTAACTCGTCATCCACATTAGGCATATCTCCTAATGCTATCCCTCCCCCCTCCCCTCACCCCATGACAGGCCCTGGTGTGTGATGTTCCCCACCCTGTGTCCAAGTGTTCTCATTGTTCAATTCCCACCTATGAGTGAGAAATGCAGTGTTTGGTTTTCAGTCCTTGTGATAGTTTGCTCAGAATGATGGTTTCTAGCTTCATCCATGTCCCTACAAAGGACATGAACTCATTCTTTTTTATGGCTGCATAGTATTCCATGGTGTATATGTGCCACATTTTCTTAATCCAGTCTATCATTGTTGGACATTTGGGTTGGTTCCAAGTCTTTGCTATTGTGAACAGTGCCAAAATAAACATACATGTGCATGTGTCTTTATAACAGCATGATTTATAATCCTTTGGGTATATACCCAGTAATGGGATGGCTGGGTAAAATGGTATTTCTAGTTCTAGATCCTTGAGGAATTGCCACACTGTCTTCCACAATGGTTGAACTAGTTGACAGTCCCACCAACAGTGTAAAAGTGTTCCTATTTCTCTACATCTTCTCCAGCACCCATTGTTTCCTGACTTTTTAATGATCACCATTCTAACTGAATAGCACCATCTCTTCTTAACACAGTCTCCTTTGGCTGACTCTGCAGGGAGACAGACAGCCCCTTGAGGGCAGCCCTGGGTTTTCTTATTCAGTGTATTCAGTAGATATAGCCCCAGCACCTACAGAGCTAAGCACATGTCTTTGGGGAAGGAAAGGAGGTAGGGGTTAAATCTGGGCCGCACCAGGGACAAAGATCTTGCCTCCTCCCAGCTATAGAGTAGGAGCCATGGGTGATCAATAACAATAATAAGTGCTAGCACAGACCCAGTGTTCACCACTAACTGGGCATTTCATTGTCATTGTATTATCTCACTTAATCCTTACCCATAGTATAAGGTAGATACTGTTATCTCTCCATTTTACAGATGAGAAAAATTGAGGTCAAATTGCTTGGGTGAGGTCTATGGTAGTGTGCGGTCAAGCCAGGAGTCAAACCTGTGGACATCTCACTCCTGGGCCCATTCAATTGCCCCAGCCCCTGCCTGTGCAGGCTGCTCCTCACACGGCATCCTGTCCCATCTCTACAGCCCAGTGAGCTTCCCTAATATCACCATTTCATTACCATTTTCCTTTTAATCCTCCAATGTTATGAACTTGAAGCCAGACCCCCGAAAGTTCCATATTATATATTGAAGACATTTCCCCAGATGTCCCAATGCTGCTGCTTGTCCCTTTGCCTGTGGTCCAGGCAGAAGAGGTGAAACCAGGTGGGGGAGTCATTGAATGGCCATCCTAAAGGTGCCCTTGGCAATCACATGGGGAAACTGAGGCTCAGAAAGGTGAAGGGCCCTTTCCCAAGTGTCACAGCTCTATGATGATAGAAGCAGAGCCTAGAATAGCAGCAACAGCTATGGAGGCAAAAAAGATGAGGTTACACTGAGCACCAACCATGTGTCAGGCAGTATGCAAAAGAGCTTCCCTGGATGAGCTCCGGCAAATACCCAGTGCCACAGCACTGGGCACCATCATAATGTCCTGGAGAATGAGGTTAGTTCACACATTGGTAAATGAAGGAGCTGAGCCAGCTGGACCTCGCCCAGCCCCATCCCTGTGTTCCTCGGGAAGGTGGATGTGGTGCAGGGGCCACCTCGGACCAAAGGGCCATGCCAGAGTCCCCCTGGCAGGACTGGGTCTGCAGCATCAGGAGTGACCTGATGGTCTCCCCTCAAACTATGTCAAGGCTTTGTGGTTCTGGTATTTCCACCAAGCTGAATAAGTGCCACCAGGAGATCCAAGTTCTGTCTCAGCTGTGCCTCTTCCTGCCCCTATGACTTTGAGAAGGCCACTTCATCTCTCAGAGACTCAAGTTTCCTTCTCAGTGAAACAGAGCTCCTGGTGGCTTCTCAATGGCTCTTGAGTTGGTCTTCAGTCCAAGAGTTCCATTGGCTGTTCAGTTTCATTTCCACCATGCTCCCGTGAATCACCGACCAGTGCCCTGCTCTGCTGAAATCAACCAAGTCCCAATTTCTCTCGCTTCCACACCTAACCCTGTGCCTCCTTCCATCACCTCCTGGGAGTCACCTGCTCTTATGGTTTGGCTGTGTCCCCACCCAAATCTCATCTTGAATTCCCACATGTTGTGGGAGGGACCTGGTTGGGGGGTAACTGAATCATGGGGGCAGGTGTCTCCCATGCTGTTCTCATGATAGTGAGCAAGTCTCATGAGATCTGACGGTATGATAAGGGGGAGTTCCCCTGCACAAGCACTGTTCATCTGCTGCCATCCATGTAAGATGTGATTTGCTCCTCCTTGCCTTCCACCGTGATTGTGAGGCTGCCCCAGCCACGTGGAACTGTAAGTCCAATTCGACCTCTTTCTTTTGTAAATTTCCCAGTCTTGGGTATGTCTTTATCAGCAATGTGACAACAGACTAATACATCTGTCCTCTACCACATCTCCACTCACAGGCCCTGCTGGTGCTGGAATGCAAGGATGGAATGGGTGCAATCTCTGCCCTCAAGGAGCTCACCATCTGCAGAGGAGATGCCACACCCATTCACATGGGTCTAATCTTGGAGGACAGTGACCAGTGCCATAGACAGGGAGGTGTACACTGCTATGGAAGTTTAGAGGTGGAGATTTCTTTAAAAAGAAGAGGATAGGAGGATAGGCAGGCTTCCTGAAGGGGCAGCATCTTAACCTGGAGGGGGACAAGTAGATCTGACTTGGAGATTTGGGTGTTGAGGGAAGGGTCAAGGAGCGAAATAAAAGCAAGCACAGTAGGCCGGAAAGAACCCATTTTACAGATCTGCAAATTGGCTCCACCAAAAGCTTTTCCATCTGCTTTCCCATTTGTCTCCTCTCCCAGAGGGGCTTCCGCTTGTGAGCACCTCCAAGTGGGGATGCTTTCCATCCGAGTCCCAGAGCTCTGCCCAAGCCTTCTGCTCTGCTTTCCCCTATCTTTATACTTTTTTCAGAGCCTTTTAATGGGGTCAAGGCACTGCAAAAAAAAAAAAAAAAAGGCAACTTGCAAAACTATGAATTAGGATAACTTGGGGCACTCCCTTCATCACACACCAGCTGTGGGGCTCTGGCCAAGTGGCCTCCCTGCCGAGCCCTCTTGTCCTAATCAGTAAAGTCAGTGTCTATTACCTGTCCTAGAGAGCCTCTTACTGGGTCACCAAGTACCAAGAGAGAAAAACAGACAGAAGAGCTTTTGGAAGTATAAATTATTAGAGAAAACATGAGCCCATATTATTAGCAGTAACTATTATTACTAATATTAATTAATTACTGTTATTTTAGTAATTAAGTATTATTACTAATGATTTAGTACTAATTACTTATTATTAATTGGCTGCTTATTCTGTGCTCAACCCCATCTGACACTGGGGTCAGGGGCAGGGAGCAGAAGGAATAAAATCCAGGTGAGCCCCTCATGTGTGCCCAGCATGGTGACTTGCCCCTCTCCATTCTTCATAATAGACCTTGTTTTTTTTTTTTTTTTTTTTTTTAAGATGGAGTCTTGCTGTGTCACCAGCCTGGAGTGCAGTGGCACGATCTCTGCTAACTGCAACATCTGCCTCCCGGGTTCGAGTGATTCTCCTGCCTCAGCTTCTTGAGTAGCTGGGACTACAGGCGCCCACCACCACGCCCAGCTAAGTTTTTTGTATTTTTAGTAGAGACAAGGATTCACCGTGTTAGCCAGGATGGCCTCAATCTCCTGACCTCGTGATCCACCCACCTCAGCCTCTCAAAGTGCTGGGATTACAGGAGTGAGCCACCACGCCCGGCCGACCTTGTTTTACAAACAGAGAAACTAAAGTCAGTGAGGTGGCATGCACTGCCCAAGGTGGCACAGCCAGGAAGTAGCAGAAATGGGATTTGAAACTAGGTCCTTCTTCTTACTAGCTGATGCTTCCCAACTGGGGCACAAGCTGCTTAGGATGTCTTTTCCACTGCCCTTAATGTGCTCACAAGTGACATCGGAAAGTCAACATATGCCTCATTCATTCATTCCTATTATCAATGCATTCATTCAGTGACTCACTCAACAATTGAGCATCTACTCGAGGCAGGCCTCTGTGCTAGGCACTGGGTATGCAGGGTGATACCAAGACAGGTATAATAAGGAATGCAGTTTTTACTAAAGTCACAGTCAGCGGTGCAAACAGGCTGAAAAATTGCAGTCCAGAGGAGAGAAATATCAATGTAGGCACTCCCCAGTCATATGACACTTAGGCTACATTGAATGGTCCTAGGAGCCACTTCTTCCCTGTTTTATATTTTTCCCCAGGTAATCTCCTTCGAAGCTATGTCCTTAGATACTATCTCTTTAGAGATGACTCCCAATTTTGAATCTCCCATGACCTCAGATCCTTAAATCCAGCTACCTCCTCAACACCATCACTTGGCTGCATAAAAGGAAGCTTAAATTAAATACGAATGAAACAGAAATCCAGATCTTCAAACAATGCAAACAAATAAAATGAAAAAAAAACTTGTTCAGTCTTTCTCATCTCTGTAAATGGCACTCTAAAGACAAAAACCTTGGTGTCATCCTTGATGGATCTCACTCCCTTCCCCATGATTCACACACAATCACTCAGCGGAGTCTCCGGCTCTGCCTTGAACATACATTCAGAATTTGACACCCTTGCTATCACCTCTGCCACCACACTCAGTCACTGGGACCATTGAAGCCACACCCTACATAATGGTCCCGCCTGTCCCTTGCCTCGCAAACTGTTTTCATTTGGCAACCAGCTGATGTCATTTGCCTCCTTACAAACCTACTTTAGCTTCCCAGCTCAGGGTAAACACCAATTCATGACAGCAGCTCCTATGACCAAACGCAGTCTGCACCTCAACCTCTGACAGCAGCCCCCATCACTCTAGCCTTCTTTCCTCCTGCTCCAGCCACTCTGGCTTCTTGACTGTTCTTGAACACAGCAAGCAATCGCCTGCCTCGGGTCTTTGCACCTGCCCTTCCCTCTGCCTGGAATGACGTTTTCCCTTACTTCCTTCTGAACTCCATTCAACTATCACCTTATCAGAGAAGCCCCCAGTAAAATAACACCTCCAATCACTCATGCCACATTGGTGGTTCTCTTGTTTGGCTTTATTTTCCTCCACTGTCATATTATACACACTTGTCATAGTGTAAATGCATCCATTGCTTGTTAACAGTCTTCCCCCATGAGAATGGAACATCCATGAGGGCAGAAAAGTTGTCTGTTTGCTGCTATTTATGCAGTGCTTAGAACAGTGCCTGGCACAGAGCGGGGTATATGCTCCAGGAGTATGTGCTGAGAGGAAGAAAGGAAGGAGGGAGGAAGGGAGGGAGGAAGGGAGGGAAGAAGCAAAAAAGGAAGGAAGGAGGGGAGAAAGAAAAAGAAGGAAAGGAAGAAACAAAGGAGGGAGTGAGAGAGAGAGGAAAGAAAGGAGAGGGAGGGAGGGAGGGAAGGAGGAAGGAAGGAAGACACTGGACTCCTTGCTAGCCCACAAGCCCACCCTCCTCTTGCCTCCACATCTTGGTCTGATGCTGTTCTCTATGCCTGAAAGCTGCTCTCCCAGCCCTCTCTGCCTGCCGACGTCTTTCTTGTATTTGGAGACAAGCGTCAGCTCCTCCTGGTCTATCCCAGAAGGGAGTCTCTGCTCCCACCTCTCTCCTCCTCCAGCAGTTTGTTTTAGGCACCATCGTAGTCAGGGTCCCAGCAGGAAGCAGAATTTGCCACAGATGGTTCAAATGAAGAATCTTTAATGAAAAGACTCTTAACAGAGGTGAGCAGGGTTAAGAGGACAAAGATAGGATGGCAAGGGCTCAGAGACAGGAAGCATCAGGGAGTGGTTGTCACCCCTAGGACTGAAGGGACAAGAGCAGGAAACTGGAGGCAAACTGTACAGGAGGAGACATCAGGTAGGACCCAAGTTGTGAAGGATGCAGCTCTTGCAAAAGATGCAAAGATAGAAGGAGTGGGAAGAAAAACCTAACCTCCTTTCCCTTCTTGGAAGCCAGGTGGCCAGAAAGCCTGGGCATGAATGGGAGGCTACAGGGCCAAGGTTCAGGCAGCAAAAACAGCATGTGCAAAGGCCCTGTGGCAAGAGAGAGCTTTCAGGGGGTAGGAGGAACTAAAAAGAAACTCAGTGCTGCTGGCCAGCTGAGAGCTGGGGAGGAGACAAATGGGAGAAGGGGTGAAAAAAAGAGGCCGCAGGCGGACCATGTGGGCCTTAAGGATACAAGCCCCACCTCCTGGTTTTCCTGGGGCAGTCCTCAAGGACACCTGTTGTCCCAGAGGAGGCATTAGTAATAAGCTCCACCCCCTAAAGATCCCTGCCATCCCCCCAACACACACACACACACACACACACACACACACACACACACACACACACTTCACTCCCACAAATGGTCCTGATTTGAACAGTAACTTACCTGGCCAGCCTTTCCACAGGGTGTATTGAAGAGCTCTGTCTTCACTGTAAGAGTCGGGATCCCTGAGGGTTGCAGGCAGTGTGCTCATTGCTCGGATTTGCATTTGTAAAGGGTATTCGGGTAGCAATAAAGCAAATGAGTTTTAGGGGCCATGGCATCAGGCCTGATAAAGATGCTATGGAAGTCCTCCAGGGTACCCTCGGACCTGCCTTTTAACATTCATGAGCTTTGGGATAAAATCCAGATGCCTGGGCCAGCTTCCCCCTTCCCTGTGATCTGCCCCACTTCCTTCCAGCCCCACCTCCTGCCACCCGGGCAGCTAGGAGCCCATCCTGCTGCAACACAGGTGCTCATCCTGCATCACAGGCATCACAAGCGCTCATCCTGCTGCAACACAGGTGCTCATCCTGCATCACAGGCATCACAGGCGCCCATCCTGCTGCATCACAGGTGCTCATCCTGCATCACAGGCTTCACAGGCGCCCATCCTGCTGCATCACAGGCACCCATCCTGCTGCACTTCTCGCCACTCCCTCATGGCCCCAAATCCTTGCTGTGCCCAGGTCTCTGCAAAAGCTGTGCCCACACACTGCACCACTCTCCTCTCCTCTCCTCCCCATTGCAGGCAAGCTCCCATTCTTCAAGTGAGAATCTGCTGATACACGCAGGTATTCTGTTAAAGGATCTCGTCACATCATTCTGTTGATGTGACATTTTCCATCTCTCCCCTATTATACCATGAACCACACGAGGATAGAGGGCTTGTCTTTTCCATGACAATATTTAATGTATTTAGTCCAGTGTCAATAAATTAGTAGAAATGAGGGAAAGAAAAGAAAGGGGGAGGGAGAAAGGAATAATGGGAGGAGAGGAGGAAAGGAGAGAGGGAGAGAGGGAAGGAAGAAAGGAAGGAAGGAAGGAAGGAAGGAAGGAAGGAAGGAAGGAAGGAAGGAAGGAAGGAAGGAAAGAAGGAAGGAGGGAAGGAAGGAAGGAAGGAGGGAAGGAGGGAGAGAGTGAGGAAGGGAGGGAGGGAGGGAGGAAGAGAGGAACTCTCAGGTGACTCTAAGCTATTTGTGATTCATCTTTGTTTGCAACTTATCTGGAATCTTGAAGTGAACTTCGGGGACCTGTTAACTTCTTCTTACACAATGCTTTCTGTGATACTTCTTTCCCTTTGTTCTAATTTTTTCCAAATCTCTCAAACTTTCAACGTCCCACACTTCGAGTTACATCGAAGCCCACTCCACTGCAAAAACTTCAACTTGTGATCTTGTTGTCTCAAACATCCTAAGGTTGTATAATAACCAAATGTCTTTGTTCTCACGATGAGAGTATGCATCAAGAATCAAAGAAGCAAGAGGAAAAGGAACGTTCCAGGCTATTACTGTAACAATCCAATTACAATGCCTATCAAACTTAACTTCACAGGTTATAGCTCCTAATTGCCTGACAAAAATTGACACTTCAGTCGCAACAGCATAATATAATCAGAGTCCAAATTAAATTTGATCGTGGGCAGAAAACGATGCTATCATTTGAAGGCATGGAAACAGGAGATCAACTAGCATGATACCAGGGATCAGAAATGAAAATTATTCATTAATGGCAATGCGTTTCTGATAATGGAAATGACACAGTTCAGACGGCTTCGTAAAAACACTATTAATTAAAAAGATGATAGACCTAACAAGCCGTAGAAACCAGAGGACTTTTTTTGGGGTGTGCTTGTTAAGGTGAAAGACGACAATGTGTAAGAACAGAAGTTGATGCACTTTCGTTGGAAGTGTTTCGCTGACGCATGAGCCAAGTTTACTGGCCATTGCTTTGTGAAGTGACATTCTCCAGGGGGCCATGTTCCAGGACTATAAGAAATAAAAAAAAATAAAAAGAGTCTTTGGCCATAATACAGCTCTGCAGTAAGTGCAAATGGTGCTGGCTGTAAAATAGAAGGGCCCAATTCATAAAACAAAAGGCTCAAGGGAGTTTGGGGTACAGTAAAAGAAAAATAGGCCTGGACAACTCTTGAAAGGGTGTGTGTACGTGTGTGTGTTGTTTTCCACCTTGCAAGTTCTGTGTGATTTGTCCCAGAGGGTGGCATTAGTGATAAGCTCCACCCCCCAGACCTCCCTGCCCTCCCCCCAACACACACACACACACACACACACACACACACACACATACACTTCACTCTCACAAATGGTCCTGATCTGAACAGTAACTTACCTGGCCAGTCTTTCCACAATCCCTAATTTAGGGGATTGAAATACACAAAACGACAGGCAAATCTCAGAGCCCATCAGGGTTTGGGTACAGAAATTTAAAGTTCCTTTTTTTTGTTTGTTTAAAACACATCATAAGAAAATAATATCCTTTGAGAATGAGTTATGTGTTCATGTTTTGAGCTGTCTACTCATTCAAACAATATTTTTTGAGTGCCTTTGATATATTAAGCCTCATCTTATGATCAGGGGGGAATTGCACTGAACCAGACAGACACTGTTTCCTTCCTTAGTCTGGCCAAAAAATGGGTGTTGGCCAAGTGCTTAGCCTTGAAGAAGAATTACAGAGAGCGAGACCAGAAGTACTAACTGTGTAGAGGCCAAGAGGGCTTCTTGGAAGAAGTGACATTGAAGGTGAGACCTGAAGTGGAAGATTGGTGAACGATAAGGGGATGAGAGTGAGGGAAGAGTCACAGCTTAGGAAATGACATATTGGCACCTCCAGTTATAACTGTGGGCACAGCAAGGCTATGAGGCTTCCCAAAATACTAACAAATACTACTATTGCATTCATCGAAGGAAACGGTTCAACTTAACTTGATGCTGTAATTAGCTTTTAACAGGGTGAAGGGTCTCCGTTATGGGATTCTTGCATTAAAGGCATGAGACGCAGAAGACAAGAGAGGACAATGCTTTCCCCCACCCTGTTAGATTCAGGTGCAGCCGTGTGACTGACTGTGTTGATCACACGTGGGCAGGATGGCTGTAGGCCGCTTACAAACAGAATCCTTGAGAGTCATCTCACAGCTCCACTGAGTTCTCTTTTCCTTCCCTCCTAAGGACTGGTGAAGTCCCAGGCTGGGTCCCCTCCCTCAACCTGAACCCCATGGTGAAAATGATGCAGCACCCCCTACCAGGGAGGGGTAGCACAGGCAAGAAATGTGTCCTTATCTAGGTCAGCCACTGTGGCTTTGGGGCTCCTGTGAGGGCAGCTCAGCCTAGCCTGTCTTCATCAGTGTAATAGCCAGGCGGGCGTGCAGGGAAGAAGGAGCCAGGGACTAAGGGGTGTCCTTAGCATCTTATCAGAACCCAATGGGTTAAAGAAGCAGGGAAATTGGGGCCTGAAGGAGAAAGGATCTGAATGGGTGCTGCTTCAGAGAGGGAGATTCCAGTTCCACCGAAAGAAAAACCTTCCCGTGAGATTGGCACCTGGTCTTTGGCAATGGTTTGTGAGGTCACTTGAAACCCTGAGACTCAGTGATTTTCTGATTCTGGACAGGAAGACAGATGTCACCAATCCAGGGACCACCAGTGACAAAATATGAAGAACAACCAGTAGCCTGGGTTGTTCTGTCCAATTTGTTTCAGTCTAGGCCAACATCATTCAGTGCAAACTCTATTTTGAGCCAAAAAAAGTGACCTAAAATGTTGTAAAATATGCATACTGCAACCCCAGCATTTCCACCTTCTATTCTTCCCCTCTCCTCTCTCTCCTTTCATCCCTCTCTCCTTCCTCTCTCAATCTTTAAAGAATAAGGAGGCTGGCGAAAGACACAAACCTTATGCGGGGAAGGACATCTGACTGCCATGCAGAATTTTCACAATTCCGGACCCAGGGTAGCCCTGCAGCAGAATCGGGTTCTCTCAACTCAGAGCTCCACACCGCTGGCAGCTGAGTGTCTGGGCCCTTATTAACAGATTCCTAGTGAGTGGGTTGGAGGCCAGGATCTAGCCTGGGCCTGGGCTCATCCAAACCCCCAACAGTGAGGCTCATGGCTGTGTCCATGGCCTGTGACAGGAAGTTGATAGTCCGTGTTCTATGAATGGCCTCCACTCCACAGCTGTGTGCATCCTCCTTCCTGCTGAAACTCACTCGCAGAGTGAAACAGGTTGGCAGCCTCATGCCAGAGAGAGCTTCTGCAGGCAGCAAATCCCCCTGGTCCACGCTCCCCAGAACATTCTACAAAAACAGAAGCAGTACCGGAGATGGGGGTGGACCTCAGATCAGATCGTGAGACCTCATGAGGTCCTTGTAAGAAACATTTTATCCCCGTTTCACAGATGAAGACACTGACTTCCATGAAGTCATGGAATTGGCCCAAAGTCATCCAGTTAATAAGAGGTGGAGCCAGGATTCAAAACCAGGCATGTTCTTCCGAGCTGATGCCTTCCCTATGAGGGATGAGAGGCCAGGCCAATACTGCTGTTATCTCTCCCTTCTATCCTCCCTCTCTCTCTTGGACTTGTGCTCACTCCTCTTGCTCCACAAATCCGCCCGCTTCTCATCTCTGCTTCTCTCCGCAGACTGGCTTCCTCTGCTGGGCTTTCGGTTCCCGCACCCCTGTGACCTCAGCTGACACCTGGTTCTGGCTGATTGTGGTCCAACCCTGGCCCAGACACATCCATGAACTTGCAAATGTCTCCCAACAGCCAATGGAATCAGCATTTCCATGTCATAACCCTAAAATGCCCAGCAGACAGTATCTGGCTGGCCCAAGGGAATGAGGTCACCTGGTAACTGAGATAGCTGCACAGGCCCATTCCTGTGGCAGGCCTCGGGATAGGAGTGGATATTTCTAGAAGCCTAGGAATAAGGAGGTGGTTCCTTACAGCTCCATTACACATCCAAGCACTGGATCTGACAGTTCCAAGCCTCTGGGGCTCTTTGACTCATTTTGCTCCTCTCCAGCCACCATGTGCTCTTTCACTCATTCAGTAAATATTTGCTAAGCACCTACTAAGGGCCAGGCTATGCTCGTTGCTGGGGGTACAGTGGTAAACAACGCAGGCACAGTCCTTCCCTGTATGGAGCTTCTGTTCCTAGTGGGCAGACAGACCCTAAACCAATACATAAATGACAATGAGAGGCCACTTCAGTGGGACCTGTTCTCTGAATGAGATAAACAGAGGATGTGTGGGAGAGTAACTGAGGGTGTGGGGGAGGGAAATAGGGGAGTGGCCTCCTGAAGAAAGGATGTCCTACAGGAGTCAGCATCGGAACTGAGACCTGTGCTTGGGGACCTAGAGGCTGCCAGGACAAAAGGGTAGAAAAGAAAGACCTGGCTGTGCTTGAGAAATGCAGAGGCTTCCAGCTGGGCTGGGGTGGATGCCTGGAGAGAGAGGCCTTCCTATACCCGAAACCCAAAGGAGTTTTCTCTCCAAGCCCAGGATTCTGCAGCTCAACATCCTACTTGAATTCTTCAATGCATTTGTCACGATGTGCAATTATGTTCCAGCTTGTCTCTTTTTTAGTATCTTTTTCCTCCATTAAGTTCTTCTAAGTGCCACGAAGCCAGGGATCTTCTCCATTTTCTCTCCATAATATCCCTCTGCCTAGAAAGACACACAGAATGGATGAGAAAATGAATGAGAGAGAGAAGTGCAAGCCATTGGAAAAGGATCTTGTCTAGGGATGGGTTGGAGCCCAGGCTGAAACAAACATTCCCCACGCAGGCTCAGGGGTGCTGGGCAGCAGCTGGGCCCACAGTGGTCTCTTTCCTTCCTTCCTTTGTTGTGCATTATCCAGAAATAAAGCGGTGTTGATATGGTGCTTTCAGATGGCAGTGATCACGGGAAACGGCCTCTCATTATCCTGCCTGCCCATTGTTTGTTCCAGGTAGAAGTACTCATCCAAGAACACACCTAGCACATGTTCACAGAGAAAAGGATGGCTCCCCTGGCTGTCCCTGTAAGGACAGACACTGGAAATAAACAACTGGCAAGTTCCAAAAAGAGCTTAATGGTCCCCCAGCAGCCTGTGCTCCTGCCGTGCTGGAATCGAAGCATTTATTCTCCTCTTATATGCAGTGGTATGTGGAAGGCTTTGACTTGTTTTCCATTGTAGGAACTGCACTTGTTGGCCCCAGATGCCGGGAAAATAGCAACACCTGTGTTAAAATGGCAAGGAGCTCTTGGCAGCAAAAGCCTCACCTTTGTGATTTAAAAAAAACAAAAATTTAAGGTTATGTACCCAAATCATGTGCTCCAGAGAGTGTAACATCAAGAGGCTCAGTGCAAGCTACTAAAATAATGGGGAAAAGAATGAGGAGATGACTAACTTCTCCCTATAACTAAAATAAAATTCAAAATGGATTAAAGAGTTAAATGTTCAAATGGAAAATAGAAAAGCATTAGTAAATATTTCTCTAACTAGAGGTGAGAAAAATCTTATTAACCATAGTAGCCACAAAACCTAGGAAGAAACCATAAGAGAAAATACTGACATAATCTACACAGAAAAGATAAGATCCTGGCTGTAAAATATAAGATTAAACAGTAAGCCTCAAACCAGGACAAAATATTTTTGACATGGATATAAATAGTAACTTTAACATGAAGAAATCTTTTACAAATAAAGAAGATGATGCCCCCCAACCACAGAAAAATGAGCAAATAATATGAACAGGCAATTTACAAAAAGAGAACTCTAAATGATTAAAGATCTTTTAGAAAAAAATCTACATAACAAGTAATCAAAGAAATAAAAATTAACAAAATAATCAGATACAATCTTTTAGCTATTTAAATTGGCAATGATTTTAATTTTTTTTTTAAGAGACAGGGGGGTCTTACTCTTTCACCCAGGCTGGAGTGCAGTGGCACAATCATCATTCACTTCAGCCTGAAACTCCTGGGCTTAAGTGATCCTCCCACCTCAGCCTCTTGAGTAGCTGAGACCACAGGAGTGAGCCATCATGCCAGGCTAATTTATTTATTTATTTATTTATTTATTTATTTATTTATTTATTTATTTTGTAGAGGCAGAGTCTTGCTTTGTTGCCTATGCTGGTCTCAAACTTCTGGCATCAAGCAATCCTCCCACCTCAACCTCCCAAAGTGCTGAGATTACAGGTGTGAGCCACTACACCCAGCTGGCCATAATTTTTTTTAAGTAATAATACTCCATGTTGATATCATGAGGTGGAATAGACAATTACATGTACTGCTAGGAGAGACTATAATAGTCACATCATTGAGGAGGCCAACTTTCACTGAAACCCTAACTTTTAAGCCCACACCTGTGGTAGACAGAATAACAGCCTCTCAAAGATGCTCACATTCTAATCTCCAGAAGCTGTGAATATGAATATGTTAAATTATATTCAAAAGGAAATCAAGGCAGCAGATGAAATTAACTTTGCTAATCAGCTGACCTTAAAATAAGAAGATTATTCTGGATTGACTGGGTGGGCCCAATATAACCCTAAGGGTTCTTAAAAGTGGAAGTGGGAGGCGGAAGGGTAGTATCAGAATGATGGGATGTGGGGAGGACTGGACCAGCCATGGCTGACTTTGAAGATGGAGGAAGAGGCTGTGAGCCTAGGAATTGCAGGCAGCCTCTAGAAGCTGAAAAAGGAAGGAAACAGAGTCTCCCCTAGAACCTACAAAACGAACGCAGCCTGCCACACCTTGACTTTAGCCCAGTGAGACCTATTTTAGACATTGGACCTCCCGAATTGTAACATAATAAATTGATGTTGTTTTAAGCCACTAAATTTTCTACTGTATGGCAGCCACAGAAAACTAATACAGTACCCTTCCCCTAACAAAAAAAATAGGATCTCTAGTTATTTCTTCTATTAGAAATATTCTAAAATGTAACCAAAGATATATATTCAATGACGATATACAATAGTGACATTTTGGGATCAATTTCATTACACATATATGCAATGGCTGAAAAATTACATATGCCCACAACATGGAATACTATGCAACCATTAAAGTCATTATGATTTTTAATCATAATGGGATGTGGGAAGGACTTAATCATAATCATAATCATTATCATAATCATAATCAAAAAATCATAAAATCATAATGATTTTAATCATAATGATTTTAATGGCTACATAGTATTCCGTGTTGTGGGTATATGTAATTTCTTTTCATGGGAAGATTTCTGATATATCAGTTTAAAGGCAAGTTACAAGACAATATATACAGTAGCCTACAATCTTTGAAAAACTACACGTCTTTAACATGTCTATGCCAAGATCTTTGCCATGCTCATTGGGTGGCAGGACTAAAAATAACTTTATTTTTCTTTTTGTGATTATATTTTTCAAGTATCCAGCATAAAGCCTATATGACCTAAGCAATTTTGAAAAGAGCATTATAAAAGTATATTATAGCACATTCATATGATGAAATAACATGCCACCATTTAAAAAAATAATCAGCCAGGCGCAGTGGCTCACGCCTGCAATCCCAGCCCTTTGGGAGGCCAAGGCAGGCAGATCACAAGGTCAGGAGATCGAGACCATCCTGGCTAACACGGTGAAATCCCGTCTCTACTAAAAATACAAAAAATTAGCCGGGGATGGTGGCGGGCCCCTGTAGTCCCAGCTACTGGGGAGGCTGAGGCAGGAGAATGGCGTGAACCCGGGAGGTGGAGCTTTCAGTGAGCCGAGATTGTGCCACTGCACTCCAGCCTGGGTGAAAGAGCAAGACTCCATCTCAAAGATAAATAAATAAATAAATAAATAAATAAATAAATAAATAATCAAATTATAGAAGGATATTTCATGGCACTGGAAACTATTAATGACATATTACTAATTGAATGTTTCCATGATAGTAAATACATTATGATCCATATTGAGTTTAAAAGAAAAATATGCATAGATGCAGAAAAAAGATTGACTGGAACTACACCAAAATATTACCTGTGATGGGACTATGAGAGGTTTTGATTGTCTGTATAGGTTTTCTGTAATTGGAAGCACATGGGTAATTTTTGTTGCTGCCAATGTTTTCAGAAAGCACTTGGCACTGGTCTCCTGGACAGAGGTCCCGAATGGCCACCTGGTAGTCACAGCTACAAGCTCAGGGGAGCCCTTCCTGCCTCCCTGGTGGACACATTCCACCCTTGGGGATGGCATGCACCAGCCCAGCAGAGGCCAAGGGCCTGGCACAGAGGACACAAATTCTGATTGTGACAGAGTCTGCTTTTCACATAAGGTGCCTTCCCTGTGGACCATTTTTCCTAATGCTTTCCGTCCTCAAATGCCTGGCACCTCTCAACTGTGAGCTCACATGGATGAGCAGTGCATCCAAGAATATTCTGGAAGCTCCATTCCAGGGCAGCCCAACTGGGCAAACTCCTCTCAGAAGCCCCAACATCAACACCTTCTGTTCTCTTTGGGATCGATCAGCAGCCCCAGTGAAGAATCCTCCCAACTCCCAGCAGAAGGGAGTCCTGGAGCCCCAGTAGGAGGACCAGGCTGGGGCTCTGGTGTTTCCTGTGCAAAATTTCACTTCCTTCCTCTTTTCCATCCAGTGCCCCCTCTGCCCCTCTATCTATGGATGCTCAGCTCTGGTTTTTCTCAGAGATGGCGTGAAGAGGATCTACCTGCTTCTGAAGTCATTCTTAAGTCATCCTTGAACAGACAATTATTTTCAGTTGCATCATCATCATCCAGAGGCGGTGCCCCTGTTTCCTGGGGCCTTCAGAGCCTGCAGCGCAAATGGGCAGCTCTAGCTGACCCCACTCTCACCCAAGGCTCCCTTAGGGTACGCATCCTTGGGTTTGCAGAAAGCATCACCCTCCCTGTCTGCTTTCTACCTTACACAGGCTGTTGCTCTTCTCACCCCACATCTTACGTGCCCTTATGGGGTTACATATGCCCACGTCTCCACGTACTGTTTTTGGGTGGATTTGAGGAAGGTGATAAGCCAAATGTGCATGTTCAATCCATTCTCCTTAAACAGAAGTCCAAGTTCTGAATGAATACTGACTTTATTAAACTTCGTATCAGTGACATGGAGTGTGTAGGAATTATTACTATTCTCTCCATTTACCATTGAGAAAAGTGGAATCACAGGAGAGTTATGTAATTTACTAATTTCTCAGCTGGGGGATTCTGGGCTGAAGTCATACAGAATTCTAGGAGAAAGGTTTTGTGCATTACTTGGAAGTACACAGACAGGAGAACATGGGTGGAGAGAAGATGTCAGACCAGGGACTGGCTCATGCAAGGTATGTGAGCAGCGTGGCTGAGCTGGGAACCACGGGAAGACCGCAGTGCTCAATTCTAGATTTTATGGAAGGGCTAACCATGCCTACTTCTGTGCACCAGGGGGAATTTGACTTACAAGACACATGGGATGTTTCCACATCCACTTTGCTCCTGCATCAAGTCTGCCATCCTCACCCCTCCTGGTATTGGGGTTTGAGCTTGGGGAGCTAGCTTTGTGAATGGGCTGTACCTCTCCAGTCCCAGCCTGAGCCCAGGCTGGGCTCCAGGAAATCTCTCTCAGCAGAGAAGACCAATGGGGAAGTGACCAGTGGCTGAGCTGAGAGAAGGTCACACACGTGGAACACTCCGTGGGAAGGAGATTCTGCAACCCCATCTCCCGGCCAATCACATGGAAATCTCAAGCCCACGTAACCCTGATCATCGGGCCATGCTTGGGGGAGATCAGATAAAGGGCCACTTGTGGGTTCCCAGGATGCAGGACAGTGTCTTCCTGAGTGGCAGGTCCAGCAGGCCAGGCTGAGCTGAGATGGGCCTTGTGCTCATTCCCGCAGAGGCCATCTGATCCCTGGGGATCTAGGTGATAGTCAAGCACCAAGGGGATTTTGTAGTCCCAGTGCAAACACCAGGAGATGCCAACTTTACTCAGCAAGAGCTACCTTTCAGGCCGGCCTGGAGATCGGCCAAGGAACCAGGGGCAACCAGGGACTCCACCCCAGGTTTGAACTTTTCCAGAGGTTTGGTTTTCAAGTCAGAGGTGGAAATCCATGTGGGAGGGCAGGCTGGTCCCTCCTCCCATACTCTGCCCAATCCATCGTCACCTAGGCAGGTGGCTATAAGCCTCTTTCCACCACCTTCCTAGCACCCTCCGCTCTGTGCTAAGAAGAACTACAGAGGCAGAGGTTCTGGAGCAGGCCCAGTCCTACTGGTAGGATCTAGCCAGAAGCTGGGTTCACAGTGTTCCTTATGTCAAGCAGCAGTGGCAAAAGTTGCACTCACAGGTGTCAACTGTGAAGCCAGGCTTCTCCTCACCTGGGCTTAAGAAATGTTCTGGAAAGTGACGTGGGTGGTCTTGAAAGTGAACCCCTACTCCAGTGTTACCAAGCTTAGAGGCCATGTTACTTTCCAACTCTCTCATCTTAGCACTTCATGGGGACTCCAATAAGCAGGACTGAAGGTTCTAAACCTCCAAAACCCCTGTCAAAGCTGCAGCATTGCAAGTCAGCTCTCATGCCCAGCAGCCAAGACTGTCTGCCTTTTGCACACAGCATCCTTGATGCACAGTGTGAACACCCACGTGGGATACGGCCTCGATCTGGGGGCACATACCCTCACATGCTGTGCCTTTGGGGGAAAGGCAGGGCTGAAGATGCCCACATTTTTTAAATTTACATTTCCATTGTTTAATCTTCAATTCTGATCTGCAGTTGAGAAATTCTAAATCAATTAGGATTGCCTTCTTTTCGTTCCTAAAAATAGATTCTGTTTCAAAGATCAAATAGAGAACTTTAGGAGAGAACTATTTTGGATTTTCAGAGTACTCATCTTAACTTCCACAGGCTGTTTTATAAAAGTACTTGTTTAAAGGAACAGAAAAAAGAATAAAACAATGTAGGATCTTAGTGCATTGGAGAGTGCACTGCAGCATCAGCTTAGGATATTCTGCCAGTTTAAAAAGTATTCACACTCCCCCTTTCTCTGCTTGGCAAACTCCTATTCATCCCTTCATACCCTAACTCAATTGTCCTATCATCTGTGGAATGTTTTCTGACCGCACTGTCCATTTTCATCCCTAGAAACAATTAATGCTTTTTGTGTGATGCAACCACACAGCTCTTAGTATGTAATCTCTGTGTAGTTTGTATTTTAATCTGCTCTGTATAAAAATTCACATCTGTAAAATGCCTGTCTTCCAAACTCACAAAGGCAGAGACTAAGTCTTATATAGTTCACAGTGATTGTAAAAAAGTGTTGAAAATTCACATGCCACCCCTGCAAAGGCTTCCCAGACTCCCTGGGCAGCAGGAAAATCTACAGACAAGTGATTTAGACTTCTCCCCTCACCACCCACGGCCCACCATGGGTAGTGCGCAGTGGATCTCACTCCTTCCCTTAGGTTATGTAAAAGTCAAAAACGAATTAAAATCCTTCTCTGTAGTCCTCTCATAAGATGTATGAAGAAGGCCATCTGCATTCTTTCCTTCTAGCAAATGAGCTTTAAGAATCAGTTGTGGCCGGGTGCGATGGCTTACGCCTGTAATCCCAACACTTTGGGAGGTGGAGGTGGGCAGATCACTTAAGGTCAGGAGTTCAAAACTAGCCTGCCCAACACAGTGAAACCCCGTCTCTAATGAAAATACAAAAATTTGCCAGACATGGTGGCACACACCTGTAATCCCAGCTACTTGGGAGGCTGAGGCAGGAGAATTGCTTGAACCCAGGGGGCAGAGGTTACAGTGAGCCGAGATTGCACCAGTGCACTCCAGCCTTAGTGACAGAACGAGACTCCATCTCAAAAAAAAAAAAACAATCAGTTGTATCTTGTGCAGACCATCGTGTGGCATGTACCTCAATTGTGGTCAGGTCAATCCTGCACTGACCCCAGGCAGGGAGCCCCAACCTCAGGGTCCTGGGAGAGGTGGGACTGCAGGCTCTGGAGCCAGAACGCTGGGGTCCAAATTCTAACTCTACTGCTTCTAAGCTGTGGGACCTCAGGTAAGTGACTTGATGTCTTGAAGCCTCAATTTTCTTATCTGTGAAATGGGCACAATTAACATTAGCAAATTTAGAGAATTATTATAAGAAATAACTGAGATCAAGTGTAAAGTGTTTAGAACACAGTAGCTGAATCATAATGACAGCTTAATAATGCTAGTTATTTTTTTCTGTTATGAAAAGTATCAGTATAAATCCTATTCCCTCTCTTCCATGAGCACTTGGAGAAAAGAGAGGATCCCAAGAAGGTGGTGGTGTCTTTCCAGCCTCTCTGCTGTCCAGGCTCTCTGCTGTTTCTTTCTTACCACAGTGTCCTGTGGGAGACACTGTCAGCCAGTTGGCCCTGATTAAGGAGGAGAGAGGAATGCCCCCCGCCCCCCCCCCGACACACACACACACACATACCACCATCACCTGTGTTACTCACAAGACTTCCCTCTCTCCCTTCCCTTTAGGGCTAGAAGGGGGCTGCAGTGTAGAGACAGCATAGGTAAGAGACACAGTACTTTGGAATGGTGAGTTATGCATTCTTAAACACATAAGGCCTGGGTGGAATGAAAAAGAATTTAGGACTAAGAGGAAGTCTCTCTCCAAGAAAGTCTCGGCTGGTGCACCCCATCCCTGGCACCATGGTGGCCATGACCCTACCTGGCTCCAGCCCATGGCTGCCTGCATGTTGGTTCTCCTCCATCTCTGAATGCCCAGGTCTTGCCAGCCCAGTGCCTAGAACACCATGGGAGAGTAATTGTTGAATATCTGAAAGTAACTAGACTTCGACAAGCTCATTTGGGGCCATGTTTAACCTAAAGGCAAGACAGGTAAGAGATTGATAACAGATCACTGGCAATTGAAGTTTAAAATCCAATTTTAAAGTTTAGTTAGATGAAGGGATACAGACGCTGAATCATCTTTAAATAGAATAGGAGAGAGAAGTAATATAGAATAGCATTTTTAGATATTTTCCCATTTTAAAATGAGAAATCATTTGAGGGAATCATAATATTAATAAAACCAGCAATAATAATAGAAATTAAGTTTTATTAAATGATTGCTTTATTGTATAATAGCTGTTATTGAATGTTTATTAAAAAGTTAGTAACTAACTTTTATTGAATGTGACAATGTGTTGAGTGCCTCATTAAATCTTTACAACAACCCTGTAAAGGAGATACTGTTGTCCCCATTTTACAGATGGCCAGGTTGAGGTTTAGAAAGACTAACCAACTCAGCCGGGCGCAGTGGCTCACGCCTGTAATCCCAGAACTTTGGGAGGCCGAGGCGGGTGGATCACGAGGTCAGGAGATTGAGACCATCCTGGCTAACGCGGTGAAACCTCGTCTCTACTAAAAATACAAAAGCTTAGCTGGGCGTGGTGGTGGGCGCCTGTAGTCCCAGCTACTCGGGAGGCTGAGGAAGGAGAATGGCATGAACCCGGGAGGCGGAGCTTGCAGTGAGCCGAGATTGCACCACTGCACTCCAGCCTGGGCGACAGAGCGAGACTCCATCTCAAAAGAAAGACTAAGCAACTCATTCACAGAGCTCATGGGTGGCTCATGGAGGCAGTACAGTCTGACTGTAGATGTTATAGACAATAGACACCTGAACTAATATAATTCTGTAAGTGGGTATGGACTTCCTATTATGTTGTCAACTTCTCCTGTAGGAACACTGGAGTAGAAATGTGGTTCTCCCTTCTGAGAGTTTATAACCCAGTTCTGATGCCAGAACCCATGCATTAAATTATTCAGCAGCCAAATAAGAATTAAGTTTGAAATGCAAGAAAAAAGAAATGAAAAAGTACGGCTACAGTTTTCTTATCTGCTACAGATATTGTATTGTCTTGACCCCTTCTATGTTGACATCTACCATTTCAGCTCTAGAGCTACTTCCATGGTAACATGCAGGGTGGCCTTGGCCAAGCCCCGTCACTGCTGAACCTCAGGCTTCTTAGCTATAATTCAATCTCCAAGCTTTCATTAAGGGTGTAGAGTTTACAAAGTCCTTTGCCATCACACACAGAGGCTTCAACAACAAGTGGGACCAGGTTAACCACGTTCTTGCCTTGAAGATATTCCCGATTTGTAGATTGAAAGGGTTAAACCAGCATGAAGCACAGAATGTATAGGGGGTATAATTGCTGCTGGCCGTTGTTTTTAGTGAAGAAGTGGTAACATTATCAGAATTCCAATGGAAGACCCCTGAGAGATGCTTAGAGATGCCTGCAGTGCCGGTGGTCATGAGGATGATTGTGTCAATGTTTGGCAGGGGCATCTTTGTTTCGAAGATTTCACGGTGCTAAAGAAGTTAATGTGTAAATTAAAATCAATTATCTTCAGATAATTGCCTCTGCCTCCATCTTTCTCACTCTTATTCTCCTCTTTATTCCCTGGGCCTTGAAGGCCTACAGCTTGGAATGATGGCACATGAGGTTGAAAGTAAAGTGGCGTGCTCCTCAGACCACAATGACAGGGGCTAAATCATGTGCTCGGATCAATCAAGAGACATGAGGTCTTAGTCCCTGATTCTCATGCCACTACTACCCTTTCTCAACATCATTCCTTTGAGTTCTTTTTCCTAGAGAAGGACCTCAAATCTTTTTTTGACAGACCCCACCCAACTATCGATGGCAGTTATCCTGGGTAAGAGTACAGCTGTGGTGCTAAGGACTTTATGGGCACTTCCCAGCTGTGTGACCTTGAGTTAGTCACTTTCCCTCTCTGAGACTTAGGTTTTTCATCTATAAAATTGGGTAATATTAACCTACCTCAAAGGGGGCTGTTATGAGGATTGAATTAGAAAACAGCCCCTGTTACATGACTAGGAAAGAAAGCTATTGATACCATTGTGCTTTAGGCTACACTGGTTCTTAAAAAATTTGTAACCCAAATATAACCAGGCCAGAGGTCCAGTCTCTGCGTAGAGTAGCTTTTGAATAAACAATAGTTTGACAGCCAAAAGTAATTCTTAAAATCTTTTCCGAAATATCCTATAGACCATTGAAGAAGGTGTAATTCACATTCTATAGCAAAACGTTTTAAAAGCATCATTCCCTATTTACTCCCCTCTCAACCTTCAAGCTGTCCCATAGCTTCCCCACAAGACTTTCTCCTTCTCTCCTATTTCCACTTAAGGCACCATGCAGCCTATGGTCTCTTTGTTTTGCCTGTCCCCTGACTTCCTGCTCTACCTTTCTTCCTTCTGGTAATCCATTCCCATTCCTGAATACAGTGCCTTACCTAGGCCATTAGGGGTCCTTCCAATTCTGCAATTCTTTCGACTCATAATACCGCCCGACAGACAGAAGGTCTGAGACCATGCAGGAAGACTGTGAGCCCTATTGAGAAGGTCAGGTGTGTGCACAGGCTGCAAATACTGCTAACATACTTAGATCCACTAAATTACACGTAAATAACTTGAATTGCTTTTAGAGCAATGCACAAAACAGAGGACACTCTTTGCTGCCAGCAAGGGCTTCAAGTTTTGAATGCTTAGCTGGCTTCTTACCTGGAGAACTGTCCTGGACCACACACCCTTTTGGCCCCACTGGCATCAGGTTAGAAAGAGGTCAGCAAATCCCATGAAAGGCCTTCTGAGCCTTGAAGGCTCCACTGGGAGAGAGGAAAGAGGAAAAACCCTTCTCCGCCAAAGCCAACTGCCTACTCCTTTCCCAAGGCCTTGCCCTGTTTGGCCTTCTGATGAAGGTGGTACTTCTCGAAAAGGACTATCATTCTACAGCCGCGGGTGCCAAGAGCTCAAGAGATAAGAGAATGTTTACTCAAAGGAGAAAACTACCTTCTGCTCAATGCTCTACTTGCACTGAAAGTTCCATTCCCTGCTAGAGTGTCCTCATTAGATGTTTTCAAGGCCTTTGTTTTGTCCTTGACTTCAGGATGAATGGAAGAGAAATGTTGAAGAAAATATATGTAGACCAAAGTCCAACCCAGCCTCTTGTGGACATTTGCTAGACAGAGTTCTTGGTATCTGGAAAGGGCACAGCGTCCACTGCAACCTCTGAACCTTAACTCAAGAGCCAAGAGCATCACCTCATTTGGATCTGAGCAGAATCCCATCAGCAGTTCCCTCCGAGGAAGGCCCATCACTCAGCAAGCCACTCCCAGGGTCTTCCGTCCCCATTAGTATTTAATGTTATTCCTATGGTAAGCGATGGCTGGGTTCATCTCTTTTGGAATGGGTCTGGGTTTAGTTTGCCCGTGGAAAAGGATGCATTAGTGAGATTAAATGGGGCTTGTCATGCCAGCACATGTCACTGGAGCTGCTACAGACAATAACGACAGCAGGAAATGATCTTCCGCAGATGATGAATTCGTGTCTAGATCTGACTGTGCTTTTTTGTAAAGGTGTGTTGGGGGTCACAGTTTCACACAGTTCAAACGGGTTTCCTGACAGGTTGCCAGCTCTAGAGTCTTGCAGTAGATCGGGTGAATGTGCTTGGTTAAATGCAAGCTAATGTTTGTGCCTTGGATGGAGATGCAAGCACCACCAGGAAGACAAAAAGAAAGTAAAAATTAACAGCAGGAGGAGAATGGGGAAAACTACCTGTTGTATTCCAGGCACTGAATTATAATGCTCAGTTAATTTCTCTGGCTCCCTCTAAACGGTGGGCTCCTCAAGAGTGAGAACCACAGTTTATCCAGTTCTATTCTCCCAATTTTATTACAGCACCTGGCACATAGTAAACACTCGGAGATTGATGAATGTATGAATGGCCAAACTCTGCTTGATTCCCATTTTAGAGGAACAAAATCCAGACAGATACATAGCTTTAAGTGGGAAAAAAATCATTAAAACAGCCTAAGCGCATTATAATACAACGGCATAAGGCAGTATCATGAAGTCATTAAAAATAATGTGGATCCAGATGAATGGATGAATAAAATGTGGAATATGCATGCAATAGAATATTATTTAGCTTTAAAAAGGAGGTGAATCCTGACACATGCTACAACACTGATGAACTTTGAGGACATTATACTAAGTTAAATAAGCCAGTCACAAAAGAGCATGTATTGGATGATTCCACTTGACTGGATGATTCCATTTGAAGATGATATGAGTTATCTAGAGTAGTTGAATTCATAGGGACAGAAAGTAGAATGGTAGTTGCCAGAGGCTGGGGGAGAGGGGAATGGGGAGTTGTGTAATGGGTACAGAGTTTCAGTTTTGCAAAATGAAAAGAGTTCTGTAGATGGATTGTGGTATTGGTAGCACACTCATGTGAATGTACTTAATGCCACTGAACTGTACTCATAAAAATGTACAGTTAAGATGGTAAATTGTATGTTTTGCACATTTTACTGCAAGTAAAACAAACGTTGGAAATTTTGTCCAAATGGAAAAATGCAATATGTTTTGTCCAAATGGAAGAATGCAAAATGGCATAGACATGCACATGAAAAGGAATAAGCAAAGAGAAAACCACTGCATGGTGGGTGGTGGCATCATCACCATTATATCATTTTTAAAATGTATTATTTAGTATTTACACATTTCCTTTAAAAAAACTTTTTTTGTTCAAAAAAGTAAAGATATCAAAAGAATACCTAGCAGGAGAAAGGAATAAAAATACAAATAGATCTGAATGATACTGACAAAATGGCTGCGGTCATGGGTTCCTGACATAGAGGGATGCAGAGCTTGTTAAGTGCCAAAGTCCCTTAGTCACTTCCTTTTGATGATGGTGGTGGTGGTGGTGATGATGATGGTGATGGTAGTGGTGGTGGTGGTGATGGTGATGGTGATGGTGATGGTGATGGTGGTGGTGGTGGTGGTGGTGATGGTGATGGTGGTGATGGTGATGGTGGTGGTGGTGATGGTGATGGTGGTGATGGTGGTGATGGTGATGGTGGTGCTGGTGGTGGTGATAGTGGTTGTGATGATGATGATGGTGATGGTGATGGTGGTGATATTGGTGGTGGTGGTGGTAATGATGCTGGTGGTGGTGGTGATGGTGGTGATATTGGTGGTGGTGGTGGTAATGATGCTGGTGGTGGTGGTGATGGTGATGATGATGATGATGCTGGTGGTGGTGGTGATGATTATGATTTGGTGGTGGTGATGGTGGTGATGATGGTGGTGGTGGTGATGATGGTGGTGGTAGCGGTGATGATGATGGTGGTGGTGGTAGTGGTGATAATGCTGGTGGTGGTAATGATGATGATGGTGATGATGATGGTGGTGGTGATGATGATGGTGGTGGTAGTGGTGATAATGCTGGTGGTGGTAATGATGATGATGGTGATGATGATGGTGGTGGTGATGATGATGGTGGTGCTAATGATGGTGGTAGTCAGTGGGTGAGTTGTGGTGATGATGGTAATTGGTGGTGGTGATGATGATGGTGGTGGTGGTGGTGGTGGTGATGATGTTGGTAATGATGATGGTGGTGGCAATGATGGTGGTGATGATGATGGTGGTGGTGGTGGTGGTGGTGGTGATGGTGGTGGTGGTGGTGGTGATGGTGGTGGTGGTGATGATGGTGGTGATGGTGGTGGTGATGATGCTGGTGATGGTGGTGATGATGATGGTGATATAGTTGAACTGCAGAAAACTGAATTAAATAAATTGGAAGGAATTCAATAACATGTACTTGATGCTGAAACTTGAAGGTAGATGGAAGTTCTAGGCAGAGACTCAAAGACTGGGATTGCTGTTAATGCAAGAGTTTGGTGATGAATGTCAGGGATGGAGGTGCACATACACGTACCTACGCTGAACTGGGAACCATGAAACCAGAGTCCCAACATACCTTGCGTAGATCAGTTCTCTTCTTGTATCCTCACTTTCTCTGTCTGTGAAATGAAAAGTCTGCACCGAAGAATCTCCAAGCAACATTTCAGCTCTGACAGTTTCCAAATGGACTGAACTTTATCAGCCCCTTAGAAGTTAAAAAAGGACAGGAATACTCCAATATTGAATGTCTAACAGGATCTCCTGTTGAGAAAGCATTTCCATGAAGTTATTTTTAAAATAACTGAATGTGTACTGCAATGCTCACAATAAATATATGAATACAAACAAGAGAAATTCATGTAAATATATAATTATATTATGCACATTATATAAATGTCATATAAACTCTGAGAGGGTAGAAATCAACCATGACTACAGGTAATCCTGAATAAATCACTTGTTATGCTTAGCTTTTTGCATTATGAAAAATGACCTCTGTGTCTCCCTGTTTTTCGTTTATCTTTGTGTAGGTCTTACCCACCACAGAAACTCAATAGTGGCAAAACAGAAGGCATTTCAATTGAACATTTTAGAAGATATCCAAGTCTCAGATCTTTTTGATTCACACCAATGTGCCCAAGTAGCATGCTGCTGTGTCAGGAGTGTACCAAGGGATGAACTGAGGAAGCAGAGGACCCTTGGAGGACCCTGAGGGCACAGTTGGGAGAGATGAGAGAACAGAACAAGATGGTGACCGTTCACAACATGTAACTGAGTTCAGCTTCTCCTGTTGCCATTGAAGATGTTGGGTGACCATGGGCCTCTAGCACAGAGTAAGTTGGATAAGGTCAGTATCCTTACTGAGTTTATCCTTGAGCTCACTGAGGTTCCCTGATAAACAGGATGTTGGAGCCATCAGACCCTATGTGAGGATATGGGTACAGATGCTGACTAAGACCAGAAGGCTGGTCCCCTGAGAGAATTCAGAGAGAATTCTCCCAGCTCTTGAAAGATTCACTGGATACTGAGAAAACTCGGGGAAGTGAGGAAGGCAAACCATGCAGGTGCCCCTCTAGGTCTTGCAAGACCTCTTGGGGAAATAAACTGAATGGTAATGGTTGCAAGTCAAGGTAATGGGTTTGCATGCAGAGGTCACTCACAAATTCTGAGTTTGCACATAGGATGTTTGCTCTATGAAGGTATCACAGAACATTTTCTGTTTATTCCACATCTCAACATAATGTTGTGGGAAAGTGATAGTTCTACTCTTCAGAGATGCCCACAAGAGTTGGAAAAAACTAAATGTCAGACAGAAGTGGGCAGCCCCTCCCTGTGGCTCTGCACCAAGTTTAAGGTTGAAAACCAGGGTGAACATTTACCTGGTTTCCTGAACACACCATGCCAAACAATTGATTTTGGCATACTGGTATAACTGATTCTCTAGGAAGGTAAAGGAAAATCTCTGGAGAAGACTGTTATGGACTGAATTTTTGTGCCCTCTAAAATTCATATGCTGAAGCCTTACCCTCCAATATGATAATATTTGGAGGTATAAACATTGAGATGTAATTAGGTTTACATAAGATCACAGGGGTGGGCCTGCCATGATGGATTTAGTGTCCTTATAAGAAGAGGGAGAGCTCCACCATGTGAGAACACAGCAAGAAGGTGGGCATCTGCAATCCAGGAAGAGACTCCTCACCTTAAACTGAGGCAACCCAACATGCAGTACTTTGTTATGGCAGCCCTAGCAAATCAACACAATGATGACAATGACAATGGCCACACATGCTGGCAACTTAATCTCAAACTTCCCAGCCTCTAGAACTGTGAGAAAAAAATGTATATTATTTAAGCCACGAGGTCTACCATAATTCATTATAGCATACTAAGACAGATGCAGTGATTATATTATTTACTTCTTATTAGCTAAATAGTAATAATGATGATGATGGCTATGGTTGACTCGTGTCCCACCAAAATGATACATTGGACACTTAACACATATTACCTCAGAATATCACCGTATATGTAAATAGGGTCATTGCAAATTAAGATGAGGTCTTCAGGGTGGCCCCAATCCAATATGACTGGTTTCCCTATGAAAGGGAAAATTTGGAGGCCAGACATGGTGGCTCATGCCTGTAATCCCAGCACTTTGGGAGGCCGAGGCAAGGGGATCACCTGAGGTTGAGAGTTTCAGACCAGCCTGACCAACATGGAGAAACCCCATCTCTACTAAAAATTCAAAATTAGCCAGGCATGGTGGTGCATGCCTGTAATCCCAGCTACTCTGGAGGCTGAGGCAGAAGAATCGCTTGAACCTGGGAGGTGGAGGTTGCAGTGAGCCAAGATAGCACCATTGCACTCCAGCCTGGGCCACAAGAACGAAACTCCATCTCAAAAAAAAAAGGGAAAATTTTGGACACAGACAGAAGGAGAATTTCACATGAACGTGAAAGTAGAGATTGGGGTGATGCTTCTACACACCAAGTGATATGGTTTGGTTGTGTCCCCACCCAAATCTCACCTTGAATGGTAACTCCCATAATTCCTATGTGTTGTGGAAAGGGAGAAAATTGAGTCATGGGGACAGTTTCCCCCATACTGTTCTCATGGTAGTGAATAAGTCTCACAAGATCTGATGGTTTTATAAGAGGTTTCCCCTTTCACTTGGCTCTCATTTGCTCTTACCTGCTGCCATGTAAGACGTGCCTTTCGCCTTCCACCATGATTGTGAGGCCTCCGCAGCCACATGGAACTGCGAGTCCGTTAAACTTCTTTTTCTTTATAAATTACCCAGTCTCAGGTATGTCTTTATTAGCATCGTGAAAAGAGACTAATACACCAAGGAATGCCAAAGCAACCACCAGAAGCCAGGAGTGAGGCCTGGAACAGATTCTCCCTCAGTGCTCTCAGAAAAAACAAACAACCCTGCCTTGCCACCCCTTTATTTCAGATTTCTCACCTCCGGAACTGTGAGGCAACAAATGTCTGTTGTTTAGGCCACCCAATGAGCAGGACTTGGTGATAGCAGCCCTGGCAAGCCAGTACGATGATGACGATGGCCATGACCACACCACTGCCTTATGAGTGAGTGCACACTCACTTTACACTGAGGGCACAGCAGGGAGAGATGAGAGAACAAAACAAGATGGTGGCTGTTCACGACATGTAATTGAGGTCAGCTTCTTCCTCAGCTTCTTCATTAGAGAGGTTTGGTGACCACGGGCCTCTGGCACAGAGTAAGCTGAATAAGGACAGTCCTTGAGCTCACTGAGGTTCCCTGATAAACAGGAAGTGGAGCCATCAGACCCTGTGTGAGGGTGCAGGGAAGGGTGCTAAGACCAGAAGGCTGGTCCCCTGGGAGAATTCAGACCATGGTGATCATATCAGTTGGTGTGTGATTGACCACCCAGGCCATAGTGGTTGCACTTATAAAGTATAAAGTAGACGAGGGCAAGACCCCAGCTGGAGGCAGAGACCAGGCTTGGTGGTTATCCAGCCACCACTATCTCCATGGCCTTGGCAAAGCAGCTTGGCCTTGGGTAAATGGCTTGGCCTCTGGCTCCAGTGTCCGCATCTCTAGAAGAGACATCACAATGCAAGGGCTTCCACTTGCTGCAATTACATAAGAGATCATGTACAAAAGCGCTCGGCCCCTCATGAATACTTCACAACTACTCGCTGTTATGTTTTTATTCCAGAGTTCCCAGTTTACAAGCCCTTTGCAGAGACACCATCTAATCTTCCCACCCATCTTGTCCCCAGCTAACTACTAGTATTATGATTCTCTTCTCTACAAAATCAGGGAAACAGCAGCTTCTAAGAGTCCTGGGTTGTTGGCTCCTAAACTGTTCACCCTGACCCAGCTTGGAGGCCCCCACTTTTCCCCAGCCACTTGAGGCTTGCTGAGCCTGGAGAAAATGTGTGTTCTACTTAAGCCAGTTAATGTGTAGACTTTATGCCCTAAACAAAGATAACACTAATGAATTCACAGTCAACCTTTTCAGCCCTGTGATAGAAAAAGATTTTCAGTCACTTTAGCCCAAGCTACATTTGCACCCAGGGTCACTCAAAGAAAAGGACAACACATTAATCTTTGTCCTCCTTGTGTTGAACAACCTCTCAAATAATCCATAGCACGGCATGAAGTGAAACTCAAAACCTTAAAACGCCATCTATCTGGTCCCCAATTAAAACATAATCTTTTTAAGCTGCCAATACCCACTGACCAGAATCAATAGAGGGGAAGATTATGAATGGCGTTTCCTAGTGATCTGGTCAGACAGGGAATGGATTGCTGCTGTCATGTCCGGAGGGACAGGAAAGTGGATGTCCAAGGTAACCACAGATAATCTGGCTTCGCCTTCTGGTGTAACTGATGTGGAAATCATATCTTCTGTGAACAGCCATAGAGGTGATTTTTTTTAAAAGTCCTGCTAAGCCACAGTTTAAGTTTCAGGGAAGTGAAATAAGTACCACTCCAAGCATTCGACGGATATCTTGTAAGAGCATCCTCTGTGCCAGGTGCTCTGCTTAAAAGTGAAGGTGGTGAGATTGATGTGGAGTTGGTGATGTTCTGGGAGCCACTGGTCTTCCTCCCTTCTCCCTTTTAACACATGAGAAAAATGGGGCTTAATGTTGGGATGGGATTTCACACAGGTGACAGAGTCTGCACCCGGCCTGGGCTCCTGATGCAGAGGCTCCTGCCCTTTGGATCTCAACATACTTCAGTTCAACTGGCTCTGAACTTTACACCCACCGGGGACTTTCCACACAACAGACGTGAGTGGTCCCTGAAAATCTAGCAGCGGCCACACCCCACAGTAGCTCAGGACTTCTCTCTGAAACATTTGCCACATCGAATGAGGATAAGACTTGAGGCCAAAGCTTAACTCCCAGAAGCCAGTGAAAATGCTCTGTTCTGGTCACTTTGACCTACATTTCCATGTTCTGTTTCTAGGCCAGCATGGTGGATTGGCAGCTGTGTTCTCATTCCCCAGCCTCAAAAGTCATCATTCTCTATAAACACTGCTGCTTTTCCCATTTTGGACACCACCTGGATTTAAGAGGGTTTTTGGGAGAGATGCTAACAGTGGGCGTCTACTCTGTACCAGGCGCGACGGCTTACCGCATATGAACCTGCAATGGGAAGGCGGTTTGAGTGCGAATGCTCAGTGGGAAGGACACTGCTTTTTCCTGTTGATGGGCCCTCCTTCATCCCACTCCCTAAAGTGTCTTTCTGGTAGGTGGGGTCTGGGCTTCAGGGATGAAAAAACAGAGAGTGGCCTAAGGAAGGCCCAGAGAAGCTGAGGACAACAGGAGACGGCCTTGGGAGAGATCTTTATAGTGAATGAAGAATGAGGGGCTTTATAATGAACTATAGGAGAGTGTTGTATAATGAGAAAAAGATGAGTTGAGATGGAGAGGCAGAGGGCAAGAGAGAGAGAGGCCAAAGCAAGCCTCATGGGCTGGGAGAGCCATGTTGGTCTCCCCTGTGCTGAGTTGGCTTGGCAAAGAGTGCTCCAAAGAGGCACGGGGTATGATGAAATTAGGGAGGAGAGAAAATGGAATGTGAGAGCTATTGGGGGAGTATGAATTGGGTCACTTTCAATGTCTTTCAAGACATTCAAGTTCAAGGTTAGAGTCATTTCATTACTCTAGTTGCTCAGGTTGCTCATTTCTTTGATTGTGATCCTTTTCATGTGGATTCAGAAATCACACAGGATCTATTTCAGAGGAGCATCATGCTGGGACCATGGACTAAGGCGATCCCTCAACTTAGAGATTGGCAGTTGTCAGAGGAGGGGGGACTGTGCCCCAGAAAAGGGGAATTATTTTAAGGAGGTACCAGCAGATGTCTACAGCACTGACTCACCCAGGGCCACACTAGCCATAGGTGGCCAGACTAGAATCCAGCCCCAATATCCCCTCTCTCCAAGACCTCTGCTATTTGTTTTTGACCAGCTTCCCCCCCTGGTCTGGCCACCATGCCTCGTGCAGGGCTAATGGGGTAAAATGACAGCATCCATGGTGACGTGGTTTGGCTCTGTGTCCCCACCCAAATCTCATCACCAGCTGTAATCTGCACATGCGGAGGGAGGGACCTGGTGGAGGGGATGGATCATGGGGGCAGTTTCCCCCATGCTGTTCTTGTGATAGTGAGCGAGTTCTCATGAGATCTGATGGCTTTATAAAGGGCTCTTCCCCCTTCAAGTGCTCTCTCTCTCCTGCCACCATATAATACGTGCCTGCTTCCCCTTCCGCCATGATTGTAAGTTTCCTGTGGCATCCCCAGCCATGCAGAATGGTGAGTCAATTAAACCTCTTTCCTTTATAAATTACCCAGTCTTGGGTATTTCTTTAGAGCAGTGTGAGAACAGACTAATATACATGGACTAAAGATGGAGCCATGAGGACCCTTTAAAAGACAAGGCCTCATGCCCTTGGTGGCACCTCTGTGAGAGGTGAGCACCTTTATGACAGCTGAGCTCCAGGAAGCTGGGAGAACCGTGCTAGGCCTGGACTGGGTAGACAGTGTTGGGGAGTGGTAAGAGCATCCTGATTTGGCAGAGCAGGGTTTATGAGAGTAGAGGGCTACTTGGAAAGACAGGCAAGGCTTAGACAGGTAGGGCCTTGAATGGCAACAGAAGGGTTTTGAGAAGGCACATTTCCGCAGAGACTGTCTCTAAGGAGGAAGCTCAGTCCAGTCACTTAGAGATGTAGTCCCTCGTGCTTAGAAAGAGTTCAAGGGAGAATGTCAGGGACCCCATGTTTTGCCATTGTTCTGTTTCTTGTCCTGACCCTCCTGAAGCAGAAGTAGTCTGATAAAGGTCTACTTCTGACCTACATAACATCAGAAATCTTTAAAAGTCAGATTTGAGAACTTAATATAACAGTGACCTTCTGATGCTTTCAAAAACAGTGCATCTCTATAAAGAACTCCCTAATTCATTAAGTGGGACAGTCATTGAAATTCTAAAATAGATCTGTATCTGAGAGACTCATAGCTGGGGTTTGGAGGGAGACTTGCTGCTCCTTGGATACCCTGGAATATTCGTTCTCTCTCTCTCTCTCTGTCTCTCTCTCTCCCCCCTCCCCCTCCCCTCCCTGTCTGCAAGAATTCCTTTTGAAATGTACACACGCTCACACATACACAGGACCAGGGTCAATATATCTATCAGTGACAATATACCCACCAGTGACATTTTAACATCATAACGTCATATTTTAAAACAAGCAAATTGGATTTAAAAATTTTGTATGGTTTTTATTTCCATGGAATTTACATTTGGCTCACTGGTGACCAAAAGAATCAGAATAAAACTACAATTGTTATTTTATAAAAAGACAGAAAATAATGTTTAATCTTTATGAAAAATATAAGAAATAGGTACACAAAACACATGAAATATTTACAGTTTAATGTCGTCAGAAACCCAGATGTCCCTCTGTGAATCATTTTATAACGAATATCTCCATCTATTGAAAATCAAGCTCAGTTTTACTCTAAAGTGTGAATGGGTCAAGGAGAGTGTGAAATGGAACAAGAGACCCCCAAGCTCTCTGTGCGACACTTGGCCCTGCACCATCCCAGCATTTCATCCTCATGCCTCACTTGTGACATTGGTACGATTGTCCTATTTTGCCAGGTGGCTTGTCAAGGATGAGTGAATCAATTCGAGTGTTTTGGGCTGCAAGGAACAAAAATAGGCCTGTAGCTGGCTAACCAATGAAGAAGGCCATTGGTTGCCAGACTTCAGTTCCCTCTTTCTCCCAATGGTCTCTTAGCTTTGCTCCTCTCAGCCAAGTCTTTTAATATCCATAGAGGCAGATCACTGGATGGGAGCAGCATGCGTCCACATTCACATCTGGAGCAAAAGAGAAGAACTAGCTTCCCGTAGCTCCCTTCTGAGAATGAGGAAGTTTATTTCCCAAAAGAACTGGGCAAGTGCCTCTGGTTTCCTTGACCCAAGTTGACTCACGCCTGCCCATTTCTTTTCTTTCCTTCTTTCCTTCCTCTTCCTTCCTTCCTTCCTTCCTCTCTCTCTTTCTTTCTCTCTTTCTTTCTTTTTCTTTTCACAGTCTCATTCTGTTGCCCAGGCTAGAGTGCAGTGGCATGATCTCGGCTCAGTGCAACCTCCGCCTCCTGGGTTCAAACGATTCTCCTGCCTCAGCCTCCCAAGTAGCTGAGATTACAGGTATGTGCCACCATGCCCAGCTAATTTTTGTATTTTTAGTAGAGATGAGGTTTTGCCACGTTGGCCAGGCTGGTCTTGAACTCCTGACCTGAAGTGATCTGCCCATCTCAGCCTCCCAAAGTGCTGGGATTATAGGCGTGAACCACCACGCCCTGCCAAGCCTGCCCATTTCTGAACCACCCCAGGATGCCTGGGATTTCCTCCAGGGGCCGGGCCCAGTCAGATGAGGCAGGGACTGGTGACGTCCACCCCTCTCAGCTCGAAGGTGTCCGAGAGCCCTCAGTGTGGGTGAGTCGCCAGAAATTAATGGTAAAACACGTAACACAAGCAGCCATTGCTATGCATGCTGCTAAAATATCTGAAAACATTCAATTCTTTCATGAATAGGATTTTAAATACTGTTTCCCTGCCTCACAAACTGACCCAGATTAGACATAAAAGAAATTCTTGGACCTTAAGGTAAAAACACTGCATACAACACACACCCACAAACACACACACACACACACTTTAAAGCTCAGAAATAGATAAAATACAAACCAGCGTGTACATTATGGAATTTAAAAACGTAAGCTGGTAACCCGAAGACATTATTAATTTTGAAGTTATAACTAATTTAATTAATAAGAAATACTGAATGATGATGCCAAAGAACCTGTAACTGTTAAAATGCTGAAACATAAAATATGCTATAAACAATTAGACATTGTGATTATGAAGAAATTATTTTGCTCAGCTGAGTGTTCTTACTGATTTTTAAGTGAGCAAATGTCTTTCATAATAATACATTGATTAATAGTAACACTTATTAGGAGCTCATTAAATGCAAACCTGGGCCAAGTATACCCCTGCATCATTTCATTTCATCTCCACCTCACCTGGGAAGGAGGTGCTATCCCTGTTTATGAAGGAACTTAAAAACTGAGGCTTGGGGAAATTCCTTAATTATCTAAGACACCCAGGTAAGGAGGTCCAGGTAAGCTCCAGGCCTGGACCATCTAACCATCATGCCATCGGGAAGGAATCCTCCGAGGCTTCGCTAGGCTGGCTTCGTGGCTTTCATTCATTATTCACTGGCTTAAAATCATTAATTGAGTGTCTTCTGTGTTCCAGCCAGGCACTCTGTTAAGCATCACCAAGAACTGCTTCAAAACAAAGCACAAACCCCAAGAAAGGCTTGTTTTGGCATTTCATTTTTCCAAAGGGCCGGAAACTCAATACACAGTTCATGATTTCACCTGTCAGAAAAAAAAGCCAGTGCCAATGTCAAAAATTTCCATCTGTCTTTTATGTATCTGTGGTTGGGACAATTTAACATGACTGAGGGTCTTGATTTTATCCACAACTATTTTTTTGAAACAAAAATCTTTCTCTAAAAGAAGTTAGTAGGCCCTAAACTATGGGTATATTATAATTTACCATCTTCAGCTATTATTGAAAATGTATTTGGCTTTCAAATGTTAATATTATAAATATTACTGTTTTAAAAAATAAACTATAACTTTTGACTATAATTCTCTAGGTAGAAAAGATACCTAGAAATTTAATTACAGTCAAAACATGGGAACATCTCCAGGGCTCTTAATGAGTGATCTGATGAATTATTGTCCCAAAGTGACAGATGAGCACGCCCATTTCAGCCCAAATAAGTCCCCATGGAGCCTGAAACTGACTCAAGTCTTTGGAATATGGTGAAATGGACCATCTCGGGGTACTATTCTAGGCTTTGGTTCTAGGCATGGCCTCTTTTGAGTGATGGTAATTATTGGTGTAAACGACACACTTTCTTGTTAGAGGGTCGTTTAAATGAATTTAAGTGGACACATGTCCACTTAAATGAATATAAGTTGCCAGGTCAACTGAGTTATTTGTCAGGAGTGAATCTTCAGGCCTTCCAGGTAACCCCTCATCGTGGGTGACTTGGGAATGGCCAAGCCTATGCTCAAGTCCAAAACTGACAGAGGCCTGAATTTCTCAGGGGCAGTTTCCGTTTTCCCTTCTAGGGGCCAGGATACAGAAAGTGGTAGACCATCACATTAAGAAAAAAAATAGACATCCTTGCATCACTTTAACATGGTTACAAAAGTTCTTCCAAGTGAATGACAACAATGATTCTGCAAGTCCCTTCCTGATTTTGACAGTTAAGATTCTAAGCAATTCTGCAGCACCATGGCACACCCCAACCCCCAAGTATAGCACTGGGCACACAGGAGGTATGCAGTAAATATTTGATGAGCTCCATTTGTATTTGCGTCAGACTAGTTTCCTAATGTCCAACCTTTACTTGCAAAGATTCTCCTCCACTTTTACGTTGAAACAGAATTATTTAAGAGCTCCATCTTAACGTTCAATGTTTAAAGAAAAGCAATGTTTGTGGCTATTTATATAGAGCAGGGGTCAGAAAACTACAGCCCACAGGCCAAATCCAGTCTACTATTGTTTCTGTATGGGCTGAGACCTAGGAATGACTTCTACATGTTTGAACGGTTGAAAAAAAAATCAAAAGAATAGTATTTCATGACACCTGAAAATTACATGAAATTCTAATTTCAGTGTGCATCAATGAAATTTGTTTGTGTGTGTGTGTGTGTGTGTGTGTGTGTTTGTTTTGAGACAGGGTTTCACTCTTGTCACCCAGGCTCGAGTGCAATGGCACAATCTCAACTCACTGCAACCTTGCCTCCCGGGTTCAAGCAATTCTCCAGCCTCAGCCTCCCGAGTAGCTGGAATTACAGATGCCCGCCACCACACCTGGCTAATTTTTGTAATTTTAGTAGACATGGGGTTTCACCATGTTGGCCAGGCTGGTCTTGAACTCCTGACCTCAGGTGATCTGCCTGCCTTGGCCTTCCAAAGTGCTGGGATTACAGGCGTGAGCCACCGCTCCTGGCCTGAAATTTGATTAGAACACAGTCACGCCTTTTCATGACTATATTTTCTACAGCTGCTTTCATGCTACACTGGCAGAGTTTAGGTGGGCGCCAGAGATCCTGTGACCCGCAAAGCCTAAAGTATTTGGTATTTGGCCTTGTAGAGAAAAAGTTTGCTGACCCTGCCACAGAGGACTTGTCTTATTTAAAGTATCTAGTCATCGAATTAAGAAAGCAGAATATAAATAAAAATAGTCTGTGCACCCCCCACAAATAAAGACGCGTCCTATATCATTAAGAAGTTATCAGACTTCTGTTTTCTTGGTTTTTAATCTACATTTGACTTTTTAAAAATATACACATGCCAGATATCGCAAGCGGAGTGGTTCAAAAAGGAGCAGTAAAATGCAAATTCAATTTTCATCTTTTAACAGCACAATGAAACAAAAAAATAATAATAAGGCATATATTCTAAAAATTGCCAAAACGATCCCAGAGAGCCATGGGGCTGAAATCAGTTATGACACAGGCTTGCCTCCCTTGCCTGGTACTAATTCTGTAAGGGAAAAGGTGGAATTGACCTTCGCAAGAGATTTAAATGGTCTTAAAAAAAATATCCAGCAGGCCATCCCCCTCGAAACAGGAATGCGGCCCCTCCCATCTTCCTCCTATGGTAAAGCTTGCTCCTCAAAGTCAGTAAGTAACTTACGGTAATGGATTTCAAAGTCAAGAATCTAATGCAAATCTAAGTATTTGCTTACACACTCTCTGAATTCTCGACAGATTAAGTTTGGAAGTATTTTCATAGATCATACCTACATAATCTAATAGAGATGATTTCAGGAACACGGAAGATGTTTCCTGTGATGTGCTTGCCGGAGTGCCGCTTCTCGCCAATAACATTAATAAAGTATGTGTTTTTGTTTAAATTTTTTTATTTCATCCAATTTATAGAACAATGTCGAGAGGTTTTAAATAATATTCTGCTTCTGTTGAGGTCCTTATCTTGACAGAACTACTGCAGAGAAATGGACGATTCTGAGGATAAGGGATCTTTGTCTCTGTTAAGTTTATGTAACATAATTGACTTTGTTAAAGGACGTTTAGGAATCGTGTGATTTACATCTCGGGAGAGCTTCATACATCATCCGCACGAGGTTCCACTTATTTAAATATTTCATTTTAAAAGGTGCAGCCGGCCCATAACTTCATCAGCACCCACCTTTCCCAGCTGAAATGGATTCTCTAGCTCAATCATTACACCCAAGACTCGAACAAATGAAGTCTCTTCGCCGCTTCTCTTGACAAGGGACCCTGTGCTGTCTCATTACCTTTCTCCATCAAGTTACATGAGGCCCAGGCGAGATTTTCCTAAGCTAATGTCATTGGGGGGATCAGAAAAGATTAGACTCTTGAAACTTCCATTTTTCTAGTGTAAGTCATTTTTTCAGGTGTAAAGCATGTCAATGCATGCAGGTCGATGGGGAGGTGAGGAGGACAGAGCAGCACGTGCTTAAGTGCGTGCTCCGAGTGCCCTGTCGCTCACTCCCACCTCCATTGTTCATCAGCTGTGTGGGCTTGGGTGTGTTGCTTGACCTCTCTGAGATTCCCTTTTCTCTGCTGTACACTGAGGCCAATAACACTGAATCCTTGCACCATAAATGCATGCACCAGATGATGAGCACAGGCTCTGCTAGGACTGGTGTCACAAAGACAGCCAGCTCATGTCCTCAAGGAGCTCCAGAGAGTCCATTTCCTTCTCCAGAGTTCCCTCCTCATCAGGGCTCATGTTACTGGGAGGGTCCAGACCATAGGCAAGTCAACAGACAACTGAAGCAGACACTGTCAGATTGGAAGAAGCATTGTGAAGAACATCAAATAGGATGACCCCCAAAAGGAGTAATGGAGCTGGGGAGACACTTCTTTCAAGAGGGGCGGCACAGAAGTCCTTGCTGAGTACAGACCTGAAGGAAGAGAGGAGTCTGGCCAGGCAGAGACCCAGGGATGAGCACTTCAGGCAGAGGGAAGAGCAGGTGCCACTGCCCCCACGGCAGACTGAGCAGGCATGACCAAGGCAGAAAGCTGTGCAGGTGGCACACTGGGAACGGAGAGGGAAGGGAAAGCAAGACTGGAGATGGGTTCAGGTGAGGCTGAGCTCTGCAGGTCTTGGAACAGAGCTTGGCTTTATTCTAAGGGCAGTAGAAAGCCACTCAAGGGTTTAAGAGTGGAAATGCCATAAGTGAGTAAATGAATAAATAAGAGTGAATGAATGAATGAATGAATGAGGCCCATAAAAGAACTTTTTAAAACATTACACAAACACACACACACACACACACACATATACAAACACAAAGGAGCTATGTGTTTATTGCCTTTGTATTCTGTGCAAGCCCAAATACAAGAGAAAGTTAGGTCTGGGACAGATGCAATAACCTGAAGTGACCTCATCTAAGGCTAATTTGGGATGCTTACAGAGGTCACAGGGGTATAGTCATCCCTTCTATGGGCATGAGTGTACAACTGTAAGTGCTGAGCATCATTTTAACAACTATGCCAAAAGAACAGCACAGATCAGAAATACGCACTTACAGGAGAAAATTTGCAAATGGTCGCACTGTTATGTGAGTGAGCACCTGTGGCTTGGGACATAGCCTCCAGAGGAACATAGATTTGAAGGGTGCTGTTGCTCAAACAACTCAGACAATCATGCTTACTGGTGTCAAGGTAGATTATGTAAGCTTCAAGTAACATGTAAATATGCACATATATATTATGTGTAACTAATATGCAAACCCCCATGAAATGTTAAGAGAGGAAAAATAATCTTTTTAAAATTACTATTTTATGTTGTATGAAATCTTAATTATATGTTAGTAAATTAATAAATTGATTATTCCAAGTTGATTTTTTAAGTAGTCAGCAACACTTTGTGGGAGATCTTTTCATTGAGAAGATAAGGGATGACATGACACTTGGGTTAATCTCATATTTATGTATGTGCAACTTACATTGAAACTCACCAGTGTGGTCATTTCTAAGTCAGCTCAACTAATTTTATATGAAAACGCTGGGAGAAATGTCAATGTGGCATCCAGAGTAGACAATGTGTGCTAGACAATCTCTTGCTCTTTTCTGTACCATCTCCTCTACTGCAGAGACTGGAAATGTGGATGCTGCATTTCTCAGCCTCTGTGACCAGCGGGGTTACACAGTAGGTTCTTCAATGAGAGGTGCTCATGCAAGATCTGGAAGACGGGAAAGAAGGAAGAGTCATTATTACCCCTGAAGGGCCATGAGGAGCCAGTACTTTTGCAGGCAGCTGGCATAAGGCTTTAGCACTGATGGGTCTCTGGGCAGCCCCCCATGAACTGCTGATTTCAGTGCTGCAGGATCTGAGATTGCTGGAAACTGTCCCTGCAATTTCTGTAGCTCCTGAGTTCCTAAGCTGTTTGTAGCCGTGGCTTCCCTGACCTTGCAACCCCAGGTCTTCAAATCATTTCAAAGCCTCTACTTCCTGTGTTGTCTCTTCCTCCTTGAGATACTCAGAGTTACTTTAGTTTGCCTGATGGAAGTGTCACTGATACAGATTGTCAGCAGATCTCTCTGATTCAGGCTTCAGCTGCCCCTGGCCTTGGTTCTTGGCCTCTGAGACTCCTCAGCACCACCTGCTCCCCTTTTTAAAAATGTTAGAGTGGCATGAAATGGATCAGTGAACAAAACACAGAGTTCCCCATCATTGCTGGTGTGCCAACGAATACCTCAAGTTCACTAACCACATACGTGATGTGGGGAATCTCCAGGAAGGGGGCCCTGTGGGTCTATGAGTCAGGCCCCACATTGAGACTCTGAAGCCAGAAACCTGAGCTCTTGAAGAGGCTCAGCGCCTTGGGTAACCTCTTCTAACCTCCTCCCCTGGATATATATTTTACCTGGCCCCTCAAAATTGACCTGTGTCTGCAAGCCCAAGGTGAGTGCAATTTTAGTGCCAAAGCAACGCCACCATGGATGTAAGGAGGCTAGGCCTGAAGGCAGAGCAAAAATGAACTTAGAGAAAGTGAGAGCCACAGTCCTTCGCAGACAGCATTGGCTTGGGGCAGGGTTCACTTTTTAGAGGAGGGAACTAGAGCAGTCACTGTCCTTCCAGAAAATACCCTCCCCTGGTGTATTAGTCTGTTTTCACACTGCTGATAAAGACATATCCAAGACTGGGCAATGTACAAAAGAAAGAGTTTTAATGAACTTACAGTGCTGCGTGGCTGGGGAGGCCTCACAATCATGGCAGAAGGTGAAAGGTACGTCTCATGTGGTAGCAGACAAGAGAAGAGAGTTTGTGCAGGGAGACTCCCATTCTCAAAGCCGTCGGATCTCATGAGACTTATTCACCTGGGAAGTCTTTTATTCTTCCTATTGCTGCCGAGTCAGGCGAGGTCTCCCTGTTCTTCCACCCCTCCCTGGCCTGTCATCTACTTAGTGTCGCCGTCTGTCTATACAGCAGTCAGCATTTCCCAAAGCCAGCATGTATTCAAGGGAGCAAGAAATTATCAATTTATTTATATTTTTGTAACTCAACTGAATCTCTATTTGGGGTCTATATTAGTAAAAGCACAGCTTCAGTAGAGGCTATAGAGGTATAGGCTCTTACGACATTGAGTTCCCACAATATTTCCTTAAATAAGAGGGAGGTTTATTTCTCTCACACATCGCAGTCCAGAGCAGGAGGGAGCTCTGCATCTCTCCCTGGAGTGCCCAAGCTGGTGAGATGTCTCTGCCATCCTCGATGTGAGGCTCCCCATCTCTGGCTCTAAGCTGGGTGGCTCAATTGTTGTCATCACATGGTCAAGTGCAATTCTTCTGCCGTAGGTTTGAAATTGCAGACTTTGGAGGGTGAGAGACACATACAGGGTGGGAGAAGAAGCTTCATTGTTAAGTACAAGAAACGAGAGTTGCACACACCACTGTTTTCATATCCCATTTTCCTTGAGACAATGGGTAGAATAGTGGCTCCCAAAGACGTCCTTGACTTAATCTTCAAAACCTTGAATATGTTGCCTTACTTGGCATAAGAGACTTTGCAAAGATGTTTAAGGTTAAGAACCTTGAGATAAGGGGATGATCTTAGATTACCCAGGAGGGCTCAATGTGTTTGTGTGAATCCTTAAACACGGAGAAGGTTTCCTGGCTATAGTCAGTCAGAAAGGCATGTCATGACAGAAAAAGGATCAGAAGAGAGAGAGATGTGAGCTTTGAAGATGGAAGAAAGGGCCATGAGCCAGGGACTGCATGCCTCCTTAAGAGCCAGAAGGGTTAAGAGAATGGATGCAACTCTGGAACCACCAGAAGGAACACTGGCCCTGCCAACACCTTGATCTTAGCACAGTGAGACTTGTATCAGAATTCTGGCCTCTGAAACCATAAGAAGGTAAAATTGTGTTGCTTTAGGTGGCTAAGTCTATAGAAATTTGTTGCAGCAGCAATGGTAAACTAATATACCTTGTTACATGACCCTACCTAGCTACAAGGGAAGCTAGGAAATGCAATCTCTGGCTTGGTCGGTATGTGCCCTCCCTCAGGTGTAAGAGTTGGCCTCCCACTCCTCTCTGGGCCACAGGAAACCCAAAGTATTGGTGTCAGATCCTCTCTGTACCCACCCAGCCCATTTACATGAGCAAACCACTCTCCATAAAGGAAGCCTACACAGCCTGTGCAGGACAAAACCCCACCATCACTACAAGGCTGGGAGCAGAAACACCTCCAAGGATGCCAGCTAGAAAGTGAGGCATGGGCACTCTCTTGCCTCAGTTTCCCATGTTGACCAAGGATCTATTAGTTTTCACCCACCCCAGCCATGGCCTGAGCAAAAGAGCAGTGTGCAACCCTTCTGAAAAATGCCCCAATGTCTAACTTTCTTATGCCCCTCTCCCCAGCTCCCCAGCTCTGAGGATCTTTACCTGGGCTCTGAGTGTAACTTCTTCCAGCCCATCTGTGCCTGGAATGAGGCTTTTGAATTTTGAAGCTAGGAAACTGATGACTTCACTTTTTAAGCTCCTATGGACAATGTCCCTTTGGGAGCCTGGGAGTCCGGTATCTGGTTGCTGGGGCTGCAAGGTCACCTTCATCTCTCAGGGGGGAAAAAACACAGAATTTCTGAGTAGGAAACACATCCTGAGTTGACACCACTCCTTCACTCCGCCCCACACACTCACATCTCCTTGAGAGCAGACATGATTTTGTAACGTCCCTGTTGTCTGACTCTCAGTGGGTGCTCAAAGGAAGTTTGCAGAACCAAATGATCATTGAAAAGATGGCCAGACAAGGATTACCAGCCCATTTGGAAGAAGAGGAAACTGAGGCTAGACAGGCTACGTGATGAAGCAGATGCAGATCCTCTTCACCTGCACATCCTCCAGCCATTCAGCTTCAGGATGGGATTCAAGGTAGACGTCCAGGAGCCACTGCGTGCAGCTCTCTGTTGGGGACTGCCTCCAAGCTCACATGACCACACATCCAGGAGGCATGGGCTGGAACTAAACCTCACCCCCTCCTTCAAGCAGCCTCGACAATGACCCACCCCCAGCTCGTCCCTTATCAGGTGGGATCATTCTAAGGCACGTGGCTCACACTCCTGGCACCCCTGGGGGTAGCTGTTGAGGCCATGCACCTTCTCGCCTGTCTCACTTCCTTACTACACTGCGTGTGCTCCTCAATCCCCCAAACCCTTGTCTCAGGTCTGACTCTAGAGAAACTCAAGGTAAGATGCATGCCTTGACAATGGGTACAGGGCTGGGAAGTGGCACCGTCAGAACTCAACATGAAGGAGTCCAAGGACTGACACAAATAATCACTCCTGGTAAACAAATGCTGCCCAGCGAGGGAGATTCTGAGATCAGTGCCTTCCAGCAATTTCTTCCCCACTGCGGGGAAAGACACCTCATTCCACTGTGGCTAGGCAGCTTTTCTCTCTGTCCCCTGAGAATCAGCATCCACATCCGATTTTTAATTTGGTCACTGGACTCCCACTCAGCGCCTATCATGCACCAGAGGACACCAAGAAGGAGCAGGGCAGCTGGCTCTGAAGCTGCTCTGGCTCTAGGTAGGAGGAACAGACAAGAATGCAGGTAGAACAACAGCAGCAACCGTCCTTCCTGGGCCACCCGATAAGATGAGGGCAAAGTAAAAGATGGCAGTCCATAGCAACTTCCAAGGGAGGTTTTGAGAATTAAATGAGAAATTGGATATTCTCACAGCATCTGGCTTAGGGGCAGCAGTCCATTAATTTTAGCTTTCATCATTATTACCTACACACTCATCTATTTATTCATCTATGTCATGATAATAATATATCACAACAAACTCACGAATCCATGATATTGCTTCCATTTTATGGATGGGGAAATAGAGGGCCAGAGAGATTGACAACTTGCCCGAGGTCACATGGCGGCCATGTTGGGCTTTGAACTCCAAATCTTAGGCTAACGTTTTCCCATCTCTCATTTTTGTCATAACTAACTGAACTCCCTGGAACATTAACCTGAGATCATGTTTGCAATCCACTCTCCATTTTTGAGTTTCCCTAGGTTTACTTTACGGCAGGCTCATGGTTTAATTCTTAAGAGTGGGCTTCTTAGGGGAGGCAGAAGGGGAAATGAGTACCTGGTCATGTCCTGCTTTAGCTCCTAATACACATCATTTGCCGCCCAGGCCTGGGGGTTTCCTTGACTCTGTGTAAGTGATGAATCAGCCAACACATCCAGAATATTATTCCCACTAGCTCAGTGCCTCCCCATCCGTGCAATCCTAGGGTTTTGGAGACAACATCCTCCACCCATACATATTTTACAAAGGCAGACAGTTAAGTGGTCAATGGGAATGCCCCCAAGCTCAGAGGAAATGAGACTTACCTCCCAAGTCAACAGGGTGTCATGGCTCTGCAACTGTCCTCTGCATTTACTGAGATGAGAAAAATCAGCAAAGTGAGACAATAACATACTCTGGATCCCCTGTGGTCCCCACTCTAGCTAAGTTAGTTAGAAAAGTTATGTCCTGGGACGCCTCCATTCTGATCTCCCTCACATGTCACCTCCCCTGGGAAGCCCTCCTGGTTTATCCCAACCGAGAACAATTATTTCTGCTGCATGTGCCTTCTCCTGACATCTCTTGCCCACACCACCTGGTATTTATAGTTCTTTTGACAGGTGCTTGTGTCATCTACCCAGGAAGCTCCCTGAGAACAGCCAGAGCTCATGCCTTTGGAAACTCCCACCCAGAAAATGGGGCATGGCAACTAGAAGGTGCACCCAAAGACATTTGCTGATTAATTGAGTGATGAACTCCTATGCATCCTTCAACACTTAGGAAGCCTTAGCGTTTGCTTCAAGTGCTCCAGGAAGCCTTAGAAGGATCAGGACAGACTCCTTCCCAGCTTTCAGCACAGGGCCTGGCATGGAGTAGATTATGGCGTGGAATCTACATAGCCCTCATCTCAGTCCTTAGACTTGCCTTCTTCCCTTGAAGTATGTGGTGGACAGGGTATTAAGTCTTTTGCAGACAGGGGCTGTGTGTCTTTCTCTGACACCCTAGCCTGTAGCCGGTGATCAGTAAATACTTGATTGCAGAATGACTTAATAAAGGCACGAGACCCCTCTTTCTCTTCTTCAGCCCTCATTTACTCATTCAAACGACTTGATGGGTGCCTGATACACCCCCCATTGTACTGGCCTGGAGATAAAGGGGTCTACACAAATAATCTCTGCCCTCGAGGAGGGGAAACAGGGAGAAAGAAACTAATGGACAGTGAGCCTGTATTTTTTTTTTTCATTTAATCCTCACAAGTGCTTCATATGTTGGGTAATCTCATTCTTTTTTGCCAATGAGTAAAAGGATTATCCAGACAGAGTCAGTTGTCCAAGGTCATAAAACTAATAAGTGATGGGGCATCTGTTTGATCAAGGACTGTCTGACTCCAAAACCCATTTTGCTAGGCTTCCTTTTTGGAGGGAGAGTTAGAAAACCATTTTTAAAAGAAGACAAACACATAATAACAGGAGGACAAGTGTGAAGCTACAAGACAGATAAACAAATTGCTGCAATTGACCAGGTCTGGTTTCAAAGGAATCGACTCCTCTCCAGTCCACACCCACAGAACTTCCTCAGGCATCCAGTCCCTGCAAAGGATAGACAGGCAACCCTACCCAGGCATGAACCACCCCACAGGCAGCCCAGGAAGTGGGAATGGAGATGCACTCAGGAGCCTCAGCTTCCCCATTGAAACCTTAGTCAGGGCTGCTGCTCCCCCACCATCAGGACAGAACTTTCTAGACTCTTCAGGAAACTTCTTTTTCTCTTGGCATTTTCTCCCCCATCACAAGAGCAATTTTTATTTTTTCCTGCTTTCTTTTGTCTTTTCCATGTTCTGTTCCCTCCACGTGGGAACTGCAGTTTCCTCCCACTCCCAGTGAAACTGCTCTTTCTTCAGGGGGCCATGTGAAGGTCTTCCGCAGCAGCAATTTTTTCTGCCCCTCCCCGTCAGTTTCAGGGCCCTGCTTTGATTCCCCCAGCCTCTCGCAAGCCCTGCTGTTACACCTGCCCCTTTCCCTGCCTTCCCCACCTTTCTGCTGGCTGCTGGAGGGCAGGGCCATGTGCACTCATCAGACATCTCCTGCACTTAGTGCCCACCAGGCACACAATGGGGTTGAAAGAAGAAACACTTAAACCGGCTGTCATCATGGCTTAAAACATTTATCGTGGTCAATTTTTTACCCAACATTCTATTAATTTGTTTATTGTTCAACAAGGTAATCATCCTCAACATTTTCAGTGGCTGTCTAACATTCAGTCCAGTCCCCAGCCCACATACATTTATGGTGAGGCTGCCATGAGCAGGCACTGTGCAAGGCACAGGGAATCCAAAGAGAGATGCCGTTTGCACCCTGCATGATGGCTGTTAGGGCAACACACGAGTCCTCACAGATTCAAAGGATCATGAAATGTAAGTAGGCATCTACACAAACACACCCATTTGATGGATGAGAAAACAGAGGCACGGGGGAACTTGTACCAGGTCTACTTTGCAAAACCCTAGCAGAGCCCTGACTGGTCCCTACTCCGAATCCAGACCCCCAGCCAGGCCTCTCGCCAGCACACTCCTTTCTCAACAAAGGAATGTACTTCTTTATTAGTTAGACTTCCACAGAGTCCTAAATCAAACCAAAGCATTCAAATTTTTTAAGTTTGATCAGCTGAGAAATAAGGATATTAAATATGATTAAATACGATTGCGTCTGAGGGTACAGACTGTTCTTCCATTACCTGCTTTGATTAAAAAAAGCTATCTGAGCTGTGAGGTAGAAAAGTTAAATGCGACAAGAAGAAAAAGAAAAGTCTATCAGTTTGCTGTCATTCCTACTTTTTGTAAGAAAATAGTATTGTTTAAGATGTGTTCGTCACCACATCAAGAACACATGAGTTAGCATCTGCAGTTAATATTTTTCTCTCCTCCTTAATTGCTAAAAATAAGAGCGATTAGGAAGAATAAAAAGTTATTCCTATGATTCTTCAGGGACCATAAGAAAGGCTACATTTTTTTTTTTAATGGAACATAGACCAGAAGCTCGGATTCCTAAGCTGAAATTTAATTGGTGCAATATTGAAGTTTAAAGAGTAATAAAGTTTTTTGTCCTCGGGTTACAAGGAGAAAATTATCCATAACACTGTTTGGATTATAATACCTTGGCTGCTACCTTGGTCTATCTTTGTCCTGAGATTGTTATTATTATTACCGTTCTGACGGTTTTCCCCATTTCACTCCTTCCCCTCCAAGTTTTGTAAGTGGAGCTGAGCTTCCAGGGAACTTTTCAAGATGGCTGGGACATTATGCAATCAAAACGGATCTGGGACAAAGGAATGGTATGAGTAAGTGCAGGTCGGGTCTTTTCAGCAGTGCCAAATGTCATCTTCTTGAGAGATGAGATAAATGACCAAACAAAAGGAAGGAGATATTACTCTCGTGTAATAGCTCACTTATTTCCACCTTCTAATTGAAGAGTTGGCTGGAGCTCAAAACATGGCTCTGACCAACTTTAGCCCTTAAGATGCCTGCATCGCCACCAGAGGGAAAAGTAATCAATCACGAATTAGCCTTTTATTAGTGAAGGTTGAGACTGTCATTGAAAGAAAGGGGGAAAAAAAACACTATAAAAACAGTTTATGTCACAATCATTCAAAGATCTTCAGATCTTAGAAACCTACACTATGACCAAAATTAGAAACCAGACTTTGTTTGGAAAACATGAGACCTGCACTCCTCGCCCCCAAGTGTTCATGGACTTGGCATCAGCTAATTGCTCTACAGCAAGCGCCTGGGTGGCTGTTTTCGCAGGGTTGTGACAGTGGAGACTTAAGTCTGGGGCTTTTTCAGGGCTCACTTCATCTGCAGAAGTATCAGGATATAGGATTGCTGGATGGAGTATAAATACAGGATGCTCAGTTACATTGAATTTGGGATCCACAACAAATAATCTTTTAGTATGTCCCATACAACTTTGGGAGGCTGAGGTGGGAGGACCGCTTGAGCCCAGAAGTTTGAAACCAGCCTGGGCAACATAGGGAGACCCCCATCTCTACTAAAAAGTAAATTAAAAATTAGCTGGGCATGGTGTCATGTGTCTGTAGTCTCAGCTACTTGGGAGACTGGGGTGAGAGGATCTCGGGATCCCGGGTGCTGGAGTGAGCCATGATCGCACCACTGCACTCCAGCCTGGGCAACAGAGTGAGAGCCTGTCACTATCAAAAAACACAACAAACCAAACAAAAACTTACAACATATGTCTACCTAAGCATTATTTCTTGTTTATCTGAAATTCAAATTTTACTGGACATTCTGTATTTTATCTAGAGGCCCCAGGCCAGAGGCAAGCTGCACTTTAGCCTACCTTGTCTTTCCTGCATTTCCTCTTGGGGTCCTTCCTATCTGGGCCCCTGAAGACCCACAGAAGACTCAGGCTGTCTGGGGTCTCAGGCAGGAAGGAGCTGTTAATATGAGCAGGAGCAGCTGGGCATGGTGGCATGCAGCCCTAACTACTCAGAGGGCTGAGGCAGGAGGCTCAGTCTTGCAGTCCTGGCTACTCAGAAGGCTGAGACAGGAAGACTGCTTGAACTGAGGAGTTCAAGTCCAGCCTGGACAACATAGCAAAATCCCAGCTCTAAAGGAAAAAAAAATGAGCAGAAGGGATGAGAACAAGACCTATTTCCAAGGGTACAACCTACAGTCCTGAGGCAGAACTTTCCAGAGAGCCCCTCCATGTTTAGATGCAGAAGAGGAGCAGAGAGTTCTTGGGATCCCCTGTCTGGAGTCCCAAGATAGATGCTGCATGCTGGGCTCAGGGCTGTGACACTTTTTATTTTTCTCTCATTATTAGGCACCTGCCACCAGGTGAGGAATGGTGCTCTCAAAAAGCCCAGATGAGAGATTCTCAAACTTAAAGGTACATAAGCATCATCAGGAAAACTTGCCATCATCAGGACAGAGGCCCTGGCCCCATCCCCTGTAATCTCTGATTCAGTAGGTCTCAGGTGCACCCTGTAATCTGGATTTCTAACAATCACCACACTCCCACCTATCCTCCACCCCCTACACGTCAGGGGATCCTGATCTAGGTAGATTCTCTGAGAAACACTGACCTGGGTTTGAGGCTTTCCCCAAACTCAGATGGAGGAAAGCATCCTTTTTAAAATACAATATTAAAAACATTTTCTCCAAAGATAATATCATTCATGAATCT